>NC_000011.10:65811198-67097322 GCF_000001405.40 Homo sapiens
GCCTCAGCACTGCTGCTGCATCTTCGCAGCCTCTCTCAGCCTCGGTTCTGCCACCTTTCCTCACTCATACAACAACAGGCTCCTCCTATCGAGGAGGTAATGAGCTCCCACTGGACTTTGGGGTCCTCTAGAGTCACCTGCAAACTCCACTCCTCCCTCCCAACGTCGTCTCTAGAAGATTCCTTTGTCCTCGAGGCTCTCCTTTCAGTGAAGGACCCTCATGAGGACACAGTGCCTCCTCTGGGACACACAGCCATAATACTCTTGTCATAAGAAATCCAACTCCTTGACCGGGCTTGGTGGCTCACGCCTGTAATCCCAGCACTTTGGGAGGCCAAGGCAGGTGGATCACCTGAGGTCAAGAGTTCGAGACCAGCCTGACCAACATGGTGAAACCCCATCTCTACTAAAAATACAAAAATTAGCTGGGCGTGGTGGTGCGTGCCTGTAATCCCAGCTACTCGGGCGGCTGAGGCAGAAGAATCACTTGAACCCGGGAGGTGGAGGTTGCAGTGAGCAGAGATCATACCACTGCCCTCCAGCCTGGGCGACAGAGCAAGACTCTGTCGAAAAAGAAAAAGAAAAAAGAAAAGAAAAGAAAGAAATCCAACTCCTCTGCTACCCATGAGGGAAGGTGGCTCAGGATGAAAGGGAAGTTTGACAATCCCTAAATATCACAGGCTTAAGAAGAGCCATTACCCAAGAAGTCGTGTGGAAAGAGCTGCCGGCCTCAGCCACAGCTGTCCTCTACCCACACTGCCGCCTGCCGCAGGCCACAGCACCGTCAGCCGAAAAAGCCCACTGATATCTGGGTTACAGGGCTTGAGGCTGCCTTGATTTCTGGCTAACAGCTGGGCCGTCCTCGGCAAGAGCTCTCCTGGGAACGGGTTGGGGAGATTCCCCGTGCCCTGTCATTCTGATGTCTCCCTGCACAAGGGAGCGGGTTAACCATGTCCTTGCCACCTCATCTTCGAAAACAACTCATAAAAGCGCATCAGAGGAAACAGTCTTTTCATCCCACCTATCATTAGTTCCCAGAACAGGGGCTGGAAGTAGGCAGCCTCCCTGGGAGTTTGCGGGATGAGGCAACACCGGCGCCTGAGCTACCATTTAGCCTATTTCTAGAGATAAGCCTGTTGATGTCAAAGTAAGGAATGACCAACTCCAGCCAACAGCGCCCTGTGGGACTGGGTCTGTGACATCTCCTTTCTCCCAGGCACCATCCCCAGGGCAGGAGACAGGAACCCTAGATCGTGGGGGTTTGTGAACTGACCTAGGTAAATAATAACAAGTTGGGCTGCACTCTCCTTGAGGTAATTCAAAGTACTTTATCACCATTACCTCACTGATCTTAACTAACATCCAAGGAAGGAAGGAAAGAAAAAAGGCAGAAGCTTTCTCATTTCCTAAAACAAAAGTGAATGGGGGCTGGGTGCGGTGGCTCACACCTGCGATCCCAGCACTTTGGGAGGCCAAGGCAGGTGGATCAGCTGACGTCAGGAGTTCGACACCAGCCTGACCAATATGATGAAATCCCGTCTCTGCTAAAAATACGAAAACTTAGTCGGGTGTGGTGGTGGGCACATGTAATTCCAGCTACCCAGGAGGCTGAGACAGGAGAATCGCTTGAACCTGGGAAGCAGAGGTTGCATTGAGCCAAGATCTCACCACTGCACTCCAGCCTGGGCAACAGAGCAAGACTCCATCTCAAAAAAAAAAAAAAAAAAAAAAAAGTGAATGGGGAGTGGGAGCTTTTAGGTGAACCAGCTCCTATTCACCTATGGTCAGTGAAGAATAAGTACCTCAAATATACACAATAACACTAATGGGGATGGGGGAGGGCATACAAATGAACTCCAAAGCCCTGACTGTGGCCCATAGCCAGAGAAAACAAAAAAGATTCCTGATTTGGGGAGAGGAGTCCTCAACTGGGAGTTTGACAGTTCAGACTGATTTCAAAAGACAGGCTGAATTTTACCCCTCTGTGCTAGAAAGGGTATCGAACCATAAATTCCCCCTGCCCTGACTTCACCAAACTTTGTAAATAACAGAGACGCGCACCCGAGTAATTAGAAGAAAAAGCTAAGTGGCTTGTCAGCTAAGTGGCTTGAGTAGGCATAGGTGTGGCTGGAAGCATTCTGTGTATTTTCTCTACAGCCAAATGTGTAAACGGTCAGAAATACTAGTTTAATGAGCTTATAAATTTGGAGTGACTCTTTACATCTGACAGTGAGGTCTGGGGTTCAACTATTTCACCTCTGAAATCAAAGAGGCTGTGATGGGGTATTCATCTCTTACCAATTCTTTTTTTTTTTTTTTCTTTTTTTGAGATGGAGTTTCGCTCTTGTTGCCCAGGCTGGACTGCAGTGGCGCAATCTCAGCTCACTGCAATCTGTCTCCCGGGTTCAAGCAATTCTCCTGCCTCCGCCTCCTGAGTAGCTAGGATTACAGGCGCCCACCACAACGCCCGGCTAATTTTGTGTATTTTTAGTAGAGACGGGGTTTCATCATGTTGGCTAGTCTGGTCTTGAATTCCTGACCTCAGGTGATCCACCCACCTCGGCCTCCCAAAGTGCTGGGATTACAGGTGTGAGCCACCACGCCCGGCCCATCTCTGACCAATTCTTCCAGAATGTTCCACAGGTTTCTTCTTCACACTTTATGATTCTATTTTACTGACCCAAACAATTCGCCCTCCAATGTTTCGTGGAGGGGATAACAACTCTGGGTATTTGAAGATGTTTTCTGACATCTTATCTGTTTCCTTCCCTCCTTGGTCTGCGCTGGGCTACCTGAAATGCCTCCTACACGCGCGCTTCCCTTATGAACATTCATTAGATGGGTACTTGTCCTGCTTAACTCCTACAAATTCACAAGTTCTCTAATGCTCAAATTCAAAGCACTTGCATCTCTAGGTAATCACTGTTTGCTAAAATGCTCTTTAGCTTTTTCTATCTACAATGTTTCTAAACGTTAATTTAATTGAACTTAAAAGCGATTGTGCATAATGTGCCGCAACTTGGCACTCAGCTCATGTAAACAGTGTCTTGCTGACAGGGTAGGTCTAGTGCAGGAAATAACCGCGTCAGCAGCGCTGTCCCACATAGGACTACAAATCCATGACAGCCTCAGGGGCTCCCCACGAGGCACAATGGGTGATGTCATTCTTCTGGGGCTTGGCTAGGCCATGACTGGGTCTAGAGGCACTCTCTCTTCCCAGTCCGTTTTTAGAACTAATATTTGCAATGCCACTTCCACATTTCCCTCTATTTCTGATTCATGTCAGCCTGAGGCCTGAGACAGAACAAGCCTGCAGCTGAACACATGGTTACCACTTTTTTTCCAGAACCTTAGGAAAACGTTGTTAATGTTCAGGGCTATGAGTGACCTTGCCGTCCCACATCATGGAACTATTTATTAAACAGATGGATGGACAACCTTATAATTAGGTCAACTACGTATACTCCGATTCAAGCCCTTGGTTTCATTCCTTTTCTCTCTAAGATTAGGGAATTTCTCAATGACCAATAACGCAGAAATACACCCCCTCACATCCCGAGGGAGATTGCTCAGCCTACAGCCACCCCGTGAAGATCCCATGACTTCTGGCATCTGCCCTAATAACCCAAGTCTCTTATCTGTGAGTTTTGGTTTGTCAGACCCTGTTGTTCGCATTAATCTTCCTGTGCCTGTGAGGACAGAACCCGGACAAAGTGGGAGTCCTGAACCTGCGTATGCTGGTTGAATAGGTAAACACCCTCAGATAAGGAGGCCTTGGGAAAACCATTGTGACGTCCTAAGAATGCAAGGTGTAAAAGTTCCAATCCCACTCTCCCACCCCTAAACCAGTTGAGACACAGACCTGCCCTTCCCCAGGTTGACTTGGCCCGACTAGATAGCATCTGCAATCTGCACTCGCTCCCTCCCTCCCAAGTGAATCAGTCCCCAACCGGTTACCTCCCCAGGCTCCTTGGAGACAATGCCAAGTACAGCCTAGGGGGTGATGGCTCCATTTGAGGAGCCTGGCATCTTGGAGAGTGCCACCCCAATCCCCCGCTTTGGGCAGGTGCATAGGGAGGACTCAGGAAAGAGGTGTTCTGCCATGGACCAGTCCAGGTCCAAAAAGTCTCGAGAAGCGCCCGGGAGCCAGGAGAAAAGCCGAGAGATGAAAGGAGATGCCTGAGGTGCCGCAGCCCAGGTCTGAGCCGGGCTAGAAACCGCGTGACAAAACAAAGATGCGTTCTTAGCCGTGATGGAACTCCCAGATTAGCTTGGCTTTCTTCCTTTTGTTTTGTTTTGTTTTATTCATCTCTGTCGCATCTATTTTCCTCTGGGCATGTGACACTTCCACTCTTTCTCTTCTTTAGTCCTCTTCCAGAAGTTCTGTTCTGTGCTGGATTAGGTCAGGAGTGATGGATTGTTCTTATACACACGGGATATGGTGGATGAATGTGTTGATCTGACACTCACTGAGAGTTCTAAACAGGGAATTATAGCAGTGACAAGTGGTGAAAGACATGGCCCCTGCCTCTTGAGCTTCTGTGGGACCCAGCAGGCTGGAGGGGCGCACCCAGCTTTATGCATCTGCCCTCAGGAGAGCTGCACAGGCTCCAATTTTTCTACTTTTATTTTTAATTTAATTTTTTTTTTGAGATGGAGTCTCACTCTGTCATCCAGGCTGGAGTGCAGTGGCACAATCTCTGCCCCCCAGGTTCAAGCGATTCTCCTGCCTCAGCCTCCCAAGTAGCTGGGATTACAGCTGCCTGCCACTGCGCCCAGCTAATGTTTGTATTTTTAGTAGAGACAGGGTTTCACCATCTTGGCGAGGCTGGTCTTGAACTCCTGACCTCGTGATCCACCTGCCTTGGCCTCCAAAAGTGTTGGAATTACAGGCGTGAGCCACCGCGCCCGGCCTCAGGCTCCGGTTTTTCTAAATGAAAGCCTCATCTCTTACTGACCCACTGGGTAACTGAACCCTTGATTTTCATGTAAGACTGATCTCTTGGCCTGGCGCAGTGGCTCACGCCTATAATCCCAGCACTTTGGGAGGCCAAGGCAGGCAGATCACCAGATCAGGAGATTGAGACCATCCTGGCCAACATGGTGAAACCCCGTCTCTACTAAAAATACAAAAATTAGCTGGGTGTGGTGGAGTGCACCTGTAATCCCAGCTACTTGGAAGGCTGAGGCAGGAGAATGGTTTGAACCCAGGAGGCAGAGATTGCACAGTGAGCCAAAATCACGCCACTCCACTGCAGCCTGGCGACAGAGCGAGACTCCGCCTCAAAAAGAAAACAAACAAACAAACAAACAAACAAAAACGGATTTCCCGCTGGTAACAACTGGTTAATTAGTCTCTGGTTTTCTGTCCTTCTAGTCAAATGCTCCAGAAGAGCTCTGTATTTAAATACGCCCAAGTATGAATCTCTGGTCAAGTGAAGACTATTTCTAGAAAACAAGTAAGTCTTCCCAAATTCATCTGCCTCAGCTAGGACTGGCATAAATCACTTTTTCTTGAATTGGTCTCCATTGCATATCCCATTTTCTTCTCATCTTTTTTTTTTAATTGCCAAACAAGATGTATGCCACCCAAGCCACAAAATGGCAGGCAACCAATTTCTGTCCTGCTACATCCAAAATTCTCTAAGGTTCTACAAATATGAGCAATGATTACCAAAGGACTTGTGCTGTAAGGGAAGAAGAGGAACTGGAAATATTCCGGCTAGTGCCAGGAGCTCTGGGGACCCCAGCTCTGCCTGGCTGCCTGGGTCCAGTCATTCCGAAGGAGATAATGTCTATGGCTGCTGATAGGTCTCTCTGGTGACCACAATTTCAGAACTGGAAATTGGTGGTGGTCTGATGCGTAGCCTAACAAAGGGCCAGTGGGCCAGTCCTCTGTCCCAGAAATTGAGATTGTCCCAGAAATCTGAGGCCACATGGTTGCCCGCAGGACAGCTCTAAGACACCATTTAGTTGATTAAAGCAGATGTTCAAACTCTCCTCCAATCCCACCTATCTACTCACAATTTGCATCCCCCCAACCCCCATCAGTCTCCTTTTTTTAAAAAAAGAGATATGCTAGGCCAGGCATGGTGGCTCAGGCCTGTAATTCCAGCACTTTGGGAGGCTGAGGCAGGAGGATCACTTGAGACCAGGAGTTTGAGATCAGCCTGGGCAACATAGCAACACCCTGTCTCTAAAAAAAAAAAAAAAAATTAGCCAGTGATGCGTGCCTGTGGTCCCAGCTAGCTACTCGGGAGGCTGAGATGGGAGGATCGCTGGAGCCCAGGAGGATGAGGCTGCAGTGAGCTCTGATTGTACCACTGAACTCCAGCCTGGGCAACAGAGCCAGACCCTGTCTCCAAAAAAAGAAAAAAGATAAAGAGAAATGCTAGTGGTAAAAAAACGTAACTTAAAGCCTGTACATTCCCCGCAGGGGGGTGTTTATGGCCTTGTATCCAGCTGGCTCTTCCCAGATTCAAAAGCAATTATTCCAAAAGAATGCTTTATGGTTAAAATTAAACCACAGTCCAAAAGCTATTAGAACTGGACTTTGAACAAATGCCAAAGAGGACAGTTATGAACATCTTCTTGACAGAAAAAGAAAGAGACCCACCAGAAGGAAGAAATCTAAAACAAACAAAAAATTAAGTAAAATGTTGAAACCTGTTCAACCACCCTATTTCAGATAGAACGCACTTTTTAACCACATTAGGAAAGCGAAACTCGCCGTGGGTGGGGTGGAAACGCTGCCAGGTCATCCTGTCTAAAGAAACTCTGGTCGCGCCTACCTGAGGGACGTGCGGGCGCGGCTCGGCCCCCACGAGGCGCCCCGACACCGCGCCGGCCGCGCGGCTCCCGCAGGCACAGCGCCCGCCCCGGCGAGCACCAGTGCATCACCCCGGTGACGTGGGTCACCTGCCCTGATGCGTTATTCCGCCGCTTGATGAAGAAACCAGCATTTAGGAAAACACAGAGGCGCACATTAGCGTGCACGAAATCGCCCGAGGGAGCTGAGAGCTGGCGAGGTCACGAGTGCCGGGCTCCGGGCGGGGGGTGGGGCAGGGCGGCGGGGCAAGGCCGGGGCGGGAGCGGCGATCCGAGGCCGGGTCAGCAGCGCCCCCTCCTGGAACGCCGGGAGCGCCGCGCGCGCGGATGCCGCTCTCCTTCCAGCCTGGCGCGCCGCTGCCCCCTATCGGACAAACGCTTTGACCGTTGGCTAAAGCAAGTATCAGACGTCAGCCCCTCCAGGTGGCAAGCACGCCTGGCCAAGCCTCAGTTTCCACATCTCTCAAATGGGAGCGATGGCAACACTATCTACCCTTGCACACCTCAGAGGGTGACCAGGAGCAAATGAAGGAAGCACCGCTCTTTCTTCCTGGGCCGGCCTCGCTGCTTAGGCCCCAGCAAAATCCAGGTCGCCTCCCCGAGGTCATCTTTGTCCCCCGTGTCTGAACTGGGAGCACAGTTATAAAACCAGTCATGTTGTTCTGAGAGTGGCGTCTCTCTTCCAGTAGCTTCGATAACTCCACAAATGTATTTAACATAATTTTCAAAACATTTTTTCTTATAAGCATGTATCATAATTTAGTTTTCCGGCAATTATCCATTCACTGTCTAAATCCCCCACCACACTGTGAGTCCTGGGGATGCAGGGACCTCCCTGTCACTGTCATTGTTGTGTCTCCAGAATCTGCCTAGCACAGTGCCTCCCACACAGTAGGTGCTCAATAAATTGCTGTTGGAAAAATACATGGATGAAGCCTAGGAGCTGGAGGCTAGGCAGAAACAGAAAGGACAAAGTCAGATACGGGGGGAAATCCTATTTCCAGAATGGTATCTCAAGTGACTATTAAAAATGCGGCGCCGGGCGCGGTGGCTCACGCCTGTAATCCCAGCACTTTGGGAAGCCGAGGCGGGCGGATCACGAGGTCAGGAGATCGAGACCATCCTGGCTAACATGGTGAAACCCCGTCTCTACTAAAAATACAAAAAAAATTAGCCGGGCGTGGTGGCGGGCGCCTGTAGTCCCAGCTACTCGGGAGGCTGACTGCAGGAGAATGGTGTGAACCTGGGAGGCGGAGCTTGCAGTGAGCCGAGATCGCGCCCCTGGACTCCAGCCTGGGCTACAGAGCGAGACTCCGTCTCAAAAAAAATAAAAATATAAATATAAATAAATAAATAAATAAATAAATAAATAAATAAATAAATAAAAATTAAAATGAGGCCAAAGGCCGGGTGCAGTGGCTCATTCCTGTAATCCTAGCACTTTGGGAGGCCGAGGTAGGTGAATCACTTGAGGCCAGGAGTTCCAGACCAGTGGGGCCAACATGGTAAAACCCTGTCTCTACTAAAAATAGAAAAAAATTAACTGGGCGTGGTGGTGTGCACCTGTAATCCCAGCTACTGAGGAGACTGAGGCATAAGACTCTCTTAACCCTGGGAGGCAGAGGTTGCAGTGAGCCGAGATTGCACCACTGTCCTACCTGGTGACAGAGTGAGACTCTGTGTCAAAAAATAAAAATAAAAAAGGCCAGGCACAGTGACTCACGCCTGTAATACCAGCACTGGAGGAAGCCAAGGTAGGAGGATCACTTAGGCCCAGGAGTTCAAGACCAGCCTGGGCAACAAGATGAAACCACGGCTCTGCAAAAAATACAAAAATTAGCCAGGCACTGTGGCGTATGTCTATAGTTTCAGCTATTTGGGAGGCTGAGGTGGGAGGATTGCTTGAGCCCAGCAGGTGGAAGCCGCAGGGAACCATGATCACACCACCGCATTCCAGCCTGAGCAACAGAGTGAGATCCTGTCTCTAAATAATAATAATAATTAATAAAATAAAATAAAATAAAAATGAAAGGCCAGGCACAGTGGTGAGTGCCTATAATCCCAGCTACTCAGGAGACTGAGGTTGGAGGATCACTTGAGCCCAGGTGTTCTAATCCAGCTTGGGCAATGTAGGGAGACACCATCTCTATTTTAAAAAGAAAAGAAAGAAAAGGTGGGGATGATGAAAAAGGTTTTTAAATAGAAAGCGGTGGTGGTTGCACAACATTGTGAATGCACCAAATGCCACTGAATTGTAGGCTATAAAATGATTAATTATATGTTATATGCATTTCACCTCAATAAAAAAAATGAAAGGGCAGAATTGTAATATAATCATTATGATCATTCCTGCTTTAGACACTGCAAATACTTGATGAAGTCAACATAAAGAGAATAACTTTTATAGAGTGTTCTACAGTTGACATAAATGTTTTCATATAAATGATTTCATTTGTCCCTCCCAACAAGCCCATTAATTTGCAGACGAGGAAAACAGGATTGCAGATCAGTGGCTTCCTTCCAACAGGTAGGGCACACTCCCCCTCGGGGGCTCTGCCCTTGAGGCTCCCCGCTATGAAAAGACTTCCTCCAAACCACAGCTTCCCCCTCCCCTCTTGCTGGGCTCTGCTTCAAGGGTCACCAGAAGGGCCTTCCTCAAAGAGCGGCCCTCCTCCCCATCGTCATTCTCTCTCCCTTACCCTGCTTGAGTTTTTCTTTAAAATTCTTAGGACATATTATATTGACATTATTTCTTTTTGTCTCCTTCCACAACAATGTAAGCACCAAGAGAACAGTGCTATTTGTCAGTTTTGTTCTCTGTTATAATCCTGACATCTGGAATGGTACCTGACAAATAATAGGTGCTTAATAAATATTGTTAAATGAATGCATTTGTTAAAGGAATAATAACTTTACCATGAACTTGGCCAGATCTTTTGAGGATCCAAGGCTTTTTAGGTCACACCACAAAAACAAAATTACAATATGATGGAGATAAAATACCAGTTGTGAGAGGCCTGTAACAAAGCGCTACCCAGTTCACTGATTATTACCTGCGTGTGCTCCACTTATCCCCCAGGGAGGCACCTGTCTGTTGTATCCCTGGCTCCCAGCATGGTGCTGGACACCTAGTATTAGGCACTGATCTGCATCAGTAAGAAACAATGGATTCTGAGCAACACAAACAAGAACAGAACTGGCTACAGTGCACATCCCGGTCCCACCCTAAGTGTGCATATGGCAGGGAACGGGGAGTCTCTGAGGACCAGAGGAAGGAGGACACGCAGGACAGGGGCCAGAGTCCAGGGAGCAGCAGAGCATGGCCTTCTGAGCCCCACGTGATTTGTGTAGAAATAGCTCCCGAGACCAAGCTGATCTGCCATGTAAACCTCGCACGATTACTTCCTGTTCCCAGGGGAGAACTTGCAGGGCTAGCCTCTCGTGAGTGGGGTCAGCATGGTCTGACAGGATGGATGACCCCTGTGCTATGGACAGTGAGCCTCTGAGGGGCAGGGGCCACTCCATAATACTGTCCAGTGGCCTCTGAGAAATTCCTGGCCAGCACTGGCCGCCTTCCTCCAGTTCCTGAGCCAGGCAGCCAGGTGTGATGGAAAGTTGTCAGGTGTAACTCAAAGAACATAGATTAAGAGTCTAGAGGCCGAGCGCAGTGGCTCACACCTGTAACCCCAGCACTTTGGGAGGCCAAGGCAGGTGGATCACCTGAGGTCAGGAGTTTGAGACAAGCCTGGACAACATGGTGAAACCCCATCTCTACTAAAAATACAAAAATTAGCCGGGCATGGTGGCAGACACCTGTATTCCCAGCTACTTGGGAGGCTGAGGCAGGAGAATTGCTTGAACCCGGGAGGTGGAGGTTGCAGTGAGCTGAGATCAAGCCACTGCATTCCAGCCTGGGTGACAGAGCGAGACTCTGGCTAAAAAAAAAAAAAAAAAAAAAGCAAGAAAAGAAAAGAAAAAGAGTCGACTCCTGCACTTTGCTGGCAGCTCTGCTTCCTGCACCTGTTTGAACCTGTATCTCTAAGGGCAGTATACAGATTGCAAACAAAAACTCACACAAGCATGAAATGTGGTCATTTGCCCAACCTGACCATGGGCACGGAGAATTATTGTTATACTTTAAATGGAACATAATATTTAATACAGATAAATACCTGTTTGCCAGTGTGGACCTCACATTTGAACGTTATGGTACAGAAACATGTTTTCACCCTTTAATCATAAAAGTTTATTAAAATGTTCTTTTTTTTTTTGAGACCGAATTTCACTCTTGTCACCCAGGCTGGAGCACAAAGGTGCAATCTTGGCTCACTGCAACCTCCGCTTCCTGGGTTCAAGTGATTCTCCTGCCTTGGCCTCCTAAGTAGCTGGAATTACAGGCACCCGCCACCATGCCTGGCTAAGTTTTGTATTTTTAATAGAGATGGGGTTTCACCATGTTGGCCAGGCTGGTCTTGAAAAAATGTTCTGAAAGTGAAGTTTGTTTCTTTCCTTCTTTCCTTCCTTTCTTCCTTCCTTCCTTTTTTCCTTTTTTTTTTTTTCATGGTCTCGCTCTGTCACCCAGGCTGGAGCATAGTAGCACAATCTCGGCTCACTGCAACCTCCACCTCCCGGGCTCAAGTGATCCTCCCACACCAGCTTCCCGAGTAGCTGGGACTACAGGCGTGGTTCACCAGGACCCTCTAATTTTTGTATATTTTGCAGAGACGCGGTTTTGCCATTTACCTAGGCTGCTCTCAAACTCCTGGACTCGAGCAATCTGCACACCTCGGTGTCCTAAAGTGCTGGGATTATAGGTGTGAGCCACTGCACCCAGACTCTGAAACTGAATTTCTATAGAAAACTCCAAGCTTTGTAAACTGTGGTCCACACCCCCATAAACATGCACAGGTGCGCGCGTGTGCACACACACACACACACACACACAATCTTCCCCCACAGCTTCCTTATCATATGTCCAAAGTACGCAGCTCAAAATTCAAACAAATTATTTATTACAAAACAAATTTTAAAAAATCACAACGTGATTCGCATACTGGCAATAGGCTGTTACTTGCCATTTGCCAGGGTATGATTTGTATTTTGTTTTAATTTATGCTGGTTTCAGGAACTATGGCCATTTGCCTTTTTCCTGCACTACCCGTGCGCCTCCTGTGGGCACTCAGCATGGGGGGGCATGTAGTTTTTCTCACTTCCCGCAGCACGTTTTTATCTTATATTGCCTACAATTCAGAAAAGGTATTTAGCCATCAGTGGAGGCCTGGGCTTGGCGTGCATTCAATGCACAAACACAGCCTGGCTTCAAAGCCAAGCTGAGTGGCACACCTCGTGACAGAACAGCAGAAAGGCAGACCCAGGTGCCTGCGGAGGTGGCAGGGACCCCAGGCAGGCCAGTGGGGCCTGGCCAACAGGGGGGCACAGGCCCCAGCTGAAGGAAACAGAGAGAGGCAACTCCAGTTCCTATATGGGCCCAGTGTGGCCAGATCTTCTCATTTTCCAAGAAAAGCCAGAAACTCACTCTTTAATGTGAATCTCTGCATTTTAAAAAGGTACCAATTAATTCTAAACATGGTCTTAAAATATTCTTTGGGGCAAACATAACACATCTATGGCCGATGTGGCATCAGAGCCACCTAACTGTGAGCTCTCCGGAGCAGAAGATGGTTCCAGCAGGCTTCTGGCCCGAATCCGCCATTCATTCACTGCTGACTAGGGTGGTCGCTTCACCTCCCAATCACATGGCACTGAAGACCCAGCCAGCTGGTAGAGCTACCACATAGGTCCAAAACCTCCTCACACCACCACTTACTACCAACACATACTAGCTATGTCGTTTCGATTGACCACTCTGACGGGCTTCAATGCCACCTATAAAATGTGGATAGTAATACAATTGCGGTTGTGGGATTAAGTGAGATAATGTGTGTAACACGCCTAATGCAGAGTAAGCATTTCACGTCAGCTACTGCTATCCATGCGCCTGGCGCCTCATTCCTCACCATCCATTCACATTAATCAGCCAATTCTGTTAAATGGGACTTTTAATACTCTCTCAAGTCTTGTTTTTATTCCTCCTCTCTCCGCTGTAATTCATAACCTCATCCTCTCTACCCTGAACTATTTATTTATTTTGTGTGTGTGTGTGTAAGAGTGTGTGTGTGTGTGTGTGTGTGTGTGTGTTTGAGATAGGGTCTTGCTCTGTCACCCAGGCTGGAGTGCAGTGGTGTGCGATCAAGGCTCACTACAGCCTCAATCTCCCAGGCTCAAGTGATCCTCCCACCTCAGCCTCCTGAGTAGCTTCAACTATTGGCATATGCCACCATGCCCAGCTAATTTTGTTTGTTTTTGTAGAGATGGGGTCTCACTCTGTTGCTCAGGCCAGTCTGGAACTCTTGGACTCAAGCAATCCTCCTGCCTCGGCCTCTCAAAGTGTTGGCATTTCAGGCTTGAGCCACCTTGCCAGGCCTGAACTACTTACCATAATGATCTAGTAATCACATCTCCACTTTACTGAGTGCCCGCACACCATGCTCCGGTGACTCCATCTCGAAGCCGGACTTCTCTATGTGAAGCACAGATCTGATGGCATCATCTTCCCTGTCACCTACAGAACAGAGTCGCAATTCCTTAATCCTGCCTTTGAGGCTCCCTCCCCAGTCTGGCCCTAGGCTCATATCCTGCTAGTTTCTTTAAGATTCTCTCTGCTCTGGGCTGGGCATGGTGGCTTACGCCTGTAATCTCAACACTTTGGGAGGCCAAGGCTCAGGTGGATCACCTGAGGTCAGCAGTTTGAGACGAGCCTGGCCAACGTGGTGAAACCCTGTCTCCACTAAAAATACAAGAATTAGCCAGGTGTGGTGGCACATGCCTGTAATCCCAGCTACCTGGGAGGCAGAGGCAGGAGAATTGCTTGAACCTGGGAGGTGGAGGCTGCAATAAGCCGAGATTGTGCCACTACATTCCAGCCTGGGTGACAGAGTGAGACCCTGTCTCAAAAAGAAAAAAAAAAAAGGCCAAGGCCAAGAGCCCGGTTTTACACATTTTTTGCATTCCCAGAGGGCACACGATAAGTGCTCACTGTTTGCTGAATGAATTAATTGGACCAACCAAGAATGCATTTTAACCAAAAGTTAATGTTACTTGTTTTTTTGTTTGTTTTGTTTTGTTTTGTTTTTTGTTTGAGATGGAGTCTCCCTCTGTCACCCAGGCTGGAGTGCAGTGGCATGATCTCTCCTCACTGCAACCTCCACCTCCCGAGCTCTATCAATTCTCCTGCCTCAGCCTCCTTAGTAGCTGGGATTACAGGTGCGCACCACCACATCTGGCTAATTTTTGTATTTTCAGTAGAGATGGAGTTTCACCATGTTGGCCAGGCTGTTCTCAAATGCCTGACCTCCAGTGATCTGCCCGCCTCAGCCTCCCAAAGTGCTAGGATTACAGGCATGAGCCACGGCACCCAACCAAAAGTTAATGTTACTTTAACACATTCTGTTACAAGAAACAAGGCTGGGACTATACAAAGAATAAAATTATAAAAATTTTAAAAATCGTCCATGCTTGGCCGGGCGTGGTGGCTCACGCCTGTAATCCCAACACTTTGGGAGGCCAAGGCAGGCGGATCACAAGGTCAGGAGATCGAGACCATTCTGGCTAACACAGTGAAACCCCATCTCTAATGAAAAATACAAAAAATTAGCTAGGCATGGTGGTGGGCGCCTGTAGTCCCAGCTACTTGGGAGGCTGAGGCAGGAGAATGGCGTGAACCCGGGAGGAGGAGCTTGCAGTGAGCCGAGATTGTGCCACTGCACTCCAGCCTGGGTGGCAGAGCGAGACTCCGTCTCACAAAAAAAAAAAAAAAATCATCTAGGCTTGAGCCCAGGAGTTTGAGACCAGCTTGGGCAACATAGTGAGACCCCCATCTCTGTTTTATATATATATATATATATATATATATATATATATATATATATATATATATATATATATACACACACACACACACACACACACACACACACACACACACACACACACGATATATATATATTTAAAATATATATATGTTATATACATATATAAATGTATACATATACATATAATTATACATACATATATGTATATATACTTAAATATACATATATATATATATATATATATATATATATATAAAAATCACTCAGGAGCCCTGGAATGTGTGTGTTTTGGTTAATTTTAGTAGAAAAGGGTATTACCTATGCAAAGCTCTAGCTACCTAGATAACTGAAAATATCTGCACTTATGAGGTAGTTGGCATTTGTCACGGTATCTTGGTCTTCATTTTTCTTTCTGTGGCCCTGGTGAAATGCGTCTGATATCTCAGGAGAAAATGCAATCCAAAGAACGATTGTGGTTGTCTGGTTCATCAGTTGTATACTGTGCGGTGCAATCTGAGAGATTTTCACAAAGCCGAAAACTGCCCAAGTATGACCTCGTGCCTGTGTAGGCCTCTTATAAAAGAGACAATTCCCCAACTCTCAGAGAGTTTCCAGAGGAGGCTAGGAGTGATGATCTCGGGATGGCAGAGATCTAGGAAAGAAAATAAACGTCATTGTTTTTTGACATTTATATATATATACACACACAATTATTATTATTATTTTTGGAGACAGAGTCTCACTCTGTCACTAAGGTTGGAGTGCAGTGGCGCGATCTCAGCTCACTGCAACCTCCACCTCCAGGATTCAAGTGATTCTTGTGCCTCAGCCTCCCAAGTAGCTGGGATTACAGGCGTGAGCCACCACATCTGGCTAATTTTTGTATTTTTAGTAGAGACGGGGTTTCACCATGTTGGCCAGGCTGGTCTTAAACTCTTGACCTCAGGTGATCCGCCCGCCTCGGCCTCCCAAAGTGCTGAGAGTACAGGTGTGAGCTACCGCACCCCACCAACATTTATATTCTTAAATACTTGCCACTGAAGCGCTCATCCAGTAAGTATGCGCCGAATGAATGGAGGGGTTGCTGCACAGCCTCATTCCCTACCCCCATTCAGGATCCCAGGCCTTGCTTTGGCAGGTGAGGAAGCCAAGGTTCAGGGCTTGTCTGGTAGGAATAGAGGAGGCCATTCAGCAGACAGAGCGGTTTCCAGCTCAGCTCTGGAGTCAGGCTGCCTGGACTCTGTGCCTGGCTCTGGCAGTGTCTACTGGGTAGAGTCGATAGAGTAATAGTTCCTATCTCAAAGAGCTATTGGACTAAATTATAGAGAACATGTAAAGTGCTTAGCATGGTGCTGATTAAATTACCCTGATTATTACAAGAATTCAGTAAATGTTAGCTATTATAATCATTTGTCAAGAAGATCCTACCATGAGGCTTGAGCCATCTATAGCTTATCTTTACAACTCTGCCCACTCCCTATTAATATCTCCACTTTATTGTCTAACAATGGGATCAGAGTTCCTAGAAAATGAAAGAGCAAGCTATCAGCTTCTGCCCAATAAAGAAGGAGAAATAGCGGAGCTGGGGAGAAGCAAACAGATCTCATACACAGAACGCCTGGTTGTGCAACTGGCTCAGCTTAGAAATAGATCTGGACTCTCAATGGCCATGCAGAAAGGAAGAAAACAAAGGCGCACATCTTCAGGCTGCTGAGGGAAACTCTATATCCAGAAAAACCTCAAGTACAAGTATGGAACAAAGACAGTTTCAGGCTTTTGAGGTTTCAAAAAATGTGACATTCTAAGAAACAGGGTAAATTATTATAGCAATTTCTCAATAGATATTAAATAGTACTGAGACTGATGAAGTCACTGAATATGATGGGTTGATTTATTCTGCAGACACATGCTGAGTGCTACTATGGGCTGGTTACACACTGGACTAGAGAGGGTAACCAGACTGACACATATTGCTGCCCTCATAGAGCTCATTTACATCCTAGTGAGGACAGATAGATGTAAACAGCTACAGTAGGAAAGTTCTGAGTCAGAAGGTGATGAACGTGATGGAGAAAGAGAAGCCAGGGCCTCTAGCCTCAACTTCCAGGAACTGGAACTACAGAACTACAGGAACTATAGCAGACAGATGAACGAACTACGGCTGGGCGTGGTGGCTCATGCCTGTAATCCCAGCACTTTGGGAGGCTGAGGCGGGCACATCACAAGGTCAGGAGTTCGAGACCAGCCTGGCCAACATGGAGAAACCTCGTCTCTACTAATAAATATAAAAATTAGCCGGGGATGGTGGCGGGCGCCTGTAGTCCCAGCTACTGGGGAGGCTGAGGCAGGAGAATGGCATGAACCCAGAAGGTGGAGCTTGCAGTGAGCCGAGATCGCGCCACTGCACTCCAGCCTGGGCAACAGTGTGAGACTCTGTCTCAAAAAAAATAATAATAATTACCAGCAACTGATGGCTTAAAACAATAGAGGTTTATTCTCTCACAGCTCTAGAGGTCAGATGCTAAAACCAAGGTGTTGGCGGAGGCCACACTCTCTACAGAGACTCTGGGGAAGAATCCATTCTGTGCCTCTTCCAACTTCAGGCGACCATCGGCACTCCTTGACTCGTAGCTGCATAACTCCAGCCTGTGCCTGGGAGATCACACTGCCTCCTCCTCTCTGTGTGTCTGTTCTCCTTCTCTTCCTCTCTCTTACAAGGACACTTGTAATGGCATTTACGACCCACCTCTAAAGTGGGCCCTTCTCTCAAGATCTTTAACTTAATTACATCTTTTGCCATATTAAGGTAATATTCACAGGTTCCTGGGATTAGGAAGTGAATATATCTTTGGCGGACCACTTTTGTGCCTACCTTAAGGAGCAAGAAAAATGGGACAGTACTAGAGGGAAATGTAGGGTACAGAGAAGTTTTTTGTTTTTGTTTTTTAAGATGGGAAAAGTTGGCGGGGTGCAGTGGCTCATGTCGGTAATCTCAGCACTTTCGGGTAGAGGCAGGAGGATCGCTTGAGCCCAGAAGTTCAAGACCTGCCTGGGCAACATAGAGAGACCTCATCTCTACTTAAAAAAAAAAAAAAACTAGTCTCTTGTGGTGGTGTACACCTGTAGTCCCAGCTACTTGGGAGGCTGAGGAGATTGCTTCAGCCTAGAAGGTTGAGGCTGCAGTGAGCCATGATCATGCCACTGCACTCCAGCCTGAGTGACAGAGTGAGACCCTATTTCAAAAACAACAACAATGACAAAAAAAAAAAAAGTTTGGAGATGGAGTGGTAACCAACTTGGCAGAGTGGAGGCAGCTGGCACTTAAGTGCTTAAAGATAATAGAAACGAAAAGTTAACAGTTCACTCTACTTATCCCCAAAAAAGTTCAGGACATGGAGGGACCAGATAGCTCAGATGGAAGGAAAAAGGCATAGAGCTGAGAACAGAGAAATTATTTAGGAGTCTGTATATAAAGCAGTTAAGCTTACAAATCCCCTCCCCAACCTTTTTTAGCTGGGCACCAACTCCCATAGCACAGCAGAGGGTTTACTCTTTGGGGAAACTGAATCTGAGAAGCACCAACTCAGGGACACCAGGCACAGCTGAAGGTGGAGTGAGCACTGAGCTGAAAACAAGGGACTGGGTAAAAACATATGTACCAAGCGGTGGCTCCACAACCGTCTCCCCTGACCCTGCTGCTGTAACCTCTATAGCAGGGGCCATGCAGATATCCCCCAGACAGATTGGAGAATTCTCTGTAGAAACCAGACGGTCCCTTCAGTGAGATTTACAGATTCTGATATTTGGGTGTACCCAGTAAAATATCCTGCTTGCTTCAGTCGCCACAGAGTGAAGCCCATAGATCAACAAGCCCCAAATTGTGCTTCCAATTGCCTCTGCTTAATGCCTCATTCTTAAATATGGACAGCCGAAGATCAAACATTTGAGGAAAACTTCCAACAATACACACACAAAAAAAATGGAGCGGGGGGAAGCAGGGGAGGGGAACTCAGGGGAAACAATAAGAAAAGCAGAAGAAAACTTAAAAACTGGAAAAATCCTTGGAGAGCTAAGAGAACAGACTCATGAAACAAGAACAGAAATACTATATATAAAAAAAGAAGCACGGCCGGGCTCGGTGGCTCACGCCTGTAATCCCAGCACTTTGGGAGGCCAAGATGGGTGGATCACCTGAGGTCAGGAGTTCAAAACCAGCCTGACCAACATGGTGGAACCCCGTTTCTACTAAAAATACAAAAAATTAGCCGGGTGTGGTGATGCATTCCTGTAATCCCAGCTCATGCAGTGAGCACAGGAGGCTAAGTCAGGAGAATTGCTTGAACCGGGGAGGCGGAGGTTGCAGTGAGCCAAGATCACGCCATTACACTCCAGCCTGGGTGACAGAGCAAGACTCCAGACTCCATCTCAAAAAAAAAAAAAAAAGCAATCAATGAACAAGAGAGTTAAAATGTAAAATTTCAATAAGAAAGAAAGATACAGTTAATAAAGTTGAAAGTGGATCTCATGAAAATAGAGATGAGATTGGTGGTTACTGGAGGCCAGGAAGGGTGGAGGAAATAAAGACATGTTAATGAGTAGAAATGTACAGTTAGATGGAAGAAATGGGACCCAGTGTTCTATAGATCAGTAGGGTGACTGTAGTTAACAATAATCTATTGTACATTTCAAAATCACTAGAAGAGAATGATTCGAATGTTCCTGGCATAAAGAAAAGATAAATATTTAAGATGATGGATATCCCAATTGCCCTGATTTGATCTTTACACATTATATGAATGTATCAAAATATTACAGGTACCCCCAAAATACGTACATCTACTATACATCAATTGTTTTAAAGTTAATGAAATTGCCCAGAGAATACAATAAAAAGAGACGGGCAAAAGGAGAAAAAAAGATAACAGCTATAATTCAAGGTCTAACATCCTCTAGTAAGGCCAGAGAAAATGGGGTGAGGATACAGGTTGAGTTAGGGAGTGGTAGCAAACAGGTAATTTACATAGAAAAAAACACTATCTATAGAATTAAAAGAAAAGAACAAAAAGACTTATAAATAGCAATACTTGGAAGTTAGAAGATAGTGAGGGAATTAGCCAGGCATGGTGGCACATGTCTGTAATCCCAGCTACTTGGGAGGCTGAGACAGGAGAATCGCTTGAGCCTGGGAGGCAGAGGTTGCAGTGAGCCGAGATTGCGCCACTGCACACTCCAACCTGGGCAACAGAGCAAGACTGTCTCAAAAAAAAAAAAGAAAAAAGAAAAAGAAAGAAAGAAAGAAAGAAAAGAAAAGAAAAGAAAAGGAAATAATGAAGGACATACCAACAAACACAATCACCATTATGGCACGTGGCTTCTTATGTTTTTTCTCACTTCTTTCTTATCTCCTCTCTTGCTTTTGTCACTTGGGAGCCCTTCATTCTTCAGGCTCCTCTTTCAGAAATTTTGCCCACTTCAGTCTGCACCTTCTTCCACAACTCTCAAAATCTACCCTTTATCCTGCTGCAATTCTCCATCTCATAGACCCCATTTAGTGTCAGACTAAATCCTTCTAGCCCATCCTCCATCCTTTTCTCAAACATTTCCCTATGAGCTCCCAGTCACACCTTTTCTCCCAATATCCAAGTGTCCTCTGTCAACACATTACCAAGTCTTCTCTTTCTCCTCCATATGTTCCCACTTCCCTCTGAACCAGAGACTCCTCTTTGCTTCCTTTGATCCTGGCCTCCGCCTTCAGCCCCAGAAGCTCTTTTCCTCACTTCCACTCTCTTTTATTTTAGGCTCAGACTCTCTCCTTTCCTTTCTCAACTTTACCCCTTCAGTGTCAATAATGTTCTGTCTGGCTCTAATTTCTCCTCTGACTTTCAGTACTTCTCCTGTCTGCCTCTTTCCTTCTTTGGTGTCAATCCTTCATCTGCCTCATTCACTGGTACCTTCACCTATAATATCTTTTTTTTCCATAGAAACAGATTCATCAGTGATATCTTTCACTTCACTCAAGATGCCCCCCTCAACTCCCACTCCTTTCTCAGTCCCTTGTAGTTCCTCACTCCCTTTGACACTTTCAAAAGGAATTTCCATCTCATCATGAGTAAATGCCATCACTCTTTCATCGCCAGTAACTTCTACCACTTTTTCAATGTTCTTCTCATTTATGCTCCCCATTCTTGAACCCTCCAATTTCTCCCCGCTGGTCCCTAACTTCTCCTCACTAGATCTCAGCTTCTCCGCACTTGACCCCAGCTTCTCTCCACTCAACCTCAGCTTCTCTCTGCTTGATCTCAGCTTCTCTCCACTGGTTCCCAGCTTCTCTCTGCTTGATCTCAGCTTCTCTCCACTCAACCTCAGCTTCTCATCACTTGTTCCCAGCTTCTCTCCACTCAATCTCAGCTTCTCTCTGCTTGATCTTAGCTTCTCTCCACTCAACCTCAGCTTCTCTCTGCTTGATCTTAGCTTCTCTCCACTCAACCTCAGCTTCTCATCACTGGTTCCCAGCTTCTCTCCACTCAACCTCAGCTTCTCTCTGCTTGATCTCAGCTTCTCTCCACTCAACCTCAGCTTCTCTCCACTCAACCTCAGCTTCTCATCACTGGTTCCCAGCTTCTCTCCACTCAACCTCAGCTTCTCTCTGATTGATCTCAGCATCTCTCCACTCAACCTCAGCTTCTCATCACTGGTTCCCAGCTTCTCTCCACTAGTTCCCAGCTTCTCTCCACTCCATCTCAGCTTCTCTCTACTTGATCTCAAATTCTCTCCACTTGATCTCAGCTTTCTGCCACTGGACCTCAGCTTCACTCCACTGGACCCCTGCTTCTCTCCCCTGCACACCAGCTTCTCACTAGTAGACCTCAGCTTCTCTACACTTGATCTCATCTTGTCTACACTAGACCTCAACCCCTTCTCATCCTGTCCCAGTTTATATCCATTGGATCTCAAGTCCTCTCCACTGGTCCCTACCTTCTCCCCAGCAGACCTCAACCTCTCTTCAAACCCAGACCCCTTCATAGGCCCTGCTGTCATCCCTGCACTCTTAGATTTAGCCTTTATTTCGTGTTTGACCTCTTGCTTTCCCCAAATACCCCTTGGGCTGTCTTTCCCCAAATCTGCTGAAGCTTGTGATGCACTTGCTCCACGGTATAGCAGCTTCACATCCATCCTTTCCTGACTCGGGCCTGACTTCCCTTTCAAGACCGTCTTTTCCACATCTTCCAGTCTCCAGTACTCAGACTCCAGCTTCGGCTTTCGAGTGTTTCTAGTCAGGAGCTCCACTCTCTTCCCAATTACCATGAGCCCGTTCCAAGGTCCCCAGGTTTTCTCTCGCAGCATCGGCACCCCCTTGCAGCCCCGCTCCAGTGGCGACCGTTCGCGGACCCCGGCCTCGCTTGGGGCGCCCTGGCCGCGGGACTTGTGGAGCTCCCTAGTCCTCCTAGGCTGCTTACCCCGCCGCTCCCTCCCGTCCAAGAGCGGAAACCTAAACAGACCCCCCTTCTCCACAGACATTGTCCCCTGCCCTCGCCCCTGGTCCACCACCCACATCCCCACCACTGCTTCCCATTCCCTGTCCCCACCCTGCCACCCTCACCCTCTTCCCCTTCCCCTTCCCCTTCCCCACTGCCTGGTGGGCGCCAAACTGGGCGAGTGCGCACGCGCAGGCCGCACGTGGCCGTTGGAAGGAGGGGCCCGGAACGGCGGCACGGGGTTGTTGTGGGGGTCAGTCCCCCGGGGACTGGAGGGAGACGCGGCACGCGGCCTCTGCGACCCTATGAACTCTGACCCCAGCTCCCACACTGTCGCCTATCACCGGCCCACTCTCCGTGCCGCGTGTCCCTTAAAAGCTGGGGCCTGGGACAGGAACGACAGACAATGCAGCCAATGGCGTCACGCGCGGTGCCCCGCTACCCAATCGAAAGGCGTGGCTGAGGGAAACGCGGTGGGAACCGCCCCCGACTCCAGGCGACTCCTTGGCCGGGCGGGGGAGAGCGTCCCCGTCAGCTGAGAGCATCCTCACTCGGTCAGTTCCTCGGGCGAGTTACGGGGACGACCTGCGGGAGCACGCGGGCAGTGGCCGGACGCTGAAGCCCAGGAGAGCGATGGAGACGTATGCGGAGGTTGGGAAGGAGGGCAAGGTAGAGAAAGGATGAAGACCCCCACCCCAGCCTCCCCTCACTCCATGAAAGCCCGTGATGCCCAATCATGCGGTGGTGTGTGTGTGTCTGTGTGTGTGTGGTCTGCCTCTGTGTGTTTCTGTGTGTGTCTGTGTGTGTATAGTCTGCATGTGTCTGTTTCTCTGTGTGTCTGTGTGTATGTCGATGTGCCTGCATATGTCTGTGTGTGTGTGTATCTGTGTATGTCTGTATTTGTGTCTCTGTGTGTCTGTGTGTCTGTGTGTGTCTCAGTGTGTGTCTGTGTCTTTGTGTGTCTCTGTGTATCTGTGTGTGTGTCTGTGTGTCTCCGTGTCTCTGTGTGTGTGTGTATGGCCTGTGTGTGTCTGTGTGTGTGCACGTATGCGTCCATGTGGGTGTTTGTGCGTGCATGTCTGTGTCTGTCTCTGTGTGTGTCTGTGCATGTCTGTGTGTGTGTGTCTGTGTGTCTGTGTCTGTGTATGGTCTGCGTGTGTCTTTGTGTCTGTGTCTGTCTGTGTGTATGGTCTGCATGTGTGCATGTATGCATCTGTGTGTGTCTCTGTGTGTATCTGTGTGTGCACGCATGTGCCTGTGTGTGTCTGCGCAGGTCTGTGTCTCTTTGTGTCTGAGTGTGTGTCTGTCTCTGTGTCTATGTATGGTCTGCGTGCATCTTTATGTCTGTGTGTGTGTGTCTCTGTGTGTGTGTATGGTCTGCGTGTGTCTGTGTGTGTGTGTCTGTGTATTTCTGGGTCTGTGTGTGTGTTTGCATGTGTCTGTGTGTGTCTGTATCCGTGTGTCTTTGTATATCTGTGTGTGTCTATGTCAGTGTGTCTGTGTGTGCATCTGTGTGTGTCTGTGTGCCTGTGTATGATCTGTGTATGTCGTTGTGTGTGTCTGTGTGTGTGTTTCTCTGTGCCTGTGTGTTTGTGTGTGTCTGTGTATCTGTGTGTGTTTCTATGTGTGTCTGTGTGTGCGTGTGTCTGTGTTTGTCTCGTGTGTCTGTGTGTGTGTATGTGCCCATGTGTCTCTGTGTGTATGTGTGTGTCTGCGCAAGTGAGAGAAAGGAGACTTGAGCAAGGGAGTGGGGAGCCTCTGTGGCACCTGTGTGCGGACTGATGAGGATGCCAAGGGAGGCAGGGTTTTGCCTTTGTCCTTACAGATGGAAAGGGACCCGTCACTGTCACTCTTACCCTCCCCAAGACCAACTCAGGCTGTCTTGATGGGGGTAGGTGGGTAGGGGGTGGGAGGTGAGGGCGGGGAGGAGGGCAGGATGTTAGGGATTGAGCAGAGGCTGGCATCCTCTTCTCCTTTCCCAAGGCGAGAGAATCCTGTTCAGCCCTAATGGCTTCACTTGTGTTCTGAGTTCATGTAATGATAAGACCATTTCTTCCTTTTGACTTCCTTCAGCAAAGAGTTGTCGAGCATCCACGTTGTGCCAAGGATGGTTAGAGCATGGAGAGGTGCACCCTTTTGGGAGATGGAGGCATATGCATAGTGGGCCGTGGCTGAGGATGAGGATGGAGCAGCTGTGGTCCACCTTTGAGGCCCATCTCCCTCAAGCAGCTACCAAGCAGTGTAGGTCAGAGTAGAGATACTAAGGCAGGAGGAAAGAGGCTGGGGACTAGGGGACCTGCTGCACCAGTTAGCCAGACTGCATGTGTTTGGGGTCTGGGGCAAGGGGAGAGCCTGCCTTGGGAGTGTCAGAGAAGCCAAGAAATGAGGAGCGGGGTTCAAGTGGTTTAGAGGGGCAAGAGGGGCTGAGAGACACAAAGCATGGAACAGAATGGTCTGCTTCAATGTTTATCTATGTATGTTCATCTTCATGGTTAAAGGAGTTAACATATATAAAATGCTTAGGGCATATACATGAAATGGTTAGAGTGGTGCCTAGCATATTGTAAGGGCCAACATAAGGGTTAGCTATTATATTATTATTATTGTTATATTATTTTTGCTGTATGTTCTGAGGATGTGCTGAGCTATTGAACAGATGGATGCACCCCCCAGCCTTTGCAGGAGCCATACTCTGAAAGTTCACTACCAGTACTTATCCTCTAGGTTAGGTGTTGCCTTCTCTAAGATCTTCCTTTAAATATAGAGACATTAAAAGAATATATAAGCAAAAATATAATAGAGGAGAAAATGAAATAATATAAAATACTGGCCAGGCGTGGTGGCTCAAGCCTGTAATCGCAGCACTCTGGGAGGCCAAAGCAGGCAAATCACTTGAGGTCAGGAATTCAAGACTAGCCTGGCCAACATGGTGAAACCCCATCTCTACTAAAAATACAAAAAATTGGCCAGACGTGGTGGTGCGCACCTGTAATCCCAACTACTTGGGAGACTGAGACAGGAGAATAGCTTGAACCCAGGAGGCAAAGGTTGCAGTGAGCCAAGATCGCACCATTGAACTCTAGCCTGGGCAACAGAGCGAGAATCTGTCTCAAAAATAAATAAATAAACCCAGAGGATTATAAATAATTATACTATAAAGACACATGCACACGTGTTTGTTGCAGCACTATTTACAATAGCAAAGACTTGGAACCAACCCAAATGCCCATCAATGATAGACTGGATAGAGAAAATGTGGCACATATACACTATGGAATATTATGTAGCCATAAAAAAGAATATCATGTCCTTTCCAGGGACCTGGATGAAGCTGGAAGCCATCATTCTCAGCAAACTAATACAGGAACATAAAACCAAACACCACACGTTCTTACTCATAAGTGGGAGTTGAACAATGAGAACACATGGACACAGGGAGGGGAACAATACACACTGTGGCCTGTGGGGGGCTGGGGGGTAAGGGGAGGGACAGCATTAGGACAAATACCTAATGCATGTGGGGCTTAAAACCTAGATGACGGGTTGATAGGTGCAGCAAACCAGTATGGCACATGTATACCTGTGTAACAAACCTGCACATTCTGTAAATGTATCCCAGAACTTAAAGTAAAATTTAAAAATTAAAATAAACAAATAAAAGAAATAATATAAAATACTATTTAAATAATCCAAAAGAGGACAAGAAAGAAAGAATACAGGAATAAAAACAGATGGGACAAAGAGAAAGCAAAAAGCAAGATGACAAGTTGGTAGCCTGCTACATCAGTAATTACAATGATTATGAATGGACTAAATTCTCCAATTTAAAAAAATATTGTCAGATTGTATTTTGGAAAAAAAACAACTAGAGTTTGTTAAAAGAGACATATTTTAAATATAAGGACACAGAAGGGTTGACATAAATGGGTGGGAGCTGGGCATAGTGATGCACACCTGTGGTCCCAGCTATGTGGGAGGCAGAGGTAGGAGGATTGCTTGAGCTCAGGATTGTTTGAGGTTACAGTGAGCTGTGATTGTGTCACTGCACTCCAACCTGGGACACAGAGTAAGACCTTGTCTTTAAAACAAAACAAAACCAAAAAAGGGCCAGGCACAGTGGCTCACACCTGTAATCCCAGCATTTTGGGAGGTCAAGGTGGGCAGATCACTTGAGGTCAGGAGTTCGAGACCAGCCTGGCCAACAGAGCGGACCCCCATCTCTACTAAAAATACAAAAATTAGCTGGGCATGGTGCCACACATCTGTAATCCCCACTACTCAGGAGGCTGAGGCAGGAGAATGGCTTGAGCCCGGGAGATGGAGGTTCCAGTGAGCCAAGATCTCGCCACTGTACTCCATCCTGGGCAACAGGGCAAGACTCTCTCAAAAAAAAAAAAAAAAAAAACGAAGAAGAAGAAGTATATTAGAAATAAAGAAGGATGGCTGGGTGCGGTGGCTCACGCCTGTAATGCCAGCACTTTGAGAGGCCAAGGTGGGTAGATCACCTGAGGTCAGGAGTTTGAGACCAGCCTGGCCAACATGGTGAAACCCCGTCTCTACTAAAAATACAAAAATTAGCCAGGTGTACTGGCAGGCACCTGTAATCCCAGCTACTCGGGAGGCTGAGGTAGGAGAATCACTTGAACCTGGGAGGCGGAGGTTGCAGTGAGCCAAGATCATGCCATTTCACTCCAGCCTGGGTGACGGGAGTGAAACTCTGTCAAAAAAAGAAAGAAAGAAGGAAAGAAAGAAGGAAGGAAGGAAGGAAGAAAAGAAGGAAGGAAGGAAGGAAGGAGAAATAAAGAGGGACATTTTATAATGATGAAAGACTTGATTCCACAGAAAGGTAAAACAATCCTAAATTTATAGGCACCTAATAATATAGCATCAAAATATGCAAAATAAAAGATGACAGAACTAAAAGGAGTAATAGGCAAACCTACAATTAAATAGTAAGTAATTGTATTTATTTTTTAGAAATGGGGTCTTTTTATGTTGGCCAAGCTGGTCTCCAACTCCTGAGCTCAAGTGATCCTCCCACCTCAGCCTTCCAAAGTGCTGGAATTATAGGCATGAGTCACCATGCCCAGACCAGTTAGAAATTCTAACACAATTCTCAACAACTGTTAGAACAAGCAGACAAAAAAATTAGTAAGGATTTAGAAGATTTAAATAACATGATTAATCAACTTGATCTAATTGACTTATGTAGAGCTCTATACCCAACAACTGCAGAAAATACATTATTTCAAATGCACATGAAACATTTACCAAAATAAATGAAATGTTGAGCTATAATGCAAGTATCAATAAATTTTAAAAGACGAAATCATAGATTATATACTCTGACCCAGAATTAATGTGGAATCAAAACAAAAACATAACTAGATTCCAAAATATTGGAAATTAAGCAACATGCTTCTAGATAACTCTTAGGCCAAAGAAGAAATTATAATGGAAATTAGAAAATATTTTTAAATTTATGATTACAAAAATATGACATATCGAAACTCATAAGATACACAGTTTCCAGAGGGAGATTTATACCACCACATGCATATTTTAGAAAAGAAGAAAGCCTTGAGTATATGACACTAAAGAAAATAAGTAATTATTATTATTATTATTATTTTTGAGAGGGAGTCTCACTTCATTGCCCAGGCTGGAGTGCAGTGGCATAATCTCAGCTCACTGCGACTTCCGCCTGCCAGGTTTAAGCAATTCTCCTGCCTCAGTCTCCCGAGTAGCTGGGACTACAGCTGTGCCCCACCACGCCCAGCTAATTTTTTTGTATTTTTTTTTTTTTTTTTTTTTTGAGACGGAGTCTCGCTCTGTCGCCCAGGCTGGAGTGCAGTGGCGGGATCTCGGCTCACTGCAAGCTCCGCCTCCCGGGTTCACGCCATTCTCCCGCCTCAGCCTCCCAAGTAGCTGGGACTACAGGCGCCCGCCACTACGCCCGGCTAATTTTTTGTATTTTTAGTAGAGACGGGGTTTCACCGTTTTAGCCGGGATGGTCTCGATCTCCTGACCTCGTGATCCGCCCGCCTCGGCCTCCCAAAGTGCTGGGATTACAGGCATTTTTTTGTATTTTTAGTAGAGACGATGTTTCACCATGTTGGCCAGGCTGGTCTTGAACTCCTGACCTCAGGTGATCCACTCGCCTCGGCCTCCCAAAGTGCTGGGATTATAGCATGAGCCACCGCACACCGGCTGGAAAATAAGTAACTAAAAAAATTTTTTTTGTGAACCATGATCACACCACTGCACTCTAGCCTGGGTGACACAGTGAGACCCTGTCCCAAAAAAAAAAAAAAAAATTATCAAGCTGAATAAGCAATATATAAAAGGATAATACTTCATGAACAAGGCCTTCTTCCAGGAATGCAAGGTGGTTTAACATTTGCAAATCAATCAATGAAATTCAGCATATAAACAGATAACAAAGGCCGGGCGCGGTGGCTCACGCCTGTAATCCCAGCACTTTGGGAGGCCGAGGTGGGCGGATCACCTGAGGTCAGGAGTTCGAGACCAGCCTCAACATGGAGAAACCCCGTCTCTACTAAAAATACAAAATTAGCCGGGCATGGTAGTGCATGCCTGTAATCCCAGCTACTCAGGAGGCTGAGGTAGGAGAATTGCTTGAACCTGGGAGGCGGAGGTTGTGGTGAGCCAAGATCGCGCCAGTGCACTCCAGCCTGGGCAACAAGAGTGAAACTCTGTCTCCAAAAAAATAAATAAATAAATAAACAGATAACAAGAACATCCATATGATTATCTCAATCAAAGGAAAAAGATTGATAAAAATCAACACTCTCATCAAATTAGGGATAGCGGGGAGCTCCATTAAGCTTCATTAAGATACCCTTGATTAAAAAAAATATCTAAAATCACTTTGGGGTTAAATTTAAATGCAGTCCCTCTGAGATTAGGAACATGTCATCATATCATCACTTCCACATTGTACTGGAGGTCTTGGCAAGTATAATAAGGCAGTAAAAAGAAATAAAGGTATAAAGGTTGGAAAGGAAGAACTAAAACTGTCATCATTTTAGATTATAGGACTGTATATGCAGGAAATCCAAAAGAACTGGCCAGGAAGGTGGCTCAGGCCTGTAATCTCTGCACTTTGGGAGGCCTAATTTAGGAGATCTCTTGAGCCCAGGAGTTCGAGACCAACCTGGGCAACATAGTGAGAACCTATCTCTACAAAAAAATACAAAAATTAGCCAGGCATGGTGGCAGATGCCTGTAGTCCCAGCTACTCAGGAGGCTGAAGTGGGAGGATCCCTTGAGCCTGGGAGTTCAAGGCTGCCATGAGCCAAGATGGCACTACCACACTCCATCCTGGATGACAGAGCAAGACCCTGTCTCAAAAAAAAAAAAAGAATCTACAAACGATTAAATTAATAAGTGAGTTCAGCAAGATATTTTAAAAAATTATTAAAATTAACAAGTAAATTTGTGGGGACCAAGGTAAATATATAAAAATCTATTATGGTTTTTTTTTCTTTCTTTCTTTCTTTTTTTTCTGAGATGGAGTTTCACTCTTGTCACCCAGGCTGGAGTGCAATGGTGCGATCTTGTTTCACCGCCACCTCTGCCTCCGGGTTCAAGGGATTTTCCTGCCTCAGCCTCCTGAGTAGCTGGGATTACAAGCGCCCCCCACCACACCTGGCTAATTTTTGTATTTTTAGCAGAGACGGGGTTTTACCATGTTGACCAGCCTGGTCCTCGAACTCCTGAGCTCAGGTGATCCACCCGCCTCGGCCTCCCAAAGTGCATGAGCCACCTCGCCTGGACTTTTTTTTTTTTTTGAGACAGTGTCCTGCACTGTCATCCAGGCTGGAGTGCAGTGGTATGATGGTGTGATCATGGCTCACAGCAGCCTCGACCTTCTGGGCTCAAGCGATCCTCCTGCCTCAGACTCCCAAGTAGCTGGGACTACCTGTGTTTGCCACCACACCTGGCTAATTTTTGTATTTTTTTGTAGACATAGGGTTTCGCCATGTTGCCCTGGTTGGCCTTGAACTCCTTGGCTCAAATGATTCTCCTGCCTCAGCCTTCCAAAGTGCTGGGTTCACAGGCATGAGCCACTATGCCCAGTCTATTGTGTTTCTATATACAATTAGAAGATGAAACTTTTTAAAATATAATTTAAAAAGCAAAGAAAGGGCGCCTATAATCCCAGCTGCTTGGGGGGCTGAGGCAGGAGAATCGCTTGAACCCAGGAGGCAGAGATTGCAGTGAGCCGAGATTGCGCCATCGCACTCCAGCCTGGGCAACAAGAACAAGACTCTGTCTCAAAAAATAAAAAATAAAATAAAATAAAAATAAAAAGCAAAGAAAAAGAGAATCATCAAATACCTAGGAATAAATCTCACAGAAGACATGCAAGACCTTTACACAGAAAACTACAAAACATTAAAGAAGACCTAAATAATTGGAAAGATATTACCTGTTTTTAGATTGGAAGATTAAAAATTATAAATTATAAAATTACAAAGAGATCTAGTCTTCCAAGATTGATCTATATATTTGATATAATCACAATCAAAATCCCAGTACATTTTTGAGGGGTAGAAATTAACAAGCAGAATATCTGTAGAAATGTAAAGGACCTATAATAGCCAAAATTATTTTGAAAAGAAAGAATAAAGTTGGAGGCTTTGCACTATCTGATTTCAAGTCGCACCTGTCAAGTTACAGTAATCAAGACAGTAAGATATTATCATAAGGATAAACATTTAGACCAATGGAACACAGTAGAGAGTCCAAAATTTGTCACTCTTAATAGGTCAATGGATATGTGTACACCAAAGCAATTCAATAGCAAAAGGAAAATCTTTATAACAAACAGTGCTCAAATAGCTGGCCACATGGCACAATGAATCATAACCCATACCTCACACTGCATATTCAAAATGAATTGAAAATCACCGGGCGTGGTGGATCATGCCTGTAATTCCAGCACTTTAGGAGGCCGAGGCTCAGGTGGATCAACTGAGGTCAGGAGTTTGAGACCAGACTGGCCAACATGGTGAAACACTGTCTCTACTAAAAACACAAAAAAATTAGCTGGGCCTGGTGGCACACGCCTGTAATCCCAGCTACTTGGGAGGCTGAGGCAAGAGAATGGCATGAACCCAGGAGGCAGAGGCTGCAGTGAGCCAAGATCGTGCCACTGCACTCCAGCCTGGGTGACAAAGCAAGACTCCATCTCAAGAAATTAAAATTAGGCCAGGCACGGTGGCTCATGGCTGTAATCCCAGCACTTTGGGAGAACAAGGGGGGGTGGATCGCCTGAGGTCAGGAGTTCGAGACCGCCTGGCCAACATAGTGAAACCCCGTCTCTACTAAAAATACAAAAATGAGCTGGGTGTGGTGGTGGGCGCCTGTAATCTCAGCTACTTGGGAGGCTGAGGCAGGAGAATCGCTTGAACCTGGGAGGCGGAGGTTGCAATGAGCCGAGATCCGCCATTGCACTCCAGCCTGAGCAACAAGAGCGAAACTCCATCTCAAAAAAAAAAAAAAAAAAAAAAAGAAACACTTTGGGAGGCCGAGACCGGGGGATCATGAGGTCAGGAGATCGAGACCATCCTGGCTAACATGGTGAAACCCCGTCTCTACTAAAAATACAAAAAATTAGCTGGGCGTGGTGGGCACCTGTAGTCCCAGCTACTAGGGAGGCTGAGGCAGGAGAATGGCTTGAACCCAGGAGGTGGAGCTTGCAGTGAGCCGAGATTGCGCCAGTGCACTCCAGCCTGGGCGACAGAGCAAGACTCCGTCTCAAAAAAAAAAAAAAAAGAAAAAGAAATTAAAATTAAAATGAAGAAAATGAATTGAAAATAGATCATAGCCAGGTAGGGTGGCTCATGCCTGTAATCCCAGCACTTTGGGAGGCCAAGGAGGGTAGATCACTTGAGGTCAGGAGTTTGAGACCAGCCTGGCCAAAAGAGTGAAACCCCATCTCTACTAAAAATACAGAAATTAGCCAGGCGTTGTGGCGGGCACCTGTAATTGCAGCTACTCAGGAGGCTGAGGCAGGAGAATCACGAACCTGGGAGGCGGAGGTTGCAATGAGCCAAGATCGTGCCACTGCACACCAGCCTGGGCAACAGAGCAAGACTCTGTCTCAAAAGAAAAAGAAAAAGAAAAAGAAAATGGATTATAGATACAACTGCAAGAGCTTAAACTGTAACACCTCTAGAAAAATAAATAGAATATCTTCATGACCTTGGGGTAGGCAAAGTTTTCTTTAACAGGACACAAAAAGCCTTAACCATAGACATAAAAGACTGTTATGTTGAGCTTGTAACATTTGAACCATTAAGAGTCAAAGGCAAACTATAGACTAGGAAAAGATACTGACAAAAGGTATAATCAACAATGGGTTTGTCTCCAGCAACAGTTCCTACAAATTACTGAAAAACAGATAATCTGATCTTTCAAAGAGGTGGCAGGAAAGAATCAGAGACCTGAATAGGCACTTTACAAAAGAAGATATGCAGATGGCTGATAAATACAGAAAATGCCGCTCAACATCATTCCTCACCAGGTAATACCAGTTACACTCCCCATGCGCAATTACCATGCCTGGACTAACAGGGTGAAAGTAAAAAAGACTAACAATTCTGAGCTGTCACAGTGGTTTGTGCCCAGACTGATCTATATATTCGATGCAATCACAATCAAAATCCCAGTATGTTTTTCAGGGGTAGAAATGTAAAGGACCTATAATCACCCAAATGATTCTGAAAAAAAAGAATAAAGGTGGAGGCCTTGCACTATCTGATTTCCAGTCTCACCTGTTAGATTACAGTAATCAGTCCAGTGAGATATTATCATAAGGACAAACATAGACCAATGGAACAGAGAGTCCAAAGTTTATCATACTTAATAGGTCAATTGATACGTGTACACAAAAGCAGCTCTCAGCTACTCCAGAGGATTGCCTGAGCCCAGTTCAAGGCCAGCCTGGACAACATTAGCAGGACCCCTTTTCTTTAAAAAAAAAAAAATAATAAATAGAGAGAGAGAGAGATAAAATGACTAACGACTCTGTGGCAAAGATGTAGTACAACTGGAACTTTCATACACAGTGCTGCTGGGAGTGTACATTGGTTTAGTCACCTTAGAAAACCGTTTGGCAGTATTTACTAAAGTGTTTTAAACATACAATATGTCTTCCCTGTAACTAAGCAATTCTCATGCCCAACAGAAATGGGGACTTAGGTCAAAAGTCCTCAAAAGACGGCTGGGCGTGGTGGCTCACATCTGTAATCCTAGCACTTTGGGAGGCCGAAGCGGGCAGATCACTTGAGGTCAGGAGTTCAAGAGCAGCCTGGCCAACATGGCGAAACCCCATCTCTACTAAATTACAAAAATTAGCCAGGCGTGGTGGCGGGCACCTGTATCCCCAGCTACTCAGGAGGCTGAGGCAGGAGAATCACTTGAACCTGGGAGGCGGAGGTTGCTGTGAGCTAAGATCACGTCACTGCACTCCAGCCTGGGTGACACAGCAAGACTCTGTCTCAAAAAAAAAAAAAAAAGTCTTCTAAAGACCTGTGTAAGAATGTTCATGGAAGCCAGACATGGTGCTGCACACTTGTAATCCCAGCTACTTGGGAGGCTGAAGTGGAAGGATGGCTTGAGGCCAGGAGTTCAACCAGCCTGGGCAGCATAGCGAGAACACCCCCCTGCTTTAAAAAAAAAAAAAAAAAAAAAAGGCTGGGTGTGGTGGCTCACTCCTGTAATTCCAGCACTTTGGGAGGCCGAGGCGGGCGGATCATGAGGTCTGGAGATCGAGACCATCCTGGCTAACACAGTGAAACCCCGTCTCTACTAAAAAATACAAAATTAGCTGGGCGTGGTGGTGTATGACTGTAATCCCAGCTACTAGGGAGGCTGAGGCAGGAGAATGGCATGAACCCGGGAGGCGGAGGTTGCAGTGAGCTGAGATCGTGCCACTGCACTCCAGCCTGGGCAACAGAGCAAGACTCCATCTCAAAAAAAAAAAAAAAGTAACCGGTTGCAGTGGCTCACGCCTGTAATCCCAACATTTTGGAAGGCCAAGGTGGGCGGATCACCTGAGGTCAGGAGTTTGAGACCAACCTGGCCAACATAATGAAACCCCGTTTCTACTAAAAATGCAAAAAATTAGCCAGGCATGCTGGCCCATGCTTGTAATCCCAGCTACTCAGGAAGCTGAGGCAGGAGAATCGCTTGAACCAGGAGGCAGAGGTTGCAGTGAGCCGAGATCTTGCCATTACACTCCAGCTTGGTCAACAAGAGCAAAACTCCATCTCAAAAAAAAACCAACAAAAAACTGTTCATGGCAGCTTTATTCATAATAGCCAAAAACTTGAAATAATCCAAATGACCATCAACAGTAGATACATACATTATGATATAATCATGTAATGAAATAAGACACAGCAATGAAAATAACTGCTTCTCCACTCAACAACGTAGAGAGCTCTCTAAAGAACAGGGGCACAAAAGAATACACAATGCATAATTGCATTTCTGTGAAGTTCAAGAATAGGCAGGCCAGCATAGGCTGGGCTCAGTGGCTCACACCTGTAATCCCAGTTCTATGGGAGGCCAAGGTGGGTGGATCACCTGAGGTCAGGAGTTCAAGACCAGCCTGGCCAACATGGTGAAACCCCGTCTCTGCTAAAATACAAAAATTAGCTGGACGTGGTGGTGGGCGTCTGTAATCCCAGCTACTTGGGAGGCTGAAGCAGGAGAATCCCATAAGCCTGAGTGGTAGAGGTTGCAGTGAGTTGAGATCATGTCACTGCACTCCAGCCTGGGCGACAGAGTGAGACTTCGTCTCAAAAAAAAGAATAGGCCAGGACGGGTGCGGTGGCTCACGCCTGTAATCCCAGCACTTTGGAGGCCGAGGCGGGCGGATCACCTGAGGTCAGGAGTTCCAGACCAGCTTCAACAAGGAGAAACCCCATCTCTACTAAAAATACAAAATTAGCTGGGCGTGGTGGTGTATGACTGTAATCCCAGCTACTCGGGAGGCTGAGGCAGGAGAATTGCTTGAACCTGGTAGGCAGAGGTTGCAGTGAGCTGAGATCGTGCCATTGCACTCCAGCCTGGGCAACAAGAGTGAAACTCTGTCTCGAAAAAAAAAAAAAAGAATACGCCAGAATAATCTATGGTGATAGAAGTCAGAATGGTGGTTAGTTCTGGGGTGGGAGATAATTGATGGGTGTGGGGCAAGAAGGAGCCTTCCGGAGTGTTTAAAAAAATGTTTTTTGCCAGGCACGGTGGCTCACGCCTGTAATCCCAGCACTTTGGGAGGCCAAGGCGGGAGGATGACCTGAGGTCAGGAGTTCAAGACCAGCCTGACAAACATGGAGAAACCCCATCTCTACTAAAAATACAAAATTAGCTGGGCGTGGTGGCGGGCGCCTGTAATCCCAGCTACCTGGGAGGATGAGGCAGGAGAATCGCTGGAACCCGGGAGGCGGAGGTTGTGGTGGGCTGAGATTGCACCATTGCACTCCAGCCTGGGCAACAAGAGTGAAACTCCATTTCAAAAAAAAAAATTTAGCTTTAGTTTTTTTTGTTTTTTTTTTTTAGACAGTTTCTCACTCTGTCACCTAGGTTGGAGTGCAGCGGCGAGATCCTGGCTCACTGCAGCCTGCACCTCCCAAGCTCAATCTTCCCACCTCAGCCCCCCCCAAGTAGCTGGAACCACAGGCATGTGCCACCACACCCAGCTAATTTTTAAAGTTTTTTTGTGGAGATGGGGGTCGAAGGGTGTCTCACCATGTTGCCCAGGCTCGTCTCAAACTCCTGGGCTCAAGCAATTCTCCTGCCTCAGCCTCTCTCCCAAAGTGCTGGATTACAGCACTTTTAAAAAAAAATTTTTAAATTAGCTGGGCATGGTGGCACATGCCCGTGGTCCTTGCTACTTGGAAGGCTGAGTCAGGAGGATTGTCTGAGCCCAGCTCATCACGGAGGCTGCGGTGAGCTGTGATGGCGCCACCAAACTCCAGCCTGAGTGACAGAGCAAGACCCTGTCTCCAAATAAATAAATAAAATATATATCTATCATGATCTGAGTTGGGTGATGGTTACCCAGCTGTATACACATATACAAATAATTGGTGCTTTACACTTAAAATTTGTGCACTTTCCTGTATATAACTTATACCTTAATTAAAAAAACAAAAGGGGGCTGGGTGCAGTGGCTCACACCTGTAATCCCAGCACCTTGGGAGGCCGAGGCAGGCAGATCACTTGAGCTCACAAGTTCAAGACCAGTCTGGCCAACATGGCAAAACCCCGTGTCTACTAAAAATACAAAAATTAGCTGGGAGTGGTGGCGTGTGCCTGTAATCCCAGCTACTCAGGAGGCTGAGGCAAGAGAATTGCTTGAACTTGGGAGGCAGAGTTTGCAGTTAGCCGAGATCACTTCACTGCACTCCAACCTGGGTGACAGAGCAAGATGCTATCAAAAAAAAAAAAAAAGTGAGAAACAATGTAGAGATAACCCTGTAAACAGTGGCCAGTGACCTCAGGGTCAATTCCTTCATGCCGGACAGCCAGGAGGAGGGGACAGATGCAGGGATCTCCATCCAGGGAGGAGACATCACTACTGCAGATGGGCCACCATCAAGCAAGGTCTTGCCTGTTTCTGGACCCACATATCACCAAGCCCCATCTCAGGGACCATCTCCAAAGTGTGCCAAAAGCAGAGAGAGGAGAGAGTGAGGAGGCCTCCAGATTGAGAGGTGGGACAGGTGCCTGTTGTATACTGGTGAGCAATGCTGAAGGGTAGAGTGATTCCTAAGCCTCTTCCCTTCCCCCTAATATCACTTGGCACTATGGTGTGGACACAGTAGGTATTCAATAAATGCATGTTGCTTCCGGCCCTTTGGGAGGCTGAGGTGGGAGGATTGCTTGAGCCCAGGAGTTTGAGACCAGCCTGGGCAACATAGCAAGACTCTGTCTCTAAAAAAAAAAAAAAAAGCTTGGCATGGTGGTACATGCCTGTAGTCCCAGCTACCCGGGAGGCTAAGGCAGGAGGATCACTTGAGCCCAGGAGTTGGAGGCTGCAGTGAGCTATGATGGCACCACTGCATTACAGCCTGAGTGACAGAGCGAGACCCTGTCTCAAAAATAAATAAATACATGTTGAATAGCTCAATGCAAGAATGAGCTAGTAGCTTGGTGTCTTGTGGATCTTTTCACTTGAAGAAATACACATGCTTTGCATGTAAGCTTTTGCCTCTTGGCACCAAAAGTAGTAAATGGAATGGTTTTGGCAACCCCCGCAAAAGAGGTGGGAATGTCTCATCCAACTCACTTGAAGCCCTGGTTAAGGGATGCCTGAGGTAGCCAGCTGGGGAAGGGGTGGGCAAGTAACTGAGAAAGTGCATGGGGTTGGGAATTAAGAAACTGGGTTTTGCTGGGCACGGTGGCTCATGCCTGTAATCTCAGCACTTTGGGACGCCAAGGCAGGTGGATCACTTGAGGTCAGGAGTTTGAGACCAGCCTGACCAAACATAGTGAAACCCCGTCTCTACTAAAAATACAAAAGTTAGCCAGGCATGGTGGCTCATGCCTGTGGTCCCAGCTACTCGGGAGGCTGAGGCAGCAGAATCGCTTGAACCCGGGAGGTGGAGGTTGCAGTGAGCTGAGATCGCGCCACTGCACTCCAGCCTGGGCAGTGCAAGACTCCGTCTAAAAAAACAAACAAAGAAACAACAACTGGGTTTCAATCTGGCACTGTCGCTTTGCAGCTGCATAACCTTGGACAAGTTACTTCTCCTCTGGTTGTCTCAGCTTCAACAGCTGTAAAATGGGAAGTTTTCTGCCTGCCTCCAAGGATGGGAGGGTTAAAATGTTTTGGCAGTTGCAAAACTCAGGTCAGTGCCTTATCAGGACCCCTCTCTGGTGACCTGGGGCATTGCTGAAGCAGTGCTGCTGAAGAGGGTTCTGCAGGTGGATCAGAAAGCCTGCAGGGCAAGGAAGGGCAAAGGGGCCATGCTCAGCCAGGCCAGAGACCTCCCCTCCTCCGCAGCCTTCCTGTGCATCGGTGGATCTGCAGGGAGACAGCTCCTTACAGGTGGAGATTTCTGACGCAGTGAGTGAGCGGGACAAGGTGAAATTCACTGTTCAAACAAAGGTGAGGCAGTGCGGGGCACGAGGAAAGGTCCTGGTGGCTGCCCGCAGGAGGCCTCCCCCAGGGGGTGGTAGGCATGTGCCAACACAGCCTGTGGGCACTCTTCCTCCACCTGGCACTTGCCCTCAGCCCCTCCTGGAAAGTGAGCCTCTTAGCTCTGCCTAAGGCCCCGAGTCCTAATCATTCCTGTCCACCATTCTAAATGAAATCATGCACACCTGAGCTCTAACTTTGTCCTCCCTGGGATGTGGGATGAGGGGGGCCCAAAAGTGCATGCCCAGACTTGCTGAGGCAGGGCTTGGGGCAGAGAGAGGACCTCAGTTGGCCTTCCCGCTTCCAGAGCTGCCTCCCTCACTTCGCCCAGACCGAGTTCTCAGTCGTGCGGCAGCACGAGGAGTTCATCTGGCTGCATGATGCCTACGTGGAGAATGAGGAGTACGCCGGCCTCATCGTGAGGAGGGGCTGGGCAGGGGCTGGGAGGGACAGGCAGAGCACTTGGGTGAGGACCAAAGGCTGTGATGGCCGTCTCGGCAGTGAGAGGCCTCCCAGCTCCGTCCCTCCTTTGAGCAGATCCCCCCAGCCCCTCCGAGGCCAGACTTTGAGGCTTCGAGGGAAAAGCTACAGAAATTGGGCGAGGGGGACAGCTCTGTCACTCGGGAAGAGTTTGCCAAGATGAAGCAGGAGCTGGAAGCGTGAGTGCCCCCTCCTTTCCCTGCCATCCCCAGAGTCCAGATGTCTTCCCCAGCTATCTCCCCATGAATGTTTAGCAACCCTGACCTCTGACCCCAGAAAGGGGGCAGGCAGGATGATGGGGGCTGAGGAGGGCCGGTGAGCTGCTGCCACTCTCGCAGGGAGTACCTGGCCATCTTTAAGAAGACAGTTGCGATGCACGAAGTCTTTCTGCAGCGCCTGGCGGCCCACCCCACCCTGCGTCGAGACCACAACTTCTTTGTGTTTTTGGAATATGGACAGGATGTGAGCTGGGCCGAATCCCTGGGGTCACCCTTGGGCCAGGAGTCTACCTTGGGTGGGGAGGCACCCAGGGGTGGCAGGGCTGGAGAAGGGGCCCAAGTGGGCCCAATCCTGTGTCACAGCTCCGTGAGTGGCTTGCAACTTGGGGTGGGAGGTGAGAACGCCCACCCCAGCATCATACCCTCCCTGTGTGCCTCAGCTGAGTGTCCGGGGGAAGAACAGGAAGGAGCTCCTCGGAGGGTTTCTGAGGAATATTGTGAAGTCCGCGGATGAAGCCCTCATCACGGGCATGTCAGGGCTCAAGGTAACCCCTGGTGCTCCTCTCCGGATTCAACCCAGCACCTCAAGTCCACAGCACAGATTGAGGCCCAGGCTGGGTGTGGGAAGGAAGCCACTGGTGGGGCCTGGCCTGGTTTGGAAGGAGATTTTGCCAACCCTGGGTGCCTGTGTTGTCAAGCCCCGTGGTGACCCAGTGTAAATGGGGTCCTGCCTGGCTCCCTTAGGAGGTGGATGACTTCTTTGAGCATGAGAGGACCTTCCTGTTGGAGTATCACACCCGTATCCGAGATGCCTGCCTGCGGGCCGACCGCGTCATGCGCGCCCACAAGTGTACGCAGGGCCCAAGGGGTCCTGGATCCCCCTGCCCCTCTCCCCAGCGGTTCAACTCCTTGGGGGAGAGAAGAGAGCAGGGCGTGCCTTGTTGTTTGTCTGTGGCCACAAGCACCAAGGCTTGACATGCAGATGTAGGGGCTCTGATGGGGGCTGTTCCCCAACAGGCCTGGCAGACGATTATATCCCTATCTCAGCTGCGCTGAGCAGTCTGGGAACACAGGAAGTCAACCAGCTAAGGACGTGAGGACTCCCCCCACCCCTACCCTCTCCCTGTGCCTGTAATACCATGTCTTCCCATGAGGGGTCACTCTGTAGATGTCTACTGTCAGCTCTAGGTGGGAGGTGTAGGCTCTCCTGTTGGGGGATGGTGTTGGGAAGGAAAGGGGAGAGGGAGATTCCCAAGGAGAGGCTGAGACAGAGAGGCTTTGAGCTGTTCCTCAGCCCCCTACCCTAACTCCCTCCCTACTGCTTCCTAGGAGCTTCCTCAAATTGGCAGAGCTCTTTGAACGGCTGAGGGTGAGTACTGCCTTCTGTGCTCAAAGGCTTTCCTGGTGAGCTTTGCAGGGAAGATGAGTCCTGGCAGAGGGAAGAGCTCCAGGATCATCTTGGGTTCAGTGATAACTTGGGCCCAGTGGCAAGTTGGGCTTACACTCCAGACTAGTTTAACAAAAGGTGGGGTGAAGACAAGGATCCAGCTTCGTGTGTGTGTTGGGGGGTGCAGGGGCATGCACATGTATGCACGTGTGCAGCAGCGGAGGGTTGGGAGGCACAAGGGTGTGCCCAAACCTCTGGCAGGCTGCACCCAGCTGCCAGCACACTGCCCGGGCACACATGTTCCCCACTCTTCCCTAAGAAAGTCACTGGAGTGTTGCCATCTTCCTAAAATGTCTATTGGACCGCATCTCTTCCCTGCTCAAGGCCCTTCAGAGACCCTGCCCCTTCTGGAAGCTCCTAAAGTCCTGAGCTTCCACTTTCAGCCTCTTGTGCTCCAGCCACTGCCTCCCTCCCCTGCTTTGCCCAAGTGCCCTCCCTGAACTAAAGTTTCCCTGAACACATAGCCGGGCTTGCACAGCTGCCAAGCCCTCAGCGCCCTCTGTCCAGCTCTTACTCAGTCCCCGAGATCCAGACTAGATCCCACTTCCTCTGTGAAGCCTTCCCTGGCCTGCACCCCTCAACACCAGACCTGACCTGGAACAGTTACCTAAGGCTTCTTTGCTGGATATTTAGATGAAGAGGTGCCTCCCACCCCTTAGCTGCCCCTCTGACAAGCTCCCTTCCCAGTGCCCACCTTTCTGATGCAGAAGCTGGAGGGCCGGGTGGCTTCCGATGAGGACCTGAAGCTGTCAGACATGCTGAGGTACTACATGCGTGACTCACAGGCAGCCAAGGTGAGAGGCAGCCCCAGCGCAGCGCTCAGGCCCGGATGCCAGGACAGGGCAGCAGTGACCCTGTGCCCATGGTCCTAGGACCTGCTGTACCGGCGGCTGCGGGCACTGGCCGACTACGAGAATGCCAACAAGGCGCTGGACAAGGCGCGCACCAGGAACCGGGAGGTGCGGCCCGCCGAGAGCCACCAGCAGCTGTGCTGCCAACGCTTCGAGCGCCTCTCCGACTCCGCCAAGCAAGGTGAGCCCGCAGCCCCCAGCCCCAGCCTGGGGCCACATGCCCTGCCCTGCCCGGATCCCCATGCCTCTTCCCCTCCTCTCCAGAGCTCATGGACTTCAAGTCCCGCCGGGTCTCCTCTTTTCGAAAGAATCTCATTGAGCTGGCAGAGCTGGAGCTCAAACACGCCAAGGTGAGCCCTCCCACCTCACTGGGCCCTTGTGAAGCCTCCCACCTCCCACCTCCCTCCCTCCCCCAGGCACCAGGGTGTGCGTGCATGTGAGGGTGTGCACGCATGTATGCGCGTGTGTGTGCATGAGAGGAGCCCCAGCTAAGGCTTGGGGCCATGCTTCCCTGGCTCAGGACCCGTGCCTTCTGGGTAGGAAGGCCCAATTAACAGCAGCTGTTATTGCAGAGAGCAGGGGTGTGGGGAGCGAGGGAGCATCTAAGGTGCAGAAAGAATGGCAGCCTGACTCAGGGAGCAGGGGACTTCAAGGACCTGTTTCTCCTCTGCAGGCCAGCACCCTGATTCTCCGGAACACCCTTGTTGCCCTAAAGGGGGAGCCTTAGAGTAGCCAGAGCTCAGCCAGACCCTAATCTGGGATCTCCAGTGACCAGGGTATCCCAGACCCCTCTCTCCGGCAAGATGTCTCCTTCCCTAGCAGTGCCACTAGCCACACCCTCACTCTGCCCCACATCCTCTCAGGGAAAGCCCAAACCCCCTATCACCACCACCACAGGTGCCAGGCCCTGCAAGACACAGGGCAGCATGGGCATCATAACTGGCCACAGTCAGCAGAGCCCCAGGGACCCTGACACCTCTCCCCAGGAAGCTGAGGAACAGCCTCTACCCTCACCCATAGCCCTGAAGGAATCATAGCTCACTTGATCCCGGCCTGTTCTCCTTCGCAAATAAAAACCCTGGTTTTGTAGCAAGGAGGCCTGTTGTCCTTACTTCCCTTCCCACAGCTCAAAGGTCCACCAGGCACACTTTCTGCCAAGGCAGTATGATCAGATCCTGGAGACACCAAGGAGGGCACCCCTGCAGCATCCTCAGCCCTCTCTCCAGTGACAGCAGGCTCCCTGTGGGAAGGCGCGACACCCAGAAGCTGGGACCTAGGAACCCCAGAAGTCTTCCAGGTTTGCCCCTACCCCCATAAACCCTAGCACAAAAATGAATCCCAAGTTCTCCACACCTATTTCCTAACCAGAAAAGGGATCTAGCCCTTCCTCCCAGAACCGCTCACAAGTTCCCAGGAGTTATGGAGCCAACTGTAACACCAGGAGGACTCTTCCTCAGTTCAGTTGATAAGGGAAATATAGATGCCACATTACCACTCCCAGTTCACCTCACCCTAGGGCCAGATTTCTTGTATGTCTTTGCCTGCTGGGCAGGAAAAAGCCCAAAGTACAGGCTGGAAACAGCCCTTGACAATGCTGGCAAAAGGCTCAGGGTACCGGCAACACCCTTTTGGTTAAACACAGGGAGGCAGTGCTCAAGACACCGGGGTCTGAAGTCCCGGGCTCCACCTGGCTGGCCCCACCCTGAATGCACTCCAGCCACATCTAGAGGAGGTCAAAGGCTCAACTTGGCCTGACTCACAGCAGCCACTGAACCTGACCCTCATAAACTTGAGTCAGCCATCCAGGGAAGACAGCAGACCAAACAGAACCTTTGAGCTACCTCTGACTTGCCTATCAGCCCACACCTAGAAAGGGACAGAACAGAATATCAGATGGACCTCACTGTCCATCCAGGCAAGGCTACAGAGCACCCAGTTCAGGCATAAATCACTTCCGCTGGAAGACCCCTGTAGCCAGCACCCACTCCTTAAACAGCCAGTCCAGTGTCAATCACAGCACCAACAGAATAATGGTGACCATCAGAAAGGCGTCTCAGCCAGTCATTGGAGCCAGATAAGGGTGTGCAGGGGCTGGTTGGGTGTGGAGTACAGAGGAGAGAGATAGCACCATTATCCCAGTGCACCCCCAATCCTGAAGTCTCCTGTGTCCCAACCTTGAAAAACACATCCCATTAATGAGCCTTTTTATTATTGTCTTTTTTTTTTTTAATCGAAGGTCCCTTACTGGTCCTGCTTCCATGAGTAGCCGTGACCAGGGGAAAAGGGAGAGGAACCAGCCGGCACAGGGAGGGGTCATCTCCACAACATTCCATTTATACACAGAACTAAACAGACAAGCACAGAGTCACTATTGCGGTTAGAAGTTGGCAGCATGGGAAGGGGGAGGACCAGGTGGGGAATGGGGATGTTGTTAAAAAAAATACAGGCTCCCCCACAACTGGGGTGCCTGGGGGGAACTTGGTCTGCTTCAGCCCAAGAGGAATCAAAAGATCAAAAGCAGTTTGGGAAGGCCAGAACCGTCAAGGGATGGAGGGAGAAGGAAAATCCAGGGGGTGGGGGGTCTGTTTGGCAACTGGGGTGAAGGGATTGCCCTCCCCCTGCTGGGATCCCCCCAGCCCCTCCGGTCTGGCAGGAAGGGGGCAGCCTGCAACCCCCAAGGGCAGGTGTGGGGCTGCCAGATGCTCCAGGCAGGGGGCCAGAAGGGGCTCACAAAGGCTTGCCCTCCAGGGAGATGACGGCACTGCCCCCCAGCTTCTCTGCCAGGGTGCAGCGGTCCTTGACCTCCTCGTAGCAGTTTGCTTGCAATTCATGCTTGATCCCTATAAAGAAGAAAGGGGAGCATCTGTGAGCAGGAAGCACTGGGGTGGGGGTAGTTTCTGTGGCTGGGAAGGAGCCAATCAAAGCAGATGGAAGGAACAAGCAGGCAGCGAAGACAAGGGGGCAGACCCCCTCTGCGTGCCATTCACCCTGCCCTGCAGCCAAGGCCAGAGCAGAAGGGCACTCAGCACCAATGCTGGCCCTTACCTGTCAGCTTCTTCTTGATGGCGTCCTTGGAGCTGGCATAAATCATTTTGCTCTTAAGGGGCGCAGACTCGGGGGCCCTGGACAGAAACACGCGTCAGGCAACTCCCAGCAACAGCAAAGCCACAGGTGACTTTGAGAAACCCTTGGGCTGGCAGTGAGGAGTCTTTTGTTACAACCCCCTCCCCCTCCAAACCCACACATCTGGGTTGACCAGGAGCCACAGAAGTTCCCATCATGAGAAAGGGGGCAGGTGACAGGAAGAAGTGCCAGAATGAGCTCACCAGAAGATAAACACCAGATCCTCCTTCTTGCTCTCCTTGGTCTCATAGGTTGCATCATAGAGGGCATAGCGGCAGTCCTTATCTGGCAGCATCTTGACAAAGGTGGCGTAGGGGTCGTCGACAGTCTGGCCCACATCGCCCACCAGGATCTCCTTGCCCTCCTCCAGGATGATGTTCTTCTTGTCCTCACTCAGGCAGAAGAGCACCGCCTTCTTGCGCTTCTTCACCTCCTCTGGCGTTGAAGACTTACGCACCTTCATGTCGTTGAACACCTTGATGACACCATCAGAGACAGCCACACCGGAGGCCTAGGAGACATGCCACGTATACGTCAAGAAAAGGATTCTAGGGAACTGCCCCTTGTTTTTTCAGAAGATCTCAGTCCACGTCCCGAGTGGTCACTAGTGCCCTTCCCAAGGCAAGTCACTAGTTTTCCCACCCAAGTCACTGTCAAAGAACCAGATGGGACACAACCTCAGAATGGCAGCCATGGCCTCTGATCACCTAGTTCAACAACCCCTTCCCTCATTTTACAGGATAGAAATGCAAAACTCGTGAAAAGCAGAACCTTGACCAAAATGTGAACCCAGAATTAAAAGATCCACCGGCTACTGACTCATTTGCTACTCACAGTACTTGCTCTCAGCCTTTGGATAAAACTGGTGATTTAGAACTTCGGATATGGAGGACCCAAACACCTGAGCCAAGACTCCTCTTCAGAAAGAGCCAAGACCCCACAATGCTAGATGGGACCCCAAGGACACCGAACAGTTACAACAAACCCACCAGAACTGCTTAATACAGTTACTACACAAACGACCCCTGTTCCCAGCTAGGCTCTTTCCCAACCAAGACAAGAATTGCAACCCCCATTAAGGACCCTGCCCGACAACTCCCTTCTTCCGGGAATGGTGCTAGGCCCCAGAAGTCGCTGATAAAAATTAACATGCCAAACTCAAGTGCCCAGAGGCCTCGAGGTCTTTAAACTCTTCCTACTCTGCGTCGTGCTTCGGGGTGCCCGAGCCAGGAGAGGGAGGGGCAATCCAAGGTAAATCTGGTCCCCCAAACTCCCCGGAACTGCAGAAGAAGCCGGCCACGTGACTCGGCCGCATCCGGAGTGGGCGGGGACAGGAGATCGGCTGGGCCCGGCCCCCTCACCAATGCAGAAACGCGTATCCGAGAGGCAGCAGCATCTCCAGGTCCCTAACCCTGTGGAATCGCCCTAAAACAACGGGTGTATCAGACCCATCTCCTGCAGGCAGGAGCCTGGGCAAGCTACATAACCTTCGGTTTTCTCAGCCCTCGGGCCGTATACAGGGGGCGGGGTGGTTTCCGGGCGGTGCCCGCCTGGGTCACTTCCCTAAACTCGGCTCCACCCTCACTCAGGCCCATCCGGGAAGGCCTCGCTGGCCCAGGGCTTCGGCACCGGCGGCCGGGCCTGAGCGTGCGCGCACGCGCCGACAGACAGCGCCGTTCCAGCCCTCGCCCGATGCACGGGTGAGAACGCAGCTCGTTAGATGCGCTCCCGAACGGGCCGCGGTCTCTGCGATGCCCCCTCCAAGCCTTGCGGTGCAAGGCCTTAATCGCAGGCACCCACGCCCCAACCGGGACCCCGTCTTCCCAGCATCACCCCTCGCCGCGCCAGCACCCGCCCCTCCCGGGCGCAGGCATCCCTGCCACCTGCTCCCGAGACGGACCCGGCTGCCGAGGGAGGGTGACGCGCAGACAGGAACAGCCTTGGGTGGGGCGCGCGCGCCGAGACCTCTCGCGCGCTTTTTCCTCGCCGCCCCCGGGCCGGGTTTGGACGCCGCATGCTCCAGTCGAGAGCGCGCCCCTAAGAAGAAAGGCGCGACGCCGGCCGTTCCGCGAGGGGCGCCCCAGCGCGCGCCCCGAACCCCTCCCCCCGCGGCCGGTGTCCGCGCGGGCGCACCAGCGGGTGGGGGAGGGGAGCCCAGGCGGAGCGCGAGCGACGTCCAGACCGGCCCTCCCCGGCGCCCACGGGCGCGCACGCGCATTCCGGCACCGCCCGCCCCTTCGTGCGAGACCCTCATCCCGCCCGGGGCGCTGGGGGAGGGGGTGCGGACGTCGCTCCCCAGTCGCTTCCCGCGCGCAGGCGACCGACCCGCAGCCGCCTCCCTCAGGCGCCGTGGCCTGCCGCTCACCATGTTTCCGGAAACGAAAAGGAGAGGGCACCGAGAGCCGCAGAAGACGAGAGCGCTGCAGCCGCTGCCGGGACCCGACTGAACGCGGCCTCTCCCGGCCCCTTCCGTTTAGTAGGAGCCGCACAATGAGGGGTGGGGCGGGCTTCCGGCGCTCCCACCGCGAGCCGACGGGAAATGGAGTCCGCTGGCCCTGCGCCGCCGCCTCGCTCGCTGGGTAACGGAGTCTTCCCGCCGGCCGGCTCCGAGCTGCAGTGCATGTAGGGAAATGTAGGCCCAGGTCCTGGGCGGCACCGCAGCGCGCAGCGCGAGCCCATTGGTCCAATTTCCCAGGAACCGCTCTGAGCCCGGCGAGGCGGCGCTCAGTAAAATGACCCGAAAACGATCCCCGACTAAGCGGCTCTTTATCCCACAGCAAAACGGCTTTCTTAAGACCCATCTGGTATTATCTGGATCCCTTGGCCTGAAATTTTTGAGTGAGGTTAGGGTTTTGCATTTCTGAATCGAAGCAACTATTGATTAGCCTGGAATCCCGACCTAAAGCAAAGGAAATCACAAGTATGAAGGCGTCGTCAGTCGGATAAACACTAGTACTCTGCATGTGTAAAGCCACTCTCGTCTCCTGAAAAAAGGCCATGTCCAACGTCAGTAAAACAAGAATAGGAGGAAAAGGCACAGGGGAAAGGTACAAGGAAATCTCTGAGAGCTTTGTTCTTGTTTAAAGATGTTTGGCAAAGTCATGAGGCGTTAAAGGGTAAAGACGAGGGTTTGTGCATTCAATTCAAGGCTTCTTTACATGCCTTTACGTGCCAATGAGAAGAAATAGATATTAAACCAGACTTGAACCCAGCTCTCGAGTTGATAGCCAGGTACATGGTTATTCTAACATCCGCAAAACTGAGACAAGTTCTGTGGTAGTATATGCCTTAAAAAAAAAAAGAAACGAGCGGGGGACTCCGGGATGATTTTGTTGTTCTAGAACAGTGACCACAGCCTCACACTCTGCAGGAAAAGACTGGGTCGCAAACAAGTCAGAGGCAAACCCAGAAAGGGAACTGGGGGCCCTAATCCTATAAACGGAATTAAGGGTGTAAACGGAGAGCGATGCCTGGGAGTGGGGTACCTTGCAGAGCATACCGGGGGTTGTAGTCGGGGACATTCCACAGCACCGCCCCCGCCCGGACTCCCGGCGCTCCAGGTGGAGACAGCAGCTTGACCCCGCCTCCCGCGAGCGACCCTACATGAATATGAGGCTAGCGCCCCCTTTTCTGAGCCTTAGAGTTTCCAAGAGCAACGGGGAGAGAGAGGGGGGCTTCGCAGTTACCCTGGAGACGCGCTCTCGCCCGCCCCCAGCCGCGGGATGCCCTAGATGTCCTTATTAGGACAAGAGACTCGAGGGGGCGGGGCCAGCCCGACAGCCGGCTTGAGGCTCCTTATAAGGCCGCGGCGGGCGGGAGGCGGGAGCCGGAGCCCATTGGTCCAATTTAGCTTGGCTGGGGCTACTGCGCCGTGGGCTAGGCACAGTCCTGAGGGGCGGGACTGGAGCTCTGGCGCCCACCTCTCCCTTCCTCGCAGGCTGGAGACCTGCGTGTTGCGACTTCCGGCATAGCAGCTAGAGGCCGGGTGCTGCTTCAAACCCTGGCGGGTCGCCTGTGTCCAACTCAGCTATACGTGTCTTTCAGGCTTCTCAGGTTGAAGCCCTTTGTAGGGTTTCCATCTTCAACCTCCCTGAGGGTCTCCCACTTCCGATTAGCCACAAAAATGACGAAGTGTTCTCCCCTCTACCTGTGTCTGGGCTTCTTAACCCGCAGCCTGCTCCTCCGCTCCCAAACCCAACCGCGTGCCCATCTCAGGCCTCCCCAACTGCCAGGATGCCCAAGCACCTCTTACTTACAGTCCTCCTTCCTCTAGGCCTCTGACCCCCGACATTCCGAGTTCTATTTTGGGCCTTCTCGGCACGTCCCCGACTTCCTCTCCACCACACACTCTTTGCCCTGTATCCCGGGGATGAGGATCACCATTTCCTCCAAGGGTCCTGCAGCTCCTCCTGCCTTACCTTTGTGTCCTCATCCCCGGCACCCATTTCTGGGTGTCCCTCCCACCAATACGTTTGCACCCGTTTGTCTCCTAGCCCCCGCCTCTCCTGGACTCTTTTCAAGACCAGTCTCCATCTCCAGCCTCCTTCAAGCTTGAGGCTGAAGCTGACAATCTTAAGAGACCTTAGAGCCGCCAAGCTCAGGTTAGTCCGTTAAGCGCCGCCCAGCCAGTCCTCCCCGTCACAGGGGGCGCTGTCCGCCTTCCTCTCGCCTACACAAAGACCCCGCTCTCGAATCTGGGGTGACAGGAAGGAGCCGGTCCAGGCTCCGGGGGCTGGGAAAGGGCGCGTCTCAAAGGCTGGCTGGAGTGGAGCCAAGGGAAAAGATCGTTAGAGACAGCGCCCCTGACCAACCACTTAGAGCAGCGCAGGGGTGGGAGGGCGGCCGCAGGCTCTCCTCTCGTTAGTGCCCCCTGTGTTTGGGGCCCCGTGATCTCAACGGTCCTGCCCTCGGTCTCCCTCTTCCCCCGCCCCGCCCTGGGCCAGGTGTTCGAATCCCGACTCCAGAACTGGCGGCGTCCCAGTCCCGCGGGCGTGGAGCGCCGGAGGACCCGCCCTCGGGCTCATGGCGGCCCCGGTCCGCCTGGGCCGGAAGCGCCCGCTGCCTGCCTGTCCCAACCCGCTCTTCGTTCGCTGGCTGACCGAGTGGCGGGACGAGGCGACCCGCAGCAGGCGCCGCACGCGCTTCGTATTTCAGAAGGTGGGTCCTGGCGTGGCCCGATGGGAAAAGCTGCTGGCCAGGTCAGGCCTGCCCTGACCAGGTACCCTACCCCTGCCCGGCCAGGCGCTGCGTTCCCTCCGACGGTACCCACTGCCGCTGCGCAGCGGGAAGGAAGCTAAGATCCTACAGCACTTCGGAGACGGGCTCTGCCGGATGCTGGACGAGCGGCTGCAGCGGCACCGAACATCGGGCGGTGAGCGCCTCGGAAAGGGGTCGGTGATCCCCCACCTCCCCCAGGTGGAGCCTCCGTACTCTCCTGGGAGCCCTTGGCTTTTAAGCTCCCCACTCCTGTCCCAGTTGCCGTTCGGCCTAGGGCTAGTGGCTGGCGCTCCCTGAGCCTCCCTCACCGGTCTCACGTAACCATCTGAGTAGGTTGCATCCCAGATCCTCGCAGCTGCCGGATTCGTGGAGTGTGGAGTTAACTCTTTTCTCTCCCGCAGGTGACCATGCCCCGGACTCACCATCTGGAGAGAACAGTCCAGCCCCGCAGGGGCGACTTGCGGAAGTCCAGGACTCTTCCATGCCAGTGAGGAAGGGGCAAGGGGAGTGGAAGGCAAAGTGGGAGTGCGGGAGTATGATTTTCTGGCTTGGGGGATTTGGCAAGCCTGAGTCCAAATCTCACCAGTGATGCCTGGCCTTGAGCAAATGACTTATCCTCTTTTCGACTTAGTATTTTAACCTGTGAATAGAAATATTGGTAACAGCCAATGAGAGAATTCCATGATCAAGCTACTTAAGGATCCCAGCTCAGTTAGTTACGGGGTCACCATTATTGAGTTTTCCTGTCTAATTACACCTGTCCTGCAGCGCATGGTAGAAGTGAGGCCAGGCTGGGCAGACACCCCCACCCACTGCCCCGAAACTGCCTGCTGTTTTATCCCAGATTTGCAGCGGATCATCCCATCACCTGGCCCATTTTACAGAGAAGGAAACTGAGAGACAACTGAGTGACTTACCCAGGGCCACAAAGCCTGCTGGGGACTTATTCAAAGATGACTGGCTGGCTTTCATGTTCAGAACTCCTCTGTACCTTTCAGGTTCCTGCCCAGCCCAAAGCGGGAGGCTCTGGCAGCTACTGGCCAGCTCGGCACTCAGGAGCCCGAGTGATACTGCTGGTGCTCTACCGGGAGCACCTGGTGAGCACTGGGCTACACCGGGAGGCGGAACCATGGCAGTGGGGTGGGAGGTTCCCCGAGGGGCCTGGCCCAGGCAGGGCAGGCAAAGATTATCCCAGCCACCTGAGCGGGATGAGGAGGGGCCCTGGCACTGAGCCTACCCTGTCTTTTCTACCTTGGTTTCAGAATCCTAATGGTCACCACTTCTTAACCAAGGAGGAGCTGCTGCAGAGGTGTGCTCAGAAGTCCCCCAGGGTGAGCACAGGGATCAGGGAGGACAGGCCCAAGTGGCTCTGGGGCCCACCAAAGACTGCCTTTTCTTGCAGTGGGCCCATGTGTGGCCCATGGCTGGGGACACAGGGAACATGGACTTGTGGTGGTACCAGGTGCTCTCTGAGGGTCTCTTTTCTGATCCACAGGTAGCCCCTGGGAGTGCTCGACCCTGGCCAGCCCTCCGCTCCCTCCTTCACAGGAACCTGGTCCTCAGGACACACCAGCCAGCCAGGTGGGGCCAACTGCAGGAGATACAGGAGAGCATGAGTGAACTTCTTAGTAGGGCCTTAGAGTCACCCAACAACTCCCAGAGCTGATGCTGTTGAGATTGGGGGGGGTGGGCCTTTCCTCAGGAGCCCCCACTGTTGGAATACCTGGAGGGTGTGAAACCGCAGCAGCGGGGGTGGGAGGGTGCGGTGGTTATTGGAGGAGGAGAAAGCCTTTTCAGAGGAGATAGCATTTGACACGTTTTAGGATTTGGCGGGTAGAGATGCAGGATAAGTATTCCGAGGAGGAGGAAACAGCATTAGTGAAGACAGGAGGAAGGAAATTGTCTGAGACACACTTCTTGCAGACCTGAGAATGGCGCTGAGCAGGCCCAAGGAACTGCTCTAAGAGCCAAGAAGACCAGGAGGAGCAGGAGCCACTGGGGTCATTTGTGCAGGGCGCCAAGGGGGTGGTGAGGCCAGCCCAGCTGGGGGCAGGCAGGAAAGCCTGCCAGGAATGAGTGAAGAAGGTAGAGCTGTGTTGTCCCCTCTGCCTCCCAGGTACTCATTGACCCCAGAGGGCCTGGAGCTGGCCCAGAAGTTGGCCGAGTCAGAAGGCCTGAGCTTGCTGAATGTGGGCATCGGGCCCAAGGAGCCCCCTGGGGAGGAGACAGCAGTGCCAGGAGCAGCTTCAGCAGAGCTGTGAGGAGGAGGGCAGAGGAGTGGGGAAAACAGGGAGGAGGGGATGGGAAATGAGGCCAAAGCCCCGCCCCAACCCATCACCTGCAGCTGAACTGTGGCTGCCTCCCTACTGTGGGTGGGTGGTGGGTGTCGGGTGGCATGGGTGTGGGGCAACTGCCCTGGCACAAGGGGTTCTGGCCTCACATACCAACACCCCCCACTTAGTGCCAGTGAAGCAGGGGTCCAGCAGCAGCCACTGGAGCTGAGGCCTGGAGAGTACAGGGTGCTGTTGTGTGTGGACATTGGCGAGACCCGGGGGTGAGTGAGGTGGGGAGAAACGAGGGAGATGATCAGAGGAGGCTGGGGGGTAGGCACTGCCCTGCTCTGATCTAGGCTTCCCTCCTTGCCACTCCAGGGGCGGGCACAGGCCGGAGCTGCTCCGAGAGCTACAGCGGCTGCACGTGACCCACACGGTGCGCAAGCTGCACGTTGGAGATTTTGTGTGGGTGGCCCAGGAGACCAATCCTAGAGACCCAGGTGAAGGGCCGTGGACAGGCTGGCACCAGGGGCAGGGCCTGGTGGGTAGGGGATCGCAAGCTAACGGCTGGCTTGTCAGCAGCAAACCCTGGGGAGTTGGTACTGGATCACATTGTGGAGCGCAAGCGACTGGATGACCTTTGCAGCAGCATCATCGACGGCCGCTTCCGGGAGCAGAAGGTAATTTTGCTGGCTTTGCCAGGCTTCCCTGCCTGCTCCGAAGCCCCGTTTTCAGCCCAGAGCAATCCAGGGGCACTTCTGGCAGCCTCCTTGAGGCAGAGCCCTTTGGAATCCAGCCACACCCACCCTGTGGCTGCTCCAGGATCAGACCCCCACAGGCCCATCCAGGCGCACAGTAGGAAGCCAGGTACCTGCATTCTTGGGCTGAGGTCAGGAGCATTTTAAAGACCTCTTGGGTACCCAGCCCCTGCAGTCTTGGATAAACAAGGCATAAACCTCCAGGAGTGGAAATACAGAGGCTGTACCTTGGTACTTGCTGCTGGGTGGACCCCTAGTCACAGAGGCCATGTGCCGGCCCAGGGGAGGCTTGAAGGATGGGCAGTGTTGAGAGATGGAGAAAAGGCTTTCTAGACAAGAGTGTCAGCATGAGCAAAGCTGCGGAGGCCCCTGTGAGGCAGGTGGAGAGGCTAGGGAGGATGCAGAGGCTAACTGGTGGGAACAGGGTCCCGGCACCATTTTGAGTGTGACATCATGGATGCCCAGGCATGTGGTCATCCAGCCTGACCCTCCCTGTCCACTCTGTACACTTCCCTAGTTCCGGCTGAAGCGCTGTGGTCTGGAGCGCCGGGTATACCTGGTGGAAGAGCATGGTTCCGTCCACAACCTCAGCCTTCCTGAGAGCACACTGCTGCAGGCTGTCACCAACACTCAGGTGAGCTGGGAGGGCAGGGCCAGGCAGGCAGGCAGGGGCCCCTGTGGTCCATGGTTCATGGTCTAGGCCAGGAGCCACCTTCCCTCTCTTGGGTCCTCTTCCCCAGGTCATTGATGGCTTTTTTGTGAAGCGCACAGCAGACATTAAGGAGTCAGCCGCCTACCTGGCCCTCTTGACGCGGGGCCTGCAGAGACTCTACCAGGTGAGCAGAGGCCCCTTTCCCAGTGTCGGGACAGAGCCCACAAGGAATTCACCTTGCCTGGGCCCTGTGCATCCCCAAAAGAAGCAAGGTGGGTGAGATCCCCATTTCTCAGGCTGGCCCCCCAAGGCTGAGGACTGGGCAGGGGCTGGCTGGAGTTGTTCCTTCGAGCTCCAGCCTGGCCTCAGTCCCTTCTTCCCTCAGGGCCACACCCTACGCAGCCGCCCCTGGGGAACCCCTGGGAACCCTGAATCAGGGGCCATGACCTCTCCAAACCCTCTCTGCTCACTCCTCACCTTCAGTGACTTCAACGCAGGAGCCATCAAGAATAAGGTACTGTCTCTGCCTAGCTTCTCAGACATGGCCTGGCCCAGACCCCCACTGATCCAGCCCTTTCCCGAACCCAGGCCCAGTCGGTGCGAGAAGTGTTTGCCCGGCAGCTGATGCAGGTGCGCGGAGTGAGTGGGGAGAAGGCAGCAGCCCTGGTGGATCGATACAGCACCCCTGCCAGGTAGGCCCTAAAGGGCCCTTAGGTGTCCTCAGCCCCTGCCCTCCATGCATGGAATTCACCTTAATCCATGCTTCGTGGAGGGGGCCTGGCCTTGTGTGGGCTCTGCAGACCAGAGATAGACAGATCCCAGGGTGCTCGTGGAGGTCAAGTGGGGAGGAAGCCAGCAGGCCCACATAGTGTCCCAGGTAGTGGAGGCCACAGGAGGGAGGGAGACGTCCCACCTGGTGGAGAAGAGGCTTCCTGGAGAAGGGGTTGGGCCATTAAGGGGAGTGAGGGTGAAGGTTTGGAGCCTTTGCTGGTTTTGCCCCAGAGTTCCCACAGGGAGGGAGGACAGCCCGGCTGGCATGGGGCCTTGAGTGCCAAGCTCAGGAAGTGGGGCAGTGTCCCAACTCTTCCATCCCATGCTGACCCCTCTGCCTGGCCCCTCATGGTGCTGGCCCAGAGTGGGCCACTGTCAGCCTCAGAAACTCAAACCCCTGCCCCCCAGCCTCCTGGCCGCCTATGATGCCTGTGCCACCCCCAAGGAACAAGAGACACTGCTGAGCACCATTAAGTGTGGGCGTCTACAGAGGTGAGGGCAAGAGACGGAACCTGGAGGGAGTGGCAGGGACTGGGGCTGCCCTAGGCCCAGGGCGTGACCCTCGCTGCCTCTCTTCCTGCAGGAATCTGGGGCCTGCTCTGAGCAGGACCTTATCCCAGCTCTACTGCAGCTACGGCCCCTTGACCTGAGCTTATGCCGTGAAACAGCCCCCAGCCCCCGTCTGTCCCCCAACCCAGGCTAGCCAGCCTTTTAACAACATCTTTTGGGGTACAATTAGAATCTAAGTGTTTGCAGCCATATGTGTCATGTAGAAGATGCCTAGCCCTGGGGACCTTGTGAAATACGCAGGAACCAGGGATACCATCTGGTCCAGTGGTTTTTAAACAAAGCTGCTTAGCACCTGGAATTCCCTGGTCAGGGAGATGGAGTCAGTGGGGCATTGCAGCTTGGAATCTATTTTATGTCACCAGTTGGTCCTCATCAAATAAAATTTCCTTAGGAGTGCAGAGGGCTCATTGGGAAAATAAAAATAATAAAAATAAATAAAACTTCCTAAAAGAAAAGATTGAAAACCACTAACAGTCCAGTTGCCTCGTTTTATAGAAAAACAGGCCCAGGGAACTACTAGGGCTTATCCAAATGTACAGTTTGAGGCAGAGTTAGGAATGGAACCCAGGGCCTCCTGGCGCTGTCCAGAGTGGAGTTTCTTAGGACCCCTGCAAGCCAGCCAAGTCCAAATCTCTGGGCCGGGGCCTGGAGTCCGCCCTCCTCGTTACCTCCTCTCCTCTCGGGGTGACTGAAGCTCGTGGTGCAGAGCTCCCAGCTCCTGTCAATGGGGGCCCCTGGGCCTGAACATATAGAGACCCCCATTTAGGTGAACTTGGCCTGCCCCCCCAAGTGCCACCCTGCCCCAGCCTGAGGCTTCCTGCAGTGTGACCCGCCCACCTCAGCCACCAGGACTTTCTTTCTCCCTTTATTGCCTTTCTCATTCTGCCCCTCACAACAGGCTCCTCAGCTAGGGTAGCTGCAGGGAGGGTGGCTCCCTCCTGCTCCTCAGAAGGTGTAGGCCCCTACAAAGACGGTGAGCCTCAGTACAGAGCTGGCCCGGTAGCTCATGAGGGAATTCATGGTGACCATCTCCAGGTCCAGCACGTACTCCCGGGGGCCCGTCACCGGCCGGGCGAGGACCAGCATGGCGCTGACGTTGTTGATTTGCTGCAGGGCAGTGGGTGGGGGGACATATATATTGTGTCAGCCTGTGTGCTAGGCCCCTGCCCCAGCGTCACCTCCCTGCCCCGTGGCCGTGAGGCAGAGGAACAGCCCTGGCCAGGCTGCCACCCCAGCCTCTCATGCAGCTCTTTGACACCCTCGATGTCTCTCCTCCCCACCCAGGCTCCTGCCCTCAGAAATCTCCTGCTGGGGCTCTTCTCACCCTCTCCAGCCTGCTCTGTCTGACCCAGGCTAACTGACGATTCAAGGCCACATGTGGCTCTTGGGACTGGTGGGACCTTTGGTGACCCAAAGTGAGCAGACTCCCTTCAGAGCATTCAATTTCAAAAAGAAAGAGAAGGGCTGGTACTAGACAAACCCCTTCTCCTGCTGAGACCCATGCATGCGGCTGCCAGTCACTGTGAGCAGCTCACTGTGAGCCGCCCCTGGCCCCCTCCCACCTAACAGATCCACTAGCAAGGAGTGGACTTTCTGACCCCAGGGCCCTGCACACGCCATTCCCTTGGTTTGTGGGTGAAGAAACTGAGATCAATATGGAAAACCAGTACCAGGACTCAAACTCCCGTGTCCGAGTGCTTCGTTAGAATTGCATTTAACCGTTAGAATTGCATTTAGAGTACCCCCGTCTTCCTGCAGAAACCCCGCCTCCGGGGGCGGGGCTTTGGGGGAGGGGTGGGGCATAGCAGCCTGGCCGAGTTCCCCCTTAAGGCGTCCTGGAGTTCAGTTTTAGATTGTGCATGTCAGTTGAGGGTTGCAGAAACCTTACCCTAATGTAAAAGTCCCCCTGCGAGTTTCCAGCACGGATCTGAAAGGCATTGTAGGCACCGGGGTAGACGGAGGTCGCCTGGATCTGGAACACGTCAGCGGGCACGCTCCGCTCCGAGGTGATGGTCATGTAGCGGTGCACAATGGATGAAGGCTGCTCTCGACATAGAGGGTTGGAGGCCGGGCAGAGACAGCGGCTAGAGACCCCGAGGTGGGGGACACAAATGAGCTCCTTGCCCGTCCCCCCAATTTCTCCTACCCTACAAAGGGAGGGAATCCCAAAAGGACCCTTCTACCCCTGTGACTGGTTTTCATGAAGGACTATGATTCCCATCATCCCTCAGGGGCACTCGCTGGTCTGAATAGATGCCAGTCAGCCCCAAAGCCCCCTGGGAGACGTAGTTTCTGTGGGGGCCTGGCATCGAATTGACTCACTTCTCAGAGACCTGGATGTAGGGCTCCACGCAGCGGTTGGTGTCCACGCAGCGGTAGCCCCCATGGAAGTTGACACAGGTTTGGGCCTCGGAGCACTGGTGCGCACCAGACTCACACTCATCAATGTCTGTGCCAGGGGAGAGGGGCTGGAATCGGGGGCGTCAGGCTGCCAGCTCCTGACACCGTCCTGCCCATCCCACCCGGGCAACCTGTACCTTGGCAGAGGCGTGTGGCCAGCAGCTGGTAACCCTGTGGGCAGTGGCAGGAGAAACGGCCTGGCTCGTTGATGCAGCGGTACTGACAGAGGTAGCTGGAGTAGCTACACTCATCAATATCTGAGGAAGCATGGGGATGGGGACCCCGGGTCAAGGGCATTCCTCACCATTCAGTCCCACAAACATTTCCCAAGAAGGCCCAGCCCCATGTTAGACTGAATGTAGGAAGACAGAGGGGGATGAGACAAGCCACAAGTTCAGCCGGGAGATGGAGGGTTCAAAGAAAGTTTGCCCAGGCTGCCGCAGCTCACAGACTTCTCTCTGCCCAGAACTGGAAGAAACACTAAATAAGTTACTGGGAATCTAGAGGCTTGGGTGTGAATCCCACCAGCTGATCTAGGGGAATCTCATTTTCCCAATCAGTAAAATGAGTGTGTTAGACTAGATGAGTCTTATGGGTCTGGCTTGTGCTGTAACGCCCAATTCCTGCAACCCACAGTCAACCTGAGCACCCAGTGGTCACCTCCAACTAACTGTGAGCTTCACAGGCAGAACATTTCCTTTCTCTTGTTCCCCTCATGCTGCCAGGTAGCAGTGAGGCCTCATCCCGCAGCAAAGCATAACATAGGGGGTACATGCCAGTTTACAGGGTGTAAGAAGTCTGGGATCCAGCCCTGGCCCCATCTCATCCTGGCTGTATGAGCTTGGGCGGGTCACTTAACCTCTCTTAGCTGAATCATGAAAGTCACCATTTACCCAGGACTTTGTGATTATTTTTATGTAATCCTCCCAACAAACGTGGAGGGAGATATGAATGTCCTCATTTTGTAGAGGAAGGAGAAAATCATACCTCCTAGGATTCTTGAGAGGAAGGAGGCCAAGTGTGTCAGGGAATACACTACGAGGGCAGGTTCTCATTAAGTGGCAGTTCATTCACTTTAAAGCACTGCAGCTTGAGACTTGCTGGAGCCCATCTATCACACTCTCACCTAATCCTCAAGACAACCCATTTTATAGAAGAAGAAACAGGCTCAGAGAGGAGTGACTTGTCCTAGTGCAAAATTCAAATGCAGGTAAATGCAGGTGAGCCTGATATGTGGGACAGGTGGCACCCACATCCTCAGTCTCACCAGTAGGCTTCAGTAAGGACGTAGCTGCCTCTCCTTGTGCCTCCCCCACTAGCCTGGGAGTGCTCCACAGCCAGCCGGGGTCGAGTACCCAGGAGGCAGCTGGGTGCACAGTGACAGGAGGCGGAGGCCTCAAATGGAGAACTGTGTGGCAGGAGGCACGGCATAGCTAGGGCCTGGGGGTCCACAGAGGAGTACACAGCAGGGATGGAGCTCTCACCACTGCAGGAGAAGCCATCCCGATGCAGCTCATAGCCCTGGTGGCAGCGACACAGGAAGGTCCCATAGGAGTTGAAGCAGCGCTGCTCGCATGGGGCCCCCATGTCACACTCGTTCACATCTGGGGGTGCCAGGAAAAACAGGAGGGATGAAAGCGGAGGAGGAGCCCAGAGCCTCCACTCTACCTGGGCTGGTCAAGAAGGGAGCGCCCCCACCTCACACCTCCCTGCCCAGGACCCAGGAGCCTGGCCCAGCCCAGCCTCACCAACACAGGAGCGGTTGTTAGGCCCCAGCTGGAAGCCCGGCTCGCACTGGCAGCGGAAGGAGCCAGGCAGGTTCACGCAGCGGTGCTGGCAGTAGCGGTAGCGGCACTCGTCTATGTCTAGGGATAGAGGCAGGAGAAGGAGGGCGGAGGGCAGAGGGCAGAGGGCAGGTGGGCTCGAGCCGGCTGGGACTCAAGGCTTCACCACCCATAATCCTGTGTCCGAGGAGCTGAATTAGGCAGGGTCAGCCAGGACACCTCCCAAACACTCCCCGCTACAGTCCTCTGTGTCTGATGACGGAGGGTGAGGTGGCAGGGGCCGGGGGTGAAGCCTGGCTTGAATGGGGGTCAGGTGCTAGGGCAAGGGCCAGACCAGGGACACAAAGCCGGGACTACAGAAGCTGCTTCCTGGACTCACCCACACACTCGGGCCCGATCTTGCGGTAACCATCAGGGCAGGTGCACTGATAGGAGCCAGGCAAGTTATGGCAGTCCTGGCTGGGGCGACAGTCGTGCAGGGCCTGGGCACACTCGTCCACATCTGCGAGAGACACCACTCAGCCCCTGCCTGGGATCCCGCACACCACCCAACATGACAGATAGTTCCAACACTTGTATTCGGTTCTCTCAACAGCACGCGTAAGAGTTCACCAGCCTGGAGCCATCAGGAAAGGCACCCCTAACCTCTAAAACCACATGTTGGGGGTTGCACAGGAAATAAGGTCCTGTCCAAACATCCCCAGCAACACTGATTCCTGGACTGTCCTTCCTCCAAGGCCTGTGGCTCCCAGGGGACAGACACTGGAAGGCAGACTTCCTGCAGTGTCTCTGCAGCAACCGAGGGGAGGGGCCCGGAGCTGGCTGGAGCAGTGGCACACAAGCTGGGGCCACCTGCGGCAGGTCCTAAACAACATGAGTGTCTGGATGAGGGTGTGGACATCACCAGTGGCCCTTTTGAGCTGGGGAGGAACATGAGGTCTGAGTTTAAGACGCCTGGTGAGAGGACTGGAAGCCAGGCACCAGAGCAGTCCCCACTCACCCACACAGCTGTCCTGATCGTCGGGCTCATAGCCTGGTGGGCAGGGGTTGGGGTGTTGAGCGGGAGGCACTGGTGGCGGGGGTCCCTCGCCGTGTAGGTCGTTGATGACGGCAGCGGAGCGGGGCAGGCACAAGTAGCCCCCGTAGTGGTTGATGCACTTCATTTCCCCCTTGCAGGCCTCAGGGATGGTCAGACACTCGTTGACATCTGCAGAGAGGGGCCTGCTGGGCACAGCCAGTCTCCTGGGCTGGCCCTGGAGGGAGCGGAGGCAGGAACCCAGCTCGGCCTTCTCTGAGATGTGTGGCCCCAGCAAAGCCTTCCCACTCTGCTCAACAAGCTAAGTCTGCCTGCTCAGGACCCCTCCCCAGGGTTGGCCAAGGCTGGAGATGGGGCAGCTGTTCCCACTGTTGCCCTCATTCTCGGCCTGCAAGTGGGTCTCTATCCCTCCCCACGGCCCTAGCCCTAGCTCAGCCCAAGATGGGGGGCCTCCTTACCCACCCCTGGGGACGCTACCCTCCCAGGTTGTGATGAGACAAAGAGCTGGGACAGGAGAGTGGTTCAGAGAAGGCGTACAGGATCCAGCTCCTCTGAGGGGTAGGGACAAGGTTTCCTGGGTTTCTGGGAGAGGATGAGGCCACCCCTAGCTCAACTGGCCTCCAGAGAGCCAGAGCTGGCCTCTGTGTAGCAGAGCTGGGCATAGAACGGGCTGCTGGGCTCCCACGGCAGTTCTTGGAGGTGGGGCTGTCCCTTGGAAAGCAGCTATCAATCCCTTTCCGGGTTCCTGGGGGTGTTTGGTCCCCCAGGCACACACACCCCGGCAGTGCTGGCTGTCTGGGTCCCACTCATAGCCATCTGTGCATTCCTGGAAGGGAACCAGAAGTGGCCAGTGGTCACCCTAAGATCTCCTCCAACTGGCCAGGCCAAGACTAGGGCCTGAGCCTGGCCACCCTCCGGCCTGCTCCAAACAATGGCCCCCAGCTCTCCACCAGCCAGGGGAGGAAGACTTCCCCGGCAGCAGTCACCCTGGGTCCCGGTCTCTTCCTCCCTACCCTTCCTGTCCCAGGCCAGCGGCCCTCACTGTCCCCACCGTGTAGCTGTCGGGCTCTTCAGAATCCTGAGGAGAAGCTGATCCCAAGAGCAACAGTAGCAGCGCCCAGAGCAGTAGAGACCCGGGTAGGCAGGAGGCGCAGGGGAGCATCCTGGGGCTGCGAGATGGTGGACACGGGTCAGGGGCCTCTGCCCGCGGCACCTCAACTCCCTGTACCGGGAGCCCGAGCCCAGCCCCCGCCACTGCCCGCTCAGGACCGTGCTTGGGCCTCGGGGCCTCCCAGGGCTGGGGGCCGACTCCTCACAGGCCCAGGTCCCAGGCCCGGGTCCCAGGCCCACCCGCCCCGGCCACCCCGCCCCCGCCCCGCGCCCCTGCGGCGAAGGCCGAGGAGCGCGGGCCTCTGTGGGCGCTACGCTGCCGCGGACTCGGCCGAGACTCCGGCCCACGCCCTCCCCCACGGACGGTCACAGCCACTCACTTGGGCCCGCGACACCCCCGCGGCCCGCGGCTCTGGCGGCTCGGCTGGCTCGGGCAATGCCTGCGGGCAGACGGACGGGCGGACGGCACAGCTCCCTGGACGCGCGGCCCCAGGAAGCGCCCCCCGCCCGCCCGCCTGCCGCGGCGCGGCCCACCCCGGCGCCTCCGCCCGCCCTTCGGCGGATTCCTGAGCCAGCGCCAGGGGGAGGGACCCCGACCCCCCGCTTCTCCGCCCCCGGCCAGCCACAGGCCCCTACCCGGTCCCCCGCGGCGCCGCCAGGAGCCGCCTCCCGGCGCCGGACCAGGGTCCCCCAGTGCTCGATCCTGGGGCCCCGACCTTGATGCCAGGCCCCCAGACTCACCCGGGGGCCCCCAGACGCTCACCAAAAATGTCATCCTGCTCACCTAGGTCCTACCTAATCTGCGCCCCCAGAATTTCATCCTGTGCACCCACACCGTAATCCTGGAGCCCCCAGATTCTCATTGTGCGCCTCCCGAGATCGTCCTGGGTACCTAGAGCCCACCTAACCCAGTCCTCCAGACCCTCAATCTGCTCCCTGCAAAATTTTATTCTCTGCCCCAGACCGTCATTGTAAAAGATCCTAAAACTTCATCCAGGGTCCCCAGACCCTCGCCCAGGAACGAGAGGCTCCCAGGAGCAGAACTGTCCTTCTCGCTCCCTCCTGCCCTCCACCCCCAGGACCGTCTTCAGCCGGGTGGTCCTTTCACTACACACGGCCTCCCCCACACCCTCCATCCACAAAGCTACAAGTTTGGGGGCGAGGGCGGCAGTTCCCTTTTGGCACAAAATGAATGGAAGCCCCTGAGAAGGAGGGCAGGGCTGATGTCGGACGTGCGGGATGCCAGAGTCGGGTGCCAAGGCGCCTCCTCGACCTCCTCGCACCAGCGTCCCCCGCCCGGTTTCCGCCTCCGCCCGAAGTGGGGGCGTGTCCTTGGGGCGGAGTATGGGCGGGGCTGGCTCCCAGGAAGGGCGTGGCCTCTGTTTGCCCACGTCTTTGGGCGGGGCCAGGCGGGAAAGCACTGCGTGTCCGGGGATCCCCCGCCTGGGGCCCGCCCTTCCTTTCCCCTTGCCATCCCTGCTTATCCCCGCAGTCGCCCTCCACGTGACCCCGGGGAGGGAGTCTGCCGAGGAGGGGACGTGCTGGTGGGTCCCGCGGCGAGCGCCTGGGGCTCAGGTGAACTGCGCAGTGCCCGCTCCTCGCCACTCTGCCACCACCATCCCTCCCAGCTGCTGGGGCAGAAGGTTAAATAATAGCTCTTTAGGGGCCGGACGCGGTGGCTCAAGCCTGTAATCCCAGCACTTTGAGAGGCCGAGGCAGGTGGATCACCTGAGGTCAGGAGTTCGAGACCAGTCTGGACAACATGGTGAAACCCCGTCTCTACTAAAAATATAAAAATTAGCCAGGCGTGGTGGCGCGTGCCTGTAGTCGCAGCTACTCAGGAGCCTGAGGCAGGAGAATCACCTGAACTCGGGAGGTGGAGGTTGCAGAGAGCCCAGATCACACTGCTGCACTCCATGGGTGACAGAGGGAGACTCCATCTTAAAATAATAATAATAATAATAGGCCCGACGCGGTGGCTCACGCCTGTAACCCCAACACTTTGGGAGGCCAAGGTGGGCAGATCACAAGGTCAGGAGTTCAAGACCAGCCTGGCCAACATGGTGAAACCCTGTCTTTACAAAAACACAAAGAAATTAGCTGGTGTAGTGGCACGTGCCTCTAATCCCAGCTACTCGGGAGTCTGAGGCAGAATAATCTCTTAAACCCGGGAGGCAGTTGTTGCAATGAGCCGAGATTGTGCCATTGCACTCCAGCCTGGGCGACAGAGCGAGACTCCATCTCAAAAATAGTAATAATAATAATAGCTCTTTAAAACGAGAAAGACAGTAACAAGTGTTGGCAAAGATACGGAGAAACTGGAGCCCTCATGCACTGTTGGTGGACAATGGTCTGGCAGTTCCTCAAAATGTTATCACATGACCTGACAATTTCACTCCTAGGTATACATACCTAGGATAATTGAAAAGATATGTACACACACACAAATCTGTACGCAGCGTTTATAGCTGCACTATATATAAGAGCCAAATGCAGAAACAACACAAAAGCCGTCAACTGATGAATAACAAGATGCAGTACATCCACACAGTCGAACATTATTCAGCCATAAAAACTAATGAAGTACTGATGCATGCCACAATATAGGTGAATTCTTTTTTTTTTTTTTTTTTTTAATTGAGACGGAGTCTTGCTCTGTCGCCCAGGCTGGAGTGCAGTGGCGCCATCTCGGCTCACTGCCAGCTCCGCTTCCTGGGTTCACGCCATTCTCCTGCCTCAGCCTCCTGAGTAGCTGGGACTACAGGCACCCGCCACCAGGCCCGGCTAATTTTTTGTATTTTTAGTAGAGATGGGGTTTCACCGTGTTAGCCAGGATGGTCTCAATCTCCTGACCTTGTGATCCGCCTACCTTGGCCTCCCAAAGTGCTGGGATTACAGGCGTGAGCCACCGCGCCCGGCCAATATAGGTGAATTCTTGAAACTACTATGTGAAGTGAAAGAAGCCAGACACAAAAAGCCACATATTCCATTTATTTTTTATTTTTTTTAGATGGAGTTTCGCTCTTGTTGCCCAGGCTGGAGTGCAATGGCATGATCTCAGCTCACCACAATCTCTGCCTCCTGGGTTCAAGCAATTCTCCTACCTCAGGCTCCGGAATGGCTGGGATTACAGGTGCCTGCCACCACACCTGGCTAATTTTGTATTTTTAGCCGAGATGGGGTTTCACCATATTGGTCAGGCTGGTCTCGAACTCCCGACCTCAGGTGATCCACCCACCCTGGCCTCCCAAAGTGCTTGGATTACAGGCGTGAGCCACCGTGCCTGGCCCACGTATTCCATTTATATGAAATAACCAGAATAGGCAAACCCAGAAAAACAGAAAGTAGATTAATGGTTGCCAGAGGAAGGTGGGGAATGGGGAGTGTCTGCTAATGGGGTCTGGGTTTTCTTTGGGATAATGAAAATATTCTAACACTAGATAGTAGTGATGGTCACACAACTATGCAAACATACAAAAACCCACTGAATTGTACACTTCAAAAAAGTGAATTTTCTTTGGGAGGCCGAGGCGGGTGGATCATGAGGTTAGGAGATCAAGACCATCCTGGCTAAGACAGTGAAACCCCATCTCTACTAAACAAATTAGCCTGGCGTGGTGGCAGGCGCCTGTAGTCCCAGCTAATCGGGAGGCTGAGGCTGGAGAACGGCGTGAACCTGGGAGGTGGAGCTTGCAGTGAGCCGAGATCGCGCCACTGCACTCCAGCCTGGACGACAAAGTGAGACTCTGTCTCAAAAAAAAAAATGTGAGTTTTATAGTATGTAATAATACCACAATAGGCCAGGCACGGTGGCTCACGCCCGTAATCCCAGCACTTTAGGAGGCCAAGGTGGGTGGATCACCTAAGGTCAGGAATTCCAGACCAACTTGGCCAACATGACAAAACCCCATCTCTACTAAAAACACAAAAATTAGCGGGCTATGGGGGCGAACGCCTGTAGTCCCAGCTACTCAGGAGGCTGAGGCAGGAGAATCACTTGAACCGGAGAGGTGGAGTTTGCAGTAAGCCAAGATCGTGCCACTGCACTCCAGCCTGGGCAACAGAGCAAGACTCTGTCTCAAAAAAAGGAAATATAAAAAAAGGCAGGAAAGGGGTGCTGCTATCACCCCATTTCACAGATAGGGAGGCTGAGAGACTTGTCCCAGGTGAAGGATGGGACTTGCACTCATGTCCCACGGACTTCAAGACTCGCTGGGCTCCTTGCCCCATATTAGAGCATTAAGGACCCGCCCTGCAAACACCCACTCTGTGCCAGCCACAGTGGTGGGTGCTCCACTAAGTATCTTCCACTCAAGCCTCAGCCTGAGAATTGTCATTGCCAATTAGAGATGAAGACATGAGGCCCAGGGGGGATGACTTAGTGCACAGCTGGTGCACAACCTAGACCTGAACCTCCATCTTTGCACTATCCAGCCCGAGTGAGCCTTCCACTTGGAGTTGCCTCCTCAGAATGCCTCCCTCGTCCTCTGCACCCCCAGTGACTTTCCCTGCCTTCGCCTGCTCTGCACTGGGTCCCTTTCAAGGTCCCAGACACCACTGGATCAGTGTCTCCCTCCTACCAAGCAGGGAGCTCCTCTCAGGCAGTGAGGCCCCTGTGCCCATGGCCCAGCCCTTACTGGGTACCAGCTGGGATCTGCAGAGTAGGCAGTTGAATGAACAAATGAGTGAGTGGGTGGAGGAAGTTCATTGATTCACTCAACAAATGTTTTCTCGGCCGGGTGCAGTGGCTCACGCCTGTAATCCCAGCACTTTGGGAGGCCAAGGCAGGTGGATTGCTTGAGGTCAGGAGTTTGAGACCAGCCTGACCAACATGGTGAAACCCTGTCTCTACTAAAAATACAAAAAGATTACCCCAGCATGGTGGTGCACACCTGTAGCCCTAGTTACTTGGGAGGCTGAGGCAGGAGAATTGCTGGAACCCGGGAGGCAGAGGTTGCGGTGAGCCGAGATCGTGACACTGCACTCCAGGCTGGGCGACAGAGTGAGACTCTGTCTCAAAAAAACAAAGCAAAACAAAACAAACAATGTTTACTGAGTGGCCACTGTGAAGCAGATGCTGTGGTGCTAGCCAGGGACACAGCACTGACCAAAAACAGACCCAAACCTCCTGGCCTCAGGAGCTCTAGTTCAAGGGAAGGGAGGAGAGGATCAAAGGGAAGGCCACTGGGCCCCACACCTCCAGTTCCTTTTCCCCGTGGCCTCCCACATCCCCTACCATCACAAGAGGCCCACACTGGGACCTCCACCTCTGAGGGCTGACATGGAGCCTTAACTATCAGTCACACACAGGACAAGACTGGCTGGGGCCCATAACTGGGCTCTAGAACCACAGGGCCAGGCACCACTCTGGGGATGGTCTGTCCACTGCATTTCAATAAAGGCAGCAGCATGCTTTTCAGATAGAGAAGCCCCTTGGTTTACTCTCTGGGCAGGGTGACAAAGTGTGGCCTCACGACTCTGGGAGGAATCCTAATAAAGAAACATGGTAGGCCGGGCGTGGTGGCTCACGCCTGTAATCCCAGCACTTTGGGAGGCCGAGGCGAGCGGATCACGAGGTCAAGAGATCAAGACCATCCTGGCTAACATGGTGAAACCCTGTCTCTACTAAAAAATACAAAAAATTAGCCGGGCGTGGTGGCGGGTGCCTGTAGTCCCAGCTACTCGGGAGGCCGAGGCAGGAGAATGGCGTGAACCCAGGAGGTGGAGGTTCCAGTGAGCCGAGATCGCACCACTGCACTCCAGCCTGGGCGACAGAGCGAGACTCCGTCTCAAAAAAACAAACAAAAAAAAGAAACGCAGTAGTGAGCATGTAAGTGAATAAATCCCAGGATTATAGCTGTCCTGTCTCCCACCCCATGGAACCCTAGAAAGCCAGCTCTTCACACCCTTCTCTGGTCTTGGTCACCAGTTCTCAGCCTGAACTCCTATAGGGGAGGTCCCCAGCCCAAGGACCCACTTAGAACAAAGGCAGCAGTAACGGGTGTTAATGCTGCTGCCCAGCCCTTGACCTCACAAGTCAGGCTTTGGCCTCCCTCCGTCTGTGATGCTCACCCTGTTATCCTTCTGGCTCTTCAGCCCCCTCATCCTCATCCCTAGACCGTGGGAGGGATGAGGAACGGGAGGCACTGGCTGCAGTTGCTGCTCCCGGACTCTGACTCTGCGCTTTCCTGTTTTGTTTTGTTTTTTGAGATGGAGTTTCACTTTTGTTGCCCAGGCTGGAGTGTAATGGTGCGATCTCGGCTCACTGCAACCTCCACCTCTCAGGTTCAAGTGATTCTTGTGCCTCAGCCTCCCGAGTAACTGGGATTATAGGCGCCCGCCACCATGCCCAGCTGCTTTTTTGTATTTTTAGTAGAGACAGGGTTTCACCATGTTGGCCAGGCTGGTCTCCAACTCCTGACCTCAGGTGATCCACCCGCCTCGGCCTCCCAAAGTGCTGGGATTACAAGCGTGAGCCACCGTGCCTGGCCTGGTTTTGTTTTTTTGACACAGGATCTTGGACCCACGCTGGAGTGCAGAGGCATGATCATAGCTCACTGCAGCCTTAATCTTCCAGGCTCAAGCAATCCCACTGGCCTCAGCCTCCCCAGTAGCTGGGACTACAGGAGAGCACCACCATGCTTGGCTAACTTTTTTTTTTTTAAGTAGAGATGAAGCCTTGCTCAGTTGTCCAAGTTTGTCTCCAACTCCTGAGCTCAAATGATTCTCCTACCTTGGCCTCCCAAAGTGATGAGATTACAGGCATGAGCCATTATGCCCGGCCTGCTTTCCTGTTTAAAACTCATGATGATCAATTGTTCAGTCAACAAACACCTAGCGAGCCTGACTCATGCCTAGCCCTATCCTGGGAACCGAGGACACCGAGGACACAAGCGAACTGAACACTTCTGGTGTGGTTGGAGGCAGATGCCCAATGGGCACAGGTGCAGCTGGGCTGAAGGGGCTGCAAAGCTTCTACCAGAGGTTGGGGAAGCAGGGAAGGCTTCTTGAAAGAGGCGGCCATTGAGCTGACTGAGCTTCATAGGATGAGCAAGAGTGGTTCCCTTGGCTGGGCGCAGTGGCTCATGCCTGTTATCCCAGCACTTTGGGAGGCTGAGGCAGGTGGATCACCTGAGGTCAGGAGTTGGAGACCAGCCTGACCAACATGGTGAAATGCTGTCTCTACTGAAAATACAAAAAATTCGCTGGGCATGGTGGTGCATGCCTGTAGTCCCAGCTAGTCGGGAGGCTGAGGCAGGAGAATTGCTTGAACCCGGGAGGTGGAGGTTGCAGTGAGCCGAGATCATGCCACTGCACTCCAACCTGGGTGGAAAAAAAAAAGAAAGAAAGAAAGAAAGAAAAAGGGGTGGGATGGGGAGCAGACAGGCAGGGACTGAAAGCCTGAAGGCCTGAGCAACTTGTGGGTTCTAGGGGTCCACCCTCCACCCACCAAGCCTGTCTTCCCCTTCGTGGTTTCTCCAGCCCCACCCTCACACCGTCCTCCTCGATCTGCGCGGCTTCCTGCCTCCATGCCACTCCAGACTGCACCGGCATGGCACTGACTGCCCACCCCTCCTGCCTCCTGGCCCTGTTGGTGGCAGGCCTAGCCCAAGGCATCAGAGGCCCCCTTAGGGCCCAGGTAAGTGCTCCCAAACCCTTACCTATGCCAGTCCCACGCCTGGGGTCACCCCTTCAGAAACAGCTGGCCTGTCATTCTCATTTTTCAGAGGGAGTTGCTGAGGCTGGAGAGGGGGCTGACGTGCCCAAGGGCACATGGGAAGACAGAAAAGGCTAACTGGCTGACCCCTAGCCCAGTCCTTGCACGGCTGGGAACTAAGGTGGGGCCCCAGCAATGATTCCTCTGCCCACTGCCCCTCTCCACCCTTGGTTCCTTGCCAGGACCTAGGTCCCCAGCCGCTAGAGCTGAAAGAGGCCTTCAAGTTGTTCCAGATCCAGTTCAACCGGAGTTACCTGAGCCCAGAAGGTATCACAGGGCACATACATCTCCAGTCCAAGCCCCCACTTTTTTTTTTTTTGAGACGGAGTTTCACTCTTGTTGACCAGGCTGGAGTGCAATGGTGTCATCTTGGCTCACTGCAACCTCCACCTCCCGGGTTCAAGCGATTCTCCTGCTTCAGCCTCTGAGTAGCTGGGATTACAGGCATGCGCCACCACACTTGGCTAACCTTTACATTTTTAGTAGAGATGGGGTTTGACCATGTTGGCCAGGCTGGTCTTGAACTCCTGACATCAGGTGATCCGCCTGCCTCGGCCTCCCAAAGGGCTGGGATTACAGGTGTAAGCCACGGAGCCCAGCCATCCCGCTTTGTAATAGATGAAGAAATCGAAGCTCAGGGTGGGGAACAGGCATGGCCAAGGCCACTCAGCAGGACAGGCCAGGGCTGGGGGTGTGTTCCCTGGTTTCCCGAAGGCATGAGTGGGTCCAGGATCATTCTTTGCTATGGATCTGGAGGGCAGTGGCAGGAGGTGGGGTCCTGCCCTAGTCCTACGTGATCCCCTGGCTCCACAGCCACTTCCCTGCGATTCTAGGCAGTGGACAGGGGGCCACCACCTAGTCATTTGCTCATTCAGCAAACACCCAAGGACACCCATTTTGTCCCCACATTGGGGACTTCTTCTCTAGCCCATGATCTAACCCCTGCCCCTGCCCTCTCGCTGTGCTGATCTCTCTAGGGGGCTGATCTGTGTGTGCCTTTTAGCCCAGACTGCCTGTGCCTTGTCATCTCCTCTCCCTGCCATGTTCCAGCTCTCCTCCTGTGGTCAGAGGTGTAAAGGACGTGGCCTGGCAGGAAGCTGGTCTCCAGCCACACATCCTTGAGTCACCACCACCGGACCCCTTGCCTGGCTTCCCACCTAGGGTGGCCAGAGATGGTCCTCTGGCTGCCTCTGGGGAAAACCCAACCCTCGGTGGGCTGGGTAACCACTTCCTGGGCCTGGGTATCTGCAGTGGGGCCTTGTGGGGGCTACAGGAAAGGAGCCAGTGCTCAACTGGGTGGGTGTGGGTGGAAGGGTGCCCAGCCAGCGGCTACTTCCTGCCCCTAAGGGCTTGGGAGTCAGCCTAGGACAACTCCCTTTTGGTCCAGAGCATGCTCACCGCCTGGACATCTTTGCCCACAACCTGGCCCAGGCTCAGAGGCTGCAGGAGGAGGACTTGGGCACAGCTGAGTTTGGGGTGACTCCATTCAGTGACCTCACAGGTACCATTAACCCTTCTGGCTCGTAGGTGGTGGTTGGGAAGCGATCTCCCCAGGGACACTGGCAGCTGGACCCAGCGGACCTTCAATTTTTACTTCCCAGGGAAGGAAATTCATTTCCCTGAGGACCAGGGGCTTGGGTGCTGGTATCAAATCACCCAGTGCAGGGGCAGAATCTCTGCAGTCCTGTGTCCTAATCCAGCCTAGGGGCCAGCGCAGCAGCTGCAGGGAAGCACCCAGCAGGGAGCCCAGCCTCTCTAGGCTTGGCACCCTTGCCTTTTTGAGACAGGGTCTTGCTCTGTTGTCCAGGCTGCAGTACAATAGTGCAATCACAGCTCACTCAGCCTCCACCTCCTAGACTCAAGCAATTCCCCCGACCCCTCAGCCTTCTAAGTAGCTGGGGCTACAAGCCCGCACAACCACGCCCAGCTAATTTTTCTACTTTTTGTGGAGATGGGGTCTCGGACTCCTGACCTCAAGTGATCCACCCACCTTGGCCTCCCAAAGTGCTGGGATTATAGGTGTGAGCCACCACGCCCGGCCTATCCTTGCCTTTTTGCCCCTCAGGGAATTATGGGACCAACAGCTGGAGTGGGAGAGGCAGAACAGGGAGAAGGGGTCAAAATGGAGACCTCAGTGGCCCTGTCTGTTCCCCAGAGGAGGAGTTTGGCCAGCTCTATGGCTATCGGAGGGCAGCTGGAGGGGTCCCCAGCATGGGCAGAGAAATAAGGTCTGAAGAGCCAGAGGAGTCAGTACCTTTCAGCTGTGACTGGCGGAAGGTGGCCAGCGCCATCTCACCCATCAAGGACCAGGTATCTGCCGCTACCCAGCTGGCTCTAATTCAGCTAAGTGGTGGGAGGGAGAGGGGCACGGCCCGAACACCTAGCCCCGCCCCACCCTCTCGCCCTCCAGAAAAACTGCAACTGCTGCTGGGCCATGGCAGCGGCAGGCAACATAGAGACCCTGTGGCGCATCAGTTTCTGGGATTTTGTGGATGTCTCCGTGCAGGGTAGGGTTGGGAGAGGGTGCGCGTGTGACAGGGGAGGGAGGCCTAGGGGCCTGGTCACCCACACTGTCCCTTCTTGCACCAGAACTGCTGGACTGTGGCCGCTGTGGGGATGGCTGCCACGGTGGCTTCGTCTGGGACGCGTTCATAACTGTCCTCAACAACAGTGAGTGCACTGCCCCGCCACTCTGGACATCTGCAGGGGGACAGGGTGGGCAGGAGCGGAACCTCCTCCCTTGTCTTGCTTATCTGCAGGCGGCCTGGCCAGTGAAAAGGACTACCCGTTCCAGGGCAAAGTCAGAGCCCACAGGTGCCACCCCAAGAAGTACCAGAAGGTGGCCTGGATCCAGGACTTCATCATGCTGCAGAACAACGAGCACAGTGCGGGCAGGGCAGGGACACGGGCGGATGGCAGGGACAGACACCGGGGCAGAGGCAGACACGCTGGGCTACTGGGCTAGAAGACAAGAGGGGGTGGGGGGAGCGAAGGAGCGAGAGACCCACACACCCACATGCCAAGGGTCTGATGATGTTCCTGTCCCCAGGAATTGCGCAGTACCTGGCCACTTATGGCCCCATCACCGTGACCATCAACATGAAGCCCCTTCAGGTGAGATGGGGGAGCTGATGGGGAAGGGGCATACAGGAGACTTGGCCCCACACTCAGCCCCTCGGCCCCCACCCCCTGCAGCTATACCGGAAAGGTGTGATCAAGGCCACACCCACCACCTGTGACCCCCAGCTTGTGGACCACTCTGTCCTGCTGGTGGGTTTTGGCAGCGTCAAGTCAGAGGAGGGGATATGGGCAGAGACAGTCTCATCGCAGTCTCAGCCTCAGCCTCCACACCCCACCCCATACTGGATCCTGAAGAACTCCTGGGGGGCCCAATGGGGAGAGAAGGTGAGTGTGATCTATTGGGGGAGGGGGCAAGGCAGAACAGGCCTCTTCCCACCTTCCCGCCCCTATGTCCCCTAACCTCCTAGGGCTATTTCCGGCTGCACCGAGGGAGCAATACCTGTGGCATCACCAAGTTCCCGCTCACTGCCCGTGTGCAGAAACCGGATATGAAGCCCCGAGTCTCCTGCCCTCCCTGAACCCACCTGGCCCCCTCAGCTCTGTCCTGTTAGGCCAACTGCCTCCTTGCCAGCCCCACCCCCAGGTTTTTGCCCATCCTCCCAATCTCAATACAGCCTGAATAAACCAAGACAAGACCTCTGGCTTGTGAGCAGACTCTTCTGGTGGATGGGCTGAGCACAGACACCATTCCCTGAGATATGTCTCAGTTCCCAAGGAGCCACTGTACACATCCATCCTTGTACACGGACACCAGGTGCTCAGAGACAGACACAGGCACATCTGCACGCCCCCCACTTGCTCCCCGGAGCGAGGACCAGTCTCCAAACTCAGAGCAACTTTATTGTCAGCGTGGGCGGAGCGTTGGGAGGCACCTCAGTCATGATACAGGCGCAGGAGGCAGCCGCGGAGGGTGCCCATGTAGCGGTCCCAGAGGGCCTGGTGTCTGTAAGAACATGAACAGTGACAGCTGAGTTTTCACAACACTCACCGTGATGGAGGCCCTGCCCTGCGTGCTTTCTACACCTTCATTCATTTTGCCCTTAGAAAATCCTTACAATTCTTCTCATGATGAACCCTAGTTTGTACATGAGGAAACTGAGGCATGGAGAGGTTAAGAAACCTGCCCCAAATCACACAGCTTCTAAGAGGGAGAGCCAGAGCTTTGGTCCAGAGACTTTGGTCCCACCCCCAGGGTAGCAGAATGGGGAACCTTGAGTCTGCAGGAGGCGAGGTCCTGGCAGGTGGCAGGCTGGGGCAAAGCCAAGCTGGACAGGAGGACAGGGCTGCTCACCGGAAGCCATCGAGGGAGTGGACAGACGCTGAATACTGATTCAGGAAGAACCGCACGTCGCTGAGTGGCCAGTGGTCGGAGCGGCAGGGTTCCACAAACTGCGGGCCCAAGAGAATACTTAGCACTTGTATAGGCCAGGGACAGACCAGGTTGGGTGTCAGAGAGCACGACAGCTCACCTTCTCCACGAGGTCCACAAACAGGTCTCTGACATCTTTATTGTGGGTCAGCTTGGCGGCCACGTTCACCAGCCCCCGGGACAGGTTCTGTGGGGCAGGGATCCTTGGAGCTCTGCTTTCTGCCCCAGAAGTTGGCAGCTGAGCACAGAAGCTGGGGGAGGAGGAGCAGGCCCCTCCCCAGATCCATCCACCTCCCTCCATCAACCAAGTCCCCATTGTTTATGAGCTGCTCCCGTCAGCGGCCACCAGAGGGAGCAGCAGTGCCACCTGCCGGCCAATCCCTGGCAGGGGCAGAGCTGCCCGGTAGGGGTGGCGAACTGGAGGCTGAAGATGCCAAGGGTCAGAGGCTGGATGGGACCACAGACCTTGAAGTTGGCTTCCATCTCAGAGAAGACGCCCAGCTTTCCCCGGAGAGCAGTGCACACCAGGCTGCAGAGAGACAGGGTCACGCCTATAGCCACCTGGGCCCCTACTGCAGGCCCCGCCCCATGGGCCCCTACAAGGTCACCTCTTGTGCAGGTCCAGAAGGTCCTTGTCAGCCACTAGCACCTTGAGCTCCTTCAAGTCCTGGAGAAATTCCTTGTCTAAGTCCATGTCCATGTCATCCATCTGTGAGTCTGTGAGGCCATGAAGGGGGTGGGGGTGGGTGATAAAAACCCCTCCTGTGATAGCCTAAGCCTTTCCTCACCCACCACCTTATTTCCCCCCTGGGGACAAAAGAGGAAATGGAGTGTCAGAGAGATGGAGTGACATGCCCCAGGCCACAGAGAGGCAATGGGCCCTTTGTCTGCAGACAAGGTGTGTGTGGGGAAAACATTCTATGGGCAGGGGGAGCCTGGGTGGGGGCCATGAACAGGAGCGGATGCCAGGAACTGAGGGCCTGTGGGAGAAACTACTGGTGGGGAATCAGGTCCTGAGGATGGGGAGGCGTCCAGGCACCTGGGTCAGTGGGGGCCTCACCGACGGCTCCAAGGGTCCAGTTTTGGATCATGAGCTCAGCGCAGAAGGCAAAGTCACCGAAGCTCAGATACTGCAGTTTTTTCTTCCCTGTCTCAAAGCGGTTGTTAGCAAAGAAGACGATGGCTGCATAGTCCCTGCACAGACGAGAGGAGGGTCCTCTTAGGGCTTGAAATTCCTTCTTAGGAAGCAGCTCCCACCTGCAACCTCAGCTGGGTGTCCGAGTTCTGGCCTCTCTCTGCCTCAAGTCACTGTGTGACGTGTCTCAAGTCACTTCTCTATGACCCTTCCCCATCTGTGCGAAGAGAAGGTTCCAGCTCAAGTTTACTAGTGGATACAGTGGGAGACCATAAGGGTAACAGTTACTATCTACTGAGCACTTCCTAAGTGCCAGGGCTGTGCCATGGGCTTTACATATGGTACCTCTCAACAGCCCAGCTGGAAATCGCTGGACTGTGCTTTGAATCCAGGTCAGTCTGGTCCAAAGTACAGACCAAGCTGGGTGCGGTGGCTCAAGCCTGTAATCCCAGCTACTCGGGAGGCTGAGGCAGAATTGCTTGAACCAGGAGGCAGAGGTTGCAGTGAGCCAAGATTGCACCATTGCATTCCAGCCTGGGCAACAAGAGTGAAACTCCGTCTCATTAAAAAAAAAAAAAAAAAAAAAGTACAGACCAAAAGTGGGATAATCATTCCCCCAGCATACTCAGGAGGTCAGAAGGTTTGGGGTAGGGAAGGTGGACGAGCCTCCGGGCCCAGGAAGTAGTGTGCGGGATGGGGAGGTGGCTAGCTCCTCACCTGGCCAACCGGTCAGAGAGGAGGAAGTGTTGCTGAATATTGTCCACCAGGGAGCCCCGCATTTCCTCTACCACCTTGAAGACCCGTTTAAAGTTGTCAAACTGCAGGGCAGTTAGGGTAGAAGAGAGGACTGGTCAGAGTGTACACTGTGTCGCTCACCCAATAAACCACTTATTGAACATCTCTCCCTTCCCCATCCACCTATCCAGTCAGCAGATGCTGATTTAGCATTTGTTATTCCTTCAACCAACTATTAGTTATTAGTACTTGTTATCAAATCAAATGCTTAGCAACTCCTGCTGTATCTTGCCTTGGATAAATGTTTACTCAATCTTATCTCTAAATCCAACCCCATTTTAGCACCATGCTCTCCAGATCTTCACAAGTTTGAGTTGGAAGAGACTTTCCTGGCTAAGCCCTAGAAACTAAAAAATAAAAAACAAATGCTAAGCTATAAACAGAAAGCTCACAGGAGATACAAAAGAAAGGCATCAAAGACCCAGAAGGGTTACTTCTTCCTGGCGTACCAAAAAGGCTTGTGGAGAAGGTGGCATCTCACCTCTTGTCTTGGATTTCAAGGGGTAGATATTGCCAAGAACAGTACCCTCCAGGTAGAAGCAACATGAGTAAAGGAAAGCCTGGGGCTGGAGAAATGTAAGCCTAGAGAGGTCTGCAGGGATGAGATAACAGGACAGTCCATAGGTCAAAGCCAAGGAGTGCAGCTGCTACCCAGGAGGCAGTGGGAGCCAATGAAAGTTTATCAGGGGTCTGATAAAATTTCAGGTCATTCTGAAAGGTCACTCTGGCCATACAGTACAGGATAGCTTGGAAGGCACAACAGGGAGCCAGGCACGGTGGCTCACGCCTGTAATGTCAGCACTTTGGGAGGCCGAGGCGGATGATCACTTGAGGCCAGGAGTTCAAGACAAGCCTGGCCAACATGGTGAAACCCTGTCTCTACTAACAATACAAAAATTAGCTGGGTGTGGGAGCGGGCGCCTGTAATCTCAGCTACTGCAGAGGCTGAGGCACAAGAATTACCTGAACCCAGGAGGCGGAGGTTGCAGTGAGCTGAGGTCGCGCCACTGCACTCCAGCTTGGGCCACAGAGCAAGACTCCATCTCGAAAAAAAAAAAAAAAAAGGAGGGGAAAGGGGAAGGGAGGAGAAGACTAGGTATGAAGCTGCTGCCACAATCAGAGGCTGGAACTGGGCCAGTGGCCAAAGGGAGGGAGTGAAGTGTAGATGGGATGCTGTGTCCGTGTGGATGCAGTGCATACCTGTCTCCGGCAGCTCTTGAGGGTGATGCCTGTTTTGGTGCTGATGTCATCCAGGTCTTTCTTGGTGCCTTTGGACAGCTTCTTGCCCAGCACCTCCCGAACAAAGGCCTCATCAAAGGCATAGTACCTTGTGGAGTCAGAGAACACCATTGACCCTCCATAAAAGACAGGAAAGGGAGTCTGGCGGGGCCTAGCAGGGCCTAGGTCTGACCCCTTCCACTCTCAACTTTCTGATGGCTGGGTAAATCCCATCCCTCCCTGGGCCTGTTTCAGCCGGCAAAATGGGTATACAGTCAGACTGGTTGATGTCTCCACCATCCCAGAGGGTGAGCACCTCTCGATGAGTAGTGCCTGCCGGGAGGGCGGAATCTGGAAGATGAGCTGGTGCAGTAGCTTGGGCGGCGCATGCAGCAGCCGCTCGAGCATGTGGAAGGTGCGGTAATGGTCCATGGTGTCGCTCTGCAGCACCGCTGCCGTGGCGCCAGTCTGCTCCAGGATTCCCGAGCGCACCCGCAGGGCCACCGCGTCGGTCACTGGAAAGCGGACGCTAGCATCAGGCCCCGCCCCGCCGACGCCAGAGGCCCTTAAGGGTTTCCATCCCAGACCCCTATAACACCTCTTATTCCCAGGCGCTCGCCCACTTCCCTAAAGGATGCCCAAGTCTTAGCCCCGCCCCCTCTCCCATTCAACACAACCGCTCCGCCGACTGGCTTCCCCACACGCCCCTCACGGACCCGAGTAACCATCGAGCCAGAGGCGATACACGTCCTCGTCGATAAGGGTCGTGTTCCCCACGAAGATGTCCAGCTCACTGGTCATGGCGACGCCCGGGGCCGCAGCGCCCCGAGCAGGAGCGAGCACTGCTCGGGACTGGCGCGCCGCCTTCAGGCCACTTCCGGGAGCGCCGAGATTCCGCTCGCGGCATCGGGACCCAGCTTATGACCACTTCCGGGACACAGCCAGTCGGGGAGGGGACGGGGCGGGAGCGGCGAGGGAAGAGAGGGGGAGGCCTGCGCGGAGGAGCACCGCTTCCTCCCGCCGGGAGGGGGAGTCCCGGGCTCCTGCGTCCTGTCTCCCTCCCCGGCCGTCTGCAGGAGCACGAAGGGAGTGCCTCCTCTTCGTCTCCTCGGTCCCCGTAACTTCTCCCCTCACTTCCTCCTGGCTTTTCTCCCACCTTCTCTGCCCTCTTCGGGACCTCCTAAGTTTGACCTGTATCCTAAACTTAGGGGTTTCACAGGGCTCTATCCTAAATCTCCGCAAAAATGGGGTATGACCCGACTTCCTCGGGCTCTTGCTGGAGACTGGTTTGTCCATCCTGCGCATGAGCACCTCTCCTGGGTTTGGGGCACCTGCTCCCACCTTGGTTTTAATCCCACCCCCAGCCCCACGAGCTACTGACGTCTCTAATTCTGCCCCTCCGAGCTCTGCCTGGAAGTCCACATCCGGAGGGGCCGCCTATCGGCCAAGTCTATCCACACTCTTCCCGTAAGCCCCTCAAAAGCTCAACATATTCTAGACAGACCTCTGCCTCTCCCCATTTGTTTCTTTCCTGCGTCCCTATCTCAGTGACAGCCCTAACATCCACCAGTTCTCATACGAGAAACCTGGGCGTTCTTCCAGACTCCTCTCTCCCCACATTCAGTTCGGCTGATTTGCCTCCCGAATATTTCTAGTATCTGTTTGTCCTCTCCACCCCCACTGATGCTGCCCCAGCCGTCTTTCTGCTTAGCTCTCCTTGCTCTTGCTCTTTGACACCGTTACTAATCTCCCTGTTTATGTCCCCTCCCCGCAGGGTCCGGCCCACACAGATCAGCCCAATCTTTTTAAATACATTTTTTTTTTCGAGACAGCGTCTCGCTCTGTCGCCCAGGCTGGAGTGCAGTGGCGCGATCTCGGCTCACTGCAACCTCCGCCTCCCGGGTTCAAGCAGTTCTCTGCCTCAGCCTCCCGAGTAGCTGAGATTACAGGCTCCTCCCACCACGCCCGGCTAATTTTTGTATTTTTAGTAGAAACGGGGTTTCACCATCTTGGCCAGTTAAAGGCATATTTTAAAATGTTACTCCCTTGCTTAACATCCTTACAAATGTTACTCTCTTGCTTAACATCCTTAGTGGCCTTTGGAAATGCTCCAACCTGGTACTGGAAGTTCTTAAGAATCTGGCTTTTACCTACCTTTGAAGCCTCGCTCTCTCTCTCTTAGCATTTTCTCGACACATCTGCTTTTCAAAAACCAAGCTATCCTCATTGTTCCTAAAGCAGCTAGGCTCTTTCGGGCACCAGTGTCTTTCACTATGTTATTCTCTCTCCCTGAAATAGCTCTTTACTTGGCAAAGTCCTATGGATCTACCAGAGCCTCTTGGATAGCATCTCTTTTGGGAACCCTCTTAAGGACCCTCAGACCATACTCCTCCCGGATTTATTTCTTGCTTAACACAGCTTGACTTCCCGGACAGACTGCGACCTCCTTGAGGATGGAATCGGTATTTTGGTTAAATTTATTTCTGCATGGGCCTTGCACATAAAAAACGTTTATTGAACAAACGAATCCTGTATGTTCCTCCCCCCAGGCAGGAAACGCTCCCTGGGAGGGAGGGTAGTCTATTGGTGAGCTAGGACGTTTGGACTCAGGGTTCCGAGGAACCAGGAGCGATCCTTAGTGGGCCGAGACTTCCGAATTTGATCAAAGGTAAAGAGGGACTGGAGAGCGGTCCATCTGACTTCTGTGGGGGATGGGCAGGAGTCAGGGGCGGACGCCTGAATCTTGTTTCTCAGAAGAGCCGAGAGGCCTAGGCTCAAGCTTGGGGCGATCCGGTACTTGGAGGTTCGAAGCTCCTAGTTTCGGGTTGAGACCGATGTGGAGGGCGATGACGCGCGGGTTCCTTGACATCGAGGATCAGTAACACCCGGAGTGGGTGGGGAACGAGGGGGGCGGCCCCTGAGCTCAGGCCCCGCCCCTTTCCGGGGACGTTTCACCGGATTGGCTGTCCTTCCATAACGACATGCGGCCCCGCCCCGGCGCGCGCCCCGCCGCGTGCCCAGCCCGGGTAGCTGCTGCAGCCTACGCTGCCTCGGCCACTGCCTGCCGCGTGCGGAGCCGGAGCCCGAGCCTGAGTGGCGCCGGGCCCGACGTGGGGCTCCTGGGCCGCGGCGGCGGGCGGGCGATGCTCCAGAGGCCTGACCAGCCATGGAGGCCGAGGCAGGCGGCCTGGAGGAGCTGACGGACGAGGAGATGGCGGCGCTAGGCAAGGAAGAGCTAGTGCGGCGCCTGCGGCGGGAGGAGGCGGCGCGCCTGGCGGCACTGGTGCAGCGCGGCCGCCTCATGCAGGAGGTGAATCGGCAGCTGCAGGGCCACCTGGGCGAGATCCGCGAGCTCAAGCAGCTCAACCGGCGTCTGCAGGCAGAGAACCGTGAGCTGCGCGACCTCTGCTGCTTCCTGGACTCGGAGCGCCAGCGCGGGCGGCGCGCCGCACGCCAGTGGCAGCTCTTCGGGACCCAAGCATCCCGGGCCGTGCGCGAGGACCTGGGCGGCTGTTGGCAGAAGCTGGCCGAGCTGGAGGGCCGCCAGGAGGAGCTGCTGCGGGAGAACCTAGCGCTTAAGGAGCTCTGCCTGGCGCTGGGCGAAGAATGGGGCCCCCGCGGCGGCCCCAGCGGCGCCGGGGGATCAGGAGCCGGGCCAGCACCCGAGCTTGCCTTGCCCCCGTGCGGGCCCCGCGACCTAGGCGATGGAAGCTCCAGCACTGGCAGCGTGGGCAGTCCGGATCAGTTGCCCCTGGCCTGTTCCCCCGATGATTGAAGGCACTGCTTCCTCCACGCCGACGCCCGCCCGGATTGCTCCCCGAGCCCCGGGACCGCTGTGGACCTCGGGACCTGGACGCCGTCCTGGCTGCGCAGGAGGGGCCGCTGGCATGGACTAAGAAATCCTGACACCAAGAAGGGCCCCTCGCTCTTGCTGGCAGGGCAGCAGGGGGACTGAAGGCTGGAGCGGAGGGACTTGCTGGGGGTTGGATTGGGGGTAATAAACCCGGACGGAAGCGGAGCCCACGGCCTGGGCAGCGTCTGTTTGGTACTCGCCGGGGTTGGGGCGAGGGTGGGGTGCTGATACAGGGTACAATTCCCATCCAGAAGGACTGCAGAACTAATGATTCCCCCATTACTTCGAGCCTGGGGTGGGATGCGGGGCAGTGGTAAACCAGACTTCCCCCATCGGGCGCCGGGACCGGCCTTAATCCAGCCCCTGAAGTGGCTCCAGCTCCCTTCCCGGCTCCTTCCTGTCCAAGACAATGGGGCAGGAAGCAGGTGCTGGGGGCCTAGAACCACTCGGCCGCCTCCTCTGAGGCTGGAAGGGGGCATAACAGCGCCCCTCCGTGGCACACGCAGCAGCACTGTGGGCCCCCACGGGGAGAGGGGCGGTAAGCCTCTTCGCTTTTACCCCAGAGGACTGTCTCCCCTCAGTCCCGGAGATGAGGCCGAGCGGATGTAGCCCCACTTGTCAGATAAGACAAAGTCCAAAAATATCAAAGAATTTGTCCAAGGTCATGCAGTGAGTCTGTAGAGCTAAGGCTGGGACCTAGGGCTCCAAATACTCTCCCATTGGCCTCTGGGTCCAGTGAGGCACTCAGGCCACAGCTTCAAGCCTTTTATTCCATTTTGGTAGGTTTGTATAAAAATACTCTCTTTAGGAAAATAAATAGCAGCTGCCCTCGCTGTGGAGGCTTGGATTCCCTGGAGCTGAAGGCTTCTCAAAGCTGAGATCCGCAGATCAGCTCATCACAGAAGCCAAGGGCGCCTCCTGAGCTGTGCGGTTCAGGAGGGGGCGGCAGAATGGCCTGGTCCAATCACCTGCTGCTGCTGGCAGTGGGGCTGGTGAGTTAGTGTTCTAGGTGGGTAAAGTGGCACCTTCTGTCAGGAGATAGGGTTGGGTGGATCACAGGAAGAGGGTGATGGAGAGTGTGGCAGTGATCTGGAAGGGGTTAGGGCTCCAGAGGACCTCTAAGGATCTACAAAGTCTCTGGGCTGCCAGGATTCCTCTGGCACAAATGGGAAATATTTTGTCTCTGATTTAGTGCAAATTGTGCTAGAGAGGCCAGCTCAAGAGAAACAGTGGGCAGCTTTGGTGGCCCCAAGCTGGCTCTACTGTGAAGCACAATATGGTCAGTCTCATTAGAGGGATGGAGAAGAAGTTGCTGGAGTTGGATGTGGGATACTGTCCAGGCCAGCTGGACCGGTGGGGGAAGGGGAGGAGACATTGGCTAGGGTGGCATCTGCAGGGAGTAGGGCTCAGGCGCCTCACAAAGCGAGGAGGGTTGGAGAGCCAAGGGGGTCAGAGGATGGGTCTCCGCTGCTGCTGCTACTCTTGCGATGAGCTGAGGCACAAGGCTCAGGAGTGCTGGGGTAGGTGAAGACCAGGCTGGGGGTGAAAGGAGTTAGGGAGGGTGTGGTCATGAGTGTGGGGGTGTGCAGTGCCTCAGGTTCAAGCACAGGCCCTGGGGAAAGGGAGATACAAGGTACAGGGCGGCAGGGGGCTGGTGGGCTGCTGGTGCCACTGGTACTGCCTGTGTCCCCCTCCTTGGCTCCTTCCGGGATTTTGCAGATGGGTCGGTGGGCTTCCAGCACCAGCTCTAGGCGCTCCTTCTGCTTCTGCAGCTCCTCAATCTCTCGCTGCAGCCCAGATTTCTCATCTTCCAGTTTGTCAGTCTCCTGTAGAAGATCAGGAGAGGAGTCAGAAAGGTGAGGGCTGAATACCCCAGAGCCGCAGACGTTTGGACTCAGGGTTCTGAGGAGCTGGGGTTGGGCGGGGGGAGAGGGGGGGCAGTGGAGAGTCCCCAGCAAGTCTGGACTACAACTCCCATAAGCCCCTGGGAGAAAATGGGCACAACTCCCATCAGGCCCAGACGTTTTAGGAGATTGCTGGCACCAGGCAGTGACTCCGGCCTGTAATCCCAGCACTTTGGGAGGCTGAGGCGGGCGGATCACTTGAGACCAGGAGTTTGAGACCAGCCTGGCTAACTTGGCGAAACCCCGTCTCTACTAAAAATACAAAAATTAGTCGGGTAGGGAGGCAGGCGCCTGTAGCCCCAGGTACTCAGCAGGCTGAGGCATAAGAATTGCTGGAGCCTGGGAGACAGATGTCACAGTGAGCCATGAGCCGAGATCTCATCACTGCACTCCAGCCTGGGTGACAGAGCGAGACTCTGTCTCAAAAAAAAAAGGAGATTGCTGGCTGAGCTTCAGCTCTGCTGTGAGTGAGACATGCTGCAGCCAGTTTCTAATCAATTTTTCCTCATCATTTTCCCAGAAGGACTGCCCCTCAGACAAGGAGCTAGGATGGTGAGGAGGGGGCTACATATACTGGGGCTCTGGGGGCTCTGGGAGACAGGGTCCCTCTGAGCTCGGTGGACCAGGGCTGGTGCTCACCGCCTGCAGGAAGTCGGTCAGTTCCTTCCTCCGGTTCCTGCACTTGGCCGCAGCCAGCTTGTTCCGCTCGCGCCTTACTCGGCGGCGCTCCTCTTCCTCCGGGCTGATCTGGGGGTGAGACCCGCAGTGAGGAGGACCCTGGGCTACTGGCTGCCTGGAACTCGCCCCTCATGGTGGCCCAGTGGTAGGACCCTGGCAGAGGTCATGGCAGGGCCCCCTCAGCCGGTGATTTAGGGATCACTGCACCCAACCAGTTCCCTGCACTGAGGCGCTGTCTGCTTTGATTGGTAAAATTTCCTCCTCGCACCTAGCTTTAGTGCACATTCCTCTCCCATAATGCCCTCCCCCTCCGCAAACCCTAACCCTCCTCATCTCCCAGGACTCAACTAAGATGCTCCTGCCTCCAGGAAGCCGTCTTATTCCCCAGCCAGAAGTGACCTTTCCTTCTCAGCACCCTCTTTGCAGGACCCTCATCCTTCTGGATCTGTGGACAACCAAGTCTCCTCTTCCATGAGCTGTAAGCACTAGGAGGGGCTAATGAGTGCTGCTGATTAAGTTGCAATTTATTGGAAAACTACTATGTGCCAGCCAAGTACTTTACGTAGATTCTTGTTTTTCACTGAGAACATGCAAAGATTTTATTTTATTTTATTTTATTTTTTTTAGACAGAGTCTCACTCTTTCCCAGGCTGGAGTGCATTGGCCCAATCTTGGCTCACTGCAACCTCCACCTACTGGGTTCAAGTGATTCTCGTGCCTCAGCCTCCCAAGTAGCTGGGATTACAGGCATGTACCACCACACCTGGCTAATTTTTGTATTTTTAGTAGAGACGAGGTTTCACCATGTTGGCCAGGCTGGTCTTGAACTCTTAACCTCAGGTGATCCACCCTCCTCAGCCTCCCAAAGTGCTGGGATTACAGGCATGAGCCACTGTGCTCGGCCTTTTTTTTTCTTTTTTTTTTTTGTGTAGTGACGGGGTCTCACTGTGTTGCCCAGGCTGGTCTGGAACTCATGGGCTCAAGGGATCCTCCTGCACTGGCCTCCTAGAATGTTTGGATTACCAGGGGGAGTCACCACAGCTGGCCTCTTTTTTAAAAAAACATAGATTCTTTTTTTTTTTTTTTTTTGAGACGGAGTCTCACTCTGTTGCCCAGGCTGGAGTGCAGTGGTGCCATCTCGGCTCACTGCAAGCTCCGCCTCCGGGGTTCACGCCATTCTCCTGCCTCAGCCTCCCGAGTAGCTGCGACTACAGGTGCCTTCCACCACGCCCAGCTAATTTTTTGTATTTTTTAGTAGAGACACGGTTTCATCATGTTAGCCAGGATGGTCTCGATCTCCTGACCTCATGATCCACCTTCCTTGGCCTCCCAAAGTGCTGGGATTACAGGCGTGAGCCACCATGCCTGGCCTTAAACTAGATTCTTAACGCAACTTTCCATGAAAAACTGAAGCCCAGAGAGGATAACTTACTTATGGTTCCAGAGCAGGACTTAGAACCCATAGAACTCACTCACTCTATTCCACATTGAGTGACAGGCCAGATGAGAGAGACCATTTCACCAAAAGGATCCAACTCACAGCTCACAGCCCTACCTGGAGAACCCAGGATCAAAGGGTCACCCTCAGGACCAGGCTGAAGGAAGGACGCACAGGAGGGTTTACCCCTGGCCCGCTTCTGCGGCTCATACCACAGTCCCTCCTCACCACAAAGGCCAGACATTCTGTTCTGGGAAACCTGTCTCTGGCTGATCTCTCACCTTTCCCAGGGCCCTAACCTCTCTCCCCATCCTCTACCTGCCGACCAAGCTTTTTAACCTCATCCCCTGTAGTCTCCCACACCAAAATGCCCCAGGGAGAGGAAAGATGAGCCACTCCTTTAAAGACTCGCCATCTCTTACTCACTTATTTTGGTAAGGGCTTTGGGGAGCCAAGAATTGTCAGTTCCCTCTACTTTGAGCCTTCTGTTAGCTTCCAGTGAGACAGCGTGGCTTGGTGATTAGTTTTGGGGGTTTTATTTTATTTTGTTTTTTCGGTAGAGACAGGGTCTCTCTATGTTGCCCAACCTAGTCTTGAACTCCTGGCCTCAAGTGATCCTCCTGCCTAGGTCTCTCAAAGTGCTGGGATTACAGGCATGAGCTACTGCACCTGGCCCTGGTTTGGTGGTTAGGATCTGACTTTAGAGTTGTATAGACCTGGGGCCAAGGCCAGTCCTGTGTCATTACTCACTACTTGTGTGATCTTGGGCAAGTGACTACCCTTCTGTGCCTTCATTTCTTTGGTGGAAGATGGGGAAAACCAGAGTACATTCCCCAGAGAGATTTTGTGAGGATTAAATGAGACAGGGAAACTGAGACTGAGGGAGTAGCTGAAGGGAACCCTCTTGTTCCTGTTCTCTCCCAGACAACATAAGCGCCCCCTCTATGCATGTCAGCAGGTGGAGACCCCCTCACCATTCCGTGTGCGCACCTTACATGTTCTTGCCTCCGCCTCCATCCTTGCTCCTGCCACCCCCGCTACCTGGAATGTCCTTTCCTTCCTCTCTGCCTCTGCCAGTCCTACCCATCCTTCTAGGCTAATATGCCACCTTTTCCAGGAAGCTTTCCCTGATCTGGAAGTGACTGTTGTACCCTCTGGGCCTCCCGTGGGGCTCCTATCACTTTCAGCCTTGGGCAGTAGTCACCTGTAGCCTACCTTACCCCCTCCTAAGCCTGTGCTCTCCTTTCTGGCAGGAGCTTCTCTGCACCCTAGCACTCCTGGGCGGGGTCGGAACCACTGCAATGCCTCTGTGCCTTACCTGTTCACAAGGCCTTCGACGTACCCCTGGAGGCGGCCCCAGGGCCCGGATGACTCCTGGCCGGGGTTGTGGGGGGCTGTACTGAGGGTAGGTCAGAGGCCTGGGGTAACTGCTGGGCCCCAGGAAATGAGGCTGTACCATCCACTGCAGCTCCTGACTGCCACTCATGGTGTTGATGCTTGGCACCAGGTGGAACTTCTAAGGAATAAGAAATGGAAGGCCACAGATGAGGTCCGTGTGGATTGAGGGGCTTCCACTGGGCAGAGGCTACACTGCTGTCTACCTTCAATGTACAGGCTAGCTCTGGGAACAGAAAGAGCACAGCTTGGCAGTCAGAGACTGACCTGGTGGCAAATCCCTGCTCATAAGCTGTGTGGCTTTGGGGCAGGTCACATAACCTCTCTGTGCCCCCATTTCCCCATTAGAACTAACATTTATAAAGCACAAACTGCCAGGAACTGTTCTAACCACTTTACAAATACTGACTCATATCATTGGCACAGTAATATCTTCATTTTCTTTTCTTTCTTTTTTTTCTTTTTTTTTTTTCAGATGGAGTCTCACTCTGTTGCCCAGGCTGGAGTGTAGTGGCACGATCTCAGCTCACTGCAACCTGCGCCTCCCAGGTTCGAGTGATCCTCCTGCCCCAGCCTCCTGAGTAGCTGGGATTATAGGCGTGCACCACCATGCCCGGCTAATTTTTGTATTTGTGGTAGAGACAGGGTTTCACCATGTTTGCCAGGCTGGTCTCCAGCTCCCAACCTCAGGTGATCCACCCGCCTCGGCCTCCCAAAGTGCTGGGATTACAGGCGTGAACCACAGCGCCCAGCCTAGTATCTTCATTTTCAGACGGGAGAACAGTTGTCCGCAGACACAGAGCCAATGAGCCCAGCAGCTGGGCTCTTACCCACTCCTGCACCCGTTTGCACGAAGAGGATAATTACAGCTCCCAGCTCAAGGGGAGGCTGTGAGAATCAGGTGAGAGAATGTGTGCGACAGTCTGGTAAGTGGCAGGTGCCCAGTGCAGAGGGGCTGAGGCAGGAAAGAGTCACTGCTCTGGGTTCAGGCCATTCCATTGCTTTTTTTTTTTTTTTTCTTGAGACAGGGTCTCACTCTTTCACCCAGGTTGGAGTGCAGTGACCTGCGGGCTCAAGCAATCCTCCCACCTCAGCCTCCCAAGTAGCTGGGACTACCGACGTGCACCACCACATTTGGCTAATTTTTTTTTTCTTTTCTGTTTTTTTTTTTTTGAGACACAGTCTTGCTTTGTCACCCAGGTTGGAGTGCAGTAGCCCGATCTCGCCTCACTGCAACCTCCACCTCCTGGATTCAAGCAATTCTCCTGCCTCAGCCTCCCGAGTAGCTGGGACTACAGGCGCCCACAACTGTGCCCGGCTAATTTTTGTATTTTTAGTAGAGACAGGGTTTCACTATGTTGGCCAGGCTGGTCTTGAACTCCTGACCTCTGGTGATCCACCCGCCTTGGCCTCCCACAGTGCTGGGATTATAGGCATGAGGCACCGCGCACGGCCTGGCTAATTTTTTTTAAATTTTTTTGTAGAGACAGGGTCTCACTAGGTTGCCCAGGGTGGTCTCAAATTCCTGAGCTGAAGCAGTCCACCCACCTCAGCCTCCCAAAGTGTTGAGATGACAGGCTTTAGCCACCTGGCATGGCAGGCTGTCCCAATTCTAATCTCAGCTCTCAGCTACTTACTGGCTGTGTGACCATGGGCAAGTTATTTAACCTCCATGTGCCTCAGTTTCCTCATTTTTAATATTGTTACAGGTGAGGATTACAGGATTTCACTGATGTTAAGAAGTACCCTTTAATAGCTCTGAAATCATAGTTTAATTGGCAATTTAAAAAATTTTAGTGGACTAGGCATGGTGGCTCATACCCAGCACTTTGGGAGGCTGAGGTAGAAGGATCACTTGAGCTCAGGAGTTTGAGGTCACACCGGGCAACACAGTGAGACTTCATTTCTACAAAAAAATTAAAAAATTAGTTGGGTGTGGTGGTGCGTGCCTGTGGCCAGGTCGCTTCCCAGCTAGGATCTCAGTAGGATTGCTTGAGCCCAGGAGGCTGAGGCTGCAGTGAGCTGTGATTGCACCACTGCTCTATAGTCTGGGCAACAGAGGGAGACCCTGTCTCAGAAAAAAAAAAAAAAAGAAAAGAAAGAGAAGGAAAGAAAATTAGTGGCATAAAGTTATAGTGGGTTTTTTTTTCAATCGATGAGGTCTTCGATTCCGTGAAATATGGTAAATGATGTAGCAAGCGCCCAGCACAACGTCCCTGTTCCCATTCTATCAGCCAGCTATCTGAGGAGTGGGTTGGGATGGGGCTCAGTGTTCTGGGAGAAGTGGGTTCTAGCTCTGCCGCTGGGCCCTGGGTGTGGGCGCCCAATCGTCCGGGAAGCGCCCACAAGCCCAGGCAAGTCCCGACAGCGGTAGCCCGAGCCCAAGCGCTGCGGGCCCGGCGTCCCAGTGACCCCAGTTCCGGGTCCGAGGCACCGCCGGCGGCATCTCCCACTCCCGGGCCCGGGCCGCTCCAGGCCAGGAAGGGAGGGACGCCCCGGGTGACTCAGCCGCCGTGACTCGGCCGCCGTGACTCGGCGGAACGGACGCCCCTCCTTCCCTCCCCTGTCGACACGTGCTCGCAGCCCCTCGACAGGAAATGGGCACCTGCAGCCTCCCGGGTGCCCCCCGGCGGGCAGCGGGCGCCGTTAGGGGCTGAGAGTGGGGTCGCGAGAGTCGCCCGCAGCCTGACCCCGCGCACGTCCCGGAACCTCGAGGTCTCTATTCGCCGCATTCGGCAAAGGGATCGAGGGCCGGTCTCCGGGGACCTGGCAGGTTCCACTGCCCGGACCCCCCTGGACTCCCCAGGCCGAGAAACGATAGGGACTTGGCGACGGAGGGGCGAAGGACAGACAGACGGACGGACACGCGGAGGGTCGCAGACCGGGCCGGGACTCCCACCCTGGCCCAGCTGCTCTCCCGACGGATCCCGCCTCCCTCCCGTGTGGGGACCCTCACCCCAGCCCAGACTCCAGATCCCAGGAATTCAGCCCGAAGCGGAGAGACCCTCCTAGCCTTCGAGGCGACCACCCTAGGCGCCCACGCCCCTTCTGAAGCAGGGTGGACGCAGAAGTCAGAGGTGGGCAGGAGGAGAGAAAGCGGGCACGGAGACGGAGGGACGGACGCGGACGGCGAGGGAGAAGGGGGCGGCTGGGAGAAGGGGAGTTCGCGGGTCTCTGCTGCCCGCTGCGCGGTGGGGGCAACTGGCCCCGGACGGCGAGGGGCAGGATCCTCGCCCCAGCCCCCAGCCCGGCCCCGACTCCGGTTCCCCGCTCCAGTCCCGGAGCGTGCGGGAGTTGACCCCGGCCTCCCACGCGCGGTCCTCCCGTGGGACCACCGGCGTCGGGCCCCACTCACCTGCTGGGCTGCCTGCGCTGCGGCCGGGGGCTGCGCGGGGCCGCCGTACCCGCCGCCGTTCCCGGAGCTCGGGCCGGGTTCCCCGAAGTCTCGGAACATGCCCGGGGCTGGCGGCTCTGCGGGGTACACGGCTGCTGGGTTCTGACTCACCCGCGCCGTGCGGAGTCTTTTCTTTTTATGAATGAAAAGTTCTCGGGCTGAACCACTGCGACCGCGGGGGGTGGGGGCGTTGCAGCGGCGCGGTCACCTCCAGGCTCCACCCCCGAGACGCGCCGCCTTGGCCCGTCGGTCCCGAACTTGGCGACGCCTCCCCAAGTCCGGCTGCAGCCTTTTCACCGGGATGGGCCCGGCTCGGCGTTCCCCGGAGGCTGCGGGCCCGCCCCCCTGACGTAGCTGCCCATACATGGTGTAACTTCCTCGCCGCGCCCAGGTGGAGCCCCGGGTTCCCCTGCGGACTGACGCACCTGCCAGAGCCCGCGCCCCGCCCCAGCCCTCTCGAGGCCTGGGCTAACCTCCGTTTCTGCTCCCACAAAATAGCACGAAAGAATCACATCTCTAGGAGCCACGCCAACCGCCACCCAAAGCTTCGTGGAGTGAGGTCTTTCCACTGGCCTTGTTTTAAGGCTTCGAGTATATGAAAAGTGAATAAATGACAAACCAGGGTTACAAAAATGGTGGCATATTTTATTTTACTTTATATTTTTGAGACCGGGTCTCTGTCACCCAGGCTGGAGTGCAGTGGCTCGATCTCGGCGCACTGCAGGCTCAACTTCCTGAGCTAAAGGGATTCTCCTGCCTCAGCGCCCCCTCCAAGTAAGTGGGACTACAGGCGCGCGTCACCACACCCAGGTAATTTTTGTGTTTTTTGTAGGGATTGGGTCTCGCCGTATTGCCCAGGCTGGGTGGTATATTTTAAATGTTTGCGATAAGGTAATGCTTTGAACTAACCCCACATAAAATGCAATATAATAGTATTACTCAGGATAATTTCAGGAGCTATAACGAGTTTTAATTCAGGGCCACTACAGGTGTCCTGAGGTCTGATAAACGCCATCTTCATTACGGTCAGTGCCTTTCGGAGGCTTGTGGCCACCAGACTTGTTTGGAGAGTATGTCAAAGGTGAGTGAATGTGAGGCAGGTATCATCCTCATCTCTGTTTTACAGATGGGGAAACTGAGGCTGGGAGATGCTGAAATGAATTGCTTGAAGTCGCTAAGTGAGTAGCTGGCACAGGTTGCCAAGTCACAGCCGTGGGCACTCCAAGCCCAGGCTCAGCCAAGATTTTCAAAGCCCTTACACCTTCACAGACACCTTGTCGCACATCCAGAATGTTAGTGCTGGGCACCATCCCAAAGCTTCTCTCTGATTACTTCCATCATAGATGAGGAAACTGAGGCCCAGATGGAGTACTGAGCTGTCAGTTGTCACACGACTACAGAAAGAGGGCTGGGGCCAGGTGTGGTGGCTCATGCTTGTAATCCTAGCACTTTGGAAGGCCAAGGCAGAAAGAACCATTTGAGACCCCATCTCTACAAAAAATTATAAAATTTTCTGGACATGGTGGTACGCCTGCCTTGTGGTCCCAGCTGTTCTGGAGGCTGAGGCGGGAGGATGGCTTAAGCCAGGGAGGTTGAGGCTGCGGTGAGCTGTGACTGCGCCACTGCAGTCCAGCCTGGGGGACAGAGCAAGACTCAAAGTAAATAGATCAAGAGAGGGCTGGGCTCTCCTGCTTCTCCATCGGTCCTTCCATTTCATCAGCTCTAGCTTTGCCCTCTGGGCTACTTTCCTTGGGAACACAGGCCAGAAGCCTGTGGGTGCACTCAGGACTTAGAGCCAGGAAGTCCAGATTGCCCCTGGGGTTCTAGTCCCAGAGCTACCATTTTCTGTCTGTGTGACACTGGGCAGGTCACCTTCCTTCAACTGGGCCTCCCTGCTGATCTCACAGAGCTGTTGTGGGATCAAGTGAGATCACAGATGTGAAAATGCTTTGTAAGCTATAAAGTGTTATGCACTCAGAAAGTGGTTACCAGCCTGGTGCCTCTCCTTTGCCTTTGAGCGACCCAATGCTTGTCACCCTCTTGTCATCATCATCTCTGTGTGTGTGTGTGTGTGTGTGTGTGAGAGAGAGAGAGAGAGAGAGAGAAAGAGAGAGAGAAAGGAGAGGAGAGTGTTTTTGAGGCAGTATGATCCGTGGACAGAACACCCGTGCTGGGGTCAGACAGCTCTGGGGTCTGGGTTTGAATGTGGTTAGGCTGCTCACCAGTTGTGTGACCTAGGTGAGGCACACAATCTCTCAGAGCCTCTTTCATTATCTGTGAAATGGAGACATAATGATAACTATCTCAAGGGTTGTTGGAGGACACAAGTAATGTCACATGCTTAGCACAGCACATAGTAAGAATTTGACACATAGGCTGGGTGCCGTGGCTCACGCCTGTAATCCCAGCACTTTGGGAGGCTGAGGCAGGTGGATCACGAGGTCAGGATTTCGAGACCAGCCTGACTAACATGGAGAAACCCCGTCTTTACCAAAAATACAAAAGTTAGCTGGGCATGGTGGCCCATGCCTGTAGTCCCAGCTGCTTGGGAGGCTGAGGCAGGAGAATCGCTTGAACCCGGGAGGCGGAGGTTGCAGTGAGCCAAGATTGCGCCATTGCACTCCAGCATGGGCAACAGAGTAAGACTCCGTCAAAAAACAAAACAAAACAAAACAACCCAGGGGTGAGAGCCTTTGGGACTGATCACACATGAAGGCACTCACACAGCACATGTGCACACACACTGATACCTCAACTTCTTGGCAGAGCCCAAGCTGGACAGGTCAAGTGTGACACAGGTAACCAGGGGAGGGGTGACACAGGTCAGCCTTGACTGCATTCACTTGCCTGCTCCAGAAACATCACCCTGCACCTGACCCCACCGCCCCCAAGCAGTGGATGCTGGGGCCACTGGGGCAGCTGAGGGAGCAGGGATTCAGGTCTGGGGTGTGTGTGTGTGTGTTACATGACTTTGAAAGTCTCTTCCTGCTCTAACCGTCACTGGAGCCACAAGGAGGTCCTTTCAGAGGGAGCACATTCCAACCTCCTCAGTCACTAACCCCCGCCTTGTGGCTGCAGAAACGTTCCTGGCCTCTGACCTCACCAGCTTCCACCCAGGGAGGCCAGGAGAGAACCCCAGGGGGCCACAGCCATCGCTGGAAGTTTGGGGGCAGGGAGGCCTGAGGGACCCTGCCACTGTGCCTTGGTGGCTCTGTAAGACTGGCTCAGTCCCTTCCCATCTCTGAGCCCCAGAGAATCCCTGCCTTTTGGGGCTGCAGTGAAGGAGAGGAGGCTTGGCACCCTGTGCATTCTCAGCATGGCCAGGGCATTGGAGGTGATATTTATGTTTATCAGTTTCTATTCACTCTTTAATTGAAGTCTATGTTGTTTTTGTTTGTTTGTTTGTTTGTTTGGTTTGAGATAGGATCTCACTCTGATGCCTAGATGCCTAGGCTGGAGTGCAATGGCAGGATCGCAGCTCACTGCAGCCTCAACCTTCTGGGCTGAAGCGATCCTCCCTCCTCAGTCTCCCGAGTAGCTGGGGCTACAGGCGCGTGCCACTACGCCCAGCTAATTTTTTTTGGCTCAAGCAATCTGCCTGCCTCGGTCTCACAAAGTGCTAGGATTACAGGTGTGAGCCACCGCACCTGGCCTTTGAAGTTTACATTTTTACTTGAGATTAAATTCATGTAACAAACAATTAACTACTTTAAAGTGTACACTTCAATGCCATTTATTACATTCACAATGTTGTACAACCACCACCTTTCTTTAGTTTCAAAACTTCATCACTCCAGAAAACACCCCACACCTATGAAGTAATTACTCCCTATTTCCCCCTTCCCTCATCCCCTGGTATCCACTAATTTGCTTCCTGTCGCTATGGATTTGCCCATTCTGGGCATTTCAAATAAATGGACTCATTCATATATTATGTGGTCTTTTGTCTGACTTCTTTACTTAGCATAACATTTTTGCTTTTTTTTTCTTTCTTTCTTCTTCTTCTTTTTTTTTTTTTTTTAGATGGAGTCTTGCTGTTGCCCATACTGGAGTGCAGTGGCCCAATCTTGGCTCACCGCAGCCTCGGCCTCCTGCACTCCTCAAGTGATCCTCCTGCCTCAGCCTCCCAAACTGCTGGGATTCCAGGTGTGAGCCACCGCACTGGGCCAGCATAACATTTTCTTTTCTTAGTATTATTATTTTTTTTAAAAACGGAGTTTCGCACTGTGGCCCAGGCTGGAATGCAGTGGCATGATCTCTGCTCACTGCAAGCTCCACCTCCTGGGTTCACAGCATAACATTTTCAAGGCTCATTCATGTTATAGTATGTATCAGTACTTTGCTCATTTCTATGGCTGAGTATATATAACCATTTATTTATTTATTTTTGAGATGGAGTCTTGCTCTGTCGCCCAGGCTGGAGTGCAGTGGCGCGATCTCCGCTCACTGCAAGCTCCGCCTCCCGGGTTCACGCCATTCTCCTTCCTCAGCCTCCTGAGTAGCTGGGACTACAGGCGCCTGCCACCACGCCCGGCTAATTTTTTGTACTTTTAGTAGAGAAGGGGTTTCACTGTGTTAGCCAAGATGCTCTCGATCTCTTGACCTTGTGATCCGCCTGCCTTGGCCTCCCAAAGTGCTGGGATTACAGGCATGAGCCACCGCGCTGGGCGTTTTTTGGACAGATATCTATTCAAATCTTTACTTTTTTTTTTTTTTTTTGTAGAAATGAGGTCTCAATATATTGCCCAGGCTAGTCTCAAATTCCTGGCCTCAAGTACTTCTCCTGCCTTCACCTCTCTTCACGCTGAAATGACAGGTGTGAGCCACTGCTCCCAACCATTGCCCAGACTGGAGTGCAGTGGTACGATCTTGGCTCACTGCAGCCTCCACCTCCTGGGTTCAATTGAGTCTCCTGCCTCAGTTTCCCAAGTAGCTGGGATTACAGGCATGTGCCACCATGCCCGGGTAATTTTTGTACTTTTAGTAGAGACAGGGTTTCACCATGCTGGCCAGGCTGGTCTCTAACCCCTGACCTCAAGTGATCCTCCCACCTCAGCCTCCCAAAGTGCTGGGATTATAGGCGCCCGCCACCACACCTGGCACATTGCCCATTCTTAATTTTTTTTCTTTTTTTGAGATGGAGTTTTGCTCTTGTCACCCAGGCTGGAGTACAATGGTGCAATCTCAGCTCACCACAATCTCCGCCTCCCTGGTTCAAGCGATTCTCCTGCCTCAGCCTCCTGAGTAGCTGGGATTACAGTCACGCGCCACCACACCTGGCTAATTTTGTATTTTTAGTAGAGACAAGGTTTCTCCATGTTGGACAGGCTGGTCTCGAACTCTCAACCTCAGGTGATCCAACCGCCTCAGCCTCCCAAAGTGCTGGGTTTACAGGCGTGAGCCACTGCGCCTGGCCAATTTTTTTTTTTTTTAATGTTGAGTTGTTCTTTTTATATTCTGGATACTAAACCTTTATCAGTTATATGATTTGCAAACATTTTCTTTTATTCTGTAGGTTGTCTTTTCACATTCTTGAAAATGTTCTCTTTTTTTTTTTGGAGACGGAAAAATGTTCTCTGATGCACAAAATGATGCATTACTATTTTTTATTGAAGCCCAATGTATCTTTTTGTTGTTGTTGCTCATGCTTTGGGTGTCTAATGTAAAAATCCATTGCCAAATTCGAGGTCATGAAGATTTACTCCTATGATTTCTTCTAAGAGTTTATAGTTTTAGCTCTTAGATTTAAATTGTTGACTAAATTGAAGTCAAGCACACATACAGTAAAGTGCACACATCAGTGTGTTCAGCTTAATGACTTTAAAATAATTCATTATTTTTTATTATTATTATTTTGAGACGCAGTCTTGCTCTGTTGCCCAGGCTAGAGTGCAGTGGCATGATCTCAGCTCACTGCAACCTCCGCCTCCCGGGTTCAATAAATACTCTTGTCTCAGCCTCCTGAGTAGCTGGGACTACAGGCATGCGCCACCACACCCGGCTAATTTTTGCATTTTTAGTAGAGATGGGGTTTCACCTTATTGGTCAAGCTGGTCTCTAACTCCTGACCTCAGGTGATCTACCTGCCTCAGCCTCCCAAAGTGCTGGGATTACAGGTGTGAGCCTCCGCACCCCGCCTTATTTATTATTATTTTTAAGACAAGGTCTCACTCTATCTCCCAGGCTGGAGCACAGTGGTGCAATCATAGCTAACTGCAACCTTGTACTCCTGGGCTCAAGCTATCCCCTAACCTCAGCCTCCCAAGTAGCTGGGACTACAGGTCTGCCACCATGCCAATTATTTATTTATTTATTTATTAGTAGAGAGGAGGCTGTTGCCCAAGCTAATCTCAAACTCCTGAGCTTAAGTGATCCTCCCGCCTCCGTCTCTCAAAGTATTGGGATTACAAGTATGAACCACCAAGCCCAGCCTCAATGACTTCTGCATCTATATAAACCCATGTAACTACCACCCTTATCATGATGATGTTTTTAGCAACTCGGAAGGCTCCTCTGAGTCACACTCCCCACCCATAAGTAGCCACTATTCTGACTTCTGTCATCATAGATTAGTTTTGCCTGTTCTTCAACTTCATATACATTTGACCATATGGCACGTTCTCTTTTGGTCCTGGCTTCTTTTAGTCAACATGTCTGCGGGATTCATCTGTGTTACTGAGTGACCTGGTAGCTTGGTCTTTTCTGTTGCTGCATCCCATTGCACAAATATTCCACAATCGGTCTCTCCATTCTCCATTCCCCTGCTGATGACTTGGGGGGCCTTCCAGTTTTGGACTATTATGAATAAGGCTGCCATGAATATCCTTGATACATCCTTTTGGGAGCCAGTTGTATTCATTTCTCTTGGCTATGTGCCTGGGTTGGGAGGAATTATTGGGTCATATGGTTGGTGTACATTCAGCTTGAATCGAATGTACTCTCCACCAGTGCTCCAACATGGATGTACCATTTTGCATCCCACCCATGTTGTTCAATGGGTAACAGTTCCAGTTGCTCCACATCTGGAGATGACTTTTTTTTTTTTTTTTTTTGAAACAGGGTCTTGCTCTGTCACCCAGGCTGGAGGGCAGTGGTGTGATCTCAGCTTACTACAACCTCTGCCCCCCAGGCTCAAATGATTCTCCTGCCTCAGCCTCCCAAGTAGCTGGGACTACAGGCGCCTGCCACAATGGCCATCTAATTTTTGTATTTTGTGGAGACGGGGTTTCATCATGTTGGGCAGGCTGGTCTCGAACTCCTGACCTCAGGTCATCCGCCCACCCTGGCCTCCCAAAGTGCTGGGATTATAGGCATGAGCCATGGCACCTGACCTGGAGATGGCATTTTAATTCACTTCTACAAACATTTATTTTCCTTGGTCCTGGCCCCTTCCTCTCTCCCCTGAATGCTCTCCACAGCTTCCAGCTCAGCACTTCCCACCCTGCAGCCTTAGGGATAGTTTTAATCACAAAAAATTTTAAGAGTCTGAGCATTTCACCCTCAGACTTGGACCTACCCCAGCTGGAATTGCTACCCAGGAAGGCCTGAAGCCTGGGAAGGGATGGGCTAAGGGTGCTTGGCGTACCCTGTGTTCTTTTAGGTTACGTGCTGCCTGGGAGACTTGAGGGGCTAAGAGGATAACACTAGTGGCTCTTGCTCATTGAACACTGATGAACCAGATGCCATTCCAAGTAACATGTTTAATCCTCACAGCAACCCTGTGAGAGAGATGGTATAATACACCCATTTTATGGATCAGGAAATGGAAGCACAGAGAGATTAAGCAACTTGCTAAAAGCCACACAGTGAGGAAGGAAAGTGTGCGGAATCCAGATCCTCGTAAATCTGGCGGGGCTTGGCCGAATGCACAGGATTTTCCTTCATAGGCACCTGCTCACTCTCAGTCCCAGGCTGCCAGACGGAGCCCCTCACCTTTGCACAGATGGCTCCCTCTGCCCAAGGGACCTCCCTTGTCCCCTCACCTGGCTGACTCTTATGCTGCAGCTTTCAGTTTCCCCACCATTTCCTCAGCAAGGTCTTCTGCGAGCCCCAACCCAAGTGAAATCCCTTAATCCCTTATGCAATGAGCAATACAGTCCCCTCGTGCAATGAAGGACATTACCTTTTATTCTCCCTGCTTGGAATAATGTTTGAAGGTATTGCATTTTGGAGACGGATATGCGTGTATCTATATGTATATCTGTATCTGCATCTACCAAGTTGATGGCCATAAAAAGGGGATGTGGAAAATAAATTATTTTATTTTATCATATTTTATTTATTTATTATTTGAGATGAAGTCTTGCTCTGTCGCCCAGGCTAGAGAGCAGTGGTGCGATTTTGACTTACTACAACCTCTTCCTCCTGGGTTCAAGCAGTTCTCCTGCCTCAGCTTCCTGAGTAGCTGGGACTGCAGGCACCTGCCACCATGCCCGGATACTTTTTTGTATTTTAGTAGAGACAGGGTTTCACCATGTTGCCCACGGTGGTCTTGAACTCGTGAGCTCAGGCAATCAGCCCACCTTGACCTCCCAAACTGCTAGGATTATAGGAGTGAGCCACCACACCTGGCCTGGAGAAGAAATTATTTTAAAACGTCGTTTTTATTTTTTATGTTGCTTTACACTAAAACATTTAATTGCATTTCTTTTTCGACCAGGTAATACATTAAGATATTTTAAAATTCAAAAGCTACAAAAGGGGTAGAGTGAGAAGCCTCCCCTCCACTGTAACCAGTTTCTTGCGTATTTTTTCACCCAGAAGGTAGCCTATCTACATCCCGTATCGTTTCTTGCTTTTTGGTTTTCTAATAATAATCTTGGAAGATCTTTCACTGAGTATATGTAGATCTGCCTCGCTGGAAAGAAAAATCTAGCTGAGCACTGTGGCACACGCTTATAATCCTAGCACTTCGAGAGGCTAAGGCAGGAGGATCACTTAAGCCCAGGAGTTGGAAGCTGCAGTGAGCTGTGATCAGACCACTGCACTCCAGCCTGGGCAACAGAGTGAGAGCCTGTCTCACGAAAACGAAAACAAAAGCTACCTCGTCGTGGTTTATCTTACATTCGGTAGAATGCACACTTTGTTAATGTGCTGGTTATGTGTATACACCTGCGTAGCCACGTTCCAATCCAGATACAGAACATTTCCATCCCCCTAGAAAGTTCTCTCCTGCCTCTTTGCAGTCGATTCCCCCACCCCAGGAAATCACTTAACTCATTTCTGTTGTCATCGATTACTTTTGTCTGTTGCAGAATTTCACATCAATGGAATCGTTCACCGCGTGCTCTTTTGTGCCTGGCTTCTGTCCCCCACTGCATGGATGTACCACAGTTTCTTTATCCATTCTTCTGAATTAACTGAACTAAAAGTTGAATGGAGCCAGATGTCGGGGAGGTAGGGACGATTAAAGACTTAGTCCCAGGCGCGTGGTGGCGGGTGCCTGTAGTTCCAGCTACTCGGGAGGCTGAGGCAGGAGAATGGTGTGAACACGGGAAGTGGAGCTTGCAGTGAGCCAAGATCGTGCCACTGCACTCCAGCCTGGGTGACAGAGCAAAACTCTGTCTCAAAAAAAAAAAAAAAGACTTGGTCCCAGGCCAGGGGTGGTGTCTCATGCCTGTAATCCCAGCACTTTGGGAGGCCAAAGGGGGCAGATCACCGGAGGTCAGGAGTTCAAGACCAGCCTGGTCAACATGGTGAAACCCTGTCCCTACTAAAAATACAAACATTAGCTGGGTGTGGTGGTGCACTCCTGTAATCCCAGCTACTTGAGATGCTGAGGCAGGAGAATCACTTGAACCCGGGAGGCAGAGGTTGCAGTGAGCTGAGATCGCGCCATTGCACTCCAGCCTGGCCAATAGAGTGAGACTCCGACTCCAGAAAAACAAAAAACAAAAAAACCCCAGCAACTTCGTCCTCCTGGCCGCAAGGCACTTTCAGCCCAGAGAGGTGGTCAGACACTCAGACTAGTCCTGGTGCTAAGGAGACAGTGCTGGGGGGAGGAGCCAGAGAGTGCCAGGGCCATTACTGGAGCCCCAAAAGGAAGAGTTCTTTCCACCTGTGGTGGGGGTGGGTAGGAGAAGACTTCCTGGCAGACGAGGATTTGGGAAAAATATTCATAAAAAGTGGGGCTCGCTTTCCCTCACCAGCCACCCCTCCAGCCCAGGACTGTGGGGTGAACATCAAAGACACAGCTCCAGCCTGGCTGGGTCTCTAGTAGTTCAAGTGACTTCATTATGTGACTTCGGGTCAGTCTCTTTCCCTCTGGGAGCCTCAGTTTCCCCTTCCTGCAGATGAGTGGTTTACATACTGTGGACCCTGAAACTAGAGGTTTCCATGGAGATGGCAGGGGCCGGGATGAGGTTTTGGGCCCCTCATCCTTGCTTCAGTAAGCATCACTCAGCAGGCAGGAGGGGATCTGGCAGTGGACGACTTGGGTTTGAATTTCAGTTCAGCCACTTCCTGGCTGGGCAAGCTGGGCAATTCCCTAACTTCTCAATGCCTCAGTTCCCTCACTTGTAAAGAGGATGCTGGCCAGGCGCAGTGGCTCACGCCTGTAATTCCAGCACTTTGGGAGGCTGAGGCAGGTGGATCACCTGAGGTCAGGAGTTCAAGACCAGCCTGACTAGCATGGAGAAACCCTGTGTCTACTAAAAATACAAACTTAGCCGGGCATGGTGGTGAATGCCTGTAATCCCAGCTACTCGAGAGGCTGAGGCAGGAGAATTGCTTGAACCTGGGAGGCAGAGGTTGTGGTGAGCCAAGATCGTGCCATTGCACTCCAGCCTGGGCAACAAGAGCGAAACTCCGTCTCAAAAGAAAAAAAAAAGATGCTAATAATCGGACCTGCTTTTCACGGTTGCTGGGGAGTGACTGAGCCATGGCATGGACAGTGCTGAGCATGGCACCAGTACAGTAAGCGATGGATAAATGTTAGTGAGAATTTTCTTGCTGTTTTATTTTGTGCTTTACGGGCAATTTCCTCTGAAGGGAGATATCAGGGGCTCTGCTGTCAGTGCCCAGGATGGATTTGCCTGCTTAGCCTGGCCCCTTAAGTTTCTTGGAGTGGCTCCTGCTTCCTGCAGACCCAGGCTCAGACAGTTGGAGCCTGTCACCCAGTTCTCAGGCTCCCCCTAACTCCTCAGACCTGGGCCATACCCCGACCCAGTACCCCATGGGTGCCAGCTCCTGCTCTGGGCCAGGAGTGGGATGAAACGCCCGTCCTGGATGAAAGGCTGGCAGGCCTGGGCTGGGCCAATAAACCACCCCACCCATCCTGGGAGGACCTCCGGGCACCGGTGTAAACTGAGTCATGGGGGGTGAGGGGGTGAGTCACACAGCCTGGGAGTGGGAGCCAAATGGGACAGAGCTCGCCTGTGTGGGGTCCCTGGCCCCATCTCAAACAGCCACAACTCAGCCCACCTCCAACACCCATCAGGCCCCTGGCCCATGGCAGAGGTAAGTGGGGCCAGACCAGGTTCCCAGAGGGCAGGAGCCTGGAGGCTGGAGTCCCAGCACGCACGCATGTATCTGTGTGTGAGTTTGTGTCATGTGTTGTGAGGGGCGGGTGGCAGACCGGAAAGGGAGGCTCTGACTCGGGAGGAAAGGATGGATTGGGGTTTGGAAAAGAGTCAAAGCCCTGGAGAGATTTTGGCGGGAATGCTTCGCTGCCCTCTCCTGGCCTCTGAGGGTTGGGCTGATTTTCCTGCCTGAACCAGCTTTCTCCCTTTAGGGGAGGGAGGAAGAGGAACTGGGCCCTGGTGGGTGACCTCCCCGTCCTCTAGGGTCTACAGAGGGCAGACTCGGTCGGAGGAGGGAAGATCCCCAGAAGCCAATTTGGGCTTCGCCCCAGAAAGGTCTTTACCCTCGGGGCCAGAGCTGCTCAGGGACCAGGGACAGAGCTCCCTGGGACACGGGTGTGTACAAGGACTCTTGGGAGTTGTGGAGGTCCCCAGAGCATTTCTAGCCTTGACCTTGGCCAAGTTGCCAAGTTATTTAACCTCTTTCTGCCTCAGTTCCCTCATGAGTAAAAGGAGGAGGTCTGTGAGGACCATAATGAGTTAATGCAGCTGAACTGCTTAGGGTGTGCCTGGCACAGAGTAGGTCTGTATACAGGTTTGCTGTTTTTCTTTTTCTAGACAGGTTTGCCAGGCTGGAGTGCAGTAGCTGGATCATGGCTCACTGAAGCCTTGACCTCCCAGGCTCAAGCGACCCTCCTCCCTAATAGCCTCCTGAGTGCTGGGAGTATAGGAATGTGCCACCATACCTGGCTTTTTTTTTTTTTTTTTTGGTAGAGATGGGGGTCTCATTGTGTTGCCCAGGCTGGTCTTGAACTCCTGGGCTGAAGCAATCCTTCCGCCTCGGCCTCCCAAATTGCTGTTACTATAAATATGAGCCACCATGCCCAGCCCATGTTTACTTTTACTATTTGAGCCTGTTTTCTTATCTATAAAATGGGTAAGAAAGGACCCCTGAGGGAGGTGGCCCTTGTACAGGTTTCTCTCTGGTCTCAGTCTCTGGTTTTATTCCCTGGGAAGTTGCCCCCTAAGCCCTGCCACCCTGCCTGACTCTATCTCCCTGGGATTTTTTCCCAGTAAGCAAAGGAAGATGGGGTTGGTGGGCTTCTCAGCTGGGTGTCCTCAGGTTTACCCCTAGGTGCCTGGGGGATGTGTGTCAGAGGAGTGGGGAGTTTCCCTCCTCAGATGAATCAGCTGTGTGACCTGATCCTCATCCCTGCCAGAGCCCCTCCCAGCCGGCAAGAGTGGGGCGCAGCTGCCCCACTGGGAAAATCCCCCAAATCCTGCCAAAGCTCTTGCTGAAGCGTTCTCTTGACTCAGCTGTTTTAGTCCTCTTTGAGTCTGCCCAAGTTCCAACAGGAGTCAAGTCGGGCAGATTCTCTCCTTCCCTGGACAGACCCTCTGGAGCCTCCTCCCTGGGGTCTGGGGTTTGCAGTATGTGGGAGTGGGAGGAAAAGGAGTTGGGGCTTTTTCCTGGCCTCAGTCACCCTTCCCCTGGTTTTATAAAAGGAGCAGAGCACAGGACTTGTCCAAGTTTGCCCAGCACCCCCTGGGCCAAAGGCACTTCCCTGCTCCAAGGTAGGAACAGGCCAGCCAAATAGGGCAGAACTCACTGCCAGCCTGAGGGGGTGGGTTTTGGGGGGCCATTGACCTGGCAGGGGGCCAGTTCCCACTGTAGACCTGGAGACCCTTCCTGCCCAGTAGGCTTCGTCATTGCACTCTCTAGGCCTCAGTTTTTTCATCGGTAAAAAAAGGGACTTTCGGCGGGGCATAATGGCTCATACCTCTAATCCCAGCACTTTGGGAGGCAAAGGTGGGCGGATCACCTGAGGTCAGGCGTTCGAGACCAGACTGGCCAACATGGCAACCCAGGAGGCGGAGGTTGCAGTGAACCGAGATCATGCCACTGTACTCCAGCCTGAGTGACAGAGTGAAACTCCGTCTAAAAAAAAAAAAATAGACTCTCAGTTTTGGCCCAGCTTCTCTCCCAGGTGGTTCTGAGGACCCAACCTCCTGTGTGCTTTAGAAACCAGATGCTGAGTCCTGCAGGGTCTCATCTATCCTTGCAGCCCCCACCCCAACAGCACTTCGATAAAGTGGAGGTTCAACAGTGCATAAGGTGCCCTGGAGTTGGATGAACTGGGTTTGAATCTTGGCTCTGCCACTTACTTTCTTCATAACCTTGAGCCAATTATTGAACTTGTCTGGGTCTCAGTTTCCTCTTTTGCAAAATGGCAATAATAATAGAGCCAGGTGAAACTTAGATGAAATCATGTAGGTAAACGCTTAGCACCGTGCCTGGCTCTTGTCATGAATAGAATGAGGAAACTGAGGCCCAGAGAGAGAGTGGCTTTCATTCACTCACTCATTTATTCAAGAATGTTTGGCTGAGTGCAGGGGCTCATATTTGTAATTCCAGCACTTTGGGAGGCTGAGGTGGTAGGATCGCTTGCGCCCAGGAGTTCAAAGCTGCAGTGAGCCATGATCATGTCATCGCATTCCAGCCTGGGCAGCATAGCAAGACCCTATCTCAAAAAAGAGGCCGGCCGCGGTGGCTCACGCCTGTAATCCCAGCACTTTGGGAGGCCGAGGCGGGAGGATCATGAGGTCAGGAGATCGAGACCATCCTGGCTAACACGGTGAAACCCCATCTCTACTGAACATCCAAAAAATTAGCCAGGCGTGGTGGCGGGCACCTTGTAGTCCCAGCTGCTCGGGAGGCTGAGGCAACAGAATGGAGTGAACCCGGGAGCCGGAGCTTGCAATGAGCCGAGATTGCGCCACTGCACTCCAGCCTGGGTGATAAAGCGAGACTCATCTCAAAAAAAAAAAAATGTTAATTTGGCATCTGCACTAGGTTGGGCCCTATGCCGGATGCTGGAGGATAAAGCATTGTCACTGTCTGAAGGGATCTTACATACAGATGAGAGCAGCAGGCAGGCGGGAGCTGTGGGAGCCTAGGGGACATGCCTGCAACACTTGGGGTGAGGAAGGATCCGGAAGCATCCTGAAGAATTACACCTGAGCCAGTGGGTCTGCAACGTGGCGCCAGCCAGGGAAGTGGGCGAGGGTAAGCTAAGCAGAGGCTACGGCACCAGCAAAGGCGTGAAAGTGAGAAAGGCCACCATGTGTACAAGAAAGTCACACGCAGCTCAACGTTCTTGGACAAGGAGTGCAAAGCAGGGAATGGAGATGGGATGAGGCAGAAGGGTCCAGCAGGGGCTGGAGTCGCCAATTACCTCATTCATTCATGTAATAACTTACGGAGTCGTTGTTCTGGCCAAGCACTGTGGTAGGCTCTGGGAACAGGGCTGAGATCTAGCCACTGTTCCTGCCTTCACAGAGCACAGTGTGGGCATGGGGCTTAGGGGCCAGCAGGAGACAGACATCAAGCCATTACACAAGTCACCACACACTCTGGCCATCAGGGCTGCAAGGCAGGTGCTCGAGCAGAAGGAACAGCCCGAGGCCCAGGGCTGTGCACCAGGGGGTGAAGGAAGTAACAGATGGCTCCAGCTGGGTGAGCATGGGCAGAAAGGGGTGCCCGAGGGAAGCGGGGAAGTCTATGGGAACCAGGTCACGGCCAGTGCAGGAGAGCAGACTCCATCCTGCAGGCTGTGGGGAGCCATGGAAGGGCTTTTGGCAGGACATGGCCACTCTGCAGGAGGGATCTGTTGACCTGGCTGTGGAGAACGGAGCGGGGACAAGAGGAGGGTGGAAGTGGCTTGGGAGACGGTGAGTTGTGGGCTGGGGCAAGGCACAGGGATGAAGAGGGGCTGTGTGTGTGACACACTCAGCTATGGAAGAAGCCAGTGCTGTTGACCCCACTTGGGCATCTCTGTGGGACCCATGAGGTACCTTGGCCCACTTTGGTGGAGTGCAAGGCCCTGGCAGCCCGAGGGAGGCAGAGCACCAGGCTCCAACTCGGAGACCACCCAGCTCTGGGGACTTCCCAAGGCTGGGCAGAGGGGGACTCAGCCCTGGGGAAGCTCAGGGTGGGGAGGAAGCTGGAGAGAGCACTGAGCCAGCATCTCATGACTCAGCCACTTCCACCCAGTCAGCCCGGTGGCATCTCCGCTCCCCTGCTCTAAATTCCGATTCGGTGAGACTGCTGGAGGCTGAGTCAGTCCCGGCACGGCACGAGAGCTGTGTCCCAAGGGGCTCCCTGCCAGACACCCTGGCCCCCAATCAAGGCCAGGGCCAGGCACGGGGCTGGAGAGGTGGCGGGGTGCAGGAGCCAGGCTCCAAGGCTACAGCAAGTCCCAGCAGAGTGGGGCGGCCCAGTGAGATCACGTAAGTGAACATGCTTTGTGAGTTATGAAAAGCTCCCTGTTTTCCTCAGTGGGCTCAGGGACCTCATTGCCCGAGGAAGGGACTGGGATGCAAGTCCTAGCTCTGCCCACCTCATCGCATGACACTGAGAAAACTCCTTTCCCCTCTTGGCTTCAATTTCCTTGACCACAGAATGGGGCCAACATCTCCCAAAGGGGTTGGGAGAATTAAATTTAATGCATATGAAAGCGCTTTGCAAACTGTCTAGTGGGCCCTATGATGGTCAGGGTGGTAGGAGAGGAGAGTATGAATGGCAGGGCTTCCAGAGAGACTACCTAGGGTTGTGCAGGTTGTTCACTGCACAAGGATGTCTAGCCTAAGGTGCTGAAATCCAGCCCATCCCATCCTCTGCTCCCCAAACCGCGTACCCCGGCCTAGGACTGCTTGGACTTGGTACCTTTCTCTAATATGCACAAATGCACCCTGAGGGCTAGCAGTGGCCCCTTAGACGTTCCTGGAGGGGTCAACCCCTGGAATTATGGGAAATCTCTGAGAAACTGATTACGGATGGAGGGGAAGTGGGGCTGGTTTTGCAGAGGTTCTTAGAGACAGTGCCTAACCTCAGCAGTGAGGCACAACTTATTGCTAGGGGCAGCTATGGGGGCCTGGCCGGGTCAAGGGGGTAGTCTCTCCTGGCCCTGCCCCTCCCTAGCAACGAAAGCAGGTAACCACCAAGACAGTATTTTAAAAAACACTCAAGACACAGACCCAAGCCGGGTTTTATTGAAATGCCAGGAGCAGGCACATGTCAAAGTAGCCAAGGAAGGGGGGACAGTGGTACAGGCTGTGTAAGTTGGCAGGGATGGGCAAGCCTCATGTCCATGGTCCTGGCATCCCCTCTGCCAGGGGATAAGTAGGCACAACTACCCTCCCCTCAAAATGGCATGCTCAGGCCAGTGGGGCCCCTACCCCTGGACCATGAAGGCTCCAAGAAGGGCTGGAAGCACTAAGTTTTCTCTCTCCTGAGGGGGAAGGAAAGAAGGGGAGATGCAGGAGGAAGGGGAGGTATAGCGGGGGATGAGCGTTCCAAGAAGTCTCTCCTTCTAGGTGTCTGCACCCAACTCATGGTGCTGGGCAGTGGAGAGGAGCAGCATTACAAAGGGAGGCTGAAGGCTCATCCCTCAGGGAACCGGAGCCCCCCAGCCTGTGGGGCTTGTGTCAGCCCTGAACAGAGGGCAGAAGTTCAAGGGGACTGAAGATGCAGGTAGTTCCCAAGTGACCTAGGAGTCCCCAGAGCTGGGGGGTGTGGCCTTCATAGGACAAGGAGGAAGACAGGAGGATCCAACCCCAGCATGGAGGGGGGAGTGGGCAGTCTCCCCAATTTGGCCCCCCTAGGTCAGTTCCACGTTGTTGGCACGGTCAAGCACTCGGGAGCCACGGGCACTACCCCCAAGCTGGAAACGGCTCTCATAGAGAGTGGGGCAGAGGTGCCAGCGATTGGCCCGGTAGATGCCCAGGTAGGTGTAGACATCAGGCTTGTAGGTGAGCAGGCACTTAATGCCCGCTGCACGGATGGCTGAATCCGCCTCCAGTACACCCAAGCGGTCCGTGAAGTCGTCCGTGTAAACACAGATGACCTGGCGCCCACCCTCCTTGGCACGTGGGCTCACCTTGGCCACCTGAAGCTGGCCTTCAACCACGGCCCGGGCAATGCCAGCCCAGGCGTGGTCCAGCTTGAAGCCCGGTGCCAGATGCATAAGCCACTTGCCCGAGAGCACGTGGTGGGTGATGGCGAGCTGGCGCAGGGTACCCGGTGTGATGGGCCGCCCACTGGTCTGCAGAGCTTCCCAGGCTGCCTGCAGGCCCTGCACGTCCCCGGAGTTGGGGCTGTAGCCCTGCCCATACACTGCAATCCAGCCCACAGGCTCTGAGTTGGGTGAACCGGGGTCCCCATAGCGGGTAACTTGGGATGGTGGGTACTTGGCCAGCCAGGCATCCAGCTCAGTGGCAGGCGTTGTGCGGGCATCAAACACTAGCCAGGGGTCCATGTCAGCTGCCATGGCCTCTGCAGCCAGGTGCTCGGCGGTGAAGCCATCCTCACGGCCACCTGGAGAGCCCTCCTCTTCCAGCTCCTCACCTGGTTCCATCCTGCTGTGAGGGAACCGAGTCAGGGCAGGGTCTGAGACAATAACTACAGATGCCAGGCACTGGATTAAACTGTGGCCTTGAGTAAGAGTTACTGTCGATGCGCCTCAGTTGCCTCATCTTTACAATGGGATAACAACTGTTCCTGTCCCGTAGATCTGCTATGAAAATTAGATGCCTGAGGAGTCAGCGCTCCAGAAGGGTTGCTGCAGTTATTACTATTCTCCTTGACTTACAGAAAAGGAAACTGAGGCTGAGAAAAAGGACTTGCCCAAGGTCACACCTGCAGTGCGTGGCAGGGCCGAAGGGTGAATCCAGGCGTGGGAGCAACCAGCCCCAGCTACACCTCCCGGCCCTGCCAAGGCCCCCTTTTCCTGGCAGGTATCCGGTGCGCTGGCATTTAATAGAGGAACGCAAAGAAGCGCACGTTCGCGCAGCTCCCGAGGCCGGCTCTGTAAGGCCAGGCCTCCCAGGCAGGCGTTATCGGGCCCACTTACAGACGAGGACGCTGAAGTCCAGAGAGGTTACAGGCCGTTCCGAGGCCAATGGGGCGGTTCCCAGACTCGAACCAGGGCTTGTTAGAGCCTGCAGGAGAGCCAGGCTCCGGCCGTGCCGCGCCCGCCGCCATTAACGCCCACGGGCCCGAGCTGTGCTCCCGCCCCGGCCCTGCCCTGCCCCTCCCGCCGCCCGCAGTCACCTCCGGCCTTCGCTGCGTTCGACGCCGGCCCAGCCCCGGGCCCGGCTCCGCTCCTGCCGTGGCTCCGCGCCACCGCCACCGCGCCCCACCCCCGCCACGGCCGCCGCCGCCGCCGCCGCCATCTTAGCGCCGCGCCACCTCAACAACAACTTTATAGACAGGCGCAGCCACAGGGCGGAGCCGCGGGCCTCAGCGGCCGCAGCGGCCGCGCTGTGGGGCGGGGCCGGCAGGGGAAGGGGCGGGGCCGACGGGGAGGTGCTGACTCGGGGGCGGGGCCATCGCGGGAACCCCGGGAGGGGCGGGCCGCGGGGGGCGGGGCCAACGTTCGCTCTTCTGGCCTTGGGGGCGGGCGGGAGCGGCGGTCCAGACTGGGGAGGGACGCGCACCGGCCAGGAGGCTTCAAGAGGAGGGCACTAGGGCCCTGCGAGCGGCGTCTTAACCGGCGGCGCTAGGACTCCGCGGGAAACGGCGGGGGCGGAGCGGGCGGCACCAGGACCCAGGGGAACCGCGACGGGCGGGCGGCGAGCAGGCCCGGGAGCCGGGAGGCTGCGGGCGGCGGCGCTGGACCCGACGCGGCGAGAGAGGCCCCGAGATGCCGAGCAAGAAGAAGAAGTACAACGCGCGGTTCCCGCCGGTGAGCACGTGGCAGAGCCCGGCAGGAGTGGGCCCGGCTCCCGGGTGGCTTGGGCCCAGTTCCCGCTGGGCAGGCGGGCGCGCCGCGGTGTTCGGGGGCCTGGACGCCCCGCCCCCTCCATGCCCTCCCCGCGTCCGTGTCCCCCGCCCCCTTTCTCCGGGGATGCCCCTTCCTCCCCCAGCACCCCCTTAGGGGACGGTGGCGACGGGGTCTGAACTCTGCTCCCCCACCCGCAGGCGCGGATCAAGAAGATCATGCAGACGGACGAAGAGATTGGGAAGGTGGCGGCGGCGGTGCCTGTCATCATCTGTATCCTGCCGGGGGCGGACCGGGTCGAGGGGCGTGGGGGAGGGAGGCAGCGGGTCGCCCTCTCCTGCCCCGGAGTTCTCCTTGACGCTCCTCAGCCCGGGCGCTCGAGCTCTTCCTAGAGTCGCTGTTGAAGAAGGCCTGCCAGGTGACCCAGTCGCGGAACGCGAAGACCATGACCACATCCCACCTGTGAGCGGCGAGGAGCCGGGAGGGGCCGGCGGGTTTGGCGCGGGGAGTTCACACACTGAGGAAGGCAGAGCCTGGGTGGCGAGGGAGGTGGGCGGCAGCCGGGACACCAGCAAGGCCACAGACTGGCAGAGGAGAGGCTGGGCTTCCAGGCAGAGGGAGCCACCTGAGTAAAGCAGGGCAGGCCCGGGAGCGGAGATCGGCCCGGGCTCCAGCCTGACATCTGGGGCCCCTTGCTGCCACCCACTGCGGGTTTGGGTGTCTGGGCCCCTCTTGAGTGCCAGCCCCTCCTCACCTCTTCCAGGAAGCAGTGCATCGAGCTGGAGCAGCAGTTTGACTTCTTGAAGGACCTGGTGGCATCTGTTCCCGACATGCAGGGGGACGGGGAAGACAACCACATGGATGGGGACAAGGGCGCCCGCAGGTGGGGCCAGGGCCTGGCATACAGTGGGGAAGGCCAAGGCCACAGGGCTTGGGGGTGGCCAAGGAGTAGGGAGCACTCCGGGCAGATGGACTGTACCTTCCCAAAGGGGCCGGAAGCCAGGCAGCGGCGGCCGGAAGAACGGTGGGATGGGAACGAAAAGCAAGGACAAGAAGCTGTCCGGGACAGACTCGGAGCAGGAGGTGAGTGAGGCCCCAGCCCTTCGCCCTGCCCTTGGTGATGGGACAGGCAGCCTCGCCCCAGGCTGAACTGGCAGGAGGCCAGCTCTCATCCTTTTCTGCAACCTGTTTGCTCACTGGTTTATTTGTAAATTGGGGCTATGAGGGTCTACTGCTGTCCCTGCCACTCCCAGTGATGGGTTCGTGTCTTTTCTTGTCAACTCTGACCTCTGCGGTGCTCACAGGATGAATCTGAGGACACAGATACTGATGGGGAAGAGGAGACATCACAACCCCCACCCCAGGCCAGCCACCCCTCTGCCCACTTTCAGAGGTGAGCAGCCCAGAGGCATGGGAGGGTGCTGGCAGACTCCCCAGAGCCAACTTACCCCTCTTGTTCTCCCTGGCCCCTTGGTCTTGTTGATTGTGGCAGATTTGTGGGGTGGAAGGAGAATAACTGAGGAGGGCTTGAAGGCAGGAGACTGTTCTCCCGAAAGATCCTGCTCCACCCTGCCAGGGCCCGTGGGTGGGGCCTGGGCCTGCCCTGCGTGAGCTGCCCTGGGCCTTGGCCGCATGGATCTGGAGGGTGGTGGTGGGAGGGTCAGATGGGGGAGGGAGGGTCTTGGCAGCTGCCCCTGTGGAGGGCACGGTGGGGCTCAGGCCTGACTCTCTCCTGCCTTCTGCCCTGCAGCCCCCCGACACCCTTCCTGCCCTTCGCCTCTACTCTGCCTTTGCCCCCAGCGCCCCCGGGCCCCTCAGCACCTGATGAAGAGGACGAAGAAGATTACGACTCCTAGCGCCTTCTGCCCCCCAGACCATAGCCCCTTTTAGTTGGTTTTAGTTGCTCTGGGGGGAGGAGAGAAGGTAGAGCTGTTCTTAAATTTATTAAAAAAAAAAATAAAAGGGAATCTCAGTGTCTGTTCCAGGCTCTGCGCAGGACGTCATGGTTGCCATCCCATCCACCCACCTGCCTTCCCCACATGAAACTGGGAGCTGGGGCCGGGTGCGGTGGCTCACGCCTGTAATCCCAACACTTTGGGAGGCTGAGGCGGGCAGATCACCTGAGGTCAAGAGTTCAAGACCAGCCTGGCCAACATGGTGAAACCCCGTCTCTACTAAAAATACAAAAATTAGCTGGGTGTGGTGGTGCATGCCTGTAATCCCAGCTACTAGGGAGGCTGAGGCAGGAGAATCGCTTGAACCTGGGAGGTGGAGGTGGCAGTGAGCTGAGATCACGCCACTGCACTCCAACCTGGGCAGCAGAGTGAGACTCCATGTCAAAAAAAAAAAAAAAAGAAACTGGGAGCTGGGGCCGCGTCAGTGGCAGGTGAGGTGGCAGCGAGGGGAGAGAGGGGTCATCCGGGGAGGCTGGAGGCCCTGGGTCTGCTGAGTGCACCACAGCTGCGGACAGAAGGGAGTTGGGAGAGCTTGCAAGTGCTGGGCATGCGGGGGACACTTGCCACGTGGTGCTGCTGACCCCCGGTGGGCTGCTGACCCCCGGCGGGCTGCTGCCCTGCTCTGAGCAGCCCCTTGTCTCTCTGATGGAGACTGTTCTGCCCCCTGTAGTCTGCTGTGAAGGGATAAGTGGGACAGGGAACAGGTACAGGTCTTGGAAACTGTAGAGTCCTGTGTCCAGTGTAGTGAAGGGCAGGTGGAAAGGAGCAAACATAGAGAGATGGTGGAGGGTCTTGAAGGTGGTTTTTGAGCAGGGCAGTGACACAGTCTGTTCATCCAGATAACCTTTCAGAGCAGACCCAGGAGCTGTGCTGCCTGTAAAGCAGAGGTACTCGGTGAGGCTGGGGAGGGCGCAGGTGGCCCACATGGGGCCTCCTGGAGCCCGCAAGGCATTCAGTTTTAAAGGTCTGCTGGCATGGTGGCATATGCCTATGGTTCCAGCTGCTTGGGAGGCTGGGACAGGAGTTCCAGGCAGCAGTGAGCCATGATTGCACCACTGCACTCCAGCCTGGGCAACAGGAGCAAAACTCCATCTCAAAGAAAAAGAGTCTGACATCCCCAAGTACTGCAGAGGAAGAGGCTACACGGCACTCATACACAGCTGGTGGAAATGTCAGTAAGTACAACCACTTCGGAAAACCGTTCAGCAGTTTCTTATTAACACACACACTTCCCCTATGACCCAGCAATTCCACTCCTAGGTAGCTACCAAGAGAGATGGTGGCATAGGGCCACTGGAAGACATGTACAAGCCTGTAGCCCCAAACTGGAAACAGCTCAAATGCCCATCAGCAAGAGCAGGAATAAGTAAATGGTGGAATGTTGTATGATAGAACAGCAGTAAAAGGAACCACTGTCAATGCAACTCCCTGGGTAGATCTTGTAGACCTTACGTGGAGCAAAAGAAGCCAAACAAAAAAGTACATGGGCCAGGTGCAGTGGCTCACACTTGTAGTCCCAGCACTTTGGGAAGCCAAGGTGGGCAGATCGCTTGAGCTCAGGAGTTCAAGACCAGCTTAGGTAACATAGTGAGACCCTGTCTCTACAGAAAAATACAGACATTAGCTGGGCATAGTGGGGCCCGCCTATAATCCCAGCTACTCAGGAGGCTGAGGTGGGAGGATGGCTTTAACCCAGGAGGTAGAGGCTGCAGTGAGCTGAGATTGCTCCACTGCACTCCAGCCTGGGCGACAGAGTGAGACCCTGCCTCAAAAATTAATTAGTAAAAATGAAAAAGAGTACACCCTGATGTAATTCATTTAAGCCAAGCTCAGGAACAGGAAAAACTAATCAACAGTGATGGAAGTCAGTACATCCATAAGGGGTGGGGATTGGCTGGGGGTCGGGTACAGGGAGCCTTCTGGAAGTGTTCTTCAACTTGACCTGGGTTATGTATAAAACGATTAAGCTGTACACTGAAGATTGGTGCACTTCTTTGATACCTTCCTAAAAGTTTTACTTAATCTTTATCTATCTATTGAGACCCTATTGCACACCAGACACTGTTCTAGGTAGTAGCGATCAAGTGAACAAAATGTTCTTGGAGTTTATTTCTGAAGTGGTGAGACAGACAATAAAGATGTATCATGCCAGTCATGGTGGCTCACACCTGTAATCCCAGCACTTTGGGAGGGTGAGACGGGTGGATCGCCTGAGGTCAAGAGTTCGAGACCAGCCTGACCAACATGGTGAAACCTCGTCTGTACTAAAAATACAAAAAATTAGCCGGGTGTGGTGGCAGACGCCTGTAATCCCAGCTACACGGGAGGCTGAGGCAGGAGAATCGCTTGGACCCGGGAGGCGGAGGTTGCAGTGAGCCAAGATTGTGCCATTGCACTCCAGCCTGGGCAACAAAAGCGAAACTTCGTCTCAAAAAATAAAAGATGAATCGCATGTCGGATGGTGATCCATGCTGTGGGGAAAATAAATAAAGCAAAACAGGCGATCCAGGGTGATAAGGGAGGCCTGCATCCTTTTTTTTTTTTTTTTTAGAGACGGAGTCTCGCTGTGTCTCCCAGGCTGGAGTGCAGTGGCACGATCTCAGCTCACTGCAATCTCCACTTCCTGGGTTCAAGCGATTCTCCTGCCTCAGCCTCCCGAGTAGCTGGGATTACAGGTGCCTGCCACCACGCCCAGCTAATTTTTTGTATTTTTAGTAGAGACGAGGTTTCACCATATTGGCCAGGCTGGTCTCAAACTCCTGACTTTGTGATGTGCCTGCCTCGGCCTCCCAAAGTGCTGGGATTACAGGCATGAGCCACAACACCCAGCTTTGGGGGGCCAGCATTCTTAACTGAGTTCAGGCAAGACTCTGGTGACAGTGAGCATGGAGTGGGCGGGCTCACAGCCTTCCGTGGGGAGAGGGCTCCAGGGAGAGGGAACAGCAAGGGCAAAGTCTGGGAGAATTGGATTTAATCTGTCAGTTTCCCTGTGGTCTCCTCTGCTCCCACTGCGTCAGCCACCACCCAGGGCCTGACTCAGGGGCCACCAGCTCTGGACTCAGCCCACCTTAGCTGGGAGGTGTCCTTGTGGCACTGACAGCCCCTTGGGCCTGAGAAGCTTGGTGCAAAGGGAGAAGGAAGAAGCATGGGGCACCTACCACACCCCTGCCCTGGGTGCTGCTGGACCTGGGGCCCCAGAGGCTGGGGAAGGAGGCAGAAGGGGAAGGAGAGTTGAATGACTGAGTGAACCTGCTCGTCCTCTCCCAGCCTCATCCCTGGCCTGGTCAGGGAGCTGACGTGCTATGGGATCTCTTGATTTCCCCTTTCCCTCTCTGGGCTTTGCCCTCCACAGCCATGAAATAGGTCTGCGGATGCCTCCCCCGTGGTTGATGGGAGGCAGGAGGCGTTGCAGCAGCACGTTGCTCTGTGCTTGTCAGGTGTGAGGCCACCATCAGTTTCCCTGCACCCCCGAGCCCTCCTCTAGGAGAGATGTCCTCATACCCCCACCTTATGGATGAGGAGACTGAGGCTCTAGAAGTGACATAGTGGCCCAGAGGTAGGCAGGGGTTTGGTCTAGGCATGTATGTCGTCCAGGACTTGGAGAGGTGGAGTTAACAGCTTAACCCCCAATACACACCCGAGGGCCATCCCTTTCTCTGGAGCAGGGACACTTGGCTCCAGGACATAGACACGACCAAATTCCCACTCAATTAGGCTATGGGCCCTGAGGCAGGGGACTGGCACCCGTGCTCTGGACAATCTACCAGGGGCCTGGTCCCTCCCCTCTTTGGTGCAGGGCCTTTGATGAGAGTGGGTCTGGACTTTCTCGGGGGGCTCCTTGTATCCGGAGAGTGACAGGGCTATGTGACTGCCACCTCCCATCATCAGAGTGAACTATTTCTATTCTGAAATCCCATTTTTCCTATTGTGTGTTCAAATGTCGTTTTAAAAAATGGAATAAGGACTAAGATTTTTGCCAGTAATCAGAGAGCTGCAAAGAAAAACAGGATCCCACACAATGCCCATCAGATAAAACTGAAAACCGGATAAAACCTGTTGCTAGTGAGGATGCCAGTGAATGGAATTCTGGCATTTGGTAGGCATGTAAGTTAGTGGGGATGTTTGAAAGGGCATTTTGGCAGTTGTGTGTCCCCTGGCAGGTCCACTCCTGGGTTAAACCTCTCACAAGCAGAGAGATGTGTCCTAGGCATGGTTTGAGGTGGCAGAAAAATCAGTGTCCATCAATGGAGAACTGCCTGGGCAGAAGGCAACAGGGATAGAGCTTAAATGCAGAGTGCTGAGTGACAAATAGTCAAATAGAGAACAAGAAACAAAAAACGCAGACATACATGAGAATCCTTTATACGGCATTTCTGCCACTTACTCTGTTACCTTGGACAAGTGACTTTAAGCTGTCTCTACCTCTGTTTTCTTTTTTCTTTTTCTTTTCATTTTTTTGAGACAATCTCTCTCTCTGTCGCCCAGGCTGGAGTGCAGTGGAGCAGTCTTGGCTCACTGCAACCTCCACCTCCCAGGTTCAAGCGATTCTCCTGCCTCAACCTCCTGAGTAGCTGGGACTACAGGTGCGTGCCGCCATGCCCGGCTAATTTTTGTGTTTTTAGTAGAGACAGGGTTTAGCCATGTTGGCCAGGCTGGTCTCAAATTCCTGATCTCAAGTGATCCGTCAGCCTCGGCCTCCCAAAGTGCTGGGATTACAGGCATGAGCCACCGTGCCTGGCCTGTTTTCTTTTATAAATAAATAAAAGAAAGGCAAGGGAATGGTACTTGTGATCCAGACCCTCCACCACGGGTCTGGTCCCTCCCCTTTTTGGTACAGGGCCTTTGATTAGGGTGGGTCTGGACTTAAACACAGGTGTGTGTGTGGAACAGGGCATGGAGAGGTGAAGTTAACAACCTATCCCGCCACACCTGAGGCCATTCCTTCCAAGTTACAGGGATGCTCGGCTCCAGAACATGGACGAGACCGTATAGATACAAATATATATGTATATGTCTCTATATACACAAATATATGTATTTTTATATGTATATGTGTGTGCCTATATATGTGTGTATATATATGTGTGTGTGTGTATGTGTGTGTATATATATGTACACACATATATATATGTATATATATATTTTTTGAGACATGGGATCTCACTTTGTTGCCCAGGCTGGTCTCAAACTCCTGACCTCAAGTGATCCACCCTCCTCAGCTTCCCAAAGTGCTGGGATTACAGGCATGAGCCACCCCACCTGGCCTCTACCTCTGTTTTCTTTTCTTTTTTTGAGGCGGAGTTTCTCTCTTGTCACCCAGGCTGGAGAGCAGTGGTGCTATCTCGGCTCACCACAACCTCCGCCTCTCAGGTTCAAGCGATTCTCCTGCTTCAGCCTCCCGAGTAGCTGGGATTACAGGCATACGCCACCACACCCGGCTAATTTTGTATTGTTTTTAGTAGAGACAGGGTTTCTTCATGTTGGTCAGGCTGGTTTCAAACTCCTGACTTCAGGTGATCCGCCCGCCTCGGCCCCCCAAAGTGCTGGGATTACAGGCGTGAGCCACCTTGCCCAGCCTATCTCTATTTTCTAATCTGTAAAACGGGGATCATAATAGCACCTCCTTCAGGGACATGTGATGGTTTCATGAGATATGATATGTAAGTCGCTCAGCACAGTGCCTGGCATACAGTAAGCACCCAATAAATGGTGCCTGCTGTTATGGACATTTATGGAAATAAGATCCTGGAAAGCAGATTGGAAGGGCATGTACTAAACAGACAAGGGGATGTCGTGGCTCAAAGCAGCAGGAGTAGGACTGGGATGCAGGGAAGGGGAGAGTCCATTGAAAGGGGAAGCTTTAGGCTGGGTGTGGTGGCTCAAGCCTGTAATCCCAGCACTTTGGGCAGCCAAGGTGGGCGGATCACCTGAGGTTGGGAGTTCCAGACCAGCCTGACCATCATGGAGACACCCCATCTCTACTAAAAATACAAAATTAGCCGGACATGGTGGCGCATGCCTGTAATCCCAGCTACTCGGGAGGCTGAGGCAGGAGAATTGCTTGAACCCGGGAGGCGGAGGTTGCGGTGAGCCAAGATCGTGCCATGGGACTCCAACCTGGGCAACAGGAACGAAACTCCATCTCAAACAAACAAACAAACAAACAAAAAAGAAAAGAAAAGGGAAGCTTTTCAGGGCCCTATGGCTGCATGGAGTGCCCCAAACTAAGGCGCATGTCTGCTTGATTCTATGCACCCTGTGTTGAAAAAACAGAAAAGACATTGTCAGAATGGGCCCAACCTCAGGGGACAGCATCACATAGGGCAGGGTAAAGCATGGCCCTGCAGGATTCATGGGATCATACATTGTCTTCATTCAGTCACTCAAGAAATATTTGCTGAGTACCTACTCTGTGCCGGGCCCTGCTCTGGGCTTGGGGAAGGTGAACTCAGAGAAAACACACAGAGCCTCTGCTCCCTAGCTCAGTCCAGTTGGGGGAAGGGGCAGCAGACTGATGGTAAACAAATAGGTACATTCACGCCTCTCCAGGGGTAGTGGGGAGAGGGGACCCCGAGGAGGCCAGCGTGTTGAAGCCGCAGCAAGCAAGTGGGTGGGCAGGGCCCTGGTTCCTCCAGGGGGGTGCGGCTGCCCTGTTTTTAGCCACAGATGCTCTTCCATTCCAGCCTGGTGCCCAGAGTCGGTTTCACTTTCCTCTTACCCGTTTTCTTAGAGTTTGGTTTCTGTTTTGTGGGTTCCCTGCCCCCCTTCCGCCTTTGTCTGGAGTTGCAGATTAGCCTAGTGGTTCTCAACCCTGGCTACATCTTAGAACCCTGGGGAGCTTTTTTTTCTTTTTTTCTTTTTTTTTTTTTTGAGACAGGGTCTCATTCTGTCTCCCAGACTGGAGTGAAGTGGCGCGATCTTGGCTCACTGCAACCTCTGCCTCCCAGGTTCAAGTGATTCTCCTTTCTGCCTCAGTCTCCCCAGTAGCTGGGGAGGCTACTCGCCACCACGCCTGGCAATTTTTTGTATTTTTAGTAGAGACAAGTTCTCACCATGTTGACCAGGCTGGTCTCAAACTCCTGACCTTAAGTGATCCACCCGCCTCGGCCTCCCAAAGTGCTGGGATTACAGGCCTGAGCCACTGTGCCCGGCCGACCCTGGGGAACTTTAAAATACCCATATCTGGGCCTGTCTTCAGTTAGATCAGAAGCCCTGAAGATGAGCCTTCCCAAACTCTGGTCTCGTCTTCTTAACTCGGTGAGAACAACGGTTGCCCTCCCAGTGCAGTGGTAGGAAAATCACCTATGCAATGTCAGGGCTCCTCCCCTTTATCTTCCGTTTTTCAGGGATCACAGCCCTGAGCTGCCCTTTGTCTAATATCTGAAAACACTTGTTTCCTGTGCTTTGTCCAGTTTCTTAGCTGTTTGTAGAAAAAGGGCAATTTCAGTTCACCTTACTTCCTCAAGGCCAGAACCTAGAGTCCCTCCTCATCCTTTGAACTCCCCAAGTCCTTCACCTGTCCCCTCTCCAAGTTTCTTCCCATGCTCTGGCTGGGATAACTGTGCTTGCAGGTTTCACCTCCACTTCTGGAAAGCGCCCCTCTTGGGGACACAGGGCCTGTCGGATTCACGTCTGTGTCTCCAGGATGTCTCACAGGGCCTGGCACGTGGTAGGTACGTGGTGGGCATGTTTTTGTGCATGGGTCTGCCCTGCCCTTCTTCCTTCAGGCCACCCCAAATCATATCCGTATCCCTAGAGAACTGACGCCCACCCCACTCCAACCAGGTGGCACCTCCAGGACCGCTGGTCAAGATACCCTCCCCACAGCCATTGGTCAGGGGTGGCCGTGAGACTCAAGACAGCACATGTGGCCGGGTGCAATCGCTCACGCCTGTAATCCCAGGACTTTGGAACGCTGAGGCAGGCAGATCACCTGGGATCAGGAGTTCAAGACAAGCCTGGCCAACATGGCAAAACCCCATCTCTACTAAAAATACAAAAATTAGCTGGATGTGGTGGTGGGTGCCTGTAATCCCAGCTACTCAGGAGGCTGAGGCTGCAGAATTGCGAGAACCTGGGCAGTGGAGGTTGTAGTGAGCCGAGATCGCACCACTGCACTCCAGCCTGGGCGATAGAGCAAGACTCCGTTTTTTAAATAAATTACCCAGTTCCAGGTTTTCTGTTATAAGCAACAGAGAATGGGTGAAGACATTTATTTTTATCTTTAATAATGTATTTAGGCCAATTGTATGCTAGAGAGACCTGACTACTACAAGACATCATTGTATGCTTGCCGAATAAATGAAATACCATTGATTAATTTGCAAACCACATTCCCAGTGCACCTGAGGTGGCTTCCAACAAGAACAAGGAAGGTAAAATTTAAAAAACAGAAATGGAGATTCAAGAATGTGGATGGGTGCAGTGGTATACACCCGTGCTACCAGTGGTGCACTCCCAGCTACTCTGGAGGCCCGAGGAGGGAGGATCACTTGAGACCAGGAATGTGAGTCCAGACTGGGCAACATAGCAAGATCTTATCTCTAAAAACAAAAAATTTTAGGCCGGGTGTGGTGGCTCATGCCTGTAATCCCAGCACTTTGGGAGGCTGAGGAGGGCGGATCACGAGGTCAAGAGATCGAGACCATCCTGACCAACATGGTGAAACCCTGTCTCTACTAAAAATACAAAAATTAGCTGGGTGTGGTGGTGCACGCCTGCAGCCCCAGGTACTCGGGAGGCTGAGGCAGCAGAATCTCTTGAACTCGGGAGATGGAGGTTGTAGTGAGCCAAGATCGTGCCACTGCACTCCAGCCTGGTGACAAAGCGAAACTCTATCTGAAAAAAAAAAAAAAAAAAAAAATTTAGGCCACATGGGATGGCTCACACCATAATCCCAGCACTTTGGGAGGCCAAGGCAGGAGGATCACTTGAGGCCAGGAGTTTGATACCAGCCTAGGCAACATAGTGAGACCCTGTCTCTAAAAAAATTATTAAAAAATTTTTTAAATAAAATAATAAAATATAATTAAAAGAGAAAATAAAGATCAGAAACAATAGCATACATATATAAATATGCAACCCATAAAGGCCTGTAAAAGTGCTTTATTAATTCAATATCAAATTTAGTTCTGAGCTTTCTGGCAGCCAAAGCAAAAAACTTTTTTTTTTTTTTCCGGAGAAAACTTCTTCAGTGGAAAGAAATTTTTTCCTAGACTTTAGCTGCAAAAGAACAGTTTCAGATGGGGCCTGCGGTGTGATGTGGTGAAGGCCAATCTCAGCCGCATTCGCACAGCCAAAGCCTGTAATAAGCCTCCCACAATGAGTCCTTGGAGAATGGGTCCAGGCGATTCAGTTGTTCTCATTTGGGCTCGCCTTGACCTCTCAGTGGCTCTTGTCATAGTTGGTCGCTTGCCTCCTCTTTGAAACACTTTCTTCACTTGGATGGGGGCCCTCACTCTCTTGGCAATCTTTTTTTTTTTTTGAGACGGAGTCTCGCACTCTCACCCAGGCTGGAGTGCAGTGGCGCCATCTCGGCTCACTACAAGCTCCGCCTCCCGGGTCCACACCATTCTCCTGCCTCAGCCTCCCGAGTAGCTGGGACTACAGGCGCCCGCCACCACGCATGGCTAATTTTTTTTATTTTTACTAGAGACGGGGTTTCACCGTATGAGCCAGGATGGTCTCGATCTTCTGACCTTGTGATCCGCCGCCTCATCCTCCTAAAGTGCTGGGATTACAGGCGTGAGCCACCGCGCCCGGCCTCTCTTGGCAATCTTCTTCCCCACCGTGGGCTGTGGTCTTGTCTCCATGGCCACATCTCCCTGACCTCTCTTGACCTCTGAATGGTGGTGGGCCCAGGCTCAGACCTCTCCCCTGCCCTCCCTTCCCCTCCCTTCCCCTCCCCTCCCACTTCCTGGATGACAGGCCACTGTTTCCACCCCAGGCCCTCCAGTCTAATTTCTACTCACAGCCAGAGGGAGTGCAGCCATTACATCTTATGCTGCCATTTCCTCATCGTCCTGTGATCACCTAAAGTTACTAAACAAATCTCTATTAAAGTGCCCAGTTTTGTGTAGTGGCCAAATCCCAGAACTTGATTTAGAATGAAGTATTCTTGGGCTGGGCGTGGTAGTACGCACCTGTAGTCCCAGCTGGTCGTGAGGCTGAGGCTGCAGGGATCGCTTGAGTTTGAGGCTGCAGGGACCCAAGATAGCACCACTGCACTCAAGCCTGGGCAACAGAGCGAGAGCTTGTCTCAAAACAAACAAACAAACAAACAAACAAACAAAAAAAACGAACACAGCTTTTTCCACTTCTGGCCATTGCAGCCCCCACTGATAAGGAGTCAGGGAAGTCGGGTCTGCGCCTCTCCCTGGCCCCATTCCCAGGCTTGAGAAGACGCTGCCTTTGGAGAACAGGGAGGGAGGGCAGTGGGTGCAGAGAGTGCATCCTGGATTGACACTGGTGTAAGATGGCATCTCACTCCTTGGGTGGCAGCTGTCTAAAGCTGGCTCCTGCCCTCAGGGGTTTTATGGGCTCCCTTATGTACTACCCCCTTGACTGAAACTCCTGGCAAAGGGGCAGCCCCTCTCTGTTGACTGGCTCTGGTTTTCTTTCAAGTGGCATGCACTACCCCACTCTGTTGCATACCCTGTGCCAGAGAAAACAAGCCCGTGGGGCCAGACCCCTTTTTCCATTCCTGCGGTCCAGTGCCCACTGCAGGTCACCTCCTTTCTGGAGGCCTTTCCTACCAATGACCCACGGGGGTGCCATGACTGCAGGAAGCCCACCTCAAGCGCTCTGGGGGGCTTCCTTGAAGCACTTCTCACCAGATTTGAGGTTAGAAGGCAGCTCCCCAGCTCCACCCCCTGCAGACTCACTGCCATAGCAGCTCTTTCCAAATCAAATCACCGCAAACTGCCCCTTTCAAATCCACCCTCGATCCCTTTATACTCTTGCGGTGGATGAGGGGCTTCGACAGTGGCAACATGGGTTTCTGCTTTCTTTAAAATTTTGCAGTTTGGCCAGGAGCAAGCACTTCACTTTGGCATTTCATATCCATTCCATTCTAGAGCCTCAGTCAAATATTCTTGCACGCTGTTCATCCTTAGGACAAACCCAGAATCCTTTCCCTGGCTCCCAGGCCCCACGTGATCTGACTCTTGAGCACCCCCCCATGGAGGTTTATTTATTTATTTTTTTGAGGCGGAGTCTCACTCTGTCGCCCAGGCTGGAATACAATGACGCGATCTCAGCTTGCTGCAACCTCTGCCTCCCGGGTTCAAGTGATTCTTGAGCCTCAGCCTTCCGAGTAGCTGGGACTACAGGTGTGTGCCACCATACTTGGCTAATTGTTTTGTATTTTTTTAGTAGAGACGGGGTTTCACCATGTTGGCCAGGCTGATCTCAAACCTCTGACCTCAAGCGATCTGCCCAACTCGGCATCCTAAAGTGCTAGGATTACAGGTGTGAGCCACCGTGCCCAGCCCCCCATGGAGGTTTAAAATATCAAAATACCAACCTGGGCACAGTGGCACACACCTGTAGTCCCAGCTACTCAATAGGATCGTTCTAGCCCAGGAATTTGAGTCCAGTCTGAGCAACATAGCAAAACCCCATTTCCAAATAACATAAAATATCAAAATACCAAAAAACATTACAAATAATTGTATGTTGGTAAATATAGAAACTTAAGCAAAGTAAATACCTTTCTGGAAGAATGTGAAATGTCAAAATTGGCACAAAAATATCAAAACTTCAGTAGACCCATAACCAGGAAAGAAAATTGAGTAGCTCATGCCTGTGACCTCAGCACTTTGTTTTATTTTGTTTTTGAGATGGAGTCTCACTCTTATTGCCCAGGCTGGAGTGTGGTGGCGCAATCTCGGCTCACTGCAACCCCTGCCTCCCATTTTCAAGCGATTCTCCTGCCTCAGCCTTCCGAGTAGCTGGGATTAAAGGCGCCAGCCACCACGCCCAGCTAATTTTTTTGTATTTTTAGTAGAGACAGAGTTTCACCACGTTGGCCAGGCTGGTCTCGAACTCCTGACCTCAGGTGATCCACCTGGCTAAGCCTTCCGAAGTGCTGGGATTACAGGTGTGAGCCACTGCACCCGTCCTAACCTCAGCACTTTGGGAGGCTAAGGCAGAAGGATCATTTGAGGCGAGGAATATAAAATCAGCCTGGGAAACATAGCGAGACCCTGTCTCTTGGGAAAACAACAACAACAACAACACTACAATAGGCCGGGCACAGTGGCTCACGCCTATAATCTTAGTACTTTGGGAGGCTAAGGCAGGCAGATCACCTGAGGTTGGGAGTTCGAGACCAGCCTGGCCAACATGGTGAAACTCTGTCTCTACTAAAAATACAAAAATTACCCGGATGTGGTGGCACATGCCTGTAATCCCAGCTACTTGGGAGGCTGAGGCACGAGAATCACTTGAACCTGGGAGGTGGAGGTTGCAGTGAGCCGAGATCACTCTACTGCACTCCAGCCTGGGCGACAGAGCAAGACTCCATCTCAAAAAAAAAAAAAAAAAAAAAACTAAAAGAAAAAGAAACTTGTAATCTGAGACTCCAATGTGAAAAAACCCAATAGAAATGTTTTTATAGGGCAGTTCTACCAGCCTTTGGAGGAACAGATGGTCCTTATCTCACACCAGTTGTTACAGAAGCCAGAAAGAGAGAAGGCTGCCCAATTTCTTGTATGACCCCCGCAAGCCAGATAAAGACAGTATCAGAAAAGTCTGTACACAGAGCATTTCGTTATGGACACAGATGTTAAGCGTAAACTAATAGAATAGAATATAGGAAAATACCCCACCTAGGGATAGGAAAAGAAAGACTCTCAAAATACAAAGCTCTATTCAAAAACATTTATGAGTCTAACTCCATCAAAATTAAAGATTTTTTTTTTACCAGACTTAAAAAAAGATTAAGGATTTCTGGCCAGGCACGGTGGCTCACACCTGTAATCCCAGCACTTTGGGAGGCCAAGGTGGGTGAATCACTTGAGGTCAGGAGTTCGAGGGCAGCCTGGCCAACATGGTGAAACCCCATCTTTACAAAAATTAGCCAGTCGTGGTGGCACATACCTGTAATCCCAGCTACTCGGGAGGCTGAGGCAGGATAATTGTTTTGAACGTGGGTGGTGGAGGTTGCAGTGAGCTGAGATTGCACAACTGCACTCCAGTCTGGGTAACAGAGCGAGAGAGCGAGAATCCGTCTCGAAAAAAAAAAAAAAGTACCAGACCTCATTTTATGACCCCAGGGTTAGTCAAAATTCATAAGGTGAATAATGTCAATGTTTGGTGAGAATGTGGGCAGACAGAAATCCTTGGTCTTCTGTAGGCACATAAACTGACAGCCCTTCTCTCAAGCAATCTGAAATTAGGTGTATGTTTATGCCAAGACCTTACACTCTCAGCCTTGGATAAGTAGGCCAGAGAGATTCTCATTCAGGTGTACAAAGAGGCATGTGCAGCGGTGTTGACCACGGTGTTCTTTGTGAGAACAGGACTTGGGAGCCAGTCTGGCATCCATTGTCAGAAGGATGAATTAAGTAAAGCATACAAAGGGAAACTACGGAACACTATGCAACAGTCAGGATCTACAAGGCTTTTAAAACACAGTGCGGGCCAGGCACAGTGGCTCACGCCTGTATTCCCAGCACTTTGGGAGGCCGAGACGGGCGGATCACCTGAGGTCAGCAGTTCAAGACCAGCCTGGCCAACATGGTGAAACCTGGTCTCTACTAAAAAATAAATACAAAAATTAGCTGGGTATGGTAACGCAAGTCTGTAATCCCAGCTACTTGGGAGGCTGAGGCAGGAGAATTGCTTGAGCCCGGGAGGTGGAGGTTGCAGCGAGCTAAGATTGCACCACTGCACTCCAGCCTGGGCAACAAAGCGAGACTCTGTCTCAAAAAAAAAAAAAATCAAAAAACAAAAAACAAAAACAAAAACCACAGTGTTAGCAGCGGAGGGTGGCATGTGCCCATAATCCCAGATACTTGGGATGCTGAGGCGGGAGGATCTCTTGACCCCAGGAGTTTGAGGCCAGCCTGGGCAATATGAGACCTTGTCTCTAAAAACAAAACGATGGGGCATGGTGATTCATGCCTATAATTCCAGCTTTTTTTTTTTTTTTTTGAGAAGGAGTCTCGCTCTGTTGCCCAGGCTGGAGTGCAGTGGCATGATCTTGGCTCACTACAAGCTCTGCCTCCCGGGTTCACGCCATTCTCTGGCCTGAGCCTCCCGAGTAGCTGGGACTACAGGCGCCCGCCACCATGCCCGGCTAATTTTTTGTATTTTTAGTAGAGACGGGGTTTCACCATGTTAGCTAAGATGGTCTCAATCTCCTGACCTCGTGATCCTCCCTCTTCGGCCTCCCAAAGTGCTGGGATTACAGGCGTGAGCCACCGCGCCCAGCCTAATTCCAGCTTTTATTTATTTATTTATTTATTTCTGAGATGGAGTCTTGTTCTGTCACCCAGGCTGGAGTGCAGTAGTGTGATCTCAGCTAGCTGCAACCTCTGCCTGGGTTCAAGTGATTCTCCTGCTTCAGCCTCCTGAGTTAGCTGGGACTACAGGTGTGTGCCACCATGCCCGACTAATTTTTGTATTTTTAGTAGAGACGGGATTTCACAGTGATGGCCAGGCTTGTCTTGAACTCCTGACCTCAAGTAATCCACCTGCCTCGGCCTCCCAAAGTGCTGGGATTACATGCATAAGCCACCTTGCCCAGCCTGATTCTAGCATTTTGAGTAGGCTTAAGCGGGAGGAGTCCTTGAGGCCAGGAGTTCAAGATTAGCCTAGGCAGCATAGTGAGACCTCTGTCTCTCCAAAACTAATTTTTTTTTAAAGTAGCCAGGCATGGTGGCACATGCCTGTAGTCCAAGCTACTCAGGACGTTGTGGTTGTGGTAGAGGATCACCTGAGCCCAGGAGTTCGAGGCTGCAGTGAGCTATAATCACACCACTGCACTCCAGCCTGGGTGACAGAGTGAGGCCTTATCTCTAGAAAATAAAATAAATTTTAAAAACCCTAAAGCACAGTTTTGAAGGAAACGAGTAAGGAACAAAAATGAGATCAATACTGCTTATGCAAATTAAATACATACAATACCATTTATTTATTTTTATACTTAGTTTTATTTTTTATGTTTTTCTTGAGACAGGGTTTCACTCTGTCACCCAGACTGGAGTGCAGTGGTGTGATCATAGCTCATTGCAGCCTCAACCTCCTGGGCGCAGGTGATCCTCCCGCCTCAGCCTCCCGAGTAGCTGGAACTACAGGGACACGCCACCATGCCCAGCTAATTTCTTTGTATATTTTTGTGGAGCTGGGGTTTCACCATGTTTCTCAGGCTGGTCTCCAACTCCTGAACTCCAGCAATCCACCTACCTTGACCTCCCAAAGTGCTGGGATTACAGGCGTGAGCCACTGCACCCGGACCACAATACCACTTACATAAACAAAAAATACATACACACAAAAATGATAAAAGCTTCACAATGATCCGTTAACATCTTTCTTTCTTTCTTTTTCTTTCTTTCTTTCTTTCTCTCTCTCTTTCTTTCTTTCTCTCTTTATTTATTTATTTTTTTCAGAGTCTTGCTCTGTTGCCCAGGCTACAATGCAGTGGCATGTTCTCAGCTCACTGCAACATCTGCCTCCCATGTTCAAGCAATTCTCCTGCCTCAACCTCCTGAGTAGCTGGGATTACAGGCACGTGCCACCACGCCTGGCTAATTTTTGTATTTTTAGTAGAGATGGGGTTTCACCATGTTGGCCAGGCTGGTTTCGAACACCTGACCTCAAGTGATCCACCTGCCTCGGCCACCCAAAGTGCTGGGATTACAGGCATGAGTCACCACGCCCAGCCTATTCACATTTAAATAGGATGGAGCGGGGATCAAAGATGAAGAAGAAAATACAAAGGCAAAACAAGAGTCGCATTGCATCCATTGATGCTTTTTGTATGCTGTGAAATAAGGAATACAATAAACTCAGCTATCTGCTCCCCAGGACTAATGCAGAAGAGAAATGTGCAAAGGACATGGACAGGAATTCACAGAGGTAGCACAAATGGTCCATGGAGATAGGAAAATACTTGAACCTCACAAATAATGAAGGTGTGGAGACAAAAATGACCCCATCTTAGACGTGAATCCGCCATGCTGACTTCTGAATAGCTGCAGTCCCGTGAATACCTCCTGATTCCTACTCTATTTACTGCCCTTAGCATAAGACTATGTCCACCTTGATGTTATCACACCAATTATAGGCTATAACGTATGCAGATTCTTGCCTGTTCTGGAGGGCTGCCTTTAATTGTCTTGCACAGAACACTCATACCCTTTCCCTATGGTACATAAGCCTTGGCTCTAGGATGACAGGCACGGAGATCTGTTTGTCTCGTGGCTGCCCAAGACCAAGCTTGTCTGTAAGGTCACCCAAATAAATCACCCTGTACCAGCAAACTGGATTTGTCTGCCTTGTTCTTTGGTTTCTCTGCTCCTTCAGCATTCGGGAGCTGCCTTGCATATCTGGCCCTTTCATGAAAGAGAAGAGAATACAAGTTATTGCAACAATGCAATAATAGCTTTTCATCTATCAGATTAGCAAAGTGAAAATTATAATTGCTGGTGAGGGTATAAATACTGTTGATGGAAATCTATAATGATTGAGCCTTTAGGGGGAATAATTAGGCACCATCAAGATCTAAATGGCTTAGAGCTAGCTAGTTTGCTTATAGAACATTACCTTGCAGAAATCTCAAGACACATTTCCAGGGATGTCCGCAGCTGCAGTGTCTGGAGTGAGGACGCAAGCGGAAGCAGTCCCGGTGTTTGACAAAAGGACACAGGTGATGTACATTAGGTGGGTCAGACAGCCAAACAGTGATGATGGTAAAGACTGGGTGGCTCTGTATGTCCTGACATGGAAAGAATATAACATTCTAGTAGGCAAAACCAGGATGATCTCATTTTTGTTGAAAAATATGTATATGTAGGTTTGTATACACACACACACACACACACACACACACACACACACACACGTCTATCTCTAAAATCACAAGATATTCAAATGGTACACTGGCTCAGGTCTTGGTTTTGCATCGGAGGCCAAGGACAAAGCAATAGCCCCAGGGCCCTGCATTGCTAATCAGGTGCCAGGCCCCCTTGCAGTGAGGACAGGACACTCCTGACCTCAAGTGATCCACCCACCTCAGCCTCCCAAAGTGCTGGGATTACAGGCGTGAGCCACCGCGCCCGGCCCAGACTAGACATTTCAATTTCAATTTCTGAGGCTGTTCTTAGTGATCAGAGGACTTTTCACTACCTGAGGTGACTTGAGAAGTCATAGTGCCTGCTCACGTCTTATCCAGGCCTGGGAACGGCTTGGCCCAAGGGGGAGTGGGTGGGTGGAAAAGGATGCAGCTGTCTCTGTCCGAATGCTGCACCCCGCCTTGCTCAGGGTGTCAGTTCCACATTTGTTTGTGCTCACAGGGGAAAAACACGGGCCAAATACACACCCAAAAGTTAACAGCAGTTCTACTGCACAGATTTAATTTTTTTTTAGACAGAGTTTTACTCTTGTTGCCCAGGCTGGAGTGCAGTGGTACGATCTCGGCTCACTGCAACCTCTGCCTCCCTGATTCAAGCGATTCTCCTGCCTGAGCCTCCCAAAGTAGCTGGGATTACAGGCGCCTGCCACCACACCCTGGTAATTTTTTTGTATTTTTAGCTGAGACGGGGTTTCATCATGTTGACCAGGCTGGTCTCGAACTCCTGACCTCAGGTGATCCACCTGCCTCAGCCTCCCAAAGTGCTGGGATTACAGCTGTGAGCCACTGCACCTGGTCATATTTAAATTTTTGACAGTGTGCATATATTACTTCTATTATCTGAAGAACCAATAAAGATGTTTTCTATCTGTACATGTATTTATTATTTTATTGTATTGTATTTCATTTTATTTTATTTTATTTTATTTTATTTTTTGAGACAGTCTCATTCTGTTGCCCAGGCTGGAGTGCAGTGGTGTGATCTTGGCTCACTGCAGCCTCCACCCCCTGGGTTCAAGCAATTCTCCCATCTCAGCCTCCCGAGTAGCTGGGACTACAGGCATGCACCTCCATGCCCGGCTAATTTTTTTGTATTTTAAGTAGAGACAGGGTTTATCCATGTTGCTTGGGCTGGTCTCAAACTCCGGTGCTCAAGCCATCCTCCTGCCTCAGACTCTCAAAGTGCTGGGATTACAGGCGTGAGCCACTACTCCAGGCTCCCATTGCAGGTTTTAAGCAGAAGTCTTTAAAAAATGGCCCAAGCTGGCCGGGCTCGGTGGCTTACGCCTGTAATCCCAGCACTTTGGGAGGCAGAGGCGGGTGGATCATGAGGTCAGGAGATCGAGACCATCCTGGCTAACACAGTGAAACCCCGCCTCTACTAAAAATACAAAAAATTAGCCGGGCATGGTGGCGGGCGCCTGTAGTCCCAGCTACTCGGGAGGCTGAGGCAGGAGAATGGCGTCAACCCAGGAGGCGGAGCTTGCAGTGAGCCGAGATTGCGCCACTGCACTCCAGCCTGGACGACAGAACAAGAGACTCCATCTCAAAAAAAAAAAAAATGGCCCAGGCTGCTGGGTTGGGAATTGACCATGAAGAAGCAGAAAGTCTATGTAGAAGACAACGGATGTTGAGAATGCTCCAAATAGCTGGTGGTAAGCGTTCAGATTCTGAATGCACTTTGAAATCAGGAACAACTGTTGGATAGGACATAGCATTTCAGAGAGAGAAAAGCCTAGGCTTTTGGTTCGAGAAACTAGAAGGATAGCATAGTCACTAGGCCAAGATGGAGAGGGCTGTGGGGAGGGTCAGGGAGTCAGTTTCAGAGTTGTTGAATGTGAGATGCCTGTTAGACACCTAGATGGAGCAGTGGACTGGGTCATTCGAGTTTGGGAGGCAGGACTCACCTTCTGAGCTTGAGGGAGATGTCTGGACTACAGATAAAAGTGGGGTTCATTGTCTGATAGATTTTATTTAAAATGAGCCTGTCATGCCTGTAATCCCAGCACTTTGGGAGTCTGAAGCAGGAAGATCTCTTGAGCCCAGGGGTTCAAGACCAGCCTGTGCAACATGGCTAGACGTTGTCTCTACAAAAAATACAAAAAATCAGCTGGGCATGGTGGTGCACACCTTTAGTTCCAGCTGCTCAGGAGGCTGAGGCGGGAGTGTCACTTGAGCCCAGGAGGTCGAGGCTGCAGTGAGCCATGATCACGCAACTGCACTCCAGTCAGTCTAGGTGACAGAGTGAGACCTTGTCTCAAAAAAAAAAAAAAACAACCAAAAACCCAAAAACACAAAACCATGGTCCTGGTGAGTCCAGTAAAAGAGGAGCTGTGGCCGGGCGTGGTGGCTCATGCCTGTAATCTCAGCACTTTGGAGGCCGAGGCGGGCGGATCACGAGGTTAGGAGTTCGAGACCAGCCTGGCCAACATAGCGAAACCCCGTCTCTACTAAAAATACAAAAATTAGCCAGGCATGGTGGTTTGCGCCTGTAGTCCCAGCTACTTCGGAGGTTGAGGCAGGAGAATCACTTGAACCTGGGAGGCGGAAGTTGTGGTGAGTCAAGATCTCACCACTGCACTCCAGCCTGGGCAACAGAGTAGCTGTGGACAAAGAAGACAGACGGGGCAGCTGTCCCTCTCCTGCAAGAGGAGGAGGAACTGGCAGAGGAGCTGGGGAAGAGCTGGCCACTGACCTCATGTTAGTGGGAGGGAAGGCATCGGTGATTTTGGCAGGTGCAGGCTCACAGGGTGGTGGGGGTGACAGCCTGCCTGGAGTGGGTTCAAGAAAGAAAGGCAAGGGGGAAATTGACCTTGCCCAGTGAAAACTCTTTCAGAAGGCTTTGCTGCAAAGGGAACACAGAAATGGGGCAGTGTTGAAGAAGGGGAAGTGAGTCAAGAAAGAAGGAACAGTAGTGCTGATGGAAATGATGCCAGAGAGATGAGACATTGCTGATGCAGGAGAGAGTGGGAGGACGGCCGGAGCCACATCGCTGAGCAGGCAATCAGCAAATGAATGAATGTGTGTGAAGCGGTGATAAGAGAAGCAGAGCAAATGGTGGTGCCTATTAGGGACTTAGGGGATCTGGGCAGGGAGGGCTTCTTTGGCAGGTGTCATTTTAGCAGAAACCTAGAGGTCCTGAAGGAGTAAGCCATGTGGATTCTGGGGAGAGAGCATTTCAGGAAGAAGAAACAGTCGGTGCAAAGGGCCTTAGGGCAGACTGGCTGGCGTACCGAAGGGAGAGTGTGGTTGGATCGGAGTGAGAAGGGATCATGGTGGCACTTGTGAGCAAACACCTGTGAAACATGCAGGACCTAGTGGGCCAGTAAGGACTTTGCCTTTTACTCAGCGAGACCCAGGACCCATCACAGGCGTGATGGACTCTGTTTTTTTTTTTTTGTTTTTTTTTTTTAGTTAAGGTCTTGCTCTGTTACCCAGGCTGGAGTGCAGTGGTGCAATCAGGGCTCATTCTGCCTCCTGGGCTCAAGTGGTCCTCCTACCTTAACTTCTCTAGTAGCTGAGATCACAGGCATACTCCACCACACCTGGCTAATTTTAGTATTATTTTTTGTAGAGAAGGGGTTTGCCATGTTGCTCAGGCTGGCCTCGAACTCCTGGCCTCAAGCCATCCGCCTGCCTCAGCCTCCTAAAGTGCTGGGATTACAGGTGTGAGCCACTGCGTCCAGCTGGGCTCTATTCTTCACAGAATCACACTGGTTGCTGAGTAGAGAATGGTATCAGGACAAAAGCAAAAACCGGGAGGTTGGGTGTGGTGGCTCACGCCCATAATCCCAGCACTTTGGGAGGCTGAGGCAGGTGGATGGCTTGAGGCCAGGAGTTCGAGGCCAGCCTGGGAAATATAGTGAGCTCCCATGTCAATAAAAAATAAATAAATAAGCAAAAGCCGGAGATTAAGCGTTACTGAAATGATCCAGAAGAGAGAGGGTGTTGGTTTGGAGAAGTGCTGGATTCTGCATGTATTTCAAAGGTGGAGCTGGTAGGGTTTGCTAAGGCATTAGGGGCAGAATGTGAGTCAAACGAAAGAGTCAAGGATCATGCCAGGGCGTTGACCTGAGCAACAGGAATCTCAGACATGCCCCTGACTGGGATGAGGCAGGCCAGTAGTCTGACCTTCAGCATGTCAAGTTGAAATGCTTATTTATCCAAGTGGGGATGTCAGATGGGCCACTGGATATTTAAGTATGGGAGAGGTCAGGCTGAGATACGTAAACCTGGGGACGGGTGGAAAACAGCAGGTGCTGGCCTGGCGCAGTGGCTCATGCCTGTAATCCCAATGCTTTGGGAGGCCGAGGCAGGCCAGGAGTTCAAGACCAGCCTGGACAACATGGCAAAACCCCATCTCTACCAAAAAATATAAAAATTAGCCGGGCATAGTGGCGCGTACCTGTAGTCCCAGCTACTCGGGTGGCTGAGGTGGGAGGATCACTTGAGCCTGGGAGGTTGAGGCTGCAGTGAGCTGTAATGGCACTACTGCACTCCAGCCGGGGTGACAGAGTGAGACTCTGTCTCAGAAAGCAAGCAGCAGGTGGCTTTTAAGGCCATCAGACTGGATGAGCTCACTTAGGGAGGGAGTGTGGTAAAGGAAAGAGGTCTGTATGCACCTCATGAGAATATCAACCTGAGAAACCCAGACCTGCCCTCTGCCAAGGAAGAAAGTGGCCCAGAGTTCTGGACTGTCCAGGAAATCACCTGGGGTTGAGGTCTGGAAGGGGCTCCGTTTCTGAAAGTGAAGCTGCCTACATGTGCCTTCCACTGGGCCCCAGGTGTGGGAGAAGGATGGCAGCCCCCTAGAAAGAAAAGAGTTTGCATATTTTGGGTGGCAAAAGAGCTTCACCCGGAGCAGCACTATTTAGGATATTTACATTGGATGTGCTCATTGTGAGGTGCCACTGGGATGGAGTCTGAGAGCAGAAGAGGAGCCACAGGGCCACAGTCTGAGAAAAATCCTGCCTCTATGGCATCTTCCAGGATAGTCTGCTTCCCTGGGGCCACATCATTGATTAATTAATAACAGCAACACGGCCCGGTGCAGTGGCTCACACCTGTAATCCCAGCACTTTGGGAGGCCAAGGTGGGTGGATCACTTGAGGTCAGGAGTTCAAGACCAGCCTGGCCAACATGGTGAAACCCTCTCTCTACTAAAAATACAAAAAATTAGCCGGGCATGGTGGCACATGCCTGTAATCCTAGTTACCCGGGAGGCTGAGGTGGGAGAATCGCTTGAACCCAGGAGGCAGAGGTTGCAGTGAGCCGAGATCACATCACTGCACTCCAGCCTGGGCAACAGAGCAAGACTCCATCACAAAAAGAAAAAAAAAAGATAATAAGAATAACAGCAATGCTAACATAGCAGTTCCCATGAGCCATGAGGATGTTCTGTTTGTATCTGCATAGTGATTTAATCCTTACCACTACCCTGGGAGTAGATCCGATTATAACCATCCCCTCCCCATTGCCTATGAGAAAACAGGCACCGAGAGGGTACGGGACAAGTGGAGGAGCTGGGATTTGCACCCAAGCGCTTCCTCTATGCTCTTAGCCATGATGCTCTGCTGCCTCAAAAGAACGGCCAGCTAGTGTTAGTAATAATAACATTTACCGATGTCATCGTTTGGGGTTTCATGTAGTCCTTGCAACAAACCTATGAGCTGGGCCCGTGATTCCAGTTTTGCAGAGTGGGGAGTTGGTCACAGAGCTAGTGAGACCAGGCCTCCAGCCCAGTTGGTCCGTCTCCAGGGCCTCAGCTCAGCACCACATCCCTGTACTGCAAGCCTCAGTGGTCAGCACCAGGCGTCCCATGGGGACTTAAGATTCCAAGGCTTTTGAGCACTGCTAGAAGTTTGGGGTAAGATCTTTTACTTTTTTTATATTAAAAAAATATATTTTTTTGAGATGGAGTCTCACTCTTTCGCCCAGGCTGGAGTACACTGGTGTGGCCTCGGCTCACTGCAACCTCCACCTCCCGGGTTCAAGAGAACCCGGAGAGGGAGAGCCTCAGCCTCCCGAGTAGCTGGGATTACAGGTGCCCACCACCATGCCCGGCTAATTTTTGTATTTTTAGTAGAGATAGAGTTTCAATCCAGGTGGGAGATGGGGTTTCACCATGTTGGCCAGGCTGGTCTCCAACTCCTGACCTCAGGCAATCCGCCCACCTCGGCCTCCCAAAGTGCTGGAATTACAGCCACTGCCCGGCCTGGGGTAAGCTTTCAATGTTGTAACTCCCTCCAGAACCTCATGGCCTATGAAGATGGCCAGGTGGGCCTGGGCCCAGGCTCTGAATGGCCTGCTGCCTCTCTCCTGGACACAGCATTCAACTTCCTGGCTGGGGCTGGGAGTGCAAAGATTTGTTTATTTGTTTCTTTTTTATTGAGACAGAGTCTCACTCTGTCGCCCTGGCTGGAGTGCAGTGGTGCAATCTGGGGTCGATGCAGCCTCTGCCTCCCGGGTTCAAGTGATTCTCGTGCCTCAGCCTGAGTAGCTGGGATTACAGGCATGCGCCACCAGGCCTGGCTAATCTTTTTTGCATTTTTGGTAGAGATGGGGTTTTGCCATTTTGGCCAGGCTGGTCTTGAACTCTTGACCTCCAGTGATCCACCTGCCTCAGCCCCCCAAAGTGCTGGGATTACAGGTGTGAGCCACCACTCCCAGCCTGGGAGTGCAAGGATTTAAATAAAATCTTGTGAAAGTTCAGTTTGGCTCCTTCAGGGACTCGGCCAGGCCGGGGGGCAGCACAGGAGACAGGCTGACTCCCCTGTACAGATGGATGGGGAAACACAGGCAGAGTAGGGACAGGGGACTTACACCAGGTCACACGGGGAGCCTGTGGATGAGGCAGAGGCAGGACTTGGGCCTGGGTCTCTGCGCTAAATGACTCCTGGGCATCCTGCTGAACTCTCTCCCAGAAGGAGATTGGCCTCACATACCCCACTGACCCCTTCCTAGCATGCTTTTTGCCAGACCCATTGAGACTGGCTGAGGACTGGTTGCCATAGAGATGGCCTGTTAGGCAGTTCTACGGTGCGGATGGGGGATGGGGCAGGATGGGGCAGGACACCGATATGCTAAATACCTACCAACAGTTGGTTAGGACCCCGTCGGTGCGACCAGGGCAGGACGTGCGGCTCCAGGCTCCAGGAACCAGAACGGGGCTGCTCAAGCTGCTGTCGACCGTCTCTCAGGACAAGCAGGTGAGGGAGGCCCAGTGAGGACACTTCCAGCTGCCTAGAGCCAGGTGGGTCAGGGAGGCCTGGGCTGGGGAGGCCCTTGAGAAGCCACAAGACCTGAGCTGAGGTCCAGATGAAACTCAGGGAGGCAGGAGTGGGACAGGGACCACAGGGAGGCCTAAGGGCCTTGGGAGAAGCCGAGGGATGACGCCCAGGAGTGACTCCCAGGGATGATGGGGCCATTCAGGGAACACTGCGGAAGGAGCAGGTTTCAGGAAAGATGAAGACCACCTTGATGAAGACCACCTTGGTTTCTGCCTTGGCTGTAGCAGGTCCAGGGCCCAGTGGGACATTTGGGAGTGCAGTCCAGGGCCCAGAGGTGGCCTAGCGCAATGGTGACAAATCTGGGCTCCACCACTTCCCAGCTGTGTGACCTCAGTTACTCAGCCTCTCTGAGCCTCAGCTTTCTCCTCCACATGATGGAGGTGATAGTGAGTACCGGCCTCCTAGGGTCCTTGGGAAGGTTACGTGTGTTTATGCATGAAAGTCCTGAGCACACAATAGGTGCTCAGCAGGTGGCAGCTGTTGCTATTTTAATATGCAGAACGGAGGTGGTGCTCGGTCGGGTTTTTTTGTTTGTTTGTTTTTTTGAGATGGAGTTTCACTCTTGTTGCCCAGGCTGGAGTGCAATGACACAATCTCGGCTCACTGCAGCCTCCAACTCCTAGGTTCAAGCGATTGTCCTGCCTCAGCCTCCCAAGTAGCTAGGATTACAGGCGCAGGCCACCACACTCGGCTAATTTTTTTTGTATTTTTAGTACAGATGGGGTTTCGCCATGTTGGCCAGGCTGGTCTCGAACTCCTGGCCTCAGGTGATCCGCCCCCCTTGGCCTCCCAAAGTGCTGGGGTTACAGGTGTGAGCACCACATCCAGCCCTGTTTGGTTGGTTTTTATGGTAACGAGGGCCCAGAGGGACCCAGCCAGGCCCAGCCAGGTGCACAGAGGGAGCACCCGGGTGAGGTGCAACACAGTCCAGGAGGCTGCTCAAGCTGGCTGCTCCTCCCCTACTGTCTCTGCCCAGGGCTGCCTGGGGAGTGGTGATGGTGTGCCAAATCAAGACCTGCAGCAGAGGTCTCAGAGCTCAAGGCAGACAGCAAAGAAGGACCGCAAGCCCAGGGGCCAGAGCAAGAAAGGACAGGGCTCTGAAGAGTCTGAAGAGTAAGCAGCAGTGGGATGGGTCAGGAGGCTGTTGGGGGTCAGGGCCCTCTGGGGGCTGGCGCCGACCCTGACCCCCACCCTTTCCTTCTTCAGTCACTTCCCGCTTCTTCCTCGGAAACCCTCCTTCCCCTTCCAGTGGGCCTGGGAGAGCATCGCCACAGATGTCCGGGCTGTGCTTCAGCCAAGCTCCCCAACCCCTGGCCACCAAGCCCTGCCCATGCCCTCCTCGTTCTCCCAGCGTCAGTCCAGGCGCAAGTCCACGGCCAACCTCCCAGAGGCCCATGGCTGCTGCTGGAAGACAGAGGCGCAAAACCTGAAGGCGAGACAGCAGCTGGGAGCCTGGGGCGGTGTCTCCATCCCTACTGGCAAAGGGGAGCTAGGATCAGAGCCCCCCAGTGGTCTCCAGCTGCCTGGGAGGAGGCCAGGATCAGGATCGGCGTCCGACAAGCAGGTCCAGCTGCAAAGCCTGGGTGCTGAGGAGGCCGAGAGGGGTCTGAGTTCTGGGGTGCTGCCCCAGCGCCCCAGGAGGGGGTCGATCTCAGAGGAGGAGCAATTTTCAGAGGCCACAGAGGAGGCTGAGGAGGGAGAGCACAGGACTCCCTGCAGAAGGAGGGCTGGTTGTCAGAGAAAGGGGCAGATTTCTGGAGAGGAAGCCTCCGATGAGGGAGAAGTGCAGGGCCAGAGCCAGGGGAGCAGCCCCAGCTTCAACAACCTCCGAAGGCGACAATGGAGGAAGACAAGGGCCAAGGAGCTGCAGGGGCCATGGGACCTGGAGAAGCTGCACAGGCAGCTACAGAGAGACCTGGACTGTGGTGAGCGTGGGGCTCAGAGCCTGGATTCCCCCGAAGCTACACCGCAGGGAACAGGGAGCAGTCAGGGAGGCAGGGGCTCAGGCAGGCTGGGCTGTGCTCTGGGTGCTGGGGGGCGTTGCCTGGTGGGCTGAGAGGGAGAGGGCAGCCCCTGACTTGGTCCCACTGTGGGCAGGCCCCCAAAAGCTGCCCTGGAAGACTTTGAGGGCTGCCTTCCAGGCCTCCAAGCGGAATGGAAAGGCCTATGCCTCGGGATACGATGAAACTTTCGTGTCTGCCAACCTCCCTAATCGCACCTTCCACAAACGACAGGAAGCCACCAGGTAAGAGGGAAGAGAAGGGAGTGGGAGCCCAGAATGAGAAGTAGAGATGGAGCCACTTCTCCAAGAGATGCTTAGGCATTTGAACTCTCATTCATTTCTTTATTTATCCATTCACCAAACTTTTGGATCATCCATCCATCCATCCATCCATCCATCCATCCATCCATCCACCCATCCATCCATCTATCCAACTACTGATAACATCCACTCAACCATTCATCCATCTCTCTCAATACCTGGCCAATTATCTATTGATACAACCACTTTTATTTCCCATCTTTTGTTCCATCCATCCATTAAATTATTAACTAAGTGATTAATGCAACGTTTATTATCTACTCATGGGCCCTTAGGATATAACTATTAAAAGACTTGGAATTAGCTGGGCATGGTGACACGTGCTTGTAGTCCCAGCTACTCAGGAGGCTGAGGTAGGAGGATCTCTTGAGTTCAGGAGATCAAGACTGCAGTGAGCTATGATCCCACCATTGCATTCAGCATGGGCAACAGAGTGAGACACTGTCTCTAAAAAAGAAGTTAAGGGGCCGGGCGTGGTGGCTCACGCCTATAATCCTAGCACTTTGGGAGGCCAAGGCGTGTGGATTGTCTGAGCTCAAGAGTTCGAGACCAGCCTGGGCAACATGGCGAAACCCTGTCTCTACTGAAAATATAAAAAATTATCCAAGTATGGTGGTGTGTGCCTGGAGTCCCAGCTACTCAGGAGGCTGAGACATGAGAATCACTTGAACCTGGGAGGCGGAGGTTGCAGTGAGCTGAGATTGCAGCACTGCACTCCAGCCTGGGTGACAGAGTGAGACTCTGTCTCAAACGAACAAACAAACGAACAAAAAACCCAGCCTGGTCAACATAGCTAGACCCCTGTCTCTACAAAGGAAAAAAAAAAGATTAGCCTGGCTTGGTGGAAAGTGTCTGTAGCCCCAGCTACTCCAGAGGCTGAGTCAGGAGGATCTCTTGAGCCCAGGAGATCAAGGCTGCAGTGAGCCATGATGACATCACTGAATTTTAGTCTGGACAACAGAGCGAGCCTCTGTTTCTAAAGCAAAGGAGACAGTGGGAGCTGAAGGGGAGACTGGAGGCTGTGAGGAGACTGTTGGCAACACTGAGGTGAGGAACCAAGAGGCCCTGTGGATGGAGGGAGGGGATCCATTTAAGAGACACTTAGAGGCTGGTTCAATAGGCCATGGTGACTGGTGACAGGAGGCATGTGAGGGCAGGGGAGAGTTCATTCAGCATTCTTATAGCACCCCACAATTTTTTTTTTTTTTGAGATGGAGTCTCACTCTGTTGCCCAGGCTGGAGTGCAGTGGCACAGTCTTGGCTCACTGCAACCTCCGACTCCCAGGTTCAAGTGATTCTCCTGCCTCAGCCTCCCAAGTAGCTGGGACTACAGGAGCCCACCACCACGCCTGGCTAATTTTTGTATTTTTAGTACAGACGGGGTTTTACTATGTTGGCCAGGCTGGTCTTGAACTCCTGACCTCGTGATCTGCCCGCCTCGGCCTCCCAAAGTGCTGGGATTATAGGCATGAGCCACTGCGCCCAGCCACAATTCTTTTTTTAAAATTTATTTTATGTAATTGATAAATAAAAATTGTATTTATGGTGTACAACATGAGGTTTTGAAATATGTTTATATTGTTGAAGGTCTAAATCAAACTAATTAACATATGCATTACCTCGGTTTTTTTTTTTTTTTTTTTTTGAGACAGAGTCTTGCTCTGTTCCCAGGCTGGAGTGCTGTGGTGTGATCTCAGTTCACTGCAACCTCCGTCTCCAGGGTTCAAGCAATTCTCATGCCTCAGCATCCCAAATGGCTGGGATTACCGGTGCCTGCCACCACACCTGGCTAATTTTTGTATTTTTAATAGAGATGGGGTTTCACCATATTGGCCAGGCTGGTTTCGAACTCCAGACCTCATGATCTGCCCGCCTCAGCCTCCCAAAGTGCGGGGATCACAGGCGTGAGCCACCACTCCCGGTCTTACTTGATTTTTTTTTTTGTAGTGAGAACACTTAAAATCTACTCTTTTATTGATTTTTAAGTATACAATACATTGCTTTTAACTACAGACACCAGATCATACAATAGATCTCTTGAACTTATTTCTCCTCTCTAACTGAAATTTCTTATCCTTTGACCAACATCTCCCTTCTTCTCCCCACAAACCCAGTGAGGACTTGGTAACCACCATTCTACTCTCTGCTTCTATGAGTTTGACTTTATTTATTTATTTATTTATTTAGAGACAGGGTCTTGCTGTGTTGCCCAGGCTGCAGTGCAGTGGCACAATCATGGCTCACTGCATCCTTGACTTCCAGGGCTCAAGTGATCCTCCCACTTCAGCCTCCTGAGCTCTAGGACTGCAGTCATGAGCCACCATGCCTGGCTAATTTTTTTTTTTTTTTCTGAGATGGAGTCTTGTCTCACTGTTGCCCAGGCTGGAGTGCAGTGGCGCGATCTCAGCTCACTGCAAGCTCCGCCTCCCGGGTTCACGCCATTCTCCTGCCTCAGCCTCCTGAGTAGCTGGGACTACAGGCACCCGCCACCACACCCAGCTAAGTTTTTGTATTTTTAGTAGAGATGGGGTTTCACTGTGTTAGCCAGGATGGTCTCGCTATCCTGACCTCGTGATCCACCCGCCTCAGCCTCCCAAGGTGCTGGGATTACAGGCGTGAGCCACCACACCTGGCTGCTGGCTAATTTTTAAAATTTTGGTAGAGATGGGGTCCCATTATGCTGAGTTTGACTTTTTTAAGATTTGGCACATAAGGGAGATTATATGGTATTTGTTTTCCTGTGCCTGGCTTATTTCACTTAACATAGTGTCCTCCAGGTTTATGCATGTTGTTGCAAATGATGGGATTTTCTTCTTTTTAAGGCTGAAGAATGCCATTGTGTATATATACCACCTTTTCTTTATCCATTCTTCTGTTGATGGAATCTTAGGTTGATCTCATATCTTTGCTACTGTGAATATTCCTGCAATGAACATAGGAGTACAGCTACCTCTTCAACATACTAATTTCATTTCCTTTGAATATGTACCCAGAAGTGGGTTGCTGGATCACATAGTAGTTCTACTTGTAATTTTTTGGGGAACCTTGATATTGTTTTCTATAATGACTGTACTAATTTATATTCCCACCAACAGTAAACAGAGATTCCCTTTTCTCCACATCATCACCAACCCTTATCTTTCATCATTTTGGTAATAGTCATTCTAACAGGCGTGAGGTGATATCTTATTATCATTTTATTTTGCATTTCCCAGATGATTAGTGATTAGTGATGAAAAAGACATTTGTATGTCTTTTTTTGAGAAATGTCTATTTGGGTTATTTGCTTATTTTATTATTATTATTATTATTATTATTATTATTATTTTGAGATGGAGTCTCGCTCTGTCGCCCAGGCTAGAGTGCAGTGCCACGATCATAGCTCACTGCAGCTTTGAATTCCTGGGCACAAGTGACCCTCTCACCTCAGCCTCCTGAGTAGCTGGGATTACAGGTGCATGCCACCACATCCAGCTGATTTATTTTTTAACTTTTTATTTGTAGAGATAGGTGTCTTGCTATGTGGCCCAGGCTGGTCTCAACCCCTGGCTTCAGGTGATCCTGCTGCCTCCACCTCCCAAAGTGTTGAGATTACAGGTGTGAGTCACCATGCCCTGACTCTTTGCCTTTTTTTTTTTTTTGAGATGGAGCCTCACTTCGTCACCCAGGATGGAGTGCAGTGGCATAATCTTGGCTCACTGCAACCTCCCCCTCCCAGGTTCAAGTGATTCTCTTGCCTCAGCCTCCTGAGTAGCTGGGATTACAGACGTACATCACGAGGTCTGCCTAATTTTTTTGTATTTTTTTAGTAGAGACAGGGTTTCACCATGTTGGCCAGACTAGTCTCGAACTCCAGACCTCAAATGATCTGCCCGCCTTGGCCTCCCAAAGTGCTGGGATTTCAGGCAACAGCCGTCGCGCCTGGCCTTTGCCCATTTTTTGAGTTATTTGCTTTCTTGTTACTGAGTTACTTGAGTTCACATATTTTGGATATTAACCCCTTTTCAGATGTATGGTTTGCAAATATTTTCTCCCATTCTGTATGTCATCTCTGTTGATTGTTGCCATTGCTGTGCAGAAGCTTTTCAGTTTGATGCAACTTCATTTGTCTATTTTAGCTTTTGTTGCCTGTGCTTTCTGGGTCATAGCCAAAAAACCATTGCCCAGACAAGTGTCGTTAAGCTTTCTTTTGTGTGTGTGTGTGTGTGTGGTGTGTGTGTGTGTATGTGTCTGTGTGTGTGTGGCAGAGTCTCAATCTGTCACCCAGGCTGGAATGCAGTGGCTCAATCATGGCTCACTGCAGTCTTGACTTCCTGGGCTCAGGTGATTCTCCCACCTTAACCTCCCGAGTAGCTAGGACTACAGGTCTGGTCCACCATGCCTGGCTAATTTTTTGTATGTTCAGTACAGATGGGGTTTAAGGCTGAAGAATGCCATTGTATATATAGACCACCTTTTATACACAATATATACACAATATATACCATTGTGTATATATACCATGTTGCTCAAGCTGGTCTCAAACTCCTGGGCTCAAGCGATCCACCTGCATCAGCCCCAAAGTGCTGGGGTTACAGGTGTGAGCCACCATGCCTGGCCTTTTTTTTTGGCTCAAGATTGCTTTTGCTGTTTGGAGTATTTTGTGGTTCTATATTAATTTAAAATTGTTTTTTCTATTTCTGTGAAAAATGTCATTGGAATTTTGATAGGCTTGCATTGAATCTGTAAATTGCTTTGGATAATATGGACATTTTAACAATATTAATTCTTCCAAAGCACCCTTCATTTCTTTTTTCTTTCTTTCTTTTTTTTTTTTTTTTTGAGATGGAGTTTTGCTCTTGTTGCCCAGGCTGGAGTACAATGGCGTGGTCTCGGCTCACTACAACCTCTGCTTCCCTGGTTCAAACAATTCTCCCACCTCAGCCTACTGAGTGGCTGGGATTACAGGCATATGCCACCACGCCTGGCTAATTTTGGCATTTTTAGTAGAAACAGGGTTTCACCATGATGACCAAGCTGGTCTCAAACTCCTGACCTCAGGTGATCCGCCTGCCTCCACCTCCCAAAGTGCTGGGATTACAGGCATGAACCACCGTGCCTGGCCTGGAAGCAGGAGACTTCTAGAAAGAGTAGGGAAAGGCCTTGAGCTGGGACCGAGGGCTGAGCCTCCAGGGCAGTCTCTGTCATGGACTTCCATGACAAACCCTACTCCCAGGACACTGGCTCTGGACACTGCAGCCCCTCCCCACAGGCTTCCATATTCCCTTATCCAGCCCCTGGCCCTCCGTGAGGCTCCTGCTGCCCGTGAACCTCTCATTCCCCTTCCCTTTCTCACCCAAGGAGCCTGCTGCAGGCCTGGGAGCGGCAGCGGCAGGAGGAGCGGCAGCAGGCCGAGCTGCGGCGGGCCCGGACACAGCATGTACAGCGGCAGGTGGCCCACTGCCTGGCAGCCTACGCACCCAGAGGGAGCCGGGGCCCTGGGGCGGCCCAGCGCAAGCTGGAGGAGCTGAGGTAGGGAGCCTGGGCTTCGGGAGGCCTGGTTGGGAGAGGGCAGGGAGGCCGTGTCAGGTCTCAGTCTACAGGACCGAGGAGCACCAGCCCTCGCCTTCCCTGGGGCTAACCAGGCCACTTCACCGCGTTTCCAGATAAGGACGCTGAGGCATGGGGAGAAGGGGTCTGTCGAAGGCCACCCAGTTAATAATGACAATCTCTGCAGCTGTTGAATGGTCAAGGTTAAAATATTCTACATGTATGATCACACTTTCAAATCTTCATTTTCTGATTTCCAATGCCAGACATGCTTGTTATAAAATTTCAAAGATTACAGAAATAATGCCTGGAGAAGGTGAACAGCCGTGTGACCCCACTCTGGGAGACAACCATTGTTCACAGTCAGCTGAAGAGTCGCGTTTTGTTCTCTTCCTATATTGTGACCATTTTCCTTTTTTTTTTTTTTTGAGACGGAGTCTCGCTCTGTCGCCCAGGCTGGAGTGCAGTGGCGCGATCTCGGCTCACTGCAATCTCCGCCTCCCAGCTTCACGCCATTCTCCTGCCTCAGTCTCCCGAGTAGCTGAGACTACAGGCGCCCGCCACCACGCCCGGCTAATTTTTTTTTTTTTTTGTATTTTTAGTAGAGACGGGGTTTCACCGTGTTAGCCAGGATAGTCTCGATCTCCTGACCTCGTGATCCACCCGCCTCAGCCTCCCAAAGTGCTGGGATTACAGGTGTGAGACACTGCACCTGGCCGTGACCATTTTCCTAATAAGCAGATTTGTGGGCAAACGTTTTTGGACTCCTAACAGGTCCGTGAAGCAGGGAGTATTGCTGCTGGTGGGCCAGGTCAGGTTCTTCCCTTGGCCGCACAAAAGAAAAAGTTTATTGCAAAGCAAAGGCCACCCTGACCAACATGGTGAAACCTCATCTCTACTAAAAATACAAAAAGTAGCCAGGTGCGGTGGCACATACCTGTAATCCTAGCTATTCGGGAGGCTGAGGCAGGAGAATTGCTTGAACCCGGGAGATGGAGGTTGCAGTGAGCCGAAATTGAGCCACTACACTCCAGCCTGGGCGACAGAGCAAAAACTCCATCTCAAAAAAAAAAAAAAAAGCCCACCCTGAGGACTGCTCAGAGGGAGAGACGGCAGCTTGTGCCTTAAGAGGAATTCCTTTTATGGAAGTTGTTTATACCTAGTCACAAAATACTGGTGAGGTCAGGTATGCAAAGGTGGACCTGTGGTGGGCGCATGCGCTCAGCATCTGCATGCTCCAACACGCATCACATGTAACATTAGCATATACAATCTCTACCTAGGGGTGTGTTTTTTTACCATCAAAACGAGGAAAATGTTGCTATAAGCTAAACCTTGAGCCTAGCTGTGTATGCGGAACCCCGAGAAGTCCTTAGCTCCCTCCAAGGCAGGAATTTGTAGCTAATAGCTTCTTGGGCTTTTGGTGCTGATTGGCTGGAGATCGGGGAAGCTACATTATGAATAAGGGGCTTTTGTTTTTTTTTTCCTGGGCTGTGCTAGGTATGAGGGAACTTGTAGCCATCTGGTATCCCCTAAGACTGCTTATCTTGCAAAAGAGTTAGGTACTCGGCTGTACGCCGTGGCTCACACCTGTAATCCCAACACTTTGGGAAGCCGAGGTAAGTGGATCACCTGAGGTCAGGATTTCGAGACCAGCCTGGCCAACGTAATGAAACCCCGTCTATACTAAAAAATATATATACAAAAATTAGCTGGGCGTAGTGGCGCGCGACTGTAGTCCCAGCTACTTGGGAGGCTGAGGCGGGAGAATCACTTGAACCCGGGAGGCGGAGGTTGCAGTGAGCCGAGACTGCACCATTGCACTCCAGCCTGGGTGACAGAGAAAGACTCCGTTTCAAAAAAAAAAAAAAGAGTTAGGTGCTGATGCACGAGGGCACAGGGGCTGCAGAGCTCCTGCGAAAGGAGCCCCTGGGGCTTCATACAAGGGGAAAAGTCAGTACGGCCCGCTCACCTTACTATCCTACCTTGGTATCTCCACCTGCATAACCCCACCGGTGAGGAACCTGAGGCTCAGAGATCTTCAATAATTTGTCAAAGGTCATGCATGGGCAGCAGAATTGGGTTCCAGCCACGATGCTGCCCTGCCTGAGCACTCAAATCCTCCGCTTTTAGACGAAAGGCACCAGGACCTTCCCCCAAGAGCCCAAACCAATGACACATGTAACACAAATAAATCAAATAAATATGACCAAAACCAGTGCCATTGATTTGAGCACCTCCTGGGTGCAGCGGGCGCAGGGCATCTTTTTCTGCACCCTGTCTCCTTTGGTCCGTGGCAAGTGGGGTGAGGGTCCTGCCCTGCCTTAAGGCCACTGACGGCTCAGCGGGGTTCTTATCACCTACTCTTTGAGGCTCAGTCTTTTTTTTTTTTTTTTTTTGAGACAGAGTTTCGCTCTTGTTGCCCAAGCTGGAGTGCAATGGCGCGATCTCGGCTCACCGCAACCTCTGCCTCCCGGGTTCAAGCAATTCTCCTGCCTCAGCCTTCCGAGTAGCTGGGATTACAGGCATGCGCCTCCACGCCCGGCTAATTTTGTATTTTTAGTACAGACAGGGTTTCTCCATGTTGGTCAGGCTGGTCTTGAACTCCCGACCTCAGCTGATCCGCCCGCCTCAGCCTCCCAAAGTGCTAGGATTACAGGCGTGAGCCACCGCGCCCGGCCGAGGCTCAGTCTTAATCACCCCAATTTTACAGATTTGGAAACAGAGGCTCTGAAAGGTCAAGTGTGTTTTGGGGGACTGCTTGGGCCAATGTTTAGGGGGATCCTTTCTCCTTCCCAATCTTGCTCTGTTGCCCAGGCTGGAGTGCAGTGGTGTGATCTCAGTTCACTGAAACCTCCATCTCCCGGGCTCAAGCAATTCTCCTGCCTCAGCAACCTGAGTAGCTGGGACCACAGGTGCGCGCCACCACACCTGGCTAATTTTTTTGTATTTTTGGTAGAGACAGGGTTTCACCATATTGCCCCAGCTGTCTCAGACTCCTGACCTCAAGTGATCTGGCTGCCTCGGCCTCCCAGAGTTTTGGGATTACAGGCGTGAGCCACCGCGCCCAGCCAAGTGTTTTGTTTTCACAGTGAGGCAGGAAGTGTAAGGTTCAGAACTCCAAGTGGCAGGTGCAGCAAAAAGAGTGATTCAACCTCACTCCTTTTACTTTCTATTTGAGAGGGCTAAGGCATAAGTAGGTATCTCCCATGCAGTCTCTCAGCCATTACAGCCTATGAACTTCGCTGTCTGAGCGGAACAGGAGACTCTGTCCTGCCTAGGAAGGGCAGGCACAAAAGAGGTTGTCCTGTGGGAGGGAGGGATGTGTCTCCTTCCATTCTGAGATGATGGACGGGGCTGACACCCATAGGCACCACTTCCCTTTCTGCTCAGGGCTCCTGTCATTGTTTTTTTGAGACAAAGTCTCGCTCTGTCGCCAGGCTGGAGTACAGTGGTGCAATCTCGCCTCACCATAACCTCCAACTCCCCAGTTCAGACGATTCTCCTGCCTCAGCCTCCCAAGTAGCTGGGATTACAGGCGCACGCCACCACTCCCAGCTAACTTTTGTATTTTTAGTAGAGACAGGGTTTCACCATGTTGGCCAGGATGGTCTCGATCTCCTGACCTCGAGATCTGCCCGCCTCGGCCAGCTCCTGTCACTTCTAACAGAAATAGCATAAAGTATCCAGCAGGAAAAGTGCACACAATATCACAGAAAAGATAGGGACTGCCAGCTCATTTCCCACCTCCCCTTGTAACTGCCATAAATTCCTTCCTAAATGGTGAAAGCCGTTTTTGCAGTAACTTGTGTTCCGGGCCATGGGTTTTCAAGTCCATGTCTTTTTCTCAATGAAGGATGGTTCCTTCCCTGGCACAGGGCCACAGCAAGGGTGGCATGGCCCAGCAAGGCTGAGTTTTTCCACCGGGCCCAGCACAATCGCTGAGGTCCCAGTACAGGTCTTGGGGTCTTGTCTGTGTCTCCCCTCCCCTCCTGTCCTCTTGTCTGCGTCTTCCCTCCCCTCCTGTCCATGGGTGCTGCCTCCACACCTCAAGGCCTCTCTTACATGCTTCACAGATGGATGCCTGGTCCCATGTGGGTGTGGCTCGAAGGTCCCTCTTGCTGCTAGAGTGCTCTCTTCATGAGTGGCAGTGATACTCAAGTTTGTCAAACAGACACATTTCTGACAAGTGCACAAACTGGGTTTTGGGTTTTTTGAGACAGGGTCTTGCTCTGTTGCCCAGGCTGGAGTGCAGTGGCACAATCTCAGCTCACTGTAGCCTAGACCTCCGAGGCTCAAGCGATCCTCCCACCTTGGCCTCCCAACTACCCAGGACTACAGGTGCATACCACCATGTCTGGCTAATTTTTGTAGAGACAGGATTTCACCATGTTGCCCAGTCTGGTCTCAAACTCTTGGGCTCAAGTGATCCACCCTCCTTGGCCTTCCAAAGTGCTGGGATTACAGGTGCGAGCCACCACGCCTGGCCAAATTGGGTTTTTATAAATGAAAATTGTGCTTCCCCAGTGGAACCCTGATCTCTCAGGGGTGTGTTTTTTAAATTTGAAACATATTTTTTTTTAGTTTCTCTGTCCCATTTTCCAAGCTGTCTGCTTACAAGAACCACAGAGAATGCTGGCAAGCTTGTCCGATCCCTACTATAGCACAGTGAAATAAACTGAGCCCAGAGCCAAGAGCCCAGAGAGAGGCCTCACCCAAAGTCACACAACCAACAACCACAGCTCCCCCTCAAGGGAAAGAGGATGGGGAGGGGAAGCTATGTAAGCACGTGTCTGGAAGCTCAGAAGCCAGCACTGGCCCCTTTCCCATGGGGCTGGCACAGGAGGATGGGCAAGCCCCAGCTGCACAGGGCTCGGCCCCTCACTTCCCAGCTGCACAACTTTGAACAAGTCCCTCAACCCTCCCGATCCATCCGTAAATTGGGTGAATAATTTCCACCTTGGCTGACTTCACAAGGAATCCAGGCAAGAATGGGAATGAAATAGCTTTGTAAAGGTGAGGGTGAGGACATGAATATCAAGTCCTTAGTGAAGATAAGCGGGCTCAGGAATGGAGATCAACAGTTGTGTCCATGGTTAGCTGCACAAAGGCCTGTCTCCCCTGCAGGCGCCAGGAGCGACAGCGCTTTGCTGAGTACCAGGCGGAGCTGCAAGGCATCCAGCACAGGGTGCAGGCCCGGCCCTTCCTGTTCCAGCAGGCTATGCAGGTGAGGCTGGCACCTGGGCAAGCACATAGCTGCCCCCTGTGAAGAGCTGGCTGAGTGGGTAGGGAAGCAGGATGCGAGTAGGTCCCTGCAGATAGGATCCCAGGGCTGCTGCCCTCTGGAATCCCTGGGACCCCCTCAGTAACCCGATCCCCACCTTGCCCTCGGCAGCCCTGGTGCAGAGCAGGAAGCCGTCTTCTCTCTCCTCAGGCCAATGCCCGGCTCACCGTCACTCGGCGCTTCTCCCAGGTGCTGTCAGCACTGGGGCTGGATGAGGAGCAGCTGCTGTCTGAGGCAGGAAAGGTGGACAGAGAGGGCACCCCCAGGAAACCCAGGTGAGTCTCCCCGTCAGGTCAAGAACTGACTCTGCCATGCTGCTGCGGGAAGGGGCGCCCACACCAGCACTCTGGGCTCTGGAGGGCCTCCCCCAGGACAGGCAGAGAGCCCAGAGGAAGGCAAGGCCAGGGTTGTCATTCCTACTTCTCAATGAGGAAACTAAGGACCTGAGGGGAAGGGCCTTCTTTAAGGACGCAGGAGCGAACAAGCAGCAGAACCAGTCTGGGACTCTGCAACCATCTGAGCGGCCACACACCAAGTCCCTCATTAGGGGCTGGCACCACCACGCTGGTCACCCCATGCCTTAGAATAACCTGGTACAGAGCAGCGATTATGAAGCCCACTTGACAATAAGGAAAGTGAGACTCGAGAAGAGTCACTTTGCCCAGGATCACACAGCAAGCCGGCACTGAAGCAGGGTTTGAAGCCACATTGTCAGTGGTTTCCTTGGGCATGGGGGTGGGAGCTGCAGAGTCAGGGGCCTCTATCTGTGTCTTGAAGGAGCCACAGGTCAATGGGGGTGAGAATGGAGCACTCTCCTCAGAGGCCCCCAAGGACAGAACCCACCGGCAGCCAGCCTGACAGGCACTACAACCCCAGCCTGGACCCGGAGTGCAGTCCCTGAGATAAAATTAAAGGCTTTATGGCAAACACAGTATGAGATTTCTGGTGGTGGGGGTGGTGGAAGCTACGGGTTGGAAGTTGGAGGTGGCAGGTGGGTGGGCAGCAGGCTTAGCTCTGTCCCCGCACCCCCTCCCCACCAGGAGCTTTGGCTCTTTTGGTTCCCCCCACCCAGTACACACAGCCCCTTCTCTGCTCCTGAGGAGTGGGGACATCTCAAAGAGCAAGAGCTGTGACTTCTCCACCCCATCTCCAATGTATATGTTGGGTCCTATAAATTCAAGCATGAATAAGATGAAATGACTCCTGCCTCTGAGGACGCCCAGTGAGTGGGAGAGGGGGTGGATCCTTAAAGGGGCGCATACAACATAGCCTAACACATGCTGAGTTGTGCCACACAGGGAGCCACAGACTGAGCAACCACTGGGTGAGGGGAGGGGTTTCAGGAGAGATTGGGATTGTGTGCACTGCGCTTTTTTTTTTTTTTTTTAAGACAGAGTCTCGCTCTGTCACCAGGCCGGAGTGCAATGGTGTGATCTCAACTCACTGCAACCTCTGCCTCCCAGGTTCAAGCGATTCTCCTGCCTCAGCCTCCTGAGTAGCTGGGACTACAGGTGTGCGCCACCACACCCAGCTAATTTTTGTATTTTTAGTAGAGACGGGGTTTTACCATGTAGGCCAGGATGGTCTCGATCTCTTGACCTCGTGATTCGCCTGCCTTGGCCTCCCAAAGTGCTGGGATTACAGGCGTGAGCCACCGCGCCCGGCCTGCACTGGGGTTTTAAGTCCCAATAGTTTTAAGTTAGGGCTGGTCTCCTCAAGAAAAAAACTCATACACACAGATGTGCCACATTTTGCATTCAATTTCAGGGGTTCCAGGGATACACTGACGCCCATGTGGAGCTCCTAAACAATCTTAACAGTTCACGGGGCCAGGTTTTAAAAATCCAATCCAGGGCCAGGCGCAGTGGCGCATGCCTGTAATCTCAGCACTTTGGGAGGCCAAGGCGGGTGTATAGCCTGAGCTCAGGAGTTCGAGACCAGCCTGGCCAACATAGTGACCCCACCCCCTACCCCCGCTCCCCACCAACCATCTACAAAAAAATACAAAAATTAAAGGGGCGTGGTAGCGTACTCTCGTAGTCCCAGCTACTGGGAAGGCTGAGGTGGGAGGATCACTTGAGCCCAGGAGGTCGAGGCTGCAGTGCGCTGTGATCACGCCACTGCACTCCAGCCTGAGCAACAGAGTGAGATCCTATCTCAAGGGAAAAAACAAAACAAAACAAAACAGGGAACGTGGGAAGGAAGCGTTCCCTGACGATACTGGTTATAGCGGGTCTGAAGCTGGGCTGTGGAATTGGAGATCTCGGGAAAACAACACCCGTTGGAGCCACGACCCTAGGAGTCCACTAAGCGAGCGCCCATTGTAGGAGGGAGGTGTCTACGGAAAGACCGTGAGGTAGTGAACACCCCGTTGCCGGTGAAGTGCAAGCGCAGGGAGGCCGGGGAGGAACTTAAAGCCACGAAGACACTGACTTAATGGGCTCTAAGTCCTTCCAGTTCTGGGATCCCACCTCCGGGTTAATTCCGCTTCCCTTGAGGAGCGCATGCGCAATGGGACCACTCGCTCAAAGAACCCACCCGACCCGAGACGGCGCGAATGTGCAGTCGAGCGCTGATCCCGGCCTTCCCATGAGCCTCTGGGGCAGGCTCCAAGGCGAGCGACGGAAGCAGCCGCTCTTAGTTTCCGGCAACACGACAGCGGCTGCCGAGCGACCCGGAAGTATTCCCATTTTGCGTTGTCTGGGCTCGGCGGCAGCCGGGCTCGGAGTGGACGTGCCACTATGGGGTCGTCCAAGAAGCATCGCGGAGAGAAGGAGGCGGCCGGGACGACGGCGGCGGCCGGCACCGGGGGTGCCACCGAGCAGCCGCCGCGGCACCGGGAACACAAAAAACACAAGCACCGGAGTGGCGGCAGTGGCGGTAGCGGTGGCGAACGACGGAAGCGGAGCCGGGAACGTGGGGGCGAGCGCGGGAGCGGGCGGCGCGGGGCCGAAGCTGAGGCCCGGAGCAGCACGCACGGGCGGGAGCGCAGCCAGGCAGAGCCCTCCGAGCGGCGCGTGAAGCGGGAGAAGCGCGATGACGGCTACGAGGCCGGTGAGGAGGCGGGGCCTGCGCAGGGGGCGGGTCGGGCGGGGGTCCCGGAACGCGTGGGTCTGGGTGTGCGCGCAGTGTCAGCGAAGCTCTTCAGGCCAGGAAACCCCCAAGCTGTTTACCAGCTCTATTAAATAGTCTTTCTACGGGATCCCTTGAGCCCAGGAGTTAGAGGCTGCAGTGAGCTGCGGTCCCGCCAGTGTACTCCAGCCTGGGCAACAAAGCGAGACTCTGTCTCAAAAAGAAAAAAGTCTTTCTACGGTTGTTTAGGATTAGAGGTTGACTTTCTCCACTCAGCTGCTTGAGGACAGAGGGCTTCTGTTTTCCTCAGTTGTCTGGTACAATCAGATTCTCAATAAATATGTTGAATGAGTGAATGAAGTAGTGTCAGCATATACAGAGGCAAGAAAAACCTGGTATTGGACGAATCGTGTAGGGCGCATGGTAGAGAAATGAGGGAGTAAGATAGACAGGGATGTGAACACAAAGGACCCTGTACTGTAGTCTCTGTTAAGAACTGTAGATTGTCTTGAGGATAGTAGGGAGCCATGGATGTGAGTTGAGGAGTGAGTTGCTCAGATCCGTATTTTGTAAACATCACTGGATTGAGAATTTAGTCAAAGGTAGTCAGGACTGGAGACCAGGAAACCAGGAGGGCTATAGGCCAGGGGAGGGCTGATGGTGGCCTGCACCAAGGCAGCAGCAGTGGGATTGAGAGAAGTGGACAGGTTGGAGAGGTGTTTTGGAGGAGGAATGAACAGAACTCAGCACTTGTATGAGGGTGGGAAGAAGGAATGGAGGATGACTCCTTGAATTTTGGCTTGAGCAGCCAGATAGGTAGTGGGTGTCATTTCTACTGAAATTGAGGAGTAGGGAAGAGAAGCAGATTTGGAGCGGGGGTGGGGGGAGATAGTTCACTTTTGGGGTTGTCAAGGTTGATGGTAATGGGGAAATCCAGAGTTTGGACTGGATAAAGCCATTGGGAGTCAGTATCTGGGTGGCCAGTGAAGCCCCTGAAAGACTGTGACATGAGAAGAGGGGGTCAGGACTAGAACCTGAGAAATGCCCTTATGTTAGTAGTAGGCAGAGAAAGATGTTACCAAAAAAAGGAGACAGAGTAACCAAAAAGGCAGGAAAACCTTTGTGTCATGGGAACTTTGGGAAGAGAGTATTGTTAGAAGGAGGGAGCGATCAGCAGTCCCACATACCACAGGAGATCAAGCAAAACCAGAACCGAAAAGAACCCACTAGATTTAGAAACGAGGAGGCTGGTGACCTTGGGGAGCCTGGAGAGGTTGGGATCCATGGCCCAGGTGGAGAGAGAAGCCTTTAAGATAAAGGAGAAGGTAGGATGCAGGATGGGAATGCAGGAAAGGAAGAGTTTTTTTTTTGTTTTGTTTTGTTTTTTTGAGACAAAGTCTTGCTCCATTGCCCAGGCTAGAGTGCAGTGGCACGATCTCAGCTCACTGCAAGCTCTGCCTCCTGGGTTCAAGCAATTCTCCTACCTCAGCCTCCCGAGTATCTGGGATTACAGGTGCGCACCACCGTGCCTGGCTAATTTTTATATTTTTAGTAGAGACGGGGTTTCACCATCTTGGCCAGGCTGGTCTTGAACTTCTGACCTCGTGATCCATCTGCCTCGGCCTCCCAAAGTGCTGGGATTACAGGCATGACCCACCATACCCGGCCCAGACCTTGTCTGTTAAAAATGAAAGAAAAAAGTAGAGGGCAGAGTGGTGACTACAGCAGTTTGGATGTCTTGGGTCAGGAAAGGAAGGTGCACAGAAGAGGCAGGGCTCTGAGACTGGACTCGGGCAGAGGAGCTGCTGGGGAGCTTGGGTGGAAGAAGCTGCTGTTTTCTGGTGTTTCAGCAGGCCCAGGTGCTGGTGAGGGGCCCTCATTTTTGTTCCTGCAGCTGGAGCCAACGATGCTGGCTTCTTGGCCCTGTGTTCAGCTCCTGAGCCATGCTTCTTCTTGTTCCAGCTGCCAGCTCCAAAACTAGCTCAGGCGATGCCTCCTCACTCAGCATCGAGGAGACTAAGTGAGTACTGTCTCCCTTGTTTCTACTTTGTTTTTCTAAGAGAGGTGGCTCTGGGGCCAGCACGGGGGAGGCTTTCTCACATGAAAGTGTGCTAATCAGAGTTGGAAAGATTGTTTAAATCATCTTAGCCAACAGTTGACTTATAGAAGAGAAAACTAAAACCTAAGAGTAAAGTGGCATTCACTGGTTAGACGCAGACCAGGCTGGTGCCCATGTTTCCTGCTTTGGAGGCCAGGGCCCTTCCCAGTGTCCTAGGCTGCCTGGGGCAGACTTTGTGTTTGGGACCACTCACTCCCACCCTGTTTCTCCTCTTGTCTGTCTGGAAATGCACATGGCACCCTGTGTCTTTAATAGCCCCTAACACTTGTATCTCTTGTTGTCAGCAAACTCCGGGCAAAGTTGGGGCTGAAACCCTTGGAGGTTAATGCCATCAAGAAGGGTGAGTATGGGGCTGAGGATAGGGTTTGGGGGAAAGAGGCCATCTGAAGGGGTCTTTGAAGAAGGTGGGGTTAGAGGGCAGGTTCAGCACTGTTTAGTGGTCTTACACATGCATATTTGCCGGAAGGCATGAGGTCCCTCCTTGCTGGTATAATGGGGATCTGGGGCTCCGCCTGCTCTCTGAGTTGGAGCTGTGGCCGTCGCATACTCACTCTGGCTGTGAGTTGTTAGATGGACTGGAAGATGTGCACACTTGCTGCAGACTGCGCTGTGCGGGGGTGGGTTTCTTGTTTTTCTTTAAAGCACGATTTGAGGGGCTTTGGAAGCCACAGAGGGTCCTGTTGTGCTGCATGGGTTGGCCAGGAGTGTGGGGACGAAGTGGGAGCAGGGAGGTGAAGGATTGTTCCTTCCTGTCCTGACCCCTTCTGGCCCCCTGAGCTGGAAGGGGGCAGGGTGAGTGGCTCCCTCCTCTCCCCACCAGCCATGGGCGGGCATAGCCTCACGTCTGGGCCCCCCTTCCAGAGGCGGGCACCAAGGAGGAGCCCGTGACAGCTGATGTCATCAACCCTATGGCCTTGCGACAGCGAGAGGAGCTGCGGGAGAAGCTGGCGGCTGCCAAGGAGAAGCGCCTGCTGAACCAAAAGCTGGGGTGAGGGGTCCTGGCCAGGGCAGGCAAGGGAAGGGCTGGGGAGGCCACCATCCTTGGCTGCCTCTTGAGTGGGGTGGGGAGCAGGAGCTGGGCTCCTTGAGCATCACTTTTTCCCCTCTTCAGGAAGATAAAGACCCTAGGAGAGGATGACCCCTGGCTGGACGACACTGCAGCCTGGATCGAGAGGAGCCGGCAGCTGCAGAAGGAGAAGGACCTGGCAGAGAAGAGGGTGAGCACCTGGGCAGCATGGGGTGGTCGCCTAGTGCTTCTGGTGGCCTGACGGCACTGAGGCGGGGGCCAACCCCAGAGAGGTGAGACGGGGCTTGGAGAAGGGAAGGGCCGTGGTCGGTAGCATCTACTTTGGATTCTCAGCAGCTTTCCTGCAAGGCCTGCCCTTTTTGCACTCCGCTTGGTAGAGCCCTGAGTGTTTTCTGGTGATGCTGAGTGGCCTGAAGTCCTAGGTCACCCCTCCCTGTCCCGTAGGCCAAGTTACTGGAGGAGATGGACCAAGAGTTTGGTGTCAGCACTCTGGTGGAGGAGGAGTTCGGGCAGAGGCGGCAGGTGAGGCTGCAGCAGGGGTGGTACAGGGGACACTGGTGGCCTTGCTACCGGAATCCCGAGGTTGGGTGCGTGGAGGGAGGTTCCTGACTCGCCGATTCTTCCCTTAGGACCTGTACAGTGCCCGGGACCTGCAGGGCCTCACCGTGGAGCATGCCATTGATTCCTTCCGAGAAGGGGAGACAATGATTCTTACCCTCAAGGACAAAGGTAATGCGAGCTGGGTGCCCTGGGTGGGGGCACAGCCTCTGCTGAGTTGCGGACAAGTGTGAATGGCCACTGCTCTGTGCTGCCCCCAGGCGTGCTGCAGGAGGAGGAGGACGTGCTGGTGAACGTGAACCTGGTGGATAAGGAGCGGGCAGAGAAAAATGTGGAGCTGCGGAAGAAGAAGCCTGACTACCTGCCCTATGCCGAGGACGAGAGCGTGGACGACCTGGCGCAGGCACGGCCTGGGCAGGCTGGGTGGCGGGGGCTGAGGTGGAGAATGTCGGGAATGGGGGCTCTGAGGAGGTGGTGGCTCAGTGGCTTTTCAGGAGCCAGCCTGGGTCCCAACCTGTACCTCTTGCCTTGCAGCAAAAACCTCGCTCTATCCTGTCCAAGTATGACGAAGAGCTTGAAGGGGAGCGGCCACATTCCTTCCGCTTGGAGCAGGGCGGCACGGCTGATGGCCTGCGGGAGCGGGAGCTGGAGGAGATCCGGGCCAAGCTGCGGCTGCAGGCTCAGTCCCTGAGCACAGTGGGGCCCCGGCTGGCCTCCGAATACCTCACGCCTGAGGAGATGGTGAGCCCTCCCGTGCCTTATACTCGGGGTCAAGATTCTCCCTCCCTCTGGGGCTCCTGCCCTGCCCGCAGGCACTGAGAAGACAGGGCGAGTATTTGTGTTCACAAAGCGCTTGGCCTCGCGGGTGAGCACTAAATGGCAACCGGGGGAGGCACCAGGTGTGGATGGGTCAGGGCTGCTGAGCCAGATGGGCCCCAGTCTGTTTCGGCTCTGCCATGCTGCCAGCTCGTGCCTTGGATAAACCATTTAACTGTGAGCCTGGGGCACCCCATCTGGAATGGCAGTGACAGGAGCCGCCTCCTGAGGTTGCTGTGAGGATGAGTGACAGCGTGGGTGAGGGGTGACTGGAGAGGTGTGCGTGGATTCTGTCCACAGGGTGACTGTGTGAACGTGAGGTAGACAGCTGGCGCGGTAGGCGTCTTCCTCAGTGGGTAAGAGCAGGACTCTGGAGCCAGACTGCCCAGCTCTCCCACCTAGGAGCTGGGCAACCTTGGGGAAGGTACTTAACCTCCCTGTGCCCCAGTTTCCCTAGCTCACCAGTGGAATTGAGATAGTAACCACCCCACATGTTGCTCATGTGTGGGAAGCGCTCAGGACGCTGGCTAGCACAGAGGAACACCAAAGAAGTGTTCACCCTCGAGGGCTTGTGGCGACCTGCCTTTCTGTGGCCCCCGCTCCATGTCTCGCCCCTCTTCCCTTAAGGTGACCTTTAAAAAGACCAAGCGGAGGGTGAAGAAAATCCGCAAGAAGGAGAAGGAGGTAGTAGTGCGGGCAGATGACTTGCTGCCTCTCGGGGACCAGACTCAGGATGGGGACTTTGGTTCCAGGTGGGCTTGGACACGGTGGTGGGGCGAGATGGCTGGGCTGGGGTGGCCTGGGGACCGGTGCTCACCAGAGAGGCCTCCTTCCCTCAGACTGCGGGGACGGGGTCGCCGCCGAGTGTCCGAAGTGGAGGAGGAGAAGGAGCCTGTGCCTCAGCCCCTGCCGTCGGACGACACCCGAGTGGAGAACATGGACATCAGTGATGAGGGTGAGGGCCCGGCCAGGGGGTGGGAGGGGCAGGGACAGGAGCCGCGGGTTGGAGGAGATGGTCTGAGCAGGCATCCCCTGTGTTTCCCCCAGAGGAAGGTGGAGCTCCACCGCCGGGGTCCCCGCAGGTGCTGGAGGAGGACGAGGCGGAGCTGGAGCTGCAGAAGCAGCTGGAGAAGGGACGCCGGCTGCGACAGTTACAGCAGCTACAGCAGCTGCGAGACAGTGGCGAGAAGGTGAGGCTGGGCATGGGCAGGGTGACTGCGTCAGCAGTCACCTGTCCTCACGAGCACCTGTGTCATAGGCGACAGCCACATTCCTGTCTGAAGCCTCTTTTCCATTTGTTTTTTGTTTTCTGGGTTTGTTTTTTTTTTTTTTTTTTGAGACAGAGTTTCGCTCTTTCGCCCAGGCTGGAATGCAGTGGCGCAGCCTCAGCTCACTGCAACCTCCGCCTCCCAGGCTCAAGTGATTCTTATTCCTCAGCCTCCTGAGTAGCTGGGATTACAGGCGCACGCCACCAGACCCGGCTAATTTTTATATTTTTAGTAGAGACGGGGTTTCACTATGTTGGCCAGGCTGGTCTCCAACTCCTGACCTCATGATCTGCCTGCCTCTGCCTCCGAAAATGCTAAAATTACAGGTGTGTGCCACCGTGCCCAGCCCTCTATTCTGTTTAAAGTCATGTTTTGCAAAAATTTTTAGATGCCTGCTTTAGTAGGGGATCCTTTCCTTGCCTCTCTCTTCTGTGCATGTTTGTTGAATGCCTGCTGTGAGTAGTGCATTGTTCTTGGGCTGAGAAGGTCATTGGTGAACAGGATAGCCATGGGGCCCTGGGCTCATGGAGCTGGCTTTCTAGAGTGTGTGGGGGAGAGCGTGGGGAGCAGCAGTGACTGTTAATGCAGGAACGGTAATTTCTGATGGTGGTGGGAGCTGGGCACTCAGTAAACCAAGATAACGTGCCGGGGGTTGGGATCTTAGATGGGAGAGTGCAGGGAAGACCTTTCCAAGGTACTAGTTCATCTGAGACTTGAGTCACACAGAGGAGCCAGCCTTGCGGGGGGTTAGGGGTGGCAGCAGGTGGACAGGCTGGCATTTAGGCAGTAGACCAACCAGCAGGTGTCTCAGGAGAAGTGACCTTAGAGTGCCTGAGGGCCAGGGAGGCTGGAGCAGAGCAGAGAGTGAGGGGTGGCGTGAGCTGAGATGGAGAGGTAGGGGGCCAACGCAGGGGGAGCCTTGACCCCATGGTCGTCGCTGCCCCAGAGGCACAGTGGGCCGGGCACTGCTCACATGTTCTGTGTTTGTTGATTCATTCCATCCTCCCAGCAACACCCTATGAGGAAGGTTCTGTCATCTCCATCATTCCAGAGGCCACACTTTTAGCCCTACCCCACACTTCTCACCTAGGAAGAAGCCAAGAAAGCGTGTCCAGGAGAGGGAGCAAGGGAGGGAAGCTTCTGATACTACTGGGAGGCAAAGTGGGGACAGTTGCAGTGGATTCAGGACCCGGAGGACAGGGGAGTTGAAAAAGTGAGGGCTGAACCCGGGACGGAGGCCAGGCTTACTGTTGAAGGGCTGGAGAGGACGTATTTGAGGTTTAAGGGCATATGGTCTCTGTTAGGCACCTTGAATGCTGTGCTGTTATAGGGAAAACAGCCAAGACAGTCTGTAAGTGAGTGGGCGTGGCTGGGTTCCAGTAATACTTTATTTCTAAGAACAGGTGTTGGGACATAGTTTGCCCGGCTAAAAAGGAACAGAGAAATGGAGCAATAGGCTGACAGGGCTGTTTTATGACTGAAATGAACATAAGGGTTTCTAGCCCCGTGGATCTCAGCCTGCCTGCACATTAGACTCACCTAGGAGGTTGTTTTTGTTGTTGTTTTAAGAAACAAGGTCTCGCTCGGTTGCCCAGGCTGGAGTGCAGTAGTGCAATCATAGTTCACTGCAGCCTTGAACTCCTGGGCTCAAGGGATCCTCCTGCCTCAGGCTCTCAAGTAGCTGAGACTACAGGCGTGCGCCTGTGGGTCTCAGTGTGTTGCCCGGGCTGGTCTCAAATTCCTGAGCTCAAACGATCCTCTCGCCTCCACCTCCCAAAGTGCTGGGGTTACAGGCATGAGCCACCAGGCCTGGTGTAGCCTAGAAAGTTTTTGTTGTTGTTTGAGACGGAGTCTCGCTCTGTCACCAGGCTGGAGTGCAGTGGCGCGATCTCGGCTCACTGCAACCTCCATGTCCCGGGCTCAAGCAATTCTCCTGCCTCAGCCTCCTGAGTAGCTGGAACTACAGGTGCATGCCACCACGCCCAGCTGATTTTTGTATTTTTTAGAAGAAACAGGGTTTCACCGTGTTGGTCAGGCTGGTCTCAAACTCCTCACCTTGTGATCCACCCTCCTCAGCCTCCCAAAGTGCTGGAATTAGAGGCATGAACCACCACACCCGGCCACCTAGAAGGTTTTTTAAACATATGAGCCACACCCCACACACTGTGCAGGCAAAAAAGTGGAAAGCCTATCACAGTGAACACCTTTGTCCTCTAGAGTCAGTAATTATAAACATTGTTACAGTTCTTTTCTTTCTCTTCTTTTTTTCCTGACCACTGGGAGTTGCAGATATCATGACACTGCATCCTTAACGACTTCAGTAGGCATCTGGCGAAATCAGGGCCTTCTCCCGCATAGCCACACTGCCCTAACAAGCCCATAAATGCTGTAAAACAGCAGCTCGCATGCCAACATTTTCCAGTTATCCCCCAAAATGTCTTTTTAGTTTTTTGTTGTAAGCAGCATCCAATCAAGTTTCCCACCCGCAAAGGAGCCTTTTCTGACTACCGGAGATTCTAGAGTATGTGGGAGACACATTTATGACGGAAGAAGAAAAAGATCTCGGCAGGCGGTGCTGGGGCCTAGAGTGCAAGTGGAGGGTGGGCTTGAGTGAAGCCAGCTCGTGTCATCATTTATTTCAGGAGGGAAGGTGGGGAGGGCACAGCAGCTGTGGGTGACCTTGTTTAGGGGAAGTCAAGGCAGCCCATGGCCGATTGTTCTGGTGTTTTTCCAGTGAAGAGGTGGCAGAGGTGGTGGTGCAAAGAGATGGGAGATGCTGTTCTGGAGAGTGGAGAGCAGATACACCCTGGGAGAAGAGCAGGCCTGCCAGTGGCAGTGTGGATGGTGGGATTCATGAGCTGAGGAGGGGGATGGTGGAATTCATGAGCTGCTGAGGGAGGGGGATGGTGGGATTCATGAGCTGAGGAGGGGGATGGTGGGATTCATGAGCTGAGGAGGGGGATGGTGGGATTCATGAGCTGCTGAGGAGGGGGATGGTGGGATTCAGGAGCTGAGGAGGGGGATGGTGGGATTCATGAGCTGAGGAGGGGGATGGTGGGATTCATGAGCTGAGGAGGGGGATGGTGGGATTCATGAGCTGCTGAGGAGGGGGATGGTGGGATTCATGAGGTGCTGAGGAGGGGGGTGGTGGGATTCAGGAGCTGAGGAGGGGGATGGTGGGATTCATGAGCTGAGGAGGGGGATGGTGGGATTCATGAGCTGCTGAGGAGGGGGATGGGATTCATGAGCTGCTGAGGAGGGGGATGGTGGGATTCAGAAGCTGAGGAGGGGGATGGTGGGATTCATGAGCTGCTGAGGAGGGGGATGGTGGGATTCATGAGCTGAGGAGGGGGATGGTGGGATTCATGAGCTGAGGAGGGGGATGGTGGGATTCATGAGCTGCTGAGGAGGGGGATGGTGGGATTCAGGAGCTGCTGAGGAGGGGGATGGTGGGATTCATGAGCTGAGGAGGGGGATGGTGGGATTCATGAGCTGCTGAGGAGGGGGATGGTGGGATTCATGAGCTGCTGAGGAGGGGGATGGTGGGATTCATGAGCTGCTGAGGAGGGGGATGGTGGGATTCATGAGCTGAGGAGGGGGATGGTGGGATTCATGAGCTGAGGAGGGGGATGGTGGGATTCATGAGCTGAGGAGGGGGATGGTGGGATTCATGAGCTGCTGAAGAGGGGGATGGTGGGATTCAGGAGCTGCTGAGGAGGGGGATGGTGGGATTCAGGAGCTGAGGAGGGGGATGGTGGGATTAATGCCCTGAAGCAGTGGATGGTGGGATTGAGGATTGGGTTTTCTAGGGAGGAGGGACAAGGCAGTTAAGGGTTTCACAAAGGAGAGGTTCTGTTGATTTCCCCCTGAGTCTAAACTGGGTAATGAGGGACATAACAGAGAATGATGGGTGTGAGGACAGGGCCTGGAGTCGTGATGTGGTTGAAGAATTACTGGATTGAAGTTAATACAGTCAATGAGCTAGAAAGAAAGGCTGGAGAGAACAGAAAGGATCCTTGGAATTGAGGGGTTGTTTTGTTTTGTGATAGTGTCTCACTTTGTCACCCAGGCTGGGGTGCAGTGACTCTATCTCAGCTCACTGCAATTTCCACCTCCTAAAGGTGCTCTGTCCACATACAGTCATTGGGGGTTAGGGCTTCCCGATATGAATTTAGGGGTTACACAATTCCTAGATAGGACAATATATTGTCAAGATGTCCATCTCATGTAGTTCATTTCTAGGTTAAATGCAACTCCAGTAAAAATCCCAATAGGGATTATTTTGGAAGCTGGAAAATGATTCTGAAATTGGATAAAGTAGGGGCATTGTGGCAGTGTGGGATTGCATAAGGATAGACTAACAGAACAGAGAGACCAGACAGCGGGGCCCCGAGACAGAATCGTGTCCCAGTGGGAAGAGTCGCTCGTCAGTGCAGCGAGTGGGCGTGGGACAGTCAGTTATCTATTTGGGGAAAAAATGAAATTGGGTTTATACCTCACACCTTGCAGATAGATTAAGAACTTCAAAGTAAAAACTTCACATTTCGGAATCAAATTAAGGAAATTACATTTATAACTTTTTGGTAGAAAAGATTTTTTAAGTTGTCAGCATAGCCAAGGCAGGAGAATTGCTTGAGGCCAGGAATTTGAGACCAGCCTGGGGCAACACAGCAAGACCACCCCCCCTACCAACCCCATCTCTAAAAATGTTTTTTTAATTAGCTGGGCATGGTAGCATGTGTCTGAAGCCTCAGCTACGCCGGAGGCTAAGGCAGGAGGATTGCTTGAATCTAGGAGTTCGAGGTTATAGTCAGCTATGATAGACTATAGCTGACTATATCACAGATAGCTATGATAGCCTGGGTGATAGAACAAGATCCTGTCTCAAAAAAAAAAAAAAACCAAGAAACCCACAGGTTCCATGGGTGAGTTTCTTCAAGAAACCATGAAGAAAAAAGTGAACGTGTAACTACATAGAAATTGAGAACGTGGCCGGGCGCGATGGCTCACGCCTGTAATCCCAGCACTTTGGGAGGCCAAGGCGGGCGGATCACGAGGTCAGGAGATGAGACCATCCTGGTCAACACAGTGAAACCCTGTCTCTACTAAAAAAAATACAAAAAAATTAACCAGACGTGGTGGCGGGCACCTGTAGTCCCAGCTACTAGGGAGGCTGAGGCAGGAGAATGGTGTGAACCCAGGAGGCGGAGCTTGCAGTGAGCCGAGATCGCACCACTGCACTCCAGCCTGGGTGACAGAGCAAGACTCCGTCTCAAAAAAAAAGAAATTGAGAACGTAAGTTTTTTGTTTTTTGTTTTTTTACAAAACATACCATGAAGAATATAAAAAGGCAGACCAAAAAGAGAAGATATTTGCCCATATATACCACCAAGAATGGGTTGGTGTCAAGAGTATACAAACAGACAAAACAAATCAACACAACAGGAAAATAGGCGAAAGATGTAGATAAGACAGGCAGTTCACAGAAGAGAAAGCCTAACTCACCAGGAAAATACCCGGTGAATCCAGTTTCAGGAGGGATCACAGAAAGGTGAACCAAAACAGTGAGGCACCTGCCACCTGCCAACAATTCCGCAGAAAGGTCCAAGCCTGACAGTAGCGAGTAGGAGTAAAGGACATGGAGCGGCCAGAGTCCTCAGCCACGCTACTCACAGCCATGGGCAGGAGTCTAATCAGATGAGAGGGAATGTGTGCGTGCCCGGGGCCCACCCCACACCTCTCCCGAGTGTGCCCATGTGCACCAGGAGACATTGTCAGTGGGCCTGCAGCCGCAGTACTTGGGACAAAAAAAGTCCATCCTCAGTGGGCTAGAGAGCCAGATCAAGGAGCATCCAGCTCACGGGCTGTGATTCCATAGTGGAAACTGATGAGCTACAGCCGTGTGCATCAGGGTTACTCTCAGGGGCACAGATTTTTTTACAAAACAAATCACAGAAGAGTCATACAGTGTGACTCAGGTTATAGAATAATTAATACACAACAAAATAACTGTTCAGGGGCAGGTCCTTATGTGCTAAAGCCATGAAGACAAGCCGGTGAGTCATGACCATGGATGGGGAGGGGACACTCAAGTCTGGGCAGGGCATTAGTGATGCTGCCCCAGCCCCAGGGAGAGGGACATGGGTGTGTGTTTAGTTAATGTTTTAAAAACTATATCAGCCGCTGGGTGCGGTGGCTCACACCTGTAATATCAGCACTTTGGGAGGCCTAGGCAGGTGGATCACAAGATCAGGAGATTGAGACCATCCTGGCTAACATGGTGAAACCCCCTCTCTACTAAAAAAAAAAAAAAAAAAAAAAAAAATTAGCCGAGCATGGTGGTGCATGCCTGTAATCCCAGCTACTCAGGAGGCTGAGGCAGGAGAATCACTTGAACCCGAGAGGTGGAGGTTGCAGTGAGCCAAGATCGTGCCACTTCACTCCAGCCTGGCCAACAGTGAGACTCTGTCTCAAAAAAAAAAAAAAAAAAAACCATATCAGCCGGGTGTGGTGGTTCACACCTATAGTCCCAGCACTTTGGGAGGCTGAGGTGAGTGGATCACTTGAAGCTGGTTTTGGGACCAGCCTGGGCAACATGGTGAAACCCTGTCTCTACTAAAAATACAAAAATTAGCTGGTTGTGGAGGCATGCACCTGTAGTCCCAGCTACTTAGGAGGCTGAGGGAGGAGGATCACTTGAACCTGGGAGGTGGAGGTTGCAGTGAGCCTATATCGCCCCATTGCACTCCAGCATGGGTGATAGAGTGAGATGGTCTCAATAAATAAGTAGCATATGATGCATTAGATATACCTCGTTTTATGTTTACAATGTTCATTAAAAAATAAGTGTTCCTGGCCAGGCGCGGTGGCTCACGTCTGTAACCCCAACACTTTGGGAGGCCAAGGCAGGCAAATCACGAGGTCAGGAGATGGAGACCATCCAGGCTAGTACGGTGAAACCCCATCTCTACTGAAAAAAAATACAAAAAAATTAGCTGGGCGTGGTGGCGGGCGCCTGTAGTCCCAGCTACTCGGGAGGCTGAGGCAGGAGAATGCTGTGAACCCAGGAGGCGGAGCTTGCAGTGAGCTGAGATCGCGCCACTGCACTCCAGCCTGGGCGACAAAGTGAGACTCTGTCTCAAAAAGAAATAAAAATTAAAAGACAAACAAACAAACAAATGTTCCTGGATGTCCTGGAAGACTTTTTTTTTTTTTTTTTTTGGAGACAGGGTATTGCTCTGTTGCCCAGGCTTGAGTGCAGTGGCAAGATCACGGCTCACCATAGCCTCGGCCTCCAGGCTCAAGCAATCCACCCACCCCAGCCTCCCAAGTAGCTGAGACTACAGGCATACACCACCATGCCTGGTTGATCTTTGTGTTTTTTGTAGAGACTGTGCTTCACCTTATTGTCCAGGCTGGTCTCGAACTCCTGGGCTCAAGTGATCCTCCAGCCTCGGCCTCCCAAAGTGCTAGGATTATAGATGTGAGCAACCACCCGGCCCCTGGAAGAATTTTTTTTTTTTTTTTTTTTCGAGACGGGGTTTCACTCTTGCCCACTCTTTTGAGTGCAGTGGTGTGATCTTGGCAGCCTTGATCTCCCAAGCTCAAGCAGTACTCCCACCTCAGCCTCCCCAGTAGCTGGGACTATGGGCGTGTGTGACCACAATGTCTAATTTTTATGTTTTTTGTAGAGATGGGATTTGGGTATGTTGCCCAGGCTGGTCTCGATCTCCGGAACTCAAGCAGTCCACCCGCCTCAGAAGATTTTTTTAAAAAAATGAATGTAATATAAAATGAAAGAGGGGTGCAGAAGTGGACATAGTGACTCGAACCTTCACTGAGGAGTGAGGACTTTGCTGTCTGGGCTGCAGGGTTGAGGGAGAAGTTTTTTAAAGAGGGGAGATGGTAATCATTGTGTGTGGCTGGGCATCTGCGACAGGAGGGAAAGCAGAGGGTGCTGGTGCCCGTGTGGGGGTCGCTGGATTCAGTGCTGGCAGCATGAGTGAGTTCTCTTCCCATGTCACGGAACCTGCTTTCTTGGTGAAGCAGGAAGCGAGAAGCTGGGCTGTGGGAAGTCAAAAGCGTGGGCCACCTCACCACCCTGCGGGTTCTAGAAGTGCTGTCTAGAGTCCTGAAACCGGAGTTTGTCGGGGGAGGGGCAGGTGGCAGGAGGGAGCCTGGAGGAAGGAGTTTGAGGCTGAGGTAGTGTGTGAGGGGCTTTGGAGGGGGATTGGCACAGGCCTGGTCAGGAAGGCCCTGTAGGATGTTGGGTATTCATTCAAAGGGCATCCAAACCCATTGATGGGTTTGGAGCAGAAGAGTGACCCCAGTGAAAGAGGTGCAGAGTGGAGTTAGGCGGCAGATAGCAGCTGGGCCTGCATGGGCTGTGGGCGTGGCCTGTCTGGCTGCTGCCAGGGAGGACCCTTAGGTTCCTGGGTCTCAATGGCATCACCCCAGAAACTGCTGGGTTTGCCCACAGCCGCTCCCTCCCCCAGGTGGTGGAGATTGTGAAGAAGCTGGAGTCTCGCCAGCGGGGCTGGGAGGAGGATGAGGATCCCGAGCGGAAGGGGGCCATCGTGTTCAACGCCACGTCCGAGTTCTGCCGCACCTTGGGGGAGATCCCCACCTACGGGCTGGCTGGCAATCGCGAGGAGCAGGAGGAGCTCATGGTGCGTCTGGGGCGGCCCCGCCCTCTGCTTCCCTCGGCTGGGTGGGCTGGCTGGGGCCTGGGCCGACCCTGGTCTTTTGTGCCCCAGGACTTTGAACGGGATGAGGAGCGCTCAGCCAACGGTGGCTCCGAATCTGACGGGGAGGAGAACATCGGCTGGAGCACGGTGAACCTGGACGAGGAGAAGCAGCAGCAGGATGTGAGGGCCGCGCCGCTGGGGGGTGGGCGTTTGGGGGTGCTCAAGCTGGAGATGAGCACCGGGCTCGGTGTCCAGAGCCTCAGCCTCCTCATCCAGAGTGGGCTCTGCAGACCTCCCAGGGCGATCTGAGGAGTAAATGAGGAAATTAAATGTTGTGGAGGGCTGGTGCCTGGCAGGTGGTGACCAGTGGGTGGGGCTGAGAAGAGCCGGTATGGCCTGCTAACCACCCCCGCCACGTGTCCCGTAGTTCTCTGCTTCCTCCACCACCATCCTGGACGAGGAACCGATCGTGAATAGGGGGCTGGCAGCTGCCCTGCTCCTGTGTCAGAACAAAGGTAGGGAGCTCAGGGCAGCCATGACTTGGGTGGGCTTGGGTGCTGCTGCAGGTGCAGGCAGGGCCCCCTCCGGTCCCCTCTGCTGCCCCTTTCTCTCAGTCCCAATGCTGGAGCCAGCTGTCCGGCCCAGAGCCACTCCTTCCCCTCCACTGTGGCATCTGTCCGTCTGCTCTGCCTTTGAGGCTCCACACCTGCTTGGGGAAGGAGAGGGGAGTTGAAACTGTTCCAGCTGTGGCACAGAGAGCCCTGGTGTTAGGACCCCAGCTCTGCCATTTCCCTGGCCAGTGACCCTTGGCAAGGGGCTCATTTCTGCATCTTTGCTTTGCCTGTAGAACAGGCCTGATGGCTTTCCAGAGGCAAGGAAAGGGAGGTGCCCCCACAGGGCCTGCTCTGCCTTCTCAGGCGGCCCTGGAGCTGTGGCTCTCGAGGGGTTGGGAGTCTCACAACCCCTCCATCCCTAGGGCTGCTGGAGACCACAGTGCAGAAGGTGGCCCGGGTGAAGGCCCCCAACAAGTCGCTGCCCTCAGCCGTGTACTGCATCGAGGATAAGATGTGAGTGTGGTGGGGCCTGTGCAGGGCTGAGGGGCCTGTGCCAGCTTGGAGCTTCGGGACCACAGCAGGCGGCAGCTCCTCACACTAAGGCCTCCTCTGTCTCGGGCCAGGGCCATCGATGACAAGTACAGCCGGAGGGAGGAATACCGAGGCTTCACACAGGACTTCAAGGAGAAGGACGGCTACAAACCCGACGTTAAGATCGAATACGTGGATGAGACGGGCCGGAAACTCACACCCAAGGAGGTGAGCAGGGCCTTTTGCAGGCGGAGGCCCGGCCTGCCACAGGGAGGCCAAGCCCAGGGCCATGCAATGCCCCGGGCCATGCAATGCCCCAGGGTCCTGGCTCCACCAGCCTCTGGCTGGGGGCCTGGTGAATGCCACGGATGGGGAGGGGGCCCTCAGGGCTGAGGAAGGCTGTGCCTCAGTTTGTCTCTAGTGGGCACAGCAGTCTCTTTGCAAGCCTGGCAGGAGGGTCAGACAGGCACTCGGGACCTCTGCCCTCCTGTCCTCACCTGCGTGAGCCCTTCACTGGCTTTCCTGGCCCGCAGGGCCATTCCAGCGTCCAGGCCCTTCCAGCACTCTCGTAGGCCGCCCGACCGTCCTGCCCTACCACTCAGCTGCCCCCTTGCTCTCTGGGGTTTGTCTCCCTGCAGCCCCAGCCCCAGCCCCAGCGTCCAGGCCCAGCCCCTGCGTGGCAGGTCTCCAGGTTCCCCATGCTCTGCCCCCATGGCAGCGCATCCACTAGCCAAGCTGGTCTCCCGGCCTCTGCTGGGGCCCTGCAGGGTGCCAGCGTCTGTGCTCTTTTCCCATCCCCTTCCCACTGCACCCCAGGCCTGGCATTGGGGTCAATCAACACCCGCCCTGTTATTATACACCTTGTGGGCACAGGTGGCTCCGGCCCCACCCAGGGCCCTGCATCTCCTCTCATGCCCCGCGTCCCCAGGCTTTCCGGCAGCTGTCGCACCGCTTCCATGGCAAGGGCTCAGGCAAGATGAAGACAGAGCGGCGGATGAAGAAGCTGGACGAGGAGGCGGTGGGTGCCCTTGGGGATGTGGGGGGCCCTGTGCCTGCCGGGGCAGGGGTGGCTGGTGTGTGGGGCCTGCTGCAGCCCTTTCTGAGTGGCCCCGACCCCTCAGCTCCTGAAGAAGATGAGCTCCAGCGACACGCCCCTGGGCACCGTGGCCCTGCTCCAGGAGAAGCAGAAGGCTCAGAAGACCCCCTACATCGTGCTCAGCGGCAGCGGCAAGAGCATGAACGCGTGAGTGGCTCGAGGCTGGTGGGGTAGGGTGTGGTGGGGAGGGGTGGCGTGGCCTGTGCCCGCCTCTGCAGCCTCACGCCCCTGTTCTTCTCTGCAGGAACACCATCACCAAGTGACAGCGCCCTCCCGCCCCGGCCCTGCCTCAACCTTCATATTAAATAAAGCTCCCTCCTTATTTTTTCCTCCCTGGTCGTGGTACAGATTCCAGGGTTGGATCTTTGGTTGGGTGTGGCACAGAGTCTGGCTCCTGCTAGGTGAGACCTGGCCATCAAATGACACAAACAACTAAACGATGGAAGAGAGAGCGAGCCCGGGTCCTCTAAGGCTCCTTCCTTCTCCCCTGGCTGTCGGTCACACCTCTGCAGGGCCGGCTCTCTGATAGAAAGTGGAAGGCGGTTTTAGAAACTCATCACCCTGCTCTCTCCTGGCCTCGGGGGCTGCACAGGTCACTGTCCTGTAATGTCTCCCGGTCAGGGCAGCCCAGGACTGCCCAGCCTGGTGGGCTGGGGATTGGGCTTTGGGTAGGGCACAGGTGCCACCTTCTGTCCTGGCTGTCCTGTGCCACCCTGGTCTGTGTCTAGAGGAGTGAAACTCCCAGGGTTGGGCTGGGAGTATTTGGTGCACGCGGTATGGGGAGGGCTGAGCTCAGTGCCTCCTGGGAGACTTGTCCCGTGTACAGTGACCCAGAAAGATGAGATTCCTTGGCCTGAACTCTGTGATAGAGTGTGACTGAGCTGCTGGGGGACATGTGAGCCTCAAATCCATAGAAAGACAAACGGCCACCTTGGGTGCCCAGGATACTGGTGCCTGGCCCCACGTACACCCACATACTTCTCAGATGGCTCCCACATTTTAAGATTTTAAAAATGAAACCAAAAAATAAATTGAAGAAAACTGTAAACTTTAAAGAATAATCAGCTGGGCGCAGTGGCTCATGCTTGTAATCACAGCACTTTAGGAGGCTGAGGCAGGAGGACTGTTTGAGCCCAGGAGTTTGAGACCAACCTGAGTAAGGTGGCAAAACCCCATCTCTACCAAAAATACAAAGATTAGCCAGGCGTGGTGGTGAGCGCCTGTAGTCCCAGCTACTTGGGATGCTGAGGTGGGAGGATCACTTGAACCTGGGAGACACAGGCTGCAGTGGGCCCTGATTGAGCCACCACACTGCAGCCTAGGTGACAGTCAGACCCTGTCTCAAAAAAAATAAAAAAAATTTAAAATAATCTTGGGGTGAGGAAACTGTAGACAAGGTGCAAAACCCAGTAGCCTGAAAATGCATGGTTGGCATTGATGCTGTCGCTTCTGCACGGCTAGAGCTGCGGGGCTGAGTCTTAGCCTGAAAATGCACGGTTGGCACTGACACCATTACTTCTGTGCAGCGGGAGCTGCGGGGCTGAGTCTTTGGGTGCCCTTCCTTGAGCTCTGTATTCTCTATAGTTTGACATCTGACTCTTGATTCTGTTTTCACCTTGGCTGCTTCCTTGGCTTCCTCAGGAAGGGTGTCCTGGGGTGTCTAGGCTGGGACTAGGACTTGGGGCAGTCACAGTCTGTTTCTCTCAAAAGCCTAGGAGGAGGCTGGGAACAGTGGCACATGCCTGTAATCCCAGCACTCTGGGAGGCTGAGGTGGATGGATCACTTGAGGCCAGGAGTTCAAGACCAGCCTGGCCAACACGGTAAAACTCCGTCTTTGACTAAAAATACAAAAAAAAATTGACATGTAGGCTGGGTGCGGTGGCTCACGCCTGTAATCCCAGCACTTTGGGAGGCCAAGGCGGGTGGATCACGAGGTCAGGAGATCGAGACCATTCTGGCTAACACGTTGAAACCCTGTCTCTACTAAAAATACAAAAAATTAGCCGGGCGTGGTGGCGGGTGCCTGTAGTCCCAGCTATTCGGGAGGCTGAGGCAGGAGAATGGCGTGAACCTGGGAAGCGGAGCTTGCAGTGAGCTGAGATTGCGCCATTGCACTCCAGCCTGGTCGACACAGCGAGACTCCATCTCAAAAAAAAAAAACAAAAAACGGCATGATGGCAAGTGCCTGTAATCCCACCTACTCAGTAGAATCGCTGGAGCCCAGGGGGTGGAGGTTACAGTGAGCCGAGATGGTGCCACTGCACTCCAGCCTGGGTGACAGAATGAGACCCTGTTTCAAAAAAAAGGAAGCCTAGGAGGTGCTTCCAGGGTTGGGACTGGGCAGTCAGGTGTCCCTGGCATGGACCCCAGGCCCTGGCCTACTGTCCAAGTCACACCTTGACGTCTGCAGGAAATGGCCCATTAGGAGGCTGTCAAAGCTGCTGTCACAGCTGAAAATGACCGCAGCCTGGGCTAGAGCCCAGGTGGAGCCAGGGTAGAAAAGACCAGCTTCAGCTCTGCAGCCGACTAACTTTCTGGCTCTAGTAACTGGGCAGACTACGTGGTGAACCAGGGGCCTCCTCGTTCGCGCCATCTTGCTTCCTCTCTGCATCTCTGGCTCTTGGTCCTAGCCCAGAGACTTCCCTTCTCTGCCCTGGTGTACTCTGCTCTGCTCCCCAGCTGTGTCCTGCCCATGTGCCCAGGGCTGGGAGGGGTTGGGGACTACCAAATCCCTGGAGGCCTGAGCCCCCAGAGCAGACAGAACCCAAGGCGGCTTCCCACCTCTGCTGCTCGGTAGCCGGACACCAACGGTGCTTCCCCTGCCCTCAGGTACCTGAGGGGCAGCGATGGCTCAAAAGCTGCCCTGAGGGTCAGTGAGCCCTCAACCAGGGCCTCAGCCAGGTGGGTGGCACTCAGGGAGGACAGGGTGCTTATGTTTGCCCTCTATGTTTCCCTTCACTGCTGCCTGACCTGAGGCAGGTCACCAAGTCTCTGTCTTACCTACAAAATGTGCGTGTTGAGGGTGGGGGGCGTGATCTCAAGACTTCTAGGGCCACCCTACTGCATAGTTGAGGACTGATCCTTCCACAGCTTCAACAAAAATGTACCGAGCATCTGCGAGCGCTGCCTAAGAACCCAGAGCAAAGCCGGACAGGCTGCCTGGGCCCATGGGGCATGGGCCCTAAGAGCAAGCAGCCACTGCGCAAGGGCACAGCCAGGTGTGAAGGATGGGACGAGGCCCAGCTCCTGCCCTCCCAGGGCCCATCTCTCCTCGTGATGGGCCTTCCGGGTGTGGTGATGCCAACCCCAGCCCACAGCCCAGCAGTCCAGTGCTGTGTGGCCTTGGCTCTGAGCAAGACCAGGATGGGGTCCCCCTCTTGCTCTCGGGGCCTGCCCTCTCCTGTGCGCACCCCCTGCCCAGGTCCTCCAGGCTCCTCCAAGCCTCTGCCTGTGGCCCCAAACCTGCCCCACCCAGCCCCAGGCAGGGCCCTGCCTCTTCCTCCACAATTCAGAGATGCTCTGGAGGGTGCAGGCAGGCCCTGCCAGCATGGGCTCCCTGTGGACCTGGGAAAAGGTGCCCTTCTGGGCAGTGGACGCAGGCCTCAGGAGCACAGCCTGGTGGGCAGATTCGCCCCCATTCATCCTACAGAGTGGTCCCTGGCGCCCCTCAGTGCCAAACCCACGATTGCCCCGGGGCTTTAGTTCCCTGCCCTGCCTTCCCCAGCTGGTCCTGTCATTGTCCCTTGGCATCCTCAAGAAGGGCTCAGCCCAGGTGTACATTGGGCAGTGGACTGAAGGGGACAACCAGGGTGAGGACCTGGCTTTGCTGGTGTCGGGTCTCTGCGTTTCAGTGCCATGGGTGGGAAGGGCGGGCTGGTCCCAGGAAAGTGGGGATTCAGCAGTAAGTTCCCAGGAGGAGCAGGATTAATTGGCTGGAGTTCCCAGAGAGACCCACCAGCAGCCACGTGGACAGTGGAGAGCAGGGTGGGGCTGAGGACCCTGGCAATGCAGAGGTTGCTAAAAAGATTTTTCGAAACCGTGATACTGTTTAGAACCCATAGGAGAAAAATGATAGCTACTAAGATTAAAAAAAAAAAAAAAAAGCTACAGAACCCATAGGAAAAGTTGCAAGCGATACAAAGTGTTTCCCCTTGAACCATTTGACAATCGGTGGTCAAGGGGATTCCGTACCGCCCCAACTAAGTGTGTGTTTCCTGCAAACAAGGGCGTTCTCCCACATAAACTAACGCCACCTAGGACATTGGGAAAAGTACCGTTGATGCGTCACTTCCACCTCATTTTAGACCCCAACTGTCCTAATGTCTATTTTTTTTTCTTTGAGTCGTAGCCTTATTTATTTACAAGCACTGGATGAGTCCCTGGCCACCCCCCAGGACAGAGCAACCCTACGCAGCCCCAGCGCAGTTAAATACAGTTGGGAGCTAGGGGACTGGAGGGAGGAATTAAGGGAAATACAGGACTAGGGACAAATACTCTGTTAAGTGGTCACATACGGGCCAGATCCTGTAGTCTGCAGAGCCACGGCTGTCACCACCCCCACACCAGGACATGAAAGGTAGGGAGAAGAGCCTGAGGGAGCCGAGGCAGGCCCAGGGGTGCCCACCCGTCGTGCCATAGAACGTGGAAGGGACAGGAATGGCTCTCAGGGAGTGTATGGGAAGGACGAGGCCAGAACTGTCTTCTTACGGGACCCAGTTTTAGGAAGAACACCTGGTTTGCTTTTCTGTAAACACAGCGGCCTTGAGGGAGCGGCTGCCCAGCAGAGGCTCTGCCTACCCCAGACCCGAGCACAGCCTAGCTCCTTCCCACCTCTACCCAGAAAGGATGGCAGCTGCTGGCTCCCAGCTCCCTTGAAGGGACCAGGCACAGTCTGTGAGTCCTCATGGGGCTCAGGAGAAGCTCTGGACAGGGTGGCTGACCTTCAGGCAGGCCCGAAAGAGGGCCTGGCCCAAACACAGCACAGCCAGCAAGATGACAGACACCAGGCTGCATGGAGGCCTCCATGTCGCCCCGCATGCTTCCCTGAGCCAAAGCAGGTAGCAGATATGTCACTTCCACGGATATCTGCACCCATAGATGACACTTTCCAACAGTGAGGGTGACATGTGAACTCTGTCCATGGAAGAGTATTCCTGCAGTGCCCACGGATGGCCCTGACACCCACCTGAGGTTCTGGACCCCACAGTGATGATTCCTTTGCAGTAGGGCCGAGGGCAGGTAACCCGCTGGGAAGTCACTTTGCAGATGAGACAGCTATGAGGACTTCAGACATCTTTCTCCCTCGGGTGCATTCTGGATTGGAGCAGCTTTGTTGCAGGTACTGCATTGACTACAAGCTGATGAGTTCTGCCTTCCACCTTGATGAGCAGTGGGCACTCTCACTCCCCAGGCTGGTCAGGGTGAGTAGGGGGCTGGGTGTACCTCATAGAAGGGGGTATGCCTGGGGTGGGGCAGGTTTACTGGCTTCACTCAATGGTACAAAGGGGGTCAGCATCTCTGGGCCCAGCCCCACTCCCATCCCACCCTACTAAATCATTGCCAAGGGAAGCCTCTCCATCTGCGGCCACCACTAGCAGGTCACCAGCCTAGTAATATCCTTTTTACTTTTTTTAAGACAAGGTCTCACTGTGTCGCCCAGGCTGGAGTACAGTGGTACAAACATGGCTAGCTGCAGCCTTGACCTCCTGGCTCAAGTGATCCACCCACGTCAGCTTCCTGAGTAGCTGGGACCACAGCTGCATGCTATCATGTCTGGCTAATTTTTTTGCAAAGACAGGGTCTTGCTATGTTGCCCAGGCTGGTCTCAAAATTCCTGGGCTCAAGCAATTCTCCTGCCTCAGCTTCCCGAAGTGCTGGGATTGCAGTACTAGCCACACCCAGCCGATAGTAGGTTTTAGCAAAAGGATTCAGTTCAGGCAACTGCACCCATTGCAGTTCTGGCCATGAGCCACCACACCCAACCAGAATTATTTCAAAAGATTTTAAGATAGAATATTTTGACCTCACATCCCTAGTAGGATATCTATTTAAAAATTTTTAAATTAACATAATGAAATCTTAAACACATTTAATAGTCTTATTGTTAGTAATAATAATGATGATATTGGCTGGGCATGGTGACTCGTGCATGTAATCACAGCACTTTGGGAGGCCGAGGCAGGAGGATTGCTTGAGGCTAGGAGCTGGAGACCAGCCTGGGCAACATTGCGAGATCCCCATCTCTACAAAAAATTTAAAAATCAGCCAGGCATGGTGGCATGCACCTGCAGTCCCAGCTACTCAGGAGGTTGAGGCAGGAGGAGTTGGAGACTGCAGTGTTCTAGGATCATGCATTGCACTCCAGGCTGGACGACAGAGCAAGACCCTGTCTCAGAAAAAAACCAAAAAATACAAAGAAAAGAAAACTGAAGCTGTGTAACAGGTACAATGGGATTCATTATTCCATTCTATCTACTTTTGAGTATGTTTGAAAATTTCCATTATAGAACTTTGTTTAAAAAGAGAGAACAAGAACATGTTGGCTTAGCAACAGAAAAGCATACATATGTTCAGCTAAAGACATGAACAAGAATGTTCTTAACAGCACTATTTATAACAGCCCCAAACTGGAAACAACCCAAATGTCCATTAACAGAAGAATGAATAAATAGCCGGGCATGGTTCTTAGTGCCTGTAATCCCAGCTACTGGGGAGGCTAAGGATCCCTTGAGGCCAGGAGTTCAAGACCAGCCTGGTGACATAGTGAGACCCACCTCTAAAAATATTTTTTAAATTTAGCTGGGTGTGGTGGCTCATGCCTGTATCTGTAGTCCCAGCTACCCGGGAGGCTGAGGCAAAGGATTGCTTGAGCCTGGGAATTTGAGGCTGCAGTGAGCTATCCTCACACTTGTGAATGGCCACTGCACCCCAGCCTGGGTGACAGAGTGAGACTCTGTCTCTAAAAAAAAAATCAACAAAGGGTAGACATTCATATAACCGAATGAGTAACATGGATGAACCTCATGGACATGAAATTATACATACTGTTTGCTTCCATTTAATACAAAATCTGGAAAAATTCTTTTATTCTATTAGAAGCAGTATAGAAGGCTGGGTGCGGTCACTCATGCCTGTAATTCCAACACTTTTGGAGGCCAAGGTGGGAGGATTGCTTGAAGCCAGGAGTTCTAGAGCAGTCTGGGTAACAAAGCAAGACCCTGTCTCTACAAAAAAATTTTAAAAATTACCTGGGCATGGTGGTGTGTGCCAATAGTCCCAGCTACTCAGGAGGCTGAGGCACAAGAATCACTTTAACCTGGGAGGTGGAGGTTGCAGTGAGCCGAGATGGTGCCATTGCACTCCAGCCTGGGTGACTGAGTGAGGCTCTGTCAAAAAAAAAAGCATCGTTTTAAATAATGACATAAATATAAAAAATGGCCAGCATGGCTGGGCGCAATGTCTCACGCCTGTAATCCCAGCACTTTGGGAGGCTGAGGCGGGCGGATCCCGAGGTCAGGACATCGAGACCATCCTGGCTAACACAGTGAAAACCCATCCCTACTAAAACTACAAAAAATTAGCCGGGTGTGGTGGCGGGTGCCTGTAGTCCCAGCTACTCGGGAGGCTGAGGCAGGAGAATGCCGTGAACCCGGGAGGTGGAGCTTGCAGTGAGCCGAGATCGCGCCACTGCACTCCAGCCTGGGCGACAGAGCGAGACTCCGTCTCCAAAAGAAAAAAAAAAAAAAAAAAAAGGCCAGCATGAGAATGAGTGAAAGTTCATAAACTCTTCCTATGGTGACTCACATATGGCATAAGGAACTAGCTCACTGGTTTTGCCTTCTCCTTCCTCTCTTCTGTAAGGTTCTTCATTTCCCAGGCCTGTAACTTGCTGTCTTCCCACTACGGTGCCTTCTAATAAAGAGCTTCCAAAACTAAAAACAACGTAAATCTTTGCTGCGGTTATTTTTTGACGCATCAAAAAAGGCACCAAGCCTAGATGTTTTTAAAGCTTCAAAAGTTTATTGACCGGCACCATGGCTCACACCTTTAATCCCAGCACTTTTGGAGGCCAAGGTGGGCGGATCACCTGAGGTCAGGAGTTCAAGACCAGCCTGGCCAACATGGCGAAACCCTGTCTCTACTAAAAATACAAAAATTAGCCGGGAATGGTGGCAGGTACCTGTAATCCTAGTTACTCAGGAGGCTGAGGCAGGAGAATTGCTTGGGGCCTGGGAGGCGGAGGCTACAGTGAACTGAGATGGTGCCATTGTATTCCAGCCTGGGTGACAGAGTGAGACTCCGTCAAAAAAAAAAAAAAAAGGTTATTATCTAAAGGCTTTACCTTTAGATAATAGATCATTCAAATGCTATTTAAACTACTCCAGATCAGAGAAAAAGATGGTAAGCGCTCTTAACATATTTTATGATATTAATAAAATACTGATAGCCAAATCTTCTCATTGTTTCTGAAGTTTGTTTTCTAGAAGTTCCTTCTGTCTGCTGGTGATAAACTCCTATATTCTGTTGGTCTGAATGTCTTCACCATGGTGTAGGGAGGAGACAGCCGTCGTGGCCCCCAGGGCTGTGGTGAGAATCAAAGCTGTCCTGCCTTGGGCATGTCTCCAAAGCCCAAACACACTGGGAAGACGGAGTTGGCCCCACTCAGGGTCTCCACTCAGATCAGGCTGGGTCCCACTTCCCTCTCCCTGAGCCCCGGACACATCGATGCTGTCATTGCATGCTGATTCTCCGAGTCCCTGAGCCCCGTACCCCCCGGCCTTAAGGAGCCTTGCCAGTGTCCTCCCCACCTCGCCCCTGCCCAACAGACACAGCACGCCACCTGCTCTGCCTTGGGTCCCAGGCCTTTCCCTCCTCAGGCACCTGTTCAGGGGCAGTGAGAGAAGCAAAACAGCCCTTCTGTGCCAATGCACACCCCACCTGGGGAAGGAGGCAGACAGGAGGGCTCCTCAGAAACGGCTGATTTGTCAGCCCTGGACAAAGTGAAAGGGAGAAGCAAGAAGCAGGACAGATGGGCAGGTCTCCTGCGGCCCACCCCCCCAAAAAAGGAATGTGTGGGCCGGGCGCAGTGTCTCACGCCTGTAATCCCAGCACTTTGGGAGGCTGAGGCGGGTGGATCACCTGAGGTCAGGAGTTCAAGACCAGCCTGACCAACATGGAGAAACCCCGTCTCTACTAAAAATACAAAAAATTAGGCAGGCGTGGTGGCAGGTGCCTGTAATCCCGGCTACTCAGGAGGCTGGGGCAGGAGAATCTCTTGAACCCAGGAGCCAGAGGTTCCAGTGAGCCGAGATCACGAAGCAAGGAAGGAAGGGAGGGCGCGAGGAAGGAAAGATGTGGCCATAGATCGTGAGTAGGATCGATAAGACAGAACTCCATTGTCGAAAGCTAAATTATGGCAGACACAAAGCGGATGGGAGACCCACATGAAAGAAGGCACTTGGAGCCTTCAGAGAAGAACGCAGGGAGGCAAAACCCCCAAAGGCCTGAAAGCTTCAGCAGTCACTAGAAGGGGAGCTGAATACATGTGCTGAGGGGCCCTGGGGAGACGACCCTTCCAGAGGCTGCAGTTCTTAGGTCTTACCAGCCCCTCCTTGCTGCCCATCTACCAGGTCCAAGGCTCCCTGAATCCTCAGACATTAACTACAGGGGTACCTCATCCTTGTCCAGAGCAGGGTTTCTGGGGGACACAGCCACAGACACCTCCATGTGAGTCCTCCTGCACCTCAATTTGGGTGCTTTCTAACTGAAAGACCAGGGCGGCCAGGCGCGGTGGTTCACGCCTGTAATCCCAAAACTTTGGGAGGCCAAGGCGGGCAGATCGCCTGAGGTCGGGAGTTCAAGACCAGCCTGACCAACATGGAGAAACCCCATCTCTACTAAAAATACAAAATTAGCCAGGCGTGGTGGTGCGTGCCTGTAATCCCAGCTACTTGGGAGGCTGAGGCAGGAGAATCGCTTGAATCCAGTAGGCGGAGGTTGCGGTGAGCCAAGATCGCGCCAGTGCACTCCAGCCTGGGCAAGAAAAGTGAAACTGGGTCCCCCAAAAAACAAAAAAACCAGGGCAGTTCCCCACCACCCTCCAAGCACTGTACTCCAGCTTGTAAATGCTGCTGGGGAGGAAGGCCACTTCTGATCATGCCTTGGTGAGTGAATCCATCTCTGGGGGAGTGGAACTTGTGTTCGCAGTGGTCTACCAGCATCCTAACTGCTGTTGGGGCATGTGGACCCTTTGATTGGACCAAGAATGCAGTTCCCTTATGAGACTGTAACTAGGTTAGATGCTTTCGGGTTCTGTAGCCCAAGGCAAGGTGCTGACTTGCTGGTTTTACGTGCTTAGGGTGACCTCTGCTGGTGGCTTCTCTAAATGTTGGCAGAATACACAGCCAGGAACTGCCGGTACCGTCTCACATCAGCCAGTAGTTGGAGCCACATTGCTATCAGAAGGAAAAGAGTGCTCTTCTCATACAAGAATTATTAAAACAAAGTGATGCCCAATGCTGTTCAAGAATGAACAGCCTGGTCTGGTTAGTAACAAAGGATTCTGGTACTTGGCAACTCATTGTGGATTAGCAAGGGTTAAATAACAAAGTGGGTATTTTAGCGTCATGAGAATCTATCACAATAACTGGAAGAATTGCTGCCAGTACTGGCACCTGGTGTACAGCCCTGGGCACTGCTAGTTCTTTTTTTTTTTTTTTTTGGTTGGAGTCTTGCTCTTGCCCAGGCCGGAGTACAGTGGCGCCATCTCGGCTCACTGCAACCTCTGCCTCCCCTCCTGGGTTCAAGCGATTCTCCTATCTCAGCCTCCCAAGTAGCTGGGATGACAGGCGTGCACCACCACACCCAGCTAATTTTTGTATTTTTTTAGTAGAGACAGGGTTTCACCAGTTGGCCGGGCTGGTCTCGAACTCCTGATCTCAGGTGATCCACCTGCCTTGGCCTCCCAAAGTGCTGGGATTACAAGCGTGAGCTACCGCGCCCAGCCTGTACTGCTAATTCTTCATTCCTCAGTGTCACCAGATGAGGCATACGGCATGCCTCCACACCTCCCACAGGGGCTTTTGGATTCTCTTGCAAATGTCACCAGTGGATCAAACACACGCACAGCATGAACTGCTGGTGGTGTCCGTGGTGTCCTGACTTCTTGCTTCATCAGTGATTTTCTGAGGGCGGCTCCCACTGAGGAAACTGCCCACACTTCTCTGTGTGCTTCTCAGACACAGGTCAGTAGAGATGTTTGGGCCTTGAATGAAGACAAAACCCACGGTTCTGTGGCCCAAGTCACTTTCCTGGGAGACAACTGGGCAACTACTAAAGACGAAGCACCAGGCCGGGCACGGTGGCTCACCACCTGTCATCCCAGCACTGTGGGAGGCCAAGGCGGGTGGATCACCTGAGGGCAGGAGTTCGAGACCAGCCTGGCCAACATGGTGAAATCCCATCTCTACTAAAAATACAAAAAAAATTAGCTGGGTGTGGTGGTGCAGGCCTGTAATCCCAGCTACTCGGGAGGCTGAGGCAGGAGAATTGCTTGAACCCTGGATGCGGAGGTTGCAGTGGGCTGAGATCGTACAATTGCACTCCAGCCTGGGCGACAAGAGCGAGACTCCATCTCAAAAAGTAAGTAAGTAAGTAAATAAATAAATAAATAAAAATAAATAAAAATAAAGCAAACCATGTAAAAAGAAAAAAAGTGCACATGGAATTCGGACAATGGTTGCCTTGGGTGGGACAGCAGAGAATGGGCTGGTCAGGGTAGGATGGGAGGTGGAGTATGTTACTTGGGTTATTGTTAAAGTCCTAGCCTTTATTTTATGGTGGTGGGTTTGAAGCTGCTCACATTATTAAAAATAACCAACCAAATATTTAATTATTCTTGACTTTTAATTTTTTATTGAAAGGGAGTCTCACTATGTCACCCAGGCTGGCCTCAAACTCCTCAAGGGCTTAAGCAATCCTTTCCCTTCAGCCTTTCAAGTAGCTGGGATTACAGGCATGTGCCACCATGCCCAGCCAAAATGTTTAAATATAGGCCAGACTCAGTGGCTTACGCCTGTAATCCCAGCATTTTGGGAGGCCGAGGCGGGTGGATCACCTGAGGTCAGGAGTTCGAGACCAGCCTGGTCAACATGCTGAAACCCCGTCTCTACTAAAATATAAAAATTAGCCAGGCGTGGTGGTGGGCGCCTGTAATCCCAGCTACTCAGGAGGCTGAGGCAGAAGAATGGCTTGAACCTGTGAGGCACAGGTTGCAGTGAGCTGAGATTGCACCACTGCACTCCAGCCTGGGTGACAGAGCAAGACTCCATCTCAGAAACAAAACAAAACAAAACAAAACAAAGAAAGGAAAAAGAAAAAGAACTACAGGATAAACCCAGAGGGATTGGTTTGTTTCCCATTGGTTATGAGAAAAAAACAAAAACAAACAAAAACAAAGGGAGTATAAGTGGGAAATACGGTAAGAGCAGCAATTAATGAAATACCAATACAAAGAATGACAACAAAAAGCTGGTGCTTAGAAAAGACTAATAATGACCTTCTGCCAAGATTGACCAGCTATAACAGAGAGAAGGCACAAATAAACAATATTACATGTAAAAAGGGGGACATAACTTTGGATACAGCCAAGATTACAAACATAAGGCAATCATACAAATAACTTTGCGCCAGTAAGTTTGAAGCCATAGCAAACATGAGAAAATATGGGGGCTGGGTGTGGTGGCTCACGCCTGTAACCCCAGCAATTTGGGAGGCTGCGGTGGGCAGATCACCTGAGATCGGGAGTTTGAGACCAGCCTGGCCAACATGGTGAAACCCCATCTCTACTAAAAATACAAAAATTAGCCGGCCATGGTGGCACATACCTGTAATCCCAGCTATTCGGGAGGCTGAGGCAGGAGAATCACTTGAACCCGGGAGGCGGAGGTTGCAGTGAGCCGAGATGGGGCCACTGCACTCCAGCCTGGGCGACAGAGCAAGATCCTGTCTCAAAAATAAATAAATAAATAAATAACATGAAAATATTTTTCCTTGAAAATATGACTGAAGAACAGAACACCTGAGTAATCTATTACCACTGACAATCTAATTCCAAACCTACCTACCCACCCACCCAAAAAATCGCCAGGCATGGTTGGTTTTACAGCAAGCTTTACCAAAAATTGTAGAAATGCAAAATTCCAATCTTATACAAACTCTCGTAATGAAAATAAAGGGAAAACACTTTCCAACTTATTTATATGAAGCTGGTATAACCTTGATACAAAACAAAGGGTGGGGGCAGTACGGAAAAGGAAAACCTTAAACCATTTCACCTATACACCTGGATGCCAAAATACCAGAGAACCAAATCCGGCAGTATAATAACAAATCCATTGTGACTGTCTTCTTCCAGGAATGCAAGGATATCTTAACGTGAGAGAATGTTATGATACTCCACCACATTTACAGATTAGAAGAGGAAAACCATGTGGTGAGCTCAGACTGCCATCTGTGCTCCCTGGCACACACACAGGGGTGGCTGGGTGGCAAGGGGGGAAAGCGCACTGGGCCACACGGGGAAGCCCTGGTGGAAATGACCTGGCTGTAGAGGTTAGTCCTGAAGTGACAGAGGTACAGATTCTGAAGGGCCACAAAGTCTCAAGCATAACTGCAAGAGAAGCCAGTAAGTACTATTAGGCAGCCAGTCACAGGGACTGGCCATGACATCGGGACAAGGGGCTCTTACATCAGATCTCAGCTCACTCAGGGAGATCTATTCATACATGGTTGGATCCCACCATTCAGTTGGAAGAACAGAGGTGGAATCCAGCTTCAGAGAATGACATAGGAAAGTAGCATGCAGAATACAAGGACCCTACCTCCATCAGTACCCTTAGCTACAGCCCACAGAAGCTGAATGGCTGGTAAGAGATGAAGAAGTGGAAACGAAAAGGTTTTAGGGGGAAAAAAAGATGTTACTAGGTGGATCACAGTATCACTGAGAGAATGGAGAAGAACATAAGACCAAGTTTACAGATAAAACGCCAAAACACACACACACAAAGTGGGGAACAGTCAAAGGACTATTTAGAAGAAAACATATAGCCCTGAATATATTAGAAAACAAATTGAAATTAAATTAGCTAAGCACACATCTCAAGAACCCAGAATGAGCAAATAAACCCAAAGAAACGAAGGAAAAGTCCAGTAAGGAAGACCTCTTGCAAAGCTAGCCAAATAAAATACACAAAATATAAACATATTTTGTTGATTTCACCTGCCCTCACCCCTTGCCCCACTTTTTCTGGTAATAGAACCTCTCTATTCCATGGGAAACATATAAAAATTACTTGTGGCTCATCCTGCCCCACCCCAGTCCTCCACACCCTCCCACCCCCCGGCCCTGGCCACAGTGACTGCTCAAGCACAGCAAGTGACCTGAGGAAGATCAATCGCCCTTCACGGAAATACAGGGATCCTCAAGAGCCCCAAGGGGCTCTGTCTACAAGGACTGTGTATAAACTTGAGCGTCCTGGCTGGGCGCAGTGGCTCATGCCTGTAATCCCAGCACTCTGGGAGGCCGACGCAGGCGGATCACGAGGTCAGGAGATCGAGACCATCCTGGCTAACACGGTGAAACCCTGTCTCTACTAAAAATACAAAAAATTAGCCGGGCGTGGTGGCGGGCGCCTGTAGTCCCAGCTACTCAGGAGGCTGAGGCAAGAGAATGGCGTGAACCCCGGGGGGCGGAGCCTGCAGTGAGCCGAGATCGCGCCATTGCACTCCAGCCTGGGCAACAGCGAGACTCCGTCTCAAAAAAAAAAAAAAAAAAAAAACTTGAGCTTTCTACAGAAAACATCTGTAGGAGGGAAAGAAATTAATCAGCCGGGAGCAGAGATGACAGAGATAAATGAGAGAGCCTGAGGAATTCATGCTGCTGGCATTGGTTCATCCCTGCCCGATGCGCACCACTCAGAGACCTCAGGTCAATGAGCCTTGCTTACTTCTCCTAATTTGAGTTCAATTTTGTCATTTATAAGAAAGTCCCGCATACGCCAGGATGGTGGCTCTCACCTGTAATCCCAGTACTTTGAGAGGCCAGGGCAGGAGCATCACTTGAGCCTGGGAGTTCGAGACTAGCCTGGGCAACATAGGGAGAGCCTGTCTCTACTAAAAATAAAAAAAATTAGCCAGGTGTGGTGGCGCGCACATGTGGTTCCAGCTACTCAGGAGGCTGAGGTGGGAGAATCACTTGGGCCTGGGAGGTCAAGGCTGCAGTGGCGCCATGATGGCCTGGGCAACAGAGTGAGAGGCTGTCTCAAAAAAAAAAAAAAAATTACTGGGTGCAGTGGCTCACCCTTGTAATCCCAGCACTTTGTGAGGCTGAGGGGGGCCAATCACCTGAGGTCAGGACTTTGAGACCAGCCTGGTCAACATGGCAAAACCCCATCTCTACTAAAAATACAAAAATTAGCTGGGTGTGGTGGCGGGTGCCTGTAATTCCAGCTACTTGGGAGGCTGAGGCAGGAGAATCACTTGAACCCGGGAGGTGGAGGTTACAGTGAGCCGATACTGCACCACTGCACTCAAGCCTGGGCGACACAGTGAAACTCTGCCTCAAAAACAAAACAAAAACAAACAAACAAAAAAAGAAAGTTCCAAATAATACAAATATTATGCATGAACTTTTGCCCAAAAAGCTTAAATATATATGAAATATGATCCTGGAATGATACAAATGATCAAAATTGACTCAAGGATAGAAAACTTTAGACAGAACACAACTGAATAAACTAAAAGGCAGTGAAAGATCCACCCCTGAAAAAGGTACCCAGCACAGATGTTTTTGTAAACAAGTTCACAACGTTGAAGAAACAAATGCCTGGCCTATAAAGTATTCAAGCCTGAAGAAAAAGACGTCTCCAAACCCATTTGCAAGGCTAGCATAAAGCTAATCTCGAAATAGAACAGGAAGGTCATTTTTTAAAAAGAGGGAGGGGATTGGCCCAGGGAGAGAGATAAAACTCCTAAGTAAATACATAATATACTGTAAAACTAAGCAAGGTTTATATCAGAAAGTAAGGTGTGTCCAACATTAGGAAACCTATTACTGTAACTCAGTACAATCATACAATAAAATCTTTTGATTTTCTCCATAGATGTCAACATTCATCACTGTTAAACAAAAGCGAAGGAGAAAAAAAAAACAGTAAGATGGAACAAAGAAAACATCTTCAGTCTAATGAAGATCATCTACCGGAAGCCCAGAGCAAGCGTCCTACCTCAGGACGCAACGTGAGAACCATTCCCACTGAGAAAACATCAATCAAGGGTGCCATGCAACCACGGTGGAGGTCCTGGCCTCTGAGATTCACAAGAAATAGACATGAGTGTAAAGGAGGAGATAAAACTGTCATTAGTGGGATACGATTTGGCTATCTATAAAGCCACAAGATCAACTGAAGAACTGCGCATTCGACAAGGTGGGCAACACAAAGATGGACACACAGGTGGATGCCAGGGATGGGGAAAGGTGATTTCCACAGATCCTTCACTACCAGTAACTAGGACTTTCATAAAACTCCTAAGACTAAACCAAATTGGAAGTAAAGGCCCATTTGAAGACCACACCACCTTACCAAAGAACATACCTCATTTCTGGACAGGAAGATGAAAAACTGTTAATTTTTCTACAATATTTATTTAAACAAAACTAAAAATAAACTGTTAAGATACCACTTCTTGGGTGGACATAGTGGCTCACGCCTGGAATCCCAGCCCTCTGGGAGGCTGAGGCGGGAGGATGGCTTGCCCAGGAGTTTGAGACCAGCCTGGGCAACATAATAAGACTGGCTCTACAAAAAAAAAAAAAAAAAAAAATAGAAAAAGAAAAATTAGCCCGATGTGGTGGTGCACACCTGTGGTCCCAGCTACGCAGTAGGCTGAGGTAGAAGGATCGCTTGAGCCCAGGAGGTGGAGGCTGCAATGAGCCATGATTGCATCACTGTGTTCCAGCCTGGGTGACAGGAGTGAAACCCTGTCTCAAAAAAATAAAAGTTGAAACTCCGTCTCTACTAAAAATACAAAAATTAGCCGGGTGTAGTGGCAAGTGTCTGTAGTCCCAGCTATGGAGAGGCTGAGGCAGGAGAATCGCTTGAACCTGGGAGGCGGAGGTTACAGCGAGCTGAGATCACGCCACTGCACTCCAGCCTGGGTGACAAAGCAAGACTGTCTCAAAAAAAAAAAAAATGCAGTATGGGCACACGGATCAATAGGACAGATTAGAAATTCCAAAAAAGATCCATATATATGCAGGAATTTATGTTTTAAAAGATATTTCTGGCCAGGCGTGGTGGCTCATGCCTGTAATCCCAGCACTTTGGGAGACCAAGGCAGGCAGATCACGAGGTCAGGAGACTGAGACCATCCTGGCTAACAACGGTGAAACCCCATCTCTACTAAAAATACAAAAAATTAGCCGGGCGTGGTGGTGGGTGCCTGTAGTCCCAGCTACTCAGGAGGCTGAGGCAGGAGAATGGCGTGAACCCGGGAGGCAGAGCTTGCAGTGAGCCGAGATGGCGCCACTGCACTCCAGCCTGGGCAACAGAGCGAGACTCCGTCTCAAAAAAAAAAAAAAAGAAATATTTCCAGTGAGCAAAGAATGAACCTTTCAAGAAATAGTACAGGGACAAGTGACTTTCCCTTTAGGGAAAGTTTGCTACCTCTCAGAAAAAACAAACTTCAGATGAATTAAAGATAGATACACACACATACATATCTTTAACCCATCTCGTTTATTTTTTGTATATACATCTACATACATTTTATACATTATATTCATATATACATATATACAAATGTATATATGTTTAAAGCCACGCTATAAGAGAAAGTAAATGAGAAACAGACAAATGAAGTGGTAGCTGGAGGACGTGGGAATCAGTACAGGTTTTCACGCCTGTTTCAGAAATGGGAGATTCTACAGCACGCTCGACACTAACACATCACATCCATAACATATCACATCCAATAGACAGGACAGCCAAAAACACAAAACAAAAAAAGAATCAAATACCCACACCCAGACACAATACTCAACAACACAAATACCCGACCAAAGTCTTTAAGAAAGCAAAAGAGGCCGGGCACAGTGGCTCACACCTGTAATCCCAGCACTCTAGGAGGCCAAGGTGGGTGGACCACTTGAGGTCAGGAGTTCGAGACCAGCCTGGCCAACATGGCAAAACCTCGTCTCTACTGAAAATATAAAAATTAGCCAGGCATGGTGGCACACGCCTGTAATCCCAGCAGTTTGGGAGGCTGAGGCAGGAGGCTCATTTAAGGTCAGGAGTTCGAGACCAGCCCGGGCAACATGGCAAAACCCCGTCTCTACTAAAAATACAAAAAGTTAGCCAGGTGTGGTGGTGCACGCCTGTAGTCCAAGCTACTCGGGAGGCTGAGGCAGGAGAGTTACTTGAACCCAGTAGGTGAAGGTTACAGTGAGCCGAGATCACACCACTGCACTCCAGCCTGAGCAACACAGGGAGACACTCTCTCAAAAAAAAAAAAAAAAAAAAAAAGATAGTCTCCAAAACACAAGAGGTAAGGTTTAAGTCCCATTGGCTTACGACAGGAAGATATGTGCACATCTGCAGAGCTGGTAACAGGGAGGCAGGCATTCCCTCTGATGGTTGCTGTTTCTTAATGAGGCATGTGTTGTGGTAACTACCACAAGGGGGAATTGATAGATAAGACAGAAGTTTTGAAACAGACATCCCAGAGTAGATCTGCTGGGCAGTGCTTAGTGTCCATCTGAGGTTTGTAATGATAAACGTAAGGTACAACTGGTGGCCAGGCTGGCTGTTTTCTCACCTAATGATGGTGACTTGGGTTTGGGCACAGAGGTGAATGATTGGGTTTACCCAGGGTTAGGGTTTTACTAGCGGAACAGAATGGAGGGAGACAGAGGGGTGTAGGGTGGACTACGGAATTGATGCTACACAAGAGGGAAGTGAAGGCAGAAGGTTACTCATGAGAATGTCAGGGCTGGTTAGAAGAATGAAGGGTGAGGGTGGAAAAGCAGCCTCTATTTAAAAGGTTATAAGACAATCAATGTCCTCAGGGAATAATCAGGTTTCAAATAAAGTCAGGAGATGGATGGACCATTCAAAACAAAGTTAAGGATAGAGAGATTTGCCAGCCACCTTCTGGAAGTGATAGATGGTGCAGAGTGGGAGAGATGAGGTCGTATGTGGGGATGGACACAGTAGCTGGAGGTGAGCACTCCCGTACACAGGGTGACTAGAAAGGCGGGGAGAACAGCACGAGGCACCATGGGCTCCTGAGCGTCTCTTAGAGGCAGGTGGGTGTTAGGTCCTAGGGCTGTCATCCTGAATGCTTAAATTGGTATGAACTGCAAGCAGGCAAGGAAGCAGGAGTGCTCCCAGCTGTTAAACACATGCAAGAAGGCCCAGAGCACGGCCTGGCACTTTCTAAGTGCCCAATAAGAAAGAACAAACCACCTGGGAAAGACTCCAGCCATTTCCCATTTCCTCCCCATTCAGCCCACCCACCCACAAGGTCTCTAATAAATAGGGAGCAGTTTTTCACTTCATCACAATCTCCCTCCCCCGAGAGAGCCACTCAGACACCAGAACAAGTCACCAACCCACCAGGGGTTTAATTCTCTGAATCAAAAGATCAGTTCAGAGAGGAGCCCTGCTTTGTCCTCATGCAGGGGTGAAGATGTGCAGAGCACCCTGGGAATGTCCAAGCCCAGAAGAGCCAGGGGCCAGTCCCTGAGCAAGTGGAGAATTGGGTCCTGGAGTCTCAGGCTGCCTCCTCCTCTTCACTCTCCTCCTCACTCTCATGATACTGTCTGCGGTTTGTGTTAACAAACAGGTCAGAATCATCTTCTGAGCTGGACTCCTCTCCTGATAACTGTGGCTCAGCTGGGAGTTCTGGTTGAGTTTGTCTGCACGAAGGGAAGAGAGCAGGGTTAGCCCAGCGCCTTCTGGGAAAATAATATCTACAATCAAGGAGTTCCAAAAAAAGGACCATCCGGCCCAGCAGTCAGGGCCCTACAGCACCCTTTAAAGACTCAAACAAGGGACACAGGAGAGCAAACAGTGGGGAAACGTGGCCAAAGAAACAGGCTAAAGACTGACCCCACTCCCCAAACGTGTGCCACAGCCATTTGTTTTAGTTAGAAATAATGATTCTACGACCACCAACTAACACTTAATGGACCCATATCACATAACAGATACTGCACTAAGCAATTTTACAAGCCATCCACTTCTTTAATCCTCACAAAGCTCCCATTTTACATATAAGAAAATAGAGTTTGAAGGAATTAAATAACGTGCTTAAAGTCATTCAGCTTTAAGTGGCAAAGCCAAGATTTTAACCCAGAGCATCTGACCTTCAAACCCCATTCATAACCATGTTATACCACATGCTTAGGAGCTCTCAACAGATACCCTATGTAAGGAGGAAAGAAGGCTCTATTTTTCCCTCAAGGCACCAAAGCATGAACCCCTTATTTTCCATGTACCCCACCCCAAGGCTTGTTCCTCACCTGTTCCTGTTGTTGTGTTTCTCAGCCACTTCAGAGAAGGCCTCAGGCCTATGCCAAGAGATGAGCCAAAGTCAGAAAGGACAAATAAATTTCTCACAAAAGAGCTGCTTCCAGCTGTGTCTGCCTGGGATGCCATGACCTTCCCTCCCCTAATTCCCAAGCTAGGAAGGCAATGCCTCCAGAAGCCAGACAGCCAATGATCAAGGGGACCACCTACCAAAACCCCTCCTTCTGCAGAGAGCGCACGTGGTCCTTGCAGAGCACAAACGAGATTTCAGCCTTCACCTTTTCTCCCTCTTCAATGGGGTCAACAATGAGAAAGTCCCCTGTAGATAAGAAGAGAAAAGGCAAAGTCAGGCCTGCTTGCAATAAGGAAAGCCAAAGCCATAGGAAGGGGTTCTATCTCCTAGAGAGGGCTGCCTCTCTCACCTCTCTCTTTTTTCTTTTTTTTGAGACAGGGTCTTGCTCTGTTGCCCAGGCTGGCAAGCAATAGCATGATCATAGCTGACTGCAGCCTCCACCTCCCAGGCTCAAGTGATTCTCAGGCCTCAGCCTCCTGAGTAGCTGGGATCACAGGCACGTGCCCAACTAATTTTTTTCTTTTTGTAGAGACAAGGTCTCATTATGCTGCCCAGGCTGGTCTCAAGCGATCCTCCCATCTCAGCCTCTCAAAGTGCCAGGATTACAGGAGTAATCCTCTCACCTCTCTTGATCCAGATGTTCTTGCGGTATTTGGAGGGCATGCTCACCAGGAAGCGCTGCCCTTGGGCTGTCTCCACCTCATGCAGATTGTTCCCTGGGGTCCTGAGTACCTGGTTCAGGAGAGACCAAGAATCAGTCTCATCAGTCAGATCAAACACCCTCTCAGACACGCTGCACCCTACCCCCACCCCAGGGGCCCTCCAGGGCTGCAGGGGTGGGGAGCAGAACAGCTTGTGCCCCACGCCACTCACCCTGACAATCTGCTGCTGGTCGGAGGGCACTATGTGCTCCCCTAGCACCTCCTTCACCACATGCTTCCTCTTGGTGGCCTGAGACATGCTGAAGTCGTCCCACACTGGTTAGGAACGAAGAGACTGTCAACTCCTCCTCCTGAGTTCCTTGGATGGCAGGCTCAGAACCCAGGACTGTTCTGAAGATGGGGAGGGGCCTTTTACTGAGGGGTGACACGGTGTCTTGGTTAAGAACATGGGTTCTGAAGTCTAACTGCCTGGATTCAAATCCTACCTTGGTTTATTTCCTAACTATTCAACTTCTCTAGGTCCCAGAAAAATAACAGCTAACTCAGCACTGTTACAGTATGGTATGAGGCCACCACTTCTCCTGTTGGCCTTCTTAGTTTCTCTCCAACCTCCCCTTTTCCCTAGTTTATAAGACAGGAGAAAAGGGAGAAAGCAAAAAGTTGGAAAGAAACAGAAGTAAGATAAATAGCTAGACGACCTTGGCACCACCACCTGGCCCTGGTGGCTAAAATAATAATAATATTATTAACCCCTGACCAAAACTACTGGTGTTATCTGTAAATTCTAGACATTGTATGAGAAAGCACTGTAAAACTTTTTGTTCTGTTAGCTGATGTATGTAGCCCCCAGTCACGTTTCTCACGCTTACTTGATCTATTATGACTTTTTCACGTAGACCCCTTAGAGTTGTAAGCCCTTAAAAGGGCTAGGAATTTCTTTTTCGGGGAGCTCGGCTCTTAAGACACGAGTCTGCCGACGCTCCCGGCCGAATAAAAAAACCTCTTCCTTCTTTAATCTGGTGTCTGAGGAGTTCTGTCTGCGACTCGTCCTGCTACAACAGAATGGGACAATACAATGCATGTCATGTAAAAGTAACTCCGGCCGGGCGCGGTGGCTCACGCCTGTAATCCCAGCACTTTGGGAGGCCGAGGTGGGCGGATCACGATGTCAGGAGATCGAGACCATCCTGGCTAATACGGTGAAACCCTCTCTCTACAAAAATACAAAAAATTAGCCGGGCGTGATGACGAGCGCCTGTAGTCCCAGCTACCCGGGAGGCTGAGGCAGGAGAATGGCGTGAACCCGGGAGGCGGAGCTTGCAGTGAGCCGAGATCGCGCCACTGCACTCCAGCCTGGGCGACAGAGCAAGACTCCGTCTCAAAAAAAAAAAAAAAAAAAAAGTAACTCCTATAATCTTAAGTACTAGTGTAATATAAAACTATACGCATGCTCCAGAGAAGTCATCCTGGCAACCTCTCTGGAAGGAGTTTGAAATAAACCGTATCTTTCTCAACACGCTTGTACACCCCAAGTCTAGCATAGTCACACAACAGAGAAGTTCAGTCTGGCAACACACTACAGCCGGAGACAAACTAGGTGGCCACCGTGATGGTTCAAGCCAGGAACTAGTTAATTAAAGGTTGAGGTGAGCAGGCTTGTCTGCGACATTTGCATATTTCTGACTTGCGTACTTAGAAGACGAAGGCCAGTACCCTTAAGACTGATGGTTTCCGAAAGAAACACTGTCGTCTCTAGTTGCTGTCCTCCTTCCTCCTCCCTGTCTATCCCGGAGAAAAGACCCTCAGAGAAACACCCACACTTAGTCTCTGGCCCTCGGCTCCCAGGAACGCTGCCGGAGCAACACCGCCGTCTAGGCTGGACGCTGAGAGAGGATCGTCCACGACTCACTTCAAGGCTGAACCAAGAAAACACAGTAAAGGAACTTGCCGGCGGCCGCGACGGTAGCGTCAGTTAGAAATCAGGTCTCCAGTGTTCCCAGTTCCCACCAGTCCAACTGCGAGGAGTGCGACGTGAGTCTGAGTCTGATCCCTCCGAAAACCGTACTTCCGGCGCTGTCTCGGAGGCCTCCCGTCCCCTCCCTTGTCCGTCTTCTAACTCTTCCCCACGCCAGGTCCGTCAAGCCTAAGTCCTTGAGTTCCGGGTCCGGGCAGCAGAGAAAGGAAGTCCTCTCCCTGGAGGCCTATCTCCCTCAGAACTGCGCGAGAAGCGAGACCTTAGAAGGCAGGGCTTCCCGCGAAGGACCGGAAAGGAGCGCCTACTAAGGACGCCGTCGAGGTCCGGGGCGCCTCAACTCTATAGCTCTAACTGGCTAGAAGTGCCCAACGTGGAATGTTTCTTTTTTAAAGGCGGCTCTTGAAGCGACCCGGAAGCGGAAGTGGAAGAAAGTTCTAGTGGCTTGAGGTATCCGCAGGAGCGGCCGGGTGGCGGGAGGAACCGTTACGGGAACTGAAGTTGCGGGTGAGCGCCAGCCGCGGAGCAGGGCCCTGATTGGAGGCCAGAGGGGTTGCGGGGAGAAGGGGAGGAGAGGGGTCGCAGGCGCTGTGGCGGGCCCTGGGGGAGAGCTTGGCCGCGCTGCGGGGAGGGGGCGGGGTGCAGCGCGTGGGAGCCGGGCCGCGGGAAGGGGCGGGCCGCAGCGGCGCGCGGTGGGGGCGGAGCTGGGGCGCGGCGTGAACCCCGCGGGCGGGGAGCGGGTGTGCGCAGCGCTAGGTGTGCGCTTCGCCCTGTAGGTAGAGAGACCCTTTGGTTAGCTTTCCACGCCAAGTGGCCGTTCCAGGCAGGCAGTGTCGTCTTGGTTCAGCCAAGGTCACAGAGGGAGTGATAGCTTCCGCGCAGCCCTGGCTACGGACTCTGGGCATCTTTCCACTGCCCCGCTTGCGCCACCTGTTAGGCAGGATCGTTTTTCCTCTGGGGCAAGATCAAAATCCAGGTCCTGCAGGAAGAAACTCCTCTTAAAAATAGTAGGGAAGAGTCTCCCTGGAACTGTTTTCTCCTTTCAGGATGAGGGGGATCGAGCAAGCCACTGTAACCCCTGGCTTGGCTTCCTCTTACTATGAGATTGCTCGTGGGCCCTTAGAAGTTCCAGGTCTTCAGCCCTAATCTGCCTTTTTTTTGGGATTCCTAGATTAAGCCTGATCAAGATGACAACCTCCCAAAAGCACCGAGACTTCGTGGCAGAGCCCATGGGGGAGAAGCCAGTGGGGAGCCTGGCTGGGATTGGTGAAGTCCTGGGCAAGAAGCTGGAGGAAAGGGGTTTTGACAAGGTGTGGGGTGGCTGCGTGTACCTAGTGCAAGCGGGGGGTGGAAGGGAAGTGATTCCATCTGCTGGGGGATGGACAGTAAGGTATAATCTGAAGAGGCTGCCAGAGCCTGGGCACCTGGTGGAGAGGAGAGGGGGGCAAAACCCGCGCTGCTTCCTGGGCTTGTGTGCTCTGAATGGCACAGGAATGGCTGTCTTGCTCTTATCTCTCACTGAGCACTGAGCAGCACGCTCCTTCCTTTTCCCTGTTTTGCAGGCCTATGTTGTCCTTGGCCAGTTTCTGGTGCTAAAGAAAGATGAAGACCTCTTCCGGGAATGGCTGAAAGACACTTGTGGCGCCAACGCCAAGCAGTCCCGGGACTGCTTCGGATGCCTTCGAGAGTGGTGCGACGCCTTCTTGTGATGCTCTCTGGGAAGCTCTCAATCCCCAGCCCTCATCCAGAGTTTGCAGCCGAGTAGGGACTCCTCCCCTGTCCTCTACGAAGGAAAAGATTGCTATTGTCGTACTCACCTCCGACGTACTCCGGGGTCTTTTGGGAGTTTTCTCCCCTAACCATTTCAACTTTTTTTTGGATTCTCGCTCTTGCATGCCTCCCCCGTCCTTTTTCCCTTGCCAGTTCCCTGGTGACAGTTACCAGCTTTCCTGAATGGATTCCCGGCCCCATCCCTCACCCCCACCCTCACTTTCAATCCGTTTGATACCATTTGGCTCCTTTTTTGGCAGAACAGTCACTGTCCTTGTAAAGTTTTTTAGATCAATAAAGTCAGTGGCTTTCATGACTGGGCTTTGTGCACTGAAAAGCAAGTGGGCTGGGAGTTGCCTCTCCTTCAGGGACTGACCATGTTTCCCTCACTCCTTATCAGTAGAGACCGAAACTGGCAGCTTCCCTTCCACTCCCAGAGGGCAGCCACCCTAGCCATGTAGGCCTCAGGCAGGTGACTTTTGTCTCAATCCCCGAGTGATGTGGGAGAGGGTGTGGGTGGATCTTTTCCTGGGAGCCAGATGGACTGTGCTCCAGATGTCAGTTAAGTCAACAGCTGGGCTAGGCAGCACCTGGTGGAAAAGTCAGTGGGAGTCAGAGGTACCAGACAGGGTGGGCCGGATGTGGGTGAGAGTTCACCTGCCAGTCATCATCTGCTCTCCCGGCCTCTGTAAGGGTGGGCAGGGTGCTTGCCATCTTCCATGATCTCTTAGGGAGGAGAAGGAGCACAGGCATCACAGCTGGAAGGATGTGAGGGGAGTACACCTCAGTACATTTTAGTCCTGTTCTTTTTGTTTACTTTTTAACTTAATAGGGACAGGGCCCTGCTCTGTTGCCCATGCTGGCCTTAAGCGATCCTTAAGCCTCCCAAAGCGCTGTGACTATAGGTGTGAGCCACCATACCCGGCCAGCCCTATTATTTCTTGAACACTTAGTATGAACCAGGCTTGAAGCTAAAATCTTTGCAAACATTTTTTTCTTTCACAGTAATAAATATTTTCTCCTTTACAGGTGAGGAAATTTGAGGCTCAGAGAGGCTAATTTGCCCATGGACTTGCTCCTGGGAAGTAGCCAGACTGGAACTCAAACTAGCTTGGAAACCCAGGGACCCGGCCATGTGTTCCTTGGTCATGTGGCTTAGCCTCTCTGAGCCTCAGTTTCTCCACTTGGAAAATGAGGTGGTTGTAGGGAAAGGATATTTGCAGCAGTATAAACAACAAAGGACTATTTCCATAGCACATACAGAATTGCAATCAAGAAAAAAGCGGACTGGCTGGGCGCAATGGCTCACGTTTGTAATCCCAGCACTTTCAGAGGCCGAGGTGGGTGGATCACCTGAGGTCAGGAGTTCAAGACCAGCCTGGCCAACATGGTGAGACCCCATCTCTACCAAAAATACAAAAATTAGCCGGGTGTGGTGGTGCACGCCTATAATCCCAGCTACTCAGGAGACTAAGGCAGGAGAATCGAACTTGGGAGGCAGAGGTTGCAGTGAGCCGAGATCACGGCCATTGCACTCCAGCCAGGGTGACCAGAATGAAACTTTGTCTCAAAAAAAAAAAAAAACAACAGAAAAATGGGTAAAAGATCTAAGACGGCCACAGAAGAGGGTTCCCTCCCAGTAAATAAGCACAGGAAAGGTGCTCCATATTGCTAGTAATAAGACATCACATGCCATTAACACCCACCTGACTGGCAAACACTTTTAAGTTGGACAATACCAAGTATTGATGAGATAATGAAGCAACAGGAACTGATACCTAGCTGGTGGGAGTATAAATTGGTCTAAACAATTTGGGAAGACAGTTGGGTGTTATTTAGTAAAACTGACACGCCCTGTGACCAAGCAGTTCCACTCTCAGGACTGTGCCTTGAAGAAAGTCCCGAACACCTGCAGCAGGACCTAGATGAGTTTGCAGCTGCATTGTTGGGAGCAACGCTAGCGGCTGTCAATACTAGAGTAGATAAATAGGCACTCATGCCACCGGACACTGGACGGAGGTAAAAATGAACAAATGATAGTTGTGTACAACACGAATCTCAATAGCAAATGAAGACAAACAAATTCTTAGGAATTCCTACATAGATGGTAAAACTAGAAGGAAAACAAAGGAAATGATTATGGTAAATAGTAAAGGAAAAAGTCTACAGGGATTATCTTTGGGGGAGGGTGTGGAAGGGCTTAAGGGTAGGCTTGGCCTACCCTGACCTGTGTTTCTGACCTATGGGGTGGTGGTACAGGCATTGACCAAAAGTGTATGTTCTGCGCCCTTTTCAGTGTATTCGCTACATCTCAACAATAGAAAGATAACAGGAAAACCAAAAATAAAGACCTGAGGCTGGAACGATTGAGTGAAAGGTCAGAAACTAAATTGTTATTTGTAGGGATGAGAGTTCTGTGCAAGGCTGGGACTGGAAAGTGCGAGTGGCCCAGCTTGAAAGGGACACCAGGTGACTGCAGCAGGGCCCAGCTTGTGCTTCAAGCCGCTTCCTGGGAGGCTGCTGGTCTGAGTCCCGGCTGAGGTGGTCACGAGGGCTCTCTCTTGAGTTTCAGACTGTTTCTGATGTCTTCCCGGCTAAGTCCCCTCAGCCTTGACCCTCATGCTATGATGCTGTCGCAGGCCTTGTGTGCTTAGGTGGGGGCTTTGCAGGGCTCCGGCCTCACCACACCTCAGTCCTGATGCTGCCAGCTTGTTGCTGGTGCTCTGTGAGGTCATGGAGACTCCTCCTCCATGAAGCCCTTCCCTGGGCTCCTGCCCACGCTGGCCTCCTGGTTTGGCCTCGCCTGGTGGCACTGGGACCCTGCTGGAAGCCTGCGGCTCATGCTGTCTGCTTTATTTCCTTGTTGTCTGCCTTTCCCGGCTCACCCACAGGCTTTGCCATAGAAGGGACTGGAACCTGCCTTCTCACCTCTCCCTTGGGGCACAGGCAGTGCATATACCAGGTGGCAGGCCACAAACCCTTTATCAGGACTCCATATTGCATCCCACACAAGTTCTTGGCTCTGTCCTGGGACAGCAGTAGACAAAGGGCATCTAGAATGTACCTTGTGACAGTGTGGCCTCTCAGATCCAGCCCGACTCAGCCAGCAGGACAAAGGGACCACGGCTTGGAATGCTGGCGCAGAAAGCAGACCTGGCTGGTGAGGGGTATGAGTCAGGTTGTCTCAGTGTCAGCCCGTGGTGTCCAAGAGGACATGCCTGGCCACCCACTAGCCTGGGACATAGGTGGGCCCAGAAATCAGCAAATACTGACCCCATCCCCCCATCACACCCAGCCAGAGCTTGACCCCCTCAGCTGGTCTAGTCATGAGTGCTCAGAGCCAGCCTAGAACTTCGTGTGAACCCAGCCCATGCACTCTGGGGTGCTGAAGGGCTCCTGCTGCCCCCAGAAAGGAAGTAGGGGGAGGCTACCTGGACCACCACAAGCCCTGCCCCCGGCAGCCTGCTGAGCATGGAAGGCTCCCAGCAGGTGCTTGTGACTGTTGATCCCTTTCCAGGCTGGCCCCTCCCTGTGGGGACCAGGGCTCTTTCCTGTCACTCCCAACCTTGACTGGTGGCAGCCTTGAAGAGCCAGCCAGGCCCGATTCTGGGGCTTTGCTCCCCATGCGATCTGGAGCAAGTTGCTTCACTCCCCTGAGCTACAGCCTCCTCTGCCAGCTGATAACAGGGTTGTGAAGATTCAACCAGTGAATCAGCAGCGCTTAGGAGCGCTCCTCCCCAGAGGGGAGCTTTAATCCCTGTTGGATTACAGGTTTCCTTGCTGAAAGATCTCCTTTCCAGGATATGGGGCTACAGAGCCCTGGGGGGAGGGCAATATCCTCTGCCCAACTGAAGGTTCAAGGAAGAGGGTTCTGGGGGAAGCATCGAAGCCTTGGAGAGCCTGATCCCAGAGGGAAGGAGATGTCAAGAACCTGCCCTGGTCATCTCCACCCATCAGGCCAGGGGCAAGAGAGGGGTGCTGTGGACAACCTGGGGTGGGATGTCTGGGCCACTGCAAAACTGGAGGCTCTGCCCTGTGGCCAGTACATTTGACCGACCTCAAGCTCACGCTTGGCGCAAACCTCCTGGAAGCCAGAGTGGTCCAGACGGGATGGAGTCAGGCCCTGGGAAAGTCTGCTCAGGGACACCCCATCTGCAAGAAACAACCCCTACACCATGCACAGCAGACCTCAAACCCCTGTGGAGCAGCCCAGGACTCATGCACCGGGACCCACCACTAACCTTTCCCCTTTGATCTCCCATTTCCTCCTTGTAGGAAGAGATAATAGTCATTGTCTGTGCAGAGCTGCTATGGGAATGAAAGAACATATATTGAATCCCTGGCGCAAGGCCTGGCACACAGCAAGAGTTCTTACCATTGTTAATCCTCCCCACCTTTTCTTACCAAGATACCACTTCTAGCTGTGTGACCTTAGACAAGTGTCCCGACCTCTCTGATTAACTTCTTCATCTGCAAAGTGAGGATAATGTGTACTCCCTCAGGGTGCTTGTGAGAATCAGTGGGTGAAAAGTGCTCAGAAATTGCTAGGTTGTACTGCAAAAAAAGTCCTTTGCATCAGCACAAAGCAGAGGCAGGTGGAGTGGGTGCCCTTGGTGAGTGGCAGACAGGCCTTGGCTAGTTTTTGAGAGAGCTGTTGGAGGTACCTGTGGCCATGGCTAAGCTCCAAGTGATGACACAGCAGGCCCAGGGGAGCTGCCTCTCCCACCTCGCCCCTGTGGCACGATCCTGGTACTCTTCCTCTACCCCTCCCAGGCTTTCAGCTCAGAGTCCTGGCCAGGCGTCATCCTCCTGATCAACTCAAGCTCGGCCAGCACTTCCACAAACTGGAGTCTGTCCCTTTAAGCCAGACACCTGAGGCCGCCAGGAACTTGTGACGGTTCCTTGGAATCCCAGGAAGATGGCAGAGTTGGTTTTCCACAGCTGGGCTGAGGAAGTGAGGTGGGTAGCAGGCTGGCAGCTGCCCTGGGCAGTGAGTGACCGCTGTGGTCTAGGTCTCTGTGTGGGAAATCACTTCCTTTTGTGGTCCTGGGATTCTAAGGCCCAGAATCAGGAAGGGAGGGTGACACGCTGGATGCCTACATACAATATCCATCACAGTGACAGTTGCCAGCTGCTCTTTACGTACTGTGACCTAGCACCTCTTCCAAGCCCCAGTGAAGCCCCTGGAGGCTCTAAGCACTGCAAGATCTTAGTGCCCCAGGGACAATAAGCCCCGCCCCCCAGCAACATGGAATTACAAATACAAACTACACTGAACTCTAAAATGCAGACAAATAATTCCAAGGCCTGCCTGTAATCCCAGCATTTTGGGAAGCTGAGGTGGGAGGATCTCGTGATCTCTTGAGGCCAGGCATTCGAGACCCACCTGGCACTACTGTGAGACCCCATCTCTACAAAAAAATATAAGAATTAGCCAGGTGTGGAAAAAAATTAACCAGGCATGGGGGCATGCGCCTGTGGTCCCAGCTACTTGGGAGGCTGAGATGGGAGGATAGCTTGAAGCCAGGAAGTCGAGTTATAGTGAGCTATGATAGCGCCACTGCACTCTAGCCTGGCTGACAGAGCGCTGTCACAAAAAAAAAAAAAAATTCAACAAAATCCAGACTTTTCTTGCGTTGACTACTTCAACACTGCTTTTCATCTGTTCCTTTTTTTTTTTGAGACAGAGTCTTGCTCTGTCACCCAGGTGGAGTGCAGTGGCACCATCACTGCTCACTGCAGCCTCGACCTCCCAGACTCTAGTAATCCTCCCACCTCAGCCTCCCGAGTAGCTGGGACCACAGGCGTGCACCACCATGCACAGCTAATTTATTTTAGATTTTTTGGTAGAGACGGCTCACTATGTTGCCCAGGCTGGTCTCAAACTCCTGGCCTCAAGTGATCCTCCTGCTTCCGACTCCCAAAGTCCTGGGATTACAGGTGTGAGCTACCGTGTGATTAATAGATCACCACCTATTAATAATAATCAATTAATTATTGGAGTCTTTTTTTTTTGAGATAGAGTCTTGCTCTGTCACCCAGGCTGGAGTGCAGTGGGTGCCGTCTCAGCTCACTGCAACCTCTGCCTCCCAGGTTCAAGTGATTCACCCACCTCAGCCTCCCAAGTAGCTGAGACTACAGGTGTGCACCACCACACCCAGCTAATTTTTGTATTTTTAGTAGAGATGGGGTGTTGGGAGCCGAAAGGGCCAAAGGGATTGTGACCAACTCAGCATTCCACTGAAGGCTATATGATCAAACAGCCACCTGTTTATCACGAATGCAGGATGTGGGCAAACTCCCACTGCCCTGCCACCAAAAGGTTTGCTGAGGGCCTTACTCCTTGGCACTGGGGTCCCTGAAGTTATCTACTGAGAAAATTAGCACCTATTGTTCAAAGGATGCAGTCTCACAAGCCTGCTGTGAACCAAAGTGCTGACCGACAATTACCTGACATACCCGACAATCACCCTCCCCCTTTCTCGCTATCTCTTTTGCCTACTACATACAGAGGGCTGTGTAAAGCTCAGGGCCCTTGTCCACTAGAGGCAAGGTGCCCCCTGACCCCTTCTTCCAAATATACTCTTTTGTCTCTTGTCTTTTATTCCCACGTTTGCCCGGCTTTGTTCAGTCCCCCTAGGTCCGTGCGGGCTATGATGGGGTTTCACCATGTTGGCCAGGCTGGTCTCGAACTCCTGGCCTCAAGTGATCTGCCCACCTCGGCCTCCCAAAGTGCTGGGATTACAGGCGTGAGCCACCACACCTGGCAATTATTGGAGTCTTTAAAAACACAGTCATGGGCCTTGTTTGCTGGTACCTCCAGCACATGCTCACTGTATCCACGGGACAGCCAGATTCGAAACATCAATATCAGAACAAACTTAGGAGATAAGGTGTCTTTCAGACGAGGGCACGGAGGCTCTGTGTGGGAGGTTGAGGGACTTGCCCAAAGCCATGCCGTCAGTAAGATGGCAGAGCTGACATGACTGACACCCCCTCCTTCTGGGCAGTTTGTGTCCTGTGGGCTCAGTCTGGTTTAAGACCACAGATTTGACTTAGACTGTCAGCACACACAAGCCAGTGTCACCATTTATTTCCTGCCGGTGTCTTTGGGCAAATCCATTTTCCCTTCTCTGTAAAGTGGAAACTATTTTTTTTCTTTTTTCTTTTTTTTTTTTGTGAGACAGAGTCTCTCTCTGTCACCCAGGCTAGAGCGCAGTGGTGCCATTTTGGCTCACTGCAACCTCTGCCTCCCAGGTTCAAGCAATTCCCCTGCCTCAGCCTTCTGAGTAGCTGGGAATTCAGGTGTGTGCCACCACGCCTGGCTAATTTTTGTATTTTTGGTAGAGACGGGGTTTCACCATGTTGGCCAGGCTGGTCTTGAACTCCTGACCTCAAGTGATCTGCCTGCCTCGGCCTCCCAAAGTGCTGGGATTACAAGTGTGAGCCCTCATGCCCGGCCTTCTTTTTTTTTTTTTTTTTTTTTTTTTTTTTTGAGTCAGCGTCTAGCTCTGTCGCCCAGGCTGGAATGCTGCAGTGGTGAGATCACGATTCACTGACTTGAACTCCTTGGCTCAAGTGGTCCTCCCACCTTGGCCTCTCAAAGTGCTGGAATTACAAGCATGCCTAGGTGCCTGGCCAGGTAGAAACATTAGTCACTCGCGCTCCAGGAAGGTTGTCAGGCAGCGCTGAGCAGTAATGTGTCCTACTCACCTGCTGTTTATCCAGCACCAGACCTCTTCTAAGAACTTTACCTGTTTCAGCTCACTGAATCCTCACAACACCCATTGTACAGAAGAGGAAACTGAGGCAGCGAGTGGTTAAGTGACTTCTCCGAGGTTACACAGCTAGGAAATGGTGGCAACAGTAAGAGCCCACGAAGAGCTGCGGTTGGTAGTTCATTCTGGACAGCCCTCCCGTGAACCGTCCCTGTACTGGCACTTGTTGCTGGGGACTGTCGCTGTCCTCTCCCTCCCCGGGCCAGGTGTGTCCTGGAGGGCAGGGAAGCGTCTTGGCACGCGGGTGCGCGCCGCCCCCTCGGCCTCCTGGGCTCCCTGAACCTCGCAGGACCCCGGCAACTTCGAGCCCCGCCCCAGCTCCAGGCCGCGGGGGCGCATCGCGGGCGTCGGGCGGGGCGGCCCAGCGGGTAAAAGCTGCGCGGCCGCAAGCTCGGCACTCACGGCTCTGAGGGCTCCGACGGCACTGACGGCCATGGCGCGTTCGAACCTCCCGCTGGCGCTGGGCCTGGCCCTGGTCGCATTCTGCCTCCTGGCGCTGCCACGCGACGCCCGGGCCCGGCCGCAGGAGCGCATGGTCGGAGAACTCCGGGACCTGTCGCCCGACGACCCGCAGGTGCAGAAGGCGGCGCAGGCGGCCGTGGCCAGCTACAACATGGGCAGCAACAGCATCTACTACTTCCGAGACACGCACATCATCAAGGCGCAGAGCCAGGTGCGGCGGGCGGGGTGCTGGGAGGGGACACCCGGCCCAGATGGGGGAGGCCACAGGCGCTGCCCCAGCGTGCATGAAGGGGGCCTAAAAGCGCAATCGGGATATTTTCATGCAATATTTTAAAAATCGAATTAATGCTAAAACTCCACGATGGACAACCATCTAAATTTCAAGGAAAGACATAATTAAACCCTGTATTGCACTACCTGCCTTCCTGGCTTGCCTGGTCCTAGTCTCTGCCCTGATGGGGTGGATCGGGGAGGAGGGAAGGCAGGTGGGGACAGTGGGCAGCTCCCTAGATGGGGCATGTCTGATGTCTGCCAAGGCTGCTGGTGGGGCTCAGCCTCCAGGCCTCTCCACCCTCCATCCCCACCAGAACTCCCCCCCCCACCCCCCCCCACCCCCCCCCACCCCGTCTGAATCATCCCCTCTCCCTCTCTCCCCACCTGAGTGCCTGGGGGCAACAGGAGAATATATCAAGAGGTGAGAAGTGAGGATCAAGGGTCAAGACCCCTGACCTGCCCCTACCCTATGCCCCCAGCTGGTGGCCGGCATCAAGTACTTCCTGACGATGGAGATGGGGAGCACAGACTGCCGCAAGACCAGGGTCACTGGAGACCACGTCGACCTCACCACTTGCCCCCTGGCAGCAGGGGCGCAGCAGGAGGTAACAGCTGGGCTCCTCCAGCCCCAGCCCTCCCCAGAGCCTCAGGCACTCAGGTTGTCCATCCTGAACTGGTTTGGCTGGACACGTAGATGTCTAGATGTCTGGCTGAACCTGTCGTCCTTCTGGATGAGTCAGCCTCTGGGCCAAGATGGGGTGCAGAAAGGAAGCTGGGGCTTCCCTCGGGAATGGGGAAGTTGGCTACCAAGATCTGGAGTCTAGCCCCAGACATGCGGCTTGACATCCGTTGGGTCAGTGATTGTCCCTCTCTTGGCCTGGAGCAGCCTGGCAGGCAGAGGGCTGGCTGTTGGGAGGAGACAGGTCGAGGCTGGGCTCACCCCTCCTTCTCCCCCATATTCCCTCCACAGAAGCTGCGCTGTGACTTTGAGGTCCTTGTGGTTCCCTGGCAGAACTCCTCTCAGCTCCTAAAGCACAACTGTGTGCAGATGTGATAAGTCCCCGAGGGCGAAGGCCATTGGGTTTGGGGCCATGGTGGAGGGCACTTCAGGTCCGTGGGCCGTATCTGTCACAATAAATGGCCAGTGCTGCTTCTTGCATTGGTTTCTTCCAAGTGCTTCGCTTCTGCCCCCATCCCCCACTCCCACTTCTGGCAGCTCCCAGCTCCCCAGCCCAAGCTGAGAGGTCACCCTGCCACCTGCAGCAGAGCTGCTGCTGTCCCAGCCCAGACAGTGCTGAAGGTGCAGGGCTGAGCCTCCAAATGTGGAGCCCCCAAACACCCCAGCATCACAGGCATAGAGGAACAAACCTTAGAGCCCCCACACACAGCCAGAGACTCCCAATATTCTCAGAGGTCAGGGGTGGCGGCAGACTCACAGAGGAGGGGCGATGGCCTGAGATAAGAACAGGGCCGGCTGCCTGGGAGCACTCTGAGGAGGAGTCTGTGCTGTGCTCCCACTCAGCCCCAGGAGGAGCTCATGGGTGGCATGGGGGGCTTCAATCAGGCAGTGTCCTCACCCAGGACACTGAGCTCCCAGCCTATAAAGATTCCTCCACCTGCATGTGGCCCAACGATGGCAGAGTCCCTGCAGGCCAAGAGACCATGAAGGCTAGGACAGTGCCTCTCAGTCCACACTGTGGGCTCCACGCCACAAGGACGCCTCTCTTGCCTTGCCCTGGGCAAGACGCCTGAAAGGGGCTAGACTAGGAGCCGCAGAGGGACAGAGATTGTCTAGCGCCCACAGGAGGGGTGAGGGGACAGATTCAATGTAATGTCATTTAAAGAAAACAGCATTGCAGCCGGCCTCACACCTGTAATCCCAGCACTTTGGTAGGCTGAGGTGGATGGATCACCTGAGGTCAGGGGTTCAAGACCAGCCTGGTGGCCGGGCGCGGTGACTCACGCCTGTAATCCCAGCACTTTGGGAGGCCGAGGCGGGCAGATCACGAGGTCAGCAGATCGAGACCATCCTGGGTAACACGGTGAAACCCCGTCTCTACTAAAAATACAAAAAATTAGCTGGGTGTAGTGGCGGGCGCCTGTAGTCCCAGCTACTCGGGAGGCTGAGGCAGGAGAATGGCGTGAACCCGGGAGGTGGAGCTTGCAGTGAGCCGAGATGGCGCCACTGCACTCCAGCCTGGGCGCCAGAGCCAGACTCCATCTCAAAAAAAAAAAAAAAAAAAAAAAAACCAGCCTGGCCAACATGGTGAAATCCCATCTCAACCAAGAATACAAAAATTATCTGGGTGTGGTGGCAGGTGCCTGTAATCTCAGCTACTCAGGAAGCTGAGGTAGGAGAATCGCTTGAATCCAGGAGGCAGAGGTTGCAGTGAGCCGAGATTGCGCCACTGCACTCCAGTCTGGGAGACAGAGCGAGACTCCATCTCAAAAAAATTAAAAATAAAAAAAGAAGAAGAAAACAGCATTGCAACATTTGCACATCTGAATTTGTGGCTGCAATTCATACCCCCCCATACATATACACACGCACACACCCAAAGCACAACACACCAGACATACACACACAGACACCCAGAGCACACACTCAGATGCTGGCAGATATCACATGCATACCCAGAGAAACACAGCCTAGCAACTCATGAGCACAGAAGCAACACACCCTAGAGAAACAACCTGGAGATGTACACACAAAACTCAAACACAACCCAAGGACCCACATGCCACACCCAGAGGTTCCTCAGATGCACAAGCACACACCCACACTTGGGATATGGGCCTTGGGGGTGCTAGGTATAGGCACCATCAGGCCCAGGCAGGCAGCACTGCAGTGGCTGCGGAGAGCATCCCACGGTCCTTCCTTTCTGACAAGGCCTCACACCCTGCTTGTGCCTGCCTGGTCCCCTGCCCAAGGCTGGGGCCTAATAAGCAGCAGCCCCAGCTCCCAGGCCCTGCTGTCGGCCTTTGGAGGCCAGATTGGGGTAGAGACGGGGAAACGGGAAGTAGACCCTGGGTCCCACCTGGGAGTGAGAAGCTGAGGGGTGGCATTTGACAGGAGCTGGGGACCCAGGAGACAACATCCAGCCCTGCTTCTGCTCAAGCTTGTCAGATGTGGCAGCTCAGACAGCCCAGGGTGTGTGCGGGGCCTGCTGCTTGGAAGGGCTCCCATGTGCCACCAAGCAGGGACTCCCAGCATGGGGCAGGCACAGGGTGGGTGGCAGGAAATGCCTGTTGAATGAATGTGTGAGGTGGTGGAGAGAAGCAAGGCCCAGAGACGCCTGCCCGGTGACCTCTCCGCCCCTGGAATCTGTGCCCAAATCCCAGATGGCATTTCCTCCGCATAGTCTATTCCTGGGCCCTGGGCCCTGGGCCAGCCAGTGCCTTCCGCCAGACCAGGGAGGGGAGGTGCTTCTTCTGTCCTGGGACCCTGGAAGCTCCAGCACTGACTGGTCTGGTCCAGAGATGGGAGGGTTGGCAAAAAACTATTGCCCTTCAGCTCCCGCTCCTGACTCCCTCCGGCCTGAACTGCACCCTGGATTCGCCTCTACTAGAGGTGAGATGGCTGTTGTAGATAATGGAAAACCCTCCACTTAAGGAGAGACCCCTGGGGCCAGGGCGAGGCTTGAACTTGACTCAGTGCTAGGTCTCCAGCACCCAGCATAGGCCAGTGTCCCACTGTCACCCCCAGCCATGGGGACAGGGGCTCTGGACATCCAGCCTAGGCTCAGGCTATCAGTCGGGGAGGTCATCTAAGTCCTAGAGCAGGCAATGGGGCGCAGCCTTCAGCCTCATTCCCTGCTTCCCTCTCCCAGCAGCAGGGTCCTCCACACATCCCTGCCCGCCCCTTGCCCTGAGGCCAGAAGGACTTGAGCAGCCCCGACTCCACCTCCCCTCAGTGGGGCTCTAGAGTCTGACCCCAGAAAGGGCAGGATATGGCAATGACCTCCGACCTCTGGGTTCATGATATCCCCATCCGGTTGGTGCTCTTCTACTGGAGCTGAGGGTCCTGGTAGGATTGAGTTCCTGGGCTCTGAGTCCCCATTCCTAGAGCCTATTGGGCCCCCAGGCCCTGGTAACCCTGGGGTGTTCAGGCCTATTCTTTTTCTCCTGACTCTTGGGCCAGATGGGCCTTCCTCCCCAAAGCAGGGTTACTGCCTCCTCGGCCCTCCCGGCACCGCCGGCACCTGAGCTCAGCCCACGTTCTGCTTCATCCCTCCAGCTGCTGCTAATGCCCTGCTGGGCTGAGCTAGCATGCGGGCGCTGGTAGGGCTGGAGGGGATCCAAGAGCAGCTCCTTTCACATGCAACACGGGCACACACTCGTTCGTGTGTGTGCACCAATTCCCTTCCCTGCGCCTTGGCCTAGTCAGTGAGGACATGGAGCCTCCTGGGGTTTAAAAACTCTGTTGGGGCCCCTGCTCTGCAGGGCCCGGACAATCATTCCAGCAGATCTGGGGACCCGTCCCAGTGCACCCAGGTGGGCAGACTGCCAGGGGCTGAAGTCTGTATCTGGTGTCCTCCTGGGGTCAATTCCTGAAGTCCTCTTCTCCAGCCTGCAGGGGTGAGTGGGGCACTGGTGGGTGAATGAGCCAGACTTTGCCTTCCCCGATCCCCATGGGAGTTACTTGGAGCCATTTCTGGCTACAAGCCCCTGGGGTTCCCCTCGCCGGCCCCTTCCCGCTCCTGCCTGGTTCACCTCAAATGTGGTGTCCACAATCTCATCGATGACGGCTGCCTGGGAGCGGAACTTCTGCTGCTCCTGCTCCACGCTTGCCACCAGCTGCAGGTAATGGAACAGGAGCTCCTGCTGCCTGCGGGTGGGCGGGGGGGTCGCAGAGACAGGGGCTGGGCTGACCTGCTGGCTGGGCCTACTGCACCCCAGAACCACCCAGAGGCTCTTCTTGCCTGCCTCCTCCCCACAAAATTTATATGACTGCAGACCTGCATTTCCAGGAGGTCTCCTTTTCCAGATATGAGAAAGAGCCCAAGTCTGCCTGTAGCGCAGAGGCTTCTGGCTTTGTTTATCTTCCTAACCACCCATCCCTCCACCCACCCATTTGTCAGCCCCATTCCTCCCCATACGCCCACTCGACCATCCACCCATCCATCCACCCACCTCCTTATCCAGTCACTCACCCATCTGGCCCTCCAGCCACTCACAACTCACCTCCCCCTCCACCCACCTGCTCTTCCCTGTAGCCACCCCCCACCCACCCATTGACACCTTCATCATGCTGTGTAGTCAGTCACCCACCTGTCCCTCCACCCACTCATCTGCCCACCACATTACCCATTGTCCCATTCACACCCTCCCCGCCATCTTGTCAACCCATTCATCAAAGAACACTGGAAACAATGAACACAGCAAGGTACTCCGAGGAGATGGAGATGAATGAGAGACAGCTTGCCCTCAGAGCCAGACAGCTGCTGACACTTTGAGGCATGAAATTGGGTTCTGAGGGGCCCAGAGGAGGGAAACCTCGCCTGATGCTGGCGACCTGGAAAGACTTCTGGAGGCAGCGTCAATGAGCTGAGTTTGAAAGATAAGTGAGAGCCCAGGCGCGGTGGCTCATGCCTGTAATCCCAACACTTTGGGAGGTCAAGGCAGGTGGATCATTTGAGGTCAGGAGTTCCAGACCAGTCTGGCCAACATGGTGAAACCCTGTCTCTACTAAAAAAATATACACACACACAAATAGCTGGGTGTGGTGACATGCACCTGTAATCCCAGCTACTCGGGAGGGTGAGGTGGGAGAATCGCTTGAACCCAGGAGGCGGAGGTTGCAGTGAGCCTAGATTGTGCCACTGCACTCCAGCCTGGGTGACAGAGTGAGACCCTGTCTCAAAAAAAAAAAAAAAAGAAAAAAGAAAAAAAGAGAAAGATACATGAGGGTTTACCAGGCTTGGGCAGGGCTCCTGGTGCTCCCAGGCCTGGCTCCCCAGAGATCCTTCTCATGGGGACAGCATGAGTCCCCAGATGTCCTGGCCCAGCTGGCCACTCAAGTGGACAGGAATGGAGGTTGAGCATCGGACCTCCAGGCCTTGATCTAAGCTGTTCCTCCAACCGCCTCATTATCCCTCCACTTGGCTGAAGTCTACTCATTCTCCATGGCCCAACACAGGTCTTTAGAGGTGGGGTCCTCATGGGCAGGGGCTGAATCTGTGTCCTCTTTGGGTCCCTGGAGCCCTCACAGGGCCCAGACTTGACAAAGGTTGGGGATGGTTCTGGGGTGAAGGAATGGGTGGCACCCCTGCTGCTGGGATTAGCCAGGTGGCACACACACCTCTGGATGTGCAGAAGCCACCCAGGGTCTCCTCGTTGCACCCACAGGCTCATCCACAAGCCTCAGCGCTCCATCCCCTTCTAGAGGGGCAGGCAATGTCCCTTTCCCTCCAGCCCTCCAGCCAGGCCCCCAGGCCTCACCCTCAGACCCCAGGCCTCGCTCCCTTCCTGTCTCCTCACTTCTCAGTCATGGTCCCAAACTTTTTCTCGATGAGCCGCTTCAGCATGGTGCCTTCACTCGCCACCTCTTTGGGCTCTGGATGTAGAGAAAGAAGGGTGAGGTCAAGGCCTGGATTTGGAGAGGAGGCAGAGGAACCCCATGTGTCAGGAAGATAAGGGCTAATGGAGTTTCTGGCCAGGCTGCTCCAGGAGGTTGCTTCTCCGGGCATGCAGCACGATGCAGTTCCCTTTGTTTGCCCGTCTAGCACCCACCCCACTTCTGGAAGAAGTGCCCCAATTGTCTTGAGGAACAAATCACTTCTACCCCCTTTCAGTCCATGTCCTTTGGCTGAGGTTAGCCCCACCTCCAGCTTCAGGGATACCCCCTTTCAGTCCATGTCCTCTGGCTGAAGTTAGCCCCACCCCCCAGCTTCAAGGACAGGTAACTTAGGCCTGGCCAATTAGAACTTTTTTTTTTCTTTTTTTTTTGAGACGGAATCTCACTCTGCCGCCCAGGCTGGAGTGCAGTGGCACAACCTTGGCTCACTGCAACCTCTGCCTCCCGGGTTCAAGTGATTCTCCCGCCTCAACCTCCCGAGTAGCTGTGATTACTGGTGCCCACCACCATGCCCAGCTAATTTTTGTATTTTTAGTAGAGACAGGGTTTCACCATGTTGGCCAGACTGGTCTTGAACTGCTGACCTCAGGTGATCCGCCCGTCTCAGCCTCCCAAAGTGCTGGGATTACAGGTGTAAGCCACCATGCCCGGCCCCAGGTAGGTCTTTTAAGATTTGACAAGCACAGTCAGGTGTTGTGGCTCACACCTGCAATCTCAGCACTTTGGGAGGCTGAGGTGGGAGGATCATCTGAGGTCAGGAGTTCCAGTTTGAAACCAGCCTGGCCAACCTGGTGTAACCCCATTTCTACTAAAAAATACACACACACACAAAAAAACAACAACATTAGGCGAGTGTGCTGGCGCATGCCTGCAGTCTCAGCTACTCAGGAGGCTGAGATGGAAGGATTGCTTGAGCCTGGGAAGCATAGGTTGCAGTGAGCAGAGATTGCAGCACCGCACTCCAGCCTGTGCGACAGAGCACAAGACTCCATCTCAAAAAAAAAAAAAAAAAAAAAAAAAAGACTTGACAAGCAGTTTAACTGGCTTTGGGAGGATTGTTCTAGGGTCCTCTGGACTAAAGTCCTCCTGAGTCTCAAATTCTAAAACTCTAAAACTGAGTCTGGAATTCTGTGACTGTGGAAGGAGGTTAGGGGGATGGAGAGACTGGCCCCCACTGCGGACGGGCAGGTGGGGCCAGGGCGGGCCAGGCCCATACCTGCAGCTCTGAGCTCCGTCAGTGAGTCTTCCAGCAGCTTCTCTTGGATCCGGGCGGCCCTCTGGGAAGAAGAGGCCTCAGATCTGCCAGAGTCCCAGGCCTGCTCAACCCTGGAGGCCCCTGGCCTCACTCCTCCAGCTTCCTGATCTGGTCCACCTGTCCCACCCCACTCGGTACCTCCTGCTTCGCTTTCTCAAGGCCTTTGAACAGCGCCGTCTGGAAGCTATCCACCAGGACAGTAATCACCAGGCTGGGGAGAGGGACAGGGGTGTGCCCTCAGCGAGGAGGCCAGAGGAGAGGGGCACCCGGTACTTCTTGTGGGTTCAGCGTGGCATGACCAGGGTGAGAGGGCTGGGGTAAGGGTCCCAGGGGAGAGGAGGAAGTGTGGGTGGTGCTGGGCAGCAGAGCAGGGGTGAGTCCTCACTTGAGGAAGATGAAGTACTGGATGATGATGTAAATTACGAGGATGGGAATGATGTACCAGGCGCCTAGGGGGAGCAGGCCAGAGGGCACAGTCAGGCTGTGCTCGCCACCCCCAACCACGACCTGCTCCCTTCCCATACCCGGACATGCAGGCATCAGAAGCCCCACTTTGCCGATGGGGTCACTGAGCCCTGGCCGGTCCACCCCGCCAATCCCCGGCCCTCCCTGCAGCCTGGGGCCTGCCCTACCCTGGGCACGGCTGTCCATGTAGATGAGGGACCAGTCATCCAGCGTGAGCAAGGTGAAGAGGGTGAAGATGGTGGTGAAGATGTTCTGGAAGCGCTTGGGGTCAGATTTGCGGAACAGTGCCCGGAGGACCGCGGAGAAGAGGACTGGCTGTTCAGGGCCAAACTCAGCTCTCCAGTGCTATCCCCACCCCAGCGCCCCTCGTCCTGCCCCATCCCTGCTCCCCGCACCCCTTTCACCGCAGCCCCTCAGGCCCCCACCCCAGCCCCTGCAGCACCAGGATACAGAGGCAGGTAAACATGAGGATGAGGATGGCTGCGATGGACGGCAAGGACTGGCCCAGGGTCCCTGTCACTTCCTGGACGCTGGTCAGGAAGCTGTGGGCAGAAGGAGTGGGGACTGAGTCATCGGTGAGGGGCGGGGGTGTGTGTCTCTGCCCAGCAGCCACAGCTGGCGCTGAAGGCAGGAGGCTCCTGACTTGTTGGTGACTTGGGTGAGTCCTGGCCCCTCTCTGGAAAAATGAAGGGGCTGATTCCAGTGCATGACAGAAGGCAGAAGCAGGCTGGGGTCAGCAGCCTCCTGCGCCCCCATCCCTTGAGCAGGTCACAGTGGATTTCTTTGGGGCCCTGGTCTGTGTCCCCTCTTCCTTTGGAGTCCCCACCCCAGGTGGGAGCCGTGGCCACTGACCTGAGCCTCCGCAGGACCCGGATTGCCCTCAGGGCCCGCAGGCTCTTGAAGACCTTGAGGATCCGGAAGAGGCTTTGGTGGTAGATGGCGAAGGAGTGGGTCTGCATCAGCAAGAAGTCCAGCACGGCCATGGCCATAATGAAGAAGTCTGAGGGCACGGGGTGCCTGAGCCTGGCGGGCTCCCAACGCCAGCGCCCCCTTCCCCATCCTTCTCTCGTCCCGAGCCTCCCCCAGACTAAACACACGCAGCCTGGCCCCGGCCGCACCCACCCAAATTGTTCCAGAAGTCAAAGAAGTACGAGAGGCCCAGGGCGATGATCTTGAGCAGGGCTTCCACCACGTAGATGCAGAAGAATATGGAGTCCAAGGCCATGAAGTACCACTCTGCAGGAACACAGGGGTGCACTCAGAGCTGTCCCCAGCACCCAGTGCCCTCTCTCTCCTCAGCATTAGCCTCACACAAGCCCAGATTCCCAGGCTCTCCCCGGCTCTGCGTAAGCAGCTGCGCGACTTCACTACTGCTGTGTCTCAGTTTTCTTGTCTTTAAAATGGGGATAATTGTGTCCAGGAGCAGTGGCTCACACCTGTAATCCCAGCACATTGGGAGGTTGAGGCGGGCGCATCACTGGAGGTCAGGAGTTCGAGACCAGCCTGGCCAACATGGTGAAACCCTGTTTCTACCAAAAATACAAAAATTAGCTGGGCATGGTGGTGGGCACCTGTAGTCCCAGCTACTTGGGAGGCTGAGGCAGGAGAATCACTTGAACCCGGGAGGCGGAGGTTGCAGTGAGATCGCGCCACTGCACTCCAGCCTGGGTGACAGAGCCAGACTCCGTCTAAAATAAAATAAAATAAAATGGGGATAATTGAAGTCCACTTGATAGAGTTGTGAGCGTTAAATGCATGAACACAAGCGAAGTGCTTAGAATGGAGCCTGAGACAGCGAGCCGGGCAGCTCCTGTCCTTCACCCTGCTCCACGGCGTTGGAGGGCCCAGCCTTCCCCGACCTTACATCCTCGCCCCTCCAGGGCCTTCTCGGGCTCCCGGCCCTTCCGCGAAGCTCGGGCTCCAGGCGCCCGCCCGCCCTCAGCCGCACATTTGGAGCAGATGCGCTCCCTAGTGGCTGCGGCGCGAACAGCACCGCCTCCCGCCTAGCGGGTCCTTCTGTCTCGGGCCGGCCTCAGCGGGGTCTTTCTGAGACGCTCTCTAATACTGGGTAAGGCCATCTACTTCCCAGGGGTGAGGATCAAGTGAGCTGAGTCCTATAAACCGCCCGGCACTGGATCAGGCCCACGGAGGTCCTGGAAGAGCATCGGTGGCTTCTCCATGGGAACAGGACTCCCTGGCTCTTACCGCCCCGGATCTCGACTTCAGCGAAGGTCTGGGCCACCAGCATGACGGTGTTGAGGCAGACAACGAAGAAGATGAAAGTTTCAAAGGCCAAGGATTGGGTCAGGTTCCGGATCATTTCCCGGAAGCCCTGAATGAGGAAGGTTAGCTTTTCCCACAGCCACTGGAAGAGATTGGTAGAGTGTCCCTTCTTGCGGGTCCGCTGGAGCCGGCCGGCTGAAAGGAACAGGGCCAGAAAGTCAAGTGTGTGCAAGAGGGGACACGAGGTCCCAGGCACCCCCCAGCCTGGCTCAGCGTCCATGGTCACTCCTGCCTGCTTGCTGGCCCTCTGCCTCCCGGGTTCAAGCAACTCTTGTGCCTCAGCCTCCCAAGTAGCTGGGACTGCAGGTGCCTGCCACCACGCCCGGCTAATTTTTGTATTTTTGGTAGAAACAGGGTTTCAACATGTTGGCCAGGCTGGTCTCGAACTCCTGGCCTCCAGGGCTTCCACCACGTAGATGCAGAAGAATATGGAGTCCAAGGCCATGAAGTACCACTCTGCAGGGACACAGGGGTGCGCTCAGGGCTGTCCCCAGCACCCAGTGCCCTCTCTCTCCTCAGCATGAGCCTCACACAAGCCCGGATTCCCAGGCTCTCTCCAGCTCTGGGTAAGCAGCTGCGCGACTTCACTACTGCTCTATGTCTCAGTTTTGTTGTCTTTAAAATGGGCATAATTGTGGCCAGAAGCAATGGCTCACACCTGTAATCCCAGCACTTTGGGAGGTTGAGGCAGGCGGATCACTGGAGGCCAGGAGTTTGAGACCAGCCTGGCCAGCAAATCCCCAACAGGCTGGTCCTGTGCCTTCTGTGGCAGGGGCCAGCCTGTTGGGGATTTGGAGTTGGCTTCTGGGGATCCTGAGGGCTCCCACTCCTATGCCTCCATGCCTTTCTTTGCTCACGTGGCAACTTACATATGGAAAACCCACCCTCCTCATCATCCCATCCTCTTGGTAAACTTATCCTCTCCCTTTCAGGTCCTGATGAAATGTTCCCTCCTCTGGGCTGCCTTTCCTGTCCCCATTTAATAACACACTTGCCCCTCTCTGCTTGTTCCTGAGACTGTTGTCATATTTTGTTTGTTGTTGTTGTTGTTTTCTGAGATGGAGTCTCGCTCTGTTGCCCAGGCTGGAGTGCAGTATCGTGATCTCGGCTCACTACAACCTCCGCCTCCCAGCTTCAAGAGATTCTCCTGCCTCACCCTCCTGTGTAGCCAGGATTACAGGCACGCACCACCACACCCGGCTAATTTTTGTATTTTTTTGGTAGAGACAGGGTTTTGCCATATTGGCCAGGCTGGTCTCCAACTCCTGACCTCAAGCAATCTACCTACCTTGGACTCCCAAAATGTTAGGATTACAGATGTGAGCCATCGCACCCAGCCTATTTGTTTTTTTTTTTTTTTTTTTTTTTTCCTACGGAGTCTTGCACTGTCACCCCGGCCGGAGTGCAGTGGCACGATCTCGGCTCACTGCAACCTCTGCCTCCTGGGTTCAAGCGATTCTCCTGCCTCAGCCTCCCAAGTAGCTGGGATTACAGGGGTGCACCACCACGCCCAGCTAATTTTTGTATTTTTTTGGTAAAGACGGGATCTCGCCATGTTGGCCAGGCTGGTCTTGAACTCCTGACCTCAAGCGATCCACCCACCTCGGCCTCCCAAAGTGCTGAGATTACAGGCGTGAGTCACCGCGCCTGGCCTGTTGTCATGTTTATTGAACTACTAGGAAGAAAGTTTGGTGGCGTATGAGCTAAAGGCCATGGTCCCTCCTTGCCCTCCAATAAGGCCCTCATTCAGGCATTAGTTCCTAATCTCTGTTCTCAAGCAGCTCACAGGTGAGTGGGAGAAATCTGGACAGATAGAATCCACCATGGTAAATGTTCTGAGGGCAGGCCCCGAGCACAGGATGATCTGTGGTCAGCTAAGTGACCACTCCTAGTTTTGGGCCCCTCGAGGGCAGCGACTGTGTTGAATTTTTCCCCATGCTGCCATGGCCCAGGCAGGCCACACACCCACATTGGATGAGTATCAATGTTTGACTGGTAGACATATGAATAAATAAGGCAGTGACTGAATGAACAAACACCTCATGGCCTAAAGAGGTACATAATTCAAGGAATAAAAGATGGGACCATGAACAGTCAGGAGAGTGAATAGCCAGTGGGGGACCTGTGCAGGAGGGTCGGGCCTTACGATCTGCGGAAGGACAGTGCGGGGCCGAGATCAGGTCTGGATCCTGCGCCAGGCAGCAGGAGTTGGCATGGGGGGCCCAGCAAAGACTCACTTTTGCGTTTCTGAAATTGCCCTTCTTCTTTGCCCCAGTCTTCTGAATGTTTGGTGGAGATATCCTGGGTATGGACTTTTTTGGACATCTGGGTGACACGTGAGCGGATTGTGCTGGAGGACCGAGTCATGCTGTGAGCCGAGCCCCGTGGGTGTGCTACGTGATAGGGGAAGACTCCTGTACGAGAAGCAGCAGGGCCGGGGGCATCGTGAATCAGGCTCCGGGATGTGTGTGGGATAGAGAGTTGGGAAGTGCTCTGGACGTAGTCGCCATGGAGGTAACTGGAATGATACGCGCCGTGGTGGTCTTGGTGCTGATGGTAGTCTCGGTGCCGGTGGGTCTGGTGGTAGTGGTGCTGTGTGTGGTGGGGATGGTCGCCATGGTGGTACTCACTGGGGTGGTGATCACCTTGGTGGTACTCGCTGTGATAGTCAGATATCCCACGCTGGTAGGACCCCACAGAGGAATGAGGGGAAATGGTCTCTCCGTGATGAGGAGACTTTCCATGCTGGTGGGCTTCATGATGACGGGACCTGCCATGGTGGTGGACTTGGTGATGGTGGGGCCAGCCACGGTGGGGGACTTGGTGATGCTGGGACTCATCGTGTTGGAGCCCGCTAAGGTGGGAAGCCTCGCTGTGGTGGAAGGACTCACTGTAGGGATTGGGTCCATGGGGGAGGTAGGACCCACCATGGTGGGAAGCCTCACCGTGGTGGGGCACGCCAGAGGAATAGTGGGATAAATTCTCACCGAGATATTGGGGTCTGCCATGGTGAGACCCCCTATGGTAATGGGAGTCACTCTGCTGATGGAACCCACCGTATTGGGACCCATCATGATGCCTCCTGCCATCACGTTGGAGCTCATCATGGTAGTCCTCACCGTAGGAACGGTGGGAGGGGACGGCGCCTTGAGAGGGAGCCAGACCAAAGCCTGTGGGGCCATGGGCTCTGCCGTGATTCCGTGCCTCGCTGTGGTGGTGAGATTGGTGGACATGGGAGGACAAGGCTTGGTCGTGGAAGTCTTGGAACTCCGGAGGGTGGTGAGATTCACCACGTTGGTGGGGCACGCCGTGATGGTGCAACTCGTAATGGTGGAGAGCTCTGCTGTGGCCTGGCCTGTGGTGTGGGGGTGATGAGTGAGAGCGAAAGAACCTATCTGCGTTATTGGTGTCTGCCTCATTCTGAGCCTTTTCAGGCACTGAGTTTTGATCCATGACTGTGCTGGGAACTCTGGAGCCAAAAGAGCTCAAGACCTGGGCCCAACAGGCCCCGCCTGGATTTCCCTTCTTTCCTGAGCCAAGCTCAATGCAGACTGTGGCACTGGGCTTCCAGAAAGGCCTGACTATTCTCGTGGAACTCTCCCCTCTATGATGTCACCAGCAGGCCAGGGCCTCATTCCCAAATGCCTCTTCCTGGGCTATAGTTCGGAATCAAGAATTATTGTGTCAAACTCCTTCATTGTAAATGAGGAAACCGAGGTCAAGAAAAGGGAAGGACTAGACCAAGGTGACCTCACAGGTCACTGGCAAAGCTGGACAAAGAAGTCCATGGGGGCGCCATGGCTTCATCAGCTACTTTAGCCCTGTTGTTGGAAAGAAAATGGTCCAAGTGGTCCAGTCTTCAGTCCCATCTAGAGATCAGCTGGCTCTGGGGTGAAGACTGCCTGACTCCCTCATAAGTAGGTGTGTGACCTTGGGCTTGTTGCTGAACTTTCCCGTGCCTCAGTTTCTTCCTCTGTAAAATGGGAATAATAATACCTAGCCCACAGGATCAAAAAAGTTAAGATATGTAAGCCTTATATTAACAGCATAATACATGGTTTTTGTTGTTGTTGTTGTTGTTTGTTTCTTTGTTTGTTTTTGAGATGGAGTCTCGCTCTGTCGCCCAGGCTGGAGTGCAGTGGCACGATCTTGACTCACTGCAACCTCCACCTCCCAGCTTCATGCCATTTTCCTGCCTCAGCCTCCCAAGTAGCTGGGACTACAGGCGCCCACCACCACGCCCGGCTAACTTTTTCTATTTTTAGTAGAGACGGGGTTTCACCATGTTAGCCAGAATGGTCTTGATCTCCTGACCTCGTGATCCGCCTGCCTTGCCCTTCCAAAGTGTTGGGATTACAGGTGTGAGCCACTGCGCCCAGCCCATGTTTTTTTGTTTTTGTTTTTGTTTTTTGAGACAGTCTCACTGTCACCCAGGCTGGAGTGCAGCGGCATGATCTCCACTCATGGCAATCTCTGCCTCCCAGGTTCAAGTGAGCCTCCTGCCTTAGCCCCCTGAGTAGCTGGGATTACAGCCACCCACCACCATACCCCACCCCGGCTAATTTTTTTTTTTTTTTTTTTGAGACAGAGTCTTACTCTGTCACTAGGCTGGAGTGCCGGGGTGCAATCTTGGCTCACTGCAATCTCTGCCTCCTGGGTTCAGGCAATTCTCCTGCCTCAGCTTTCCTAGTAGCTGCGACTACAGGTGCACACCACACCCAGCTAATTTTTGTATTTTTAGTAGAGACGGGGTTTCACCATGTTGACGAGGCTGCTCTTGAACTCCTGACCTCAAATGATCCACCCACCTCGCACTCCCTAAGTGCTGGGATTTCAGGTGTGAGCCACCATGCCTGGCCAATACATGTTAATTGGCATTATTATTCTCTTCTTGATCTTGGAACCCCCCTTTAGGGTTATTACCAAAATTAAACTATCAGCCATCATTTATTGAGGATTGCTTCATACACATTTTGTTTTCTTTCTTTCTTTTTTTTTTTTTGAGACACAGTCTTGCTCTGTCACCTAGGGTGGAGTGCAGTGGCATGGTCTCAGCTCACAGCAACCTCCACCTCCTGAATTCAAGCAATTCTCCTGCCTCAGTCTCCCAAGTAGCTGAAAGTACAGGCGTGCACCACTACGCCCAGCTAACTTCTTTTGTATTTTAGTAGAGATGGGGTTTCACCCTGTTGGTCAGGCTGGTCTCGAACTCCTGATCTCAAACGATCTGCCCGCCTCGACAACCCAAAGTGCTGGGATTACAGGCATGCGCCACCGTGCCCGGCCCATACACATTAAATTTAATCCTCACAATAGCCCCACATGGTAGATATTGTTTATCCCCATTTGACAGACAAAGGTGCTATGGCTCAGAGAATATAAATGAGTTGCTTGATGAATGAAAACTTACCGTCAGTGCTATCTCACTCCAAGTCTGTATCTGTAACCTTCATGCTGTCCTGTCTTCCTCCTGGAATCCACTGCAGAGCTTGCCCTGTATGCTGAATTCATATGTGCACAGCGCAGCTCTTCTGGAAGCTTATGGGTCTCAGCTTCTTGAGTGCTTGGTCAGAGCCATGTCCATAGTGGCTGCTGGGTTCCCAGTGATGAAAGAGACACGGCTCCTGTTTTAAGGAGCTCACTATCTGTTGCCAGCAGCAGACAAAGAAACAATTTGTGTGGGCTGGGCATGGTGGCTCACACCTGTAATCCCAGCACTTTGGGAGGCCAAGGCGGGTGGATCGCCTGAGCTCAGGAGTTTGAGACCAGCCTGGGCAACATGGTGAAACCCTGTCTCTACTAAAATACAAAAAATTAGCTGGATGTGGTGGTGTGCGCCTGTAGTCCCAGCTGCTTGGGAACTTGGGAGGCTGAGGCATGAGAATTGCTTGAGCCCAGGAGGCGGAGGTTGCAGTGAGCTGAGATCACACCATTCCAACAAGAGCGAAACTCCATCTCAAAAAAAAAAAAGAAAGAAAGAAAGAAAAAGAGAAGACTCTACCCTGAGAGAGAACAACAACCTCACATGTTGATGACATGATCTCTGATACTGAACAGGTTTTCGTTTTTGTTTTCTTGATAATAAACTGAAAAACAACTTGCTTTTTTTTTTTTTTTTTTTTGAGACAGAGTCTCCCTCTGTCGCCCAGGCTGGAGTGCAGTGGCGCGATCTTGGCTCACTGCAATGCCGCCTCCTGGGTTCACGCCATTCTCCTGCCTCAGCCTCCCGAGTAGCTGGGACTACAGAAGCCCGCCACCACGCCCGGCTAATTTTTTGTATATTTAGTAGAGATGGGGTTTCACCATGTTAGCCAGGATGGTCTTGATCTCCTGACCTCGTGATCCGCCCGCCTCAGCCTCCCAAAGTGCTGGGATTACAGGCGTGAGCCACCACACCCGGCCACAACATAATCTTTATCCTGGCTGATGAGTCAACTTATTTCACCAATAAAATGGTGAATGCTTACCACGCCATAGCACTAGTAAGATCTGTAAATGGTCAGCATGATCATCGAGAAAATGTTTCAGCTTTTCCAAACAAACAAAAAGCCAAGATAGATTTAATGTCATTTCATATCAGGAATCATCAAAAAGTCTGTCTTGGAAGAACTACCTTGGCATTTATACTGATGGTTCAAATCAGTGGTTAGCTCCATAAGAATTTTTACTGTTCTTGGAAAGAAACAAAACCACAAACAAAAACTTGATGTTGTCACAACACACTGCTTTCTTCACAGAGAGGCACTGGTGTCAGAAACTCTTGGAGATGAAAAGTAATGATGGAGCAAAACGTTTGCCTTTATTCAACAAAGACTCACTCACTTGAAAATGTTTTAAAAACTGGCCAGGCAGGCTGGGCGCAGTGGCTCATGCCTGTAATCCTAGCACTTTGGGAGGCCGAGGTGGGTGGATCAGGAGGTCAGGAGATCAAGACCATCCTGGCTAACACAGTGAAACCCCATCTCTACTAAAAATGCAAAAAATTAGCCGGGCGTGGTGGCGGGCGCCTGTAGTCCCAGTTACTTGGGAGGCTGAGGCAGGAGAATGGCGTGAACCCGGGAGGCGGAGCTTGCAGTGAGCCGAGATGGCGCCACTGCACTCCAGCCTGGGTAACAGAGCGAGACTCCGTCTCAAAAAAATATATAAAATAAAATTTAAAAAATGTGGCCAGGCAGGCTGGGCGTGGTGGCTCACGACTGTAATCCCAGAACTTTGGGAGGCTGAGGCAGGAGGATCACCTGAGGTCAGGAGTTCGAGACCAGTCTGGCCAACATGGTGAAACCCTGTCTCTACTAAAAATACAAAAATTAGCTGGGTGTGGTGGCGGGTGCCTCTAATCCCAGCTACTTGGGAGGCCAAGGTGGGAGAATCGCTTGATCCTGGGAGGCGGAGGTTGCAGTGAGCCGACATGGTGCCACTGCACTCCAGCCTGGGCAACAGTGCTGGGATTACAGGCGTGAGCCACCAAGACTGGCAATATATTTGTTTTTAATTTTAAAAACTAAAAGAAAAGCCGGCATGGTGGCTCATGCCTATAATCCTAGAACTTTGGGAGGCCGAGGCAGGTGAATCACTTGAGGCTAGTAATCCGAGACCAGCCCGGCCAATATAGCAAAACCCTAGCTCTACTAAAAATACAAAAACAAAAACAAAATGCAGCTGGGCATGATGGTGGGAGCCTGTAGTCCCAGCTATTCAGGAGGCTGAGACCTGAGAACTGCTTGATCCCAGAAGGTGGAGGTTATAGTAAGCCAAGATCGTGCCACTGCACTCCAGCCTGGGTGACAGAGCAAGACTCTGTCTCGGAAAAAAAAAAAAAAAAACTTAGAAAAACTGAAATGAATTAAAAGCACTGTATAAAAACATAGACAAGGCATTCTTTTTTTTTTTTCCTTTTTGAGATAGAGTTTCACTTTTGTTGCCCAGGCTGGAATGCAATGATGCGATCTTGGCTCACTGCAACCTCTGCCTCCCAGGTTCAAGTTCTCCTGCCTCAGCCTCCCGAGTAGCTGGGATTATAGGCATGAGCTACTGCGCCTGGCCTGAGCACAGCCATTTTCTTTTCTTTTCTTTCTTTCTTTTTTTTTTTTTTTGAGACGGAGTTTCGTTCTGTCGCCCAGGCTAGAGTGCAGTGACACGATCTCGGCTCACCTCAACCTCCACCTCCCAGGTTCAAGGGATTCTCCTGCCTCAGCCTCCCGAGTAGCTGGGACTACAGGCGCCCGCCACTAGGCCTAGCTAATTTTTTTGTATTTTTTTGGTAGAGACAGGATTTCACCGTGTTAGCCAAGATGGTCTCCATCTCCTGACCTCAAGTGATCCGTCTGCCTCGGCCTCCCAAAGTGCTGGGATTACAGGTGTGAGCCACCGCGCCCGGCCAATTGAGCACAGCCATTTTCTAGCACACGCAGACATCTGGTGGTGGAGCACTCTGTATGGGACCATTGAGAAAGCCTGGGTCTGGCCAGGTAAAGAGGCTGACACAATCTACAGCATGAGTCATCCCATCTCATCACCGAGGGCTGCTGCACCGATGGCTCTCTGATGGGCACTTCATATGGGAATCTTCCCACCCTGTGACTATTTTGAGAAGCTGGCCACAGTCCTGTCTCCTAGGCCATCAGATTGCCAGTTGTGCTCTTTCAAAGTCTCTGCAGCTGGCCAGCCTATCAGATGCTGCTCACCAGTCCATGTAAATCTGTACCTTAGGCCACCTTTCCTCCACAGAAAGCATCCACAGATGTATTGCCCCAAAGTTCCACCCACTGGGAGAATTTTCCTTCACCACTGTCTGTAACCTCAAACTCCTGAGCTCAAGCAATTCTCCCTCCCCCTTTAGCCTCCCAAGTAGCTGGTACTACAGGTATGCACCATCACACCTGGCTAATTTTTAAACCTTGTTTTTGTAAAGACTGGGTCTCACTATGTTGACCAGGCTGGTGTGAAACTCCTGGGCTCAAGTGATCCTCTCATCTCAGCCTCCTAGAATGCTGGGATTACAGGCATAAATCACCATGCTTGGCGCTCTTGTCTTGTCTGTCTGTCCCTCCCTTCCTTCCTTCCTTCCTTCCCTCCTTTTCTTTTTGCTTTTTTTTTTTTTTTTTTTGACGGAGTTTTGCTCTTGTTACCCAGGCTGGAGTACAATGATGCAGTCTCGGCTTGCTGCAACCTCCACCTCCCGGGTTCAAGCAATTCTCCTGCCTCAGCCTCCCAAGTAGCTGGGATTACAGGTGCCCACCACCACGACCCGCTAATTCTTGTATTTGTAGTAGAGTCGAGGTTTCGCCATGTTGGCTGGGCTGGTCTTGAACTCCTGACCTCAGGTGATCCACCCGCCTTGTGCTCCCAAAGTGCTGAGATTACAGGCGTGAACCACCAAGCCCAGCCTCTTTTCTTTTTTTAAAAAAACTGAGTTTCGGCCGGGCACGGTGGCTCACGCCTGTAATCCCAGCACTTTGGGAGGCCAAGGTGGGTGGATCACGAGGTCAGGAGATCGAGACCATCCTGGCTAACACGGCGAAACCCCGTCTCTACTAAAAATACAAAAAAAATAGCTGGGCGTGATGGCAGGCGCCTGTAGTCCCAGCTACGCGGGAGGCTGAGGCAGGAGAATGGCGTGAACCCGGGAGGCGGAGCTTGCAGTGAGCCAAGATTGCGCCACTGCACTCCCACCTGGGTGACAGAGCGAGACTCCGTCTCAAAAAAAAAACAAAAACAAAAACTGAGTTTCACTGTGTTGCACAGGCTAGAGTGCAGTGGCGCAATCTTGGCTCGCTGCAACCTCTGCCTCCCAGGTTCAAGCAATTCTCCTGCCTCAGCCTCCCAAGTAGCTGGGATTACAGGCACCTGCCCTGACGCCCAGCAAATCTGACGCCCAGCAAATCTTTGTATTTTTAGTAGAGACAGGATTTCACCATGTTGGCCAGGCTGGTCTCGAACTCCTGACCTCAAGTAATCTGCCTGCCTTGGCCTCCCAAAGTGCTGGGATTACAGGCATGAGCCACCGTGCCTGGCCCCTCCAGTGTTTTCTTAAATCCAGGCTAGAGGTCAGCAAACTCCTTCCACGAAGTGGTAAATGTCTTAGGCTTTGGATGCCATATGATCTTATTGCAGTTACCCAACTCTGCCAGTGTAGAGCATAAACAGCATTAGACAAGAAGTAAATGCATGAATGTGGCTGTGTTCCAATAAAACTTTATTTACAAAAACAGGTGGTAAGCCAGATTTGCTTGTAGTTTGCTCATCCCTGGTCTAGACAGTCAACAAATCAATAAAACCTCTGATGTATAATGTTTGTTGATTTGTAGTGTAAATACTCTCACGATGGCTGATTTCAGGCTATCAATGTAACACCACCAAGTGCTGTCCTGGAAGAGATAGGCAGTAAATAACACACTACTGGCTGGGCACAGTGGCTCACACCTGTAATCCAGCATTTTGGGAGGCCAACGCCTGCAGATCGCTTGAGCTCAGGAGTTTGAGACTAGCCTGGGTAACATAGTAAGACCCTGTCTACTAAAAAAAAAGATTTAGCCTGACAGAGTGGCACCAGGGATGCCAGGCTGAGGTGGGAGGATCACCTGAGCCCAGGGAGGTCAAGCCTGCAGTAAGCCAAGATCTCACCACTGTACTCATCTGGGCAACGGAAGTGAAACCCTGTCTCAAAAAAAAAAAAAAAAAAAGTAAATTGTAGTAAACTAATTAGTAAGTGATGAGTTTTGAGTATTTATCGTCTTTATTACTTATTTATTATTTTTTTGAGACGCAGTCTCACTCTGTCGCCCAGGCTGTAGTGCAGTGGTGCAATCTTGGCTCACTGCAACCTCCACCTCCCGGGTTCAAGTGATTCTCCTGCCTCAGCCTCCTGAGTAGCTGGTATTATAGGCGCACGCCACCATGCCTGGCTAATTTTTGTATTTTTAGTAGAGACGGGGCTTCATCATGTTGGTCAGGCTGGTCTGGAACTCCTGACCTCGTGATCCGCTCGCCTCGGCCTCTCAAAGTGCTGGGATTACAGGTGCGAGCCACTGAGCCCGGCCTATTGTCTTTATTATTTATACAATTTATTTAATTGTAATTTTATACAATTTAATTTTTTTTTCTTTTTGCACCAGAGTCTTGCTCTGTCGCCCAGCCTGGCGTGCAGTGGTATGATCTTGGCTCACTGTAACCTCCACCTCCCGGGTTCAAGCAATTCTCCTGCCTCAGCCTCCTGAGTAGCTGGGATTACAGGCACGTGCCACCACGCCCAACTAAGTTTTCTATTTTTAGTAGAGATGGGATTTCACCATGTTGGCCAGGCTAGTCTCAAACTCCTGACCTCAAGTGATCCACCTGCCTCGACCTCCCAAAATGCTGGGATTACAGGCGTGAGCCACCACGCCCAAGGAAAATTTAATTTTTAATAATGGTTGTGTCCAACAACTGGCTTGCACAATTCAGCTTTCTTTTTTTTTTTTTTTTTTTTCTTTTGAGACGAAATCTCGCTCTGTTGCCCAGGCTGGAGTGCAGTGGCGCGATCTTGGCTCACTGCAAGCTCTGCCTCCCAGGTTCACGTCATTCTCCTGCCTCAGCCTCCCAAGTAACTGGGACTTCAGGCGCCCGCCACCACGCCCGGCTAATTTTTTGCATTTTTAATAGAGATGGGGTTTCACCGTGTTAGCCAGGATGGTCTCCATCTCCTGACCTTGTGATCCGCCCGCCTCCGCCTCCCAAAGTGCTGGGATTACAGGCATGAGCCACCGTGCCCGGCCACAATTCAGCTTTCAAGAGCCAATAAGAGGCTGACCTGACATACCGTTGTGTTCAGGGAATGGAATGTAATCCAGTGTGGCTGGAATATGATGGCGTAGGGGGCAATGGGAGATGTAGGTGGAAGGTTTTGGGGATCAGATTAGGTTGGCGTGGGGAGAGGTGGTTTCAAACAGGGGAGTGAAAGGATCATATTGCTTTAACAAGGATCACCCTGAATACAGAGTGGGAAGCACGTTTGGTGTGGGGAACGTCCGAGGCAAACTGTTGGATTAAGGCAGATGTTGTAGGGAAAGAGGTGTGCAGAGTCACAGTTATTCAGGAGTCAGAATCTATAGACGTGGTGACAGGTGGCACAAGGGGAAGGGGGAAGGAGGCATTGGGAGGTGCCAAGGTTTGGGCTCAAGCATCAACTTGAGTGGGGGGTTTCAGTCATGGAAACTGACAGACTGGAGATGGAGCCAGTTTGGGTAGAAGATGAGATGTTTGGTTGTGAGAATAGTGGGTTTGATCAAGCTGGGGGACACCCAGGCGGGGAGCCCTGGGCTGGAGACAGAGTTGGGATATAGGAGCCAGGGTCCTACTCCTGTGGCCCCAGCTCATGGGGGTGTCCTTATTCTCAGGGCTCTGCCCTGGCTCTGGGCCACCTCTGGGAGCCACATTCCCTCTCTAGTTCTCAGTCTTCCCATTTGTTTTTGTTTGTTTGTTTGTTTGTTTGTTTGTTTTTTTGCTTTTTGTTTTTCTTATTGAGATGGAGTCTCACTCTGTTGCCCAGGCTGGAGTGCACTGGAGTGCAGTGGCGTGATCTCACCTCACTGCAACCTCTGCCTCCCAGGTTCAAACAATCCTGCCCCAGCCTTGCGAATAGCTGGGATTACAGGCACGCACCACCATGCCCAGCTAACTTTTGTATTTTTAGTAGCAACAGGGTTTCACCACGTTGGCCAGGCTGGTCTCAAACTCCTGACTTGAAGTGATCCACCTGCCTCGGCCTCCCAAAGTTCTGGGATTACAGGCGTGAGCCACCATGCCCGGGCTGAGTCTTCCCATTTGTAATGGAGTATGAGAGCCTGACTCCTTCGCCCTCTGTTGCGTTGTAGCAATCCCATGAGATTGGGATGAAGGTGGAGGATGGGGGTGGCAGAGGGTGATCCTGTCCTGTCCTTTGCCCACTGGAGGGCACCAGGGAAACTCTTGCTGGGGAGAAGAGGATTGGCTGGCAGGGATCCTCAGATTTCTGTAGCCCTGCTGGGCCAGAGGAGCTAATCTAGAATCTATGAGGTTGAGAGAGGGGCTCCCCTTCCTCTTCTCCATGCCCTTCTCTGGCTGGGACTGACTGTCTAGCCCCTTTCTTCAGGCACCTCTGCCCCACAGCCCCTCTGCACGCCTCTGGCCCATTCTGGGAAGCTGCCCGGTTGTGTTGGCAGAGCACCAGCTTCTCTCTCTTTGCCTCACCTCACCTTGGGCTCCCAAAGAACTTGGGCTCTCTGCCTCTCCCTCCCACTCAAACCTGCTCCCAGGAGGCTTTTATAATGAGGCTGTTTAATAAGGAGCCTGCAGGGATGGCTGGGAGGGTGTTTCACGGGGTCGGGTAATGTATTATGGTGGGAGGACCTGGGCTTTGGAGCCTGAGCAGTCTGGTTTCTGTCCTAGCTCAGCTTCTCCCGGCTGTATGAGCCTGGGCACTTCAACTTTTTGTATCTCAGTTTCCTCTTCTACAAGAGGGGATATAGCTGGGTGTTTAGTGGTACCTGCCTATAATCCCAGCTACTCAGGAGTCTGAGGGAGGATTGCTTGAGCCTGGGAGTTTACGGCTGCAGTGAGTCACGATTGCACCACTGCCCCCTCCGAGTAGCTGAGACTTGTGTGACAAGTGAGACCCTGTCTCTAAAATAAATAAAAGAGGGAGAGAAGAGTAACAGCTACCTCTTAGGGTGTTGTAAAAATCAAGTAAGTTGGCTGGGCCTGGTGGCTCATGCCTGTAATCCCAGCACTTTGAGGGTCCAAGGCAGGTGGATCGCTTGAGGCCAGGAGTTTGAGACCAGCCTGGCCAATATGGTGAAACCCTGTGTCCATTAAAAATGCAAAAATTAGCCAGGTGTGGTGGTGGGTGCCTGTAATCCCAGCTATTCGGGAGGCTCAGGCAGGAGAATCACTTGAACCTGAGCGGCAGAAGTTGCAGTGAGCCGAGATCATGCCACTGTACTCCAACCTGGGCGATAGAGCGCAACTCCATCTCAAAAAAAAAAAAAAAATCGAGTAAGTTAAAATACATAAAGTGTAGAGAAGAGCACCTAGCACAGGGGTCCCCAACCCCCAGGCCATGGACGTTACCACCTGAGCTCTGCCTCCTGTCAGATCACCATTAGATTCTCTTAGGAGTGTGAACCCCCTATTGTGAACTGCATGTGCGGGGGATTTAGGTTGTGCACTCCTTATGAAAATCTAATGCCTGATGATCTGAGGTGGAACAGTTTCATCCCAAAACCATCCCCCTTAACCCCTCACACCACGGACAAATTCTCTTCCACAAAGCCAGTCCCTGGTGCCAAAAACATTGGGGACCACTGACCTAGCATATAGTAAGTGATATGGTTTGGCTGTGTGTCCCCCCCACCCGCCCAGATCTCATGTTGAAATGTGATCTCCAGTGCTGGAGGTGGGGCCTGGTGGGAGATGTTTGGATCATGGGGTAGATCCCTCATTAATGGCTTGGTGCCATCCCCTTGGTGATCGGCGAGTTCTTGCTCTGAGTTCACAGTGATCTGGTTGTTTGAAAGTGTGTGGCACCTCCCCTCAGAGGGCATTGACCTTGTTCCTGCTTCTGGCATGTGATATGCTTGCTTCCACTTCACCTTTCACACAATTGTAAGCTTACTGAGGCCTCCTCAGAAGCCGAGCAGATGTCAGCACCATGCCTGTACAGCCTGCAGAACTGGGAGCCAATCAAAACTATTTTCTTTTCTTTTCTTTTTCTTTTCCACTTTGTAGCCCAGGCTGGAGTGCAGTGGCTGATCTCAGCTCACTGCAAGCTCCACCTCCTGGGTTCACGGCATTCTCCTGCCTCAGCCTCCCGAGTAGCTGGGACTACAGGTGCCTGCCACCATGCCTGGCTAATTTTTTTGTATTTTTAATAGAGACGGGGTTTCACTGTGTTAGCCAGGATGGTCTTGATCTCCTGACCTCGTGATCCACCCGCCTCAGCCTCCCAAAGTGCTGGGATTACAGGCATGAGCCACTGTGCCCAGCCCCAATCAAACCTGTTTTCTTTAATTACCCAGACTCACGTATTTCTTCATAGCAATGCAAAAACAGCCTAATAGAGTAAGTGCTCAGTAAAAGTTAGTAGCATTGTTCTTATTAACGTGCCTTCTCTCAGTGGCATTTGCAGCTTTTATTTTTGGATGGAGTCTCTCTCTGTCACCCAGGCTGGAGTGCAGTGGCACAATCTCGGCTGTCTGCAACCTCTGCTTCCTGGGTTCAAGGCATTCTCCTGCCTTAGCCTCCTGAGTAGCTGGGATTACAGGCATGCACAACCACACCCAGCTAATTTTGTATTTTAGTAGAGATGGGGTTTCACCATGTTGGCCAGGCTGGTCTCAAATTCCTGATTTCAAGTGATCCACCCCCACTTGGCCTCCCAAAGTGCTGGGATTACAGGCATGAGCCACTGCACCTGGCCATGCAGCTTGTTACTAAAGGCCTTTCTCCTGCTTACCTCAGTGGCTCCCCATCACCAACCAGAGAGCTGTCCTTACATGCCACGGCTGCAGATGGACAGAGACAGTGACTTCCTCAGCTCTGGGGACAGCCTGGCCTCCCCTGCTGGTCATCTCTGGACATTCCACTTATGCCAGCATCCCAGGCAAAACAATCCCAAGTTTTAGAAAAATTATTTTAAAATCTCCTCCTGATTTGGCCCAGCAAATGAGACTGACTGACACTGTATGGCCTTTTGAATCATTCTCAGAGGAATTCAGCTGGGATCAGGAGAAATGGATAAATGTTTTTTGAGAGAACAGATGGCATCTGGGGCAAGAGCGCACCCCCACCCAAAGAAAAAAAGTGTCTTAAATGTTCGTTGTTCCTTTTTTTTTTTTTGCCTCAAAAGTCACATTTATTCAAAGAAAAGAATGACAAGGCTGAGTGCAGTGGCTCACACCTGTAATCCTAGCAATTTGGGAGGCTGAGGCGGGAGGATCACTTGAGTCCAGGAGTTTGAGACCAGCCTGAGCAACATACTGAGAACCCTGTCTCTACAAAAAAGAGTAAATAATTAGCTGGGTATGGTGGCATGAGCCTATAGTCCCAGCTACTTGGGAGGCTGAGATGGGAGGATCACTTGAGTTCGAGGCTGCCGTGAGCTATGATCATGCCACTGCACTCCAGCCTGGGCAACACAGTGAGACCCTGTCTCAAAAAAAAAAAAAAAATCAAGGCTGCTCATAGCCCATACCATGGCTGTGGGGAAAGTAGAAGAAATCACCCCTTCCTCAAAATGCTTTCTTCCATCTGCTGAAAAACTCTTGTAATAGATGTGTCAAACTATAGCATCTGTAACATGAAAGGTGTTGACCCTGGAGGAGTCCTGATGAAACCAGAGATGCCATCTTGGGAGAGCCTCTGTGTGCCAGGCCCTGTACTAGGGGCCTGCTTATTTCACAGGTGAGGAAAGTGAGGCTCAAAGGCTAAGTTCAAAGTATGTAACTGGTAGATGGCAGAGCCAGGGTTTGAACTCCAGAGCCCCAGTGTTTAATCATTAGGCAAGATCATCCCCATCGAGTCACCGTTGGCCAGGTTTACTGCCTCCACATCGTCTCTAGACCTTAGGGTAAGCTCCTCAAGGCAGGGACCACTTTTCACTCACTGCCAAAGCTCTGGCACTGTTCGGAGTAGGCACAGAGGTAGGCAGCACCAAGTGTTTGTTGGTGGAAGGAGCCTCTTTGCAGGAGTCCTAGGGGCTGAGGCCTGTTCCCCTGGCTTGTGGCTGAAGCTGGAGATGTTCCCACCAAAGAGTTCCAGAGCCCCTGCTCAGCTTTAGGATTTGCCCTTGCCCCTGAGTCAAACAGAGCACCCTCTCCTAGTGCCTGATGATTCCATTTGCCCCTGATTCCAGATTTTTCTGAGGCCAGAGTTGTGCTCTCTGCTGAAGCAGGGCAAGGTTTTTAAAGGAGGGCCCGCCTGCCTGAGGGCCAGGGAGGCCAGGGGAGGCCTATTGCAGTGGTTTGGCTGTTTGTCCCTTAAACCTCATGTTGACATTTGATCCCCAATGTTGGAGGTGGGCCTAATTGGGGGAGGTGTTTGGCTCATGGGTATGGATTCCTCATGAAAAGATTAATGCCCTTCCTGGGGGATAAGTGAGTTTTTTCACTCTTAGTTCCAAGAGCTGGTTGTTAAAAAGACCTGGCACCTCCTCTGACCCCCTTGCTTCCTCTCTCACCCTGTGGTCTCTGCATACTTGGGCTCCCGAGCGGAAGCAGCCTGAGACCCTCGCCAGATACAGATACCAATCCTGAACTTTCTAGTCATCAGGATTGAGTCAAATAAACCTTTTTCTTTACCCAGCCTCAGTCACTCCTTTATGGCAACACATAATGAACTAGGACACTTATCAAAGTAGACTTGGCCGGGCATGGTGGCTCACGCCTGTAATCCCAGCACTTTAGGAGGCCAAGGTGGGCAGATCACCTGAGGTCAGGAGTTTGAGACCAGCCTGTCCAACATGGCCAATCCCCGTCTCTACTAAAAATACAAAAATTAGCCAGGCGTGGTGGTAGACACCTGTAATCCCAGCTACTTAGGAGGCTGAGGCAGGAGAATCACTTGAACCCAGGAGGTGGAGGTTGCAGTGAGCCGAGATTGCACCACTGCACTCCAGACTGGGTGACAGAGTGAGACTGTCTAGAAAAAAAAAAAGTAGACTTAAAGGCACGTCTGAATTTTCCAGGCCAACTGAGGGCAAGGTGAAGGATTTTCCTGGCAGAGGTATGACCAGAGGCTAGGGCTGGGGGTGCAGATGGAGACAATGGCAAGCACCTTATTGGCTGGGGGCCAGAGGACACCTGTTTTTGGATAGATCACTTTGAGTCTGGTACAATTCTTTACTGCTGCTTAATGTCAGAAACTTAATTATGCTTTTGCATGATTCTAATTATTGCCTTTTTCAGAGCTCTGCTGGTAAAAAGTGGGGTGCCATACAAACAGTCCCTTTTCAAGCCCAGCGTGTCATGCATCCTGCCAATCAATCACTGTAATGTCCATTGTCCAAACAGGTCAACCGTTGTCTCCATGAAAAACTGGATAAAGAGTTGCTGATAGCAGTGTCCTGGTTCTTCCCTTTACATTCTTTTGGGGGAAGGTGCTGGGAATCAGCCTAGCTTGTGGCATGTGACCTTTTTTATTTGAATGGCACTACAGACAGCACTTGTGAGCACAAACTCTGAAGCCACACTGCCTTGGTTGAGATCCTAGTGGCCACTTTCTGGCTGTGTGACCCTGACTTAATTTCCCCCAAGTTTCAGTTCCCTCACCTGGAAAACGGCACCCATCTCCAAAGTTAACATACATAAAGCCCTTAAACAGTGGCTGGCACACCGTAGACCATAATAGCTATTGTTTTTTATCACTTGTCCAGATACGTCGATATAGCTCTGAAGAAAGTAACAGAAAAAGTTCCAATTCTCTGCTAGTCTTAAGGGAGATTTCACCTGGAAGTGCTGGCTATCTTGCTGTGTTAAAGGAAACTGCAGAAAGGGACTGGTCTTCATCTGAGTCCAAGTTGTCTTCTTGTGAGGAAAGCAGGCCATTAGTGAAGTCAGTGATTCACAGGAGGAGGTCAAATTCTGAGTTAGGCAGCTCCTTATCTGAAAATGATCCTCCTTCCACCCAAAGAGGTGTTGTGCTCTAACCCCTCCAGTCCTTCCTCTTTGCTTACCTGTCTTGCTCCTGTTCCAATGTTTCCCCATAAGCTCCATGAAAATAAGGCCCTATCTATCTGGTTCACCTGTATCCCCAAGTTACAGAGATGATGCTCAGTAAATGTCGCAGAATTTTGTGAAAAAGAACGATGTGGAAAGTGAGTGGGGCTAAGGTGGCCAGTCTGTGTTGGGGGCCCAGTCGGTCAAGCGGTTGAGGAGGGTTGTAGGCCTATGCCAGGTGGCGGGGGACCTTGAGTCCAGGCCCCCATCCTCATGGGTCCAGCCACAGCTCCTCCTGGGCATCCGTTTCATCCTCAAATGTGGGGAATCCGGCTTCTATGACTGACATACAACTCGCACATTTTAAAGATGTTTTATTAAAAAAAAGAAAAACCAACCAAACAAAAATCCCAACCCAAGAACTCTTGGTTCTGGGAGACTGGGAGCAGCTTAGGTCTGTGGGGAGGGTAGAACCTGGAAGACAGAAAAGTATAGGGAGCCTCAAGCCCTGGGAGGGAGAGCAAGAGCAGCCTTTCCCTAGGGCTGAGCCTCTCTCCATGGGGCCTGGGCTTATCCACTTGGAAAAGACAGGTTGTGGGGGCTCAGCCCCCAGAAAAAGGCAGGGTGAGCAGTTCTGGACAGCCCTCAGGCCTCTTGTCAAAATCACCAACCAGCTGGGAAGGAGAGGGTGGCCCAGCGCTGGATCCAGCCTATCAGCGCCGTGCCCGAAGGCAAGGTTCAGCCCACGATCGGGAGCGGGGGCTCAGATAGGGAGGCGTACCCCAAAGTTCAGCGAGGGACTCAAGCCCCTTGAAAAGAAAGGGCTCTCATGGGGGCAGGACATGGAGGCAGCCCCTGGCTGGACTCCTGGGAGGGCAGGGCAGGACCCATACTCCTGGAGGCCTGCGGAGCTCAGGGACCTTGAGGGCCGCGAGGCAGCACTCGGATGGGCCGAGGCGGGGGATTGTCCAGGACGGGCTCGGGCCGAGCCCGCGCACCGCCCCGGCGCTTCTGCTTGCGCAACAGGTAGTTCGAGTACTGGACCTCGGGCATGGCCAGCTTGAGGCAGGCCTCGGTGGCCGGGCCGGCGCCGCCGCCGGGCAGGTCATAGCCCATAATGTCCACCTTGCGGCTGGGCTGCCACGGCTGCAGCTGCTTGGTGCGGATCTGCGCGGCAGGCCGCAGCAGTGGCTCGTCCCCGAAGCAGCGCCGCAGTAGGCGCTGGCGGGCCTCGCGCAGCTCGCGCGCCTCGCGCTCCACGCACGCGCGGCCCGCGCGCGCCACGTGGCGCCAGAAGGTGGCGTTGAAGTGGTCGTAGAGGCCGGCGTCCAGGGCGTTCCAGGTGCGCGCCGCCCGCGCCAGCGCCGCGGGGATGGCGGCCAGGCGCGAGCTGGCGGCGCGCGCGTTGAGCTTGGCGTAGAGCACGTCGTCCAGGTCCCAGGCCAGTAGGCGCCGCAGCAGCACTAGCGACTCGTCGAAGTACTCGGCGATCATGACGAGCGAGAAAACCTCCTCCACCTGGCGGATGAGGCCCGCCAGGTAGGCGGCGTCGTCGCGCGGGCTGCGCTCATTGTCGCCGCCCAGGTCGTAGGCCAGCGTGTTGTGTGCGAACATGGCGAAGTGCTCGCCAGCGCGGTAGTATGCCTCGGGCGCGCGCAGGAAGGCCTCGAGCGAGGCGTTGGGTACGCGCCGGAAGGCCGGGCAGTACTGGTTGTAGTAGCTGAAGAGCGACTCGAACATGGCGGCCGGCTCGCGCAGGATGGTGACATAGACGGTGCTGGGCGGCATGAGGCGCTCCAGCTCCGCACGGTCGAAGCGCAGGTGGCTGGCCAGCACGTGCGGCGGCCGCGTGGCCGGGTGCACGAAGTGCGCCGAGAAGTTGCGGGGGTAGCAGAACTGGTGCTCGCAGCTCGGGTGCGGCAGGGCCACCGTCAGGTTGTGGCGCTCGGCAAAGCGAAACAGGATGTTCTGCACCGTCGTGCCTGCCGTCTTGTGAGTCTTCAGGAAGGCCACAGTCATGTGCTTGGGGCGCGGCGGCGAGTTCCGCAGAGGAGGGCAGCTCAAGGGGAACAGCTTGGGGTACCTGCCAGGCCCAGGGAGTGTGCGGAGAGGAGGGTGTGAGGGGGCTGCCGCTTGACCCCTGCCCTTACCCAAGGACTGTGGGATGCCCCACAGCGCGGCCCCGCCTGGGCTGCACTCATGGAAAGGTCGAGGGCGGTGCTTGGTAGCCTCTAAGATGCCCTCTATGATCCCTGCTGCCCTCCTGGTATTCATGCCCTTGAGTATTCCCCTCACCTGAGTTAGGCTGGACTTATCATTGCATCTAAAGAAGAGAAGAGGGCAGAAATGATGGGATGTCACTTCTTAAATTTCATCATAGAAAGACTGTGGCTGGCTAGTATCTTGGTGTCTTTCACTCAATCTGGGATGACAGATGATGGGGGAAGCAAGCTGCCATATAGTGGGCAGCCCTATAGGGAGCTACCACTAAGTGGGAAAAGCCCACAAGGACCTAAGGCCCTCAGTCCACCAGCCGGCTTGAAGACCTGAAGCCTGTCAAAACCACGTGAGTGAGCTTGGAAGCTGATCCCTTCCAATCAAGCCTTCGGATGAGACTGCATCACCAGCAAACACCTTGGTTGCAACCCCATGAAAGACCTTGGTCCAGAAGTTCCCAGTAAGCCACACCTGGCTTCCTGACCCAAAATAACAGATGTTTGTGTTTTCAGCTGCTAAGCTTTAAGATAATTTGTTTATGTAGAAATAAATAAGGGACAAAGACCCCTGGAGATCTTTGAGGAATCCCACTTTGTATATGTAGAAACTGAGGGCCAAAAGGAGAACAATCACTTACACAAAGTCTGGAGACGACTCACATGGTCACTAAATCCTTTTGCTCTTTCTCATTTTTACTCTTTAACTGGCTCCTCACTTTGTAGATGGTTGGCACTGGGCTTTGCAGCAACCCATTGTTATGTTTCTCTTGAGGCTTCTAAAGCCTCATTAATTCAGTCATCAAATATTTTTTGGGTGTCCACTATGTGCCAGGTTAATGCTAGGTTCAAGAAATACAGTAATATACAAAAACAATCCTAGCCCTCGTGAAGCTTTCATTTCTGTTGCTTCATTCTTAAAACATGGGTGTTTGGGATTTCAAACCAAATTATCTGGCAAGGGGGGCTGGGCGCATTCACACCATTCTCAGGGGCAGACAGTGTAGAAAATGGGGACATGAAGTCTCCGAGAGGTGCAGGGATTTGTTGGGTTCACACAGTGAGTCAGGAGTAGGGTTGGGGTTCCCATGAATCACATGGTATCCTGTGTGAGGGTGACTGGCTGTGTCACACATATCATGTCTCACTTTATAGATGAGAAAACGGGGGCTCGGAGAAGTGAGGGGACTTGGCCTTGCCCAGCACTACGGAAGTTGTGAGAAGTTGTTTCCACTGGGGAAATGCTTAGCTGCATGCTGTGGGGAGTTGAGCTGGATTCGGATCTCAGCTAACTGATTCTGTAACTTTGAGCAAGTCACTCAGCCCTTTCATTGAAGAGCAGTCCCTGTCCAGGGAGGCTGTGTGGCCCTAAAGGGAAAGCACTTTCAGAATAGAGGGGAGGAGCAAAGCCTAGCAGGACCCTTCTAGCAGGTGGAAGAATGGGGAGGGGAGCTCCGGCCCCCCTGGGGCCCCGCCCCCTTACCAGCTGAGCTGCGCCCCCTGGTGGATGAGAAGGCTTACGGTGCTGCACCCTAGCACCAGCAGCAGGATTTTCCGGCGGCTCATCATCTTGGTGGCCTGCTGCAGGCGCTGGAGGATGGGTGGCATGGCGGAGTACCCACCCCTGGACCAGCCAGGGCCTCACTATCCAGGACTCCCTTCACAGGCACTCATGGGGGATCCTGCGGCTCTGGTAGCAGGGCCAGTGTTCCCGAGAAGCCTGGCAGAAGAAGGCAGACGGGTTTGCAGTGGGCAGAGGAGATGGGATCTGGCCCCCAGCAGGTCTGATGCAAAGAGCTCCAACAGGTGGGGTAAGCAGAGAGGCCAGGGCAGATCGGATTCCTACCTCCCGTTATCAAGACCCTATCTCCTCACTGCTCCAGATAACTTAGTCTTGGGTGGAATTACAGGGTCTGGGGTGTAGCCAGCCCTTCAGGCTGTAGCCACTCCCATCCCTCAGCCCTGTCTCTGTCTCTCTGCCTGCTCCTAACTCGTCTTTGTCTCATGGTTATTTGTACATGTCTCCCCAGTGGAGTGGCTTTAGCGCCAGGGCTTGGCTCAGAACATAGAGGTCTCAACTCAAAGTTTCCTCTCCTCCAGGACTCCTTGCCCAATTGCTTTAGCCCAGGGTTGGTCCTGACTCCCCAGAGAAACCGAGCTCCTCGGAAACACTGATCAGGCCTTCACCTCCTTGGATCGATATGGCTTTGAGTCGATACTGCAGGCTTACTCTATGTACTGTATTATTACATACTTAATCCCATTTAGTCCTCACCACAGCCCTGACCTAGGTATTATTCCCACTGTATAGATAAGGAAACTGAGGCTCTAAGAGATTATATCACTTGTCCATAGCTACACAGCTGGTAACAGTAGAAATGAGATTCATACCTGCTGTTTCTGGCTCCAAAGTCCATGCCCTTAGACACTGTATATGCTATTTCTGTAGAGAACTGGTTTCCCCAACCTTGCCCTAGACTCTGGCAATTCTGCATCCTTCTGAGTCCTGAGCGCTCCTAGCTGGGCTCCTGCCCTGAGGGCCCAAGACTGAGAAATTCATGAGGGAAAGGAAGGTCTTGAAATCCTGGAGCCCTATCTGGATTCCATCCCCAGACACCTGAAACCCAGGCGGCCCCATCAGCTGACTCTGCAGGGAAAAGTGCCTGACCAAAGCAATGAGATGGCAGCCTGGGCGGGGTGTGGGTTGGGTAAGAGGTGGCTCCTGCTTGTTGCCCTACGGAGGATCTCCAGGAGAAGGTGAGCTTCCATCCCAGGTAAGCCCAGGAGTAAGAGAGGGGAGGAGGGCTTGGTCACACACAAGTCTCCTTTCCCCACAGGAATGCCTTGGCTTAAGGGCAGCCCAATCCTGGGCAGCTCCCGTGGAAAGTCCACTTCAGCAGTGATGCCTGTCCCCAAGCTAGGGTGGGGCCTCAGTCTCCAGGTTCAAGTTTAGCTTCAGCCCTCACACATATCCTTCTCCACGGGGGAGGGGGAGCCTGGAACCTGATGGGCATGTGCATGTGGAACTAGGACACCTGGGTCCCAGGAGGGGTAAGGTAATATGAAAACCCTTTTGATCATCACCTTTTCTGGGAGCCCTGGGCTTGGCTTCCAGTCTCTCTTCTTGACCCTGCTCCCTTAATCCTGGATTACATTTAAACCTGTTTGGGTGGAAAGATGTTCTGTTTATGCCTCCCCTTCTCTCTAGGCCTTATCGCTGCTTCCCTCCACCTGCCTGCAGACAGACTTAATCCGGCCGGAGCCAAGGGTAAAGGGTCCAGCCACAGAGGGTAACCAAGGGCACAGCAGAGGAAGTCTAAGGCCCTCCCTGTCTCTTCAAGGATTGCTGGGGCAGAGAAGGGCTGGCCTGGCCTGGCTGGGGCTGCTTGCAGGAGGAAGTGAGAGCCCTTGGCCCTCTAAGGATACACACCTTTTTCCTCTGTCACTCCTGCTGCTTAGAGAACTTGGTGATTAGACAGAAGTGTCCCAAGATGGGAAGAGGGGAGTCTACATCCACCTTTGCTAAACTTGCAGAAACCACCCTATTTCTCAGAGGATTCAGGGTCAGCCAAGGAAGTCAAGCCTAGCTATGGGGGACCTTTCCCGAGGGCAGAGCTTCTACTGGCCGCACAGAGAGAGTGACAGGTGCCTGGTATCCCCCTCTGTCCCACTCTTGGGCCTTTCCCCACTTCCCTACATGGCTGAGCTCTGGGGAGCTAGCCAGGCCCCAGTCTGAGGCCTGCTTAGGGACAGGGGACAGGGCATCCTCAGTGCAGGAATTCCCTGGACACCAGCCCCTGAAGGCGGGCACCAGCTTCTGTATGGCCACTGTCAATGACAGGGTGTTCATCACCTCCTGATACAGCCTGGTCCATTTCTGAGCAACTTACAGCTTGTTCAGGTTCTTTCCGGGACAGCCAGGATTACCCTGCCAGTGGTAGCACCTGCTTCGGCCTGCCCCTTACACCTCCCATTCTGCACTCTTGGTAGTGCTGCCCTCCTAGAGCACATAGAACATTTTTCTCCATGACAGACCTTCAGGTATTTGGAAGCAGTAACCCTGTCTCCTCTGGGTGGGCACTCGGCCAGGCTAAACATTCCAGGTCCTGAGAGAGGGTGCTGCTCGGACACTGTGGGAGGCCTGCCTTCCCTTGGCAATTTGACTCCAAGATGCCTGTTTTGGAGATGGGGCCAAGGCAGTGCCTCTCAGGGAGGGGGCCACTGGGCTGGGTTTCCATCGGATTTTCTGGCTGGTGTGGGGTGCATGATGGTGCTGCTGGAGCTGTGCTTTAGAGCAGTGGCCCTGGCTCCTGCCCTCAGATGCTTCACACGACTCCCCATTGTGCCTGGTGTCTTCTCCATAGAGAGAGTTCTCCCAGCTATCCCAGGCAGGTCAGGACGCCCAGGCTCATCAGAATGTCAGTGCTAATTTTAGTCAGAACAATCTACCTCACGCTGCTGCCCAGTTTTGCAAATTGCTAGCTTTTCTCCAGGGAACCAAAGAAATAGTAGAGCCGACCAAAGCTTTGAAAATGGGCCGGGGTGCCCACCCTCCTAAAGGAGCCCTTTCTCCTCTGTCTCCTCTGAGCTCTAGAGCTGAAACCGATGCACTTAGAGGAAGGGGTGCCCTGGACTGGACCACTTGGACCTGACTGCTGGATGGCCCGGAGACTCCATCCTGTCCTGACTTGAGGGATGGGACAGCCCAGTGTTGAGGGACGCTGACCCAGGGTGCTCCAGAGGAGGGGCGAAGGGCTGAGGGGGTCTGCAAAGTACTGGCCTGGGAGAGCAAATCTTTCCACCTCCCTCTTTTTCCTCCTCCCCCACCCCCCAGCCTGCACCAGGTCTGCCCCTGGCCCCCCAGCCTCCTCTCTCTCTCATCCACCCCCGCATCATCCCTGCCTTGGAATTCCCTCCATCCTCCTGTCTCCATTACTGCCCACCCGCACCATACCTCCCACTCCCTCAATTTCATCCCAGCATCCCCCAGGGATCCTGCCAGTGGGATCTGATCACCATAGGGGATAGGCCAGATTGGCCCGCTCACCCTATCTTCTCCCACTTTCCAGGGGTAGAGCGCCCCCCTCCTCATGCTTTCCAACCACTAGGCCCCCAAGACACTCTCCCGCCCGCCTCTCGGCCCCCATCCCGGTCTGGTCCACTCCCACCCCTCCAACCCCATGCCGGCCACTGCAGTACTCACACCGCACGCCTGGGCTCTGCCTCTGGCCCGGGTTGGGGGCGGCCGCCGCTATCTCTGGACCCTTGTCTCGAAATCCGCACGGGGTCCGAGGGTGCCCGGGGCCCTGCGCGCCGAGTGCCGGTGGCTTGCCTCTCAGCGCCTGGATGGGATCAGGTGGCAGCGTCCGCTAGGCTCGCTCCTCCCGGCTCTGCCCGCCCCCCGCCCCCCGCCCCCCATCGCACACCGGAGGAAGGCGAGGGGCGGGGCCAGGCCACGAGCAAGTAGGGGAGAGGGGAGAGAGGGGAAAGGAAGGGGGACGGGGGAGGGGGGGTGGTTCCCTGGCTTGCCCGCTGGCTGCCGTGAACAGTCTCTGGGTGGCATCTTCAGATGCAGTTGTCTTACTCTGGCAACCTTGCAGAGTTGGACACTAATGTGGCCAGCTCCCTTCTCTCACTCAGGCAGGGAAACTGAGGCCGGGAAGGTGTCTGGATACTCCTGCATTGCTGGGTATTCTGGGGCACCGCCGGTCATACGTGGGCTTCTGGGTGAGCCAGATGCTGGTACACGTGCAGGTACTCACATCCTCTGTCCTCCTCCAGTAGAGAAGCAGTGCTCCAGCCTTGTCTGGTCCCATCTCTGCCCACATGCCCCCTTCCCTTCCAGCGTGTCCCCCATACCCTCTGATGTAGCTTCTGGCTGCTCACCCATTTTTCCTCACTAGGACTCCAGACCCACTCACTCCTGACCAGAGCTATAGTGAGGCTGGGACCCCTGCCTAGGCACCTGCCACCAGGCATCAAAGAACCCAAGTTCAATCCTGGTTTGCTCTTAAATCCCAGAGTCAAGAGGCAACTCCCTAAGCCCTATTGCTTCCAGCTGTAAAATGGGAAGCTGTTCTGAGGTAGCAGAGATAATACACACGAAGGCTCCATGTGAACTTCTTAGTCCTCAGCTCCCATCACCTGGGAGCTGGGCAGCAGCACCTCCCAAAGCCATGCCAGACATCAAGAGCCCTACACTGAGTTCTGTGGCTGGCCTGCACACCTGCTTTCTATTTTGCTCTGGGCCTGGTAAAGCAAGGATCCTGGAGCTGGGTAGCCACCCAAAGGTGGGACTGGAAGGGGCTGGATACGCCCTTCTAGGCCCACATAGGAAATAGTGTGAGGGTCCTTGTTATGGTTGAGGAGGAGGAAATAGGGACTCTCAGAGTCAGAAGGACTGCTGGTGGCCCCAGTTTGGCCTCTTGGGCATGTCACCTTCTCTGCCCATCAATCTTCCGCTGTGTACAATATCGTGGGGGAGGAGGATCTTGAGACCTTGCCTCCTTCCCAGGGCTGTTATAAAATGAGACTCCAGGCCGGGTGCAGTGGCTCACGCCTGTAATCCCAGCACTTTGGGAGGCTGAGGCGGGCGGATCACGAGGTCAGGAGATCGAGACCATCCTGGCTAACGCGGTGAAACCCCGTCTCTACTAAAAAAAATACAAATAAATTAGCTGGGCGTGGTGGCGGGCGCCTGTAGTCGCAGCTACTCGGGAGGCTGAGGCAGGAGAATGGCGTGAACCCAGGAGGCGGAGCTTGCAGTGAGCGCAGATAGAGCCACTGCACTCCAGCCTGGGCAACTGAGACTCTGTCTCAAAAAAAAAAAAAAATAAATAAATAAATAAAAAATAAATAAATAAAATGAGACTCCATCAGCCTTTAGTTTATCCTGCCTCAGAGACCCCGCCCCCTTCCCTAGCACCTACACATGCCTTGGGGCCCTCAGCCTCAGATGACCTGCCCTGGGCTCTCCAGTTACAGGGAGCAGAAGAGCCTTCCTTTGGGCTAGAAAGGTTCTGCCTGAGTGGGCTGACAAGCTGGAGGGAAGGGCGCTGTTTTTCTGTCTTCGTTACTGTCCTTTCCGGGTTTGGCTTCTCCTCTGGGAGTGTGGCTGCAGGAGCCTCCCATAGTGATATTGATGGAAAGGGGAAAGGTCAAGGTTTGGGTAGGAGGAAGAGGACTTCCCACCCAGTGCTAGGATGTGAGCCAACCTTTCTCAACCCAGTCCTTTTCCCTGTCTCTCCCAAACCTCACCTTCCCCCGACCTGGTGCCCCATTCTTTTTTTTTCCCTGTTCCCAGCTTCTTCTCCACTGGGGGCAGTTGGCAAAATGGAGCTGGAGAAAAGATCTGAAGGGGATGTGTAGGGGGAAAATGAGACCATTTCACTTGAGTCTCCCCACTCCCTTTCTCAACACACATAAAAAACACACACAGGCTAGCTGTTGGTGAGAGGGCAGAGCTAGTGGCAGAGGTGGGGAGAGAAACTGAATTGATGGTGTGGGACAGGGAGAGGTGGATGCTAGGCAGGCAAGAATCCCTGCCAGTCTCTGCCTCTGTCTCCAAAGGCCAAGGGGAGTTGGGGTGGGGAGTGGGAGGCAAGGTGGGGCCCCCAGTGCAGGTGCGGCTGAGGGAAAAGGGCCTGAGTTTATTTTTGAGACTAAAAAAGACACAAATGCTTTCACCAGAAACATTGTTCCTTTTTTTCCAGTAATCATTTATTGGGCGCCTCTTGAACGCCAGGCGATGCGAGACTGAAAATGATCAAGTCCCTGCTCACATTTTTGGGATAGAGGTAGGAAGAAAGGGCAAGAAAGACTTAACAAACGGTGGAGATTCGAACGTATTATGGGAGCTCTAAGAAAGGAAAGGAAAGCGGGAGGAGGCTTAGTGGAGAAGACGACATTTGAGCCGGCCTGGAAGGTGGAAAAGGGGGCTTTAGAGTCGCCCTTCCCCCAGGTCGGCAGCTGGAGCTCAGCCCGGGCAGGCCTGCTGCTCTCCCGGCTTGGATCCCCTTTCAGCCCATTCATCCGGGCCTGGGCCGGGGGTGGGCGGGCAGACAATCAGACACTGTTTTATCCCAGGCATCGGCTCCAGCCTCCCGCTTGGCGCCCGCAACGCGGGGCCGCCGGGGAAATGAGTCTCTCGGGACTCCCTGGGAGCGTAAGCGTTCGAGGATCTGACCGGAGGGCCGGGCCGGAAAGCTTGAGAGCCTTCGCTCCCGCAGGTGAGGCGCAGAAAACACTCCCTCGGGGAAGTGCCAGCCCTCCTCGCAGCCCCGCCCTCCGGCCCGCCGCCGGCCTTCGGGGCCGTAGCGGCGCGCAGGGCCCGCAGAGACCGAGACCTGCGCACTACAACTCCCAGGAGGCCTCGCGACCAGACCGCCGAGGGGCCACTAGAGAAAGGTGCGTCTGCGGCGAATCCCGTCGCCCAGCGCACGGCAGCGGGTGTGCCTGAGTGCGCGTCGCCTCCCAACCAGAGAGGACGTGGCATACGGCGCCACCGGAAGTTCCGGCAAGTGGGCCCTGAGGCTGGCCCCAGCTTCCGGGTTGGTCGCGCGCCTTCCTGCGGCTAAGATGGCGACGGAGCATCCCGAGCCTCCCAAAGCAGAATTGCAGCTGCCGCCGCCGCCACCTCCAGGCCACTATGGCGCCTGGGCTGCCCAGGAGCTTCAGGCCAAGTTGGCAGAGATCGGAGCTCCGATCCAGGGTGAGGAACACAGGAAGTCGAGGGGCCTTTACGGGCCTGCGGAGAAGCGGAGCCTGGTTACCCGGGAGACTCGGGTGCGAGGGGCGGAGGCAGGCCGCTGGGGCCTGACCTGGCCGGGCTGGCCTGCCCCATTGATCGTGTACTTTGCCCTGCAGGTAATCGCGAGGAGCTGGTGGAGCGGCTGCAGAGCTACACCCGCCAGGTAGGTGTTGGCGGCGGGACGTCAGGATAGGCCGAGCTTCTCCAGGAGACCTTATATACCCCATCACGGCTCGGTCTTCATTCTTTCTTTATCTCGGCACAGCAAGGCGGAGGCTTGCCCTTTTTAGCTTGTTCTTGCCTTTGCCAGCTTAGTTGTAATTTCTTGTATCCATCTTGGTCCTCTTCAGTGCCCAGCCAGAGCGCTGGCAGACAGGCACTGGGTACGTTTTGTTGAATGAATTGGGAGCGAACGTCGTTTAGTGAAACAGCTAGTTTTGGACTGACCTAGAGTCCTTTCTCTTTTGCAGACTGGCATCGTGCTGAATCGGCCGGTTTTGAGAGGGGAAGATGGGGACAAAGCCGCTCCACCTCCCATGTCGGCACAGGTAGGGAGATTCTTCTGTTTTTTAAGATTCCATCTGCTGATCCTTTTGTAGTTCATGAGCATGATGATTGGGTGTTCACGTGCATGTGTGAGATGTGACACCCTTGCACATTACTCGCCTGACCTGAGTGGGGAAAAAAAAAGATTCCATATGTTCAGGGTAGCCCTTCCTCTCACTTGCAGTTGTTGGGCAGGGAGGTACTGCCATGACAGAATTGTGAGCTCTTCAGTTCTCTCTTTGATGCTGACACTTGCCTCCTTTTCCACTGTCTGCTTCTCCAAAAGCAGCTTGTGGCCGGGTGCAGTGGCGCATGCCTGTAATCCCACCACTTCGGGATGCTTAGATGGGACGATCGCTTGAAGCCAGGAGTTCGAGACCAGCCTGGGCAACATAGTGAGACTCTGTTACTACAAAAAATTTTAAAAATTAGCTGGGCACGGTGGCACGCGCCTATAAAGTCCCTATAAAGAGGCTCAAGGATTGCTGGAGCCCTGGGGTTGGAGGCTGCAGTGAGCTCTGGTTGCGCCACTGTACTCCATGTACTCCATCCTGGGTGACAGAATGAGACTTTGCTTCTTTAAAAAAAAAAGGGGGGAGGTGATGGGGGAGGGGCTGGGAGAGTGTCAGAAAAAATAGCTAATGCATGCCAGGCTTAATACTTAGGCAGTGGGTTGATAGGTGCAGCAAACCACCATAGCACACATTTACCTATGTAACAAACCTGCGCATACTGCACATGTACCCGAAAACTTACAATAAAATAAAATTAAACCAAAAAATAGGAAAAAAAAAAAAGAGGCAGGGCGTGGTGGCTCATGTCTGTAATCCCAGCACTTTGAGAGGCCAAGGCAGGTGGATCGCCTGCGGTCAGGAGTTTGAAACTAGCCTGGCCAACATGGCGAAACTCTCTCTACTAAAAATACAAAAATTAGCTGGGCGTGGTAGCACATGTCTGTAATCCCAGCTACTTGGGAGGCTGAGGCAGGAGAATCACTTGAACCCTGGAGGTGGACGGTGCAGTGAGCCAAGATCAAGCCCCTGCACTCCAGCCTGGGCAATAGAGCGAGACTGTCTCAAAAAAAAAAAAAAGAGGCAGGGCATGGTGGCTCATGCCTGTAATCCCAGCACTTTGGGAGGCTGAGGTGGGCGATCACTTGAGGTCACGAGTTCAAGACCAACCTGGCCAACATGGTGAAACCTTGTCTCTACTAAAAATATAAAAATTAGCCGGGCATGGTGGCAGGTGCCTGTAATCCCAGCTACTTGGGAGGCTGAGGCACGAGAATTGCTTGAACCTGGAAAGCGGAGGTTGCAGTGAGCTGAGATTGCGCCATTGCACTCCAGCCTGGGTGACAGAGCGAGACTCTTGTCTCAAAAAAAAAAAAAAAATACAGCTTGAATACAAGGAAGACTGACTTGTCCTTACCCAGCTGGAAGCAATCACCCTTTTCTTTGCCTGCCCCAGGCACAGTTCCCATGTTCTTTTGTGTGACATCGAGGGCTCCCTGATTTGATTTCACACCCCTTGCGTTTAGTAGTCATTGGGGTTTGCATTGCCCAGATACAGTGGTTCCTGTTTATGTAAGTCCTCTCAATTTCCATGTTCCTTCTGATCCAGGATTTGCCTCATTTTCTCTAAAGCAGTGGCTCTGACCTGGCATCTACTGATCTCTGTGTGTAGGATGAGGAGTCCCTAGATGGCCTCAGAGGCGTCTTTGAGTCTCCTAGAATTGTATGCAGAATCTATATTCAGGATATCTTTTTGGAGAGAGTGGATAGCTTCCTTTGGTTGGTGCCAGAAGTTAACATTCTCATATCTTTATAGAGCTGTGGAGCATTCTCTCTTATGGAGTGGTAACTATGTATCATTTGACTTAGAATTCCAGCTCCTGACTCAAAGTAGATCCCCCAGATATTTGCAGAATGAGTAGATAAATGCTTCCTAGTTTTATGATCATATTTTCTCCACAGCTCCCTGGAATTCCCATGCCACCACCACCTTTGGGACTCCCCCCTCTGCAGCCTCCTCCGCCACCCCCACCACCTCCACCAGGCCTTGGCCTTGGCTTTCCTATGGCCCACCCACCAAATTTGGGGCCCCCGCCTCCTCTCCGTGTGGGTGAGCCAGTGGCACTGTCAGAGGAGGAGCGGCTGAAGTTGGCTCAGCAGCAGGCGGCATTGCTGATGCAGCAGGAGGAGCGTGCCAAGCAGGTAGGGCAGGTGGCAGCCCTGGCCTTGGACTCATTAGGTCCCTGAAGGGGCAGTGGAGCCTTAGAGAAAGCTGGGTCCTAGAACTAAGGCTTCTGGGAAGGTCGGGACTAAAGATTGGAACATGGGCCCTTGACTGGAAGAGGATCTCAAGAAGCAAGAGTTGTGGCAGATTGGCGTGTTGGGTATTGGTGCTGGTATGAACTTGTTTTCTTTTTTAAGCAGGGAGATCATTCGCTGAAGGAACATGAGCTCTTGGAGCAGCAGAAGCGGGTAATACCCCTCCCCCTAACCTTTGACCTCGTGGTCCAGTCAGTTGGCTGTCATTTATAGTGCTTAGAGTGCACCATTCAAGTTTTCCCTGGAGGCTACTTTGTTCTCAACTAAGTTCTAGTATCTTCCAAAGCTTTCAATTTTTCTTGAAGTTCAGGAATTGACAAACTATGACCTGTGGCCTGCATGTGTATGGCCTATGAGCTAAAAATAACTTTAAAATTTTTTAAGGGTTATAAGAAAACCCAAACCAAAAATATGTACCAGAGTCTGTACAGCAACCCATAAAGCCTAAAATATTTACCTTCTGACCTATTATAAAAAGAGCCTGCTGACCTCTGCTCGCCTTACATGACATCATTCTAGATAGGACTCTGGGTAATTGAGTTATTTGTATTGGATTTAGACAGAATAGGACTGTAAGTCTGGGAATGTTATATAAGATGTTTGGCCCCAGAGGTGCATTGCATCAGTCATTACCCAGTGGGTTACTCAGGAGTATTAAAAAGTAAGTGTTAAAAAGCAACAAGTATGAGCTGGGTGCCGTGGCTCACACCTGTAATCCTAGCACTTTGGGAGGCTGAGGTGGGTGGATCGCTTGAGCTCAGGAGTTCGAGACCAGCCTGGCCAACATAATGAAACCCTGTCTCTCAGAAATACAAAAATTAGCCAGGTGTGGCGGCGCATGCCTGTAGTCCCAGCTACTTGGGAGGCTGAGGTGGGAGGATGGCTTGAGCTGGGGAGGCCGAGGTTGCAGTGAGCTGAGATCATGCCACTGTACTCCAGCCTAGGCAACAGAGCCAGACTCTGTCTCAAAAAAAAAAAAAAAAAAAAAAGCCACAAGTCTGGACCTGTGGGTAAAGTACTGTCTTTGCCCAGATTGTGCTGGATCTTGAGGGGTGGATATAAGAAAAGAGCTCAAAAGTTTCTTCTGTATAATTTAATCTTTTGGGGAAGAAAACTCTCTGAAAAGTAGAAGGCACTGTTTGGCTCAATATGAAATTCTCTGCTAGGAACCAGAAGTTTCCTGGGGTTTTCCTTGGTGTTATTTCTAGGGATTTTCCGTTGTGATGAGAGGGCTCCTCCGTTTGGATTAGTAGCCTGGAAGTGTGGGGGTGGAGGGGATGTCAGCACCCAAGTGGTTCGTGATTGTTCTCCTTGGGCCCATTACCCGGCTGAAAGAATGCATTTGCCAGGGGCTGCCTGCCAAATGCGTTTTCAGGCAGTATCTACTCCCACTTCCCTCCCGTAGGCAGCTGTGTTACTGGAGCAGGAACGACAGCAGGAGATTGCCAAGATGGGCACCCCAGTCCCTCGGCCCCCACAAGACATGGGCCAGATTGGTGTGCGCACTCCTCTGGGTCCTCGAGGTGAGACCCTGGAACCGAGGGGAAGGGCAAGGAAGGTGATTTAGACATTTTTAAAAAGACTTTTAAGGTATCTATCACATTTAAAAAGGGCATATATAGTAAATATATAGTTTAATGGTTTTTTACACACTGAACACACCTGTACAACCAGCACCTGGACCATGATCCAAAACATTACCAGCATTCCAAAAGCCACGCCACGTGCCCTCCTCCCCTGCAGGTTTACCATCACCCTTTCAGCAAGAGAGGTAATTTTTTACGTGAGTGTTTTGCCTCTTCTGACATTGGATTTCTTTTTCCCGTCTCTTAGTAGCTGCTCCAGTGGGCCCAGTGGGCCCCACTCCTACAGTTTTGCCCATGGGAGCCCCTGTTCCCCGGCCTCGTGGTCCCCCACCGCCCCCTGGAGATGAGAACAGAGAGGTGAGACTGATGATTTATTCCTAGGGATAAGAGAGTGGTAGTTTAGGATGGGACTATTTTTGGATTTTTAGAGAAAGGTTCTGTGAGAAGATGGGGGGACTTAAATTCCTGGGGGTAGTGGGGAGCCCTTCTTATTTAAACTAAGGGTATGGCAGAGGGACTGGGGAGACATTACTGAGGCAGAGTCTTGGGGTCCCTCTGAGGAACACTAAACCCCACTGAGCCCAGTTGGTGTTGCCCACTCTCTGCTGCTTACATCACCTGGGCAGCAGCCTTTCTAGTCCAAGAGGTGGAAGTTGGTGGAAAAAGGGCACTGTGGGCTGGGTGCGGTGGCTCACACCTGTAATCCCAGCACTTTGGGAGGCCGAGGCGGGCGGATCACCTGAGGTCAGGAGTTCTAGACCAGCCTCAACATGGAGAAACCCCATCTCTACTAAAAATACAAAATTGGCCAGGTGTGGTGGTGCATGCCTGTAATCCCAGCTACTCGGGAGGCTGAGGCAGGAGAATTGCTTGAACCTGGGAGGCGGAGGTTGTGGTGGGCCGAGATCGCGCCATTGCACTCCAGCCTGGGCAACAAGAGCAAAACTCCGTCTCAAAAAAAAAAAAAAGAAAGAAAGAAAAAAAAAAGAAAAAGGGCACTGTGATTTGCCTTCTCTGACTGGGTGTCTCTGGCAGATGGATGACCCCTCTGTGGGCCCCAAGATCCCCCAGGCTTTGGAGAAGATCCTGCAGCTGAAGGAGAGCCGCCAGGAAGAGATGAATTCTCAGCAGGGTGAGTGCCAGGCGTTCTGATGCTGTAGCCACAGAACCTGGAGAGGCTGAGCTGAGTCCTCATCCCTCTGTCCCTTTCCCTGGCTCTTGGTAAAGGCAGGTTACTGTGAACGAGTGCAGGGCAGTGGCACCGTGAAGACTCATCACCACCTTCTTCCTTACAGAGGAAGAGGAAATGGAAACAGATGCTCGCTCGTCCCTGGGCCAGTCAGCGTCAGAGACTGAGGAGGACACAGTGTCCGTATCTAAAAAGGAGGTAGGGATTGGAGCTGAGTGTGGAAGGAAAGCCAGGAGATGGGACTTGGGTACGGAAATAACACAATTTGTAAGTGTTCAGTAAGTAATAGCTTCTATTTTGTGCCAATTTCCGCCCTCAGCATCTTATAGATATTTTTCATTTAATTGCTTTGAGTTCCAAGTACTATACGTGCCTACATTTTACAGCTGAAAAAGCAGAGGTTCTGAGACGCACAGTAATTTACCCAAAGGCATACAGCTTGTGAGTGGCAGAACTTTGGAGTCTGACTCCAAGGCCCCTTCGCAGCTACTTCATGAGATGGCCTCCTTGGGAAAAGCCTGACTGTTGAACTGTGGGGGAGAATGGGGGAGGAGTTTAGGGGTTGGGGTGCTGGCACAGTGCTTGGATTCCCTGACCCAGCTGGTTTTCCTCCTCTTGACAGAAAAACCGGAAGCGTAGGAACCGAAAGAAGAAGAAAAAGCCCCAGCGGGTGCGAGGGGTGTCCTCTGAGAGCTCTGGGGACCGGGAGAAAGACTCAACCCGGTCCCGTGGCTCTGATTCCCCAGCAGCTGATGTTGAGATTGAGTATGTGACTGAAGAACCTGAAATTTACGAGCCCAACTTTATCTTCTTTAAGAGGATCTTTGAGGCTTTTAAGGTACAAGGAGAGCACACTAGGAAGGGGCAGTGCCAAACAGGGAAGGGGCTCAGAGGTGGGTGAGAGGCAGCGGTGAACAGGCATCTTTTAGTGCTGGCCTTAGGAACTGGGAAGGGGCTCAGAGGGCAGGGGTTTCACCTTGTCTGCCTCCTTAGCTCACTGATGATGTGAAGAAGGAGAAAGAGAAGGAGCCAGAGAAACTTGACAAACTGGAGAACTCTGCAGCCCCCAAGAAGAAGGGATTTGAAGAGGAGCACAAGGACAGTGATGATGACAGCAGTGATGACGAGCAGGTCAGGCCCAGCCCTCCTGGTGGGAAGCAGGGACTCTGGGCACAGGTGGCTGAGATGCATCCAGAGAGGGACCATGGTGAACTCTTACAGAGCTTTGGTGGCTTAAGGTTGGGGTGGGTTGGGCAGTTTCATTCACATCTGAGTCCTGCTTAAAAGGGCTGATTGTTCTGTTCTAGGAAAAGAAGCCAGAAGCCCCCAAGCTGTCCAAGAAGAAGTTGCGCCGAATGAACCGCTTCACTGTGGCTGAACTCAAGCAGGTAAGACCTGAGAGGATCCTGCAGGCCCTGGAGCCCAGCTGGGAGACCACCTGGGGAGCCAGGGAGGTGAAAAGGAGTTCTTTGAAGGAGGTGTGGGTGATTTGGGTTTGGGTCCTTTGAGGAAGAAGAGCTTCAGAACTGAGAAGTCGGGGCTCTCGAGAACACGCATTACTATGTGTTTTCCAGCTGGTGGCTCGGCCCGATGTCGTGGAGATGCACGATGTGACAGCGCAGGACCCTAAGCTCTTGGTTCACCTCAAGGCCACTCGGAACTCTGTGCCTGTGCCACGCCACTGGTGTTTTAAGCGCAAATACCTGCAGGGCAAACGGGGCATTGAGAAGCCCCCCTTCGAGCTGCCAGACTTCATCAAACGCACAGGCATCCAGGAGATGCGAGAGGCCCTGCAGGAGAAGGTGAGGGCCTGGCAGGGCTCAGACCTGCCCCCGGGTGTCCCCATCCTTCATAGCAGTGTGCTTCAAAATGGGAATCTGGTTTGAAACCCACCTACCACCTACTTGTTACTTGTCTAATTATCCTTTTGTTTTCCTCCTCTGCTCTTCCTCCCCTCTGCCTTCACTTTGCCAGCTCACCTGGTGACTCCTTTCTCAGATGTACTTTGTGGCTAGAGATTCGTGGTGGTTGTGTAACTTCTTAATTTTAAAGCTTTTAGTTAAATGCTTTGAATTCAGGAGGTAGAAAAGAACATGGGGAAGTCTCTGCTTTCCAGAGAACTGTTGAGATTCATCTCTTGATGAGATGGTTTAAAAACTAGTTATTGATATACACGGCTGAGGCTGATATTGTATAGTCTGTTTTGTTCAGTATGGATTATGTAATTTTGAAAGGTTTTAGCAGGAAGGATTTTGATGACTTTCAGGGTGAGATAATTGAGGCTTCCCATGATCTCATTTGGAGTTGGGAGCTGGATTCTCTACATGAATTTGGTGAGTACTTGTTAAGGCTTGTTTGCTGCCATTCTCCACAGGAAGAACAGAAGACCATGAAGTCAAAAATGCGAGAGAAAGTTCGGCCTAAGATGGGCAAAATTGACATCGACTACCAGAAACTGCATGATGCCTTCTTCAAGTGGCAGACCAAGCCAAAGCTGACCATCCATGGGGACCTGTACTATGAGGTTCGGGAGGGGGCTGGGAGAGGTCAGGCTGGGCCTTGGGGTTGAGACTGTCTAGGGCTTTTTTTTGTTTGTTTGTTTGTTTAAAAAAGATGGAGTCTCACCCTGTTATCCAGGCTGGAGTGCAGTGGTGGGATCTCGGCTCACTGTAACCTCTGCCTTGGGGGCTCAAGCAGTCCTCCCATCTCAGCCTCCTGAGTAGCTGGGACCACAGGCACACCACACCTGGCTAATTTTTTGTATCTTTGGTAGAGACAGGGTTTCGCTATGTTGCCCAGGCTAGTGTGGAACTCCTGAGCTCAAGTGATCCACCCGCCTCAGCCTCCCAAAGTGCTGGGTTTATAGGCATGAACCACCGCACCTGGCCAAGGAGGGCTTTTGAAGCAACTACGATAGTTCCTCAGCCTTAGAATTGCCCATCGACTACCCTCGGATGAGATGGAATTTAAAAATGAGGCTCTATTTGGAGGAGAGATGCAGATCTGGTGGCTTCTTTCCCTGATAGACTCTTCGTATCCTGTCTTAGAAATGATAATAGTTTGTGGTAGGTGGTTTAGGGATGGAGGGGCCAAGGGGCAGATGCTTTTAGGAAACTTTTAATATTGGGAGTGGTAGAGAAATTGCTGGTTTTTTCTGATCCTTGAAATCGTAGTCACCATGATGTCATGGAATTTATGAGGTGGAAGAATTTTGCATATCTTCCTGTCGAGTGCCCTCATTTTACAGATGAGGAGGCAGGTCCTAACGTTGGCCGTGTTCTCATAGTGGGTTATTGACAGCACTGTGAGTCTGGCCTGGTTTTTATTCCTTCCCCGACTTTGGCCAGGGAAAGAAGTGATGAGAATCAGAGTGGGAGCCAGGTAGCCCTCACTGGGATTTTATATCTGATGTGCGTTAGGATTGTGCTCCCACTGAGTGTCTGGGTCTACAATGTAGCATGCTCTGCTTTTCCCTCAGGGGAAGGAGTTCGAGACACGACTGAAGGAGAAGAAGCCAGGAGATCTGTCTGATGAGCTAAGGATTTCCTTGGGGATGCCAGTAGGACCAGTGAGTGTCAGTTAGCTGTCTGGGGAAGCAGCGAAGAGGCTGGTGGGGATTGGAGTGGAAGGCAGAGACAGGGATAGGGTTTGGCAGATGGTATCCTGTTCTCTTTTTCCTGCAGAATGCCCACAAGGTCCCTCCCCCATGGCTGATTGCCATGCAGCGATATGGACCACCCCCATCGTATCCCAACCTGAAAATCCCTGGGCTGAACTCGCCCATCCCTGAGGTGAGCATTGTCCTTTCGTTCATTCTTGGCCATTTCTGCTTTTGAACTGGAAGGTAATTTGTTTGTTTTCCTTCTCTAACTCCACCATGTGTCTCTTTATTTACTTAAAAAATATTTTATTGACATAATATTTGTCATATACCATGTGTATGTGTAGAAAAACAAATAATGGTTTTTGTTTTTTAAAGAAACTGACATGCTCATCATAAAATATTCAGTCAGAATTGACAAGTACAAAGATGAAAGCAAGTCACAATTTTACCACTCAGAAATAGCCAAATTCACTGTTTGGTGAATGTGTTTCCAGATATGTCTCTGAATATTAAGAATGACCAGAGAGAAATAATTTTATCTCAGCCAGATGTGGTGTCTCAACACCTGTAATCCCAGCACTTTGGGAGGCTGAGGTGGGAGGATCCCTTGGGGCCAGGGGTTTAAGACTAGCCTGGGCAACATAGTGAAACCGCACCTCTACTTTAAAAAAAAAAAAAAAGAAAAAAGAAATAATTTTTTTTTAGCTTCACTTCAGTCTCTCAGAAATAATTTTATCTCAAGAATGTCTTCAAATTTCTTATTTTAAAATAAGCATTAAAAAAATTGATGAGTCATTAAAGTAAAACAGTAGTATTGTTAAATTTTAGATAGAAATTTCTGCCCCTTAAGATAAATAGATTCTGAACAAGCTAGCTTTCCAAAGTTAGGAAAACTCAATAAGAAATTGAAGTCATGTTTTCAATGTACGTATTTTGGTTTCAGACAGTAAAGACTCTGCCATGACAGAAGTTATTAGCATACTTTCTGCCTCCTGTCTCCTTATCCTGTTGCCTCCAGATTTTAGTTGTTTATTAATTTTGGTTTCTAATGCTTCATAACATTTGATTTAATTCTGCAGTCATAATTTCCGGAGTTCCCAAGTATCAGCTCTGTACTTTTGAGTGTGCCTTTTCTCTAGGGCTTCAGAATTTCTTTTGCAGCTAAGGAGTGAACTGATTGTGCTCACTGTCTTGCAGAGCTGTTCCTTTGGGTACCATGCTGGTGGCTGGGGCAAACCTCCAGTGGATGAGACTGGGAAACCGCTCTATGGGGACGTGTTTGGAACCAATGCTGCTGAATTTCAGGTATGGGCCATGTACTAGCGATCTTGGTTTTACTTAATGTCATGAAGGTTAGATTGTTGGTTTATAGCTTCATTATCAGGGAGTTGTGTGTTCTGACACAGCAGAGCCTGGAAAAGGGCATACATTTTCCTGAGATGTTAATGTAAGCTCCTCACTAGAATTTGAGCTCTAGGTAGGTAGGGATTATTGTGTTTTGACTCTTACACCCCTTCAGCTTAAAACAGCCTGGCACATAATAGGTACTTAGAAAACATTTGTTGAATGATAAAGTGATCTCTTTCAGACCAAGACTGAGGAAGAAGAGATTGATCGGACCCCTTGGGGGGAACTGGAACCATCTGATGAAGAATCCTCAGAAGAAGAGGAAGAGGAAGAAAGTGATGAAGACAAACCAGATGAGACAGGCTTTATTACCCCTGCAGACAGGTGGGGGAAGCAGAGAATGCCTCTTGGAAGTGGGCTATCTTTGGGGTCCTTCTCTTTACTCCAGAGCTTGTTCCTCTCTTTACAGTGGCCTTATCACTCCTGGAGGCTTTTCATCAGTGCCTGCTGGAATGGAGACCCCTGAACTCATTGAGCTGAGGAAGAAGAAGATTGAGGAGGCGATGGACGGGTAAGGGTACCAGACAGGGCTGAGAGGGGAGGACCTTCACTTCCCTTTGGCTGGCTGGCTGACTGTTGTTCCTTTCTCCCTCATCCTTTTTTAAACAATTATTGAACCAACTCTCTGCCAGGCACTACTGTAGGCAGTGAGGAGTCAGCAGTTGAGGTAAACTGGTAATCAGAGAACAAGATACTTTCAGATGTAGATAAGGATGTTGAAGCAGAGGAAACTGGGTAATGGGATGGGGTGGCAGGGAGGCCTTTGGGAAGGCCTCACTGGGGAGGTGGTGCTTGAACTAAGACCCGAATGAAAAAGCGCCAGCCACAGGATCATCTGGGTCAGAAGTAACAGTAAATGCAAGCAAGTGCAAAGGCACTGAGACAGGGATGGGCTAGTATTTTGAAGCTCCATTTTTAGGTAGTTGAATGTGTAGTGTTGTTAGGTCTTCATGAATTGACCCCTTTATCATGAAATGACCCTCTCTTTATCCATTCTGCTCTTTGTTCCCTTTTTCCTGTTTTTCTACCTTCTTTTGGATTACTTGAACAATTTTTATGATTTCATTTTATCTCCAGTGTTGGTTAATTAGCTGTTAAGTTTTTGCTTTGTTATTTTAGTTGTTGCTCTGGGGTTTATAGATCATGTCTTTATCAGGATCTACCTTCTCTTGATGTTACACTGCTTCCAGATAGTATTAAGAGCCATTATAGTATACTTCATTTCTCTCCTCCCAATTTTTGCACTATATTGTCATATATTCACTTTTACATATGTTATAAATCCTATACTATATAGTTATTATTTTTGTTTAAATGGTCAGTTATCTTTTAGGGAGGTTTAAATAAGAATCATGCATGAAGCCATGTAGTTACCATTTTTGTTTCTTTCATTTCTTTGTGTATATCCAGGTTTCTATCTGATATCATTTTTCCTCTGCCTGAAGGGCTTCCTTTAACATTTCTTAAGTTAGGGGGCGTGGTGGCTTAAGCCTGTAATCTCAGTACTCTCAGTACTTTGGGAGAAGGCTGAGGTGGTAGGATTGCTAGATTCCAGGAATTTGAGACCAGCCTGGGCAACATAGTGAGACCCCATTTCTACAAAATATTAAAAAAACATTTCTTGTATTGTGGGTCTGCTGGTTTTGAATTTGTTCTGCTTGAGTAGTCTTAAAAATTCTTTATTTGGCCTTCATTTTTGAAAGATCTTTGCCAGGTTTAGGATTCTAGGTTGACAATCTTTTTTCTTTCAACACTTTTTTTTTTCTTCTTTGAGATGGAATCTTGCTATGTCGCCCAGGCTGGAGTGTAGTGGTGTGATCTTGGCTCACTATAACCTCCACCTCCTGGGTTCAAGCGATTCTCCTGTTTCAGCCTCCCGAGTAGCTGAGATTACATGTGCATACCATCACACCCAGCTAATTTTTATATTTTTAGTAGGGATGGGGTTTTGCCATGTTGGCCAGGCTGGTCTCGAGCTCCTGGCTTCAAGTGATCCGCCTGCCTTGGCCTCCCAGCTTGTTGGGATTACATGTGTGAGTGACCGCATCAGCCTTCTTTCAGTACTTTTAAGATGTTGCTCCAGTGTCTTCTTTCTTGCATTGTTTCTAGTGAGAAAACTGCTGTCATTCTTACCTTTGTTCCTGTGTACATAATGTGTCATTTTTATTTGGCTGTTTTTAAGATTTTATCACTAGTTCTAACAATTTGACTACAATGTGCCTTGGTGTAGTTTCTGAATGTTTCTTTGCTTGGGGTTTTTTAAGCATCTTAGATCTGGGTTTTTAGTTTTTATTAATTTGGGGAAAATTTTGTCATGATTTCTGCAGATATTTTCTCTGTTCCCTTCTCTTTCCTTTGGGAACTCAAATTATTCCTCTATTAATGAAATAATAAATGAAAAAATAAATGAAGAGCTCACTGATGCTCTTCATTTTTAAAGAAATTCTTCTCTCTTTGTATTTCACTTTAGAAAATTTCTATTGCTATATGTTCAAGTTTACTATTATTTTCTTCTGTAATTTCTGATCTAACAGTAATCCCATACAATATAATTCTCCTTTCTAGAAGTTTGATTTCGGGTCTTTTAAATCTATTCTTTCTCTCTTAACTTTTTGAACATGTGGAATGCAGTTATAACAATATTTTATTTTTATGTTATTTTATTTTATTTTATGACGGAGTCTTGCCCTGTTGCCTAGGCTGGAGTGCAGTGGCGTGATCTCGGCTTACTGCAACCTCTGCCACCCAGGTTCCAGCAATTCTTGTGCCGCAGCCTCCCAAGTAGCTGGGACTATAGGCGTGCGCCACCCCACCCAGCTAATTTTTTTGTATTTTTAGTAGAGACAGGGTTTTACCATGTTGACCAGGCTGTTCTTGAACTCCTAACCTCAGGTGATCTGCCTGCCTCGGCCTCCCAAAGTGCTGGGATTACAGGCATGAGCCACCACACCTGGCTATAACAACATTTTAATGTATTGTCTGCTAACTCTAACATCTGTGCCATTTCTGGGTTGACTGCCATTAGTTGATTCATTTTCCTCATTATGGATTGTATTTTCCTACTCTTTTGCACGCCTGGTAATTTTTTTTTCTTTTCCTTTCTTTTTTTGAGAGAGGTTCTCACTGTGTTGCCCAGGCTGGTCTTGAACTTCTGGGCTCAAGCAATCATCCTGCCTCAGCTTCCCAAAGTGCTGGGATTACAGGTGTGAGCCATCAGGCCTGTCCAGTGCCTGGTAATTTTTTATTGAATGCTAGGCTTTGTGAAATTTACCTTGTTGGGTCCAAGATATTTTTGTATTCCTGTACATTTTCTTCAGCTCATTCGGGAATATAGTTATATGGAGATAGTTTGATCCTTTCAGGTCTTGTTTTGGGGTTCTTGAGGCAGGACTGAAGCAGTCCTCCCCATTGTGAGGCACAAGTACCTGTGTACTCTACCCACCACCCTGTGAATCAGGAGGTTTTTCCGGCTGGCTAGTGGGAGTTACTCTATTCCCAGTTCTGAGTGAGCAGCAGTTGCTGTTATGAATCCTTTTGGGTGCTTCTTTCCCTGTCCTTGGTAGGCATGTGCTGCTTAGTACTCCCCTGCATACTTGAGGACCTTCTGTAGGTCTCGAGTTCTCTCTCTGCTCTTTTCTCCAGTACTCTATCCTGTGAACTCTAGCTGCCTTGATCTCCCTGGACTTTCAGTTTCATCCTCCCAACTCACGGAGTCCTCAGGGCTCTCCATGAGTCTCCCCTCTGTTCTGTGGCCTGCAAACTCTCAGGTGTGGTATGCTGGGGCAGTTGAAGGGCTCATCACATTTGTTTCCTGTCTCGCAGGAATCACTGTGCTTTGTTGCCCCATGTGTAGTGTCTTGAAAACCACTGTTTCATATATTTTGCCCATTTTTTTTGGTTGTTTCAGGCAGGAGGGTGTATCTGGTTCCTCTTGCTCCTTGTCAGGAAGCAGAAGTCTCAAGCTTTGCATATTCAAGGAAGAAAAATAAAGAAGGGTACTGTGGACAGAGTATAGTGAGGAGGGCTTGGGTAAGGGACCAGGCTATGAACCCTTTAGGTCATGGTAAGGAGTTTGGATTTTATTCAGATAATGATCAGAAGCCTCAGAGGGTTTTGAGCAAAGGTCTGACAGGACCCGACATCCGTTTTAAGGTATTTTCTCTGGCTCCTGTGTGGACAATAGATTGTCACCTCTTCCAGCGGGAGAGGTGGAGATGATGGGCATAGTCTGGGGTGATAGTGGTAGATTTGCTCTTGTTCCTAGTGTAATCCTTGAAATTAGTGGTGAAACTGGCTGTGGATGGCTCTTGCGTTGGAAGGCCTGGAAGTGTGAATTACATACATGAGAACTCCAGGCATGACATTCTTCGGGTGGGAACTGTTGTCGCCTGCTCTATCTTGCCAGCTTCTCTGTACCAAAGTTCTTTTGGAAACTTTGAGCCTCTCTGACCTTTTGACCCTTATGTGCATGTGGGAGTCCTGGTCTGTGATCCCTTGACTTGATTCAGGGGGCCCCTTAGCTCCATCTGTGTTCCCTGGAGTCAGCACTGTGCCACCCCCCCGCCCAATTCTTTTCTGTCATGGGCAGAACTGCAGAGGCTGCATCCTTGGGGAGCTCAGAAGCTCTCCAAGGCGCTGAGTGGAGGTGCCACCTGTATCTTTTGTTTCCGCTTCTGGAGACCCTTTTGTCCCTTGCTTTTTGGGCCTGATCCCATTGTCCTTCGCAGAAGTGAGACACCTCAGCTCTTCACTGTGTTGCCAGAGAAGAGAACAGCCACTGTTGGAGGGGCCATGATGGGATCAACCCACATTTATGACATGTCCACGGTGAGTACTTGGAGGATACTGCTTTTGGAGGCTGAGAAAGGCAGCAGAAGCTAGGGCTTCTCTGACTCTTTGGAGATGACCAGGCCCTGATCTCCTTTCCAGGTTATGAGCCGGAAGGGCCCGGCTCCTGAGCTGCAAGGTGTGGAAGTGGCGCTGGCGCCTGAAGAGTTGGAGCTGGATCCTATGGCCATGACCCAGAAGTATGAGGAGCATGTGCGGGAGCAGCAGGCTCAAGTAGAGAAGGAGGACTTCAGTGACATGGTGGCTGAGCACGCTGCCAAACAGAAGGTAGGCGCTTCCAGGGGCGCTGGGCTGGGTGAGAGCCAGGGACCCTGGCCTGCCGTTTTCAGTGGCATGGTGCCCTCTAGTGGTGAGAGTGAGGGTGGCCTCTGCTTGCTGCTCTGTGCTTCCTTAGATTTGGAAGTCTTAGAAATCCTCCAGTGGGCTGCCCTCTTTAAGGACGATGAGGGGGAGGAACTCAGCCAAGTCTGAGAGGGAGCTCGAAGAGAATTCAGATTCAGCGCCTTTCCCACAGACTTCTATGTCTATGTCAGGCTGCCCACCCTTGTTTTGGGGGTCCGGGGGTGGTTCAACCTGTCTTAACCTGTGTCTCTTTCTCCCTATACAGCAAAAAAAACGGAAAGCTCAGCCCCAGGACAGCCGTGGGGGCAGCAAGAAATATAAGGAGTTCAAGTTTTAGGTCCCCTCACACTAGCCCTTTTTTTGGCCCTACGTCTGGATGCCTGGGCTTCACACAAGAACCACCTCTCCCGCAGTTCCCAAGGACTTGTCATTTCATGTTCTTATTTTAGACCTGTTTTGTAAATAAAGCTGTTTCCCAAGGAAAGAGATGAATATTTAACACTCCTGAGCCTCCCTCATCTCCTTTTAGCCCCTTCTTGCAAAAGGACTAAAATAGTCTCTTTCTACAATCACTGGGCTGCCCCAGTAACCACGAACATAAACTGGGATTAGACGGCGCATTTGACTGGTGGTGACGCCAACCCCAGGCTGAAATCTGTGTTTCACCACTGCCCTGCTTTGTAGGAAGGCTTGGGGGAAGTACCTCTAGGTCTGGTTTGACCTTACTACTTTGTCCTTGGGGAGTAAAAATAGCCAGATTAGCGCCCTAGCGCGGCAGAGGAAGTAACAGTGGGCTTGGGAAGTAGGCCAGGGCAGGCCTTCCCAACTGACCTTGTGACCAGAAGTTCAAGTCCTTACCTGTGCGACAACATAGCTCAAAAGCTAAATTGTCTTGAGTCCATATGAACCCTTGGGTTCAAGCAACACTAGTCGCTGGGGTTTGGGATTTGTATGTGGGATGGGGGGACTTACTTTCTCCAGGTTGTAATCTGGTCCTGAGCAGCCTTTCTGACAGACTAGAGCAGGCTGGATCACTGGCTCCCATGGGCATTTGCCAGCCTGTGGGGAGGGTAGTCATGCGCTGCTGTTGTACTACTGTTGGTGTTTAAGTGCACCAGTGGAGGCGCTCACTTGCCGGAGGGTTCAAGATGGTCTCGGGGTTGTGGGGGGCATGATCCAGATAGGACGTGGCAGCTGAGCTAGGCCTTAGGAGGAATGGAATTTTAGAAATTTGGTAAGCAACAAAGCACTGGCACTCTAAAGAGGCATTTGGGGGGTAGGGAAAGAAGAGGAAGGTTGGCTCCAGATGGGCCCCGGGGTAGCTTGAGAATTCACTTATGCGAAGAACCTTCTGGACTCCAGGTCCCTGAGCCCCCGCTTGCCCTCGGGGCGGGAACTTCCCGGATCACAGGCACCCGCGGTGGCAGCGGGCCCCGGGTCTCCGCCGACCTCTCTGTTTGCCGGGGCCGCAGGGCAGGGCTAGGTCGGCAGGCGGAGAGCCGGCTTCCCCGGGCAGACCCCCACCGCTGGGGGCGGGTTCCGCATTGGCTCCGAAGACCCGAGGGGCCGAGGCGCGCTCCCGCGGCGGCCCCCTCCCTGCAGGGACCGAATCCCGGAAAAGCCGGGTTTCCGCTGGCGGGGCCGCGGCCGGCCGTGGGCGGGGAGGGGAGGAGCGGGGGCAGACTGGCAGCGGATTTGAGGGCAGGACCCGTGGGCGCGCGCTGGCCACAGACCACCCCTTCTACTCCGCGGGAGCGAGGGGCGCGCGTGGCTGCACGCAGGGCGCGAGCGCGCCCGGCCCGGCCCCTCCGCGCTGGGTGGGGCCGCGCGGGCCGGGCTCCCCGCCCCCTCCCGGACACGCCCACCCGTGTCGGCCTCGCGAGCCGCAACAGGCAGCGGCGGTCGAGCGCGAGGCCCGCGCGCCCAGAGGCCCCGCGCGTGCGTGCAGCTCGCTGGCTGCTCGCGCTCGGGCAGGCGGGCTGAGGAGGCTGCCGCGCCCCCGCCGCCGCCGCCGCGGGGGAAGCCTGGGAGCCAGATCGGCGTCGCCTCGGCCTCCGTAACCCCCGCCTAGCCGGGCCATGGCGGAACGCGGAGGGGCGGGCGGTGGTCCCGGAGGCGCCGGGGGCGGCAGCGGCCAGCGGGGATCCGGGGTCGCCCAGTCCCCTCAGCAGCCGCCGCCGCAGCAGCAGCAGCAGCAGCCGCCGCAGCAGCCGACGCCCCCCAAGCTGGCCCAGGCCACCTCGTCGTCCTCGTCCACCTCGGCGGCGGCTGCCTCCTCCTCGTCCTCGTCTACCTCCACCTCCATGGCCGTGGCGGTGGCCTCGGGCTCCGCGCCTCCCGGTGGCCCGGGGCCAGGCCGCACCCCCGCCCCGGTGCAGATGAACCTGTACGCCACCTGGGAGGTGGACCGGAGCTCGTCCAGCTGCGTGCCTAGGTGAGCGCGGGAGGGTGCGGCGGGGCGCCGGGGGAGCGGGGTGGCCGCCGGGGCCCAGCCCTCCCCGCCCCAGCGCCCATGGGGTCCCCGCCCTCCATCTCCCCGACTGTCCCGCGGCCCGGCCTGGCTCCAGCCAGGCCTCCCGGGACTCCTGCCACGGGGACCCGCCCTCTCCTGGCAGCCCCACCTTCTGCCTGGGGCCGGGACCACCCTTCTGTCCTCCCCGAGGGACCTTCTGGCCTCGGCCCCGGGCTTTCTCCGATTGGGCTGACCGAATCCGGCCTTCCTGGCAGTCAGTTTCCCTGAGTAAGTCACTCTCCTGCCTCGCCGGCGCCGGGAGCTGTACATACATGGATGTGGTATAGATCTCTTGATATTATTATTTCCCAATAGACTCAGCATGTGCCAAACTCGATTGTCACCTCTTGCAGGTAAAGCTCATATAATCACCCTAGGGGCTTCTCATTAGCCTTCGGCACACATGTTCATTTGAACTTCATATTACACACGTTCTGTCCCAAGCGCTAGGCTCTTAGTTTTGGGGCCCTATTTAATGTGTCCTCAAGTGTATTTTTACCTCCCCTCCCCCACTAAAACTGGTCCCAGAATCTCCCAGCTCTGCAGGGCTGTATGAAATTACTGCCTTGTTCCTAAATTCAATCCATTGCTCTCTGTCTGTTGGAACCATCTGGGGACTTTCCTTCCATTGGCAAAATAGGCCTGAGTTTGGGAATATTTTCTGTTTTTGTATTGGCAAGGCAGTCTGTCTCCAACTCTGGGGACAGGGTGCTGTGTCTTACAGTTTGCCACTTGAATAAGACGGTGTGTGGAGCTGGTTTCACCCAGAAAGCCCAGAGAAGTGCCTGGAGGTGTTCTTTTTTGTCACCTTGTAGCTGAGTTGATTCTGTTGCCTTGAAGTCTTGGGCTGTCTCCTCACTGTTGGTTAGGCAGACGGATGTGTAAGTCAGAGTTAGAGAGGATTGCTGGGCTCCCCCCTCGACTGTCTTCCTTTCCCCACCTTTATTCTGGATAATATTGTTTTATATATATATCCCAGATAGGAATGATGAGAGTACATCTTTCTGTTTCGCTCAGCTTAAGGAACAGAGCATTATCGCTTCTGTTGAAGCTCTCAGGGTGCCCCTTCCTGACTGTCTCCCCTCTTCCTTCTACAAAGGTAAACACTATTTTGAATTGTGTTTATCATTTCCCTTGTTAGAAAAAAATTAGTTTTACTACATAATGCATCTCTATATATTTTATAGTTCTGAATGTTCTTGAAGTTTGTGTACATGGTGTCATCCTGTATGTGTTCTGTGACTTGATTGGTTTTTTTATTTTTTTTTAAATCAGCATTAGGTTTGTGAGAATCATCCATGTGGTATGGTAGCCATAGTTTAAATATTTTCATGATGGGTAGTATTCTGTTGTGTGAATGAATATACCGTAATTCTCTTGAATATGTAGGTTGTTTCCTGTTTAACACCCACAGTAATGCACACATTTCCCCCCAGGACTCCTAGTGCTCTTGTGCAGAAGTTTCTTTAGGTTGTATTCATATGGAGGGGTGGGATTGCCGCTCGCAGGGTATAGATCTGGGACTTCACTAGGCAAAAGTAGATTGTTTCCACAGGCTGCTTCCACTCTGTGTTTCCACATCACTTAACAGATTTACACATTGTTTTTTTTTTCTCTGTCCTTTCTCTAGGGAAATCAGGAGCCACATTAATTTAGTTTGCTGTGGCCAGATCCATAGCACAACACCAAGCTCAAGCGAGAGTTGAGTATGTGATGGTGTTCCTCTCTTGATCCTAAGCAGGCCTCTCTCTTTCTATACAGGCCCATCTATCGCTGAAGTATCCTAACCCACCTCTTTCACACATAGAAACACTGTGTTCCTTCCTACGTGGGTCCAGTCTTTCCCATTTCTCCTTCACTTTCATGCCTGTGTTTGGTGACGTTTGGGCAGCTGCCTTCTCCATCTCGTTAGGTTGAAAAGGCGCGAGCCTACTGGCAAGGAGCTGCAGCAGAGGGGCGTGAATGAAATCATTGACTGCTGTTGATGTTTGGTCTGCCCCTAGGTCTTTTGGTCACTGCAAAGTCCACGTAATAAATTATTAGCCTAAGAAACAGCCAGGCATCCTGATCAAATGTATAATTATTATGCTAACTTGCTGTGAGAGGCTTAGGCGGACTTATTTTTACATTCCGGGAGTGTGCAGTTACGTCACGTTTACTGACCAGTCCTTGAGCTTGTCCACTGTCCTGCTCCGACATTGTTTTTCATCCATCACCCTTGTACCTCCTCACTCCTTGTGGAACACATGTGCTCTTTGAGCATTTTGCAGGCCAGAATAACACTCTGTGGGGAGAAAATGGCCTGCCATTGGTCTTTCCAATTATTAGAGTCATCTGGTTAATTTGAGGTCTCCTGGGTGTCCTTGTTCATGTTGTTTAGAATATATAGGCAACATGCAGCACTCTGTGGAGGGATTAACATTCTTGTCTCATGTAACTCAAACGGGACACAAATATATGAGATACATGCCCCTTAGAAATGTAAACATGATTGTGGATCTAAGGTTAGGTGTGCATAAGAATGTCATGGGATTTGGTCTCTTAGGGCAGAGAAGAGGGGCTCGAACAGTACAGTGTTAGGAAGGTCCTGCTGCTTTTCTTGATGCCTGTCAAAATATAATTTTCTTTTGAAAAAAATACCGTTTCCTGTATTAGATATTTAAATAAAGAGCAGTGTAGTTGTTCTTCAGGTAGGTGTCTGCTCTTATTTAACATCTGTTAAATTCCCCCAGAATACATAGTACTTTTGAAAAACTTTATATAGGTGAATAGCTTACTCACAGCTGGTTTTAAAAGAATGAAATTGTTCTGTTGATCACATTTTTCACCAGCATTTTTTGTTTTTTTTCTTTAGATGGAGTCTTGCTCTGTCATCCAGGCTACAGTGTAGTGGCACAGTCATAGCTCACTGCAGCCTCCAACTCCTGGGCTCAGCAATCCTCCAGCCTCAGCCTCCCAAGTAGCTGGGACTATAGGCATGTGACATCACACCTGGCTTTTTTTTTTTTTTTTTTTTTTTTTTTAAAAACAGGGTCTCACTATGTTGCCCAGGCTGGTCTTGAACTCCTTGCTTCAAACTGTCCTCCTACCTCGGACTCCCAAAGTGCTGAGATTACAGGTGTGAGCCACTGTGCCCAGCCTTTTACCAGCATTTTTTTTAAAGACAAAATGATTAATATATGTCCATGATTAGAAATTTGAGCAGTATGGAAAGATGGAAAGCACAAAGGAAAAAGCCCCCAGTCCATCCCTCTTCTCACTTCCCAGAGGTAATCACTGTGAAATACAGTTGGCTTTTAAGATTCTGTTACAAAAAGGTAGTTTTGCTATAGTTCCTTTATCTTTTATGAAATTCAAGCTTTAGAAGTTAGCATTGTTTTCCCTTCATGCTAAGTAGTACTTCCTCTACTATGGTCCAGTATGGCATGGACCGTGGTGCAGGGTTATGGGGACCAGGTGGCATGCTGCTTGATGTTAAAGGAAGGGTGTTAGAGCCTCATTGTTGATCCCTTCCCTTCTGCCTTTGTATGGTGAGGTTTCCCTGATGTTCTTTTCTTTTTGTGTTGCTGTAAGTAGGAGAGGCAGAAAAATTACTAAATTTTACAAGCATTCAAAATTTCCTCAGTGGCATAAAAGTGATTATTAAGAGATGAAATGTGCTCTGCTGTATCATTCGCAAACCATATCCAAAGCCCATTTGCATACCCTTATGTGTATGTGAACTTAGGGTAGGAGTTGGCAGTTATCAGTCACTTTTCTCCTTAGGTCACATTTTTTTTAAGTGGGTGCTGAGGTCAAGCCTTAATGGACAAAAGCGTTGGAATCACAGAAGGTGGCCATAGCTGAGTTGGCATGACTGGTCTGCAGCAGAAGTGTTACTTTCATGAAAACGCTTGGGGGCATTTGCCCCTTTAACCACAGAAGCACTATACGAGCCAAGATATACTACTCTATCTTCTTACTATATACTAGGACAAACTCTTCCATGCATTAGTTTAATTTTATTAATTTTTTTTTGGTGTTTTTTTTTTTTTTTTTTTGAGATGGAGTCTCGCTCTGTCGCCCAGGCTGGAGTGCAGTGGTGCAATCTCGGCTCACTGCAAGCTCCGCCTCCCAGGTTCGCTCCATTCTCCTGCCTCAGCCTCCCGAGTAGCTGGGACTACAGGCGCCTGCCACCACACCTGGCTAATTTTTTGTATTTTTTTGTACAGATGGCGTTTCACTGTGTTAGCCAGGATGGTCTCGATCTCCTGAGCTTGTGATCTGCCCGCCTTGGCCTTCCAAAGTGCTGGGATTACAGGCGTGAGCCACCATGCCCAGCCTTTGTTTTGTTTTTTTGAGACACAGTCTTGCTTTTTTACTCAGGTTGGAGTGCAGTGGCACAATCACGGCTCATTGCAACCTAGACCTCCTGGGCTCAAGCATTCCTCTCACCTCAGCCTCCTGAGTAGCTGGGACCATAGGCACTTGCCACCATGCCAGGCTGATTTTAAGATTTTTTTGTAGAGATGGGGTCTTGCTGTGTTGCCCAGGCTGGTCTCGAACTCCTGGGCTCAAGTGATCCTCCCGCCTCAGTCTCTCGAAGTACTGGGATACAGGTGTGAACCACTGTGCCTGGCCCATGCCTTAGTTTTTTCATCTTTATGGGAATACTTTTACTTACCATCCATTCTTAGATGTGGATGAAATATATATAAAATTGGATCTATAGAAGCATGGGAGAAAGTATTTCTTAAATTATAGGTATAAAGTAAATGTAATTGATCAAATAAGAAAGACCTGATGAAATTTCTATTACTACCCTAGCATTAAAAGTCCTTTTTTTTTTTTTTTTTTTGAGACGGAGTCTCGCTCTGTCCCCCGGCTGGAATGCAGTGGCGCGATCTGGCTCACTGTAAGCTCTGCCTCCTGGGTTCACGCCATTCTCCTGCCTCAGCCTGCCAAGTAGCTAGGACTGCAGGTGCCCGCCACCACGCCCAGCTAATTTTTTATATTTTTAGTAGAGACGGGGTTTTACCATGTTAGCCAGGATGCTCTCGATCTCCTGACCTCGTGATCCACCTGCCTTGGCCTTCCAAAGTGCTGGGATTACAGACGTGAGCCACCGCGCTCAGCCACATTAAAAGTCTTAAAAGCATGTTTGTACCTTAGGAGATTTGAATTTCACATTGTGAGTGTTGTAATAGAATATCATCTCTATCAGGGTAATAGTATCCATCGTCCCTGTGGAAGCTCAGATTACATGAGTTAGAAAGATAATGACTTTCACAGAGTCCATTTTACATGTATTGATTTACAGATCTTTTGGACACCTTAGCGGTTATGTGATTTCTTTCTAAACTAGTTTTCCAATTTCTTAGCTAAGCCAGTAAGTTGTCACTGTTGTTGTAGGTGCTGGAATGAGGGCGGGTACGCCTCAGAAAATGTTAGAGCTGCGTCTTTTCACTACCTCAGTTCAGGAGGCTTGTCCAGTTTGGACTTGGACTTTTTTTTTTTTTGAGACAGGGTCTTGTTCTGTTGCCCAGGCTGGAGTGCAATGGTGCGATCTCGGCTCACTGCAACCTCCGCCTCCCAGGATTCTTGAGCCTCAGCCTCCCAGGTAGCTGGGACTATAGGCGCACGCCACCACACCCAGCACATTTTTGTATTTTTAGTAGAGACGGGGTTTCCCCATGTTGGCCAGGCTGGTTTCGAACTTCTGACCTCAAGTGATCCGGCGGCCTCGGCCTCCCAAAGTGCTGGGATTACAGATGTGAGCCACTGTGCCTGGACTGGCCTGGACTTGAAGGTGTTGATGTAGATGCCAGCATGCATCTACATGGTGGGTCCTCTGAAATTTGGTGTTGGCCTGGCTTGCACCCATGTTGTCACATTCCGGAAATTCCGTGGGAATCTAGCGTAGCTGTGGGAATGATTTGCCAACGTTGGTCTTCTTCCAGCACAGGGCTTGAGGTGATATTGAGGGCTCTTGAGGAAAGTCAGAGTTTGGAGTTGGACTTAGAACTTCTTTCAGAGGGCCATCAAGCAAGGTGGGCAGTCTCTTAGGTTGGCAAGCACTGACAGGGTCTTCTTTGTGGACCTAGATAGAGGAATAACCAGCTTCCAAAGGTTTTAGAGACCAAGATATGCACCAGCTCTAGAGTGTTACCCCTTATAGATGTTCACAGGGCAGTCAGCTGGACCTGTGTTCCCCGTTATCTCATTAAAAACCAGAGAATGGCTTTGGTCACAACTCAGGGATCGCCACTTAGGCAGACCTGCACCCTGCCTCTTGACCTTGGGAATCGCAGTAGAACAGACAGCTAACCAATGAAACACATCTAGAAAACTTCTAGAAAATAGTTTATTAAAACATTCCAAGGCTGGGCGTGGTGGCTCATGCCTATCATCCCAGCACTTTGGGAGGCTGAGGCGGAAGGGTCACTTGAGCCCAGGAGTTTGAGACCAGCCTAGACAACATGGCAACCCCTCTCCACAAAAAATAAACAAAATTAGCCAGGTGTGGTGGCGTGCGCCTGTGGTCCCAGCTACTCAGGAGGCTGAGGTGGGAAGAGCACTTGAGCTCTGGAGGTCGAGGCTTCAGTGAGCCATGATCTCGCCCCTGTACTCTAGCCTGGGCAACAGAGTAAGACCCTGTCTCAAACAAAAATGGGTGAATAGAGAATGTTCTAAGTCATTACTTTCCTTGTGTTGAGGTAGATGGTGAGGCATAGGTGATAAAATAGTGTTGATGGCAGGTTTGTTTATTTAATTTTGTGCAGATCCTTTTAAATTGTAAGTTTGTTTTTTTTTTTTTTTTGAGACGGAGTTTTGCTCTTGTCACCTAGGCTGGAGTGTAAAGGCGCAGTCTCGGCTCACGGAAACCTCCGCCTCCGAGGTTCAAGCAATTCTCCTGCCTCAGCCTCCCGAGTAGCTGGGATTCCAGGCATGCACCACCATGCATGGATAATTTTGTATTTTTAGTAGAGACGGGGTTTCACCATGTTGGCCAGGCTGGTCTCGAACTCCTGACCTCAGGTGATTCACCTACCTCAGCCTCCCAAGGTGCTGGGATTACAGTTGTAAGCAACCATGCCTGGCCAACTGTAAGGTTTTTAAGGTACAACAAAGGTTGGAATATTTGAGTTTAGTGCTAGCTTCAACAATTTTTCTGAATCTCAAATATCGTTCTTCCTCTTTTCTCCTTGTGAGTAATGATCTGTGTCCACTCTCAGATCAACCTGGGCTCCCTTCATCCTTTCAACACTTTCAGTACTTTTAGTTTTGTAAATACAGTGGTATCCACAGGTCATTTTGGCAAAAACACTTTTTAGAACTGTATGCGTCTTAGAAATTGTGATGTGGGTAATTTGCTGTGTATGTTTTTTAGTGACCTCGTATAAATATAGGTAGATGTGAAAGGAGTGACGCCTTAAATTTGCTCCCTACTGTAACACCTGTTCCCTTCTTTGTAGTCTGTGTAACTCCTCCAAATGACAGATCTTTTGGACACATTAGTGGTTATGTGATTTCTTTCTAAACTAGTTTTCCAAACTACCTCTCAAAACTTTATTATGAGTAGGATTTCCCCCAGCTAACATTTTGGGTATGACTGGCATGTTAATTGTCTCTGAAGGATTTTAGACTGGTTATTTTGTTTTTGATTTTGAGATAGGCTCTCACTCTGTTGCCCAAACTGGAATGCAGTGGCATGAACACAGCTCACTCTGTTCAGCCTCAACCTCCTGGGTTCAAGTGATCCTCCCTCCTTAGACTCCCAAGTAGCTGGAACCACAGGCACATGCCAACATGCCCTGCTAACTTTTTAATTTTTTGCAGAGACAAGGTCCCACTATGCTGCCCAGGCTGATCTCAAACTCCTGGGCTCAAGCAATCCTCCCGCCTCAGCCTACCATAGTGTTGGGATTATAGGCGTAAGCCACCGCACCCAGGCTAGGCTGGTTATTGTGCTGAGATATAGGAAGGCGTTTTTTCTTTTCAGCTGTTTTCTTTTCTTTTTCTTTTTGAGACAGAGTCTTGCTCTCTTGCCCAGGCTGGAGTGCAGTGGCGCTATCTTGGCTCACTGCAACCTCTGTCTCCCGGGTTCAAGTGATTCTCCAGCCTCAGCCTCCCAAGTAGCTGGGATTACAGGTGCATACCACCATGCCCGACTAATTTTTGTATTTTTAGTAGAGACAGGCTTTCACCATGATGGCCAGGCTAGTCTTGAACTCCTGACCTCAAGCCCGCGTCAGCAGATTACTGGCGTGAGCCACCGCCCAGCCTCTTTTCAGTTGTTTTTCTGAAACATTGTGTGTGTTTGTGTGTGAGTATGTGCACTTCTGTATCTGTCTGTGAGTTTTCTTTTGTTCCTCTTGGTAGGTGAGACATTCTTTGTAGCAGGTTTTTTTTTTTTTTTTTTAATAGTTTATTGCTGGGAAAAGGTCTGGGTAAAAAAAAAAAAAGTTTAGAACACACTAAGGCTTGGGGCATCAGTCATCATTTACTGATCCCTCCTCACTAACCTTTTCCTGCCTCTTGTTTACAAACACCAAATGGCTTCAGGGTTTAGGGAGCAGCTTTTCCCTTCTGTTTTTCTGTTTTATGGTACCTCTCAAACACATTGCATTGTAATCCCTCCCAACCTCTGCCACCTTAGTCCTTCCCAGAAAGTAACCACTAGTGGCAGTTCAGAGTGATATTTTAAAATGAAAATCAGAACTTGTCACACCCCCTCTATAATCTTCCAGTTCATTCATTCAGCAAAAGCTTATAGACCAGCTGATATGTGCCGCAAGCAAAATCCTTGATCTCATGAAGTCTGCATTCTAGTGGGTGAAGATAAGAGACACCATCCAGTAACTTTCCGTCATACTTAAAAAAGATCCCCTTTTCATGGTTCAGGAGATGCTAAACGATGCAGCCCCTTCCCATGTCTTTGACCTCACCTTTGCGTTCTCCCCTTGTTCCTGCGGTGGGTCACCCTCGCCTTAGGGCTTTTGCACTTGCTGTTCCCTCTACCTGTGATACCCTTTCCCTGGATCCTTGGATCGCTGAGACTAGCTCCTGGGTATCATTCAGCTCTTCACTGACCTGCTACCTTGGAAGGCTGTCCTCACCTGCCCAACCCCTTCTGGGAGTTTATAAAGCTACTTCACACCTACTCGCCATTACTGGAAATAATCTTGTTCCTTTATTTAGTTACTTTATAGATGCTCAATAACTACATTTGTCAAATCAATGACACTGATTTTCCTATAGTGTTTTATAATGTTTATTGAATGACTATCTGTTATGCACAATTCATCCATTCACCAAATATTTACTGAGTGTTTCTGTGTGCCAAGCACTGATCTAGGCTCTGGAGAAGCAGCAGCAGACAGGCTGACAAAGTCCATTCTCTCCCGGGGTGTGCTTTCTGGTGGGGGTGACAGATGAGGAACAATTATATTGTTATATCTGTGATAAATGGTCAGATAGCGAGTAGGGTCACAAAGAATAGTGTGGTGGGGAACTGAGTGTGGGGGGAAAGGCTGTCTTGGTGAGGGAGGGCCTCTGGTAAGGTGACAGTTGCGCTGATGCTCGCTGCAGTGAAGCTGATGACCAGAGCATTTACTGTGTGCCACAAAACTGCCAGAGCCAGGTGCTACGATCCCTTTTCTCAGAAGGGAAAATTGAGGCCCTGTGAGGTGAAGGCATTTTTTTAAGACTACACAGTTTAAAAGTGGGCGGGGCTGGAATTTGTCTCATGACTCATGATTGCCAGACACCAGAGCCGTTTCTGTGTTTAAACTTGGTCCCCCAAGCCCTGTCTGGTTCTCATAGCTGACAAATAATATTTAATGCCTTATTCTTTGCCAGCTGGAATTACAAAACACTGCTCAATTTCCATCATAGACAGCGAGAGGCTGTGTGGTATAGTGGCTGTGAGTGTGGGTTCTGGAGCCAGTCAGGTCAGATTTTACTATTTGAGTGACTCTGGACAAGTTTTTAACCTCTATAATGCTTCAACTTTTCTCATCTGTAAATGGGCATAATAATTGTCCCTGCTGAGTGTGGTGGCTCATACTTATAACCCCAGCAATTTGGGAGGCTGAGGTGGAAGGATTGCTTGAGCCCAGGAGTTCGAGACCAGCCTGGGCAACATAGGGAGACCCCGTCTGTACAAAAAATAGAAAAAAAAATTAGCTGGGCTTGGTGGCACACGCCTGTGGTCCCAGCTACTTGGGAGGCTGAGGCTGGAGGATTGTGTGAGCTCAGGAAGTCAAGAATTCAGTGAGCTGTGTTCGCACTACTGCACTCCAGTCTGAGCGACAGATCAAGACCCTGTCTCAAAAAAAAAGAAAAAAGAAAGAAAGAAAAGAAAAGTCCCTGTCTCACAGGATTATCATCAGAATTAAATAAGGTTAATTTTGTTATTAACACATGTTAATCGTGTGTGTGGCAACATAGAAAGCACTTAATATCAGCTATTACTGTTGCTGTTTTTCTTGTCAACCTAATTTCTCCGTCTTCCCTGCCCCCCCCAACCAAAACAAAACAAACAAAACAAACAAAACAAACATGCTTTCTTTCTAGAATTAGGGTAATATTCAGATTTCCTCGGTGGGACCATCACAAGGTCTTGGGTTCACCTGAGGCACAGATCCTGCCAAACCCCAAGCTTATTAGACTACAAAGTCAAAACAAAATATTTTGGTTCTCTGAAGCAGTGGCTGGGTCGGGATCCTGTTTCTACATCCTGCCAGCTTATATGAACGGAAGAGATGGTACAGGCCCCGCCTGCAAACCACAGCTTTGTTTTGAGCCAGCTTGACTTGACAGCTTCCCTGTTTTACCTGCTGACTTCTTTAGCCCTGGTTTGGCAGCAGAAGAGCAACTGAACCGGTTTACAGCTTGCCATTTGTCACCGGTGAAAACTGAGCAACTCCTAGGAAAATGAGGGTTTAAATGTAGTTAATTTTTTTTTCTCTTGTCTTTTTAAGTTTTCCTTTTTGTGTCTCAAGCCATAGAAAAACTACATTCTACTTTTACAGGAGAAACCTGATAATACATTTGTGGTCTCTCCTGAAACATGTAGATCTTTGGGTGTATGTTAATTTTCACCTTTAATAAGCATCAGGACTTTATTTTTCCATTTTGGTTGGAAATCTACAATTATATTTACTTGTTTCTGGTTCTTCTTTAAGAATGTATAAAACACAGATTAACATTTCCTTGAATCTGGATCTTAATGATGAATGGATTCTCATGGTAAACATCAGGGCTTAATGAAGAGTGTAGACTGGTACATGGGGCACAACTGCTTTCTTTAGTTTTTTGGTTTTGTTTGTTTGTTTGTTTTTGAGACAGTCTTACTCTGTCCCACAGGCTGGAGTGCAGTGGTACAATCATAGCTCACTGCAGCCTCGAATTCCTGGACTCAAGTGATCCTCTAACCTCAGTCTTCCAAGTAAAGGTCCACATCACCATACCCGGCTAATTTTTAAATTATTTATAGAGATGGGGTTTTGCCATGTTGCCCTGGCCTCAAGTGATCCTCTCACCTCAGCTTCGCAAAGTATTGGGATTACAGGTGTGAGCCACTATGTCTGGCCACCTTAAAAAAAAACAAACAAAAAAACACCTCATTTGTTATGAAGATAGATAAAATGTTTGTTTGTAAAATGTTTGCGCATCAGGCCGGGCGCTGTGGCTCACGCCTGTAATCCCAGCACTTTGGGAGGCCGAGGTGGGTGGATTACCTGAGGTCAGGAGTTACCTGGCCAACATGGTGAAACTCCATCTTTACTAAAAATACAAAAAAATTAGCCGGGCGTGTGGCGGTCGCCTGTAATCTCAGCTACTTGGGAGGCTGAGACAGGAGAATCGCTTGAACCCGAGAGGCAGAGGTTGCAGTGAGCCAAGATCATGCCATTGCACTCCAGCCTGGGCAGCAAGAGCAAAACTCTGTTTCAAAAAATATAAAATAAAATGTCTGAGCATCTATGTTCATAGAAATCATGACCTTCACATCTTTGAGGAGTGTCAGTGAAACTATGAATATGATGGTATAATATTTATACTGCAGCAGCTCTCATATCAGCCACCTTTTACATTGTCTTCACAAGCAGGTTTTTGTTTGGTACTTTAAATCACAGGCGATGGAATGGGGCAGTGTAATATGCCTTAAGTCTATTGTTTATGAAATTATGTCCTCAGAGTTAAAATATGTAGAAAGTAGTTGACAGCATTCTGTCATCTCTCCCATGCACTGCTTTTGCTGTGGATGAAAATGAATAAGCAACTCTGGAAACCAAGGTCCTCTGGGAACATAAAAACTCCTGTGGCTATTAATGGATTTAATTGTATTTCCTCTCTGCCACCAAGATATGCAATAAATTGTTTATGCCCTTGCCGTTAGTGGGGAGAATTGTTCATTAAACGCATGTAATGTCATTATTGCTTTGTTTTTATTACTTGTAGGTAGTCCTATCTCTCCTTTTAAAAAAAGTATAAAAAGAATGGCCGTAATTATTAAACACTGGCCATTAATCCCTTTGGTTGACTTTTTCCTCCATGGAGAAAAAGGAAAGTATCATCTCACTGGGGAAGCAAGCTTGGGCTGGAAATGGGTCATGGTCTCCCAAATCTAAGATCTGGCAGAAGGTTGGTTTTGTATGCTTTGGACTTGGGCCAAGTGATATGTTTACTTAGGCTCCAGAAGGGCCTGGTTCTAAGGCAGCCACACTGATAAATGAATGCCTTGTATCAAGTGTGGAGAGGCTTCATTATATTTAAATCCACTTAAGAGAACAGCTATAGAAGAATGACTGTTTAGGACTGTGGCTCTGTTTTCTTGTTTGTCATTTAGATATTTCTGCCAATTATAATAAATGTGGAGGAAAAAAAAAGCCAGCAAATTGCTATAGTCTCTTTAAAACCATGTGCCAGAAATGCTTTGACATTAAAGTTTGATTTCTCACTTGGCTTTACCCCACCATGTGGGTTTGGATAAGTCTTTGTAACTCTTCCTGCACATACCTTTACTGTTTCCTCATTTAGTTGAAAGATACTTATTGAGCACACATTACAGACCAGTCACTGCTTGGATACTGAGGAGAGAGCAGTGAACAAAACAGACAGAAATTCCAGCTCTTGCGGAGCTTACCTTCTGGGGACAGGGTGGGCAGCAGGCAGTAGTGAGTGAGTGAGCAAATATTAGGGTGTGTTGGACGGGAAGAATAAAGCTGGATGGGGATAAGTGGGCAGAGGAAAGAGGTCACGGTTTTAAACAAGGTGGTCTAGAAAGACCTCAGAAAGCGAGCCGGCCACATGGAACACACATTTAGGTAAGCTGGGTGCATTTTATGGGATGAGGCCCCCCAGTAGAGGGAACAAGAAGTACTGGCAGGTTCCAGAGCATCCAGGAGGCCAGTTTGGCTGGAGCCAGGTGAATTAAAGAGAGAGTAATGGATAAAGTCAGAGAGGTAAAACAGGTGATCTCACAGGCCATTGTGGGACTCTGGCTTTGATCTTGAGTGAGATGGGAAGTCACTGGGGCTTTTGAGCCAGCGAGGAGGCATGATGGTCACTTCCACCCTAAAAGAACCCCTGACCACTGTGTGTGGAAGCAGGGAGTCCGGTCAGGGGGCTGCTGTGATGATCTAGGTGGGAGCTGATGCTGGCTTGGACTAGGGTGGTGGAGGTGGAGATGAGAAAGTGGTGGGAGTCTGGGCATATTGTCAAGCCTGAAGGATTTGCCTATGGATTGGATTTGAGGTGTGACAGAACAAAAGGATTCAAGGATGACACCAATAGTTCATTTAACTTCTTTGTGTCAGTTTTCTGTTTGTTTTCTTTAAAAATAATTATTGTCGTCTCTTTATCTTAGCGACTTTCTGTGAGAATGAGATCTGTGTAACAGAGCTCTTGAGGGAGTTTTTTTTGTTTCCACTTTTACCATTTGTAATTAATTGGAAATAAAATTTCTTGGGAATGTACTGGGTGATAGAATAATCCATAGGTTGGCACCTGATTGTTTTAAAAACCTGGATGAGTTCTTCTTATGCTTTAGGCCACAGTGATGCTGTGGGAATGGCTGAGTCTCAATATCCCTAATTACTCTGCTGTTGTGTTTGCTGTCTGGTGTCCCCTCTGCAATCCTTATTTATTTGATGGTTTCCAAAGAGGTAGATTGCAGAAGCCATTAATAACTGTAGCCCCATAGCCTTTGTCACTAACGCAGCGAAATAGAAAAGTCCAAAACATCATGTTTTTTTCTTTTTTAATATTTTTTCTTTTCTAATGTAACTGTAAGAGTTTTTTTCTTTTTTGAAAGACTGGTTTGCTGTATCAGACAGCCTGTCTGCACTTCCTAGGAGCTGCTCTGTGAGGAGGAATCCTGCTGCAGAATGATCTAATTTGTGTAATCTTGAAGGTGGAGCTATTTTTGAAAGAGAACAGAAAAATAATGGAGCCCTTTGCTCAAGATTGCCAAACTGGATCTTACTGTTTTATAAAGGCAAAGGACTCAGAGTTTGCAGTTTGAACTCCTATTTCCCTCTCGTTCTGCTCATTATATCTAGATCAAATTTATGATAGATATACTTAGATAATTACTCTTGAAAATGACAGCTGGGTTTTCATTTGTTTCTTTCATTCGTTCTTTTACATTTTAGTTAAGTATATTATTCAACTTGTGGTATTGATGAAGTGAGTAGTATAAAAGAATAGTTACCAAGTTTAGGAATTAGAATTCTCTTTACAGTTCTTAACAATAGACTGATGGTTTGTAACTAGTTCTCAACCCTGTCATACCCTGTGACTCCCTTTAATATCCTGAAATAAAATTCCCAGATAAAATCTACTGACCTGTCTACAAAGTCTTAACTGTAATATGAAAGAAAAATAAAAGGAACATTATGGTAATAAAATATGTATTTCTGTGTAAATTCTCAGAAGACAAATGTAAATGCTCACAGCACATTGGAAACTGGAGCCATCAGGTGCTTGTGGGTACACGTGGCTTTATTTGTGTGAATATGACACCTATAAATAGAGGCCAATACAGGTGTATTGTGTTGGTCACTCAGATATGTAGCAATGCCACTGGCGATATGATTTTCTAAAATGGTGAATAAATCTTCATAAAGTTCTACACAAAACAAAGTATAATCTTTCCCTTATTTACATAGTGGTTACATTCCTGGAAAATTTAGTGTATATTTAGTGGTGAAAAAATGCTTATGATTTCTTTTTTTTTTTTTTTTTTTTTGAGACGGAGTCTCGCTCTGTCGCCCAGGCTGGAGTGCAGTGGCGCGATCTCGGCTCACTGCAGGCTCCGCCCCCCGGGGTTCACGCCATTCTCCTGCCTCAGCCTCCCGAGTAGCTGGGACTACAGGCGCCCGCTACCTCGCCCGGCTAATTTTTTGTATTTTTAGTAGAGACGGGGTTTCACTGTGTTAGCCAGGATGGTCTCGATCTCCTGACCTCGTGATCCACCCGCCTCGGCCTCCCAAAGTGCTGGGATTACAGGCGTGAGCCACCGCGCCCGGCCTGTAAGATCTCTTTAGGTCTAGGCTGAGATAGTTATAAACTGCTTTTTACTTAGATGATGTGTCTGGCAGGGCCAAAGGCCGATTTGTTATGAACCTGATGAAGCTTTTAAGTTTTAGGGCCCTGTACATGCACAGGCTACTTCCAGGGCCCTAATTAGAAAAACAAAAGCAAAAACACCTTTTTTCTTTTCCCTTGAGACAGGGTCTCATTCTGTCCGCCAGGCTGGAGTGTAGTAGTGTGATCTCAGCTCATGGCAACCTCCGCCTCCCAGGCTCAAGTGATTCTCGTGCCTCAGCCTCCTGAGTAGCTGGGATTACAGGCACACACCACCATGCCTGGCCAGTGTTTTAATTTTTTTGTAGAAATGGGGTTTCACCAAGTTGGTCAGGCTGATCTCGAACTCCTGACTTCAAGTGATCCACCCACCTCTGCCTCCCAAAGTGCTGGGATTACAGGCGTGGGGCCGGCCCCAAACACCTTTTGAGCACGTTTTCAGGGCCTTCTGAGGCTGTGTCATGGAAATAAACAAAAAACCTTTTGTTTGGAATGTCATGTACACTCAGAAAAGGACATATATCATAAGCCTAACTTGATAAATTTTCATAAACTGAACATATAAGCAGCACTCACATCAAGAAACAACATTACCAACGCCCCAGAACATTACCATGCCCCCTTCTAATACCACCCCTCCCACTCCACCAACGATAGCTAGTTTCCTAATTTCCAGCAGCACGCATTAGTTTTGCCTGCTTTTGTACTTCACACAGTGGATGAAGTACAAAAGAACACTTGTTTTTTTTTTTTGTTTTTTTTTTTGAGACAGAGTCTTGCTCTGTCGCCTAGGCTGGAGTGCAATGGCACGATCTCTGCTCACTGCAACCTCCGCCTCCCAGGTTCAAGTGATTCTCCTGCCTCAGCATTCCCCTGTAGCTGGGATTACAGGCATGCGCTACCATGCCCCGCTAATTTTTTGTACTTTTAGTAGAGGAAGGGTTTCACCATGTTGGCCAGGCTGGTCTTGAATGCCTGACCTTAGGTGATCCACCTGCCTTGGCCTCCCACAGTGCTGGGATTGCAGGCATGAGCCAGCCAAGAACACTTGTATCTAACTTCTGCTGCTCAACATTATGTTTATGTGATGCATCCACCTTGTTGCATGGAGTTGTAGTGAATGTAATCTTGTTGCTATGTAGTACTGTATTCCATGGTGTGAGTATATCGTAGTTTGTGTACAGTCCGCTGTTGATGGCTATATGGGAGATTTCCAGTTTGGGCTATGCTGAATAGTGCTACTGTGGGCATTCTTGTACATGTCTGTTGGTAGACCAAAGCACTCATTTCTCTGCAGTATATACCTGGGAGTCAGATTGCCGGGCTGTGGGGTATATGGACAGTATATTCAGCTGAGCAATATATGAAAGTTCCTGTTGCTGCACATCTCCACCAACAATTGTTTTTTGGTTTTTTTTTGCCTTTTTCAAGGCAAAGAATTGGGCTGGAGTAAAATGATTTCTCCTATGGCTTTAATTTGCATTTCCCCAATGATGTTGAGCACCTTTTCATGTATTTGTTGGCCGTGTGTGTATCCTCTTTTATGAACTGTCTGTTCAGGTTGATTGCACATTTATCTATTTTGGTTGTCTCTCTGTTTCTTATTTACCTTTAGGAGTTGTTTTTCTCAAAAATATCTTCTCATACTCTGTGTGTTCCTTTTTTACTCTTTATATTTATTTATTTATTTATTTATTTTTATGACGATATCAAGCAACCTTTTTACTCTTTCAGTGGTGTCTTTCAATGAACAGAAATTCTTAATCTTATAATTCAATTTATCAATTTTTTCCTTTGTTTAGTACCTTTTATTTTCTATTTAAGAAATCTTTGCCTACTCTAAGATCATGAAGATGTCCTCTACTGTTTTCTTCTAAAAGTTTTATTGTTTGCCTTCGACATTTAGAGTTCCAGTCCATCTGAAATTGATATTTGTATGTGATGTGAGGTATGGATTAAGACACATTTCCCCTGATACGGATACTCAACCCTGTACCATTTATTTACAAGGTCATCCTTTTCCCACTGCACTGCATTATCACCTTGATCATAAGTCCCATGATATTTTACATGCAGTTCTAATTTTAGGCTTTCTGTTCTGTACCATCGGTCAGTCTGTCCATCCTTGCATCAATGCCGCCCTGTCTCCGTGACTGTATCTTTATAATAGGCCTGTTACGTAGTGTGTCTTCCCGCTTTGTGCTTCTTCATAATTGCCTTAAGGTAGTCTTTGCCTTTTGTGTTTCCTTAGGAATTTTAGAATCAGCTTTTCAGTTTCCTTAAAAACTTCTCTTGGGGGAGAAATTTTATTCAGGATTGCATTGATCTCTATGGATTGATGTGCAGATAATTGAAATCTTTAAAATTGAATCTTTTAATTCATAGACATATGTCCCTTTATTTATTTAGGTCATGGTTTTGCATATTTTAGCATATAAGTATTCTGTACTTTTCTTTAGATGTATTCCTATATATTTGATATTTTTAAACCCTAAAGCTAATTTTGTAATTGTAATTTTGTATGCTTTTTCTTATAGAGGACTCTTTTTTAAGCTGTAGGCCCTACAAAACCTCATTCTATCCCTGGGCAGAATGTTTTCACTCACATGAATGTTGAAAATCATGTGGGAAGCTAGTCATTTCTTAATTGTGCAGGACTCGAAGGTTCCCACAACTGTGGGTCGTAGGATGTTTGGCATTCTTATTTTTCCCACCACTGAATGTCAGTGAATTCTCAATCATTGTGACAACCCCAGAGACATTACCACCACCATCATTCTTTTGAGACTCAATTGTTAAAGACATTTTGCTCTTATTATGACAGTTATTATAGTTCATAAATGTAAGCATGCTTGAATGTCCCCAAGTGCGTGTGATTTTTTTGCAGGAAGAGACCTAAAATAAGTCAACAGTTTCAAGTGTTGCCATTTATTAATACAACCTAGACTTTATAAAAATTAGCAAACAGTTAATCTTTACAGACTTCTGCTTACAAGCTTCCTGGTAGAGTGGATTGAACGCTGGACTTGGAACCAGAAGAATTAAATCCTTCTTTTAGCAATTAGAAACTCTGTGATTTGGGGTCTATGACCTTTTGCAGCTCAATCTTCTCCTCGAAATAGAAATAAGTAAATATAACTATCTAGCTGACTACTCAGAGTTCTTGGGAAGAACAGACGAGACAACTTATAAATGCTTTGTATCTCAGAGCACCATAGAAATGCCATTGGTGGCTGGGCGCGATGGCTCACGTCTGTAATTCCAGCACTTTAGGATGCCAAGGTGGGCAGATCACAAGGTCAGGAGATCGAGACCATCCTGGCTAACACAGTGAAACCCCGTCTCTACTAAAAATACAAAAAATTAGCTGGGTGTGGTGGCGGGCACCTGTAGTCCCAGCTACTCGAGAGGCTGAGGCAGGAGAATGGCGTGAACCCGGGAGGCTGAGCTTGCAGTGAGCCAAGATCGCGCCACTGCACTCCAGCCTGGAGGACAGAGCGAGACTCCATCTCAAAAAAAAAAAAAAAAAAAAGAAATGCCATTGGTATAAATTCAAGTATTTGTTAACTCTTCTTTGCCGGGACTGTGGGCATAATTACCAAGAGGAAACCTCCTAAATAGTTTGGATCCATCCAGTTTGGGGTTCTTTGAACATGGACACTTTAGCCATAACTTACAGAAAGTGGCTTGGCTTGACTTGACTTGGCTTGGCTTGGCTTGGCTTGGCTTTTCTTTTCTTCTTTTCTTTCTCTTCTCTTCTTTTCTCTTCTTTCCTTTCTTTTTTTTTTTTTTTTTTTCAGATAGGGTCTTGCTCTGTTGCCCATGCTGGAGCACAGTGGCATGATCTCAGCTCACTGCAGCCTGAACCTCCCAGGCCCGAGCAATCCTCCCATCTCAGCCTCGGAAGTAGCTGGGACTACAGGCCCGTGCTGCCACACCCAGCTAATTTTGTTTATTTTTTGTAGAGACAAGGTCCCACTGTTGCCCAGGCTGGTGAACTCCTGGACTCAAGTGATCCTCCTGCTTCAGCCTCCCAAAGTGCTGGGATTACAGGCATCAGCCACCGTGCCCTGCCTAAAAGTGGCACCTGTTTTCTAAAAGTGTGTGTATGTAGGAAGGCAACAAGAGCACTGATCTGTTGGGATTCCTGTGTCTTAATTCTGATTTTCTAAATGAAAGTAGGCAAACCACTCACTTTCCAGACCCTTCATTGTCTTACTGCTTAGAAATGCTCTGAGGAGAAAGATAGAATCACTAAAGAGTTTTATGTTCCTCAGTGAAAGGTATCAGATGAATATAGGTGATATATTATTATAATTAGATTTTCTTTCATATAAATGCACGATAACCCTGACTTTCCAGCCAATGGATTGAGAAATCCTTGGCCTGTTAGTGGATAAAAAGATAATGAGAACTTGGAATGTAAGTTGTGAAGAAGGGATACAGTTTTTACAATTTTAATATGGAATATGCCTAATACTAATAAAATATTGAATTTCAATATGATTTCTCCACCCCAGTAAATCTTAGTCTCTTTAATTAGCATTACATTTAGCATACAGATTCTTAGAAAAGACAAATGCTCCTTTTAATTGTGTTTTTGTTTCATTTGAAGTTTCAGCATTTGATTACTTTCCTCCCTGGTTTGTTTTACTTATTTATTTTTTTGAGACAGACTCTCACTCCAGCCCAGGCTGGAGTGCAGTAGTGGATCTCAGATCACTGCAACCTCCGCCTCCCAAGTTAAAGTGATTCTCAGGCCTCAACCTCCCGAGTCTCTAGGATTACAGGTGTGTGCCACCACACCAAGCTAATTTTTGTATTTTTAGTGGAGACGAGGTTTCACCAAGTTGTCCAGTCTGGTCTTGAACTTCTGAGCTCAAGCAGTCCACCCACCTCGGCCTCCCAAAGTGCTAGGATTACAGGCATGAGCCACCACGCCCAGCCTGGTTTTATTTTTTGGTAGTCCAAATTCCCCAGTAGTTTTTTTTCTCATTGTTGTTGTTGTTGTTTTTTTTCTTTTTTTTTTCTTTTATTATTATTATACTTTAAATTTTAGGGTACATGTGCACAATGTGCAGGTTAGTTACATATGTATACATGTGCCATGCTGGTGTGCTGCACCCATTAACTCATCATTTAGCATTAGGTATATCTCCTAAAGCTATCCCTCCCCCCTCCTCCCACCCCACAACAGTCCCCAGAGTGTGATGTTCCCCTTCCTGTGTCCATGTGTTCTCATTGTTCAGTTCCCACCTATGAGCGAGAATATGCAGTGTTTGGTTTTTTGTTGTTGCGATAGTTTACTGAGAATGATGATTTCCAATTTCATCCATGTCCCTACAAAGGACATGAACTCATCATTTTTTATGGCTGCATAGTATTCCATGGTGTATATGTGCCACATTTTCTTAATCCAGTCTATCATTGTTGGACATTTGGGTTGGTTCCAACTCTTTGCTATTGTGAATAGTGCTGCAATAAACATACGTGTGCATATGTTGTTATAGCAGCATGATTTATAGTCCTTTGGGTGTATACCCAGTAATGGGATGGCTGGGTCAAATGGTATTTCTAGTTCTAGATCCCTGAGGAATCGCCACATTGACTTCCACAGTGGTTGAACTAGTTTACAGTCCCACCAACAGTGTAAAAGTGTTCCTATTTCTCCACATCCTCTCCAGCACCTGTTGTTTCTTGACTTTTTAATGATTGCCATTCTAACTGGTGTGAGATGGTATCTCATTGTGGTTTTGATTTGCATTTCTCTGATGGCCAGTGATGGTGAGCATTTTTTCATGTCTTTTTTGGCTGCATAAATGTCTTCTTTTGAGAAGTGTCTGTTCATGTCCTTCGCCCACTTTTTGATGGGGTTGTTGGTTTTTTTCTTGTAAATTTGTTTGAGTTCACTGTAGATTCTGGATATTAGCCCTTTGTCAGATGAGTAGGTTGCGAAAATTCTCTCCCATTTTGTAGGTTGCCTGTTCACTCTGATGGTAGTTTCTTTTGCTGTGCAGAAGCTCTTGAGTTTAATTAGATCCCATTTGTCAATTTTGGCTTTTGTTGCCATTGCTTTTGGTGTTTTAGACATGAAGTCCTTGCCCATGCCTATGTCCTGAATGGTAATGCCTAGGTTTTCTTCTAAGGTTTTTATGGTTTTAGGTCTAACGTTTAAGTCTTTAATCCATCTTGAATTAATTTTTGTATAAGGTGTAAGGAAGGGATCCAGTTTCAGCTTTCTACATATGGCTAGCCAGTTTTCCCAGCACCATTTATTAAATAGAGAATCCTTTCCCCATTGCTTGTTTTTCTCAGGTTTGTCAAAGATCAGATAGTTGTAGATATGCGGCGTTATTTCTGAGGGCTCTGTTCTGTTCCATTGATCTATATCTCTGTTTGGTACCATGCTGTTTCGGTTACTGTAGCCTTATAGTATAGTTTGAAGTCAGGTAGCGTGATGCCTCCAGCTTTGTTCTTTTGGCTTAGGATTGACTTGGTGATGCGGGCCCTTTTTTGGTTCCATATGAACTTTAAAGTAGTTTTTTCCAATTCTGTGAAGAAAGTCATTGGTAGCTTGATGGGGATGGCATTGAATCTATAAATTACCTTGGGCAGTATGGCCATTTTCACGATATTGATTCTTCCTACCCATGAGCATGGAATGTTCTTCTATTTGTTTGTATCCTCTTTTATTTCATTGAGCAGTGGTTTGTAGTTCTCCTTGAAGAGGTCCTTCACGTCCCGTGTAAGTTGGATTCCTAGGTATAAAGAGTCAAGACCCATCAGTGTGCTGTATTCAGGAAACCCATCTCACGTGCAGAGACACACATAGGCTCAAAATAAAAGGATGGAGGAAGATCTACCAAGCAAATGGAAAACAAAAAAAGGCAGGGGTTGCAATCCTAGTCTCTGATAAAACAGACTTTAAACCAACAAAGATCAAAAGAGACAAAGAAGGCCATTACATAATGGTAAAGGGATCAATTCAACAAGAAGAGCTAACTATCCTAAATATATATGCACCCAATACAGGAGCACCCAGATTCATAAAGCAAGTCCTGAGTGACCTACAAAGAGACTTAGACTCCCACACAATAATAATGGGAGACTTTAACACCCCACTGTCAACATTAGACAGATCAACAAGATAGAAAGTTAACAAGGATACCCAGGAATTGAACTCACCTCTGCACCAAGCGGACCTAATAGACATCTACAGAACTCTCCACCCCAAATCAACAGAATATACATTTTTTTCAGCACCACACCACACCTATTCCAAAATTGACCACATAGTTGGAAGTAAAGCTCTCCTCAGCAAATGTAAAAGATCAGACATTATAACAAACTGTCTCTCAGACCACATTGCAATCAAACTAGAACTCAGGATTAAGAATCTCACTCAAAACCACTCAACTACATGGAAACTGAACAACCTGCTCCTGAATGACTACTGGGTACATAACAAAATGAAGGCAGAAATAAAGATGTTCTTTGAAACCAACGAGAACAAAGACACAACATACCAGAATCTCTGGGACGCATTCAAAGCAGTGTGTAGAGGGAAATTTATAGCACTAAATGCCCACAAGAGAAAGCAGGGAAGATCCAAAATTGACACCCTAACATCACAATTAAAAGAACTAGAAAAGCAAGAGCAAACACATTCAAAAGCTAGCAGAAGGCAAGAAATAACTAAAATCAGAGCAGAACTGAAGGAAATAGAGACACAAAAAACCCTTCAAAAATTAATGAATCCAGGAGCTGGTTTTTTGAAAGGATCAACAAAATTGATAGACCGCTAGCAAGACTAATAAAGAAAAAAAGAGAGAAGAATCAAATAGACGCAATAAAAAATGATAAAGGGGATATCACCACCGATCCCACAGAAATACAAACTACCATCAGAGAATACTACAAACACCTCTACGCAAATAAACTAGAAAATCTAGAAGAAATGGATAAATTCCTCGACACATACACCCTCCCAAGACTAAACCAGGAAGAAGTTGAATCTCTGAATAGACCAATAACAGGCTCTGAAATTGTGGCAATAATCAATAGCTTACCAACCAAAAAGAGTCCAGTACCAGATGGATTCACAGCTGAATTCTACCAGAGGTACAAGGAGGAACTGGTACCATTCCTTCTGAAACTATTCCAATCAACAGAAAAGGAGGGAATCCTCCCTAACTCATTTTATGAGGCCAGCATCATCCTGATACCAAAGCCGGGCAGAGACACAACCAAAAAAGAGAATTTTAGACCAATATCCTTGATGAACATCGATGCAAAAATCCTCAATAAAATACTGGCAAACCGAATCCAGCAGCACATCCAAAAGCTTATCCACCATGATCAAGTGGGCTTCATCCCTGGGATGCAAGGCTGGTTCAATATACACAAATCAATAAATGTAATCCAGCATATAAACAGAACCAAAGACAAAAACCACATGATTATCTCAATAGATGCAGAAAAGGCCTTTGACAAAATTCAACAACCCTTCATGCTAAAAACTCTCAATAAATTAGGTATTGATGGGACGTATCTCAAAATAATAAGAGCTATCTATGACAAACCCACAGCCAATATCATACTGAATGGGCAAAAACTGGAAGCATTCCCTTTGAAAACTGGCATAAGACAGGGATGCCCTCTCTCACCACTCCTATTCAACATAGTGTTGGAAGTTCTGGCCAGGGCAATTAGGCAGGAGAAGGAAATAAAGGGTATTCAGTTAGGAAAAGAGGAAGTCAAATTGTCCCTGTTTGCAGATGACATGATTGTATATCTAGAAAACCCCATTGTCTCAGCCCAAAATCTCCTTAAGCTGATAAGCAACTTCAGCAAAGTCTCAGGATACAAAATCAATGTACAAAAATCACAAGCATTCTTACACACCAATAACAGACAAACAGAGAGCCAAATCATGAGTGAACTCCCATTCACAATTGCTTCAAAGAGAATTGTTGTTGTTTTGAGACGGAGACTTACTCTGTTGCCCAGTCTGGAGTGCAGTGATGTGATCTCCACTCACTACGAACTCAATCTCCTGGATTCAAGTGATTCTCCTGCCTCAGCCTCCTGAACAGCAGGGGTTACAGGCACATGCTACCATGCCTGGCTAATTTTTGTATTTTTAGTAGAGACGGAGTTTCACCATGTTGGCCAGGATGGTCTCGAACTCCTGACCTCAAGTGATCCACCCGCCTTGGCCTCCCAAAGTGCTGGGATTACAGGCGTGAGCCACCACGCCCGGCCTCATTATTGCTTTTATTTTTAATCAAAGTTATACATATATTTTAGAGAGTCACGTAGTTTTACAGACTTATTTAGAAAACAATCTTTAGGTATTATCTGGTGAATTCCAGCTGTCGAAAACTGTTTGGCTTTTTCATCAGCACCCACATTTTCCCAATAAGTTTGTAATTTCTTCTTTTTTTTTTTTAAATTTTTGAGATAGAGTCTCACTCTGTTGCCCAGGCTGAAATGCAATGGCGTGATCTGAGTTCACTGCAACCTCCACCTCCCAGGTTGAAGGAATTCTTCTGCCTCAGCCTTCTAAGCAACTGGGATTACAGGCATGCACTACCATGCTCAGCTAATTTTTTTATTTTAGTAGAGACGGGGTTTTGCCAATTGCCCAGGCTGGTCTTGAACTCCTGCCCTCAAGTGAGCCACCATGCCTGGTTTTCTTTTTATCTTTTTCTTTCTTTTTTTTTTTTTTTTTTTTTTTTGATGTAGGGTGTTTCGCTGTGTCACCAAGGCTGGAGTACAGTGATGGCTCACTGCAGCCTTAACTTCCCAAGCTCAAGTGATCCACCTGCCTCAGCCTCCCGAAGTGCTGGAATTAGAGGTGTGAGCCACTGCGCCCAGCTAGTAGTTCATTCTTTTTTATTTCCAAGTATTTCATTGAAACATGATATAATTTGCATATCCATTCTCCTGTTGATGGACATATAGGTTCTTTACAGCTTTTAGCTTTTATGAATAAAGTTGCTATGAATTTTTTTTTTTTTTTTTGAGACGGGAGTTTCACTCTTGTTGCCCAGGCTGGAGTGCAATGGCGTGATCTTGGCTCACTGCAACCTCTGCCTCCCGGGTTCAAGCGATTCTCCTGCCTCAACCTCCCTTGTAGCTGGGATTACAGGCATGCGCCACCATGCCTGGCTAATTTTTTTTATTTTGTGGAGACGGGGTTTCTCCATGTTGGTCAGGCTGGTCTCAAACTCCTGACCTCAGATGATCTGCCCACCTCGGCCTCCCAAAGTGCTGGGATTACAGGCCTGAGCACCGCGCCCAGCCGCTGTGAACATTCTTACACAGGTGTTTTTACAGACATACATTTTCATTTCTCCCTCTCTCTCTCTTTTTTTTTTTTTTAATGTAGAGACAGTCTCGCTTTGTTGCCCATGCCAGTTTTGAACTCCTGGCTTTGTGGAATCCTATTGCCTCACACTCCCAAAGTGCTGGGATTACAGGCATGAGCCACCACGCCCAGCCCCATTTTCATTTCTTTGGGGGTACATATGTTGGAGTGGAATGGTGTGTCTTAGAGTAGGTGTATGTTTAAACTTTGTAAGAAACTGCCAATTTTTTCAAAGTGATTGTATCAGTTTGCATTCCCACTAACTGAGGCAGACAGATTCTGAAGTGGCCCCCATGATAAATACCCCCTGGTATTTATGGCCTAGTAGTCCTGTGCCCTTGGGTGCAGGTGGGACCTGTGATTGACTCCTCACTGATAGAATATGGCAGAGGTGACAGGATGTGTATGGTCATGCATACCTGATTATTCCCAGTCAGATCGTAATGCTCATCTTGTGAGGAGACTCTCTCCCTTGCTGGCTTTGGTGCTGTGTTGTGAGCTGCCTATGGAGACGGCCCTGTGGCAGGGAGCTCAGGGCAGCTTCAAACCCACAGCCAGCAAGAGACTGTGGCCCTCAGTCCAGCAGCCCACAAGGAATTGAGTGTTGCCAACAACCATGTGTGTTTGGAAACAGATCCTATCCCACTCAGTTCTCAGATGAGACCATAGTCTCAGCCAGTACCTTGGTGGCACCTTATAGAGGACCCAGCTAAACTGTGCCTGGGCTTTTGACCTATAGAATCTGTGAGATAATAAACATGCATTAGTTTAAGCTGCTGCTAAGCTTTGCTAGTATTATTATGCTACAGTGGATAACTAATACGAGCAATATAGTTCCTGTTGCCCTGTATCTCCACCGACATTTAGTGCCTGTCTTTTAGATTTTAGCCATGTTAGTGGGCATGAAATGGAAACTCTGAGGCTTTAATTTGCATTTCCCTAATGACATTGAATACCTGCTAATTGGACATTTGGATACCTTCTTTTGCGAAGTATCTGTTCAAGTCTTTTTCTTATTTTAAAAATAGGTAGGTTGGGCATGGTGGTTTACACCTGTAATCCCGGCACTTTGGGGGCCAAGGTGGGTGGATCGCCTGAGCTCAGGAGTTTGAGACCACCCTGGCAACATGGTGAAACCTCGTCTCTACTAAGATACAAAAAATTAGCTGGGCATGGTGGTGGGCGCCTGTAGTCCCAGCTACTCAGGAGGCTGAGGCGCAAGAATCACTTGAGCTCGGGAGATGGAAGTTTCAGTGAGCCCAGATCATGCCACCACACTCCAGCTTGGGCTACAGAGTGAGATTCCGTCTCAAAAATAATAAAAATAATAAGAGTAAGAATAATCAATATGTTTGTCTTTTTATAATTTATTTGTAGAAGTTCTTTATATATGACGGGTTAAGTTCTTTATCAGATGTGTGTGTGTGTGTCTCTGCATGAATGTGTGTTGTATGTTTGTGTGTGTATCTGATAGAGTTTTCTTCTAGTCTGTGATGGGGAGGAACTTGCACATTCCTCTCACCTCATGCAGATTTCCAAACTGTTCACGTTTTACTGCATTTACTCTATTGTACTATTTCTCTCTCTAAATCAGTTTTTTCTGGGTCATTTGAGACCATGTTATGCACATGCTATCCTAGCACCCTTAAATATTTCAGTGTTTATTTTCCGCCAGTTAAGGGCACTCCCAAATAACCACTACATACTCCTTTAAGTCAGACAATTTGCAGTGATAAAACCCTATTGTCCAATCTATTGACCCCATTCACAGTTTGCTGCCCCAACTATATCTCATTTCTGTTTTGTCCCAGAATCCCAGGGAGGAGTGTGCATTGCACCTAGCTGTCAGCGTCTCTTCACACCCTCCAGTCTGGGATCATCCTTTGTCATCCCGGTTGTTCTTGTCCACAACCGTTAGATATCCTGTAGGGTGATTGGCAAGGCGGATCTTATAGTATTTCCTTATGACCAAATTCAGGTCATGATTTCTTGGCAAAAGTATCACAAAAATGATGCTGTAATAGTCTCAGCACATCACATCAAGGGGCACATTCTGTTAACCAGCCCTGTTACTGCTGTTGTTGGCCCTCATCACCTGCTCATGTTGGTGTCTTCCAGGTATCTCTGTTTTTCTTACTGTAATGCCATTGTTTTTCTTTTCTTTTCCTTTTCTTTTTTCCCTTTTCCCTTCCCTTTTCAATGGAGTCTCACTCTGTAGCCCAAGCTGGAATGCAGTGGCACAATCTCAGCTCACTGCAACCTCCGCCTCCAGGGCTCAAGCAGTTCTCCTGCCTCAGCCTCCAAAGTAGCTGGTACTACAGGTGCATGACACCACACCGGGCTAATAGTTATTGATTTATTTATTTATTTATTTTTGAGACAGAGTGTCGCTCTGTCGCCCAGGCTGCAGTGCATTGGCACAATCTCTGGTCACTACAAGCTCCGCCTCCCAGGTTCACTCCATTCTCCTGCCTCAGCCTCCCGAGTAGCTGGGACTACAGGCGCCCACCACCACACTCGGCTAATTTTTTTGTATTTTTAGTAGAGATGGGGTTTCACTGTGTTAGCCAGGATGTTCTCAATCTCCTGACCTCGTGATCCACCCTCCTCGGCCTCCCAAAGTGCTGGGAGTACAGGCATAAGCCACCGTGCCCAGCCTATCACTTTCTATATCATTTTCTTTTTTGGGGGGGTTTTGAGGGCAGGGTCTGGCTCTGTCTCCTAGGCTGGAGTACAGTCGCTCGATATCAGCTCACTGCAACCTCCGCCTCCTGGGCTCAAGTCATCCTCCCACCTCAGCCTCCCGAGTAGCTGGGACCACAGACATGTGCCACCATACCCAGCTAATTTTTGTATTTTTTGTAGAGTTGGGATTTTGCCATGTTATTCAGGCTGGTCTTGAACTCCTGAGCTCAAGTGGTCTACCCACCTTGGCCTCCCAAAATGCTGGGATTATAGGCATGAGCCACCATGCCTGGCCTATATCTGTTTTTGTTTTTTGAGATGGAATTTTGCTCTTGTTGCCCAGGCTGGAGTGCAATGGCGCAATCTCGGTTCACCACAACCTTGGCTTGCTGCAACCTCGGCTCACTGCAACCTCCGCCTCCTGGGTTCAAGCAGTTCTCCTCCCTCAGCCCCCTGAGTAGCTGGGATTACAGACATCCGCCAGCACACCCAGCTAATTTTGTATTTTTAGTAGAGACGTGGTCTCGCCATGTTGGTCAGGCTGGTCTCGAACTCCTGACCTCAGGTGATCTGCCCGCCTCGGCCTCCCAAAGTGCTGGGATTACAGGCGTGGGCCACCACGCCTGCCTTTTTCTTTATATATCTTAAAAACCATGTATTCAGACTGATCTCTTAAATTCCAATGTAACATTTTAGGGTTCTCTCCAGCCTAAGCCCTTTGCATGTTTGTAAGTACCTCTTCCAAGAGGTACTTGGAAGAAACCTGGCTTTCACTATTCTCAGTATATTTACTTATTTGCTCCTTGTAACTGGTCTTTCACCTACCCTGACCTTGCCTTCTGTCTACCACATCTGCACGTGCCCTCACACCCCTGCCTCAGCACCCTGCGTCCTTGAGCACTAGTAGGTGGAAGCAGGAAAACAGACGTGTAAACTTCATAACAGTGACTCATAAGACAATAGAGGTGGAAAGCGAGAAGCCGATTTACTCTGCAAAATCATAAGTAGTATTTGTTCCATTATCTACTGTTGTGTAAAAAAGTCTCTCCAAAAGTTATCACTTAAAATAAGGGAAGAACTATTTTGCATACAAACTGCACTTTGGGCAGAGTTCAGCAATAATACTCAATTCTCTCTGCGGCACTCAAGTGAGGTGGGCTGGTTCAAAGTTGGAGCATCCAGGGGCGGAGGCTAGAATCTTGTGCAGTCTCCCTCACCGTGTGATGTCTGGCAGCTGATGCCAGCTATTAGCTGGGACCTCCATGAGAACTGTGGCTGGAACACCTGTTATGGCCTTTCCACGTGGCTGCTTGGCTTCCTCACGGTACGGTGGCTGGGTTCCAAGGGCAGGCATCACACAAGCAAGAGCGAGCTGGCGGAAGCCTCAGTGCCTGTCCTCCTCCAGCGTGGAGAGTCACATGGCCTCATTTCTACTGCATTCTGCTGGTTAGAAGGAAGTCACTAAAGCCAGCCATATTCAGGGGGAGGGTAATTTGTTTCCACTTTTTCATGAGAGGACTGTTAAAGAATTTATAGATATGTTTTAAGACTGGCACAGAATTTAAAAATATACTATTTTCTGGAAGAATGGAAGATTCATTTGTACAGTTGCATTCGTTCAGTATTTTTAATTCATTTTTTTTAAAAGTTTTAAACACTTACATCTACTGGTATATAGGTATGCTTGCCCCATTTCCTTTTCTTTTCACTTTCTCTTTTTACAGAACCCTGCTGCAAGCTAACTCATGTATGCGTCCGTTCATGCTTTTGTTCATTCTTGTGTGATACAGAAATGTATATACACATACATACAGTGGGTTGGGAATCTTGTTTTTAAAAAATAGAATCACATTGAAACTAATTTTTGCATCCTGTTTTTCTGAACACCTTGGAGAAATCCCTATAAATCAAGAGGTTTCATTCTAATTTGTTCTTTTTAGATGCTGCACATACTCTGTTTTCTGATTTGGTTATTTGATCATGACGGGGTAGGAATAGAGAGGGACAGGCTTCAAAGAAAGGGTAGTCAGGAAAGAGAAAGAGGAGGAGTGCTAGGTATTCCTGGGGTCTTCAACCTGATGTGTCATCGAAGTGGGTGGGAAGTTGGGAAAATGGTGGTGGGGAGGTGTGTTGGTTGGTTTTAGCGGGGAAATGAGTATTTTTTTATATGCACTAAAATTACCTACCAGGCAGTTGAATACATAGGAGCAGGGAGTGAGTCCAAGGATAGGACTGGAGTTGATAGACAAAGCTATAAAGGGAGACGGTTACTGGGGGGAGAGCTCTGTCTCGCTTAGCATCACTTGCTGTTAGTGGTGGGCCCAGACAGTGACTGAAATATTTTCATTCCAGACCAGGGTCCAGTGTATTTATACTTGATGCATTAAGTTCTGATCTTTAAAAAGCTGCCAGTTTTTTAGAAGGAGAGTTTTTATTTTCATTTTATATGGTGTGGGCTGAAGGAATCTTTTGCTAAATATAACAATGTGAGTTTGCTAGTCTTTCTGAGGCATTGAAGGCATTTAAAATTTGAAACCAGAGCTACCTGATGGGAACATCCTTGATCTCTTCTCCAAGTCAAACCAACCTAGGCCACGTGTAATAATTAGTTCAATTGAATGGCTGAAGAAGGATTTATTTGCCCCTTTTATGTTACAGAGGAGATCCACAGTACAGCTAGAAAAGGGATGCAGAATGAACAGGACAGACACGTGATTCTGACCCTGATAACCACTCTGCATCCATCGGATTTACTATTATTATTATTATTATTATTATTTTATTTTTTATTTTGAGACGGGTCTCACTCTCTCACCCAGGCTGGAGGGCAGTGGTGCGATCTCGGCTCACTGCAACCTCCGCCTCCCAGGTTCAAGCGAGTCTCCTGTCTCAGCCTCCCAAGCAGCTGGGACTACAGGTGCATACCACCACGCCAGGCTAATTTTTCTGTTTTTAGTACAGAAGGGGTTTCACCATGTTGGCCAGGCTGGTCTGGGATTCCTGACCTCAAGTGATCTGTCTACCTTGGCCTCCTAAAATGCTGAGATTACAGGCCTGAATCACTGTGCCCAGCCAAGTTTACTATTATTATTAAAAATACTGGTGGCCTTGAAATCAGTGTAAAATAATAATGTCATCTTTTTAGGAATAAAAATACTGCTCTCCCCATGCCCCACTGGCTGTAGGAAAATTGAGGGAAATGGTTGTTATTTTCTCTTTGTAGGTTGGATTACTGAACCTCGGAGTGAGATGACCTGTGAGTTTTATTTATTTTTATTTATTTCATTTTATTTATTTTGGAGACAGATCTTACTCTGTGTCCCAGGCTGGAGTACAGTGGCACGATCTCAGCTCACTGCAACCTCCACCTCCCAGGTTCAAGCCATTCTCCTGCCTCAGCTTCCCGAGTAGCTGGGATTAAAGGCACGTGCCACCACGCCCAGCTAATTTTTGTATTTTTAGTAGAGAATGGGTTTTACCATGTTGGCCAGGCTGCTCTGGAACTCCTGACCTGAAGTGATCCATCTGCCTTGGCCTCTGAAAGTGCTGGGATTACAGGCATGAGCCACCAAGCCTGGCCAACCTGTGAGTTTTATATAAATGGCACAGTTGAAATGATAAACGTCCTTAAGATTTAATTTTGATTAGGGGAAGTGAGTGAAAGGTATTCCTCTTGTTGGTTTTCCCTGTATTCTGTTTGGTTTGGTCTTTTTTCAGATAAGTTCAACAGTGGGGTGTCAATTATATGTAAAGTACATGGAGAAAGCTGCAAGGATGTGGGTGGCTCAGGCCTGTCCTTAGAGAGCTCCCCATCTTGGTATCTACAGCTCACTGCAAGACAGAGCAGATTGAAATAAGTAACAACTAGAGTTACATGTGGGGTAATTTAGGAGAAAAGGGCATTAGTCCCTTTGGAATCTGGCATTTGACCTGGAATTTTTCTTTTCAGTTTTTTGTTTGGAATTTTTTTTTTTTTTTTTTTTTTTTTTTGAGGCGGAATCTGGGGCTGGAGTGCAGTGGCACAATCTCATCTCACTGCAGCCTCCACCTCCTGAGTTCAAGTGTTTCTCTTACCTCAGCCTCCCCAGTAGCTGGGATTACAGGTGTGCACCACCACGCCCAGCTGATTTTTGTATTTTTTTTAGTGGAGACGGGGTTTCACCATGTTGGCCAGGCTGGTCTCAAACTCTTGACTTCAAGTGATCCATCCGCTTCAGCCTCCCAAAGTGCTGGGATTACAGGCATGAGCCAGTGTGCCCAGCTGGAAAATTTTTTAAATATACAAAAATAGAGAAAGGTGTGTGATGAATCCCTGTGTACTCACCACCCTGCTTTATTATCAGCTCAGGGGCAGTGCTGTTTTATCTGTGCCCCCATCCCCTCCCCCCACTCCCACCCCCAGATTATCTTGAAGCAAATCCCAGTCATCATCACATTTCTTTTGTAATAATTTCAATATGTATCTTCAAAAGATAGGGACACTTTAAAAAATACATAACCACAATACCATTATCTCTCCTAAAATAATAGTAAGTCCTTAATTTTATCTGATTTGCAGTCACTTTAGTTGGAATTTACAAAGAGAAGATTTTAATAGATGGTGAATGGGAGGAAGGGAATTCAGATAGAGGGAATAACACATGGAAAATCAGGGACCGTGTGTAAGTGAAAGGTAATAAAAGTCTGATTTAGGGCTGTGGCATTGGGCGGAAAGGAAATTGCAAATGTCAGTCACGGCAGAGGTAAACTTAATGGAATTTTCCAGTTGAGGACAGCACGTGTGTCTTCCTTCTATTTCTGGTTAATAGTAGTCATTTTGAACCCTATAGAACAGGGTTGACAAACCATGGTTTGTAGCCCAAATCCTGTTCTCAGTCTGTGTTTGTAAATAAAGTTTTACTGGAATACAACCACACCCATTTGTTGATGTATTGTTGTGTATGGCTGCTTTCATGAACCCCACAATGGGCAGAGTCAAGCAGTTGCAGCAGAGACTCTATGAACTGTAAAACCCCAAATACTTACTACTATCTGGCCCTTTATAGAAAAAGTTTGCCAACCTCTGATCTAGAAGAAACTGGGCCCTGGATTTAGTGCTTGCTCTCAGAGGAGTTGAGTAGAGTATATGGATTAGAAACAGCCATGTCTTTGTGATATACAGGGGTATACAGGAGTCAGAAACAGTGGATTTTGTTTTGCTCTGTCTTTATCATTCATTTTATAGCCTGAGAAAGTAAGTCTAAGAATCTTTCTGCCTCTGTTTATTATTTGATTTTATATTGTGAACTAAGCTCTGTGAAATCAGAGGTTTTTGTCTTTTCCTCACTACTCTATTGGCAGGGCCTGGATCAGTGCCAGACATTTAGTAGGCATTCAGTAAGTAATTGTTGAATAAGTAAGCAAATATTTTAGTCTTTTTGCTTCTCTTCTGTATTACACACATTTGGAGTTTCTTGGGGGAACAAGGATGATATATTTGTAGGTGGCAATTATGTTACTATGTAAATCTGTTATAATTTTTCCCAAAAGTTCAGAAAATTGTTTCATTAGTACAATGGAGTATTAAGCAGCAGTTAAAACTAGTAATTATGGGCTGGGCACGGTGGCTCACTCCTGTAATCCCAACACTTTGGGAGGCCGAGGCGGGCAGATCACCTGAGGTAGGGAGTTTGAGATCAGCCTTACCAACATGGAGAAACCCCATCTCTACTAAAAATACAAAATTAGCCAGGCGAGGTGGTGCATGCCCATAATCCCAGCTACTCCAGAGGCTGAGGAGGGAAAATCGCTTGAACCGGGGAGGCAGAGGTTGCAGTGAGCTGAGACTGCGCCATTGCACTCCATCCTGGGCAACAAGAGTGAAACTCTGTTTCAAAACAAACAAACAAACTGGTAATTATGATAACTATAGAAATGAGGAGAAATGTTTATGGTAGGTCAAAATCGTAGGCACACTGCCTCCCTAAAATATGAATGAATATGGACAAAGACTGGAAGATAATGTGAAAATGAAATCATTTTAAGACAGTGGAATTTTTGGTGGTTTTTCTCTCCAAAATTTTCTTTAATACTATTGCTTACTCATCTTTTCAGAAATGATTTTAAATATGTATAAACTTTCCATGCCCTTCCCTGCACTATGTACAGAAATAGAATCTTTAATGTGGATCACAAATAACACAATAATCAGAAATTAGAGATGGTGTTGAATCTCAGCATTGGTAATGAGAATAGGCTTTATGGATAGATATTCCACTTTATCCTGAGATACACAGCTACAGTATACTTTCTGGGAGGAGTATGCCTATAAGCATCCTTGGCTGGAACCTGAATTGGGTTTACAAGCTTACATTTAGATAAAAGCCTTTTTATTTGAGATGAAACCCATACAGGCAGGGTAGAAAGGAGTGGCCTGGGTGAGAATGTCTAATGTTTGGGTTTTCTCAAAGCGTCATTCCTCCTTTCCTCTTATTCTGGCTAGCTTTTCCACAGTGTCATGTAAAGAGGCAGCATTTTCTAGAAGATGCAAGTCATTTGAAGTAGTCATTTGGTTTTCTTCTCATTTCACTTTCAGCCTGCCTTTAAAAATGTAGCTGAGGCCCACCGCTGTGGCTCACACCTGTAATCCCAGCACTTTGGGAGGCTGAGGCGGAAGGAGCACATGAGCCCAGGAGTTCAAGACCAACCTGGGCGACAGAGGGAGAACCTACAAAAAATGAAAAATAAAAAATACAAAAATGGCCGAGTGCAGTGGCTCACGCCTGTAATCGCAGCACTTTGGGAGGCTGAGGTGGGCAGATCACTTGAGGCCAGGAGTTCAAGACCAACCTGGCCAACATGGTGAAACCCCATTTCTACTAAAAATACAAAAATTAGCCGGGCGTGGTGACACGTACCTGTAATCCCAGCTACCTGGAAGGCTGAGACATGAGAATCACTTGAACCCGGGGAGGTTGCAGTGAGCTGAGATCGTGCCACTGCACTCCAGCCTGGGTGACAGAATGAGACTCCATCTCAAAAAATAAAAAAAAATATAAAAAAATTAGCCAGGCGTGGTGGTGCATGCCTGTAATCCCAGCTACTGGGTGGAGGTGAAGAGGTAGGCTGAGGTGGGAGGATCGCTTGAGCCCAAGAGGTTGAGGCTGCAGTAAGCCAGGATCACACCACTGCACTGCATGCAACCTGGATGACAAAGCGAGACCCTGTCTCAGAGAAAAAAAAAAAAGATAAATCTTGTCTTTGTACCTTAGTTTCTCCACATGCAAAACTGGTTCTTTATACCTTTCCGAAGGTTGTGTGGTGAGTTTGCTGCTAAATAGGTTTTTGTGTTTCTTCTACCAAACTACCTTTCCAGGATATCTACAGTTGGTGTTCAAGCCATTGCCTCTGGGCTTCATGTGAGCATTCTTGCCCCGGGCAGGAATTCTGCAGCACAAAACAAAGTACTAAAGATTTTACCCTTTGAGAAGCCTACTCCTTAAGGGAATATTACCTCCCAGGTTTAGCAGTTGGGAAGACATGAAGTACCTGTTCTCATTTCATTCAAATGCCATTCAGTGGTCTGTGAGTCTACATGAAATGACTCCCTGCGGACAGCACCCTCCCCCAGTCTGACCACCTACTACTTCCTCCCAGGTCACTCCCTTGCAGCCACGCAGGCTTCTTTGCTCTTTCCTGAAAATGTCAATTATGATCTGCCTTGGTCTCTGCACTGCCTCTGCCACATAGAGTCATGGTTCATTTTCACTCCTCCTCAAAGTGTTTGCTCATGTGTCATCCATCCCAGTGAGGCCTGTCCTGTGCTCCCCTCCCCCCACATTATTCCTGCTTCCCTTTCTCCATAGCACTTGTCAACTGCTAACACACTATATCCTTTTCCTGTATACTATGCTGATTGTTTACTGTCTCCCTGTTTCCAGGTAGAATGAAAGCTCCATGAGGGCCATGATTTGTACTGATTTTGTTCACTGTTCTATCCCCAGTGGTTAGATTAGGGTCAACCACATAGTAAGTGCTTGGTAAATATTTGTTGAATGAATGAAATGGCTGGGACACTGAGTTTCACCCTCTGCTTGGAATTCTTTTACTTATATGATTGTTACCACTATACCACGTTGGCCAGGGATGCTCTGTTCCCCCTTTAATGAACAAGGACAAAAACATCTTCTCTTGATTCTTTCTTAGCATAACTGAGATAGGCTGGAGAGTTCAAGGAAGTGTTTTGAGTACTAAGAACAATAGAGAAACCAGCATAGAGAATGCAACAAGTATTACAACAGTCTGGCTTAACAGTGTTTCACTCTTGGAGCTGCCATATCTAGCTTGTTCTCATATTTTGCAGGCCCCATCCTAATCTACCCACTTAGGAGAAATCTAATTCCAGCTTCATAGGACTAGTCCTGACCTTGCCTTGATGCCCTGCATGTGGCACCATCTCATAATCTGTTACTAAGGAGCTCCCTTTTGTACATCATGACAGCTGCCAACAAGGCCAAGAGAACCCAGCAAGGCTCATTTTCTAGTTTGAGTGTTGTGTTAGTCTGCATGGGCTACCATAACAAAATACCATAGAATGAGTGGCTTAAAAAGCAAACATTTTCTCACAGTTCTGGAGACTGGAAGTCCAAGATTAAGGTGCCAGTAGGGGTTGGTTTCTGGTGAGGCCTTTCTTCTTGGCTGCAGACGGGCACATTCTAGGTGTGTCTTCATGTGGCCTTTCCTCTGTGCACAGAGAGCATATGTAAGCCCTTGTGTCTTCCTTTAATAAGGATGCCAGCCCTATCAGATTAGGGCCCCACCCTTCTGACCTCATTTAACCATATTACATCCTTAGGGCACTATCTCCAAATGCAGTCACTTTAGGGATTAGGGCTCCAGTATAGGAATTTAGGGCCAGGTATGGCAGCCCACACCTGCAATCTCAGAGCTTTGAGAGGCCAAAGTGGGAGGATCGCTTGAGCCCAGGAGTTTGAAACCAGCCTGGGCATCATAGCAAGACCCCCTGTCTCTACAAAAGCTGGCAGCCTGAGTATTAAGATCTTATCTCTACAAAGAAAAAAAGAAAATTAACCAGACAGGGTGGTATGTACCTGTAGTCCAAGCTACTTGGGAGGCTGAAGTGGGAGGATCACTAGAGCCTGGGTAATTGAGGCTGCAGTGAGCCATGATTGTGCCACTGCACTCTAGCCTGAGTGACAGAGAGAGGCCTTGTCTCAAAAAGAAAGAGAGAAAGAGAGAAGAGAGAGAAAGAGAAAGAAAGAAAGAATGAATGAGTTAGCTGGGTGTGCTGATGTGTCTGTAGTCCTAGCTACTTGGGGCTGAGGTAGGAGAATTGCTTGAGCCCAAGAGTTCAGGGCTGCAATGAGCTATGTTTGTGCCACTGTACTCCAGCCTGGATGACAGAGCAGCAAGACCCTGTCTCTAAAAACAAAACAAAACTAAGAATTTTAGGATGACACAACTCAGTCCATAGCAAGTGATACCTCTTTGACTGGAACAAATAACCTTATGCTTCAGGTGCAATATCTCACACAGACACTATGGCCTTCGTTCACTTTTTAAACTAGCATTTATTGAAGACAAAACTATGTGCCAAGTTTTATGCCAGCTGCAGGGGATATCCCGTACCCTCCACCAGTAGAGGAGACAGAGCCAGTTTCAGAGAAGGGTGGTGAGTACCTGGGGATGGATGGATGTGTCAGGAAAAGTTTCATTGAGAAGGTCGCATATGGCCAGGCGTGGTGGCTCACGCATGTAATCCCAGTACTTTGAGAGGCTGAGGTGGATCACTTGAGCCAAGGAGTTTGAGACCAGCATGGGCAACATAGTGAGACCCCATCTCTATTTTAACAAAAAGTAAAAGAAAAAGAGAAGGTCGCATATGGTCTTTCAGGTCTGTGAAGAAGTGTGTGCATAGTTTACCACACAACAGCATATGAGTCATGTCACCATCATTATTGTCATCACCCATCTTTATAGTAACAAGAAGGTAGTTCCTTCACACTCTAACCTAAGCCCTTTTTCTTCATCTTCACCTGGCTTTGGTTCTTTTGCTACAGTTACTCCAGCCTCTCTCCCCAGCCTTTATCTTCCACATTTTCTGCTGTGTTGTTTCAACAGCCAGTGACTTTTCTGTTCATACTCTATTGATGATGAAGTAAAAATTGATTTTGATTTGTTTCTGATTTCTTTTCCTTAGTAAGTTTGAGTTGAACCTTTAGTTCTCTCTCCTCATCTCCTCGCTTTCTACAAAGGCAATTCCTGGTGTTAAGTGAAAGCTGTTCCTGTTAGAGCCTACTGTTTGCCATTAATAAGTGATAAGGGAGGTTGTCAGCCAGCATTAATACTCTGTTTATGAAATTACAGTTACTGATGCAGTATTTTGTGAAGTTCTTAAGATATAAACGGCACAAGTGATTTGATAAGTTATAGCTCCAGAGACTTCCTTACATAGTATGCCAGTATTTCTTTTTCCCCTCTCAACGGGACACACATAACATTAAATTAAGTTTGTCTTGGTTGCCATTTACTTTAAACGGATCTGGTGCCTGTGCTCAGATATGTTTATGAGAGTATAATTGACTTCTCTGAAAGCATTGAGATTGAGGGAGTAGTTATATCTTACCTTAGTCTCATTGATGATTCATGGAATTGAAATAATTAAAAAGTACTTATTACATGCCTGATTGCTTCATGACCCTTTGATAAACTACCAACACTCATATCAAATGTCTCCTGATTTAAAAAAAAAAATTTTTTTTATACATATATAGACAAGTTCTCACTGTGTCACCGAGGCTGGAGTATGGTGGCTTTCACAGGCATGATCATAGCTCACTGCAGCCTCGCCCTCCTGGGCTCAAGGGATCCTCCTGCCTCAGCTTCTCGAGTAGCTGGGACCACAGGCACCTGCGTCTAGCTAAATGCCTCTTGATTTTAATGGCATGTCTTGTCTTCATAGCATATTCCACAAAAAACTCTAAAGTCTGATAGAAATGATCCTTCTCTTTCCTGTAGTTTTTTTTTGTTTGTTTTGTTTTGAGAAAGGGTCTCACTCTGGTTGCCCAGGCCGGAGTGCAGTGATGCGATCTCGGCTCACTACTACAGCCTCTGCCTCCTGGGTTCAAGTGATCCTCCCACCTCCTGAGTACCTGAGACTCCAGGTGTGCACCACCATGCCCAGCTAATTTTTGTATTTTAGTAGAGACGGGGTTTTGCCATGTTGGCCAGGCTGGTCATGAACTCCTGACCTCAAGTGATCCTCCCGCCTCAGCCTCCCAAGGTGCTGGCGTTACAGGCATGAGCCGTAGCACCCAGCCAACATTTTACTCTTTATACGTGTGTTCAGCTACAAAACTTTCTTCCCTACCAACCCTCCCAAGTCTAAGTAAAATTGATCTCGGAGTCACTTGACCTATTTATCTGGTATTATCCTGGTACGCTGCTAGAGGTATATATACAGGGTCATGTGTCACTTAAGGATGAGAATGTGTTCTGAGAAACATGTCATCATTGAGTGTACTTACACAAACCCAGATGGCATAGCCCACTACGCACCTAGGCTGTGTGGTATGGCCTGTTGCTCCTAAGCTACAAACCTGTACAGCACTGATTCAACTTTAGGCAATTGTAACACAGTGGTATTTGTGGATCTAAACATAGAAAAGGTACAGTAAAAATACAGTATAAAAAATGTTGCATCTGTATAGAACAACTCCATTATAATCTTATGGGACCCCTGTTGTATATGTGGTTTATTGTTGACTGCATGTTGTTCTGCGGTGCATGACTGTACTAGTTTTAAAAGCAGAACTGTCTCTATAATCCACTTCTTAGCTTCAGGTACTATTTCCTAATATCAGACACGTGGCACTGACTTTTCTTCTTAACTCCAGACTTATGTATCCAAGTGCCTATTTGACATCTGCATTTGGATATTGGATCAGCATCACAAATTTAATACAAGGACCTAACTCTTGATTCTCTCCACAACGCCAAACCTGTTTTTCCTCTAATTGTCCCCACCTCAGTCAACTATATTATCCACCTAGCTGCCTAAGCCAGAAACCTAGGAATTATCCCAGATTATTATTCTTTTTTTTGTTTTGTTTTGTTTTTTGTTTTTGACTCACTCACTCTGCTCAGGCTGGAGTGCAGTAGCGTGATCTCTGCTCACTGCAACCTCCACCTCCCGGGTTCAAGTGATTCTCCTGCCTCAGCCTCCCTAGGTGCTGGGATCACAGGCATGCGCCACCACGCCCAGCTAATTTTTGTATTATAGAGATGGGGTTTCACCATGTTGGCCAGGCTGGTCTTGAACTCCTGGCCTCAAGTGATCCGCCTGCCTTGGCCTCTCAAAGTGCTGGAATTACAGGTGTGAGCCACTGCACCCAGCTCAGATTCTTCTTTATAATGCCTGCCTCATGTAGTCCCTCAGCAGGAGCTATTGATTCTGAACCCTTCCCATCCCCCGTGGTTCCCTTGCTCTCCTGTCGTTCACACCACCCTGTCTCACCTGCATCACGCAGTAGCCACCAGACTGATCTGTTTCACTGCCTGTGCAGTTCTTCTCTACACTGCCGGCAGAGTGGTCTCTTTGAAATGCAGATCTGATTGTTGCACTCACCTGCCTAATCCCCTCCAGTAAAACCCAGACTTCTTCTCCTGGCCTACAAGATCCTGTTTGGCTTGGCCTCTGCCTGCTCTCCAGCCTGTTTCTTACCCTCTTCGCCTAGTTTGCTGCATGCCTGCCACATGGCCTGCCTTCTGCTGCTGCTTGGATAGGAGAGGCTCAGTCTCTCCTTAGGGCCTTTGTGCTTGCAGTTCTTGGAAATGCTTGGATGTCAGAAGGTTACATGGCTGTCCCGTTGGTGTCATTCAGGTCTCACTCAGCGCAGACAGGCCTTCCCTCGCTGCGCAGTTAGTCACATGCCTCTCGTTGCTTTCTTAATATTTTACTTTAAACTTTTTTTCTATTACATACCTTATCCGACATGATTTTGTTTGTGTGTTTTACAGGAGAGGGGTTATATCTGTCTCGTTCATGACTGAGTTCTCAGTGCCTGAACAGTTCCTGACATCCAGTAGACCCTTTATATCTATTTGTTGAATAAGTGACTGCTTTTCCCGTTGTGCATGGGCCAGTGCCAGGGGTCGAGTTGTAGTGAACTGAGAGTACATGGACAGTGCTGAATGGGGAAATGAAAGTTATCAAAAGCCTCTGGTGCCTTGCTTATTCATAGCAGATTTGTTCATAATAACAAAAGCTGGAAAGAACCCAAATGCCCATCAACACATGAATGAATAAACTGTGGCTATGATTTGGCTATAAAAAGAATGATACATGGTGGAATATGGATGAATCTTGAAAGCATTATGCTGCATGAAAGGAAGCCTTACACAGAAGAGCACATACTTAGGATTCCATTGATATGAAATTCTAGGAAGGGCATTTAATTTATAGTAAGAGAAAAGTGGCTAACCAGAACCCAGGATGGGAGAGGGTTGACTGGGATGGAACACAGAACTTTTAGGGTAATGGAAATGTTCTGTATCTTAAATATGGTGGTGATTACACAGGTATAAATTTGTCAGAACTTATCAAAATGTACAATTAAATCAGTCCACTTTATTGTATATAAACTATTTCTCAAAGTTGAACTGGTGTCTGACATTTAAATGTACTTTGGATTTCTTTTGTTTACCTACCCACTTCTTGGGCAGATGACTTTTCTTTTAATTTCCAGTTCTCCTAGCTACCTGCTGACTCATCCCAGACGTACTTACATTCCTGTTTCTGAATCAGTTCCAACATCCTTTGGGTCTCTTGTCCTCAATCTCTAGTTGGCAAAACATCTTTCTAATTGCAGGGTTATTGGTTATCTTCAGATATGCTATTGGAACTTACTTACCATCAAGGCTAGTTGGGTCTCCACCTCAAAGACTAAGTATCTCCAAACAGATACTTTTACAACGTAACAAGCAAGGAAAAAAAATGTTTGCAGCACATGTAGTTTGACAAGAAGACATAAGAGTATATTTTAAACTCTCAGTTCCTTTCGGTATGATGACTTGTATACTTTGATCAGACTTCCTCTTCAGAAGTTGTAGTCTTTATGTTTAGGATTCCTCCTGTTCCTGTTAATACAGCAGCTGAACTGAAAGCTGTATAGAGATTTGATGAATAGTTGACTGTCTCGTGATCAAACTCTTGCTCTGACATTAATATACTTTATTTAGTATCAAGTCTAATTTTCATCTTTTATTTTTCCTCCCTTTAGTTCACAGAATCACCCAGTCCTTTCTTCCTTTATTAATACATTATTTTGCAAGTGATATATGACCACAGCCTCATAAAGTACTCAAGCAAACACATAGGGTATGATGTGAAAGTGCCACTGAAGCTCTTTTGCATCTCTCCACCTCCCCAGACAAAAATACGATTAAGAGTTCGGCAGACATTCTTCCAGATCTTTTCCTAAGCATTGACATAGGACATGTGTACAGATACATAGACATTGTTTACGTAAGCAGAATCACTATGAGTTGTTCAGCTTGTTTTTTTTTCACATAAAAACGTATCTTGGGGGCTGGGTGCGGTGTCTCACGCCTGTAATCCCAGCACTTTGGGAGGCCGAGGCGGGCGGATCACAAGGTCAAGAGATCGAGACCATCCTGGCTAACACGGTGAAACCCCGTCTCTACTAAAAATACAAAAAATTAGCCGGGAGTAGTGGCGGACGCCTATAGTCACAGCTACTCGGGAGGCTGAGGCAGGGAAATGGCATGAACCCAGGAGGCAGAGGTTGCAGTGAGCTGAGATCCCACCACTGCACTCCAGCCTGGGCGACAGAGCAAGACTCCGCCTCAAAAAAAAAAAAAAAAGTACCTTGGGGATTTTTCTGTTTTTGTACTTACAGGCCTATCTCATACTTTTTAATGGCTGCTTAGTATGCCATAGAATAGAGAAAACACAGTTTATTTAACTAATCCTACTAAATGGACATTTATTTCTAATTTTCACTCTAATAGTCAAAAAATGAATTTAGAAAATGCAAATAATTTGTGTTTTTAGGGTCTTTCATTTCTTATTTAGTTATATAATTATTCTAGCTTTTAAAAAAGCTTATTAGGGTGGGAAGTGCCTCACTGATACTGTAATGTTAGAACTACACTGAAAACTTTGTTTCAGAAGAAAAAGTTGAATGTAAGTTCTCTGTGACTGCGGACTTCATTAGCATTGTGTCTTCAGGGCTTTCTTTTTAGGTATGATTATAAACCAAAAGCACTATAAGTGGTTACATAATTTTCTTACAGTTTGTATACCTCATTCAAAAGAAGCATACATCTCTAAGGATTAGAACTAGAACCATAAGCCAGGTGTGGTGGCTCACACTTGTAATCCCAGCACTTTAGTAGGCTGAGGTGGGAGGATCATTTGCACCCAGGAGTCAGAGACCAGCCTGGGTAACATAGGGAGACCCCATCTCTACAAAAAAAAAATACAAAAATTAGCCGGGCATGCTGGCTCATGGCTGTGGTCCCAGCTACTTGGGAGGCTGCGGTGGGAGGATTGCTTGAGCCTGGGAGGTCAAGGCTGCAGTGAGCTGTGATTGTGCCACTGCACTCCAGCCCAGGTAATAGAGCGAGACCCTATCTCAAAAAAAAAAAAAAAAAAAAACTAGAACAGTGACCTTTGGTTGTAACATGATCAGCAGTTGGTTATAATGAGTGCTTTAAATTAATGTTTTCCCATGGAGCTGGAGCCAAGCATTTGTGAAAAATGTTTTTTCTCTCTCCCTTTTTCAGTTTGAAATCCTGCTAATACACTAATTTCTGTGGAACTTTCTACCAGCCTCTACTGGTGACCAGCAGTTGCTGGTTTATTAGCACTCAAAATATTTAAAACAAGCAAGAAACCTGTCTTTCCATCTCCTTGCCCTGTATATGGAGATGCACAAATATGGAAAATTCTGATGTTTAAGCAGAATTAGTTATATTTCAGGTAGATGGATTTGAATCTTTCAAAACCCCACATGAGGTAAGTATATTTCTTCAGCCCTGCTTTTCAGCAAATAGTGGGACTGCAGAGCAGGCTGACATTTGTCTTAGCTACCCAAGAAGGACCAAAATTGCCTTCCTGTTAGGTTTTGCCTGCATGTTTAGTTATGAGACAGCCTGAGACCCTGTTTTTCTTTCGTATTAGCTGACCTCGGTATTAACCTCACCTTCCCTCCTCCCCTTCTTTTTTTGGTTTCTGGTTTTCCTTTTCAATTTGTTACAAGTACGCTTAAAGCACGAAGGCGTTGCAGTTGTTAGAGATTATTTTGTTCTCTGGCGGTTTCAGTTATCTTGACTTTAAGCTTTCTTCCTCTTAGACAAATAATATAGGCAGCTGTCATATCTGAGGGTTTTAAATTCTTGTTAACCTTTTAACTTATTGTGATTAAGATGAATTTGAAAAGAAAGCCATTTCCTCTATTTAAGAATTGCCTTGGCAAGAAGTTGGAAATCCTAGAACCTTGTTGCAAAGGAATGTGTCGCTATTTGTTATGAATGAGTCTGGTTGGGTCCAGTGAAACCTTCCTATTGCTAATGTGCAATTAGGTATCTTCAGTGAGGGAGAGACTGTCCTCTAAGCAAAGCAGCTAAAGCTCCAGGGGCAAAGGGCAGAGCGAATAAGCAGGGGCCTGGGTCATCTATTTTGTTCTCTGGCCTGAAAGCATTTGACTGCTCATCTCACATCCCTTCTTTGCCCTCAGTCGTTAGATATTAGGTCTACTGTGGTTGAATGAGACTGTCTACAAAAGGGTTCCAGTGCTCACCAAAAGCTGTTTGTAAATACGAAGTATTACATATTATCTTTCCTAAGGTTGTGAGAACCTAGAAGAACTGCCTTTGATTAATGCTAGAAAACAGCTCTTATGAGACATAAAGTTCATTTAATAATCCCACAAATGCTTACGAGCAACTATTCTATACCAGGCAGTTTTCTAGCTTTTTGGAAATAGAGTGGTGAACAAAATAGATGAACATCTCTGCCTTCATAGAACTTAGATTCTAGCTGGGCACAGTGGCTCACGCCTGTAATCCCAGCACTTTGGCTGAGGCAGGTGGATTACTTGAGCTCAGGAGTTCAAGACCAGCCTGGGCAACATGTTGAAATCACATCTCTACCAAAAATACAAGATATTAGCCAGGCGTGGTGGTGTGTGTCTGTGGTCCCAGCTACTCATAAGACTGGGGTGAGAGGATCACTTGAGCCTGGGAGGTGGAGTTTGCAGTGAGCTAAGATCGTGCAACTGCACTCCAGCCTGGGTGACCAAGTGAGACTCCATCTCAAAAACAAAAAAAAAAACAACTCAGATTCTAGTTGGGGAGACATATACTAAATAAGATAACACAAATAAAGGGCAGTATATAGTGAATTCAGTAGGGACAAATGCTGGGTAGAAAAAACTAAGCAGGGGAAGAAGACAGGAAGTGTCAGGAGTAGTACTGTGGCTTTATTATTATAAATTGTTTCCTTTTAAAAACGATGTGTATTATGCATTAAAGCATTGCTCTGAGAAGGGGTCCTCTGACTTCTCCAGACTGCCAAAGGGACCCTGGCATTGAAAGGGTTAAGGAGGCTGGGCGCAGTGGTTCACACCTGTAATCCCAGCACTTTGGGAGGCCTAGGTGGATAGATCACTTGAGGTCAGGAGTTTGAAGCCAGCCTAGCCAACATGGTGAAATCGTGTCTCTCCTAAAAATACAAACATTAGCTGGGCATGGTGGCGGGCACCTGTAATCCCAGCTACTCAGGAGGCTGAGTCAAGAGAATCGCTTGAACCCAGGAGGAGAGGTTGCAGTGAGCCGAGATCGCACCACTGCACTCTAGACTGGGCAATAAGAGGAAAACTCCATCTCAAAAAAAAAAAAAAGAGAGAAAAGAAAGAAAAAGAAAAGGTTAAGGACCCCTCATTAGAGTTACAAGACCAGCCCTCAACATGTGATTAAAAGATGTTTGTTATGGCCGGGCGTGGTGGCCCATGCCTGTAATCCCAGCACTTTGGGAGGCCGAGGCAGGCGGATCACCTGAGGTCGGGAGTTCGCGACCAGCCTGACCAACATGGAGAAACCCCATCTCTACTAAAAATACAAAATTAGCTGGGCATAGTGGCGCATGCCTGTAATTCCAGCTACTTGGGAGGCTGAGGCAGGAGAATTGCTTGAACCCAGGAGGTGAGGTTGCAGTGAGCCGAGATTGCGCCATTGCACTCCAGCCTGGGCAACAAGAGTGAAATGCCATCTCAAAAAAAAAGAAAAAAAAAAGATGTTTGTTTCCTCTTTGATGCTTTATGTGATAATGATGCGGTAGACTTTCCACATATCTCCCTATTATATCTGGTAATTGTGGCTTTAAATTATTTGAAGCTGTCATTCACTTTTGAGACTAGTGTTTGTAGGATGTTTTTTCCATTTGTGTTCTGTAGAACCCCAGGGTACCCTGAAGCCTTTTTGGCACATGTGGGGGTCATTTTAAACGTATGTTTGGATTATTCATCTACGTTAGTCTAAACAAGTAATCAGATGCCTGGCTTTGAGGTAGGTATAAGTAAAGAGAATAGACTAAGGGGTTGGTGCATATTTATGGAACATAAACAGCATAGATGGTTAACAGATGCTACACACAGGTGAACCACTGATTTAACCTGTTATGTGTATGCCATTGAGCCACTATCAAGACCTTGAGCTGCTACCTAGTGTCTGTATAAAGATAAGAATTTCCAGCCAGGGGCCGGGCGCTGTGGCTCATGCCTATAATCCGGGCACTTTGGGAGGCTGAGGCAGTAGGATTGCTTGAGCCCAGGAGCTCAAGACCACCCTAGGCAACATAAGGAGACCTTGTCTCTGCAAAAAATGAAAATATCAGCCAGATGTGGTTGTGTGCACTGGTAGTCCCAGCTCCTTGGGAGGCTGAGGTGGGAGGATCACTTGAGCCTGGGAAGTCAAGGCTGCAGTGAGCCATGATTGTGCCACTGTACTCCAGCCTGAGTGACAGAGTGAGATCTTGTCTCTAAAATATAAATAAATAAAAAGGATATTTTCTAGGCCAGGCGTGGTAGCTCACGCCTGTAATCCCAGCACTTTGGGAGGCTGAAGTGGACCAATCACCTGAGCTCAGGAGTTTAAGACCAGCCTGGGCTTAGGCAACATGGCGAAACCCCATGTCTACAAAAAAAAAAAAAAAAAAAAAAAGAAAGAAAAAGAAAAAAAGATATTCTGAGCTTATTTTCTCGTTATTTCCTTCTCTCCCTTCCCAAATATTTTTTTGAGCATCTGTGTCAGCTAGGAATACAGAAACTAAAAAACATTGCTTGCCCTTGTGACTGGGGAGATATAGACAATTGAATAATCAACCACAACATGTTATAGTAAGTGCTAAGATAAAGGTAGGCACAAGTGTCAGGGAAAACACAGAAGTGGGATGCCTGAGCTGAGTGGGAGTGGGGGTGGCCCAAGAAGGCTTCCTGAACCAGTGGCACCAGATGGACAAGGGAGAGGCCCCCTACTCCCTGCTTGTCCTCTGCTCTCTTCTGACCGGTAGCGTTAATACTTCTTTGGTTTAATGCAGGATCACCAGACTCTGTGGCCCACGACCTGTTTTTGTGTAGCCCATAAGACATACCTTTCTAAGTACTATAGCTGAAAAACATCAAAAGAGTAGTAATATTTTGTGACATGTGAAAATTATATGAAATTCAAATTTCTGTCTGTAAACCTCACTGGAACACAGCCATGCTCATTCGTTTGTATATGGTCTGTGGCTGCTTTCTCCCTACAACGGTAGAATTGAACAGTTGCATCAGAGACCTTATGGCCTGCTAGGCCAGAAATGTTAAGCCCTTTACAGAGAAAGCTTGCTGGCTCCTGTTTAATGCTTTAACTGCCCTACTGAAAGGCAGGAGGTTGAAAAAATGATGGTAGTCAAAAGGAATGCATGAAATCCTGTTGTCTTCTGTTAGCTGATTGCAAGTAGTACACAGGATATATTTGAGACATCTCTTTTCCTATCTCCCACCAAAGGATAATTCAGGCGGATCTCAGTGCACAGGCACAGGCATTTGCCTCATTCTTGTTTTGTCTGTTTTGAATTTAGTTATGGGAATATTTTAATATCTCTCAAAAATAGGGTATCTGGTGTGAGTCAGAATGATTATAGAACATGCTTGCCTGGAGAACAGGAAATGCGGGATCCACTCCTGGTGTGCTGTTAGCTGAAGGACGTCAGAACTGTCCTTTAACCTCCCTGCAGGTCTCTAAATGGTAGGATTGTTTGGGGATTACACTAGATCATCTCTAGGCACCGTTCAGCTCAGTAGAGACATTGCTGCATGGTGGAAGGAGTGACCTCAGTGTGAATCCTGGTTCTGTCCCTTTCTGCCCAGGAGACCTTGAGCAGCTTATCTAAATGCTGTGTGCCTTTGTTAGCTCATCTGAAAATGTGGCTGTAAGAATGACCTCATGAGAATGGACTGAGATCATATTCTTAAAACTCTTGGCACTAATAGGTATTTAATCTACTATAACTGTGAAAATTATGTCTGTGAACTCTTTTTTTTTTTTTTTTTGAGACAGAGTCTCGCTCTGTTGCCCAGGCTGGAGTGCAGTGGCACGATCTCGGCTCACTGCAACCTCTGCCCCCTGTGTGCCACCACTCTCGGCTAATTTTTGTATTTTTAGTAGAGATGGGGTTTCACCATTATTGGCCAGGCTGTTCTTGAACTCCTGACCTCAAGTGATCCACCTGTCTTGGCCTCCCAAAGTGCTAGGGTTACAGGCGTGAGCCACTGGACCCAGCCTGAATACTAATTATATACTTCATTTTAATCAAACTCAATTTGTGAAATAGCTGGATTTAGGATTTGCTTAATGAAAGAGATATGACGTTCCTTTAAAAGCCAGCTTTTCTACTAGAATCAACATTATTTGAATTACATGCAATTATATGAGATCATATCAATGCATAGGAAGCTAGACATGTATTAGATTGTGGTTAAGGGCATACGCTTTGGAGCCATATAATATAGCTGTGGTTCAAAGCCTGGCTTTGCCATTTACTTACTAGCTGTGTATGATCTTGGCCTTCCATTTCCTCCTGGGAATGATAATAATACTTGCTGTGAAGATTAAATGAAATTACCCATGTGAAATGCTTAGCATGGTACCTAAGTAGTGCCACTCTAAAGTTTCATGGCCTCCTACTCTCTGGACACATACCTATCCTCTGTCTGCTAGAACTCCTCACTTCCCTGTTCTCCTAACTTACTTATCCTTCAGAGCCCAGTTCAAGGGACGTCTTCATGAAGTCCCCCTTGCCCCAGCCCTGTGCTTCCACAGGGCCTGTGCACGCCTCTCTCTGCTTCCCACTGTGTGCGGGCCCTACCTCCTCCTTTTATTGTGCTTCACTTTCTTGTGCTTCACAGATGCTGCATTTTTTACAGATTGAAGATTTGTGGCAACCCTACGTTGAGTAAGTCTGTCGGCACTGTTTTTCTAATAGCATGTGCTTACTTTGTATCTCTGTGTCACATTTTGGTAATTCTTGCAGTATTTAAAATTTTTTTATTATTGTGTTGGTTACGGTGATCAGTGGTCTTTGATGCTGCTGTCGTGATTGTTTTGGGGTGCCATGAACCGCATCCGTGCGAGACGTTAGACGTAATTGATAATGTTGGCATGTGCTCTGACTGCCCCACTGACTGGCCATTCCCCCATCTCTCTTCCTCTCCTCAGGCCTCCCTATTTCATGAGATACAGTATTGAAATTAGGTCAATTAATAACCCTACAATGGCTTTTAAATGTTCAAGTGAAAGGAAGAGTTACGTGTCTCTCACTTTAAATCAAAAGCTAGGAATGATTAAGCTTAGTAAGGAAGGAATATTGAAAGCCAAGACAGGCTAAAAACCAGGCATATTGAAAGCCAAGACAGGCTAAAAACCAGGCGTCTTGCAGCAGTTAACTAAGTTGTGAATGTAAAAGAAAAGTTCCTGAAGGAAATTAAAAGTGCTACTCCAGTGAACTCCGGAATGCTAAGAAAGCAAAACAACCTTATTGCTGATGTGGAGAAAGTTTCAGTGATCTGGACAGAAGATCAAACCAGCCACAACATTCCCTTAAGCCTAAGCTTGATTCAGTGCAAGATCCTGACTCTCTTCAATTTTATGAAGGCTCAGAGAGGTGAGGAAGCTGCAGGAGAAAAGTTTGAAGCTAGCAGAGGTTGGTTCATGAGTTTTAAGTAAAAAAGCAACATAAAAATGCAGGGTGAAGCAGCAAGTGCTGATGCAGAAGCTGTAGCAAGTAATCCAGAAGATATAGCTAAGGTGGCTAGATGATGAAATGAAGGTGGCTACACTAAACAACAGATTTTCAGTGGAGATGAAAGAGTGTTCTGTTGGAAGAAGATGCCATCTAGGACTTTCATAGCTAGAGAGGAGAAGTTAGTGTCTGGCTTCAACATTTCAGAGGACAGGCTGACTCTCTTGTTAGGGGTGAATGCAGCTGGTGACTTTAAGTTGAAGCCAATGCTCATTGACTATTCTGAAAATTCTAGAGCCCTTAAAAATTATGCTCAATCTACTCTGCCTGTGCTCTATAAATGGAACAAAAAAGCCTGGATGACAGCATATCTATTTAGAGCATGGTTTACTGAATATTTAAGCCCACTGTTGAGACCTGCTCAGAAGAAAAGATTCTTTTCAAAATATTACTGCTCATTGACAGTGCACCTGGTCACCCAAAATTCAGATGGAGATGTACAAAGAAATTAATGTTGTTTTCATGCCTGTTAACCACAACATCCATGCAGCAGCCCATGGATAAAGGAATATTTTCAGTTTTCAAGTGTTATTAGTTAAGAAACATTTTGTAAGGTTATAGCTGCCATAGGTAGTGATTCCTTTCATGGATCTGGGCAAAGTAAATTTAAAACCTTCTGGAAGGGATTCACCATTTTAGATGCCATTAAGAACATTTGTGGTTCATGGGAGGAGGTCAAAGTATCAACATCAACAGGAGTTTGAAAGAAGTCGATTTCGACTCATGGATGATTTCAAGGTGCTCACGACTTCAGTGGAGGAAATAACTGCAAAAGTGGGGGAAATGGCAAGAGAACTAGAATTAGAAGTGGGGTCTGAGGATATGACTGAATTGCTGTAATCTCGAGATAAAATTTGAACAGATGTTTCTTGTGGATGAGCAGAGAAAGTGGTTTCTTGAGATGGGACCTACTCCTGGTAAAGATGCTGTGAACACTGTTGAAATGATAATGTATTACAATAATTTATAACAATAACTATGTATTACATAAACTTAGTGATAAAGCAGCAGTAAGGTTTGAGAGAACTGAATCCAATTTTGCGAGAAATTCTGCTGTGGGTAGCATGCTATCAAATGTATTGCATACTTTAGAGAAATCTTTAATGAAAGGAAGAGTCAGTGTGACAAACTTCATTGTCTTATTTTAAGAAATTGTCACAGATACCCCAACCTTTAGCAGTCACCATCCTGATCAGTCAGCAGCCATCAACATTGAGGCAAGACCCTCCACCAGGAGAAAGATTGCAACTTGCAGAGGGCTCAGAAAATTGTTAGCTTTTTTTTTTTTTTTTTAATGAGACGGAGTCTTGCTTGGTTGCCCGGGCTAGAGTGCAGTAGCATGGTCTTGGCTCACTGCAACCTCCGCCTTCTGGGTTCAAGCAATTCTCCTGTCTCAGCCTCCCAAGTAGCTAGGATTATAGGCACGTGCCACCATGTCCAGCTAATTTTTGTATTTTTAGTAGAGACAGGGTTTTGCCATGTTGGCCAGGCTAGTCTTGAACTCCTGACCTAAGGTGATCCACCTGCCTCGGCCTCCCAAAATGCTGGGATTATAGGCGTGAGCCACCACGCCTGGCTCAATAAGCCATTTTTATTTTTTTATTTTATTTATTTATTTATTTTTTTGGGACAGAGTTTCGCTCTGTCGCCCAGGCTAGAGTGCTGTGGCGTGATCTCGGCTCACTGCAAGCTCCACCTACCGGGTTCATGCCATTCTCCTGCCTCAGCCTCCCAAGTAGCTGGGACTATAGGCACCTGCCACCGCGCCCGGCTAATTTTTGTTGTTTTTAGTAGAGGTGGGGTTTCACCGTGTTAGCCAGGATGATCTCGATCTCCTGACCTCGTGATCCACCCACCTCAGCCTCCCAAAGTGCTGGGATTACAGGCGTGAGCCACCGCACCCAGCCCATTTTTAAATTAAAGTATATACTTTTTTTTTTTTTAAGACAATGCTATTGCACAGTTGATAGACTACTGTATAGTGTAAACATAACTTTTATATGCACCGGGAAATAAATAATTTCATGTCACTTGCGTTATTGCAGTGGTCTGGAACTAAAGCCACAATATCTCCAAGGAACTGTTTACTTGCTGTCTCGCTATCAGACTGTGAGACTGTCAAGGGCAGGCATTCTGCGCAGCTTTGGCAATACCGTCTAGTTGTAAAAAAGACGGAACTGTTTCAGGCCATGGGCATTCTAGTGGGAAGACAAATATTTAATCTCAAGTGTGCAAAATGCTGCCATAGAACAGGAGTGCAGTGGAGCATAATAGGAGCTCTGGACCTTGTCTGAACACATAAAAGAAGCCTTTTTCCTAAGGAGTGATTGCTTAAGTTGAAACCTGAAGGATGTGTGGGAATTAGCTAAGTGAAGAGAAGGAAGAGTTCCAGGCAGAGAAAACTGTGGACATAATGGCTTTGGGCAAGTTACTCAGCTTCTTCTCTGCTTCAGTGTCTTCATCTATAAAATGGGAATAATATAACCTAGAGTTATATAGTTAGGGTTGTTGTGATCATAAAGACAGTATTTTAAGTCATCATCTTCTAATATTTCTGAAGTGGGGCATAATTGGTTCATTCAGGATAACTTCTGGGTCCACGTTTATGTATTGAATGGCTAAATGTATGGATCTGCTTACTGCACTTTAACCTTGTTCTTTACCTGCTCTGAAGCCTTTCTTGCATTTTAATGACAAGAACGGTGTATTTTGCCTTTCAGTGAGTTTGTTAATTATGGAGATCAAACTCTGCCTTTCATTACTGCATAAGTCTCATGGTGTGTCAGACATCTTAGGTCAGTGTGTGTCATCAGTTAGAATGCTTTCACCTTCAAGAAACAGAAAAGCCAGCTCAATGACTTAAACACACAGATGTTTATCATTTCAGAAAACAAAAGTCTGGGGCAAGGGTGAGTCCAGTGCTGGTTAACTGAGCAGCCTGGCAAAGGCATCAAGGAGCCAAGTTCATTTTGCCCTCCTGCTTTGTCATCCTCAGTACAGGCTTGCCCGCTGGCTCCCCATGGTCTCAGGTGGCCTGTCGCAGTTCCAGGTGCCACAGGGAGACACCAGAACATCCCATTGAGGAGGAGGAACTGTTTCTTTCCATGTCTGTCTCTTTATTGATGAACATTTGGGTGGCTTCCACCTTTTGTCCATTGTGAATAATGCTGCTATGAACATTGGTGAACAATAAATTCTTTTTAAAAATACAGCATCTAGGGGCTAAGCTATGAGGATGCAGAGGCATAAGAATGATACAATGGACTTTGGGGACTCGGGTGAAAGGGCAGGAGGCAGGTGAGGGATAAAATACTGCAAATTGGGTACAGTGTATACTGCTTGGGTGTTGGGTGCACCAAAATCTCAAAAACCTACGGAAATAAAAAATTAAAGTACCACATCAATTAATGCGTAGACCAAATCTTATTGCAATTAAATTTCTACTTTTAGCATCATTTGCTACAATGAAGTTCTAGTATTTGAAATATTTTGAGCCACTGACTTGCTGTTTAATGGGATTTGATCCCATAGTAAAGAAGATATAAACCAAGTAAGTCAAAAGGATCTTAGAAGCAATTTTATTCCATCCTCTATTTTGAAGATGTTCTGGATTCAGAGTGATTTTCCAGGGTCAGAGAGCTAAGTCATGTTAAATAATTCAAAGTGTATGAAAATACACATTACTCACAGATTCAAGTAGAGTAACCAGGGGTGTCTTTTGCCTCTAGTCTTACTCTAACCAGTGTCTAACTATGCCTGTGTAGATAAAATAAAATAGAAAACTGGGATAATTCAGGTATTCAAGTAATTGAAGAAAATCAGTCCTGTTTAAAATATCTGGGCAGGCCGGGCATGGTGGCTCATGCCTGTAATCCCAGCACTTTGGGAGGCCGAGGCAGGCAGATTACTTGAGGTCGGGAGTTCAAGACCAGCCTGGCCAACATGGTGAAACCTCGTCTCTACTAAAAATACAAAAATTAGTCATGCATGGCGGCGCATGCCTGTAATCCCAGCTACTCGGGAGGCTGAGGCAGGAGAATTGCTTGAGTCCAGGGAGCAGAGGTTACAGTGAGCCGAGATTGTACCATTGCACTCTAGCCTGGGTGACAGAGCAAGACTCTGCCTCAAAAAAAAAAAAAAAAAAATGTGGGCAACTCTAATACTTAGCTTTTAGGTATTTGCTTCAGTAGTCCACTTTATGTGTTAGTGTTCGACATTACTAGTGGGATTTTGCTTCTCATGCTCTATTTTCTGATTTCTATCACCAGTGGTTTCATAGTTGTATACAGTAATCTCTGGTTAGAGACAGAGGCAGTGGCCTGCTGGGGAACACACCAGACGGAAAGTGAGAGTTCCTTGTTTTGGGCTTTACTTTGCCCTTGACTTCCAGTAATCAGGGTGTTTCCTTGTTCTGAAACACGCTTGTGTTAGTCACAACAGGTTCACAACTGGCAGACAGGTAATCCCTGAACAAGTAAATCCCAGTGGAACCAGAAAACTGGGTCTTGTTTTCCTTAATTGGAACCTGACTTAGAATCAGCTATTGAACTGGGAAACAAACAAAAAATAAGTGTTAGCCATTAGAAAATGAATTTAAATTACTGGTCTGTCCCTATTTAGAATTTCTTGCAATCATTTCCACTGTATGTAACACTGAAATCCTTTGTGGTTGTCTGCTGCAAAAGTGAATCTTTGACCCAGCAACTTTAAATGCTTTTGACACCATTGGGAATTTTGAGAATTGTTAATTTAATCTGCACTTGTCCTAGGTGGGGGTGGGGATGAGGGAGAAGTGATGTCCTTTTGCATTGGCAGTTATGCTGTTTGTAAGCAGAGGCTTGTGCTTCTGGAACTTATGTTTACTAGGGAGTGATTATTAGCATAATAAGTATCATATTCTAGCTTTTATTTCTGGAGGCAGTAAAGAGCCAGCCAAGCAGAGAGAAGAGTGGGAGGTGACTGGCAGCAAGGGCCTCGTCGCTATTAGTGCAACACTGCTGCGGGTGGAGGAGCTTTTCATCAAAGCAGGAAGAAGGGGAGGCCTTTTCTGCCTATGACTCCAACTTCCCTGCATGCCACGTCTTTGCAGGCCTGCAGTGAGGTTAGGATGTAAACGACTTTCTTTTCTTTCCCATCCCAAGCTCATCATGGGTTCTCTCTAACTGATTCTTGTTCTCTTAGTAATTATTTAGCTGTCAAGCAGGGACTTGTCCTGACAAGGAGAACGGGAAGGCCCTCTGGTTCCTGTCTACACAATGTCTGTAGTCCCTTCTCTCAAAGACTCAGTGTTGAGACTCACATGTCTCCCCGAAGGGAAGGAGGAGGCATTCAAGTAGAAACACATTTACGTCAACAGGTTTTCTGAACCCCCGGTGAATTTTGAGTTCTTAGTGCAACCTTCCCCTGCTTCACCGTTCCTGTTTCTTCTCTGTGCCTCTGTTTTCCGGTTGGGGAAGTGGAAAGGATCCTGACTCTGGAGGAAAGTGGAGAAGAACCAGTGGGCCCGACTGCATCAAGAGCCTCCCCTTAGCAGAGAACCGCCTGGTCCTCCTCACTCATACGTGCTGTCTGTGTGCAGGGTGCTCATGGGAGATGTTGAAGAGGTGTAAGAAGGCTTCTTCTCTGTGTAACTGGGGAGCAAGACATGCACACAAAGACAAGTGCATCAGGGTACGTTCAGTGTGTAACTTAAAATAAGCGACAGACATAGTGTGGTGGGCAGAACTGTGTGTATTTCAGACAGCGGCTCAAGGACTGCTTGTCTCTTTGTAGGAACACTGTAGGCCAGAATCAGTCTGTTAAATGGGAGTTGATGTCCTGTGACACTTTTCTAGATTAAATCGTCCTAATACTCTACAATAAATGCTTTTGTTTTTAGTTACTTGAGGGAAAAGATGGTATTTTTCAAAAAGTGAGACAGAAAAAGGCATATGGGACATTGTATGTATGTCCTGGTATGTGTGCACACCACCACCTGTGAAGCAGCCTTGCTGCTAAAGTAGACCCCGAGTTTGATAAAACGCCTAGATCTTACTGTGTATTTATAGGAAATACGAGGGATGGAGAAACATTGTAAATGGCTTTTTGGGGATAGAATCAGCAAATTCCAAACTGCATTATAGGATAAACAGAACAGTTTTTTCAACAAATAAATCATAAGGGGAAAAGGTGAGAAAAAAGCCTCTATAGATAAAAAGAGATTGAAGAGATGAATGAACCAATAGTCATATATGATTGATTCAGACAAAATGAAGAAAATGTGAGGCAATCTGGGAAATGTGGACACTGACTGATTATTTGATGGTATTAATGGTATTAAGAAGTTTATTTTATAAAACAAACCAAAAAAGACAAGAGGAAATTTATCTTATATTGAATATTGACAACAAATAATTAAATTTAAAAAATTTGTTAGTTAAGTGTGAAAATTGTGGATACATTTTAAAAGAATATCCTTTAAAGAGACATACATATTGAAATATTTACATATGAAAAGAAATGCTGTCTGTGATTTGCTTCAGAATAGCCCAGGCAAGGGAGTAGGTGGGAGAATCACTGACACAGGACTGGTTATGCATTAAACATCGTTGAAGCTGGGTGTTGGGCAAACTAGGCTCATTCTACTGTTCTACTGTGTATATGTTTGAAAATTTTAGAATTAAATTTTAAAATTTAACAAGTGAGTGAGGGCTGGGCACAGTGGCTCATGCCTGTAATCCCAGCACTTTGGGAGGCTGAGGAGGGTGGATCACCTGAGGTTAGGAGTTCGAGACCAGCCTGGCCAACATGGGGAAACCCTGTCTGTACTAAAATTACAAAAATTAGCCAGGCGTAGTGACATGCGCCTGTAATCTCAGCTACTTAAGAGGCTGAGGCAGGAGAATCACTTGAACCCGTGAGGCGGAGGTTGCAGTGAGCCGAGATCGTGCCACTGTACTCCATCCTGGGCAACAGAGCCGGACTCCATCTCAAAAAAAAAAAAAAATGTGAGTGAGATATCTTGACAAAAGACGGAGTAGTGGTTGCCTGGAGCCTGGGTAAAGGGGTGGCGTGGCTGCAGAGGGGCACAAGGGATCTTTTGGGGTGATGGGAATGATCTGCGTCTTGGCTATGATGGTGATTTCATGGGTACGTACATTTAAACTAATCAAACTGTTCATTTAAATGTGTGTATTTTATTGTATGTAAATTATACTGTAATGTCAATTTAAAAATTGATTAAAGTTAGTAAGAAGGGGCCAGGTGTGGTGGCTCATGCCTGTAATCCCAGCACTTGGGGAGGCCGAGGTGGACAGATCACCTGAAGTCAGGAGTTCAAAACCAGCCTGACCAAGATGGTGAAACCCTGTCTCTACTGAAAATACAACAATTAGCCAGGTGTGGTGGCGCGCACTTGTAATCCCAGCTACTTAGGAAGTTGAGGCAGGAGAATCACTTGTACCTGGAAGGTGGAGGTGGCAGTGAGCTGAGATCGCACCACTGCACTCCAGGCTGGGTGACAGAGCAAGACTCCATATCAAAAAAAAAAAAGGGTTTAAAAAATATTATTATTATTATTATTATTATTATTATTATTAAAATAGAGACGGGGCCTAACTATATTGCCCAGGCTGGTCTCGAACTCCTGGGCTCAAGTGATCCACCCTCAGCCTCCCAAAGTGTTGGGATAATGGTGTGAGCCACTGTGCTTGGCCAGTAAGAAGGGTTTTTGTGTATTATACACATAGTGTGGAATCAGTAGTGTCAGAAGTGTGAGGCACCCAGCACTGCCAGGCAGCAGGGATTACCTGGCTTGTGCTGCATCTTTATTTTTCCCTTCACCTCAAGTTAACTTTATCGTTCATATTTCTGATTTTGCAGTAGTGTCTCTAATTTCTCCTTGCAGCTGTAGAGTCAGCTTGAATTTTGTGATGTTTGTCCATGTGTCTGCCATCCAAAAGGACATGCATTTTTATGCTAGAATAAATGATGTTAGGAGGACATCTACCCATTTATGATAATTCTTTAAACATTCAATTGGCTACATTATAATAGTCAAGCACTAAGGGTACACCTGAGCTGAAAACAATTCAGCTGGATTATAATTTTGATTTATTTTCCATCCAGTCTACCAACCAACCAACCAGTCAGCCAGTCAGCATTTATTGAATGTATTCTTTGCACCATCCCCCGAGTTGGGTTTTGGGTGCATGAGGATGAATATGATACAGTCCTGCCCTTAAGGATGTAACTTTCAGGGTGAGAAGATAGCTGTGTATATGTATAATTTCAGCAGCATGACAAATGCCATGGTCAAAGTGGGTGCAAGATGCAATATAGTAGGCCGCATTTATACATGTTGGCCTCCTCCCTCCCTCCCCTCTAGCCCCCTTCCTTACCTGGTAAGTCAAATGAACCAAATGTCAAACAGTTTGGAAAGGAGAGTTGAAGCAGAAGGAAACTTCCTTCTGCCCCTTTGAATTTGTTACTTTTTCTTCCAATTAAAAATGTGTTATTTTTACAATACCATTATATTGACATTGCAAGGGTCCCTGATGTTTTTATTGTTTTCTGTTGTCACTTTGTATCTCTTCTCCCATTCCCATCCCACTCCCATTAGCATCTTCTCTGATGTGTTTAATATGTATCCTTGGATATATATGTATTCTTACATGGTGTTTTCTGTAAATTTATATAAATAGTATTACATGATAATTCTCATTCTGATCCTTTCTTCATTTAAAACTATGTTTTTCAGTTCTGTTGGTGTTGTGTTTATATGGTGCTTTTAGCCACTGCATTGTATTTTTATTGCTCTGTCTACTGCGTTTTATTTGCCTGTTCCCCTAAGTGACAGACACCTTATTTGTTCTCCCTGTACCACAAACAATGCTCTGTGGGTATAGTGGCTCACACTTATAGTCTCAGAACTTTGGGGAGGCTGAGGCAGAAGGATCGCTTGAGCCCAGGAGTTCGAGACCAACCCGGGCAATGTGACAAAAACCTCATCTCTGCCAGAAATTAAAAACTTAGTTGAGCACAGTGGCATGTGCCTGTGGTCCCAGCTACTTGAGAGACTGGGGTGGGAGGATCGCTTGAGCCCAGGACGTTCAGGCTGCAGTGAGCCTTGATTGTGCCACCACTGCACTCCAGCCTGGGCAACAGAGTGAGACTGTCTCAAAAAAAAAGATAAAACTAAATAAATTAATAAGAAGATCCTCATATATGTCTTCTTACGAACTTGTACAAGAGTTTCTCTGGCTAAATACCAACAAGTATCATTGTTGGGTCACAGAGTATAATCATATTTAATTTCACTAAGTAATGCATGATTGCTTAATTTGTATTTCCACTACTAAGTGCAGTCCTTAGTATTTGACTTTAAAACTTTTGTGAGTTTGGCAGGTTTCACATGTTATTAATATCTTTTTAAACTCACATTTCTCTGATTACTAATGAGCATGGCTAGATTTCTGTATATACTGGGTAGTCTTTGGATTTTCCTTTTATGAATGACCTGGTCATATCATTTTCCCATTTTTCCAGTAGAGTTTCTTATATATTGTAGCTATTAATCCTAAGGCAGTTATAAATGTTTCAGATGTCTTCTTCTGTCCCTCATCTACCTGCTAACTTTGTTTGTGGTGTCCTTTATTCAGCAGAAATCTTTTGTTTTAATTTAGACATTTCCTTTGGTTTTTCCATTTATAAAGATTTGTGCTTTTTGATGTCTTACTTAAGAAATCTTTTCTGGGCCAGGCGTGGTGGCTCATGACTGTAATCCCAGCACTTTGGGAGGCCAAGGTGGAAGGATTGCTTGAAGCCAGGAGTTCGAGACCAGCCTGGGCAACATAGCAAGACTCCATCTCTATGTAAAAAAAAAAGGCATTATCCTGTATTTTCTTCTAATTAGGTTTATATGTGTCTCAAATTTACATCTCCAGTTTGATTTTTTCTCTGATCTCTAAATTTGTATACTCACTGTCTACCTGATAGCCCCACCTAAATATCTAACAGATATCTCAAACTTAGCATTGCTAAAACTTATTTTATCCCTTCCTCATTAAAAAAAAAAAATCTGTTCCTCTCCCAATCTTTATTCATCTAAGTACACTTGTCCCTTGGTATCTCTGGGGGATTGGTTCCACGAGCAGCCCTCCACAATGGATACTGATATAGGTTAGCTGTGTGTCCCCACTCAAATCTCATCTTGAATTGTAATCCCTGAGTGTTAAGGGAGGAACCTGATGGCAAGTGACTGGATTATGGGGGCGGTTTCTTCCATGCTGTTCTTGTGACAGTGAATGAATTCTCACAAGATCTGATGGTTTTATAAATGGTGCTTTTTTCCTGCGCTCTCACACACCTCTGTCTCCTGCCACCATGTGAGACAGTCCATGCTTGCTTCCCCTTCACGATGATTGTGAGTTTCCTGAGGCCTCCCCTACCTTGTGGAACTGCGAGTCAATTAAAACCCTTTCCTTTATAAATTACCCAGTCTCATGTAGTATCTTTATAGCAGTGTGAAAACGGATTAATACAGATACCAAAATCCACAGATGCTTAAGTTCCTTATATAGTGACACTGTATTTGCATATAACCTACACACATCCTCCCTCGTACTTTAATCTCTTGAATACTTATAATAGTTAATACAATGTAAATGCTATGTAAATTGTTGTTATACTGTATTATTTAGGGAATAAACAAGAAAAAAAAAGTCTGTACATGTTCAGTATAGATGCAACCAGCCTTTTTTTCCCCCTAAATATACATATAGGTACATACTTCTTGAGATGGAGTTTTACTCTCTTGCCCAGGCTAGAGTGCAGTGGTGGGATCTCTGCTCACTGCAACCTCCGCCTCCCAGGTTCAAGCAATTCTCATGCCTTAGTCTGCTGATTAGCTGGGATTACAGGCACATGCCACCACGCCCAGCTAATTTTGTATTTTTAGTAGAGACGGAGTTTCACCATGTTGGCCAGGCTGGTCTCGAACTCGTGACCTCAAGTGATCTCCCTGCCTTGGCCTCCCAAAGTGCTGGGATTACAGAAGTGAGCCATGGCACCTGGCTTTTTTCCTAAATATTTTTGATCCATGGATATGGAACCTGTGGGTACAGAGGGCCGACTGTAAATGGTGCTGCCTTCCACCCTGTTGCTCAAGCCAAAAACCCCGGAGTCATCTTTGCTTCTTTTTCATGCTCTGTGTGTGCAATCTATCAGCAAGTTCTATACATTCTGACTCCAGAAAATTTCTGGAATCTGTCCTGGGCACTTTATGGCCTCCTGCTGCTACTCTAACCCGTGTCACCTGTCTTCGTATAGCCATTATTACTCTGCTTTGCAGAGTTTATTTGTTGCATTTATTCATTAAAGACTCTCACCTCAGCTTTATAGCTAGTTTTGCAAGATAGAGCACTAGGTCTGGCTAGCCATATGCTGCCAGATGGAGGAGCTGAGTTTTTTTCCTATGTTCTGCTCCTTGGCTTCACTAGTGGCTGCTGGAGGCATCACTGTGCACAGATGCTTGGGGCAAAGGATCTTGCCAACCTCGATGCAGGTCACTGGAACAGCTGATAATGTCCGTGGTTTATAACCTGATGTAGATCCAGAGATGTCATTGAAAGATTTTTGCCTGCCAGCAGGTCTGAGTCTGAAGACCATGCCCAGGCTGGGGTGGCGCTATCATAGCTCACTGCAGCCTCCGATTCCTGTGTTCAAGCTGTCCTCCAGGGTAGCAGGAACTATAGGCACACACCACTACACCCAGCTAACTTTTCAATTTTTTTGTAGAGATGGAGTTCCACATCTGTCGGTCAGACTGGTCTGAAACTTCTGGCCTCAAGCGATCCTCCTATCTCAACCCCCCAAAGTGCTGGGATTACAGGTGTGAGCCACTGCGCCCAGCCAGACTTTTTTGTTAAATGTACCTTAAAGCAATGCTTTCTTCTTTTTTTTCCCATCACAAATTTAATTATTTATAAAAATATCTAATGGAAAGAAACTGGATTAGCAAGCCAGACAGATACTTGTCCTGGCTAAGTGTGATACTGGGCAAGTTGTTGACTTCCTTCTTCAGATGCCTGTGATATATACCCCATGTTTATTCTAATTTCTTAAAGATATGAGAACCTAGCTCTAACATAAGCATGAAATGCCTATTCCTGAGGCATTGATCACATTGTCATTGTTCCAGGTTCCTCTCTGTGCTCCCTGAAATCCCCATTAGCGTAATTCCCCACCATCCCCTTGTGCGGAGTCCACTGCCCCACTGTGCTGCTGCCCTCGACTGTTGTGAGGCCGGCTGAGTTTCAGTAACAGGGACTCGGTGATTAAATTTCTTTTTCTTTTTCTTTTTCTTTTTTTTTTTTTTTTTTTTTTTTTGAGACGGAGTCTCGCTCTGTCCCCCAAGCTGGAGTGCAGTGGAGCAATCTCGCTCGGCTCACTGCAACCTCTGCCTCCCAGGTTCAAGTGATTCTTGTGCCTCAGCCTCCCTAGTAGCTGGGACCTACAGGTGCCTGCCACTACACCTGGCTAGGTGATGAAATTTCTTCAGCTTTCTCTGGCCCTCCCTACTTCTAGGATCCAAATGACACGCTACGTATCGTTGCCATTTCTGATTTGGATGTACAAATATAGGGACAGATGGGTTTGTGTTTGTTTTTGATGTATTTTTTTTTCTCTCTTAATCTGGCTGTAAAAGCATTTCCAATGGCTTATAGTTTAGTATGTGTTCCCAAAGTGGGAGCAGCCTGTACATATGGAAGTCCAGTTGGGTAGGGCTCCCTGTACCCTGGCGCCAGGGCGTTGTTCTGACCGATGGTGCCCCCTGATGGCCAGTGTAGAAACTTGGTCACGGTGTCATCTTTTTCTCACTATCACTGGGGATTCCCTTCACTCCCCAGCAATTACTCACTTTTATTCTGTCTTGAATCTTAGATAATTATGCCGGAGATAATCCTTCTTATCTCCTCTTTGGGTTTCTTGTTTCTTCCTTATTTATTGCTCTCTTACCTCAAAAATATCTTATTTCAGCCAAGTGCAGTGGCTCACGCCTGTAATCCCAGCATTTTGGGAGGCTGAGGTAGGTGGATCACCTGAGGTCAGGAGTTCGAGACCAGCCTGGCCATCATGGTGAAACCCTGTCTCTACTAAAAATACAAAAATTAGCCAGGTGTGGTGCTACTCCAGCTACTTGGGAGTCTGAGGCAGGAGGATGGCTTGAACCCGGGATGTGGAGGTTGCAGTGAGCTGAGGTCACATCGCTGCACTCCAGCCTGGGCAATAGAGATAGACTCCATCTCAAAAAAAAAAATCTTATTTCTTCTCACCACTCATTCTTTTCATTATATTTTGAACTAAAAGCTTGTCCTGGTAATGGCTAAAGAGTACTTAGTGGTGTGTCCATATCAAAAAGAAAGGAAGCCCTTGATTTTGAAGAGAAATTAGAAGCCACGCTAAGGACTCATGGTTGCCATCTTCACGAGCTCTGAGATAGGTAAGGCACGCCCTTCAGAATCTTTATGGGTTTTTGTTAGCTCCTCAGCTTTCTCCAACTAAAATTGCTTTGGCTTAAGCTTTAGAACTCAAGATAAATGAAAGTTCTTCATTTTAACTTTAGTTGATAAATTACTAGTATTACAGAGCGATTTTCTGTGTGGAAAACATGCCAGCACTGTCACCCAGACACACTGTGCACAGGTTCAGCATGTACCATGGCTGCCTGAGGCCTGCCCTCATCCCTGCTGGCCTCCTCTCCTGCGCTTTTTTTTTTTTTTTGAGACAGAGCCTTGCTCTGTCACCCAGGCTAGAGTGCAGTGGTGCAATCTCAACTCAGTGCAACCTCCACCTCCTGGGTTCAAGCAATTCTTCTGTCTCAGCCTCCCGAGTAGCTGGGATTACAGGTGCCTACCACCATGCCTGGCTAATTTTTGTATTTTTAGTAGAGACGGGGTTTCACCATGTTGGCCAGGCTGGTCTCGAACTCCTGACCTCAAGTGATCCACCCCACTTGGCCTCCCAAAGTGCTGGGATTACAGGCGTGAGCCACTACACCCAGCCTCCTGCGCTCCTCTTAACGTGGTTTCAGATTCTGCCCACGTGCCTTCCAGACTAGCTTCTGAAACACTGTCCACCTGTCAGTTGAATTATTGAGCTACTGATTTGTCTGTGACTTTTAGCTCATAATTGGACTGTCGTAAATGACGTAGATACGTAAGTACGTCCTACGGGTTATGTGGCTATGCTGCTGAGACCTCACACTCAACCCTCCAGCACTAATTCACTCTCTTTCAAAATTGTGCTGTTGCTTTCAGTGTTTGGGGAGCCCAGGAGAGGAATGTGAAACAGGACTGCCCAATCCCGCTAACACACACACACACACACACACACGCCAAGAATGTGAAACAGGACTGCCCAATCCCACTGTCACACACACACACACACACACACACACACACCAAAAACCAAAACAAACCAAAATATTCCTGAGTGCAGGAGTTATGATTTAACAAAACCTTCATATCCTCTAACATCCCCACTCCAGAGAACACCCTACTTAGAATAAAAAGCTAGGAGTGATGAGCACCATGGCTTTCAGTCTTTATGGAGCTGTGATAGCCCATCATTATTTGATTTATTCTCCTATCTTTTCCAGAGCGGATGTAGTCTTTGAATAGAATTGCATAATTTTAGGGTTTTAAGCACCCTCAGTAATCGTGCAGTTTAGTTTCCCATCTCATGCCTTCCAAAAAACTTCATACAAGTTGACCCTCATCTAGCCTTGGCCCGAGTGCTTCCACTGAACAAGAATTCAGCAGTTTTTTAAGCAGGCCCATTCCATTGTATGGACTGCCCGAATTATTAATAAGTTCTCTATGTTCGGCTAAAACTTAACTCATGGGAATTTCCACCCTAAGTCCTGATTTAACCATTTGTAGAAATGAATGACTCAGTTTTTTCACTCCCACAGAAGTGGTCTTCAGCTATTGGAGGACAGTGCCCGGCCTCCGTAGGCTCTCCAGCCTCAGCATTGCCCACTTTTCTCTTGGCTTGTTGGGCTTTTTTCTTCTTGATTTTTGGGGATTTTTGAAAATAGCCCTATGTCTTGGATATGAGTCACAAATTGCCCCCCCCCCCACCATTTCGTCATTTGTCTCCAAGCTCTGTTTACATTGGTGTTTGCCGTGCAGAAGTTTTTCTTTAATGTAATAAAATGTAGCCATCTTTTTTAAAATGACCTCTGGACTTCATGTGTTTGGAGTTTATTCATACTTAGAAAGGCCTTGTCCACTTGAGGCTGTTTAAAAAATACCCATATTTTCTGCTAGTACTTAAATGGATTTGTGTGAGTGTGTGTGTTTGTGTTTGTGTGTGTGTGTGTGTACTTAAATCTTTTATGCATCTAGAATTTATTTTAAGATAAGATGTGAGGTAGGGGTTCAAATTAATTTTTTTCCAGCTAGCTGTCTAGTTACTCCAACATTATTGAATTACTCATTTTTTCCTGTTTTGAAATGCCATTATATTAAATTCATGACACACTTTTGGATTTATTCCTAGAGTGTTTCATATGTTTTATTTCCAAGCAAACCACCACACACATCTTATACCTTCATTACTGAAATTTTTAACCTAAATGTAAAACTTGTTATGTGCTTACCTGGCATCCAGCCGGTCAGGATGGTCTGACTCTGCTCCTTCCTGCCTCAGCAGCCTCCTCTTTTGTGCCACCTGCAGGTTAATAAGCATCTCTTATGTCATTATCCAGGCCATTGACCAAGGGGTGACAATAATATTGGCCATTGTAGGGCTGTCCTTTGGACTCCAGTGGAGAGCCATTACTCACTGTTTCCTATTTTAGAAATGCAGCATGATAGGTTAAAAAGTGCTTAGGGTTTTGGTTTCAGTTGCAGAACTAAATTTGAGCATCCCTTCTATTCATTGTTTCTCAGACTTTAATGTGAACAGGAATAACCTGAGAATCTTGTTAAAATGCAAATTCTTTTTTTATTTTTAGTAGAGACGGGGTTTCACCATGTTGGCCAGGCTGGTCTTGAACTCCTGACCTCAGGTGATCCACCTGCCTTGGGCTTCTAGAATGCTGGTATTACAGACATGAGCCACAGCACCCAGCATAAAATGCAAATTCTGATTCAGTAGGTCTGGGGTAGGCCAAGATTTTGCCCCGTTTATTTATTTATTTATTTATTTATTGGACAGTATCACACTCTGTCACTCAGGCTAGAGTGCAGTGGCCTGATCATGGCTCACTGCAGCCTCAAACTCATGGACTGAAGTGATGCTCCTGCCTCAGCCTTCTTAGTAGATAGGACTGTAGACTTCTGCCACCATGCCCAGGTAATTAAAAAAAATTTTTTTACAGAGATGGGAGTCTTGCCATATTACCTGGGCTGGTATTGAAATCCTGTCCCCAAGCAACCACCCAAAGTGGGATTACAGGGTGAGCTATGGTGCCCAGACGGCTTTTGCATTTTTAATAAGTCCCCAGGCCATGCTGATGCTGATGGTCCATGGACTACCCTATACTTTGCAGGACCAAGACTAGAGTGAGTCAAGTGACATGCCCCACGAAGTGTGTGAGGAGGCACTTACTGTCTTGGCACTTGCACAAACCTGAGAGCAAGCACTTCTTTAAGTTTTGTACCCTGGGTCCCTTGCTTGCCTCACCCTAATCCCAGCCCTGATATTGTGTTTCTTATTATTGTTAGGCTTACTGCTGATGAAGCTACTAAATAGGACTCTTGAGAGGTGAGCTCTTGCTGTCTGCACTTTTTTTTTTTTTCGAGACAAAGTCTTGCTCTGTCGCCCAAGCTGGAGTGCAGTGGCGCGATCTTGGCTCACTGCAACCTCCGCCTCCCGGGTTCAAGTGATTCTCCTGCCTCAGCCTCCCGAGTAGCTGGGACTACAGACATGCGCCACCACGCCCAGCTAATTTTTGTATTTTTAGTAGAGACAGGGTTTCACCATGTTGGCCAGGATGGTCTCGATATCTTGACCTCATGATCCGCCCGCCTCAGCCTCCCAAAGTGCTGGGATTACAGGTGTGAGCCACTGTGCCTGGCCGCTGTCTGTATTTTTAAACAGGTTCCCCAGGCGACCCTTAGGCACACCAAAGTTTGAGAACCACTGAAAAAGAGAAGTTCTGACTTTTAGGATTAATTTACAGCCTGTTATGAAACCAGTGCTTGCAACCTGAAAACATCATGCTACTGTTTACCTTTAGTTTTCATGATGTGCTTGAGATAGTGGTGGCTAAGCCCGAAATATATAAATTTTTAATTTTCATGTTTGTGGGTACATAGTGGGTGTATATATTTATGGGTTGCATTTGTTTTGATACAGGCAGGCAATGCATAATAATCACATGAGGGTAAGTGGGGTGTCCAACTCAAGCATTTATCCTTTGTGTTACAGACAATCCAGTTATACTTTTTAGTTACTTTAAAATGTATAATTAAATTATTTTGTACTATAGTCACCCTGTTGTGCTAGCAAATATTAGGTCTTATTCATGCTTTGTAACTTTTTTTTTTAATCCATTAGCCCTCCCCACTTCCCTCCCATCCACCCCCCTAACCCCACCACTACCCTTCCCAGCCTGTGGTAACCATCCTTCTACTCTTTGTCTCCATGAGTTTAATTGTATTAATTTTTAGCTCTCACAAGTAAGTGAGAACATGTGAAGTTTGTCTTGCTGTGCCTGGCTTATTTTATTTAACATAATGATCTAGTTCCATCCATGTTTCATCCATCCATCCAAAGGATCACATTCTTTTTTGTGGCCAAATAGTACTCCATTGTATATATATGTACTGCATTTATTTATCCATTCATCTGTTGATAGACACTTGCTTTCAAATCTTGCCTACTGTGAATAGTGCTGCAGTAAACATGGGAATGCAGAGACCTCTTTTCTATACTGATTTCCTTTATTTGGGGTATATACCTAGCAATGGGATTGCTGGATTGTAAGGTAGCTCTGTTTTTATTTTTGGAGGAACCTCCAAACTGTTCTCCATAGTGGTTGTAAAGTTGCAAATATTGACAGTAGTTACTCAAGTGGTGCCAAACTACAGGAGAAGGCCTACTTGTATTTGGCAAAACCAACCTTTACCCACGTACTGAATCTGATAACGTGGCTTTTGCTCAAAATCCAACTCTGATGTGGTAAAAACCTTAATTGAAAGTGGACCATAGCTCAGTGCTTCTCAAACTCTAATGCGGGTAAGAATGTTCTGGGTGTCTCGTTAAAATGCAGATTCTGATTCAGCTGGCCTGGGGTGGGACCTATAAGTCTGCATTTCTGACAAGCTTTTAGAGGGTGCTGAAGCTTTAGCTCTACAGCTGTGCTTGCAAACCGAGGAGATTTTTGACTGAGCTCTAGTTCGGAACTTTTTCCTAACATATGAGAGTTTTGGTTAGGAATGTTTGGAGAAGTTATTCATGGATTTTACTTCAGCAGACAGGGAAAGATGCTTTGTATCCGCGTGACCTGCCTTGCTCACAAAAGCCAGTGATGGATTCCCAACCGTGGACCTCCCAGACTCAGGCATGACTTGTAACTTGTACTCTGCCGTCACGGTGCATGGCTGAGAGAGGGATGCCCACTGGGTAGAACACTTTGTTTCGTTTTTTTAAATGTGTGAATAGGCAATACATTTACAAGGTTCAAAATTCAAAAGATATAGAAGGAGATACACAGCGAGTAGTGTCCTCCCCTTAATTCCCCATCTGCTCAGTTCCCAATTTTCCTCACCCCTCCAACCCTGCCAAATTAGTAAAAGTACTTTATTAGTTTCTTGTGCATCTTTCCAACTATTTTTATGTAATACAAGCAAACATAAATTTATTTATATATAATTATATATAGTGTCTCTTTCTCACCTTAAAACAAATTAATGTTAACATACTATGGACATTGTTCTGCACCTTGATTTTGTTTTTTCATGAAAAAATTAATCTTGGAGATCTTTCCACATGTCCACATGAAGAGCTTTTTTTGGTTTTCTTTCTTATTGGTATCTTATTGTATGGATCTACCATACATATCGTGGTATCTTATTGTATGGTTCTACCATAATTTAACTAGAAACTTATTTACTGATGGACTTCAGATTGTTTCCAATTTCTTGCTGTTAAAATGCAAAGAATAAATTCACATTTGTATATTTTATGTACATTACACATTTTGTTTTCTTTTATTCAGCAATGTTCTATTTTATGAAGTCTTAAAATTTTATGTATCTTGAACTTTTTGTATGTTTAATGAAATATTACTTTTATATCTTTAAGTTCTCCTTTGATGAGTTTGGAATGCTTTTTCACATTCCTAATGTTATTAACACAGAACAGATTAAATATATTTATATGCATTTTTCCTTTTTTTTCCCCAGAGACAGGGTCTCGCCGTGTGGCCCAGGCTAGAGTGCAGTGGTGCAATGAAAGCTCATTGTAGGCCAGGCACTGTTGCTTACCCCTGTAATCCCAGCAGTTTCAGATACCAAGGCGGGCGGATCACCTGAGATCAGGAGTTTGAGGCCAGCCTGACCAACATGGTAGAACCCCATCTCTACTAAAAATATAAAAATTAGGCGGGCATGGTGGTGGGTGCCTGTAGTCCTGGCCACTCAGGTAGCTGAGGCAGGAGAATCACTTGAACCCAGGAGGCGGAGGCTACAGTGAGCCGAGATCACACCACTGTACTCTAGCCTGGGCAACAGAATGAGACTCCATCTCAAAAAAAAAAAAAAAATGCTCATTGTAACCTCAGACTTCTGGGCTCCAGTGATCCTGGTGCCTCAGCCTCCTACGTAATGGGCCCTACAGGTATGTGCCACCACACCTAGCTATTTTTTGTTGTTTTTTGTAGAGATGCAGTTGTTTTTTGTTTGTTTTGTTTTGTTTTTTGAGACGGAATCTCACTTTGTCACCCAGAATGGAGTGCAGTGGCACATCTCAGCTCACGGCAGCCTCTGTCTCCCGGGTTCAAGCGATTCTCCTGCCTCAGCCTCCTGAGTAGCTGGGATTATAGGCGCCCACCACCACACCCAGCTAATTTTTGTATTTTTAGTAGAGACGGGGTTTCACCATTGTTGGCCTCTGGGCTGGTCTCAAACTCCTGACCTCAAGAGATCTGCCTGCCTTAGCCTCCGAAAGTGCTGGGATTACAGGCATGAGTCACCGCTCCCGGCCAGAGATGCAGTTTTGATATGTTGTCCAGGCTGCTCTCCTGGGCTCAACTGATCCTCTTGCCCCGGCTCCCAGAGTGCTGGGATTATGGACATTGTTCTGTACCAATGTGTGCTGGGTGTGCAGTCACTGCCCAGCTGGGCTGCATATATTTTTTCCAAAACCCAGGTAAAATGTGTTCATCGCTTAAGAATCAGCATTTTTTAATTTTAATTTTTATTTTTTTGGGTGAGACAAGGTCTCACACTGTCGCCCAGGCTGGAGTGCAATGCCGCAATCTCGGCTCACTGCAACCGCCACCTGATCCTCACGCCTGATCCTTCTGAGTAGCTGGGACCATGGGCACTTGCCACCACGCCCAGCTAATTTTTTGTATTTTTTAGTAGGGATGGGGTTTCGCCATGGTGCCCAGGCTGGTCTTGAACTCCTGAGCTCAGGCAATCCTCCCACCTTGGCCTCCCAAGGTGCTGGGACTACAGGCGTGAGGCACTGCGTCTGGCTTATCAGCATTTTATTAAAAAAAAAAAAAAAAAAAGAGGAAGGAGATAATTACGTTGAAACCTGATAGTTAGAACTTTCAATTTAAGCTGAATGGGAGTGGGGCTCCTGAAAAAGAAGGTTTGTGACCAGCATGGGCAATGTCTCTACTAAGAGAAAAAAAAAGAGGGAAGAAGGTTCAACCTGCTGCCATTTAACACTGCTTCTCCCAGGAGAGCAGCCCTGTGAGGCTTGGGTTTCTCTGAATGATGTCTTGGGTTTCAACATTGTCCCCTTACTTGTTAGCCACTTTCATGGAAAAAACCCGCAATCCATGAATATTTGTCATCTCGCATGCCATTACTGGTCAAACAAAATGAATCACAAGCTGGGGCTTGAATAGAAATTCCATTATTTACAGACAGGTCAGATTAATCTATCTAGGAGGGACAGTGAAAGAGGCTATTTTTCCTGATGGTACTTTTTAAACTGCAGTAAGGTGGTGCTGTTAATGAAAATGCCAAAGAGAAAGAGTGATTTCCTTCCTAAGCAGTATTAGATTATAGTGTTGTCAGGAGTCTTGCAATTGAATTACCTTTTTGTAATCAATTCCGCCTTATCAGTTAACTCTACTTGTAATGGACTGCTGGCTTCAAGAGACTGAGTCTGGATTATTTAAAACTTCTTGCTGTAAAGGAGACATCACCTGTAGCATCTCCCCTTCCCCAGGTGGAGCATCCCCTGTTGGAGCACTTTGGAGGCTGCAGTGTTATGAGCTCTGCCCTGTCTGGGAAGGGTTCTGGAACAGGTCTGAAGCCCTCAGAGCAAAGGCTCATTTGTCTGCTTGATGCCAACGTGCTGTGGGTTCTCCAGAGGCTGGGGCTGGTTGCTTCTGAGTCCTTGTTAGTATTGTTACCGCACTTCCCATTCGCATCTGCCTGTCATGTTCTACCACTAACCCCCAGGAAGAAATGAATGGGAAATTTAGTTTGCCATGATTTTTGCCCTGATTTAACATACGGTACTTAGTTTGGGAAGCCATTTGCTGTTGAAGACCTTCTTTCTTGTTTTTTTAAGACAGAGTCTTACTCTGTTGCCCAGGCTGGAGTGCAGTGGCACAATCTCGGCTCATTGCAACCTCTGCCTCCTGGGTTCAGGCGATCTTCATGTCTCAGCCTCCCAAGAACCTGGGTTTACAGGCTCACACCACCATGCCTGGCTAATTATTGTATTTTTAGTAGAAATGGGGTTTTGCTATGTTGGCCAGGCTGGTTTCCAACTCCTGACCTCAAGTGATCTGCCCGCCTTGGCCTCCCAAAGTGCTGAGATTACAGAGGTGAACCACTGCACCTGGCCCCTGTTGAAGACTTTTGTGAAACAAAGCATTTTTTAAAGTTTCTTAAGTAATATTGGAATTAACTTAGAGTGGACTGTGTGAAGTAAATGTGTTGTCACAAACTTAACGGTGTCAACATGGTAACAATATTGAAAAATGCTTTTAATTTTGTGAGATGCGTATTCATAGAACTAAGAGTCAGAAGTTCTTGAACCTTGATTCCTGTTTGCCTCTTACTGATAATGGACTATATTTAGCCTTTTCTTGGGTTGGGTCCTTATCAAAGAATGAGAAGACTAACTAATAGTAACAATAATATGTGTTTGCTGTATGACAAGAGCTAGCCAGGTGATTTGCAGTTTTAGTAGGGTAAGGTACAGCACTATGAACCATTTCTATAACAAAAAGGAAATGTATCATGTCAAAAGAGTAAACAAAGTTTTTTAGAGAAGAGGAAAACAAATCTTGAATTTGTTATTTGTACAAATATACATAGAAGGCTATCAGGGCTGTCTGAGTTTTCTTTCATGTGTGAGAATGAAGGTAAAACTTGCTCCAGGTGCTTAGATAAGACTTGAAGGAAACACAGGCATTTATTTGGTTTATTGTTAGATCAATATAGAGTTGTACGGCAATCTTTTACATTTTCCACTCTCAAGACCTAGAAATGCATGGTATAATAGCTTAGAAAGACAACTGGTGTGAAGTATGTTCATTATTCTTTTTTTTCTTTGAGATGGATCTCGCTCTGTGGCCGAGGGTGGAGTGCAGTGGCACAATCTCGGCTCGCTGCAACCTCTGCCTCCCGGGTTCAAGCAATTCTCTTGCCTTGGCCTCCCAAGTAGCTGAGATTACAGGCATGCACCACGACGCCCAGCTAATTTTTTGTATTTTTAGTAGAGATAGGGTTTCACCATGTTGGCCAGGCTGGTCTCGAACTCCTGACCTCAGGTGATCCACCCACTTTGGCCTCCCAAAGTGCTGGGATCACAGATGTGAGCCATCACGCCAGGCCTGTTCATTATTCTTGATGATCTCACATTTGACTTACAGTGCACTTTTATGTCATGTGATGAGGTGATACGTTTGAAGATGAAAGAGGGCATTTAAAAGTAGCTGAGGACAGAATCAGAACTTTAGTAGTTACAGTGAGGAAGTCAAAATCTCTCCCCACAAAACAACAATAATACCAGACAAAATTGTTAAAAGCAACTGTTTCAGGGCTCTAGAAATGGAATAAATGCAAGAAAGAAATGGAGAAGCATTTATCCAAGAGAAACTGCCAAACTTCAGGTAAGAACAATGGGAGTCTTTGACTCCTTGCCTAAATGGTAGGGGGTTACTCCCATCCCTTCCTGCCATTGGTGTGGTAATTCTGTTAGGGTACAGCAGGCCGTGAAAACTAACAGCTTGGCTGCCAGAGGTAATGCGCTTGATTTGGAGCAGGTGAAAAGCCCCTGTCCGGTGGCATTGACAGTGAAAGTAATGACCCTCAGTAGCAAGAGAACAAGGAAGGCCAACAGTTCTGGTAGTGAGAGAGCTATCCCAAGTGGGTCAAGCAACAGACTGGCAAACTAGCCCAAAACTTAATTAACAGAGATCCTGGAAATGAGACAGTTACAGAGGGGTCTGAAGGGCTGTCCACACATTTCTGGCTGACTTAGAAGCCTCTGCACACATGCAGGTAAAACTAGAGAGATCCCATGGTACCCATTTGTCCCTGGTTGGCTGGGAATCTGCATGAACGTATGAAGGAAATGTGACAGGGCTGATCCGAAAGGAAAAGTGGGATAGACCTGAAAACTGCTTGAACTTTTGCTCCCTAACCCTGCACAGACCCATGGGCAGAGGTTGGAAGCCTAGTAGGCTCAAGAGATGCAAACACAACCTGTAACCAATCATTGCCTGATCACTAAGCTGTGTGTCAGCAAGTCAGGCTTAAAAATAAAAACAAGAATTTGAAAAGAAAAACTGGAAAAAAGAAGAAAAGAAACTGAGTAGAGACATCAAATAGCCACACATCACAGGGGAGACAGATTTTGTAGATTTAGTCAGGGCAAATTACTAAAGAAATAACACACGTGAAAAATTACAGTTGAGAGTTGCTACAATATATTATCTAAAACATCTAGTTTTTTAAAATTATGATTATGTCTGTAATTTATTATGGTTATGTCTGTAAGGAATGGCTACAGAAAACAAACAGAAAAACAAACACTAATGGGACAAAAAAAACAGGAAAGGGTGGTTCATATTCAGGGAAGATAATCAGTCAATAGAAACTGTCTCTGAGAGAGCCTAGATGTTAGGTTTAGTAAACAAAGACTTCAACACAGCTATTATACATGTGTTCAGGAAATACAGGAAACTATGCATGTCATGTTTAAATATTTAAAGAAATGTATGATGACAGTGACTCAATAAATCTCAATAAAACAGAAACTGTAAAAAAGAACCAAATGCAAATTCTGGAGATGAAAAATACAGTAACTAAAATTAAAAATTCACTACAGGAATTCAACAGCAGATTTGAGACACAGAAGAAAGAATCAGTGAACTTAAAGATAGATCAATAGAAACTGCCAATCTGAAGAACCTGAGAGAAAAAAATGAACAGAGCCTCAGAGATCTGTGGGACAACATCAGGCATACCAACACACATGTCACAGACTCCTACAAGGAAAGGAGAAGAAAGGGCAGAAAAAAAATGTATGAAGTAACAGCCAGAAACTTCCTACATTTGATGAAAATCATGAATCTATGAAAACTTCAAATCGGATAAATATTAAGGGATCCACACCTAGGCATATCCTGGTCAAATAATTGACAGGCAAAGACAAAAAGAGGCTGGGTGTAGTGGCTCACGCCTGTAACCCCAGCACCCCAGCACTTTGGGAGGCTGAGGTGGGCAGATCACTTGAGGTCAGGAGTTCGAGACCAGCCTGGCCAACATGGTGAAACCCCCGTCTCTACTAAAAAATACAAAAATTAGCTAGGCATGATGGCACATGCCTGTAATCCCAGCTACTCAGGAGGCTGAGGCAGGAGAATCGCTTGAACCTGGAAAGTGGAGCTTGCAGTGAGCCGACATCATGCCTGCCACTGCACTCCAGCTTGGGCGACCAAGTAAGACACTGTCTAAAAACAGACAAAGACAAAAAGAATAAGAATGTCTTGAAAGCAGCAAGAAAAAGATAACTCCTCAAGTTTTTTATTGTAACAGTATGAATGTTTGCTGACTTCTCAGCAGAAACAGTGTAGGGTAGAAGGCAATGGAATGACATATTCAAAGTACTGAAAGAAAAAACGAAACAAAACAAAATTTTTATATCTAGCAAAAGTATTCTTCAAAAATGAAGGCAAAATAAAGACATTCCTAGATAAACAAAGACTAGGAATTGCTTGCTACGAGATCTACCTGAAAGAAGTTTTTTTGACTGAGAGGAAAATTCTACCAATGGACAGTAATTTAGATCCACAAGACTAAAGGAAGAACACCAAAATTGCCAAATATTTGGGTAAATGTAAGATAATATATAAAAATAGCTGAGGCTTAAAGTAGTAAAGAACATTCTCCTGGTAAGAGGAAAATGATAACAATGGAAACTTGAGTCAATTTAAAGGAATAAAGAATGCTAAAAATAGTAAGTATGTAGGTAAACATAAGAAATTTTCTAATGTTGTAATTTTTCTAAATGGTAATTGACAGTAAAAAGCAAAAATAATAACAATGTATTATGGAGTTAAAACATGTAGAATAGAGAGTAAAGGGGTGATTCCTGGAGGCTGGGAAGGTTAGGGGGTAGTGGGAGGGAAGTGGGTTAGTTAATTGGTACAAAAAGAAAGAATGAATAAGAGCTAGTATTTGCTAGCACAACAGTGTGACTGTAATCAGAAATAATTGTGATATAAAAATAACTAATTATTGTCTGTGACACAAATGATAAATGCTTAAGATGATGGATACCCCATTTACCCTGATGTGATTATTAGGTATTGCATGCCTATATCAAAGCATCTCAAATAACCTATAAATATATACACCTTCTATATACCCACAAAAATTAAAAATAAATTTTTAAAATTTAGAAATGAAATATACGGCCATAATAACAAAAGACATAAGGAAAAAAAAATACCTGAGACTCTCTTGTAGTTTGTTGAGTGTAATTGGCATAATCCTTTTGAAAGCTAGTTGGGCAGTAGCCATTAAAAATGTACTTTTTAAAAATTAATTATTATTATTATTTTTTGAGACAGAGTCTCACTCTATTGCCCAGGCTAGAGTGCAGTGGTGTGATCACAGCTTACTGCAGCCTTGACCTCCTGGGCTCAAGTGATCCTCTCAGCTTAGCTTCCCAGGTAGCTGGGACTACAGGCACACACCAGCATGCCTGGCTAATTTTTGTATTTTTTATAGAGATGGGTGTCTCGTGAGGCTGTACTCACACTCCAGGCCTCAAATGATCCTCTTGCCTCGGCCTCCCAGAGTGCTGGCATTACAGGTGTGAGCACCATGCCTGGCCTGCCATTAAAAATTTAAATGTTTAGTCCTTTTGACTTAGCACTTTCAGTTTTAAGAACACATATCATAGAAACACTACAATAACTTTGTAATAACTAAGAACTATAAAAAAGTCAAATGCCCATCAGAAAGGGACTGATTAAGTAAGTAGTATATTTATTTTGACTAACTATTATAACCATTAAAAGGAATGAAGTCAGGCCGGGTGCGGTGGCTCACGCCTGTAATCTCAGCACTTTGGGAGGCCAAGGAGGGCGGATCACTTGAGGTCAGGAGTTCAAGACCAGCCTGGCCAACATGGTGAAACCCCTTCTCTACTAAAAATACAAAAATTAGCTGGGCATGTTGGCGTGCATCTGTTATCCCAGCTACTTGGGAGGCTGAGGTGTGAGAATTGCTTGAACCAGGGAGGTGGAGGTTGCAGTGAGCCGAGATTGCACCACTGCACTTCAGCCCAGGTGACAGAGTGAGGCTCCATCTCAAAACAAAACAAAACAAAAAAGAATGAAGTCACTATATATGTTTTAACATGGAAAGGTGTCCACTTAACAGCTGCTAAATGTGATGCATTTGGTCGAAAAGAGATTGAGCAGCACAGAAGTATATGCTCAAAGGTATGTGTGAGCATGTGCACATGCACACGCACTTTTTTTTTTTTTTTTTTTTTTGAGATAGAGTCTCCCTCTGTCACCCATTCTGGAGTGTAATGGTGTGATCTTGGCTCATTGCAACCTCTGCCTCCTGGATTCAAGCAAGTCTGCCTCAGCCTCCCGAGTAGCTGGGATTACAGGCGTGCGCCACCACACATGACTAATTTTTGTATTTTTAGTAGAGACAGGTTTTCACCACGTTGGTCAGGCTGGTCTCGAACCCCTGACCTCAGGTGATGCGCCTGCCTCGGCCTCCCAAAGTGCTGGGATTACAGGTGTGAGCCACCATCCCCAGCCAACACGCACTTTTTTTTCTTCAGCCTTTTAATAGTGATCTTCTCTGGCGATTTATAGGATTGTTCCACTTTATTATATATTTCCAAAATAAGAGGTTTTTTTCCTACTGTGTGTTTCTACTTTTTCTACTTTTCAAACTATTACTTTAAAAACAAATATTTTATAAACATACACATTTTAAAAAGTAGCTCATAGCATAACATTAACTTTGTATTTGAAATTGTGAGATGAAATCAAGTACCCGGTCTATAAACAGCACTTTCTACATCCATTCCACATCTTGTGTTCGTGTGTGTGTGTGTGTGTGTGTGTGTGTTTTACATGTCTGTTCAGTACATTATAAGATCTTTGGGGGGCAAAACTGATCTTTTTTTTGAGACGGAGTTTCGCTCTTGTTGCCCAGACTGGAGTGCAGTGGCATGATCTCGGCTCACTGCAACCTCTGCCTCCCAGGTTCAAGCAATTCTCCTGCCTCAGCCTCCTGAGTAGCTGGGATTACAGGCATGCACCACCACACCTGGCTAATTTTGTATTTTTAGTAGAGATGGGGTTTCTCCATGTTAGTCAGGCTGGTCTCGAACTTGCCACCTCAGGCGATCCACCCGTCTCGGCCTCCCAAAGTGCTGGGATTACAGGCTTGAGCCACCACGCTCGGCCAAAACTGATCTTATTCATATTTGTTCAATTTCTCCCCCACATCCCCTCTCTCTATTCCTATCATATAGTGCTTTGCACATAACAGACCATCTGTGAATATTTATACTTTATTAAAGACATATAAAATAGTAATTATTCTCTACAGCAATTGGAATCCAATACAGTAATCTATATACAGTTATTTGATCCACTGACATACGTTCTTTCTCTTTCTCCCAAAAATAACCATTGAGACTAACAAAACCAAAACAAAACCGAAACAAAGAGCTCTAGCTTTTCCCATCTTCTCCAGTTACTAAATGTAGAACAGACTGGGTTTTGCTGACTTCTAGGCAGGAAACAGATTCTATTTCTAGGAACAGAATTCCTATATCTAACTGAGCTATTCTTTTTCTTTTATGTTGTTTCCTTTTCACTAAAATAGAAAAAAAAAAGAAACATTTTAAGCCTTTCTACCTTTGCTATATGACTTTATCACATGCAACATTTGGAATATTTGATCTAATAAATTTCTAAAGACAATTAGGACTTTGCCACTGAAGTGTTATTGTTCATTACTTGAAAACGTGTTACTTTTAAATGTTTTGTTTATAGCACTATGCCTTTAAAAGTAAGGTGTTATATTTAAAAATCCAAAAAGTAAATTACTTTCTGTTGGATTAGAGGAAATTTCCATTAAGGGAGATTGAAGTGGTTGCATAAACCCTCCTACAGATAACAATTGAAAGATCTGGGTAAAATATAAGAAACAACTAAAAGCATCCAAAAGCTGTCCCTAGAACCTGAGGAGAATTGACTCCTGAAACACTATAATAGAAGGAGCAAGAATTGCAAGTTTGTGACTTTTTTGCCAGAGGTTATGCATCAGTACCCATGGTGGTTTCAGTAGAAAGAAATGATAGTGGAAAGCTGCAGCCTTACAGATGAGAGGTGCCAAAGAAGAGAAGTCAGGGATGGAAGACAAGCTGGAAAGTTCAGGGGGGAATCCTGGAAACAAGAGAGGACTACAGAAAGGGGGAGGCCCCACATCTGAGTGAAAACTGCCCAAATTCCTGGTTGACTATTAAACTCTAAATGTATAGTGAAATCCCAGGGAGCCCAGCAAGACAAAAACAAAAATAAAAACCAGCCAACCAATGAAACAAAGCAAGCAGGCAGAGGCTAGAGAGGAATCTACCCTTAAAAGACAGACCTATACTAGATGAGATCTGTGAGGTTCATGCTTTTTAAAACAGTATATCCCTAAACTGTGAGCAGCGAAGCAGTGGAAAGCTGAAGCCTTACTGGCTTGGGGTTCAGAGGAAAGACCCTAATATTGCCCAAGCAGCTGAAAACTTAGGAGGAAATCACAAGAACACAAAAGTCACAGAGTGTGAGCCCCTAAATCTGAGTATGATCAGCCTAAATCCCTGGCTGTCTGCCAGATTACACAGAAGCATGGGAGACCCCAGGGAGCTAGGCTAGACGTTGTAAGAGCTGAGCAGAGATAGCAGCTGCTTCATACGACAGGAGAGACAGTTCGCAGTTTGAATCCAGGCAAGTTAACTGCCTACTAGAATATAAAAAGAGAAAGTTCTCAGAAGAACACAGTAGAATCCAGAGTTGCTATAACATCTTATCTACAATGCCAAGTTTTCAATCTACAATTACTAGACATGTAAATAAAATGGAAAGTCTAACTCATACTCAGGAAGAAAAGCAGTCAGTAGAGACTGACTCTGAGCATCTAAGTGGGTACAGTGTTGGATTTTGCAGGCAGACTGCAAAGCCACTGTGCTATGATCAAAGAATTAAAGGAAAAATAAGTGAACAGATAGAGAAATTGTAACAAAGAAATGGAAAGTGAAAAAATGGAAGTTGTAGAGCTCAAATAAGTAATAGCTGAAATAAAAACTCACTGGAGGCCGGGTGCAGTGGCTTACACCTATAATCCCACAACTTTGGGAGGTCAAGGCAGCAGGATCACTTGAGCTCAGGAGTTTGAGACCAGCCCGGGCAACATAGTGAGACCCCACCTCTACAAAGCAATTTTAAAATGAGCCAGGCATGATGGTATGTGCCTGTAGTGCCAGCTACTTGGGAGGCTGAGGTGGGAGGATCGTTTGAGCCCAAGAGATCGAGGCTGCAGTGAGCTGTGATCGTGCCACTGCACTCCAGCCTGGCTGACAACATGTCTCAAAAGAAAAAAAAAGTTCACTAGATGTGCTCAACAGCAGTTTTGAAATGACAGAGAAAAGAATCTGTGCCGTTGAAGATAGATCAATAGAAATTATCCCATCCAATGAAGAGAGGAGCAAAGATTGAAGAAAAGTGAGTAGAGCCTCAGAGACTTGTAGGACGATATCAGGTAGCCTAACATAAGTGTACTTGGAGTCTTAGAAAGGGAAGAGAAAAATAGGCAAAAAACAATATTTGAAGAAATAATATCCCCAAACTTCTTAAATATGGTAGAAAACACTATAGATTCAAGAAGTTCAGTGGAGTCTGAGCACAAAGGAAAAGCACTCATAGGCATATCATAGTCAAATTGCTGAAACCAAAGATAAAAAGAAAATCTTAAAAGCAGATAGAGATCCTTTTGCAGCTCATGAGTGTGACGATTGGGTGTTCATGCATGTGTGTGAGGTGTGCCACCCTCTGAACCTTGTTACAACATCAGCACATTACGTCTCTGAACTTGCATGGGGAGGGGAAGCAGGTAGAGAAAAGTGACACATTACATAAAAGGGATCAGTGTTACAAATGTGACTGACTTTTCATCAGAAATGAAGGAGGCCAGAAGACACTGGAACAGTATAGTCAAATACTGAGAGAAAAACCCTGTCAACCAAGAATCCAGTATCCAGAGAAACACATTTTCAAAAATGAGGGCTAAAGACATTTTCAGAAAAACAAAAATTGAGAGAATTCATCACCAGCAGACTTCCACTAAAAGAAGTTTTCAGAATGAAGGGAAATGATACCAGGTGGTAACTCATCTACAGGAAGAAATAAAGGGCATTGGAAATAGTAAATATGTAGGTAAATATAAAAGACTATGATTTTTTTCCTTCTCTAATTTCTTTAAGATACATATGTGTTTTTTTTTGAGATGGGGGTCTCACTATGTTGCCCAGGCTTGAGTGTGTTGGCTATTCACAAGGACAATTATGGTGCACTATAGCCTTGAACTCCTGGGCTCAAGCTATCATCCTGCTTCAGCCTCCTGAGTAGCAGAGACTACAGGCATGTGCCACTGTGCCTGCTGGTGACATAAGAAACAAGATTTTAAAGATTTTATAACACTCTAGTGCTGGGTTTATAATGTACATATAGGTTGGTCACAGTGGCTCACACCTGTAATCTCAGCCCTTTGGGAGGCCAAGGTGGGAGGATTGCTTGAGCCCAGAAGTTTGAGGCCAGCTTGGGCAACATGGTGAGACCTTTTCTCTACCTAAAAAATAAAAAACCTGGCCAGGCGCGGTGGCTCACGCCTGTAATCCCAGCACTTTGGGAGGCTCAGGTGGGCGGATCACGAAATTGGGAGATCGAGACCATCCTGGCTAACACGGTGAAACCCCGTCTCTACCAAAAATACAAAAAAATTGCCCGGCATGGTGGTGGGCACCTGTAGTCCCAGCTACTCTGGGGGCTGAGGCAGGAGAATGGCGTGAACCCGGGAGACGGAGCTTGCAGTGAGCCGAGATGGTGCCACTGCACTCCAGCCTGGGTGACAGAGCGAGACTGTCTCAAAACAAACAAACAAAAAAAACCTTTTAAACATAATATGTATATAGGTGTAATTATGACAACAGTAGCACTAAGATGGGGCAGGGCAAATGGAAATTTACTGTTGTAAGATTTGTACATTTTACCTGCTTAGAAGAGACACACTTTAAACACAGAGACACAGGTTAAAAGTGAAAGGATGGAAAAAGATTATACCATGAAAAGAATACACATAAGAAAGCTGAAGTGGCGATATTAACATCAAATGAAATAAATTTTAAGATGAGGAATATTGCTAGAGATTAAGGATACTTTATAATGATAAAAGGGTCAGTATCTTACAGAGCTATAAAAATCTTCAATGTGTATGTCCCTGATAACAGAGCTTCAAAATACTGAACCAGGTGCAGTGGCTCACGTCAGTAATCCCAGTGCTTTGGGAGTCCAAGGCAAGAGTATTGCTTGAGGCCAGGAATTCAAGACCAGCCTGGGCAACATAGTGAGATCCCATCTCTGCAAAAAAGTTTTAAAAATTAGCTTATTGTAGTGGTGCACACCTGTAGTCCTAGCTGCTCTAGAGGCTGAGGCAGGAGAATTGCTTGAGCCTGGGAATTCAAGGCTGCAGTGAGCTATGATAGCACCACTGCCCTCCAGCCTGGGCAACAGAGTGAGACCCTGTCTCTAAAAAATAAAAATAGAGAGGCTACTAGGACTGGTAAGTGAGTTTAGCGAGATACAGTAGGATCTCACTACTGTAAGAATACAAGGTCAGTATATCAAGAAAACCATTTATGTTTTGGTCAGAATACCAAAATAACAGATAACTGGAAAAAAAATTTTAAGTATAGTATTCCACTTGCCATATCATCCAAATACATGAAGTACTAGGGATAAATTTAACAAAATGTATGTAAAACTTACATACTGAAAACTACAAAATATTAGTATAAATAGGCTCGTGGATTGGAAATCTCAGTATCATAAACATAATCAATTTTCTACAAATTCATCTGTAGATTCAATACATTCTCAATCAAAATTTCTGCGTATTTTTGTTGTAGAAATTGAAAAGCTGGTTCTAGAATGTGTATGGAATGCAAAGTACTTAAAACTGGCAAAGCCAGCAAAAATTGAGGACTGACTTCTACAGCACCGCAAGGCTGTGATACTGGCAAAATAATAGACATGTACATAAATGAGAAGATGGAATCCAGAAAGAGATCCACACGTAAATAGACAATTGATTTGCAGCAAAGGTCCTGAGGCAATTCAATGGGGAAAGGAACATCTTTTCAACACATGGTACAGCAGCAACTAAATATCTGTGTGGAAGAAAACAAACATTAACCCATACCTTATACACTGCCCAGAAAGCTCAAAACGGACCAAAGTCCTAAACGAGTTAAAACTATAAAGCTTCTGGAAAAATTATAGGGGAAAACGTTCATGTGACTTCTGGGTGTGAAAAGATTTTCTAAGTAGGATACAAAAAGCACATACCATAAAATAAATGAATGCTAAATTGGACTTTATCAAAATTGAAATGTGCTTTTTCAGAAAGGAATGAAGAAAATGTACAATATGGGATAAAATGTTTACAATAGATAAATCTGACAAAGGATTGTAAAGAACTCTTACAGTTCAGTAATAGTAACCCCATTTTTTAAATGCACAAAAGATTTCAAAGTATACTTCACAAGGTAAGATAAAACAGTGGCCAGGAGCTACATAAAATACTTCATATTATTAATTATCAGAGAAAAGCAATTTCCAGCCATAATGAACTACCGCTCTTTACCCTCTACGTATGGCTAAAATTTAAGAGACTGATAGCTCCAGGTGTTGGCAAGGATGTGGCACAAGCAGAACTTTCATATCCTCTGTTGAGAATGTAAAGTAGTACTAGTTTAGAGAACAGTAGTTTGTTTTAAAGTTAAACAACAGTTACTCAAGGATACAGTAATTCCATGCCTAGATATTTATCTGAGAGGAATGAAAACGCAGAGGCTTCTCCATGAGTGTTTGTAGCAGCGTATTCATGACGGCCAAAGGCTGGAAACAATCCGGGGGCTCATCAGGTGAATGGATGAACAAACTGTGCTGTCCCAGTCCAATGAGAGCTCTGAGCAGGAAAAAGGAGCTCTAGACAGCATGGATCTGGCTCAAAAACATGCTTTGTGAAAGAAGCCAGACCCAGAGGTGTACATGCTGTATATTTATATAAAAGTCTCAAAGGTGCAAACCAGTGGATAGTGACAATAAAATAAAGGAGTGATTGCCTGGGGCTTGGGTGGAGGGAAGATTGCAAAGAGGCGTAAAGGAACTTTCAAGGGTGATGGAAATGCTCAGTGTCTTTATTGTGGGGGTGTTTCCACTGGTATATTGTATGTAAATTTTGTTTATTGTCTGTAAATTATATCCTCCACAAAGTTGTTTCATTTTTTAAATTATATATATATATATATATATATATATATATATATATATATATATATATAGTTTTTTTTTTTTTAAGACAGAGTCTTGCTCTGTCCCCCAGGCTGGAGTGCAGTGGTGTGTGATCTCGGCTCACTGCAACTTCTGCCCCCCGGGTTCAAGCCATTCTCCTGCTTTCCGCAGCTGGGATTACAGGCATGTACCACCACGCCCAGCTAATTTTTGTGTTTTTAGTAGAGATGGGGTTTCACCATGTTGGCCAGGCTGGTCTTGAACTCCTGGCCTTAAGTGATCCATCCGTCTTGGCCTCTCAAAGTGCTGGGATTGCAGGCGTGAGCCACTGCACCTGGCCTAAAGTTGTTTTTTAAAAAAATCTTTCCGGCTGGGCATGGTGGCTCATGTCTGTAATCCCAGCACTTTGGGAGGCCGAGGCAGGCGGATCACAAGGTCAGGAGATCGAGACCATCCTGGCTAACACGGTGAAACCCTGTTTCTACTAAAGATACAAAAAATTACCCGGGCGTGGTGGTGGGCACCTATAATCCCAGCTACTCGGGAGGCTGAGGCAGGAGAATGGCGTGAACCTGGGAGGCGGAGCTTGCGCGAGCCGAGATGGCGCCACTGCACTCCAGCCTGGGCGACAGAGCGAGACTCTGTCTCGAAAAAAAAAAAAAAATCTTTCCATGGTTTAATAAAGGCAGCTATTCAGTATTCACTCTCTAGGTGATGATTATACTTTAGGTTGTTTATTCTCTTTCCCAGAACCTCTTTCTTGTTCAGGTATCAGATTCTTCTTTGTGGTGATGTTCTTCTAGGAAGAATGTTCTGACCCCAAGTTCTGGTCATTTTGCTTTGTTTGATAATTTTGTCTCCCCTCAATTACGTAGGATGGTACATGTTACCAAGTTGTGACCAATGACAAATGAACAGATGTCTTCAGGGTCAGGAGAGACTTTTAGAAAAGATGGAGAAATGAGATGGATTATATTTCCTCCCTCCCCAACCCCACTAAAATGACAGTAAAGGAATTTTCTTTTAAAAAAGTTACAAATCTATAAGGATGAAGAGATTGGGAGAGGAGATCACAGTGGGCCAGAATTTTTCCCTACAAAATTTTGAAAACTGAAATGTAGGTGCATATATGATGAGTCATTTAGGTTTCAACTTCATCTGCTCCACTAAGTATTTGCAGTGGAGGAAGCTAACAGGAAGCAATCCTGTTTTCAGCCACATGTGGGCCATGTTCTGAGATAAGTTTTAGGTACCTGTGAATATAGGATATACACTGGGGCTGAAAACAGGAAAATGAGTTGAAAGTCTGAATGTGGAAGAGTTAGCACCCCAGATCCCCATCCCCAAAGAATATGTGTGTCAAAGTCTAACCTGGGGAAACCCTGTTATAAATGAGGGTGGGAGGCAGGTTTCTTACCCAAAATAGTAGATCAAGTTGAAGTCTGCATATTCAGCCAGATCTTTCCACCTACCTTCCTGTCTTGGCTGTGGGACTTGTTATCACAGACACCATCTCTGCCCACCAAGACATTGAAAGACCTCAGAGCAACTGACCCATCCTTGGCTCCTAGAATACTCATTTATAAGCCCCTCAGCCAGGACATTATCACATTTCTGTCTGGGGAAATTGACTAGCCTATGGGAAAAAAAAAAAACCTAACATGGTATTTAGAATTTCCTTATCCCATCACATGCTGTGAGGTCCCACAGGAAGCAAGCGGTGCTTATCCACATAGAATTTCTAGTTAGCTCTTTAGCACCTCTTTTGTTTTTTGAGACAGGGTCTGGCTCTGTTGCCCAGGCTGGAGTGCAGTGGCATGATCACAGTCTTGGCTCACTGCAGCCTCCTTCCCCTGGACTCAAGTGATCTTCTCACCTCAGCCTCCCGAGTAACTGAGACTACAGATACGCGCCACCACACTTGGCTAATTTTTTTGTATTTTTTGTAGAGACAAGGTTTTGCCATGTTGCCCAGACTAGTCTCGAGCTCCTGAGCTCAAGTGATCCACTGGCTTTGGCTTCCCAAAGTGCTGGGACTACACGTGTGAGCCACTGTGCCCGGCCTGCACTTTGAAAAACAAATTCCTTAGAGATAAGATGTTACATCAAGGAAACAAGAGCAGGATGCCATGTAAAGGAACTATTCAAGAATGTTCTTGAGAATTGAAAAATCTCACTAAGTGAAGATTGCAGTAAAGCAGTTGGAAGATAGGCCGGGCGTGGTGGCTTACAACTGTAATTCCAACACTTTGGGAGGCCAGTGTTGATGGCTCACTTGAGACCAGGACTTTAAGACCAGCCTGTGCAATATGGTGATGATACCCTGTCTCTACAAAAACAGAAAAAACTAACTGGGTATGGTGGGGCACACCCCTAGTTCTAAGTACTTGGGTGGCTGAGGTGGGAGTATTGCGTGAGCCCAGGAGTTCTAGGCTGCAGTGAGCTATGACCACACCACCACACTCCAACCTGGGTGGCAGAGAGAGTAAAGTAAAGCAGTTGGTCAAAGATAATAGACAATAAGTGGAAGAAAAAAGAAAATTAAAGGACATCTAGGAGGTCCAACATCTGACTATTGGAGTTCTAGAAAGATGAAGGACAAGGCATTATTTAAAAAGCAACACAAGAGGTTTTCCCCAAAAATGTCTCAGATGGATAAGAGCTCACCCAGTGTCCAGAATGAAAAAAGTGATGAAAAAGACCCTCAACAGAGTACATTGTCATGAAATTTTGTGACACTGATGACAAATTTTAAAAGCATCAGAGAGAAAAGTCACATAAAAATGATCTAAAACAAGTGACATTAGACCAGTTAACAATAGCACTGGGATCTATAAGATAATAGATGAATGCCATCTAAAGCCTGATGGAAAAATTTTCAGTCTATAATTCTACACCTAGTCAAACTGTCAAATCAAGAGTGAAAAATGTTTTCAGAAATGCAGGGTCTCGGCCGGGCGTGGTGGCTCACGCCTATAATCCCAGCACTTTGGGAGGCCAAGGCAGGTGGATCACCTGAAGTCGGGAGTTCGAGACCAGCCTGACCAACATGGGGAAACCCCATCTCTACTAAAAATACAAAATTAGCTGGGCGTGGTGGCACATGCCTGTAATCCCAGATACTCAGGAAGCTGAGGCAGGAGAATCACTTGAACCCGGGAGACGGAGGTTGCCGTGACCCAAGATCACGCCATTGCCCTCCAGCCTGGGCAACAAGAGCAAAACTCAGTCTCAAAAAAAAAAAAGAAATATTGAGTCAAAGAGTATGTGCATATGCAAGGTGGGGAGACATTACCAAACTGCCCTCCATAGGGGTGTGCCAGTTACATTCCCACAAGCTAGGTACCAGTGCCTGCTTCCCCACAGCCTGGCCAAGAGATTGTCGTAGGTTTTTCAGTTTTGGGGGTGGGGGAGCGGGTGGTATTTGCTGATCTGGTAAATGTAGGATGGCAGCTGTTTAGTGTTGATCAATCCACCCTTATGAGACTGACATGGAAGGTTACTCCACTTTCACAGAAACAGTGGAAAAAGTCCAGCTATCTTTACATTTAACAAGCTGTAAGGAAATGCTAATGGATTAAGAAATTAACCACAGGACCTAATTAGAAAAAGATCTGGCAACATGCCCAGCTCATCCAGCGGGAGAGGGAGAAAATATTCTGCATTCGTGACACTGTTTAGAAAGGGGTAATTTAAATGCCCTTTAATCTGGGCTAGTATTGTCCAATTAAGAAGTCTGTTAGGATGATAACACTTGGGTTTTTTAATACTTAGTGTGGTGAAGCAGATTTATTTTCTCCCCTTAGTATATTTATATTGAATGGTAAAGGTTATAGTTTAATTAAATAAGCTACACATTTCCTGTTTTCTTTTAAACCACTGTGCTAGGAGTTAGATTCATTAAGAGTTGGACATGGTCTCTGTTCTTCAACACATTAGCGCAATGTGACTGTAATTCAAATTGGAGTTTGACACCCAAGTTTTATATCTAATTTAGGCAGCCTAACCTAGTTAACACAGATTGGTGCTAGATCCTGGCTGACACCTACTAGCTGCGTGACCTCAGGTAAACTACTGAAGTTTTCTGCACCTCAGTTTTCTCAAATATAAAATAAAGATTATAATTGTTTTGAAGATTAAATTATATACATTGCACATAACAGTATCTGGCTTATAGTGTTATATGTTTGCCAGTATGATGTTACACCCCCACAAATTGTGAAAGTTTTGTTTAAAAATATATTTTCCTGATTAAAAAAATTAATGCATGATCTTTATAGGAAATGTGGGATATATAGAAAAGCTTATTTTTTTTTGAGATGAGGTCCCTTGGCCAAGATGGTGTACGGTAGCCCTAACATGACTCACTGTATCCTCAATCTCCTGGGCTCGAGTGATTCTCCCACCTCAGCCTCCCAAGTAGCTAGGACTACAGGCATGTGCCACCATGCCTGGCTGATTTTTTTTTTTTTTTTTTTTTTTGGCAGGGGAGTGAGGGTGGGGATGACGTCTCACTATGTTTCCCAGGCTGGTCTTGAACTCCTTAGGCTCAAGCGATCCTCCTGCCTCGGCCTCCCAAAGTGCTGGGATTATAGGTGTGAGCCACTGCACCTGACCAAAAAGCATTTTTTAAAAACTCATCTATCACCTCACCACTAATAGAACAGTGTTAGCATCTGGGCACATCCTCAGAGGCAGTCTTGCTTGCATTGTGGTTAAGAACATGGACTCTGAAGCCACCTACCTGGGTTCATATTCAGGTCCCGCTGTTTACTAATCTCTGTTCATCTCTCTCAGTTTCCTCATCTGTAAGATGTGGCTAATAGTACCCCTCACTTAGTGAGGATAAAAGATGCTAATATATGTAGAGCATCTAGAATAGGCGAGGCAGAGGTAAGTGTATGTGTTTGTGTTGTTGTTGTTATTCTGTGTGTATGGCCAAAGTTTAAAGAAATTTCATCAGCCTCTGAAATAGAGAATATATATATGGCACTCATGAGTGGTGCCGGCAGGCAAGAAGTGCTACAGGGGATAAACAAACATACACAAATATGTAATTTCCGTGACTGGCAGATGGCTGAAAGGCACTAAAAAAAAATTAGCCGGGCGTGGTGGCATGTACCTGTCATTTCAGCTACTCAGGAGGCTGAGGGAGTTAGGATCATAAGAGCCCAGGAGTTCAAAGCTTCAGTGAGCCGAGATCACACTGCTGTACTCTAGCCTGAGGGACAGAGCAAGAATCTATCTCTAAAACGAAAATAAAAACACCAAATAAATAAAAATAAAGAAGGCACTAGAGTGGAGAAAGGAAACTGAAGTAGAGCGGATGGAATCTTAGTTCCCCCTAGCTAACTGGAAAATAATTTCTTCCTGGGCAATTAGAAAAAAAAGTGAATAAATCTGTGGTTTAAAACTCAAGTAAAAGATAAGAATGTCTATATTGTGGGTAATAAAAAAAGATCCTATTACTCTAATTTCATTGGGACAATGAATAAATTCCCACTTTAAATCTCAGCCAGAAAAGTAAGTAGAAATTCAATTGGCTACATTTTTTTTTCCTACGGAAAAACCCTTACTCTGATTTGCAAAACAGATAAATTAGAGAATGAGCATTCACAGCCTCGAGAGATTCCCTATTGACTTCCTATAAATAATAGCTTTTCCACAGTCAGGTTGGATTCCAGGAGGAATGTGATGATTGCCATGAGAGGCAAACACACATTATTTTAGGAGCCCAACCTGATGGATATTAATTGGTGTAGTGGGTTGAATATTGGCCCTCAAGTAACCCCTGGTACTTAGGAATGTGACCTTATTTGGATCGAGAGTCTTTGAAGATGAGATAATCTTGGATTGAAGACAGACCTGAAATCCAATGACTGATGTTTTCTGTTGGTGGTGGTGGTGGTTTTTTTTTTTTTTTTTTTTTTTTTTTTTTTGAGACAGTGTCTCTGTCGCCCAAGCTGGCATGCAGTGGTGTGATCTCAGCTCACCGCAACCTCTGCCTCCCAGGTTCAAGTGATTCTCCTGCCACAGTCTTCCCAGTAGCTGGGATTACAGGCACCCGCCACCACGCCAGGCTAATTTTTGTATTTTTAGTAGAGACAGGGTTTCTCCATGTTGACCAGGCTGGTCTAGAACTCCTGACCTTAGGTGATCTGCCCACCTCGGCCTCCCAAAGTGCTGGGATTACAGGCCTGAGCCACCGCGCCTGGCCTGATGTTCTTATAAGAGGAAGGAGAGAGAGTTTTAAGACATAGAAATGGGAGAAAGGCTATGTGAAGACAGAGGCCAAGGTTGGAGTGACAGGGCCAAGAATGCCCAGGATTCCCAGCAGCCACTGGGGGCTGGAAGGGGCCAGGCGGGATGCTCCCTTAGAGCCTTTACAGGCCGCACAGCCCTGCCTACACCTTGGTGTTGCTCTTCTGGTCTCCAGAGCTATGAGAGAATAAATTATGGTTGTCTTAAACCACCAAGTTTGTGGTAATTTGTTGTGGCAGCTTTAGGAGATGAAAACAAGGCATAATTTGAAGTTGTCAATGGGAAAATTATTTTATGTACATATGCAAAAATATATTTGCTAAGACTAATGCGTCTATTATGTGAAACCAAGTAAGCAATGTTAAAATTTTATCCGCAGTAAATGTGGGGTTGGAGAAGTCAAAGATACCATTTTAGATATCAGCAATCCTGATGGGTATAATAAAATGACCCTTTTTATTTGGAAAATTTGAAGACTGAATATGGTTATTAAATTTGCCATTGGAGAATAACTAGAAATCTAAAAGTGATACAAGTAAGTCTCATTTCCTATTAATACAAAAAAGTTTATTGCAGTTTCTCCTTAAAAATAGTTACTGGTGGCCGGGTGTGGTGGCTCACACCTGTAATCCCAGAACTTTGGGAGACCGAGGTGGTTGGATCACTTGAGGTCAGGAGTTTGAGACCAGCCTGGCCAACATGGTGAAATGCCATCTCTACCAAACAATACGGAAATTAGTTGGGTGTGGTGGTGCGTGCCTGTAGTCTTAGCTGCTCAGGGAGGCTAAGGTGAGAGAACTGCTTGAACGAGGTGAGCAGAGGTTGCAGTGAGCTGAGATTGCTCCACTGCACTCCAGCATGGGCGACAGAGTGAGACCCTGTCTCAAAAAAAAAAAAAAAAAAAAAAGTTATTGGTAGTCTGACCTGATGCTGTCCTATCCCAGTATCTCAGTCACACCCAGCATTTATAATTACCTGGAAACCATGCTTTGTTTTTGTATTGCTGCTAACATTTCTGATACAAAGCTAGATGATTATTCAGATCTTAGGTCTAAAATTTATACTTCCTGTATTGAGGTCTCAACAGTAGACTTAAAGATGCTCATTCATATCCCAGAATTCTTCTTTACAAGGTGGAAGATCTTTGAATAGGTAGCTATGATGTGACGTGTATTGTTATTTGAATCAAAGTCTTCTGGTTTCAAACAGTAAGATAATGGTATTTTCTGTCTGTGAAGTCCTTTATCAGGAATGTCTAAGGATTATTTTGTTTTCTCTTTCTGAGTGCAGCTGTTTGTTTCTAAAGCAAAATATAGGTCTTGCCTTGAGGTGGGATAGATAGGGAGATCAGAGAAAGATGGAATTATCTCTGGTCAAAAAACCCCAGCTGATTATACAATGCTTTAAAATGTACCATTTAAAGGTAAAATAGCAAGTTGTTTCGGCCTCTGTGACCTATTTTTAAAAAATGTTAATTGTCTTTGTAGATAAAGACATCTTGAGTCCAAATTGCAGTTTTCTTACTCTGTTTAAGCATTGTAAGACTGTCAGAAGCTGAACTTTGTGGGAGGGGAGTCAAGTGAGGAGAGAATGCAAGTAAGAAAGGAAAAAGAGTGAAATCACAAGTTGGTGTTTCCCGTCCTGGCTTTTCGGTTCATGGGAAGTGGCAGAATCTGGATTTAATGCCTCCATAATTGGGAAAAAGAGCAGAAATCTTCATATTTAGTCTCTGGGTATTACTGTGCAGCTTTCGAACTCTACAGAGTTAATGATTTCTTCCATGTGCGTTTTTCAGTTCATCACTCAAGTCTCGTTACAGAGGAGATACAGATCAACTCCTGATCTATATGATTTCAAAAATAGCACAGTGACCCTGGGGTAATGATATGGTAGGACATAATTGAACCTTTCTGGGCACTTGTGTGCTATGTCATTTGTCCTGTATGTAGTTCTAGAGTGACATCAGATCTATTAAAAAAAAAATTTTTTTCATTTGTGAGTATAGTCCCAGCTACTGGGGAGGCTGAGGCAGGAGGATCCTTTAAGCCCAGGAGTTCAAATCCAGCCTGGGCAACATAGTGAGATCACTGTCTCTTAATACATATATATATTTTATATATGTATTATATAATATATAATACATATATATATGTATTTTTTTTTTGTAAAGACGAAGTCTCATTATGTTGCCCAGGCTGGTCTTGAACTCCTGAGCTCAAGTGATCCTCCTGCCTCAGCCTCCCAAAGTGCAGGAATTACAGGTGTGAGCCACCGCACCTGGCCTTCTAAAATTTTTTTTAAATAACAGTTTTAAAACATTGTTTATAGTTTGTTGACATTACATTCAGGTCCCCCTTCACATCTCTTCCCTATATTCTCAGGTGAAACTTCACTTCTCTCTTAACAGGGAATCCTCAGAACCACAAGAGATCTTAGAGAACATGTGGTCCCAACATCTTAACAAGCTGTGCTAGAAATTGAGTTGGTGGCCTTACTGCTGGCCAGTGTGGAGACCAAGCTGCAGGTACAGGTTCCTTCTGCTGTACAGCATGCCCTTTATTGCAGCTTGAAATCTTGTCCTCTGTCCTCACTTTCATCTGCAACTGATTGTCTTCCTAAGAAGGAAAGATCCTTTAGTCAAATGTTTTTCCTGCTCCACTGAAATGTCTACTATTGTAGTCACCAGTATTCTTCATTCTGCCAGATCCGGTGATGAGTTTTCTGTTCTCAGCTTATTCCACTCTTCGGCAGCATCTGACACATCTTCTGGACCACTTTCTTCTCTAAGTTGTGAAGGCGTGTCCTTCCGGTTTTCCTCCCTCATCGGCAGCTCCTCAGTTTCCTTTGCTGAACTTTTCTCCTCTGCCAGACTTCTAAGCCTTGGAATACCCAGGGTCCCATTCTTGGCCTATTCTCTTTTCTACCTGAACTCTCCTCTGGAAGATCTTAGCCAATCCCATTGCTTTAAATACCATCTCTATGCCTCGACTCCTAAATCTGTCTCTCTAGGCTGATCTTTCCGTTGAGATCAAAACTCATAAGCAGCTGGCCTAATAGTAATTCAGTTTTCTACTCAGATATTTAAGATGTGTCAAACTTGCATGTCCTGACTTTTCTGCCCTATTTACCCCAAAACTTCTCCCAGTCTCCTTTGTCTGATTAAACAGCACCACCATCCATCCACCCTGTTGCTCAAGCCAAAAGCCCAGAAACATATTGGAGTTTTTCTATTTGCCCCATACCCTGTGGGTATTTATATATATATGTATTAAGGGTAAAATATATATATGTATTAAGAGACAGTGATCTCACTATGTTGCCCAGGCTGGATTTGAACTCCTGGGCTTAAAGGATCCTCCTGCTTCAGTTCATCATCAGCAAGACCCGTCAGTTCTATCAGTGTTCCTGAGTTCCACACTTAAATCCAGCTTTACTACTGCTTCAGAACAAACTTCTTCCTGCCTTTCCTGGGCCACGCCACAGCCTCCTAACTGGTTTTCCTGTTTCCACTCTCCCCTTTCTTTGTCCATTATTCACCTAGCAGCAGGGCGATCTTGCACAAATCATTTTCTATCACCCCTTTGTTTATAATTCTTCAGTGGCTTTCCATCATAAACAAAATAAAGGTCCCTACTGCATAGTCCAGGCTCCGTTTGCCTCTGACCTCACATCTTTTTGTTTGTTTGTTTGTTTTGTTTTTGAGACAGAGTCTTACTCTGTCACCCAGGCTGCAGTGCAATGGCATGGTCTCGGCTCACTGCAACCTCTGCCTCCCGGGTTCAAGCAATTCTCATGCCTCAGCCTCCCGAGTAGCTGGGACTACAGGTGCCCGCCACTACACCCAGCTAATTTTTGTATTTTTTGTAGAGATGGGGTTTCACCATGTTGGCCAGGCTCTCTCGAACTCCTGACCTCAGGTGATCCACCTGCCTTGGCCTCCCAAGGTGCTGGGATCACAGGCGTGAGCCACCATGCACAGCCTGATGTCACATCTTACAGCTGTCGTCATTTGCCATGCACTAGACATCCTTGCCTTGTTTCCTTCAAATATCCCAGCCTCACTTTATTTAGGTTTCATCTTCTTTTTTAAAGTTTTACTCTATATGTATTTCCCTGCACAATTAATCGTTTATTTTTGCTTGGTTTTGAATTTGATATAGTACAATATTATAGGTAGTCTTCTGCAGCTTAAGCTTAGTTCATTCACTTTCATTGCTGGATCGCTTTTGATTGTGTGAATTTACAGGTTTGTCTACTCCTCTGACAGTGTACACTTGGGTTCTGATGAGAACAGTGCAAATATTGTCTAGTATATAAGGAACTTATAATGGGCCAGGCAGTGTTCTCAGTGCTTTTATATATATGGGCACTAAGAGCAACCCTATGAGTTGGTATTATTACGATGCTCATTTTTCAGATGAGGGAGCAGAGACATAGGAAGATGAGTAACTTACCCTTGTCATCTGGTAATGAGTGAAATTGCTGGATCATGGACTTCACATATGTTTAGCCTCAAAAGATGATGCCTAATAGTTTCTGAAGTGATTGTACCAGTTGATACTCCCACCAGCAGCATATGAGTTCCCATCGTGCCGCATCTTCACACACACCTAGTTTTGCCAAATTTGTGGGTGTAAAATGGTATTTTGATTTCAATTTGCATTTCCCCGATTCCTAATGATTTGAGCATATTTTTGTATATTTATTATCCATTAGTGTTTCCTCTTCCGGAAACATGGAGCGTCTGTTCATGTCTTTTGCCCACTTTTCCATTGATTTGTCAGTCTTTTTCTTACTGACTTATAGTTCTTTCCCTTTGTCAGTATTAGGAGTTTCAGTCTTCTCTGGGTTCATGGCTTTGGCTTGTCTTTTTTTTTTTTTTTTTTGTTGAGACAGGGTCTTACTCTGTGATCCAGGCTGGAGTGCAGTCATAGCTCACTGCAACCTCGAACTTGAACTCCCGGCCTCAACTGATCCTCCCACCTCTGCCTCCCAAAGTACTGGAATTACAGGCATGAGCTACCACAGCTGCCTTTGGCTTGTCCTTTGAGTCTCTTTTTGGTGTCTCTTGATGAATAGAAATTCCTAATTTTAATATAGTTGGATTTCTCATTGTTTTCAATGTCTTATTTTTAGAAATCTACTCTTACCTCAGAGTCATAAAAATATTGTCCAATATTCTAAAATTTTGCCTTTCACATATAAGTATTTAAGCTACATGAAGACTATTTTTATGTATGGTGTGAGGTGTGGATCCAACTTTCCTTTTTTGCATTTCATAGTTTATTTTTTTTCCCAGTTATTGAAATACTGCCTTTTTCTTATATTGTTTCTGCATGATTGTGGGATTATTTCTGGGCACTCTATTCTGTTTCATTGATCTTTTTGTTGTTCCTTCACTAATACCATAGTGCTTCAACTACTGTTTCTTTACAGTAAATCTAGATACCTGATAGCCTAATTTCCCCACCTTGTTTCTTTTCTTCAGGAGTGTCTTACAGTGGTGTGATCATGGCTCATTGCAACCTCAACTTCCCAGACTCAAGCAGTCTTCCCACCTCAGCATCCCAAGTAACTGGATGCCACCACCATGCCTGGCTACTTTTTAAAAATTTTTTGTAGAGATGGGGTCTCGCCATGTTGCCCAGGCTGATCTTGAACTCTGGGCTTAACTGATCTGCCCACCCTGGCCTCCCAAAGTGTTGGGATGACAGGCATGAGCCACCATGCCTGGCCTGCTCCTCCTTATAAATTTTAGAATTAGCATCTGTGGAAAATCCTGTTGGAATTTTGATCGGTGTTGTATTAATTTTTTATATCAATTTGGAGGAGAATCAACGTATCAATGCTAGAGTGTCTCTTGTGCATGAACATGGCATCTCTTTTGTCTTACAATGACATTTGTATACGTACAGTATAACTTACAACTCCATGCAGGTCTTGCACATCTTATGGAGCGAGACAGTGTAGAGACAGCGTAGAGTAGTGGTTTTAAGAGCAAAGGCTTCGGAACCAGGCTGCCTGGTTTCAGTCCTCACTTAGCTGCTTACGGTGTCATCTTGGGTTTCAATCCTGTTGGTTTCAATCCTCACCTAGCTGCTTACAATGTCATCTTGGGCAAGTCAGCCTCTCTGTGCCTCATTTTCCTCATCTGTAAAATAGGCGCTAATATTTCTACTTCATAGGGGCATATAGTAAATGCTCAGTTGTTGGTAGCTGTTGCTATTATTTTGTTTTATCCCTAGGTGTCTTATTTTTTGTTGCTTCCTAAATAGTATATATATATATGTGTGTGTGTGTGTGTGTGTGTGTGTATACATTTACACACATTTACATTTTTTAATTTTACATTTTTAAATTCTTTGTTGCTGGTGTTTAGAAATGCATTTGAGTTTCAGAAATCTAGCAACCTGGTTAATCTCTCATTAATCCTAATAATGAGAATTCTTCTGGATTTCCCAAATGGGCTATCATAAATCAACCTGCAGATAATGGCTTTTGTTTCTTCCATTTCAAACTTCATATTTTTATGTCTTTTTTGTTCTTTTACTGAGCTGGTCTTTTTTTGCTTTTAGCTGAACAGCCTTCTCAAATAGCTAGTCTTGACAACAGTATAACCTTGAATAAAAGTGGGACTGGTGAACACCTTGTCTTATTCCTAGTTTTTAAGAGAACATTCTAATGTTTCACTATTAAAGTGTTTGCTGTAGATTTCTGATGTGTATCTTTTATGTCAAGGAATGTATTCTATTCCAAGTTTGCTAAGAGGACTTATCATAAATGGATGTTGAGTTTTACCAAATGCTTGATATAAATCTGTTGAAATGATAATATATTTTGTCCTTTAATCTGTTAATGATGAAGATTACAGGCATTGGTTTTCTAATGTTAAAGCATCTTTACATTCCTGAAATAAATCTAAATCTAACTGGTTCATTACTTTTTTTTTTTGGAGACAGAGTCTCACCCTGCCACCCAGGCTGGAATGCAGTGGCTCAATCTTGGCTCGCTGCAACCTCTGCCTCCCAGGTTCAAGCGATTCTCCTACCTCAGCCTCCTGAGTAGCTGGGATTACAGGTGTGTGCCACCACGCCCGGCTAATTTTTTTTTTTTTTTTTTGTATCTTTAGTAGAGATGGGGTTTCATTCACCATGTTGGCCAGGCTGGTCTCGAACTCCTGACCTTGTGATCCACCTGCCTTGGCCTCCCAAAGTGCTGGGATTACAGGTGTGAGTCACTGTGCCCGGCTATTTTTTAAATACATTATTTGTTTTGCTAATATTTTGTTTTAAAATTTTTCATTACTGATCATAAAAGAGATTGGCTAATTATTTTTCTTTCTTGGGTACTGAGGTTATGTTAATTTTATGAAATGAATTGGAAAGTGTTTCCTCCTTTTGATCCTCTGGAAGAATGTATATAAGATTAAAATGATATTTTCTTTGAACGTTTGGTAGAATTTGCCTGTGAAGATAATCTGGACTTGGTGTTCTCATTTTCAGAAGAGTTTAAACTACTGACCACTGTCTTTAATAGTTGTAGAAACTTTCAGGTATTCTCTAGCTTCCTTAATAATTTCTGTTAAATTATATGTTTCTAGAAATCTACCTTTTTCATCTAAGTTTCCAGCTTTACTTGCATAAAGTGGTTTGTGGCATAGTGTAGTCTTATGAATCTTCGCTTAATCTGGAGTATGCTCCTTGAAAAACAATTCTAGGTTTCTAGATTTTATTAGCCTCTTAAGACTAATATATATATGCTTTCTATTCTGTGAAATTTGCTTTTATCCTGCTTTCTTTTAGATTTTTAGGCTTATTTGGCTGTCCCTTTATTTTTTACTTCTTAATGGCTGCTTAATTCATTAATTTCAGCATTTCTTCTTTTCTCATATAACTACTTAAAGCTGTTGTTTCCTTTAAAAAATAATAAAATAAAGTTTCCCCTAATACCTGCTTTAATGGCATAGCAAAGTTTTGATACGTCATATTTTAGTGTTTGGTTCTGAATATTGTCTGATTTATATTATAACTTCTTCTTTGACCCATGAGTTCTTTACAGGGTTGTTTTTATACTTTCAAATGCATTATCTTTAAAGTTATCTTCTTATTACTGATTTCTAATTTAATTGCATTTTAATGAGAAAAAGTAGTTCTCATATTACTGATTCTTTGAAATTTATTGGTAAAGGCTGGGTGGGCATGGTAACTCATGCCTGTAATCCTGGCACTTTGGGAGGCTGAGGCAGGTGGATAGCTTGAGTCAAAGAGTTCGAGACCAGCCTGGGCAACATGATGAAACCTCATCTCTGGAAAAAAAAAAAAAAAAAAATTTGCAGGGTGTGGTGGCATGCACGTTAGTCCTAGCTACTTGGGAGGCAGAGATTGCAGTGAGCCGAGATTGTGCTACTGCACTCCAGCCTGGTTGACAGAAAAAAACCCTGTCTCAAAAAAAAAAAAAAAAGGAAATTTGTTGGTAACTTACTTTATACCTAAATACAAGATCAGTTTTTGAAAACATTCTATGTATGTTTGAAAAGATTGTGTATTCTCTTGTTGTGGGGTTCCGGATTTCATGTGTTCGTTTGAATATTGGTAATGTTAGCATTTTTTTCTGTTTAATTATCAATTACTAAGAGAGGTATGTTAAAATATGCCCCTCTGATAAGTAAGCTTGTCACTGTCTTATACTTTTGTCAGTTTTTGTGGTATTTATTTTTAAGACATTTTATTAAGTTTATATAGGTCTAGAATTTTCTTCCTGATGATTCTCTCTCTAGTAATTCTATTTTGTCTAATATTATCTATTCCAGCTTTCTTTTGATTATTATATATCTGGTATAACTTTCTAGTCTTATTCTAGGTGAATCTTATGAAGAACATATAAGTAGGTTTTGTTTTATAAATCTAATCTATATCTTTTACCTTAGGAGTTTAATATATTTATACTTACTGTGGCTATTGATATCCATAGGTGTTTTTTTCTGCCATCTTAACTTATGCTTTCTATTTGTTCTTTTTTTGGGGGGGCGGTGTCTCTATTTCTGGATGACTCTTTAGCCTTCTTTGTCTCCTTTTGAATTCGTTGGTGGTTTTTCTCTCATTCCATTTTTCTTTTCTTTTCTTTTCTTTTTTTGAAACGGAGTCTCGCTCTGTCGCCCAGGCTGGAGTGCAGTGGCGCAATCTCGGCTCACTGCAAGCTCCGCCTCCCAGGTTCACGCTATTCTCCTGCCTCAGCCTCCCGAGTAGCTGGGACTATAGGCGCCCACCACCACGCCCCGCTAATTTTTTGTATTTTTAGTAGAGACGGGGTTTCACCATGTTAGCCAGGATGGTCTCGATCTCCTGACCTTGTGATCCGCCCGCCTCGGCCTCCCAAAGTGCTGGGATTACAGGCTTGAGCCACCGCGCCCGGCCTCATTCCATTTTTCTAAACTATGCATTCGAAAGATAGACATTCAACTTTTATTTTCTTAGTTTACTCTCAAGCTTTGAATGTGAATACTTAAGAGTTTAAAGTTAGTCAATTTCCATTCTCTTCTGAAACAATTAAAGGCCCTAAAAAATGCTTTAATTCAGTCAGTTCCTCCCACCACGCTTGCCGTACCGTTTACTGTGCGTAAATCAGACATTGCCATTCTTGTTTTATAAAAGCAATGTTTGTTTAAATTTCCCTATATTTTTACAGTTTTCTTTGTCCATCATTTATTTTTCTATCCTTGATCTTCTTTCTGGGACCTTTCCTTACTTTTACGGTATATCCTTAAGACACTTCATGAAATGTGTGAGCCAGCCTCCACGGTCTCCCTTATGACTGTGGCTCTCTGTGACTCACACGCCCACACCGAAGAGGGCTGACCTGTGTAAGCATTGGAACGTTGCAGCAGTGATGGAGCGTGACTTCTGAGGCTGGGTCATAAAATACGTTGCACCTTTTTGCCTTGCTCTTTCTTGGGCCACTCACTGTGGGATGCCGGCTGCCATGTCATGAGGTTATCAAGCAGTCCTGGGAAGATTCCATGTGGAGAGGAACTGAGGCTCCCTGTCAACTGCCAGTACAAACTTGCCAGCCTTGCAAGGCAGCCACACGGGCAGCAGATCCTGCAGCCCCCTCAAGTGACTGTAGCCCCAGCCACCAACTGGATGGCAACCTCACAAGAGATCCTGAGCTAGGACCACCTAGCCCAGCTGCTTCTGAATCTCTGACACACAGAAACTGTGAGATAATAAATGTGTTTTGCAGCCAGGTGCGGTGGCTCACATCTCAGCACTTTGGGAGGCCGAGGCAGCCAGATCACAAGGTCAAGAGATCGAGACCATCCTGGCCAACATGGTGAAACCCCGTCTCTACTAAACATACAAAAATTAGCTGGGCGTGGTGGCGCGTGCCTGTAGTCCCAGCTACTCAGAAGGCTGAGGCAGGAGAATCGCTTGAACCCGGGAGGCGGAGGTTGTAGTGAGCTGAGATCACACCACTGCACGCCAGCCTGGTGACACAGCGAGACTCTGTCTCAAAAAAAAAAAAAAAAAAGTGTTATCAGTATTGTTACACAGCAGTAATTAATATACATTAGTGAGAGTATTCTGGTAGTAAACTCTGTTTTTATCTTAAAATGTTTTTTGATTTTGGTTTTTTTTTTTTGTTTTTTTTTGTAGAGACAGGGTCCTGCTATGTTGCTCAGTCTGGTCTTAAACTCCTGGGCTCAAGCAATCCTCCCACTTCACCCTCCCAAGGTGCTGACATTACAGGCATAAGCCACCACATCCAGCCATCTGAAAATGTCTTTAATTAATGCCCATTCCTAAAATATATTTTATCTATATATACAATTCTGTATTCACAATTATTTTCTTTCAGCATATTGAAGACATTTTTTATTTTCTTCTGAGTTCCATTATTGCTGTTAAAAGTCCATTGTCAAATAAAAGACTTGTATCTAGACTATGTAAAAAACCTAACACTCAGCCGGGCGCAGTGGCTCACGCCTGTAATCCTAGCACTTTGGGAGGCCGAGGCAAGCGGATCACTTGAGCTCAGGAGTTCGAAACCAGCTTGGCCATCATGGTGAAACCCTGTCTCTACTAAAAAATACAAAAAATTAGCTGGGCATGGTGGTGTGTGCCTGTAATCCCAGCTACTTGGGAGGCTGAGGCAGGAGAATCGCTTGAACCCGGGAGGCAGAAGTTGTAGAGAGCCAAGATCATGCCACCGCACTCCAGCCTGGGCGACAGAGCGAAACTCCATCTCAAAAAGAAAAAGAACCTAACACTCAACAAACACCTCAGTTTAAAAATGGGCAAAAGATTCGGGCCAGGCGTGGTGGCTCACACCTGTAATCCCAGCACTTTGGGATGCCAAGGTGGGCAGAACACCTAAGGTCAGGAGTTCGAGACCAACTTGGCCAACATGGCGAAACCCTGTCTCTACTAAAAATACAAAAATTAGCTGGCCTGGTGGCACGCGCCTGTAATCCCAGCTACTCAGGAAGCTGAGGCATGAGAATCACTTGAACCTGGGAGGTGGAGGTTGCAGTGAGTCGAGATCGTGCCATTGCACTCCAGCTGGGCAACGGAGCAAGACTCTGTCTCAAAAAAAAAAAGGCAAAAGATTTGAATAGAGATTTTACCAAAGAAGATATGCCAAATAAACACTTGAAATGATGCTCAAAATCATTAGTCGCTTGAGAAAGGCAAATTAGTCACGAGGGAAATCCAAATTAAAACCACATTAAATAAAATAACAAAAAAATCAAAAAACCGTAATAAGATAACACTTACTGAATGACCTTAATCAGAAAAGCAGACAATAATAAATGGTGGTGAGGATATAGAGAAACAAGAACCCTCATACATTGCTGGTAGGAATGTAAAATGGCATAGCCACTTTGGAAAATACTTTTGACAGTTTCATAAGAAGTTAAACATAAATTTACCATATGACCCTGCAATTCCAGTGGTAAATATACACCCAGGAGAAATGAAAGCTGGGTCCAAAACATTCAAAGACTTGTATGTTCATAACATCATTATTCATTAAAACTAAAAAGTGGAAACCACTCAAGTGTCCACCAACTTGTAAATGGATAAATAAATATTATTCACCAATAAAATGAATAAAATACTGATGCATGCTACAAATGGGTCAGTTTCAAAACATGTTAAATGAAAGAAGCCAGACATGTTGTATTGTCCCTTTTGTATGCAGTATCCAGAAAAGACAGACCTATAGAGATGGAGACATGATTGGCTTCCTGGGAGGGAATGGAAATAGGGATTAACTATAAATGGGCACAAGGGGTCGTATTTTGATGATGAAAATATCCTAGTACTGTATTGGGGTGATGGTTGCACTATCTAACAAATTTATTGAAGAGCATTGAATTGTACGTTTAAAATAGGTGAATTTTGGCCAGGGGCAGTGGCTCACACCTGTAATCCCATCACTTTGGGAGGCCTAGGCGGGTGGATCACCTGAGGTCAGGAGTTCAAGACCAGCCTCACCAACATGGTGAAATCCTGTCTCTACTAAAACTACAAAAATGAGCTGGGCGTGGTCGCAGACGCCTGTAATTCCAGCTACTCGGGAGGCTGAGGCAGGGTAATCGCTTGAACCCAGGAGGCAGAGGTTGCAGTGAGCCAAGATTGCACCATTGTATTGGTGCAACTGGTCTGCCTGGGCGACAGAGCAAAACTCTGTCTGAAAAAAAAAGAAAAAAAAATGGTGAATTTTATAATATGTAAATTAAACCAATACGGTTTTGTTTTTGTTTTGTTTTGTTTTGTTTTAAGTCGTCAGTCTGGGTGCTTCTGTCTTTTTCTCAGGCAGCTTTTAAGTCTTCTTTGTCTTTGGTATTCTACAGATTCACAGTAATATGTTTGATTGTGGATTCATTTTTCTTTACCCTCCCTTTGAATTTGTTGGGCTTTCTAAAATGTGACAGTGGGTGGCTTTGGTAAATTCTGGAAATTTTTTTGCCATTGGCCCTTTGAATAATGCCCCTCACCTGTTCTGTCTATTTCCTTGGAGACTCATTGCATCTAGATTAGATTTCAGCTCTAACTTCTCTGTTTTCTAGGTCTAACTTTTCTTTTACACTTTCACTGTCACTTTGCTACGTTTTGTGTAAGTTGTGATCTGTCTTCCACTGTACAAACTCCATCAGTCCCAGTGGCCTTTAGGGGACATGGAGTGTGCTTATCGCTTCCCATACATAGGTCACGGGCTTTACTTCTGGAGCCAGGGTGGTGTCACCTTCTCCAGGACCAAGTGGATTTCCACAAACCATGTTGGGGAGGGGTGTGAATGGCAATCACATATACTGATCATTCAACCCAGAAACCTGAGCGTCGTCTCTGATTTTTCCTTCTCTACTCTTGGCATCCTGTAGGTTGAAATATCACAGGGTTGATTCCGCTTTCTAAATGTTTCTCAGATTGAATTTTTTTCCTTTTGATCTCAGTGACCACATTCCAGGTTCAGGAATTCATCATTTCTCACCTGGACAGTTACAGTAACTTCCTAACTCTTCTTGTCTTTATACTCACCAGTTCCAATCTACTCCACACACTTTGACCAAAGTGGACTTTCCAAAAATATAGACATTATTTCCTTCATTTTTAAAAATTTCAACTTTTCTTTTAGATATAGTGGATACATGTGCAGATTTGTTGCATGGGAACATTGTGTGATGCAGAGTTTTGTAGTACAAATCCCGTCACCCAGGTAGTTATCATAGTACCCAATAGGTAGTGTTTTAAACAAACCACCCCACCTAGCTCCATCTCTGGTAGTCTGCAATGTCTGTTGTTCCCATATTTATGTACATTTGTGCTCAGTATTTAGCGCTCACTTATGTGAGAACATGCATTTTAGTTAAAGAGAGTATATCTGCATTTTAATGTTACTCCCCTGTCTAAAATCCTTTAATTTCTATGTCCCAGCATAAGATCCAGATTTTTTTTTTTTTTTGAGATGGAGTTTCACTCTTGTTGCCCAAGCTGGAGTGCAGTGGCGTGATCTCGGCTCACTGCAACGTCTGCCTCCTGAGTTCAAAGGATTCTCCTGCCTCAGCCTCCCGAATAGCTGGGTTTACAGGCATGTGCTACCACGCCTGGCTAATTTTTGTATTTTTTATAAAGATGGGGTTTCATCACGTTGGTCAGGCTGGTCTCAGACTCCTGATAGCAAGTGATCCGCCTGCCTCCGCCTCCCAAAATGCTGGGATTACATGCGTGAACCATCATGCCCGGTCCATATACACTCTTAATTTCCACCTACTTACCTGCTTTCTTAAAGAACCAGTTCTGTGGCTTTGAACATGATGTTCTCTCTGACTGGAATGATCTTCCCCCTCCCTGCCAGGTGAGCTCCGACTCATCCTTATTTTCTGTGAAGCCTCCTCTTACTCCCCAGGAAAGACGTCAGACACTCCTTTGCATTCCATAGTAACTTGCATATGTCTCAGGTAAAGCACTTATAAGTTAGGCTGTTGTTTGCATGCCATTCTCACTAGACTGAGGATGCTCTGAGGTCAGGGATCGTTCTTGATTTACTTAGCTCCATCCCTGTTCCTTCATTTGTCTTTTTCAACAGTGGCTGTCTATCCCAGGGCTACTGGTAGTTCTTTTTCAAGTCTGTTTTGGGCAATGCAAGGATAGCAAAAAGGAAAAGGAAGATTTCTTAGAAAGGGGAAAGGATCTCCAGGTTTAAAAATACTTTCAGAAATGTTCTGAGAGGAGAAATTTGTGTTAATTTTTGTGAGAGCATATTACTAAACAGCAGCCTCCTCTCCCCAAATTGAAAGTGGTGCATCCACCACCTCCCGGGTTCAAGCGATTCTCCTGCCTCAGCCTCCCAAGCAGCTGGGATTACACCATGCGCCACCATGCCTGGCTAATTTTGTATTTTTAGTAGAGACGGGGTTTCTCCATGTCGGTCAAGCTGGTCTCGAACTCCTGACCTCAGGTGATCTACCCGTCTTGGCCTCCCATAGTGCTGGGATTACAGGTGTGAGCCACTGCACCCGGCCAAAATAGATAATTTCTGTATTTCAGCTAGACTTTTCAGTTGTTCTTGGCAGGTGTGCTGATTTGCTGCACCTACTCTATCCTTCTATTAAAAGTCCACCTTCTCTTCCTGTAAGGTTTTTTTTGTTTTGTTTTGTTTTTGAGACTGGTCTTGCTCTGTCATCCAGGCCCAACTGTAATGGTGCGATCATAGCTCACTGTAGCCTTGACCTCCTGGGTTCAAGCAATCCTCCCATCTCAGCCCTGCAAGTAGCTGGGCCCACAGCTCTCACACCACCATGCCCAGCTAATTTTTAATTTTTTTTTGTAGACACGGGGTCTCACATTGCTGTCCAGGCTGCAGTAAGCATTTTAAGAGTGGGAACTTTGCGTATTTTGTATCAACATTTAGCACATTTGTATTTGTAGCATAATAGTATTTGTATTCAACAATTAGCACAATAGTCCATAATGGATGCTTAAGAAAAATGTAGTGAATTAATGCATCCAGGTGTCTAGGTTCCATTTTTAATATTTAGATCTGCTTCATCTTTTCCAGAGAGTTGAACCAATATGATATCTAGTTATATTAAATATCAAGTGTTTTACTAAGTATTGAGTAGATATATAGGAATATTTAGTATATATATCATGTAAAGAATCACATTACAACAAACACCCAATAACCTACCACCCAATTTAAGAAAATTAATTTAATTATCAGGAGTTCCTTGTATGACCTTTTTTCTCATTCCTTTCCCTTCTTCTCAGAAGTAACTGCTATCCTAAATTCTGTTGTTATCATTCCCTTGAGTGTTGCCTTCTTGAACAGTATATTGTTAGTGTTGCATGTTTTGAGCTTCATGTACATGGAACCGTACTGGATGTGTTCTATTTTCTTATTTCTGTGTATAGCAGTAATTCTTTCCTTTTCACTGCTATGTAGTATTCCATTGTATTACTACATGTGCATGCGTGTGTGATAGACATTCACAGTATTAAGCAGTTTTTTGATTTTTTGCTTTTTCCAAAGAGCAGTGCTAAAAAATTCTTGTTCCTGTTTTATGGTGGATTATATCTATCAGTATTTACTGTATTAAAATTGAAATAGAAATGTTTTAAATGTTTACTTAGTAACTCATTTAGAATAACAATTTAAAATAATAAAATTAAAATAAAAATGGATGTTTTTATGAAAAAACTGTTTTAAAACAAAAAAACAGAAGTGTGGCATTATTTTATATTTTTTTCAGATCTCTTTACTGTGTGGCTTAATAGAAAATAGCTAAGTTCTCACATCTCTTTCTGCATTCAATCTGTTACAGTATCAACAATAGTCAGAAACCTCACTATACTTGAGAGAGAATGAGGTTGAAATAGGAAATAAAATATATAATTATTTTGAAAATAGCTTTGACCTTGCACATCTTCTGAAAGGGTTTCAGGAACTCCCACAGGTCCCAGATCACACTATCACACTTAAAGAACCACTGCCCCAGGGTGTGTCCATTCTCCCCCTTTGCTGGTAAGGCCAGACCCCTCCAAAGTGAATGAATGTATTAAGTTGTCCCCTGCCACCCACCAGCAGTGTTTAATTGTTTTAGTCACTCTTATCACAGCACTTGATGTTGTCAGATTTATAATTTTTGCCAGTCTGGTAAAAATGAAATACTGTCTCCCTGTGGTTTGATTTGCATTTTCTTTGTTACTAATGAACTTAACCATCTTTTTATATTTTATTGACCACTTGCTCTCCTTTTCTGTTAAGTACCTATCCAGTATTTTTCAGCCATAACTCAAGTTTCATTCTACCTTGTAAAGTAATTTAAAATGTTTCTTTTTAAAGTACACATTCGAGGGTCAAATGGACTGTTCCCAGTTTTATTTAAGCAGTAATTTAAACATTAAGGAAAATGTTTAAGATTAAGAATATTGTTTAGACCTCGGGTGATCGGCCCGCCCCAGGCTTCCAAAGCTGGGATTACAGACGTGAGCCACTGTGCCAGGCCTAGAGGTTTCCTAGATTTCTTTGGGAGCTATTAACTGGCACTTTTGCAGGGGGAAACTTGTGTAATGTTTGGGTCAGTATAACATTCAGTATTAACATATATACCCATTCTAATCAGAGGAAATGTATCTTGACTTAAAAGGTTTCTGTTATCTCTTTGGACCTCAGTTTCCATCAGTAAACTGGAAATAGTACTTTCAGCTCCAGTACTCTGGGTTCTAATTGACTTTGTTTAATCTTTACTTCAGTTGTATAAAGGGGCTTGAAATTAACTTGAACCATAGGTACTTTTTCTTTAAGTGCCCTTTAACAGTTAATTGTGGCCCTCTGAATTCTGTTCAGCCTGTTCCTTTTGCTCTCATTGTTTGTTTGTTTATTTTTATGTATTTATTTTGAGACAGAGTCTCCCTCTTTTGCCCAGGCTGGAGTGCAGTGGCATGATCTCAGCTCACTGCAACCTCCGCCTGCCAGGTTCAAGTGATTCTCATGCCTTAGCCTCCTGAACAGCTAGGATTCACCACCACATCTGGCTAATTTTTGTATTTTAGTAGAGATGGGGTTTCACCATGTTGGCCAAGCTGGTCTCAAACTCCTGATCTCAGGTGATCCGCCTGCCTCAGCCTCCCAAAGTGCTGGGATTACAGGCATGAGCCACTGTGCCCAGCAGATTTTTTATATTTTAATTTGATATTATCTTGGCTGAGCACAAATGCTCCACTGCACTCCAGCCTGGGCAACAGTGAGAAACTTTGTCTCAAAAAAACAAAAAACAAGATATTAATGCTGCCACCAGCTTTTTTGGTTGATTCTCTTGAGATCCAATAATACACAGTCATACATTTACAAATAAGGATTGTATTGTCTCTTTCTTTCAGCTTTTTTTTTTGTGTGTGTGTGTGAAACGGAGTCTCACTCTGTTGCCAGGCTGGAGTGCAGTGGCGTGATCTCAGCTCACTGCAACCTCCCACTCCCTGATTCAAGCAATTCTCCTGCCTCAGCTTCCTGAGTAGCTGGGATTACAGGCACGCACCACCACGCCTAGCTAATTTTTGTATTTTTAGTAGAGACAGGGTTTCACCATGTTGGCCAAAATGGTCTCGATCTCCTGACCTCATGATCCGCCTACCTCAGCCTCCCAAAGTGCTGGAATTACAGGCGTGCGCCACCGCACCCAGCCTTATTTTTTTACTTACTTAATTTTGAGATAGGATGTTGCTCTCTCAACCAGGCTGGATTGCAGTGGTATGATCATAGCCCACTGCAGCCTTGACCTCCTGGGCTCAAGTGATCCTCCTACCTCAGCCTCCCTAGTAGCTGGGACTACAGGCATGAGCCACCATACTTAACAGATTTTTTAATTTTTTGTAGAAATGTGGTTTCACCATGTTGCCCAGGCTGGTCTCAAACCCCTGGGCTCAAGTGATCCACCCTCCTTGGCCTCCCAAAGTGCTGGGATTGCAGGTGTGAGCCACCATGCTCAGCCCTTTCAACCATTATCCCTTTTATTTCTAATTACTTCAGCCAGCTTTCCAGAGTTTTATGTAAGTAACACAGATAAGCCCTTCCTTATATTGTTCTTGTCTGCAGAAGGAATGTTCTGGTCTCTCATTGTTAATCCTGATGCTAATTATACACAAATATGTAGCTGTATATATTTATGGAAGGTATATATTTTTTAAATTATGTTAAGGAAGTATTTTTTCTGTTGCTTTTTTTTTTATTTTAATTTTAATTTTTTATTTTTTATTTTTTTTGAGATAGAGTCTCACTCTGTCTCCCAGGCTGGAGTGCAGTGTCGGGATCTCAGCTCACTGCAACCTCCACCTCCCAGGGTTCAAACGATTCTTCTGCCTCAGTCTCCTGAGTAGCTGGGATTACAGGTGTCCACCACCACACCCAGCTAATTTTTTTTATTTTCAGTAGAGACGGGATTTCACCATGTTGGCCAGGCTGGTCTTGAACTCCTGACCTCAGGTGATCCACCCACCTCAGCTTCCCAAAGTGCTGGGGTTATAGACGTAAGCCACCCCACCCGGCCCTATTGCTCTTTTAAAATTAGTAGTGTATGTTGAATTTTATTAAGTGCCTTTTTTAGCATCTAATAAAATAATTATGCTTATTTGTTCTTTTGAGCTTATTAATGTGATAATGTATTAAGTTTCTAATATTTCTTGTCTTAGGAGTCTCCCTTAGATATAATATATTTTTGTTTGATTAGTTCTTGCCCAAATTAGTTTTGGCTGGAACCTGGATGGTTTTTTGTTTGTTCTTTTTTTCCCCACACACCCTGGACAGTTTCTGTTTGTTTTTGTTCCTCCCACATACCTGCTTTACCTCAGTCACTGAGACACATGTACTAATGGGTTGTCATGAATGAAGAACTGGAATTTAAGTGACTAGGATTCGTCAAATGCTGATGACGTGTAAGGTTCTCTTTAGCAAAGTTTAAGGAAGGCAGTTCACCTTTTTGAGCACTTCTGTATGCCAGAGTCTATGCTAGGAACTTTTCACATTTGCTAGTTCACACAGCAATTCTATTTTATAGATGAGAAAGCTTACATTTAAGTCTCTTCTGCAATACTAGAGGAGCTACTTTGGACCTGAGACTTTTTGTATCTGGTTTTAATAAGCAAAAGTCCACACCCTACCTCTGAGGCCTGTTTCCCAATCCAGAAAATTATCATCAAGGAGATTGCAGAGAGAGATAGAAAATGTCATACATTGTGTTGGTCTGTGCAAGTAATTGGCATTCATAACCCAAAGATAAACATACCCTGAGTAACTGAAAATTTTCTTAGAATCTTATGTCCCTCTACTTCATAGAAAGCCACATCTTATGGCTATGGAGTAAAATATCCCTAAGGATGTTCCTTAGTTCTGTTTATTGTTTAGGCTTAAGTTTTTTCTCATTCGCTGATATTCTCCCATCTGAGTGATTTCAGGATGAAATTGCCCCATTCAAACATTTTCGGGAAGAAAATTTAGTTGCTTTGCTTTTTTTTTTTCTTGAGACATGGTCTTGCTGTCACCCAGGCTGGAGTACAGTTGCGTGATCATAGCTCACTGCAGTCTCATCTCCCAGGTTCATGTGAGCCTCTCACCTTAGCCTCCTGAGTAGCTGGAACTATAGGCATGTAGGCACATGGGCGCGTGTGCCACCACCCTGGGCTAGTATTTTTTAATGTTTTTATTTTTTGTAGAAACAAGGCCTCACTTATGTGCTCAGGCTGGTCTTGAACTCCTGAGCTCAAGCAATGCTCCTGCCTCAGCCCTCCAAAGTTCTGGGATTATAGGCATGGGGCACCATACCTGGTCTAGTTGCTTTGCTTTTGAAAAATCTGCTTTAAGGTTACTGGTTTAAAAATAATGCCTTAAGCTGGGTGTGGTTGCTCACACCTGTGATCCCAACACTTCAGGAGGTTGAGGCGGGCAGATCGCTTGAACTGGAGTTTGAGACCAGCCTGGGCAACATGGTGAAACCTCGTCTCTACTAAAAATACAAAAATTATCTGGGTGTGGTGGTGTGCACCTGTGGTCCCAGCTACTTGGGAGGCTGAGGTGGGAGAATCACATGAGCCCAGGAGATGGAGGCCGCAGTGAGCTGAGATCATCCCACTGCACTCCAGCCTGGGTGACAGAGTGAGACCCTGTCTCAAAAATAAATAGATAAATAAATAAATAATGCCTTAGTTCATTGTTTCACAATCAAAATTATGCTATTTCATATGAAATAATAGGTTCAGTATCTACATATATTTGGGTAACTTCTTCAGCAGTAAGAATATAGTGCTCAGAAATTTACTTGTTGGTGTTATTGAAGCTTGTTGAGACTTCCACAGGTGCCTGTAAAATAGAAACAATTTTAGAAATGTTTTTACTCTCACAAAGGAAAACCTTTTTCACAATTTTTTTCTCTTGGTTTACTCTTTATGTGAATAAATGCTGTTAAGGGAAGAGGCAGGGCTTATTCTTCCCATCTTCTGATTAAAGAACTCACACAGAGAGGAAAATGCCTTGCTCATATGACACAGCCATTTCTTGGTAGGACAAAGGAGTAATCCAGGTCACTTGTCTTCTGTTCCTTGCATTTATCTGCTCTGGTCACAAAGGGACCAGTGTAGGACAGGCAAGCCCCAGAATTGGGGCTTAGCCCAGGAAGGTTCTTTGCTTTGCTCAGGAAAGAATTCAAGAGTGAGCCAGTGGTAGAAGAAACCAGCTTTATTGAGGTGGCAGTGTTACAGCACCGTGACTGCTCTGCAGAGCAGGGATAGACCTGGTAGGCAGCCTCAAGAGCAGCACTCAGTGGCAGTTCTGCAGTCGTATTTATACCCACTCTTAATTACATGCAAATTAAGAGGCAGATTATTCAGAATTTTCTAGAAAAGGGGTGGTAACCTGCAGGTTGTTGCCATGGAAAGGAGTAGTGACATCTGGGTGTTGCCATGGCAATGGTAAACTAACATACACCAGTGGGTGTGTCTTAGGGAGTGGTGGTGTTGCCTCTTCTGTTACAGCCAGTCTTCAATCTGGTCCAGAGTTCTGCCTCCTACCTCACGACCATCATTTTGATTTGGGGTCTAACTAGTCAGGTTTTTATTTCATCCAGATCTTTGTTTCTCCTTTCTTCCCCTTTTTCTGTGCAAAATTTGACCACTTTGCTGTTTATTGATATCTTATTAGAAGGGTATTAGCCGGGTGGTAGTGGCATGCACCTGTAATCCCAGCTACTTGGGAGGCTGAGGCAGGAGAATCGCTTGAGCCTGAGAGGCGGAGGCTGCGGTGAGCCGAGATCGCACCACTGCACTCCAGTCTGGGTGACAGAGTGAGACCCTGTCTCAAAAAAAAAAAAAAAAAAAAAAAAAAGAGATGAGAGGGGAATGGAATATGACCATTTCTCTCTTAGTGAGCCTCTCAAGTTTGCATGAGAGTAGGTTAGAAACAGCTGTTAAATGCAAGTTGAGGATCATTTGTAGAAATTATTCAAGGCTGTTTCTCCTTTATCCTACAGTCACGTATAAACTAGAATTATTTAGAAGGTTTCAAAAGATTCTTGTCACTATATTTTGTTCTTTTCTGTACCCAGTTATCAAGTAGACAGCCTTATTCTTTCAGACTTAGTCTAATGAGAGCTAAATAATTTCTTGAGAGAATTTGCTTGTGCTCAAATATGTCCTCACTGAAGCCTTAGCCCAGTTACTCAGTGATCTCCTTTTGTGTAATTCAGAACTTAATTATGCACTGTCACGTTTGTTGGTTAATTGTTTGATATACTTAAATCCTGTCCTTTCAACTAGGTTATGAATTGCTCAAAAGCAGAGATTATGCCCATTTTTTTCTTTTTCAGCTCCTAGCACAGAGCTAAGTACAGAGAATATGTACAGTAAAAGGCTGATGGAGGTCTTTCTGGGAACACTCTATCAGCGGTACTCTGTCCTTCCTGCTGGTGGCAATGGGAATGTTCTCTGCAAGGGCTCACGAGGGCTTGCATGCCTATGAAGTGGAAGAGAAATGGCTTGAGGTGCAGGGAATGAGGGGACAGGCCAGGAACTCTCGGCCTAATTATAATAGCTATTGCCTCGCTGCTTTTATTGGACTGCTCTTATTGGAAGGAAATTGATCCCAAAGAGAGTCAAAGACAGGCTAAAACACTGAACTCATAAAAATATGAAAAGTAAGCGGTGAGAGCAGATCAAGGGACCAAGATTCGTTGTTTTGTTATTGTTTTATTAATGATGGTCTAGGACTTCCAAATGGAGTTTTAAAAGTTGAAAATAAATGACCTGTTACTAATATATTTTCAGAATGCCTATGTAGAGAGGAAGATTATTTCTCAGCTGAGTAACGTGGGATCCTCCTTTAAAAGTCCTTTGGACTCTAATCATCTTTGTAATACTCTGTTTTACTTTGAAGGCAGACTCAACTTCTTAGAGTTCCAGCACATTGAGCCCTGTTTGTCTCATCCATCTTTTCACTGACCTTCCAAAGGTGGACTGGCTGGAGAACCCCAGCTGTCCATTGTGTTTGAAATCCCTTTAAGTAGGGACTCGGCTAGAGGTGTTCTTCTGCCTGATCCCCAGATGAAAAGGACGGGAGGGGAGTGACAGAGGAGTCTTCAGCCAGCTGCCATATCCCCATGCCGGACCATGGAACCTGACTTCCAGCGCACTGTAGCAGAGAGGTAGCTAGAGAGCAGAAAGTAGAGATTTGGCTCTCCTAGGGATCTTGGAGAGAACTTTGTTATTTCAGCTTTTGAGATATCTTCTCTTCCTTCATAAGGATGAGACCCAGGGTTTCCTGATAGGGCACTGCCCTTTAAAATGGACTTTGGGAATAATTTGGCCAACTGGTTCTTTTTGAAAGTATTAATGTTTGGGGGTTGTAACTAAAGTCCTAACACCTTGGGAATCTGTTCCTGGTGAACATTACTTAAAGATAGGTTCACCTGCATACACAACAGAAAAACCACAAAGAAGAGGTTTCTTTCTTTCTCACGTAAAAATGAAAAAATCAGCTGGCAGCAGTGGCTCACACCTGTGATTTCAGCACTTTGGGAGGCCGAGGCAGGAGGATCGCTTGAGCCCAGGAGTTACAGACCAGCCTGGGCAGTGTAATGAGACCCCATCGCTGCAAAAAAAATTTTTTTTTTCTAATTAGCTGGGTGCGGTAGAATGCACCTGTAGTCTCAGCTACTTAGGAGGTTGAGATGGGAAGATTGCTTGAGTCCCAGAAGTTCAAGATTGCAGTGAGCTTTGATCATGCCATTGCATTCCAGTCTGGGTGACAGAGCAAGACCCTGTCTCTTAAAAAAAAAAAAAGCCACATCTTGCGTATGGTTTACAGAGGCCTGCATGTGAAGCAGCCCCACATAGGCTCCCTGGCCTTGCTGTTTCACAGGCAGACCAAGCATGCAGCCAGCTTAAGGCCTATGTACTTCTTCCCCTCAACCTAGAACTTCTCAAGGAGGCCCACCCTGGCCACCTAACTCAGAATTTCAGCCCTCCCCGCTCTCCTCTGCCTCTTGCTCGCAATACCTAGCTCTATTTTCACACAATCTGACCTACTACATAATTTACCTAATTATTATGTTTATTGCTTATTGACTGTGTCCTTTCACTAGAGTGTGAACTCAAGGACAAGACATTTTGTCTGCTTTGTTTACTGATGTATCACAAGTGACCAGAACAGCATGTGCCTCATTATAAGGCTGACAGATGAGTGACAGAGTAACGTGACAGAGCTGCAGTTCAAACCAGAGTGTATCTGACTCTACAGCCTTCATTCAGGCATTTTTTTTGTTTTAAATCAATGTGCAGATTGCATACAGTGGAGTGCATGGGTTTTGGATATAAGCCCTGTGGGTTTCTGCTGGTGTGTAGGCCCGTAACGTTGCCGTTGTTGGCCAGAGGGCTCCCTCATATCCCTTCCAATCAGTGCCTCCACCTGCCTTGGTCACTGTACTGGCATCACCACATGTTGGTCTTACCTGTTCTTGAACTTCACGTGGATGGTAAGACAGTACGTGGTCTTTTGGGTCTGGCTCTTCCGGCTCAGTGTAGTGGTTTTGAATCATCCATGTTGACACATGTATCATAGCTTGGTCTTTTTTGTGTACTACATTTTGTTTGTTCATTCTTCTGTTGGTGGGTGTGTTGTTTCCAGTATAGGACCATTGTGAGTGGAGCTGCTTTGAACCTTATTTTTTAATTTTTTATTTAATTTTAAAATTGACCGATCTTACATATTCATGGGGTACGTAGAGATGTTTTGATACATGCAATGTATGATGAACAGAACAGGGGGATTAGCATACCCATCATCTCAAACGCTGATCATTTCTTTGTGTTGAGAACATTGACTCTCCTCCTCCTAGCTATCTGTAATTAATATTATTATTAACTGTAGTCATCTTTCTGAACACTAGAGCTTATTCCTCCTATCTAGCTGTAATTTTGTACCCTTTAAGAAATCTCTCCATTTTCCTCCCTTTCCCCTGCTATTCTCAGCCTCTGGTATCATCTGTTCTACTTTTTACTTCTATGAGATTAACTTTTTTAGCTTCCATGTGTGAGTGAGATCATGCAGTGTTTTACTTTCTATTCCCAGCTTATTTCACTTAACACAATATTCTCAGTTCCATCCATGTTGCTGCAAATGACAGGATCTCACACTTTTTTATGGCTGAATAGTACTCCATGGTATGTGCACACCACATTTTCTTTATCTGTTCCTCTGTTGTCGGACCCCTAGGTTGATTCCTTCTCTTGGCTATTGTGAACGGTGCTCGGTAAACATGGGGGTCTGCATTGTCTCCCTGATACAATAATTTCCTTTCCTTTGAACCGATTCCCAGTAGTGGGATTGCTGGATCATGTGGTAGTTTTATTTGTAGTTTTTTGAAGGAACCTCCATGCTGTTCTCCATAGTGGCTGCACTAGTTCACATTCACTAGTTACAACAGTGTAGAAGAGTTCGCTTTTCTCTGCATCCTCTCCAGCATTTGTTATTTTTTGTCTTTTTGATAGTAGCCAGCCCAACTGGGGAATATGATACCTCATTGTGGTTTCGATTTGCGTTTCCCTGATGATTAGGGATGTTGAATTTTTTTTTTATATGTTCGTTGGCTATTTGTATGTTTTCTTTTGAGAAATGTCTGTTCAGATCGTTTGGCGATTTTTTTAATCGGATTTTTTTTTTTTTTTTTTGGCCGTTGAGATATTTCAGTTCTTTGTATATTCTGGGTATTAATCCCCCCATCAGATGAGTAGTTTACAAATATTTTGTCTTATTCTTTTCACTCTGTAGATTGTTTCCTTTGCTGTGCAGAAGCTTTGAACGTTCTTGTACCTGTCTTGTTGTGGTGTGCCTTCCTTTCTCTTGGGTTCCCTTGGGAGCTGGTTATAGGAGTAGACACACACAAACACACACACATATATGTAAAATCTAATCAACTACCAAATGGTTTTCTCGAGTAACTGTACCATTTTCCACTGTCCCCAGCCATGAGTGTAAGTTCTGGTTACCCTACATCTTCACCAGCACTTGGAATTATCAGCCTTTATAATTTTGCTGTAAAATTATTTTCTGCTGTAGAAAAACCAATTAAAGCAGGAGTGTCATCAGGGAAAGACTCTTCTCTTCAGGCCTTGTATCCTACATTTTCACTGCATGAGAAGCGCCCACCAGTGAAACACAGGGTAGCAGGAAACCTGGGGTGGGCAGCTAACTAACCCAGCTTCCTAATCACTGAGACTACTTCGTTACAATGTCTTGCCAGACACAGTCAGCATGAGTCATCCTCACAACTATATCTAGGAGTCTTTCCATCAAATGTGTGCAAATGCGGGTTTATGGAGAAATTTATCTTACTTCCTTAGTGTTCTCTGTTATATTAAGGTATATGTTAAAAAGTTCATTTATAATTAAAATAATTCTTCTAATTTGCTAATAAAATGCTTTATACCAACTTCAATTGGTCTCTGGACTGTGATAGGCCTAAGTGTGCATCATGTCTTGACTACTTCCTATGTGACCTGGGGACATTTTCTTAACTTCCAGCATCCGTATCTGTAAAATAGGTATAATACCCACCTCTTAGCATTACTGTGAAACTTAAAAGAGATAATGAAATGCATGTCAGGCAACTAGTACCTGATAGATACTGAATGAGGGATAAACATTTTCTTGTACTTTGAAGAATTAGAATACATTTGAGTCCCCAAGTACCCTTGAGTCATGCCATTGAAAACAAACAAAAAAAAATCCTGTTGAACTGATTGCCACAGGTTTCAAAATCAGTGTGTTGTGTGGCATTTCTGTGAAAACATGGAACATATCCAGTCTTGCTGTTGCTTTACCTAAGGTACTAAATCTTTCTTGGCCATCTTGTTAACATGAGGTGCCGTGGCATAAAGGTCTGTCTTGTCTATTTATTCAACAAATATTTATTGGTCTGTGATGTTTTTTCCTCCTAACATAATTCTGCCATATTATCCTATGATGTTTTATATGTTATGTAAGAGCCTTCTGGGGCATAATAGAGCAGCAGCACAGAACGTAACGTGATTGTTTGCTTTTCCCGCTGCGCTGTGTAGCCCACATCCTTCTACAACTCCAACAACTGGTTCAGTACCAGGCGCAGAGTGAATGTTCTCTAAATGTGGGCAGTGTTGATGAGTGAAGAATCTTAAGCAGAGAAGAAACTCATGTCCCTGACTGACTCCTGTGAGACGTTTATCTTGCAGTGAGTTTATTCAGCAGCCACAAATCAATTTGAAGGTGGAAAATGTTTGCTTTGAAAACAAGGAAAAACCTAACCCATCAGAAGCGTTCATGATTAGCAGTCTGCAAAAGTTGATCATACACATTGAGTTATCCTCGTCATACCCAACCAAAACAGAGCCGAGAAACTAGGGGAAAGGCACTCAAGGCATTGCTCCAGAAATGGAATTCTCTGCAAACCTGGCTGCTGAAACTGCCTGCTATAACCTGAAACCTGTTTTATCTGATGTCTACTGTGACGACGTGCTGCAGCTCTAAGACTAGCTTTGCCCACCACTCTCACTCACCTATCAGAGATTGCCAGTTTCCCAAAACCTTTCTTGTGCCGATGAACTTTCTCAAAGAGCAATAGTAACATTTCTCTTTTTTATAAAACATCTAAGCTTCTCTTTGTTCTTTGGACATACTGAAGACTACCTGATCTACAGGTATGCTCCCAATTGCAGCAGTTTTTTTCTTCTCAAATAAAACATTTGAATTTCAGAGATTTGTTTCTATTTTATTTGATTTTGGCAAGCCTCAGATGAGGACGAACGTTGGGCATATTCAGTCTTTTCCATTGGCTCATCCCAGTCATGTCCCATTTCATTTTGAGCCATCATTTTTTGCCTTGATGAAGGCACAAAATTCAGTTAAACAATGTACGTAGTTAACTACATTTGTTTTTGTTTGTTTGTTTGTTTGTTTTTTGAGATGGAGTCTCCCTCTGTCACCCAGGCTGGAGTGCAATGGCGCAATCTTGGCTCACTGCAGCCTCCACCTCCCGGGTTCAAGCGATTCTCCTGCCTCAGCCTCCCACATTTCTTTTTATTTTTAAGAGAATGGGATCTTTCTATGTTGCCCAGGCTGGCCTCGAACTACTGGGCTCAAGCAGTCCTCCCACCTCAGCCTCCTGAGTAGCTGGGACTGCAGGAGTTAACTACATTTCTGAATAGCCATTTGTGAACTGTAATAATCCCTTTGATATCAGTAGAACCAGAGTTCCCTGTGGGACAGCACATCTCTGCTCTGAAGGGAAGGGAGAAACAGGCGGTACTGTGGGCAGTCATTGAAGGGGGGATTTTGGAGGAAACAGCATGAACCCAGATGGCTCCAGAGCAACAGATGTCAGGAGAGTGTTTTAGGACATCAGAGTTGAGGGCACCCAGGTCACAGGCTGAGGAGGCGGTGACGTGATGGGGAAGGGCCAGGCCCTGGGATGAGGGGTGGTTCACTTCCTACTGCTGCTGTGACGAGTGGCCACAAACTTCGTGACTTCACACAACACACGTTTATTATCTTGCATTTCTGCAGGTCAGAAGTCCAAAATAGGTTTCACTGGGCAGCACGGAAGGTGTGGACAGGGTGGTGCTCCTTCTGGAGGCTGCAAGGAAGGACTGTTTTCTTGCCTTTTCCTGCTTCTTGAGGCTGCATATTCCTTGGCTCCTGACCCCCTCCCTCCATCTTCAAGGCCATCAGCCATATCTCCAGTCCCTGCTTCCTCCTTTGACTCTTTCCTCCCTGGCCCCCTCTTTTAAAGGCTCTTGTGATCATATTGGGTCCACCCAGATAATCCAGGATAATCTCCCCATCTCAGGAGCCTTAACTTAATCACATCTGCACAGTCCCTTTTGCCATGGGACTTTGCCAAGGTACCATATTCACAGGTTTTGGGGATTAGGAGATGACATCTGGGTGGTGGGGGCTGGGTATTTGGTCCACCACAAAGAGATTAGTTAGAATCCAGCTCTGTCATTTACTGGCTGTAAGTGAATTTGGGCAGGTCACTACTCCACTTGAAATGTTTTTCTGTTGCATGCGTAGAACAGTGAGCCCCCCAACACACATCCACACAGTCCTGTTTTTGAGGTCTAGGTAAAATGATATAGATGAAGAGACCTGATAAGCTTTCATACATTTTATTTGATTTTGATTCTAGCTTAAAGCAAAGAAAGAGATTTATTTGTTTTTCTTTGTGTTAGTCAGCAGATCTTTGAAAGTACTTGGGTGACTGGGCGTGGTGGCTCACGCCTGTAATCCTAGCACTTTGCCAGGCCGAGGCAGGCGGATCACCTGAGGTCAGGAGTTCGAGACCAGCCTGGCCAACATGGTGAAACCGGTCTCTACTAAAAATACAAAAATTAGCCAGACATGATAGTGGGTGCCTGTAATCCCAGCTACCCAGGAGGCTGAGGCAGCAGAATTGCTGGAACACGGGAGGTGGAGGCTGCAGTGAGCCAAAATCATGCCACTGCACTCCAGCCTGGGAGACAGAGTGAGACTCTGTCTCAAAAAAAAAAGAAAGAAAGTTCTTGAGTGAGGTTAATTCAAAACCAGAATTTAGTTCTGTTGACCTGGATTTGTCCTCCTTTAAAAAAAAAACAAAACATGAATTATATTAATTTCTTCACATACTCTTGTTAATCTGATTTTAGCTAGAAGCCATTTTAGGAAACTTAATGTAACAAATATTTGCTGAGCAACTATATACTGTGCCCAGCATTTGGGCAGATGTTGGGGAGAGAGCGGTGGAGAGGCAAGCCTGCTGCCTGCCCGCCGGAAGTTACACTCCAGTGGCATGATAGGAATTGTGCTGGGGACACATCACAGACTTTGCAAGGCATCGGGGGAAGTTCTCCTGGCAAAAATGCATAACCCAAGGCTGAGGAGGCGTTAGGTGGCAGGGTGGTGCCAACAGAAGGAACAGCAGCCTCCAAAGGCCCTGAGGCGAGAGAGGGTGGCACTGCCACGGAGCCAAAGGAAAGTTAGTGTGGCTGGAGCTGAGGGAGGGCTGTGGAGATGCAAGACAGGGGCCTGAGCAGGGCCTAGAGGGCCTCAGCACGGAGGAAAAAAGAGGTATGAAATCCAGCCGGATTCTCTGGACTTGTCATGACTCTGGTAAGCAACATCCCTCATGTGTACCGTTCCCCAGAACCTCTCCCAGGAGAAGAATGTGTAAAGACTTTGACCACCCAGGCAGCCATAGAAAGGCAGCTTCCAGAGTCTCCCTCCCACTCCTGCTGGAAGTCCAGGGTGGCCCTGCTGTGGTAAGGCCAAGGTAAAGTCAGAGCAGAGTTACTGAGACTCCACAGTGAGGGACAATCCTGTCACTTTTGAGTTGCGGGGAATTTCTTGATTTGTGGCACTGAAGATTTTCTGCATATTTGGAGCAAAATGCAGCTGAAATAGAATTTGTGACCATTTAACTATTTCCTGCCAAATGATGTATGTTTTGTTTGTGTGGATTATCTCCTCTTGCTAAAGATTTACATCTGTACATCTGTCAGGTGTGATCAGGTGGAAAGTAGAAGAGGAACTGTGTGATTCTCCTCCCTTGGTCTCCTCTTCCCCCTCAGAAATGGCTCCAACATACTAGGCATGGAGAATATTTTGCCTTTGGCTTGAGATGAATGATATCCATGGAAGTTCATGCAATAATGTACCTTTTGACACTTAACTTTAGAAGCTGGGCATGGTGGCATGTGCCTGTGGTCCCAGCTACTCAGGAGGCCAAGACGGGGAGGATCCTTGGGCCCAGGGCTCCAGTCTGGGCAACATAGTGAGACCCATCTCTTAAAAGTATAAACATTAAGTAAGAGGGGATGCTCTTCTACTGAGAGAGGGGACCCCTGGGACTGAGGACAGCGTTCTCACATTCTTACTTCAGGTAAGGCAGATTGCCTAACCAATTGTTCATCACTTTTCTCGCAAGTTCCTCGCATATGACAGCATCTTCCTTCTCTGTTTTTCTAGGCTATTCAGCTTGACCCTGAAGAAACTCGTCATGCTAAAAGAAATGGACAAAGATCTTAACTCAGTGGTCATCGCTGTGAAGCTGCAGGTGAGTGGGGCAGGACTGTTTGTTCAGGGCCCAGGGAAGCTGGATAACCATTTGCCCACTGCTGCGGCTTCAGAAACACTACTGGGACCACCTCTGTCTTCCTCCTCTCAGCACAGCAAGGTGCACAGTGGAAAGATAACAGAGCTCACAGGACCTTCTGAGCCCAGCTCTGCCTCTTGGTTAGGGCACTCAGTTTCTTCAAACCTATCTTTGTCTGAAGAACAGAAATGGTTTTTCCTACACATACTGTGAGGATCAAGTGATATAGATCCTAAAGTGTTTATTGTAAACTACTCAGAAATTACTAGGCTGGCTAGCTTTGGTTTCAGTCTTAGTCCCAGGATTGCTAGATCCAGGTAGATGCACGGGTATGGGAAGCACTTTGGAGGTTTTCTTTTATTTTCTTTTGAGACAGAGTCTCGCTCTGTCACCCAGGCTGGAGTGCAGTGGCGCGATCTCGGCTCACTGCAAGCTCCGCCTCCCGGGTTCACGCCATTCTCCTGCCTCAGCCTCCCTTGTAGTTGGGACTACAGGCGCCTGCCACCACGCCCGGCTAATTTTTTTGTATTTTTAGTAGAGACAGGGTTTCACTGTGTTAGCCAGGATGGTCTCGATCTCATGACCTCATGATCCGCTTGCCTCAGCCTCCCAAAGTGCTGGGATTACAGGCGTGAGCCACCGCGCCCAGCCTGCACTTCAGAGGTTTTCTATAGGGTGGAAGAAACTTACAGATTGTTATTTCAGACTTGGCAATTTAAAGTTTACTGGGATATTTTATCTCTATATAAATCCCACTTATAACTCCTTACATTTGGTATATTCAAGGGACCCAAAATATTTCACAAACATTTGTATTCTTAAGTATTCCTGAATTTAAGGAAAAGAGAAGGGAAAAGCTGAATTATAGAAGGGCTCAGGAATTTACCTGTTGCCAGCTAATTACCAAGCGACAGAACTTGGACCAGAAACTAAAGAGTGGGTAATTTGTGTGCTCATTAAATCCCATCACCAGACCTCCCTTAACTGATTAATCCTTTCTGCTGATGACTCCCTGGAGTAGAGTGAGATTCTGCAGTGCCTCTGGAGTCACTAAATAATGACTGGAGTCTTCAGCTTAAGGATGGTGTATTTACTGAATTCTTATTCATTGAAAAATAGCAAACTGTATGATAACTCCCTACTAACCAGAATATTTTATTAGCTAGTTCACCTACTATGCTGCAGTTTATTGTACTATATCACCTTCATTAAAATCCACTTCTATATCACTCTCAGTGTGTGAATCATATATTGAGGTGCCTCGGCCTCTTTCTGGGATAAAGACGTTAGTCCCAAATACATAATTTAGTTCTCAAAACTTAAAATGTTGGGCCGGGCACTGTGGCTCACACCTGTAATCCCAGCACTTTGGGAGGCTGAGGTGGTGGATCACTCAAGGTCAGGAGTTCGAGACCAGCCTGGCCAACATGGTGAAACCCCATCTCTACTAAAAATACAAAAATTAGCCAGGCGTGCATGTAGTTCCAGCTACTCAGGGGGCTGAGGCAGGAGAATTGCTTGAGCCTGGGAGGGAGAGGTTGCAGTGAGCTGAGATTGTGCCACTGCACTCCAGCCTGGGTGACAGAATGAGACTCCATCTCAAAACAACAACAACAAAAACTTAAAATGTTTTAATTACTCATGAATTCCTGTGTGTCCCACCTTATATTCTAATTCCCTGTTCATTTTATGCATAATTCCTTCCAAATCTATGAAATGTTCCCAGACACTGTGTTGGGAAAGCAAGTGTGGGACAGCAATGTGAACTATTAGTGTCTTGTCCTCCTCTCCCGATTTTGGTCCCCATTTCTAGGTCACAGGCAGTGTTCCCGTTTTCAGGAATTGCTTCCTTTGCTAAAGAATGTTGCTGTCCTGTGCCGACACCATTGGGGTGGTTTTGAAAGTTCCCCACTGCGTTTGCCATCCCTGCAGCTAAATGCTTTTGCCAAAGAAATAATTTATTTCCTGATTAAATATTTAAGATTCTATAATTCTAAATTATACCAAAACTACAAATATTTTGAATTTTTAAATTGTTCTACTTCCAAGCAGCTGAAAGTAATTACAGATGTCACCACATTCATTTATTCAGTCACTTATTTATGCATTCATATAATAAATACTTATTGAGCATCTATTATGTGCCAAACATTGTTCTAGGCACAGGGGATACAGCAGTGATCAAAACAGACAAAAATCCCTGCCTTTAAGAAGCGTTGAGCAGTAATTCCCCAAAGGAGATCTGCAGACCCTGAGGTCTCTAAGACACTTCCAGGGGGTACAGGAGGCCACAACTATTTTCATGATAATACTGTGGCATTATTTGCCTTTTTCAGCATGTTGACTTTTGCACTGAAAGTACAAGAGCAACAGTGGATAAAGCTGCTGGTGCCTCAGCACAAATGCCCCCAATGTCCCAGAGGTCATTGTGTTGTTTACCATCTCATGAGTGAAATAAGAAGATAAAAGGGCTGGGCACAGTGGCACACCCCTGTAGTCCCAGCTACTTAAGAGGCTGGGGCATGCGGGTCACTTGAGCCTAGGAGCTGGCTGGAATGAGCTGTTTGTGCCAGTGCACTCCAGCCTGGGTGACAGAGCAAGACTCCGACCCAAACAAGGGAGAGAAAGCCAGTTTTGCTTAAGAATGTTCTTAAGAAAGCAGTAAAACGTGTTAATTTATTATATCTCAACCTTGAGTCTGCATCTTTTTCATATTTTGTGTGATGAGATGGGACGTGTACACTGAGCACTTCTGCCTTGCAGCAAAGTTCGATGTCTGTCTCTAAGACTAGAGCCTGTGTGAGGTGGAGCTACTGAGTTGTGAACCACAGTAGCTGCTTTTTTCATGAACACCATTTTTACTTCAAAGAGGGACTTCCAGACAAACAGGTTATTTAGACTCAGGTATTTGGAAGGTGTTTCCTTAAAATTGAACAGAGTTACCCTATCAATTCAGGGAAAACAACTTAATATTGGTTGCCAATGATAAATAAAATTTGACCTTTTTTTTTGTTTGAGACAGAGTCTCGCCCTGTTATTCAATGGCGTGATCTCGGCTCACTGCAATCTCCATCTCCTGGGTTCAAGTGATTCTCCTGCGTCAGCCTCCTGAGTAGCTGGGACTACAGGCACCCACCACCATGCCTGGCTAATTTGTGTATTTTTAGTAGAGACGGGGTTTTACCATGTTGGCCAGGTTGGTCTCGAACCCCTGACCTCAGGTAATCTGCCCACCTTGGCCTCCCAAAGTGCTGGGATTACAGGCATGAGCTACCACACCTGGCCAAAATTTGAGCTTTTAAGTAAAAATTAGAATTTTGGAAAACTTGCTTCTGTCACTGAAAGCTTAACAGCTTCCCAGTTCTTAAAGACTTTTCTGAAGAAGTCAGAAGTGATATTAAACATTTTTAGTTTTTTATATTGTATAATATGTAACATTTGAATATTTTCTAAATGACTAATGCATGAGTTTACAAAATCATGCTGGATAAAAGATCCTTTCAAAGAACAAAATAGACCAGTGGATTGGGTTTTTAACTTTCTATTTTAAAATACTTTTAAATGTATCCAAGAGATGCAGGGTTAGTCTAAAGAGTTCCTGTATACCCCACCCAGCTTCTCCCAACACTAATATCTCTCTTAACCATGGTACATTTATCAAAACTAAGAAATTATCATTGGTATGATACTATTAATTAAATTCGACTTCAGATTTCCTAGTTTTTTCATTAACGTTCTTTTTCTGTTAATTGGATTTTAACATATAAGAGCACAAAAGTCTTATTGATATTATTTAAAATTCTACTTTGGAAAAAAAATTTTTACTTTGCAACTAATCTTTAGGAAACTACCACTTAGAGAGTTAATGGTGTAGTATCAAAGGAAAATAGTCCACAACTGGCTGGTCACAATGGCTCATACCTGTAATCCCAGCACTTTAGGAGGCCAAGGTGAGAGGATTGTTCAAGCCCAAGAGTTCAAGACCATCCTGGGCAACACAGCAAGACCCCATCTTTACCAAAAATAAAAACTATCTGGGCATGGTGGCATATGCCTGCAGTCCCAGCTATTTGGGAGGCTGAGGCAGGAGGATTGCCTAAGCCCAGGAGTTCAAGTTTACAATGAGTTATGATCACACCACTGCACTCTACCCTGGGCAACAGAACGAGACCTTGTCTCTAAAAATAAAAAATAAAAAATAAATAAAAAATTCCACAGTTGTCTGAAAAGGCTGTTAAAATGCTCCTCTGTTTTCCAACTGTATATCACTTTGCGTCTGGATTTTTTTCATATACTCAACCAAAGTAATGTTTTGCAACACATTGAGTCCAAAATAGGAATGAGAATCTAGTTGTTTTCTATTAAGTCATTCATTAAAAAGATTTACAGAAATGTAAAACTATGCCATCTCCCTCATACACTGCTGTTGGGAATGTAAAATAATGCAGCCACTGTGTTGTTTTGTTTTGCTTTTGTTTTTATTTTAGAGACAAGGTCTTGCTGTGTTGCCCAGGCTGCTCTCAAACTCCTGGCCTCAAGCAATCCTCTCGCCTTGACCTCCCAGTGCTGGGATTATAGGCTTGTGCCACCATGCCCGGTTCTCAAAAGGTTAAAGACTGAGTAACCATATGACTTAGCAATTCTACTCCTAGGTATGTCCACAAGAGAAATGAAAACACACAAAATCTAACATGCAAATGTTCATAACAGAATTATTCACGAGCTAAAAAGTAGAAACAATCCAAGTCCATCAACTGATCAATGGATAAATAAAATGTGGTCTAGTCATACAGCTTCGGAATACTATTTGGCAATAAAAAAGAATGAAGTACCTCCATGCTCCAGGTGGATGAACCTTGAAAACATGATGCTAAGTGAAAGAAGCAAGACACAAAAAACCACATATTGTATGATTCCATTTATATGAAATAGGCAGATCCCTAGGGTCAGGAAATAGATTGTAGTTGCCAGGGGTTAGGGGTGGGGGTGGGCAGACTGCAGAGGGTGATAATTAAAGAATATGAGGTTTCTTTGTTGAATGATGAGAATGTTCTGACACTGACTGTGGTGATGGTTGCACAGCGCTGAACATAGTGAAAGCCATTGAATTGTACACTTTAAATGGGTGAATTGTGTGGTATTTGAATTATATCCCAGTAAAGCTGTAATTTTTTTAAAAAACTATGTCTTCTCACTAAATTATTTTTGTTTGGGGAACATATATTTTTCATTTTAAAACTTTGTATGTAAACACATAATAGGTTTATTGTTAATTTTAAATGGATTAATAAATATTTTAAAATATCTGTTTTAATTCATAATATGGTGACTATTGATAGATAAACCTACATAAACAAAATATTGATAGATATACCTACATACACAAAAGCTATTTGGGATTCTTTCTAAAAGTGTAAAAAGGGCCGGGCGTGGTGGCTCACGCCTATAATCCCAGGACTTTGGGAGGCCAAGGCAGGTGGATCATGAGGTCAGGAGATCGAGACCATCCTGGCTAACATGGTGAAACCCCATCTCTACTAATAATACAAAAAATTAGCCAAGCGTGGTGGCGGGCACCTGTAGTCCCAGCTACTTGGGAGGCTAAGGCAGGAGAATGGCGTGAACCCAGGAGTCGGAGCTTGCAGTGAGCCGAGATCGCACCACTGCACTCCAGCCTGGGCAACAGAGCGAGACTCCATCTCAAAAAAAAAAAAAAAAGAGGGAGGGGGGATGAAGTTGAACTATAGAGTTTTTATTGGTTTTCTCTTTGCTTCTTTGTTTTTTGTTTTTGCAATCAGAGTTAACTTACCATTCAGTTTAAAATAATGTTTTATAAGATGTTATTTGCAAGCCTCATGGTAACTGCAAATCAAAAAACCCTAAAACAGATACACAAAAAATAAAAAGCAAGAAATTAAAAACATACCATCAGAGAAAATGACTTTCACAAAAAGAAAGACAAGAAGGAAAGAAGGAAGGAAGATAAGACCACAAAACAACCAGAAAACAAATAACAAAATGGCAATAGTAAGGCCTTACTTATCAATAATAACATTGAATGTAAATGGACAAAATTCTGCAATCAAAAGACGTGGAGTAGTTGAATGCATTAAAAAACAAGACCCAGCTGGGCACGGTGGCTCATGCCTGTAATCCCAGCACTTTGGGAGCCCAAGGCGGGCAAATCATGAGGTCAGGAGTTCGAGACCAGCCTGGCCAACACAGTGAAACCCCATCTCTACTAAAAATACAAAAAATTAGCTGGGTGTAGTGGCGTACACCTGTAATCCCAGCTACTCGGGAGGCTGAGGCAGGAGAATCGCTGGAATCTGGGAGGTGGAGGTTGCAGTGAGCCCAGATTGCACCACTGCACTCCAACCCAGGCAACTGTGCGAGACTCTGTCTCAAAAAAACAAAAACAAAAACAAAACAAAACAAAAAAAAAAACAAGACCCAGCTAGGCACAGTGGCTCATGCCTATAATCCCAGCACTTTGGGAGGCTGAGGTGAGAGTATTGCTTGAGCTCAGGGGTTTGAGACCAGCTTGGGCAACATAGTAGGACCTTGGGTCTACAAATAATTTGAAAAATTAGCTGGATGTGGTGGTGTGCACCTGTAGAGTCATCTACTCAGGAGTCTGAGGTAGAAGGATCACTTGAGCTCAGGAGGTTAAGGCTAAAGTGAGCTATGATTGTGCCAGTACACTCCACCTTGGGCAACAGAGTGAGACGCTGTCTCAGAAAAACAAAAACGAAAACATGATCCAAACATCTATCGCCTACGAGAATCACACTTGACCTGTAAAGACACATAGAGACTAAAAATAAAGGGTTGGAAAAATATACTCTATGCAAATGGAAACAAACAAAAAAAAAAAGAGTAGGAATAGCTATACTTATATCAGACAAAATAGATTTCAAGACAAAAATTGTAAAAATTGATAAGTTCATTATATAATGATAAAGGGGTCAACTCAGCAAGAAGATATAACAATTGTAAATATATATGCACCTAACACTGGAGCACCCAGATATATAAAGCAAATATTACTAGAGCTAAAGAGAGTGTTAGACCCCATTACAACAATAGCTAGAGACTTTAACACCCCACTTTCAGCATTGGAAAGATCATCCAGACAAAATAAAGAAACATCAGACTTAACCGCACTATAGACCAAATGGACCGAATAGATATTTACAGAACATTTCTTCCAATGGCTGCAGAATACACTTTTTTTTTTCATTAGCATGTGGATCATTCTCAAGGATAGGCCATATGTTAGGTTACAAAACAAGTCTTAAAACATTCAAAAAAAAAAAAAGTTGAGGCCAGGTGTGGTGACTCACGCCTGTAATCCCAGCACTTTGGGAGGCCAAGGTGGGTGGATCATGAGATCAGGAGATCCATAGCATCCTGGCCAAAATGGTGACAGCCCGTCTGCCCTAAAAATACAAAAATTAGCTGGGCGTGGTGGCAGGCGCCTGTAGTCTCAGCTACTCAGGAGGCTGAGGCAGGAGAATTGCTTGAACCCTGGAGGTGGAGGTTACAGTGAGCGGAGATTGCGCCACTGCACTCCAACCTGGGTGACAGAGTGAGCCTCTGTCTCAAAAAAAAAAAAAGTTGAAATAATATCAGGCATCTTCCCTGACCATAATGGAATAAAACTAGAAATCAATAGCAAGGAATTTTGAAAGCAATAGGCACACATGGAATTAAACAGTATGCTCCTAAATGACCAGTGGGTCAATGAATAAATTAAAAAGGAAAATTGAAATTTTCTTGAAGCAAATGATAATGGAAACACAACATATCAAAACCTATGGGATACAGCAAAAGCAGTACCAAGAGGGAAATTCGTAGCTATAAGTGCCTACATCAAAAAAGAAGAAAGACTTCAAATAAACAACTTAATGATGCTTCTTAAAGAACTAGAAAAGCAAGAGCAAACCAAACCCAAAATTAGTAGAAGAAAAGAAATAATGAACATCATAGCAGAAATAAATGAAATTGAAAAAAAAAAGTCAACAAAACAAAATGTTTTGGGTTTTTGTTTTTTTTTTTTCTGAGACGGAGTTTTACTCTTGTTGCCCATGCTGGAGTACAGTGGTGCAATCTCAGCTCATTGCAACCTCTGCCTCCCAGGTTCAAGTGATTCTCCTGCCTCAGTCTCCTGAGTAGTTGGGATTACAGGCGCGCACCACCATCGCGGCTAATTTTTGTATTTTTAGTAGAGACGAGGTTTCACCTTATTGGCCAGGCTGGTCTTGAACTCCCAGCCTCAGGTGATCTGCTTGCCTTGGCCTTCGGTGCTGGGATTACAGGTGTGAGCCATCACACCCGGCCAAAGAGTTGTTTTTTGAGAAGACAAAATGGATAAACCTTTAGCCAGACCAAATAAGAAAAAAAGAGAGAAGACACAAATAAATCAGAGATGAAAAAAGAGGTGACTGACACTGCAGAAATTCAAAGGATCATTAGTGGCTGCTATGAGCAGCTATATACCGATAAACTGGAGAACCTAGAAGAAATGGATAAATTCCTGGAAAGATACAACCTTCCAAGATTGAACCATGAAGAAATTCAAAACCTGAATAGACCAATAACAAAAAATGAGCTAGATGCCATTAACAAAGTCTTCCAGCAAAGAAAAGCCCAGGCCTTGATAGCTTCACTACTGAATTTTACCAAACATTTAAGAAGAACTGTTTCAAAAAATAGAGAATAATTCCAGACTCAATCTATGAAACCAATATTCCTCTGATACCAAAACCAAAGAAAGTGACAGGGCAGTATCTCTGATGACCACTGATACAAAAATCATCAAGAAAATACTAGCAGAGTTCAGCAACACATTAAAAACATCATTCATCATGACCAAGTGAGATCCCAGGGATGTGCAAGGATGGTTCAGCATACACAAATCAATTAATGTGATACATCATATCAACAGAATGAAGGACAAAACCCATGTGATAATCTCAATTGATGCCAAATGGCTGGGTGTTGTGGCTCCCACCTGTAATCCCAGCACTTTGGGAGGCCAAGGTAGATGGATCGCTTGAGGCCAAGAATTTGAGACCAGCCTGGGCAACATGGCAAAACCTCATCTCTAGGAAAAAAAAAAAAAAAAATATATATATATATATATATATATATATATATATATATATTCTGAAAAAGCATTTGATAAAATTCAACAAGGCTTCATGATAAAAATCCTCAAAAAATGGGTATAAAAGAAACATACCTCAACACAATAAAAGCCATATATGACAGACCTATCACTTGTATCAGACTGAACGGAGAAAAACTGAAAGCCTTTCCTTTAAGATCTGGAACAAGACAAGGATCATCACTTTCACCACTGTTATTCAGTATAGTACTGGAAGTCCTAACTAGAGCAGTCAGGCAAGAGAAAGAAATAAAGGCATCCAGATTGGAAAGGAAGAAATCAAATTATCCTTGTTTGCAAATGATATGCTCTTCTATGTGGAAAAACCTACACTTCACAAAATAACTATTAGAACTGATAAAATCAGTGAAGTTGCAGGATACAAAATCAACATACAGAAAATAGGTAGCATTTCTATATGTCAACAGTGAACAATCTGAAAAAGAAATCAAGAAAGTAATCCCATTTACAAGAGCTACAAATAAGATACCTAGGAATAAACTTAACCAAAGAAGTGAAATATCTCTATATTAAAAACTGTAAAACATTGATGCAAGAAATCTAAATAGACACACAAAAAATGGAAAGATATTCCATATTCATGGATTGGAAGAATCAATATTGTTAAAATGTCCATACCACCCAAAGCAATCTACAGATTCAATGCAATCCCTATCAAAATACCAATGACATTCTTCACAGAAATAGAAAAAAAAAATCCTAAAATGTATATGGAACCACAGAAGACCCAGAATAGCCAAAGCCATCCTGAGCACAAAGAACAAAATTAGAGAAATCACATTATCTGACTTCAAATTATACTACAGAACTATAGTAACCAAAACAGCATGGTGCTGGCATAAAAACAAACACCTACACCAATGGAAGAGAATAGATAATCTAGCAATAAATCCATACATCTACAGTGAACTAATTTTCAACAAAGGTGCCAAGAACATACACTGGGGAAAGGACAATCTCTTCAATAAATGATGCTGGGAAAACTGGATATCTATATGCAGAGGAATTAAACTAGACTGTTGTCTCTCACTATATACAAAAATCAGATAAAAATTGACTGGAGACTTAACTCTAATACCTGAAACTATGACACTACTAAAAGAAAACATTTTTCCAACTGCTTTGGCCACTAAAATAATAAAAATAAAAGAAAACATTGGGGAAACTCTCCAGGAAATTGATCTGGGCAGAGATTTCTTGTGTAATACCTGGCACTGGCAACCAAAGCAAAAATGGACAAATGGGATCACATCAAGTTAAAAAGCTTCTGGGCCAGGCACGGTGGCTCATGCCTGTAATCCCAGCACTTTGAGAGGCCAACAAGGGATCCCTTGTCCATCTGACAAGGGATTAATAACCAGACTATATAAGGAGCTCAAACAACTCAGGAAAATATCTAATAATCCGATTAAGAAATGGGCAAACGATCTGAATAGACATCTCTCAAAAGAAGACCTACAAGTGGCAAACAGGCATATGAAAGGGTATGTAACATCATTAATTGTCAGAGAAATGCTAATCAAAACTACAATGAGATATCATCTCACCCCAGTTAAAATGGCTTTTATCCAAAAGACAGGCAATAGTGAATCCTGGTGAGGATGTAGAGAAAAGGGAACCCTCGTACACTGTTGGTAGGAATGTAAGTTAGTATAGCGAATATGGAAAATAGTATGGAGTTTCCTCAAAAAACCAAAATAGTCCCATGTAGCACTATTCACAATAGCCAAGATTTGGAAGCACCTAAGTGTCCATCAACAGACAAACTGATAAAGAAAATGTGGTACATATACACAATGGAGTACTATGCAGCCATAAAAAAGAATGAGTTCCTGTCATTTGCAATAACATGGATGGAACTGGAGGACATTATGTTAAATGAAATAAGCCAGGTACAGAAAGACATACTTTGAATGTTCTCACTTACTTCTGGGAGTTAAAAATTAAAGTCATGGAGATAGTCTAATGATGGTTACCACAGGCTCATATGGGCAGTCGGGCAGTGATGATAGTTAATGGATACAAAAACATAGAATGAATAAGACCTGGTATTTGGCCAAGCATGGTGGCTCACGCCTGTAATCCTAGCACTTTGGGAGGCTGAGGTAGGAAGATTCCTTGAGTCCAGTAGTTTGAGACCAGCCTGAGCACCATAGTGAAACCCCATCTCTATTTTTTAAAAACTTTTTTTTTTTTGAAACGGAGTTTCACTCTTGTTGCCTAGGCTGCAGTGCAATGGCGCAATCTCAGCTCACTGCAACCTCCACCTCCCAGGTTCAAGCGATTCTCCTACCTCAGCCTCCCAAGTAGCTGGGATTACAGGTGTGCACCATCATGCCCAGCTAAATTTTGTATTTTTAGTAGAGACTGGGTTTCACCATGTTGCCCAGGCTGGTCTTGAACTCCTGACCTCAGGTGATCTGCCCGCCTCAGCGTCCCAAAGTGCTGGGATTACAGGCATGAGCCACCACGCCCAGCCAAAACAATTATTTTAATTATAAAAATTTTTTTAATGTTTTAAAGATCTGATATTTGATAGTGCAACAGGACGATTACAGTCAATGATAATTTATAGTACATTTAAAAATAACTAAAAGTATAATTGGAATATTTGTAACATAAATAAATGATAAATGCTTGAGGCGATGGATACCCAATATAACCTGATGTGATTATTACATGTTGTATGCCTGTACCAAAATGTCTTATGTACCCCATAAATATATATGCCATGTACCCATAAAAATTATTAGTTAAAAATTGAAATAAAGAATAAATGAAAAATAACAGCTTATTTTCAGACATCCAAGAAACCCCAACAAATTTCCTCAAATATCACTACAATACTCTTAATTTTTTTTTTTTTTTTTTGAGAATGGGATCTCACTATGTTGCCCAGGCAGCTCTTATACTCCTGGGCTCAAGCTATCCTTCCACCTCTGCCTCCTTAAGTGCTGGGATTACAGGCATGAGCCACCACATTCAGCAATAATACTGTTAAATATCTATATGATAAGAATTTTTGGTTTAAATAAGAAGCATTTAAAACAGCAGTAACCTGGCCGGTCACGGTGGTTCATGTCTGTAAATCCCAGCACTTGGGAGGCCAAGGCAGGTGGATCACCTGAGGTCAGGAGTTCAAGACCAGCCTGGGCGACATGGTCAAACCCCATCTCTACTAAAAATACAAAAATTAGCCCGGCATTTTGGCACATGCCTGTAGTGCCAGCCACTGGGGAGGCTGAGGCAGGAGAATCGCTTGAGCCTGGGAGGCGGAGGTTGCAATGAGTTAAGATTGCACCACTGCACTCCAGCCTGTGCAACAGAGTGAGACTCTGTCTCAAAATAATAATAATAAAACACCAGTAACCTAATTTTTAAAATAATATTAATATTGGATATTTTAATGTGCTATGTTACTTTAGTATTAAATATAAATGGTTTTGCTTCTATACTGCAAAAGAAGATATACTGTTATATAGATAAACAAATGATACAAAAGTATATTAAAAATAATTTTGAAATTGGACCCTGGTTGGTAGTGCCCCAGGCACCTGGAAGAAGCAAATACTGGAACCCATGAAAGCTAAACCCCTGGGGAAGGGTAGTAAAGATGAGGACAGTAGTGCACCATGCTTGAAAGGGCTGGGCTGGGCTGGGCCTGGCTGCGATCCCGTGACACACTGCACTCCGCATCCTGCTACCTGCACACGCAGATTACTTCTAGCGAATTTGAAATTCAGATAGTGAATTTGGGATACAAAGTTTTACAGGTATTTAGAGCACATACTTGGGTGGTGAGAGTTCATATAATCATATAATGAGGCTACTGCTGTTGGAAGGTGATGTCCTATAGTGACAATAACTAAGATAAAGGGGACCGAGAGGGCTGGGGTGGAGGAAGTTAACGGATTCCCTACGGTGGTCACGGTAGACCTGGTTGAGAAGATGACATTTACCCAAAGACTTTGAGGGAGGTGAGGGCCATGCAGGTATCTGGAGGAAGAGCCTTCCAGGCAGAGGGAAGACCCAGGACCAGGCCCTCAGGCCTTCATATTCTGTGAATATATGCTCTGAGCTGAGAAATCTTAAAAGAACCCTAAGCACTGATTACTTTTTTCAACTTTTATTTTGGAAAAATCTCAAACGTGCAAAAGTAGACGAAGTAGTTTACAATTCCCTCGAACCCCTTACTAAGCTGCAGTTGTTATCAACTTATGGCCAGTCTCGTTTCGTCTGTGTCCCCACTGTTTCCCTTCACCAGTGTTATTTTGAGGCAATCCGTACATCATAACATTTCACCCACAAATATGTCGATATGTATTTCAAAAATGTAGGCAGTATATTTAAACAAAACCTCGATACCATTATCACACCTTGGCCAGACGCGGTGGCTCATGCCTGTAATACCAGCACTTTGGGAGGCCAAGGGGAGCGGATAACTTGAGATCAGGAGTTCAAGGCCAGCCTGGCCAACATGATAAAACCTCATCTCTACTAAAAATACAAAAATTAGCTGGGCGTGATGGCACTCACCTGTAATCCCAGCTACTCAAGAGGCTAAGGCAAGAGAGTCGCTTGAACCTGGGAGGCGGAGATTGCAGTGAGCCGAGATCACACTACTGTACTCCAGCCTAGTCGACAGAGCAAGACTCTATCTAAAATAACAAAAACCTTAATATCACAAAATCAGTGTTCAAATTTCCAGTTGTGGCATGAATCTCATAAATGTGTGGGTCTTGTGGGAGAGAGTGGCTGTTGGTTTTGCTTTTTATAGTTTATTTGATGCATTCGGTCTTCAGTTGCCACTATAGCACTCGAGCTTCCGGGTGTCCTGAGGCCCTGGCCTGTGTGCGGGCTGGCTGTGTGCTTCTGCTGATGTTATTTTATTTTTGCTGTTTTTTGAGACAGAGTCTCGTTCTGTTGCCCAGGCTGGAGTGCAGTGATATAATCTTGGCTTTTGTTTTGTTTTGTTTTTTTTTGAGACGGAGTCTCGCTCTGTTGCCCAGGCTGGAGTGCAATGATATGATCTTGGCTTATTCCAACATCTGCCTCCTAGGCTGAAATGATTCTCCCACACAGCCTCCTGAGTAGCTGGGATTACAAGTGCACGCCACTATGCCTGGCTAATTTTTGTATTTTTCGTAGAGACGAGGTTTCCCAGTGTTGCCCAGGCTGGTCTTGAAGTCCTGAGCTCAGGTGATCCGCCCACCTCAGCCTCCCAAAGTGCCGGGATTACAGGTGCCACCACACCCAGGCTTCTGCTGATTTTATACCCAGCCTTCCCCCTATGGCCATTACCCATAGGCAGCATCGCTATATAATGACATAACCATCAGGGCTCCACTTCCTTGGTCTCATTTTGGCCTCATGAGTGGCTGAGGCGTTTTTCCATGTGTGGAGTTTTCCCCTAAGGGTCAGCACCGCGGCATAGTACCATTTCAACAGAAACAGCTCCCAGAGTAATCACAGCTTTGCTGAAGACACGTGAGAGATGAGCAGCTCAAAAATTTGTCATTAATTATAAACAGGGATGAGTGTGGGGCTCAAATCTGTAATCCCAGCACTTTGGGAGGCAGTGGCAGGAAGATTACTTGAGCCGAGGAGTTCAAGACCAACCTGGGCAATGTAGCGATACCCCATCTCTACAAATAAAAAATAAAAACGGTAAAAATAATGTTTCAATGAACAGCTCCTTGTTTACAGATTTGCTTCTTTTTAAAACTCATTCCTGGCCCAGCCTGGTGGCCTATAATCCTAGCACTTTGGGAGGCTGAAGTGGAAAGATCGTTTGAGCTCAGAAGTTAAAGACCAGCCTGGGCAACATAGTGAGACCTCGTCTCTCTTTTTATTAAAAAAAAAAAAAAAGAAGAAGAAAAAGAAAGAAAGGAAGGAAGGAAAGAAAGAAAAAAATCATTCCCTCCAAGTTCATGGGATCAAGGGAGAAAAAAGAAAATAATATATAAAAATCATGCCCTTAGAATTTATTTTTTTGGATTACAATTTTTGAATAGAAATGTTTCTTTATTGCCAGGCTACTTTCTAAAAGGGTTATTGTAATTTACTTTGCTTCAACAATGAATGAATTTGGAAATTCTACCACATCCTTACCAACTTTGGATGTTGTGGGGTTTTTTTTATTGGTATTAATTTTAAAACTGATTTTTTTTTAGACAAATTTATTCAACACTGTTTATTTGTGTGCTGGGAATCATACTGAACAAGACATATCTTTGTCTCATGGATCTTGAAGTTTAGTGAGATTCAGTAACTGGCAGTAAGAGGGCTGTCTAACCCAAATACAAGGTTTGGAGGCGGGGAGGTTACAGAGGAAGTTCCTGGGAAAAAAAAATTCAGCTGAGACCTGAAAGATGAGTTGGTTACTTGTGTTCAGAAGCCAAAAAAAGCATCCAAGAAGAGAAGAAAAGCACATGAAAAGGCCCAGAGACAAGACAGTATGCCTGGGGAGTCAGAGGGAGGATCACTTGAAGTCAGGAGTTCGAGGCCAGCCCGGCCAACATGGCAGTAAGAGGGCTGTCTAACCCAAATATTAGGTTTGGAGAGCAGGGAGGTTAAAGAGGAAGTTCCTGGGAAAAAAAAGGAACAGTGGGCAGGGAGGGTCTTACACACCCTGGGGACTGACACTACCGGCCTCTTCCCCAGGAGTGCTGGGAACTCACAGACGTTAACAAATCATTTTGCTGTGATAACCTTTTATGCACCCTACAGCATCATATATGTAAAATCAGACTTATGGTAGAGGCTTGATTCAAATAAGTACAATAAAGACTCATGAAATATTTGGACTGGTAAGAATGTTTGGGCCGGGCTCAGTGACTCACACCTGTAATCCCAGCACTTTGGGAGGCTGAAGCAAGCTGATCATCTGAGGTCAGGAGTTCAAGGCCAGCACATGGTGAAACCCTGTCTCTACTAAAAATACAAAAAAATTAGCCGGGCATTGTGGCAGGTGCCTGTAGTCCCAGCTACTCAGGAGGCTGAGGCAGGGTAATCGCTTGAACCTGGGAGGCGGAGGTTGCAGTGCGCCGAGATCACGCCACTGCAGTCCAGCCTGGGTGACAGAATGAGACTCGTCTCAAAAAAAATAAAATTTAATTTTTTTTTTTTAAAGAATGCTTGTAGAGTTTAGAAGTTGTTTGCAAACATAGTATTTCTTTTGGTCTGATTTTTGGTGACACAGCTTTGACAGATTTTTTTTTTCTTTTTATTATTGATATTATTTGAGACAGGGTCTCTCTCTGTCACCCAGGCTGGAGTGCAGTGGCAGGATCATGACTCACTGCAGGCTTGAACTCCTGGGCTCAAGTGATCCTCGCACCTCAGCCTCCTGAGTTGCTGGGACTACAGGCATGTGTACCACCACACCCAGCCAATTTTTTTTATTTTTTGTAGAAACAGGAGTCTCACTATGTTGCCCCAGGCTGGTCTCAAACTCCTGAGTCCAAGCAGTCCTTCTGCCTCAGCCTCCCAAACTGCTGGGATTACTGGCACAAGCCACTGCACCTGGCCAAACAGACTTTTCTTCTTGGTTTCAGGGTTCAAAAAGAATTCTTCGCTCCAACGAGATCGTCCTTCCAGCTAGTGGACTGGTGGAAACAGAGCTCCAATTAACCTTCTCCCTTCAGGTGAGACTCTCCTAATCTTAGGCCCCTAACATGCTATATCCTGGCTAGTCCCCAGACAGTCCTCTAACCCAGAGACTGTTTTATCCCAGAGCCCCCATTCCCCAACTTGGGCAGGAATGAATAAAAGTCACCTGGAGGTTTATGGCTGGCCTGGAGGGCCAAAGCAACCCTTTAGCCAGTGACGGTAAGGGTGTGGAGACCTGGGTAGGCACCGTGGCCCCTTCCCTTCCTCTGCCTTGGCTAACACTGTTAGCCATCTGCTGCACCACATCACATCTCCTTAGTGATCCTCGCACACCCCGTGGACTGTGCCACCATCAGCCTCCACGTCGGGATCTCCGTCCTTCCCCTCTACTCCGTATCCCTCCTAGTCGGTGTCCCTCTCATCGTAATTCCAGTAATTCAATGCCCAAATTGAAACACATGGAGAAAACACCTGATAAAGTGGCAAGGGAAGAGACAGTTCTCTGAATAGGTGTGGACCCCAGAGCTGTGGCGTAGAAGCCAGGCATCAAGCCGAATCAGCTCCACCAGCAGCAACTTCATGGCTCTCCTTTCAACCCTGACTGCCCCCTTTTAGAGACAGGAAGAATTGAAGCACAGAAAGACTGTGTGTCCTCCAGAACCCCTCAAGGACCCAGCTGCCCATTAACCACGCTCGACTCTGTTTTGTATTTCGTAGTACCCTCATTTCCTTAAGCGAGATGCCAACAAGCTGCAGATCATGCTGCAAAGGAGAAAACGTTACAAGAATCGGACCATCTTGGGCTATAAGACCTTGGCCGTGGGACTCATCAACATGGCAGAGGTGAGAGGAACACAGTCTCCAGACTGTTGGCCTTTGAGTCACAGAGCCCAAGGGACACCCCAGCCCAGCCAGTTGAGCCTTCCAGATGATTTTCCCAGCCTGCTGGCTAGGTGCTTAATTCTGTTTTACGAGTTAATTATTTGCTGGAAATTCAGAGTATACTTGTTTTTATCAAATACTGTCTCCTTCATGAAAAGTTTTAATTTTTAAACAGGTAAAACTCAAAAAATTACATAAAATTTCAAACTTTCAGAAAAGTTACAAGAATAGTACAAAGAGTTCCCATATGTGGATTCATCCAAGTTCTTTAACATATCACCACATTTCATATGCTCTCCTCATAGATATATTGATAGGTATTATTTTCTGAGCCATCCGAGAGTAAGTTGCTGGCACGATGCCCCATTACACGTTAATACTGCACCACGTTAATTTCCTTAACATGAGAATACTCTGCTGTCTAAACTCCCTGCCACCATCAAGATCAGGACACTAACGTTGAGATAAGATTGCCGTCTAACCCACAGTCCCTATTCGGATTGTGCTGAGTGTCTCAGTGATACCCTTTATGGGCCTGGGATCCGATCTAGGATTATGTGCCGCATATCACTGTGTCCTTCGTCCCCTTCGGTCTGCAGCAGCCCCTCGGTTTTCCTTACCTTTCATGACCTTGACATTTTTTAAGCGCACAGGCTGGTTACTTTTTTGAATACTCCTCAGTCCAGGTTCGCCTGATGTTGCCTCAAGATTAGATTCCACCTGTGTGTTTCTGGCAGCATTACCACAGAAGTGCTCTGTTCTCAGTGCAGCTTAGGCAGCACCTGATGGCAATTGGTTCCTTTCCTGGGGATATTAACTTTTAATTTTTTTTATTTTTACTTTTTTTTTTTTGAGATGGAGTCTTGCTCTGTCGCCAGGCTGGAGTGCAGTGGCATGATCTTGGCTCACTGAAACCCCCGCCTCCCGGGTTCAAGTGATTCTCCTACCTTAGCCTCCTGAGTAGCTGGGACTACAGGCGTGCACCACCATGCCCAGCTAATTTTTTTTTTTTTTTAGTAGAGACGGGGTTTCACCATGTTGGCCAGGATGGTCTCATTCTCCTGACCTTGTGATCCGCCCGCCTTGGCCTCCCAAAGTGCTGAGATTACAGGCATGAGCCACTGCGCCTGGCCTTAACTTTTTTTTTTTTTTTTTAGAGACGAGGTCTTGCTCTGTTGTCCAGGCTGGTCTCAAACTCCCAGGCTCAAGCAATCCTCCCTCCTTGGCCTCCCAAAGTGCTGGGATTATAGGCATCAGCCTCTGTGCCCGGCCTGATATTATCACTTGGTTAACATGGAGTCTGCAGGGTTTTTCCACCACAAAGTTAATTAATAAGCATTTTGTACTTACTGGAAAAAATATTTTACGAGGAGGTAAATATATTAAGGGGAGAAGAAGAAAGGCAACTATCTTTTTCCTTATCACATTTCACCCACTAGTTTTAGCATCTATTCATGATTCTTGCCTGAATTGGTCATCACTATACTTGGATGCTTACCAGACAGTGAATTTCTAATCCCACCATTCCTTACATATTTATTAATTGGCTTTATTTATTTATTTATTTTCGAGACAGAGTCTCACTTCATCACCCAGGCTGGAGTGCGCTGGCACAATCTCGGCTCACTGCAACCTCTACCTCCCGGGTTCCAGCAGTTCTCCTGCCTCAACCTCCAGAGTAGCTGGGATTACAGGGACCCGCCACCATGCCCGGCTAATTTTTTTTATATTTTTAGTAGAGATGGGGTTTCACCATGTTGTCTGGGCTGGTCTTGAACTCCTGGCCTCAAGTGATCCGCTGCTTTGGCCTCCCAGAGTGCTGGGATTACAGGCGTGAGCCACTGCTCCCGGCCTCATTAATTGGCTTTCTGTAGTAAGATAGTGCTTTTCCTTTGCTCTCATTTATTTGTATCAGTTATGGACCGTGGGTTCCTGTTTTATTTGATGGGGCTGAATCTGCTACTATCATTTTTTTATTTTGATGCACAAACTTATCAGATTTGGCCCATGGGAGCCCCTTCATGCCAGCTTTGAGTCCTTAGTAATATGTCTCATCATTCGTTACATCCTACCGTACTTTCTGGTACAAAACATTTCAGGCTCATCTTGTACTTTCCCTGACCCAGCTCCCAGAATGAGCAGATTCTCTGAGGAGCCCTGGTTCTTTTCAGTAGAGGATGGTGTTCAGAAACCAAGATCTGGGTACCAGGAGTGCCCATGTCCCCAACTGGGTGTCATGCACTCCCACTGAGCAGACAGAGCTGAGAAAGATCTGTCTGTATGCACACATGTGCTCGTGTCTACACACGTCACAGCTCCTTTCAGGTCTAGGTCCAGATCTATCTAACCGTGAGCACACATCGATAATTTCAGTTCCAACCCAATGCCTTTTTATAGCTTTTCTTTCTCCATGTTTCTAATTCCCTTTTGGAATGGTAAGAAGTCAGGCTGTGGGCTGGGCGCAGTGGCTTACGCCTGTAATTCCAGCACTTTGGGAGGCTGTGGCAGGCGGATCACGAGGTCAGGAGATCGAAACCATCCTGGCTAACACGGTGAAACCCCATCTCTACTAAAAATACAAAAAATTAGCCGGGCATGGTGGCGGGCGCCTGTAGTCCCAGCTACTCGGGAGGCTGAGGCAGGAGAATGGCGTGAACCCAGGAGGTGGAGCTTTCAGTGAGCCGAGATTGCGCCACTGCACTCCAGCCTGGGCGACAGCGCGAGACTCCATCTCAAAAAAAAAAAAAAAAAAAAAAAAAGGCTGTGATTATTCTCAATACATGTACTCATTGGTGCAGCTCCCTGTGTGCCAGGCAGTTCCTCTCAATCCTAACAGGAAGAAGAAAGCAGCCGCTAATCTGTTTTTAAAATTATTTCTGTACTTTAGTAAATTAAATAGGAACAATTTTGTGGCCATGATAGAAAATTTGAGATAGTTCCAGCCCGTCTTTCTGTCCTGCTCAGTCAGTGTTTGTGTCAGTGTGGAGACGGGGCAGTGAATTCCCGCCAGCACCCACTGCCCCTGCTACGCCAGGCTCTGCCATTCCCTGTAGACTGGGCTCCTTTTCCTCATTGCCAGTGACAGGCGACCACCACCTATAGGCCTGGCCTCACCCAGACTCAAGAGCAAGTTTCTCTGTGAAGGACTTACACTAAAATTAGTCTTAGAGATTAGCAACCATTTCTTTCCTTCCTTCCTTCCTTCCTTTTTCTTCCTTTCTTTCCTTTCCTTCCTTTCCTTTCCCTCCCTCCCTCCCTCCATCTTCCTTCCTTCCTTCTCTCTCTCGCTCCCATTCTTTCTTCCTTTCTTCTTTTTCTTTTCTTTTTTTTTTTTTTTTCCTGAGATAGAGTCTCACTCTGTCACCCAGGCTGGAATGCAGTGGTGCAATCACAGCTCACTACAGCCTCGACTTCCTGGGCTCAGGTGATTCTCCCACCTCAGCCTCCTGAGTAGCTGCAACTACAGGCATGCGCCACCACACCCAGCTGATTTTTTTATTTTTAGTAGAGACGGGGTTCCACCATGTTGCTCAGGCTGGTCTCAAACTCCTGGACTCAAGCAATCTGCCCGCCTCAGCCTCCCAAAGTGCTGGGATTGCAGGAACAGGCTACTGTGCCCGGCCAAGCAACCATTTTCTTTTCTTTTCTTTTTTAGATGGAGTGTTGCTCTGTGACCCAGGCTGGAGTGCAATGGCACAATCACGACTCACTGCAACCTCTGCCGCCTGGGTTCAAGTGATTCTCCTGCCTCAGCCTCCTGAGTAGCTGGGACTACAGGCGCCCACCACCACACCTGGCTAATTTTTTGTATTTTTAGTAGAGACGGGGTTTCACTATGTTAGCCAGGATGGTCTTGATCTCCTGACCTCATGATCCGCCTGCTTTGGCCTCCCAAAGTGCTGGGATTACAGGTGTGAGCCACCACACCTGGCCCGAGCAGCCATTTTCAATCTTTGATTGTTATCTTTAAGCACATGGCCCTGACCAGCACTTCTGGGGATAATTTTAAAGTTAAGACCTTAGGCCAAATGCAGTGGCTCACGCCTGTAATCCCAGCACTTTGGGAGGCCAAGGCAGGAGGATTGCTTGAGCCCAAGATTTCGAGATCAGACTGGGCAACATAGTGAGACCCCATCTCTACATAAAATTTAAAAATTAGCCAGGCATGGTGGTGTGTGCCTGTGGTCCCAGCTACTGAGGCTGAGGCGGGAGGATCACTTGAGCCTGGGAGGTCGAGACTGTAGTGAGCTGTGATCACACCAGTGCGTGCCAGCCTGGGTGACAGAGTGAGACCCTGCCTTTAATAATAATAAAAAACAGGCTGGGTGCAGTGGCTCACACTTGTTATCCCAGCACTTGGGAGGCCGAGGCGGGCAGATCATGAGGTCAGGAGTTTGAGACCAGCCTGGCCAACATAGTGAAACCCTGTCTCTACTAAAAATGCAAAAAATATTAGCTGAGCGTGGTGGCAGACGCCTGTAATCCCAGCTACTTGGGAGCCTGAGGCAGGAGAATCGCTTGAACCTGGGAGGCAGAGGTTGCAGTGAGCCGAGATCACGCCACTGCACTCCAGCCTGGGCGACAGTGAGAGACTCCGTCTCAAAAATAATAATAATAATAATAATAATAATAATAATAATAATAATAATAATAAACAAAGTAAGACCGTGAAGCAGTAGGACAGTAGGCATGGATTTGAAAGTAAGGAAGAAAACGTATCAGCAGAATGCTGTTGCCCCTGGGGTCTTGTGCATTCCTTGGCTGTGTTTCTCCAGGTGCCTCTGTAGTAACACGCCTCCACCACCTCCCCTGGCTCCTAGGTGATGCAGCATCCTAATGAAGGCGCACTGGTGCTTGGCCTACACAGCAACGTGAAGGATGTCTCTGTGCCTGTGGCAGAAATAAAGATCTACTCCCTGTCCAGCCAACCCATTGACCATGAAGGAATCAAATCCAAGCTTTCTGGTAAGAAGCATGCAGCATCTGGAGACCCTACGAAGAGGGAGCCCATCCTGGGAAAGGTGAACAAGACAGTGCCTGAGATGTTCCTGGGCAAGAGACCTTTAGAGACCCCTGAAAGTAAAATGTGGCTTCGGCCCTGGCCCTCCCCTCCACCCTGGCTGTGTTTCCACCCAAAGAGAACCATTGATTCCAGCCCATCGAAGTTTCTTAGGCCAGATCTTCCCATTGCAAGGTTATCTTACTCAGGTGTCTGTTGCAGATCGTTCTCCTGATATTGACAATTATTCTGAGGAAGAGGAAGAGAGTTTCTCATCAGAACAGGAAGGCAGTGATGATCCATTGCATGGGCAGGTAACTTTCTGTGGTCCCTCACATGGCGTGTCCAAGAAGCTCCTGGGGTTTCCCACCCTCATTCTGTCCCTGTACCCACTTAGGACTTGTTCTACGAAGACGAAGATCTCCGGAAAGTGAAGAAGACCCGGAGGAAACTAACCTCAACCTCTGCCATCACAAGGGTGAGCCTCAAAGGTCTGGGGAGTGGTTGGCTAAGATTTTCAGTCTGGGGGTAGGTTGGCAGCAGCATATTCAGGCCTAGTGGAGACTTCTTAAAATCAACACAGGGTCATCCCTTCAACGATTCCAATGAACGCTCTATATCCTCACCACCGCCCAATTAGACTCACTGTTGTTGGGAACCACAATTACTGATAAGAGTGTTATATCCTTCAGGTTATCGTCAGATAGAAAAAAGGAGGAGAACCCTTCTTGTAGAATTCAGAACAGATAGTGGTCCATCAGGGAACAGACCGCCTCCCACCCACTCCAGTGGCTGCTTCATGTCACATGCTGTCCTCTGCAGCGAGAAAGCCAGCTCCCTCTAGGAGTAGCACTAGTTTTAATCATGTGCTGAACTTAGGCAGAGATAATAGGCTAGTCATGGGGTGCTCCTATGACCCTGGGCTTGCTAAGCTTTAATTACATCAGATATCGTTCCTGCCTTAACGGATCCATAACCTTGGAGACCAGGTGCCTTTTGATACTTTTCCTCCATAAGACTTCCTCAAGAGTCACTGTTTTGATGACATTTGAGTCCTGAACTAAGAAGCTAAAAACCTGAATTCCTAGGTGGTCTTTGACAGATTCTGGAGTGCCTGCATGAAGTGTGGGAGGGCCAGAAGTGCTGGGAGCATTTCCGAAGGGGAATTCACAGCTCCATTTACCCAGAGGCATCCTGATTCTCCCCAGTGCAGAGCTAGCCTAGGGACCAAACCCCTGAGAGCCGAGATGCCCACCCCTTCAGGGATGAAACGGAGGCCAGATCACTCTCCCATCACAATGAGGTGTCACTGGACTTCAGGTAAATCCGTGAGACTGTGACCTGGATTTCCCATCCAGTCAGCAACTAGGGAGCGGGAGGACTGTTTCCTTGTCCTCAGGTATCCACCTCTCAATTGGTGCTCCAAATGGTCCCCATGAGGTGTGTCACCAGTACCCCAAATGCTTGACCTCCATTGCACTCTGGAAATAGGGAGTGGCTGTAGGATCTCTCTCTAGTCAGCCCCTACTGCTGAGGCTTTCTTTTTCCTGCTCTGTAACCAGAAAGCGGCCCTATTTTCTTCCCAACGGGTGCCCCCAGAGCTTCATAAGTCACCTCTTCCTACGTGGGGTCTCTTCCTTGGCATGACCCTGGCACATGACTGGAGTTCAGTGCTCCTGCTAATGTATACTCCCCCAGAGGTGTTTCTTTTTAAGCTGCAGGCACTTTCCAGTTCTATCCCAGAGACTCAGTGACCTCCCTTAGTGCCTGTCTCCTCTGTGCATGCGCATTCTTCTCTCCCACCAAGAACACAGATGTACTTGACCTTCTGTGAACATGTCTCATGCTGCTCTGTCACTGGGAGCTCGACTTTTTTTCTCTGCTGTGAATGCCCTTTCTGCCCTTTCTCTGAAGACCTATCAGCCTCGCAAGTTCATTGTTTTCATCCCCAGATGGCGAGTCTGTCATTCAGGCAGGAAGTACATACAACCACAGGCTAAGCATCGTGCCCAGAGACAAAGAGATAGGGCCCAGTCCATGCCATCAAGCGCACAGTGTCTAGTGACACCACACATTTCAACAAATAATTACAGCCCAGTAGGACAGGTGCCATAAGACAGAGCTTTGCAATGACACCAGGGGACTGTGGCCACCTGTCCCAGGAGTGCCAGGACAGCTTCCCAGATGAGATGCTGAGAGATGGGTTTTTTAAAATAAAACTTCACCAAGTGGATTTGGGGAAAATTTTTATTCAAGGCAGAAGATACCCTATATAAAGACCCAGTACAGTGCTGTGGCTCACGCCTGTAATCCCAGCACTTTGGGAGGCCGAGGCAGGCGCATCACAAGGTCAGGAGATCGAGACCGTCCTGGCCAACATGGTGAAACCCCGTCTCTACTAAAAATACAAAAATTAGCTTGGTGTGGTGGCACGTGCCTGTAATCCCAGCTACTCAGGAGGCTGAGGCAGGAGAGTCACTTGAACCAGGGAGGCAGAGGTTGCAGTGATCCGAGATCACCTCACTGCACTCCAGCCTGGCAACAGAGCAAGACTCCATCTCTAAAAAAAAAAAAAAAGGCCCAGTACAACAGCATGCAGTTTTTCCCAGGAACTCAAAGCAGTGAGTTTCCACTTGACTATGGGGTGTGAAGGGTCAAATAGAGAGATAAGGCTAGAAACAGGCAGACCCAGGCTTCGGACACGTACAGGCCTGACTGCTGAGCTCTGTTCAAGTAGTGGAGGCCAATGAAGACTTCTAGTCGGAGGGTAGCATGAGCAGGTTTGCACTCGGAAGGACCACTGTGGGCTGTGGAGGGAGAAAGACCAGAAGCAGGTGGGCAGGGTATGAGATGTCAGCTGAAGGCTGTTGCTATGATCCCAGAGAGGCAAGGAGAAAGGCCTGACTGGAAACAGTGGTGTCACAGATGGAAAAGGGAGGATCTGGGGTAGCTAGAATGGGCCTGCGGGGAGAACGAGAAGGAGAGACTCCAGGCGTAGATGTTGGTTCAGGTGTGTTGGCGACATCAGTAAGAGGATCGGGGTGCAAGGAGAAGACGGGACGCTGCGTTCCACCGTGGAGGTGGTAAGGCTGAGGTGCCCGCGCTGTGCATGCGCAGGTAGGAGTCAGCAGTGGGCACTGTGAATCCGAAGGGCAAGAGAAAGGGATGAGCTGGAGACCCACATTTGGGAGGTGTTGGGGCACAGGGGGGTGGAGGACCTGGGGATAGACATTCCTTCTCCCCGCAGCTGCACCCAAGGCCCAGGAGCTACACTGGAATTTGGCCTGTCTTCCTGACAGGCTTTGAGTGCCAAGGGCAGAGACCAAGTCCTCCAGTCTTCGTGTCTTCCCACAGCTCGTCATGAAAGTGGGCTCTGGTGGGTGTTTATTGACTTGAATTGACCCCAAGTGGACGTTGCTGAGAACTGTCATGCGATTTGTCCCTACAGCAACCTAACATCAAACAGAAGTTTGTGGCCCTCCTGAAGCGGTTTAAAGTTTCAGATGAGGTATGGCCTCTTACTCCCAAGGTTAATGGTGAGTAGAATTCCCCGGGTTTCACCCAGCATCCCTGGAGTACACTCTGTATTGCCACTGAGAGTCAGGATTCTAGGATTAATATTCCTGCTCCCCGTGGCATACCTGGTAGAGCCCTAAGGGAGAGGGTGGCTAAGAAGGACTTAAGCAAGCAGAGGAGAGAGAGGCTATGCACACAACGCAGGGCAGCACAGCTACGCCCGACCCTTGGTGATGCGCAAGCCTCTGGCATGCGATACAGGGACAGACCCAGCGGATGCTGCTGCGGTTGTCACTTAATTTCCCCTCTTATCCCACGGGAACATCAGTGAGCAGCAGCTTGTGAGGTGGAAATGTCCTTGTTGGTCAGCCCTGGAATAACCAGGAATGGGGCTGCTGAGAGAGAAGCAGTCTTTTCCCTGGGCTCCGGGAGGGGCCCGTTTCCACAGGCCTCTCAGTGGGCTAACAGAGGGATAAAGATGAAAATTGTTGAGAGCGATTGCTTCGCCTTCCTGTGAGCTGTAAGGAGGGTAGGAAGAACCCACATGGGCGATGGGCCTCGGGATTCCTCAGCTGTCCCTCCTGGCACAGCTTCACAGTGTGGAGCGGTGGCAGGAACTGGGGGGAAGGTGGCCTCACCATGTCCCCGCCCTCAGGCTGGATCATGGAAATGACGTGAAGGTTACTCCAGCCAGTGTGAAGCTCTGGCATGTCCCTTAAGCAGGACTATAAGGGCAGCCCAGGAGAAAGGAGCTGCTCATCAACCAAAATTGTTAATAGGGATGACCCTAAATTCAGAGACTCCTTTTTCCCTGCAGGTGGGCTTTGGGCTGGAGCATGTGTCCCGCGAGCAGATCCGGGAAGTGGAAGAGGACTTGGATGAATTGTATGACAGTCTGGAGATGTACAACCCCAGCGACAGTGGCCCTGAGATGGAGGAGACAGAAAGCATCCTCAGCACGCCAAAGCCCAAGCTCAAGTGAGCCCCCCTCTCTGTAGCTGGCCTCCAGACTCTCCTTCCTGGCCATAGCAGTCTCCTGACCCCTCCCTCGCTGTCCCCTCTATTACCAGAGAATCTTGGTCCTTCATCCTTTCTGAACCTCTGGCTGTCTTGGAGAAGGTCACTGTTTTGCCTCTCACTGACAGAAGTCCTATAGGACTCTCAGGAAGTACCCCCTCTCCTGACCCGCCCCTCCTCTTCACCCTGCACTTCCCTGCTCACCGGGCGTTCTGGACACCTGTAGCTTGTTGACCCACCCTGAATGCCAGCTCCATTCAACTCTCCCAGCATGCTGTTCTGAGCCCTGGCAGCACTGACCCTGGCTGTGCTCTTCACCACAGGCCTTTCTTTGAGGGGATGTCGCAGTCCAGCTCCCAGACGGAGATTGGCAGCCTCAACAGCAAAGGCAGCCTCGGAAAAGACACCACCAGCCCTGTGAGCGCAACCGCGACTGCGGGGCGGGGTGGGACCGTGGCATGTCAGGGCTCGACGCTCTGGCCCTCTGCATCTCTGATCAGGGCTCATGTTGTGACCTTAGAAAAGTGGCCCCATTGGCTGGGCATGGTGGATCACAACTGTAATCCTGGCACTTTGGGAGGTGGAGTCGGGCAGATCATGAGGTCAAGAGATTGAGAGCATTCTGGCCAACATGGTGACACCCCATCTCTACTAAAAATACAAAAATTACCTGGGCGTGATGGTGTGCACCTGTAGTCCCAGCTACTCAGGAGGATGAGGCAGGAGAATCACTTGAAGCCGGGAGGCGGAGGTTGCAGTGAGCCAAGATTGAGCCACTGCACTCCAGCCTGGCGACAGAGCGAGATTCCCTCAAAAAAAAAAAAAAAAGAAAAGAAAAAAGAAAATGGCCTCATCTTGTTTCAGCCTCAGTTTTCCTCCCCTCAGTCTGGCTGGGAGCTTAGCTCTTTGGGGTCATTGCTGTGTCAGGCTGGGTTGTTCCTTTTGGTCTGTTTCTGCCATGGCCCAGCGCCTTCCCTCTCAGAATACATACAATCTCCCCCTCTGCTGGGCGTGGTGACTCATGTCTATAATCCCAGCTCTTTGGGAGGCCAGGGCGGGTGGATCACTTGAGCCTAGGAGTTCGAAACCAGCCTGAGCAACATGGTGAAAGCCCATCTCTACGAAAAATGCAAAAGTTAGCCAGGCATGGTGGTGCACGTCTGTAGACCCAGCTACTTGGGAGGCTGAGGCAGGAGGATCCCTTGAGCCCAGGAGGCAGAAGCTGCAGTGAGCTGTGATCGCACCACTGCTCTCCAGCCTAGGTGACAGAACAAGACCTTATCTCAACAAACAAAAACCTCTCCCTTCGTGTCTGTTCTGTGGTAGCTGAGAGTGTGGCATGGAGTGGGCGTTTGGCCAGTAGTGAGTGGCCCTGCACCAGACTGGGGAAGGAGCAGGTATGGAGAGGAGGGGAGCCACTGAGACGTGCTCAGGAGGCCCTAGTAGGCTTTATTGGGCCAAGAATCCATAGAGGGGAGCAGTGCCCCGAGAAAATTTATAATTTAGTCAAGAGGTTTCCATTTTTTCTGGTGAGCAAGGGGAAAAGGGGGCATGTACTGTAGCAGCCGGAGCCACGACCTGGGCCTTGCTCCGCCCCTCCTAGAAAGGCCCTGCTCCCTCAGCAGATCACAGGCAGGGGTGGGTGTGAGCCTGAAGTGACCTCAGGCCCTAGGAAGCTGCTCTTCCTTCGTTTACAATGGAAGGCAAGTGAGTGTTGTCGCGATGTGAGTGCCCAGCTTAGGATTTGCCCTCCAAAGCCCAGTGTCTTTTCTGTAGATCAAAGAAACAAATCCTTTAAGTCCTCCTGTTCACCTGCTTTACTGGCAGATGAAGCCTACTCATGGTTCACCAGGGGGAATACCAAACTCGCCCTGCAGATCGGTAGTAATTGTGCGGAGATGATAGGAAACAGGAGAGGCCTCTACCGCTGAAAAGCACGGGTCTGAAAGGGCAGGTGCCTGTCCTGGAAACCACCTTCTCTTGGGGCATCCCCTGGCTGCCCTTCTGCCTGTTGCCACCAGGTGGGGCTCTCTCCCAGCTCACCGTTCTTCCTGCTTAGGACAGCGCCCCACGTGACGTTAGTGAGGCAATGCATGGGAAACTGCAGCCCAAACAGACTCCTCCCTGGGAGAAACCCCAGCCCTGCCCCTGCAGACCCTGCACCCTAGACGCCGTTCCAGGCCGGGTTCATGGGGATCCAAGAACTGAGGAGACCTCGATTTACAAAAAAAAAAAAAAAAAAAAAAAACTCTTTCTAAATTTATTTTTTATTTTTATTGGAGTCGGAGTTTTGCTCTTATCGCCCAGGCAGGAGTGCAATGGAGCGATCTCGGCTCACTGCAACTTTCACCTCCCGGGTGCCAGCGATTCTCCTGCCTCAGCCTCCCGAGTAGCTGGGACTGCAGGCACGTGCCACCCACACCCGGCTAATTTTTGTATTTTTAGTAGAGATGGGGTTTCTCCATGTTGGCCAGGCTGGTCTCAAACTCCTGACCTCAGGTGATCCGCCCGCCTCAGCTTCCCAAAGTGCTGGGATTAGAGGCTTGAGCCGCTGTGCCCGGCCTATTTTTTTTTTTTTGAGATAGGGTCTCGCTGTACTCCCCAGGCTGGAGTGCAGTGTGTACCCAGCCACCTCACTTTCTTTGGTATTAGTGTTTAGGATGTGGCTTGGAGATGCATTTCCTCACATGGAACTGCTGAATGGCCCTGCTGAATTGACAGCATCCACATGGGCAAACCCTACTGGGCAAACCCTACCCCTGGCCATGAGAGCTAAATTCCCTCTTAACTATATGGGATGACTCTAGAAAGATACCTGGGAGCTGGCTGAGGGAGGACTCTTTCTTAGTGTTCTAGGAATGTAGAGCAAGTGCCCTAATATAACAAAATGTAACTAAATCACTAACTGAGACAGTGCCCCAAAAGCAGTAAGCAGAACACCTAACACTGTGGATGTTCAATAAATGTTAGTTACCTGACTTATAAAACTTACAGAAAAAATTACTTAGACACTCTGAGCCTCGGTGCCTCATCTGTAGGGTTGTGGTGTCGGTATAGGAGCCCATTTGGCTCAAAAGCCAGTTGAGGGCGGACACGGTGGCTCAAACCTGTAATCCCAGCACTTTGGGAGGCCGAGGTGGGTGGACCACTTGAGGTCAGGAGTTCGAGACCAGCCTGGCCAACATGGCAAAACCCTGTTTCTACTAAAAATACAAAATTAGCCAGGCATGGTGATGCACACCTGTAATCCCAGCTACTCGCGTGGCTGAGGCAGAGAATTGCTTGAACCTGGGAAGCAGAGGTTGCATTGAGCCAAGATCCCGCCACTGCACTCCAGCCTGGGTAACAGAGCAAGACTCCATCTCAAAAAAAAAAAAAAAAAAAAAGCCAGGTGAGTGTCAGCCTTTATAATATGATGGCCTAAGGGCCTCTGTCAGGGCAAAAACACATTTGGGACAGGGTAGAGCTTCTGAGTTTGAGTCTTGACTCCACCACTCCACTGACTGTGTGATCTTGGGCATGTTACCACGCCTTTGCTTCCTCATCTACAAGGTACGTGTTAAAGCTCGTGCCTCCCAAGGTAGTGAGGAGATGGAACAGGATCATGCACATCAGACTGCTGCGTGGGGTGTGCCTGATTGACTTACTGCACACAGAGCACTGCTCATTGCTCACCGACTACTATTGCTTTTATTATTATAATTCCTTAGTGCCATTTCAGTTGTGGACTCCTAAAATTGATAGAATCTAGATGTCTTTTTAGTGAGTCCTTCAAATTCTGGTTCCCTTGGCCACGTTTCAGACTCACTTTGCTGGTTCTGTGCTGATATTTCTATTTTGAAGAGCCCCATATGTCTGGATGTGGGTGTGAAACTTTGGAATCCTTTGGTATGAAAGGCGCTTTGGGAACAGCAGAACCAGACTGCGCTCTTAAATGGAGAACTTCTGAATGGATTAGGAAAAACCACGAGATTGTGCACCTGTAGGCAGGTGTGCACGCACCACCTCAACTTGTGTCCTCTCTTCCCTGGTTTCCTAGCACTGTTATTTATTTATTTTTCTTAATCTTGCTTTTTGTTCCCCACATTTTAGAGGATTCAGTTTATCGCTAGAACCAGAAAGAATTTCTCCTGATACGAATTATTCCAGTTGTTGAATTTTCCCAAGGCTTGAGCACACAATGGCAACATAATTTGGTTCTCCAAGCTGATAACAATGAGCCCTGACAGTGCGTCAGGGCAGCCACAGATGCAGACTTCCAGCCAGGACTGCCTGCTGCTAAGTCGCTATTTCCACAGCACTATAAATAATGGCATTAGAGCCTAGTCCTTCATGAAATGATAGCCTACACATTACCCACTCTTGCCCCCTTCTCTCTGACACGGGCCTACACTCTTACCCTTCAGCAGCTGACATTGTCCATGAGCACAGTGGTGCAGACTTCTGGGACCTCTAGTGATACCTCATCCATATCCCATGCCAAACACTTGGTCAGACACAGCTGGAGTCCTGCTGGTGTTCCAACATCTTTTGGGGGAAAAAGCCCTTTAGTGTTTATAGAAGCAGGAACAGAAATGTGATGAAATTGGGAATTTGTCCCCAGGAGGATTGTCTGGGACATCTGGAAGAGCCAGTAAATAGCCAGCAGGTGTCCTCTAAGCCCAATCCAAGTTAAAGATATTATCAGGAGATGGATATGCTAATTACCTTGATTTAATCATTTCACAGTGTATCCATACATCAAAACATGTTGTATACTGTAAATATATACAATTTTTATTTGTCAATTATAGCTTAATAAAGCTGGGAGGAATAAAGATCTTAATAAATGTTGCAGCTTTGACATGGAAGCAATGCTGTAGCTGTCATAGGGCTTAACAACAAGGCGTGCTACTTCAAAACCTCCCAGCAGACCTGTGTTATCACCCAGTTCATTCTCTTTAAAACGCGTTTAATTAATTTGTCATATTGAGATCGAAAATGGAGTGAAATTATCTCTAGTCTCAGGTCTAACCAGAGCTTTTCCATGATTCTAGATTCTATTAATGTTGGCCGAGGCTGGGCGTGGTGGCTCACACCTGTAATCCCAGCACTTTGGGAGGCTGAGGCAGGTGGATCACTTGAGGTCAGGAGTTCAAGACCAGCCTGGTCAATCAACATGGTAAAAGCTGTCTCTACCAAAAATACAAAAATTAGGCAGGCATGGTGGCAGACGCTTGTAATCCTAGCTAATCAGGAAGCTGAGGCAGGAAAATCACTTGAACCCGGGAGGCAGAGGTTGCAGTGAGCCAAGATTGCACCACTACACCCCAGCCTGGGCAATAGAGTGAGATTCAGTCTCAAAAAAACAACAGCAACAACAACATTGGCTGATCATATAGAGAAGGTGTAAATGAGCTAGCTCTGCAATCTGGAAGCAACCTGTTCTGTGGCTGTGAGCCATTACACAAGCCAAACCATCTGAAGATCTGGGGTCCCAGAGTCTGGCTCAGGCATGCTGAGTTAGTCCTGCAAATGGCCTGGAGCAGGGGTTCTCAACTGGGGATGATTTTGCCTCCCAGACATATGGCAATGATTGGAGACATTTTTGTTTGTCACAAATGAGGGAGTGGAGAGTTGCCACTACCAGCACCTAGTGAGTAGAGGCCAGGGATGCTGCCAGACATCCCACAGTACACAGGACAGGCCCCCACAATAAGAATGAGCCAGCCCCAAATGTCAATCGTGCCAAGGTGGAGGAACCCTGGTTTAGAGTGTGACATAGGGAGCCTGCTGTGGTGATCCTTGTTCCATAGTTTACTAGGTGACCCTGAACTTACTAGCCTGATGCTTCTCAGTATTATATGATTGACTCAGAGAAAGGACTTTGAGTCATTGGGAGGAAGTGGGATATCATTTATATTTTTCTGCCTCCTATGGTTCCCTACAAGAAACAAAAAGATTCACTAAAGCCAGTACCTTCCCTGCATCTAAGACCTACAACCCACACGTCACTGCTGGTGACTTTGAGTTGCTGTCTGCACAGCAAGAAGCAATATTAACAAATACGAAAATCTGGTTATGTGTCTATATTTGCAAAGGAAATTTTTAATATTTATGAGAAATGCTAATAAGAGTTGGGGACAAATGGAGAATTAATTTACACCTAAATGGCTTAACATTGGGTGTCTTTCTGCTTAGTATATCCTGTTAGAGGGTTTTCTGGATGTTCCCACCAAGCAAAAAGCATTTGGCTACCATGGATGTCTTTAGTCTCAAAATCAAAGACCTGAACCTAGCATACTCCTTTCTCTGGCAAGCAAAGGAGGCCTCCCCTCTATGTCCTTCCTGGGCAAGTGTATTCACTGGATCCAGGGTCAAAGACTTCATGGATGCAATAGCAAAGCCATCTAAATTTTGAGCTTCTCTTGCCTAGTGACACCTCGTGGAGTCAGAATTTCTGGGTTCTGAATCTCCGTGTTATTGACTTGATGACAAAGATAACTGATCCCTCCAAAACCTGGTTTTCACAGAAATGTACCCGCCTCCCCGGCCCACATAAGAAAAAAGCCCTGAAGATTTTATGAGGTTTGAGATTAAATGAAAGTATTTTAAGCTTCATAGGGACCTAGTAAAACAAATTAAAGTGGTAGTTATTTGGATCAGTGATAACTAATTCTTATAATTTTTGCAGATGGAATTGGCTGCTCTAGAAAAAATTAAATCTACTTGGATTAAAAACCAAGATGACAGCTTGACTGAAACAGACACTCTGGTATGTATGGGTCAGTTTCCTGTTTCAGCTGTTTCAAATAGTGTTTGTCCCTTTAGAAATAACGGCAGAAGGACCCTCAGGACCACCATAGAAATTTCACCTAAATCTGCAGGCTTATGAATGTCCTGCACTCTCTTTCTCCTGAAATCCTTACCCGTGGAATGCAACCTACTACCTGGTGTAGACACCAGGTTGCTCTCAAACTTAGTATACCAGAAATGTCCTCATTCTGCCCTTTAATAAGAGCTGACCAAATGCTAGCTGGGGAAACTTCTCACCATCTGTCACCAGCGTTCTCCCTGGAAAATCATCCCTTCCTCATTGGATGTTGCTGTTTCCGTGGCCAGGCAACCCACAACATTCAGTCTCTGACTGGTACTGGTCCGTGTTCTAAGAGGTGCTGGAGCTGCCCAGGAGTGCAGGCCTAAGCCCCAGTGAAGTGGAATTGAGTTGGTTGGGATGCCCAGTTTTTTTACAGGTCGAATTGCACAAACATTTACTGTGCCCCTGCTTGTGCTGGGCACTGAAGATGCAAACATGAGTGAGCCACAGTTTGCATCCCCTGTACCTCCGGCCCAGGGAGGTACAGGGGATGCAAACTGGAGAAGCGACATCTGAGCTGGGCTTTGCAGGTTACGTCAAAGTTCATCCCGTGGGACCAGAGGCAGGACCCTTGTGGGGAAGGAGCAGAGAACTTTACAGAATGCCATCTAGGGATGAGCCTCACGGTGGGACCTGCTGGGAGTTGACTAGAATCTGTGAAAGAATTATTTTAGCCTTATGTTTTCTATAGTAAATAAGACTACATTAAAGATCTTATGTATTTAGGCTTGATTCAAGATTAATTTGAAACTCACTACCCTAACTTACATTTTCTAGTTCACCAGTAATCTGAATAATCCTACTTCCACCGTGGCCCCACTGTAGTCCGTACTGCACGTGGCAAGTACAGTGTGGCCTTTTCAAAATTAAATTCCAATTGTGTCACTTCCTGATTAAAACTCTTCAGTGATTGGCCAAATCTCAGCAATTTAATGTTGAGTGAGTAAAAAGAAGCCGAATGCCAAAAAATGCACGCCATAGGATTCCAGTTCTGTGAAACTCACAAACAGGCAAAACTAATCCATGAGGGTGACGTCAGCATACCTGTTACCCAGGGGAGAGGGAGGGGCATCGGGAGGCCTCAGGAATGCTGGAACGTTCTGTCTTGATCTGGTTAATGGTCACCTGGGGGCATATTTGCATAAAAATTCAAGTTGACTATTCTAGATTTGTGCTTCTTACTTTATAGAAGTTATGCCCTCAGTAAACATTTTGAAAACATAAAGACCAGGCAGAGGCAGGGAAGTAGGCAGGTGTGCGGCCTGTATTGGTAGCAGAGTCCTCCCTGAGGGCTGGATCATTAGGGAGGTAGTGGGCCCAGGGAGGAGGCACGGGAGGTTAATTTAGAAAGGTGGCCCAGGCTGGGTCATGGTGGGCCTCAGAGGCCCCACTAAAGAATCAGACTTGGCCAGGTGTGGTGGCTCACACCTGTAATCCCAGTACTTTTGGGAGGCTGAGGCAGGCACATTGTTTGAGCCTGGGGATTCAAGACCAGCCCGGGCAACATGGAAAAACCCGTCTCTACAAAAAAAAAAAAAAAAAAAAAATAGTAATACAAAAAAATTAGCCAGGCATGCTGACATGCACCTGTACTTGGAAGGCTGAGGTAAGATAACCACTTGAGCCCAGGAGTTCAAGGCTGCAGTGAGCTGAGACCATGCCACTGCACTCCAGGCTGTGCAAGAGAGCAAGACCCTGTCTAAAAAAAATTTAAAAGGATGTCAGGAATTAGGCTGGGGGCGGTGGTTCATGCCTGTAATCCCAGCACTTTGGGAGGCCGAGGCGGGCGGATCACGAGGTCAGGAGATCGAGACCATCCTGGCTAACACGTCTCTACTAAAAATAAGCCGGGCGTGGTGGTGGGCGCCTGTAGTCCCAGCAACTCGGGAGGCTGAGGCAGGAGAATGGCATGAACCCAGGAGGCAGAGCTTGCAGTGAGCCGAGATCGCGCCACTGCACTCCAGCTTGGGCGACAGAGCAAGACTCCGTCTCAAAAATAAATAAATAAATAAAATAAGTAAATAAAATAAATAAAAAAGGATGTCAGGAATTCGAGACCTGCCTGACCAACATGGAGAAACCCCGTCTCTACTAAAAAAGAAATACAAAATTAGCCAGGCATGATGGCACATGCTTGTAATCCCAGCTAGTCGGGAGGCTGAAGCAGGAGAATTGCTTGAACTTGGGAGGCGGAGGTTGCGGTGAGCCAAGGTTGCGCCAAGATTGTGCCACTGCGCTCCAACCTAGGCAATAAGAGCGAAAGTCCATCCCAAAAAAAAAAAAAGTGATCTGAGGAAAGGCAAAGGCCTGGGCTCAGAAGGTGGGATAGAGAGGGTGGATGTGAGAGTGTGGCCAGAGCGGGACACACAGCAGTGGCTTGGGGATGAGGAAGGAAGGGAGAATCTCAACGGAGATGCAGGTGGCTTTGGCCAAGGTAAGGAATGGGGCTAAAAAAAAAAAAAAAAAAGAAAAAAAAAAAAGGAATGGGGCTATGGCCCTCCCTGCTCTCCTAGACCAGATAAGGTCCGGTCAGGGCACCAGGGAGATGCATCTAGGGGTCCCCTCTTCACTCCTGGAGACAGCAGATCATCAGTCCACTCTTCTTGTGCCAGCAGGTCGTTTGTAACTGGATATTTACTGGATTGCAGCATATGGTGCCCACACGGGGTGTACTCAGTCACCCGTGAACAGTGGCGATTTTCCTTCGGCTGAGGCAGGAGCTTTAGGACCACTTGCTTTCAGGAAAAGAAAATGAGTAACTCTCTCTTCAGGATGGTGATGGGGCCTGGCCAGTCCAAGGAGGCTCCTGGGTGGTCACTGAGTGGGAGGTCATCTTCACTGTTTCCTCTCCTCCATGGTAGGAAATCACTGACCAGGACATGTTTGGAGATGCCAGCACGAGTCTGGTTGTGCCGGAGAAAGTCAAAACTCCCATGAAGTCCAGTAAAACGGATCTCCAGGGCTCTGCCTCCCCCAGGTACTGCAGATGGAAAGGAAGCAGGGGGTACAGCCTGCAGCTGTGCTTAGCATGGGCTTCAGGGCTGAGGGAAAGCGGGGCTGGCAGCAGCTTTGGGGTTGGAGGGGCTATTTCACCAGCCTTTTTCCACCTCCCTGGCAGCAAAGTGGAGGGGGTGCACACACCCCGGCAGAAGAGGAGCACGCCCCTGAAGGAGCGGCAGCTCTCCAAGCCCCTAAGTGAGAGGACCAACAGTTCCGACAGCGAGCGCTCCCCAGATCTGGGCCACAGCACGCAGGTACTTCTGGGTGCCCCCAAAACACCAGGACCCTCTGAGATTCCCTGAACTTCAGGCTCTGTTTTGTTGGCTTCCTTGGACAGTTAGTTGGAGAGAAGAGGAATACTTGGAAATGCTCTGAACAAAAACTCTTGAAGAAAGACTAAATTAGAGAGGTCTCCTATATTCCTTGCTTACTGCCAGTGTGGAACTGGCTTCCACGCTGACCTCTAGGGCGCAGGCAGGGGAGCCAAAAACGCTGTGTGGTCGTGGCCTGCCACGGCTGCGAGTGTCGATTCCACACCACCGGTGTCTCTGCCTCCATCAGACGTCAGTCTGGAGATTGTGCCGTGAATCCACTGTTGCAGAGGACAGCAGCCTCTGGATCTCATGGGACATCCTGACCCGAGCTCCCAACCTGAGTATTGCTGTGGGCGGTCATCGTGCTTTCAAGCCGGGAAGCCAACAATATTAAACTGTTTCAATGGAAGGACCCGAGAGTGGGCTGGAGAAGAAGTCAGAAGAACTGGGCCTCAGGAATCGTGTTCTCCTTTTGAAGGCCTGTGGTGTCAGAGATCTGGGACAGGGATTTTCCCGGCACACCTTACACAGTTCCAGTTCTGCTAGGGTTAAACAGCCAGCCTGTTCATTCCCCTGATAACTTACCAAGTGCATTGTCAGTGTGGCCTCCTGAGCTCCATGCTATTACATGGCTGAAAATGAACTTGAGACTAGAATAGCCCAGTGCCTGGGGTGAGGTATTGTCCTTCTTGTTAATCACTGTTCCTGAAATACCTTTTGTTCCCTCAGACAGCAGGTACCCACACAGCACTCATTGCCACTCTCATTATTTCTCTCCCCACTGCCCTCGTTTCTGTTTCTCTGAGCACCTGCTGGCCGCCCTCTGCCTCTCCCTTCCTGGTTCTTACGCTGCTGCCCCTCCTGCCACCCACACCGTTTCCCATCCGCGAGGCTTGCTGCACCTCCATCCTCTCCACCTGCCCTGGCAGGACAACCGCTGTGGCTTTGTTCCTCATCTCCATGTGTCCTCTAAGGACTCGCTTTGCTGCTTCTTTCTCCTCCTTTCCATCGTGGTCTGGCCAGTGGGAGACTGAGTCTCCCTCCCAAAGTCCTGATATCTGTTCTCTCTAACACCCCTGCTCCAGAGACTCCCCATGCACCAGTCCAGCAGCCCTGTCCTCAGGCTCCCCAGGGACTCCCTAACAAGAGACACTTTCTTTTGTTCCTGCAGATTCCAAGAAAGGTGGTGTATGACCAGCTCAATCAGATCCTGGTGTCAGATGCAGCCCTCCCAGAAAATGTCATTCTGGTGAACACCACTGACTGGCAGGGCCAGGTAAGTGCTGAAACTGCGAGGCCATGTGGGGTCCTGGAGGGCAGGCAATGCCCGGTTGCATTGTCAGTGTGGCCTCCATACTATTGCGTGGGGAGGTGGGGAACTCACCCCTCCATCAGCCCCCACCTGCTCTGAACTGAGCCCAGAACTCTGAGTTCTAGTCCAACTTCTGTCATTATCCAACTTGTGGGATCTTAAATCACTAAGTTTGCTCTACCTCAGCTTCCTCATACGTTAAAAAACAAACAAACAAAAAGCAACAGTAATTCCTCCAGGGCGCCACATGCGTCAGGCAGCATAGTGGAACGGAGGCCTGTAGAGAAGCACCCGGCTGTAACCTCCAGGGCTGCCCCATGAAGGCAGGTCAGCAAGGCAGAGCATCCCTGCCTGCTCCCTCACCGCTGTCCACCTGGCTTAGACACTGGTGCCGGGGACACCTGGAGTGTCCTAGCATGTGAAACCCCCTAAGGCTTCCCATCTCTCACACTCTGCGTGTCTCGTGGGTCGGCCCCACCCCCTCCTTACTGGCAGTCCGGAGACCTGGCTGCCTTTGCCCAGCTTCGGTCTGAACTGCAGAGGACAGGGGCCCTGCAGCTCGGTCTGGGTCTCACTTGCCTCTTGGCCCTTGTGAAGGAGTGATGTGTTCTCACCTGTGTCCCTGCTCTCCTCCCTCCCTATCCCAGTATGTGGCTGAGCTGCTCCAGGACCAGCGGAAGCCTGTGGTGTGCACCTGCTCCACCGTGGAGGTCCAGGCCGTGCTGTCCGCCCTGCTCACCCGGATCCAGCGCTAGTAAGGGCTCTGGCCTCCCTTCTCCTGCCCTTAGAGATTCCCTCTGACCTCATCTTCCAACCCTGACTTCTAAGCAATGATAGACCCTCCTGGCCTCATCAGACCAAGAATTTGCAGAGGGGCGTATGTTTAGGGGGGTGGCGGCAGCAGGCTGTAGGGCTTGAGGCCCCGGCAGACCCCAGAGGATCGGGGGTGGAAATATCAATTCCTGTGCTCCCTGCCTCCCTGCCTGGACCCCCGCCATGCCTTGACTTGCTTTATCCTCTTAAACCCATGATGAAGGAGAGGACACACTGGTTTTAAAAAGATCTTTTATTCCTTCCATCTGCAACATGCTGCTAGACACTCAGGAGTCAGTGCTTCCCCTACCCTCAGGGCCTTCTTAAAAGGCCCAAGTCCCTTGCCCTTGTGAAAGAGAACTATGGATTCCAGGCCTGGGGGCACACACCCTGCGGGCATCCCAGGCACACTGCCGAGTCCTACGTTAGCCTCAGCTGTTCCGTCTGCTTCATGGGCAATGCCCTCTGACCCTGGATTTTTCTCTTGGTTGTGAAAGCACTGTGGCTTATTCCCTGTATGATCCTCTCTGTTTTATTTTGTGGATTGGTTTGCTTTTCCCCTGTGGGTTGTTGAGATCACAGAAAGTCAGCTCTGGGCCTCCCCCGGGCAGGATCCTGGCACCCCTGAGCACTGCTATGACGCTCCCCTTCCTCCCCAGCTGCAACTGCAACTCTTCCATGCCGAGGCCAGTGAAGGTGGCTGCTGTGGGAGGCCAGAGCTACCTGAGCTCCATCCTCAGGTTCTTTGTCAAGTCCCTGGCCAACAAGACCTCCGACTGGCTTGGCTACATGCGCTTCCTCATCATCCCCCTCGGTAAAGACGGGAGGCACCAGGAGGGCGTCGGGCATGAGGGTTCCATAGACAGATGCCTCATCTGGAACAGGACGGTGGGGTTGGGGCCTAGGAAGGGACAGTCAAGGAGACCAAGGCCGTGGCCAGGGACAGCTGCTCCCACACTGTCTCATCTCCTGACGAATTCACCACCTCTGGTTTTCCATCTACCAGGTTCTCACCCTGTGGCCAAATACTTGGGGTCAGTCGACAGTAAATACAGTAGTTCCTTCCTGGATTCTGGTTGGAGAGATCTGTTCAGTCGCTCGGAGCCACCAGTGTCAGGTAATGGCCCCGTGTAAGGAGCTTACTCCCACCCCCGGGGTCCACAGGTGCCAGCCTGGCTGCAGAAGGAGGCTGAGGTCATGCTGCTTTCCTCCCTGCAGCTCTCACCTTCCCGGTCACTCTGTCCATTCATTTTTCCATAAGTGTTTATTAAGCGGAGGCTCACTGTGCACAGCCCCTCCACTCTGCCAGTTTTCATCCTCTGCTATTTGCTCTGCTCCTGTTCATCTGGAAGGAACAAGGGCCATGCTGGCATAGTGGCCAGGGCGTCTCTAGTTGTAGAGATGAAATACAAGGAGCAGAGAATAGCAGTCAAGTGACAAAGCAGTCACTTGATAAATGAATAGCACCCCACCAACCAGGTGCTTTCTTGAATATCAAATAAAGGTGGCAGAGGTCAAGGGCACGGTGGATCACTTGAACCCAGGAGTTCAAGACCAGCCTGGGCAACATAGCAAGACCCTGTCTCTACAAAAATACAAAAATTAGCTGGGTATGTTGGTGTGCACCTGTAGTCCCAGCTACTCGGGAGGCTGAGGTGGGAGAATTGCTTGAGACCAGAAGGTTGAGGCTGCAGTGTGATCATGCCACTGCACTCCAGCTGGGGCAGCAGAGTGAAACTCCGTCTCAAAAGTAAAATAAAATAAAAATAAAAAAATAAAGGTGGCAGGGATCAGAAAGAGGTTGAGCTCTTCCAGGCTGAGAGGTAGTGAGGGCCTGGCGCAACTGAGAAGGAGGTGATGGCAAAAGTCTGTGGGGTGAGGCTCCTCCAGGCCACCGGATGGGTATGTGCAAGGACAGGCAGGAGCAAGTGGACATGAGAAGAAGGGTGTGCGTGGCCCAAGAAAGAGCAGGGCTTTGAGGAACTGCAAAGATTGGAAGGGAGAGGACCATCCTTGGGCTCATGATTCCTTCAAACCAGAAGGACCGTAGAGCCCCATCCTTCACTCAACTCCTAGAGTCTGACGGGTCTCAGGAAGGGATCCCTCTCCGAGAGGGTCTGCAGGTTTGCCAGCTGAAGTCAGTAGGCAGTTAGTGATCTCTTGGCTTTTCTGCAGAGCAACTGGACGTGGCAGGGCGGGTGATGCAGTACGTCAACGGGGCAGCCACGACACACCAGCTTCCCGTGGCCGAAGCCATGCTGACTTGCCGGCATAAGTTGTAAGTTTGACTTTGAGGGGTTTCTTAAAAATAGGTTGGGTGGGTTAGAGGAATCTTGAGTCTTCCTTGCTTTCTCACATTTTCCTTCTCCACATGCTATATTCCTTCATAGGAACCCAAAAGGATATGAGTGGTTTTTACCACCACCTCCCCAGCACTCCTTCCTTGCCCAAGGCCTCCCACCCATAGGAGCCTGAGTTCATCAGTTTCCTTTCCTGCCCTTCAGTATAAAGCAGCCCATCCTCATAGCTGGAACTCAGACGTGGGAAGCAGGGAGCGTAGCTTGCATGATCAGGTCATTTGCCCTCATTTTGTGAGCTCCACATGCACAGCAAGTCCCAGACCTTCCCCATGCCACCCCAGGATGTGATGGGCAGAGGCAGCCCAGCATCCTGGACTCTGCTGCAGCCACAGTGAGATAGGAAAGGCCAATTCCCCAGCACTCCTCCCTGTCTCTCCTACTAACTATGAAGCTCTCCTGTGTCTCCCAACAGCCCTGATGAAGACTCCTATCAGAAGTTTATTCCCTTCATTGGCGTGAGTACTGACTCCCTCTGCTTGGCACCCCACCCGTTCTCCTGGTCTTCCTGTTCCCCCTTACACAGGAAAACAAAAGATTCATCTAGAACAGTGGTTCTCCAGACACTGGAGATTTTGCCTCCAGGGACTACCTGGCAGTGTCTGGAGACGTGTTTGGTTGTTATACGGGGGGTACCCAGTGGGTGGAGGCCAGGGATGCAGCTGGTCATCCTCCAGTGCACAGGAGGTCCCGCAGCAGAGAATGGCTTGGCCCCAAGTGTCAGTAGTGCAGAGGTGGAGAAACCCTGGGCCGGACATGGATTGGGCTGTCCCTTTTAGTGTCCGCCTTTTCCAAATCACGAACTGTTCCTGGGTCCATCACTGATGTCTCCTGTTTATTACACCAGGCCCTGACCTCGCTGCCTTCACCCGGGGAGTGATGTCCAGACGTGGCTCACGGGAAAGGGAGCTGCTTTGGTAGTAGTGGAAGGCAGCATTCAGAAAAGTCTGAAAACAGATACTTCTGTCTTCATGGTTGGATAGGCCACTGAGAGGAAGGCTTTCTTCTTTCCTTTTCTATTTAACCAAGGAGAAATCTCTATACTAGTAAACTTTGAAAGTCAAGGAAGAACCCCGTGGATGTCTCATGGCAGGTGCATTGCCGGCTGTCTGTTCATCAGCAGCTGGGCCACAGGCTCAGCCTGACCTAGGGAGGGGTCCGGGGGAGCTGTGCAGTCCTGCCAGAGGCCAGAGCATGGCACCGGAGCAGGACTGAAAACTCCGATTTCCACTTAAAAGAGCTTTACATTTCCCTTCGAAACCAGCTTCTATCTTTTTTTATTATTTTTTTTTTTTATGAGATGGAGTCTGACTCTGTTGCCCATGCTGGAGTGCAATGGCACAATCTCAGCTCACTGCAACCTCTGCCTCCTGGGTTCAAGTGATCCTCCTGCCTCAGCCTCCTGAGTAGCTGGGACCATAGGTACATGCCACCACGCCTGGCTAATTTTTTTTTGAGACAGAGTCTCACTCTGTTGCCAGGCGGGAGTGCAGTGGCGCGATCTCGACTCACTGCAACCTCCGCCTCCCAGGTTCAAGTGATTCTCCTGCCTCAGCCTCCCGAGTAGCTGGGATTACAGGCACGTGCCACCACACCCAGCTAATTTTTGTATTTTTAGTAGAGACGGGGTTTCACCATGTTGGCCAGGATGGTCTCGATCTCTTGACCTCGTGATCCGGCTGCCTTGGCCTCCCAAAGTGCTGGGATTACAGGCTTGAGCCCCTGTGCACGGCATGCCCGGCTAATTTTTGTATTTTTCTGCTGAGATGGCATTTCGCCATGGTGCCCAGGCTGGTCTCAAACTCTTGGACTCAGGAGATCCACCTGCCTCAGCCTCCCAAAGTGCTGGGATTACAGGCGTGAGCCACCATGCCCCACCAGCTTGTATCTTTTTTTGTAATTTCCTTGAGGCTCCCTCGTAGCTTCTAGACAGGGAGGGGCTCATGTGGATGAGGGGGCCTAGCTCCCTGCTCTCCCTGCTTTCTGCGCATCCAAGATGTGGGTGTCTTGAGTGATCTCAGGAGATACCTGAGCTGGGGAAATCCAGCAGCCCTTTCTCGTGCCTTGCAGAGCCTCCTGTCCTGCAGTCTAGCCAGTCCCCGGTTAGCCCCTGGGCTGCTCCCATAGCCACATTACAGGCCCCAAGACCATGGCCCATAGCTGTGGCTGGTGGTTTGACACATCTTCGTGGAGCTGTGAGTTGCTGCTCACTCAGGCCTCGCAACCGAGAGAGACAGAGAGATAACAAATTTAAAACAAATTAAAAACCAAAAGAGCTAGCAACCTCACCAAATGCCAGGCAAACAAGGAGAGAAGGGGAGTTGTATCCAGGAAGCCCCAGAGTGGCAATTTGTTCCTCTCTGGGAATCAAAAGAAGGGCGCATAGAGAATCGGGACAGACTTCAGCAAACACAGCCTTGCTGTCGCGGCAGCCTCCAGGCAACCACCTGCAGGCCTGTGCGGTAGATTTCGCCCCATCAGGGTCCAGCCCTCTGGACTCCCAGCCCAGCTGCCTCTTTGCCTAGGCCTGGGCCCAGGTGATAGGGCCCAGGACTTTACCTGTCACTTCAGACCACAGCCTGGATGCTCACCTAGTCTGTGGCTGTGTTCTTTTCTAGCCACTGGAGGGCCCAGGCTGTCCTTTCCAGAATTCTCTATGGAGAATTGAAAATTCCTAAAGAACCCCCCCACCCCCATTCAGTACACTTCCAGATTCCAGGAAGACCAGAGAGGAGAAGGCTGGTGTCCACACCTTAGCACGTCCACTTGGCTTTAGACTCTCCCACCTGGCAGAGACAGAGCCATCTTCCTAGGCCCTCTGCCCACAGGACCTTAGAGAAACAACATCAGGACATCACAGTGATTCCTGCCTTCAGCCCTTTATCCCCAGAGAAGAGCTGCAAAGTCTCGCATGCCCCATCTCATTGTTGCAACTAGGTTTTGTTGTTTTTTGTTTGTTTGTTTCTACAGCTGGGCTGCTCCAGATTTGCAAAGATTTTTTTATTTACTTATTTATTTGATGTATTTATTTATTTTGAGATGGAGTCTCGCTCTGTCGCCCAGGCTGGAGTGCAGTGGCGCCATCTCAGCTCACTGAAACCTCCGCCTCTCAGGTTCAAGCGATTCTCCTATCTCAGCCTCCCAAAGTGCTGGGATTACAGGCATAAGCCACCACGCCCAGCCCAGATTTGCAAAGATTTTAAAGTCGGCAATAAAATAATGTGTAGTGATGGCTCTTGTGCCACCAATGTGTTTCTGGTTGGATCAGAACATGCCTGCTTTAACAGGAGGATCTAATGAGTGCCTCTTCTCTCCTTGCAGGTGGTGAAGGTGGGTCTGGTTGAAGACTCTCCCTCCACAGCAGGTGAGGCTGGGGCTCCCTTGTTCTGTGGAGTGAGGCTGGTGCCCTCCCTGTCTTCCCTCTAGTCCAGCAGGCCAGAAGTTAAGCTCTGGATGCCCTGAGGGAAGTCAGAGCTTGAGCAGGAAGCCTATGGGCGCCCTCACTCCCCTGCTGCGGTGGTGGCTGGGGGAGGTGGAAGGAGCCTGGGGCCAAAGGAGGAAAGCAGGCCACAGGATGGGAGGAACCCCGGCTCCTTGCCACCACCAAGTCAGAGATAGCTTCCTCTGGCCAACTGTGTTTGTCGTTTGTCCCCTGACAGGCGATGGGGACGATTCTCCTGTGGTCAGCCTTACTGTGCCCTCCACATCACCACCCTCCAGCTCGGGCCTGAGCCGAGACGCCACGGCCACCCCTCCCTCCTCCCCATCTATGAGCAGCGCCCTGGCCATCGTGGGGTAAGGCTCCTGCCCGTACCTGTCCTGCCATGCCCTCCATCAGGCCCACCCGGCTGATTCCAGTGACAGGCGCATGGGCTTAGAAGGTAGCCACAGGAAGCCGGGCGTGGTAGTGCACACCTGTGGTCCTAGCTACTCAGGCTGAGGCAGGAGGATTGCTTGAGCCCAGGAATTTGAGGCTGCAGTGAGCCATGACTGCGCCACTGCACTGTAGCCTGTGTGACAGCAAGACCCTGTCTCTCAAAAAAAAACCCAAAACACTAAAGTTAGAATTCAGAGACATATCACTAGCCGGCCTGGTCATGGGAGGACACTTTCTGCCCTGTTTCACAGTATTGGGTTGAATGAGACAATGTTGGCAGAGGCCTGTGAAGTGCTGTGCAAGTGTCTTGTTATGGGACCTCCCAGGTGTTGTTATGGGACCTCCCAGGTGCAAGAAAGAGCATGGCACTTGGGAAATAAAACACACGTGGGTTTGAGTGGTTCTGTCTTGTCTCTGCACTGCCTTAGCTTAGACAAGTTACTGAACTTCAATTTCATCTAATGAAAAGAGGTGAAGTGGCCACCTTGCAGGACTGTGGAGCAGGTTACATAAGAACGTGGAAACCAGGCCTCATCCTGTAGTTCCAGCCACTCCGGAGGCCAAGGCCGGAGGATCGCTTGAGCCCAGGAGTTCAAAGCTAGGCCTGGGCCACGTAGTGACGTGGATTGGGCTGTTCTTTCTAGTGTCTTCCTTTTTTCTTCTTTTTTAGGGACGTGGATTGTCTCCTTTGGTGACAGTCAGAGGGCCTCTCTAAAGGAAACAATCCACGTCTCTAAAAAAGAGAAAAAGAACATGCGTGTCAGTGCCTGGCACAGTGAGGCAGCCCTGCTGAGGCGCTAGAGCTGGAGCCGGCGCGGGAGCAAGCGGCGGAGCTCGGGTTCAGGCTGAATCTCTGAGACCACTGGAAGCAGTGATATAGCAGGAGGCCGTGTCTTTAGGATCTCAAGTATCTACAGTTTAGATCAAGGGTCCAGCAGCAGGGGGCAGAGAGAGGGTGGAGGGGTGGGCTCCTGACAAGAAGGCCGAGGTGAGGAGAGCAGGCGTGGTCAGCGCTGGGAAGGAGCAGCCTGCCTTCCCTTCCCCCATTTCGCTGCCTTCCGCCTTCGCCTCTTCCCTTTCCTTGTAGCAACAGCGAGGATGGCATTGGCCGGTGGCTTCCCCCAAAGTGCTAGTAATGTGTTGGGTGGCACGAAGCCTGCCCCGGAGCTAGAATCCCAGTCCCTGGTCTCCCTCAGCCTCTGCTCCTCGGGGCACTTCCCTTCAGGGTCTTCTGGAGGGAACAGTAGAGGAAAGGAGGAAGTACCCACGCAGCCAAGTTCTGCCCTGGGGACCTCAGGTTCCTGGCCTCCTGGAGGCGTTTTCTCTCATCTCACCCCACAGCGGAAGGGTTTCTGTCCAGCATGGGTTTGGGGAGCCTTGGCACCAACCCTTTCCTCTACCTCCTTTCCCTTCCAAGTTAATCTTGTTTTTTAATGGAACCTCCAAAATGAGGCAGAAAGAGAAAAGTCAGATGACTTTCCTAGCCTGTGTACCTATTGTGTCTGACACCTCCTTTCAAGACATACCAGCCCTTCTCCCGGGAGCTAAAATTATCGCTGAGCTAAGAGTGCCATGAAAAGGAGAAAGCTGCAGGTCGGGTGGCACCAGCTGCTGTCCTGAGGCTGCACTGGAGCCGCCCGCAGGGGCTTCTGCCGGGCTCAGGCCTTCTCTCCAGCTCGAGGCTCAGTTTGGCCCAGGCTTTGCCTGCTGGGCGTGTATGTGTGTGTGTGTGTGTTATATGTGTGTATATGTGTGTGCACGCATGCACTTATGTACACACACACTTTCTTCCTTCATAAAGCTTCCTTCTCTGCTGCCCTTGTCATCCTGTGAAGATTTTATTTGGTTTCCTTTTCGTGACTTGGGCCTTTATTCTCCCCAGCTTTGTTCTCAGATCAGCCTGATTCTCCTCTCCTACATGAGCTGCTCTGTGTGGCTGGAGGGAACAGAGCTGCAGCCTTCCTCAGCCTGCCCTCCCGGGGACTGGCATGGCCCCTACCCCATCAGGCCTATGTAGTTGGGAGCTGAAGGCAGAGCTGACCTCTCCTCTTTGTTCCCTTTCCTCAGGAGCCCTAATAGCCCATATGGGGACGTGATTGGCCTCCAGGTGGACTACTGGCTGGGCCACCCCGGGGAGCGGAGGAGGGAAGGCGACAAGAGGGACGCCAGCTCGAAGAACACCCTCAAGAGTGTCTTCCGCTCAGTGCAGGTGTCCCGCCTGCCCCATAGTGGGGAGGCCCAGCTTTCTGGCACCATGGCCATGACTGTGGTCACCAAAGAAAAGAACAAGAAAGGTAAGTACCCCCAAGGCCGGGGAAGACCATGGGCCACCAGGCCTCCCGTCTCGTCTCTCAGGGCCTGGGAATAAATCTGCTTTTGGGATATTTGGGATGAAGAAGCATCCCATGGTCTGGCATGGGGTGCAGAGGGGGCAGTCCCACCTCCCCTCGAGGGACAAGGCCATTCCTTCTGTCATGCAGGAAACCGAGGCTGCAGAGAGTCGCTTGGTCACTCTCTGCTGAGCTCCAGTACTTTAGGGGCTGAGGCAGCTGCCACTGTGTAATGAAGGGGGCCTTTCTGGCCACTGCTGTCCGGGATGGACTGCAGACAGGGAGAGGCCTCTCTATATCACAGCTCCAGGTCCCTGTGACGCAGGAGTAGAGAACTTGCACCCAGCCCTGGAGGCCTCTCCAAAGAGGCCTCATGAGCAAAAGGACGTGGTTGTGTTTTCAGGATTAAGGGGCATACAGTCCATTCTGGATAGCAGGGGTAGCTTAAGGAGCTGGAGGGGAGTTGGAGCTGGCCCGGCTCCTGTGCGTGGGAGTGAGGCAGGAACCCCCATGGCTGGGCCAGTGCTGCGGCAGCGCCTGCCACCGTTGGTGCCAGCTGGGGACCCGCAACTGGTAGTGCACCTGCAGCACTGGCATGACCCCAACCCCGCCTCCTTTGGGTGCTGCAAAGCAGCTGTGCCTATTTCTGTGTGTGACTCCCCTCTGCAGAGTTCCCCTGGGGGGTCAGGCATGGGGCTGTGCCAGGCCCACAGCCAAAACCCACGGCCTGCAGCACAGAAACTTGCAAGGGGAAGCTGCCTGCTCAGCAGTGACCTCCCTGCCCTTGCTTCCTTTCTGGAGTGGGAGTGGAACAGGGAGCACTCCCCGGCATCCCCAGGACAGCGTGAGGACAAACTCATGCTGCACTGGCTCCTGCATAGAGCATGCGCCTGATAGGGAGGCAGGCCCCTGCCCCACAGGCTGCCTAGAACGTTCCAGCTGGAAAGGACTTCAGAGACCATCTGGACCAAGGTCTTCACTGAACAGGCGAAGATATCGAGCCCCAGGGGGAGAAGTGGGACCTTAGCCAAAGTCACCAGCCCAGTGCTGGGACTGAGTCAGGAACCTGAAGATCCTGACCCACAGCCCAGTGCCAGGGAGGAGGGGTTGGTTTGCAGATCACCTCCCCTCGCCACAGGAAGAAGGGGACAGTCGGCTGGGGAGGAGAGGGGTGGCGGCTTCCCCAGGGGCTGGGACACAGGTGGCCTTGCTTGCTTTCCAGTTCCCACCATCTTCCTGAGCAAGAAACCCCGAGAAAAGGAGGTGGATTCTAAGAGCCAGGTCATTGAAGGCATCAGCCGCCTCATCTGCTCAGCCAAGCAGCAGCAGACTATGCTGAGAGGTGCGAGGGCAGGCAGGGCCGGGAGGAGGGCAAGAAAGGGACTGGAGAGGGAGGCAGGCAATGGCCTTTCCCAAGGGGCCCTGGGGAGATGGCCTGAGCAGTCTGGTCACCCCTCCTCTCCTGTCACCCCTAGTGTCCATCGATGGGGTCGAGTGGAGTGACATCAAGTTCTTCCAGCTGGCAGCCCAGTGGCCCACCCATGTCAAGCACTTTCCAGTGGGACTCTTCAGTGGCAGCAAGGCCACCTGAGGCCCTGTCTCCCAGCCACTTTCCCTCCTGGCACTGCCACCAGCCTCACCGCCTGCGGGCAGGGGGAGGCCAGCAGGCCCGGGCCCAGCACCCCTTCCCTGGCACCAGGGTCTGCCTCTCACTCGCCCAGGTCCCGAAGGACACTGCCACAGGGACGCCTTCCCTCCCCTCCCCTCCAGCCCACCCCTGCACAGCCCCTCCTCCTTCCCGCTTTTCCCCTTCTCCCTCCTGCTCCAGGCCCAAGGCGTGTTGGTTTTGCCTTCTGGTGCCCATAGTCCCCTGGACTGAGTCCCCCAGGCCTTCCTTCACCCGACTTCCAAACTCTTCCTTGTGGTATCAGTTTCCTTCTCGGAAATGAGAAAGCTGGAATCCTGGTCCCCAGCAGGAGAGCCTAGTCCTCCCCCAGCCCCTCCAGCCACCAGGGTGTCCTCTAGGATGCAGCTGCCAGATCCACTCACTCTGCTGCCTCCAGCAGGACCCAAGGCCACTTTCAACTCTTATGGGGTTCTCCACCTGCCCCAGAGCTTCTCAAGGGAGGGTAAGGGGGCACCCTGAGCCCACAGGACCCCTACTTCACAGCTCACAGGGGCAGGAGGCAGCTCCCCTGCCTCCAGGACCCTGTTGCTATGGTGACACAGCGTTTCTAGGACAGAGGGGCCTCCCAGTCTCCCCCCACCACCCGTGCACGACTTCCTCACCACCCCCAGGTTCCCTGCAGATGTCGTGTGTGTCCTGAGTGTTTCTTTGGTTCTTTGCACGCCAAGTCTCTTGGTTGTACCATGTGACACACCCTGTGCACTGGTCGCTGTCTTCGTGGCTTCCACCCTTGTTAATGATGCTCCTGCCTCTGCCTCCCAGCCCCTCACCCAGCACAGCTCTGCCTGGACTTGGAGAGATGGGAGGCAGACCCCCACCACCATACATGCTGTCTGTGGCCCCTCAGACATTCTGTTTCATCTCCCATTCATCTCCCTCCTCCCACCGTGTCAGTTTTTCTGCCTTTCCCTGCTCTGTTCTTCCCCCTCCTTAGGCCCCAGCCTGGGCCCAGACCCATCCTCCCAGCCAGGTTTCCCTCCAGCAGGCTCCTTCCCTCCCTGTCACCTCCCTCTCACCAACCCGGGGTCTGAGCCCCTCATTCCTGACCGTCCGTGTTCTCAGGAGTGGTTGAGGACACAGGGCCCCAGCCCAGCCCTCTGCACCCCCCAGCCCGGCCATCTGCGCCCCACAGCCCCTTTGGAGCTTTTCTCTTGTCCTCTCACTCCTTCCCAGAAGTTTTTGCACAGAACTTCATTTTGAAAGTGTTTTTCTCATTCTCCATACCTCCCCCAAGCTCTCCTCCAGCCCTTCCCAGGGCTCAGCCCTGCTGTCCTGAGCGTCTCCTGGGCCAGAGAGAGGAGATGGGGGTGGGAGGGACTGAGTTGATGTTGGGTTTTTCATTCAATAAATTGGTGATTTCTTACCGACTGCCTTGGGCTTCTATGCCCCCTCACTGTGCCACAGGAGCTGCCCAACCCCTTTTCCACAGTGCAGCCCAACTCCAGTGAAAATCCACCAGGAACGTAGGTGGAAAGAAGCGTACTCCCATGTTCTCAATCATGGAAACAGGCATGAAGGTGTCTCACCTGGCATGAGGCAGGCAGAGGTCGGAAACAGGAAAGATGTCATTTCCACACCAAAAGCCCGTTTTTCCCCAGGACCCACCATCCCCAAATCCACCTCCCAAGGCAGTGACGTGTTGAGTGTGGCTTCCCCATCTTCTGATCAAAGGTCAGAACTTAGCTTCTCTCCCCTGCTCCAGGTTGGTGAAGTCCGAGCCAGTGGGGTCTTTGCCTCTGCAGGTGGAGGGAATAGGGCTGAGGGACATCTGTGGAGTTCCTTTTCCTGCCCGCCCTTGACTTAGAGATGGAAAGCAGTGGTAGCCACTGTCCCCTGGGTGCCCGGTTTTTCCACTAGCTTCCAAGACAGGCCTGCACACACGAAGAAGTGTGTGCCTTCCCCATGAAGAAGTGCCCAGAGGTGGCCAGGCACAGTGGCTCACGCCTGTAATCCCAGCACTTTGGGAGGCCAAGGCAGGCGTTTTGCCCGAACTCAGGAGTTTGAGACCAGCCTGGGCAATGTGGCGAAACCCCGTCTCTACTAAAAAATATAAAAAATTGGCTGGGTGCGGTGGCTCACACCTGTAATCCCAGCACTTTGGGAGGCTGAGGTGGGTGGATCATGAGGTCAGGAGATTAAGACCATCCTGGCCAACATGGTGAAACCCCGTCCCTACTAAAAATACAAAGATTAGCTGGGTGTGGTGGCACGTGCCTGTAATCCCAGCTACTCAGGAGGCTGAGGCAGGAGAATCACTTGAACTCAGGAGGTGGAGGTTGCAGTGAGCCGAGATCGCGCCACTGTACTCCAGCCTGGCGACACAGCGAGACTCCGTCTCAAAAAAAAAAAAAAAATTTTTGCCGGGCGTGGTGGTATGTGCCTGTAATCTCAGCTACTCAGGAGGCTGAGGCACGAGAATCACTTGAACCCGGGAGGCGGAGGTTGCAGTGAGCTGAGATCGTGCCACCGCACTCCAGCCTGGACGACAGAATGAGACTCTGTCTCAAAAAAGAGAAGTGTCCAGAGGTGAAGGCTTGCAGGAGAGGCAGCGCTTGGCATCCTTGCCCTACAGGTATAGCCCCAGAGGAGTGGATGGCCATCCAGAGCTTGCTGTCACTGGCCTCAGTCTTGGGTTCCCCAAGCCCTGTGCCCAGACGACCTCACATAGAGAGGCTTGGGGACCCAGCTGTGTGGCCCTGCGCAAACTCTCTGAGCCTAGAAAATGAAAATCATACCTGCCTTCTAAATGAGGTGATAGCGGGGCTGGTGAGAGGAAAGGCCAGGAGAAGCAAATCATACCTAGTGTGACCTGGATCTAGGGTGTGAGTGTGGCTGCAGAGCAGGGTGAAGTGCCCACGAGGACTTCCCGGAGCACAGCCAGGCGAGGGCTGCAGGGCAGGAGCTGTGCAGAGCTGGGGGCCAGGGAGTTCCAGTGGAGGGGGTGGGACAAGTAGACTTGGATCCCAGCTTCTGGCCCCCTTAGGTTCTGGCTTAGAGCTAGGAGAGAGGGTGAAGGGTGAACTCTCAGCCCGTCTGCATCTGACACCATATCCTCAGCCTCCCCTTCTGTGGCAATAAATGCCCCACCCTGCTCCCATCCTCGGGGCCCATCCCTCTTCACTCCTTGAGGGCTTTTCTCCTACAGTCGCCCTCTCTCCTGCACTGCGGGTTCTCCCCTCTGCCAGGACTTTCCACCCACTTACATGCATCCCAAGTGGGTATAGCTCAATATCAAAGACCAGAGACTTCCAGATTCTCTTCAGCTGCCATGCCTTGTCTCTGCTCCCCTTAGAGCAAAACTCTTCCAAAGAGCTGTGTGTGTTCCCCGTCTCCACTTCTGCCCACTCCCTTCCAGTTTTTTCCTCACAATCCCACCAAAAGTTTCCTTTCCACAGTTGCCAGTGACCTGGGTTGCCCAGTCCTATCAGTAGCATTGGATGCAAATAATCACCCGCTTGAGTCTTTCCACCTGGCCTGTGGACAGCTCTGTGCTCTCCTCTCACCTCCCTGGCCTCTCCTTTTTGGCCTCCCTTGCTATGGTGTCCTCAGCTTCCCAGCCTCAAAACCCTGGAGGACTCGGGGCTCCAGCCTCTAATATAGCCTCCTCTCTCCCCACACTCAGCCCTAAAGGGAGCTCACTCGGCCCCATGGTGTGAAATGTGCTCCCCTGGGGAGACTTCCCTCCTAGTAAATGCAAACTCGGTTCTTCAGTTCCGAGGCCGAAAACTGGGGAATCCTCCTCGATTCCTGTTTCTCTTGTACCCACCATCTAATCCATGAGCAAATCCTCCAGGCTTATCCTGACAGTGCCTTGCCCCTTCCTCTACTGCGATTATCTCTTGTCTGGATATTGCAATAGGCTCCTAATTATCCCTGCTCCCACCCTCTTCTCCCTGTAGCCTGTTCTCCACTCAATAGCCAGAGATTTTTCAGAGCTGAGCAGATCGTGTTGGATTGCTGATCCAAACTGTGCAGAGTGTCCCACCTACCTAGGTGTGTAAGCTGAAGCCTTACCTGTGAGGGGCCCACATGGTCTGATCTCCCAGGAGCTGCTGGATCTTAATTCCTCTTACGCTTCCCCTCCTCACTGGCCTCTCAACATTCCTCAAACACCACTCAGCCTCAGGGCCTTTGCACGGACCTTTGGTCCTGTCCATCCTGCTGCTGCCCTCAGGCCCGTGTGGCTTGCTCCATCATTCAGGTCTTGGCTGAAATGTCACCTCAGGAGGCCTTCCCTTCTCCAACCCCTCTTTTTTTTTTTTCTTACTCATATTTCCCACTCCTTGGCATTAATTATTCATTTGTCTCTCCCACAAGAATGCAAGCTCCAAGAAAAGAGGAAATGTTTTTCCCTGTTGTATCCTTGGCACCCAAAATACTGCTTGGCCCATCACAGGTGCACAATAAATACTCGTTTGCAGAATGAAGTTCCCTCTTGCTGCTGGAATTGGGTTCCAAATCCAGATGTGCTACTCAAGACATTTTAACTGATGCCTTAGCCCAAAAGACACCTGGGTTTTCTCATAGGCTCAGAAGTAAGAAGATAGACTCCTACCCCGGGCAAAGAAGAGGAAATCAGCTGTGTAGGGACAGTTTGGAGCACAAGGCAACTCAGGTGGAAGGTGCTGACTCAGACCCTGAAGCAGCTGTGCCCAGTCACCAGGAGTTAAGGCTGGACCAGAGCAGAGCTGCCCAAGGTCCGCCAGAGACTAAAGGCTTTTTGATGCAGAAAGTGGAAGAGCCTCTATCTAACCTGCACGCCAACTCCAGACTGGTTTTATTTTTAAGTAAACTATTTTAGAATACCTTTAGATTTATGGAAAAGTTGCAAAAATAGTAGAAAGAGTGGCTATATACCGCCCTGCCAGTTTCCCTTACTGTTAACATGTTACATTCATGTGCATTTGTCATAACTAGTGAGTCAATCGTGATGCACGATTATTAACTAAAGTCCCTATTTTGGCCGGGCACGGTGGTTCACTCCCATAATCACAGCACTTGGGGAGGCTGAAGCAGGTGGATCATCTGAGGTCAGGAGTTCAAGACCAGCCTAGCCAATGTGGTGAAACCCCATCTCTACTAAAAATACAAAAATTAGCCAGGCGTGGTGGGCACCTGTAATCGCAGCTACTCGGGAGGCTGAGGCAAGAAAATCGCTTGAACCCGGGAGGCGTAGGTTGCAGTGAGCCAAGATTGCACCACTGCACTCCAACCTGGGCGACAGAGTGAGACTCTTTCTCAAATAAATAAATAAATGTCCCTATTTTATGCATGTCCTTAGTTTTTCCCTAATGTCCTTTCTCCATTTCAGACTCCCACCCAGAATGCCACACTACGTTTGGTCATTCTGTCTTCTTTTTTGTTGTTGATTTTAGAGACCAGGTCTTGCTCTGTTGCCCAGGCTGGAGTGCAGTGGTGCCAACCTAGTTCACTGCAGCCTGGAACTCCTGGGCTCAAGCCATTCTCCTACCTCAGCCTTCTGGGTATCTGGGACTACAGGCATGTGTCATTACACCTGGCTCTTTGTTTTGTTTTGTTTTCTTTCGTTTTTTTTGGTAGAGATAGGGTCTTGAACTGACCTCAGTTATCGATCCTCCTACCTTGCCTCCCAAAGTGCTAGGATTACAGGCGTGAACCAACACATCCAGCCCATTCTGCCTTCTTAGGATCCTTTGGGCTGTGACATTTTCTTAGACTTTTTGATCTCTATTTTTGATGACCTTGACAGTTTTGAGGAGTATTGGTCAGGCATTTTGTAGAATGTCCCTCAGTTGGGGATTGTCTGATGTTCTTCTCGTGGCTGGATGGAGGTTATAGGTTGTGGGGAGGAAGACCTCAAAGGTGAATGCCCTTCTCAGCGCAGCCTGTGAAGGGCACATGCCGTCAACATGACATCATGGATGAGGTTGACCTGGGCTCCTCACTGTAAAGTCCCACACACCTGCTCCCATGCTGTTCTCTTTGGAAGGAAGTTGCTGGTGCAGCCCACACTCGGGTGAGGTGTTGATTATCCCTACATGCATCATCTGGGATTCTGCTGTACAGGAGGTTTCAGACTAATCTTTAAACTGCTTCTTTCGCCACCCCTTTCACCTGCCGTGTCCAAGGACTGACAGCATTAATAGCTGTCACCGTCACCTACAGGGCATTGCCTTTGAGCCAGGCTGCTGCTGAGTGCCTTATATGGTTTATTTCATCGAGTCCTTAAAGCAGCCCTCCCTGTGAAATCAATTCTGCTGATGCTTCCTTTTGCAAAGGAGGAAACCAAAGGTCAGAGCCTCCCCTCCCAACTCTAGAGCCTCCCATCTAACCACTTATGTTGCGACCTGAACACTCACAGTCATCCCAGACTTCACATGGCCAAAGCAAGACTCCTGATTTCCCTTGATCTTCCCCAGTCGGCAATGGCACCAGCCTCCATCCTGTTACTCCAGCCAGAAACCCGGACTCATCCTGCGCCGCCCCTCCCAATCCATCAGCAACTCTTGTCCATGCTGCCTCCCAAACGCTGTTTCCAACTATAAGCCAGGGTACCTTCCTCGCATAGAGTATCCTTTGTCGTCCTATCCTCCCAGTGCCCTCTGAATAGAGGCCAACCACCGTCCACCAGGCCCGTGGTCTGGCTCACTACCTTCACTTCTAGTTGCTTTCCCCCTGCCATGCTCACCACCCTCGAGCCACACCTGACCTTTCAGTGCTCACATCCCTCTTCCAACCCCAGAGTAAGCTCCTTTTCCTTTAAGATGTGGCCTTTGTATCACCTCCTCCAAGAGCCTTCCCCAACCACCCCACCCAAAGCCTGGTTGTTAGCCTCTGTCTCTTCAGTCATAGAGTTCACTATTACCTGCAGCAAATGTCTCTGTACCACATTCGAATGAGAGCTCCAGGAGGACAAAGACCCGAGCCGCCGGACTCATTGTTGCAGTATCCAGCACCCTGGCATGCGGCGGACCCTCGATAAAGGTTGGTTCAGTGCATGAGTGAGGGTTAAGTCACTCGTCCAATGCACACATATCGGCTGAGAAGAGGTCAGGTTTCTAAACCCCATCATCTGACTCAGGCCATATCTCAGGGCCCTACTCAGATCCCATCTTCCCAACCATCCATACATCTGGCTTTTATTAACTTCCTACTAGTTCGTGTCCTAGGTACAGCATGAACCTAGGTTGGGTCCCAACCTATACAGGAACGCTAAGGCCAGTAGGGGAGACAAGCAGACCATCGCCACACAGCATGACAGGTTGCACTGGTGCACACAGGAGGGATGTCCACCCTGCAGGAAGAGGTGTCCAAGAAGATGTCCCAAAGGGAATGACACCTGAGTGGCATACTGAAGACATCTGACAAGGATGGATGTTCTGGGCATAGGAAGTAGCATGAGATAAGGGAGATAAGAGAGATAAGGGAGAATGTGGCTGATGCCAAGAACCACACAGGGCTCAGTGCAGCTGGAGACCATGGGGATGGTGAGTGCCAGTGGGAGCGGAGGAAGAGTCTAGGCCCTGAGGAACCTCGTAGCTGTTACTGTTACCACTGTGAGCCAGAGCAAGGACTGCACACTCTGTCCTGAGAGACAGGGGAGCTGGCGAAGGGACCTAGGCAGAGAAGTGAGACGACATATTTCAGAAAGATCTCCTTAATACAACACACCGGGAGAAACAAGACCTGCTCTGCAGACCAGCAGATGAGCTTGAAGGGTGCAGCAGCCATTTAGAAAAGATGTGATGAGGACATTGTAAAGGTGGAAGGGTTAGAGGGAAATAGATAAATCTGAGAGCGACTTAAGAGGTTGAATTAATAGGTTTTGGTAGCTGGTTAGAAAACGAGAGTTGAGGCCGGGCATGGCGGCTCATGCCTGTAATCCCAGCACTCTGGGAGACCAAGGCAGACAGATCACTTGAGGTCAGGAGTTTGAGACCAGTCTGGCCAACATGGTGAAACCCTGTCTCTACTAAAAATACAAAAATTAACCGGGCATAGTGGCGGGCACCTGTAATCCCAGCTACTTGGGAAGCTGAGCCACAAGAATCGCTTGAACCTGAGAGGCAGAGGTTGCGGTGTGCCAAGATCGCGCCACTGCACTCCAGCCTGGGCAGGCGACAGAGTGAGACTCCGTCTCAAAAAAAGAGGCCTGGCATGGTGGCTCAGCACCTTGGGAGGCCGAGGCGGGCAGATCACCTGAGGTCAGGAGTTCGAAACCAGCCTGACCAACATGGTGAAACCCCGTCTCTACTAAAAATACAAAATTAGCCAGGCATGGTGGCGCATGCCTGTAATCCCAGCTACTCAGGAGGCTGAAGCAGGAAAATCACTTGAACCCTGGTAGCAGAGGTTACAGTGAGCCGAGACAATGCCATTGCACTCCAGCCTGGGCAACAAGAGTGAAACTCCATCTCAAAAAAAAGAAAACAGAGTTGAAAGAGAGTCCAGGACAGACTGACTGTCCTGTGTGAACATCCCTGCAGGAGATTTGGACAGGACTTAGTGCTATTCCAACTGGAAGTGGAATATATGGGTCTGGGTAGAGCTCAGGGGACTGATCTGGGCCAGAGATGGAGATGTGGGCCTCCCCACCGTGTGGGAGAGCTGACGCTGGGGAGAGGTGAGCTCATCCCTCGCTGGGCTCATCTCCTTCCTGATCACATGGGCACCTACGGTCCACACTACACAGCTCACGCTTGCTTCTATTCAGTCTCTGCCGCCTCATTTGTGGCTCACCTTCATTCTGAGTGCATCTCTGTCCAACAACACTGCAGGCAGAAGCTGCCCCGTATTTCTCATTCTTTTCCCACACCTTGCACTCAGGGTCTGTTGACTACTAAGCTTGATGGTGATGAGAATAAACAACCACTAGGAATAGTGTCTGTTATGTACAAGGCCTAATGTTAAGCCTTTATGCCTTTTTTGTTTGTTTGTTTTTGGTTTTTGAGACAGAGTCTCGCTCTGTCCCCCAGGCTGGAGTGCAGTGGCGCGATCTCGGCTCACCGCAAGCTCCGCCTCCCGGGTTCGCGCCATTCTCCTGCCTCAGCCTCCCGAGCCACCATGCCCGGCTAATTTTTTGTATTTTTAGTAGAGACGGGGTTTCACCATGTTAGCCAGGATGGTCTCGATTTCCTGACCTCGTGATCCCCCCGCCTCGGCCTCCCAAAGTGCTGGGATTACAGGCGTGAGCCACCGTGCCCAGCCCCTTTATGCCATTTTATTGCATTCTCTGGATGTCCCAACAAAGTAGGTAATAGGAACCCTGCTTTACAGATGAGGAAGCAGGTAAAATAACAGACCATGCCTAAAAAGCGACACCACTAGCAAATGGAGAAACGCGGCTTTGAACTTAGCTGAGTCTGACCCCAAGGCCTGCGGTCCCTCCACTGAGCAGGGCAGGACCGGTCTACCCTGGCTGGGAGGTCACAAGGAAGAGAGGGTGCAGATTTGCCATAAGGCCACAGGACAGGAACCAGGAGCCTCTGGGGACAGCTTTGAGTAGACTGATTCTTGGCTCAGTGGCAGAAAGAACCAACAACTAGTGGTGTCCAAGGTAGACAAGGGCCCCTCAGGAAGCTCAGGAAGCTGGGGAGACATGGTCTTTAAGGAGCCTCCCATCTTGAGCACTTATGGGTGAATGTGCTGACTTTTTTTTTTTTTTTTTTTTTGAGACAGAGTCTCACTCTGTCGCCCAGGCCTCTCAGGTTCAAGCAATTCTCCTGCCTCAGCCTCCCAAGTAGCTGGGACTACAGGCAAGAGCTACCACACCTGGCTAATTTGTTGTATTTTTAGTAGAGACAGGGTTTCACCATGTTGGCCAGGCTAGTCTCAAACTCCTGACCTCAAGTGATCCGCCCATCTCGGCCTCCCAAAGTGCTGGGATTACAGACGTGGGCCACTGTGCCCGGCCATATCTGCTGACATTTCAAGTGGGACGACAGCCTTGGCAAAAGTGCCCCAGCCACTTCAGAGAAAGGGAGGGAATCTAGCCAAAAGAAAAAGAATAATTTAAGAAAGCAGATTTCAGTGGGACGAGGGCTTCTGAGGATCTAAAGGGATGCAGTAGGAGAAGTGGGAGTGATTTTCAGGGAGGAAACAGTAATATTAAAAGTAGCAAGAACAACTTCCCAGGCATGGGATGGCAGGGGGCTGCTGAGCACTGTGGAAAGAGCATAAGGAGCTGAATCACCACTGGGCATGGATTTCTTCCTTTATTCTCCATTTACTGAGTGCCCATCAGCAGCCTGGCATGAGATCAGCAGCTGCTGGAGGAGCACAGGACAGTGCAGGATGAAGTAACAGTCTCTTCCTTTGGGAGACACACAGTGCAATCCTCAGAGACAAGATAAAAAGCCAAGTGGCTGAAAGGGCCGAACACATGCGAGGCTAAGCGACAAGAGAATGAGAACCAGCAGGGAAGGCCCAGCCTTCCCCCACCAGCACACCGGGCGGAGCAGCCAGCGCCTAAGGAGAATCCCAAAGGAACCACTGAAGCCCACAGATGGTGAGCAGAACAATTGGAGCCAGGAACCTGCACAAGTCACAAAGGGAGATTGAGAAGTGTTCTCTCCATTTACCGGGAAAAAGGTGATAAAATAAATGTGCTCCTTGGCCGGGCGCAGTGGCTCACGCCTGTAATCCCAACACTTGGGGAGGCTGAGGCGAGTGGATCACCTGAGGTCAGGAGTTTGAGACCAGCCTGGCCAACAAAAAATTAGCCAGGTGTGGTGGCAGGCGCCTGTAATCCCAGCTACTCGGGAGGCTGAGGCAGGAGAATGGCGTGAACCTGGGAGGCAGAGGTTGCAGTGAGCTGAAATTGCACCACTGCGCTCCTGCCTGGGGAACACAGCAAGGCTCTGTCTCAAAACAAACAAACAAACAAAAAAGCCCATTGAGCCCGGTGCAGCCGCCTTTCACTTCTCTGAGCCTCAGTTTCTTCACCTGCAAAACAGAGACACTGAAACAGCACTTTCAATCCAGGGCGCACAGCACAGGCACCACTTAAGCTTTAAAGCCACAAGAGGCGGCCGGGCTCCGTGGCTCACACCTGTAATCCCAGCACTTTGGGAGGCCGAGGTGGGATGATCGCTTGATCCCAGTAGTTCAAGAACAGCCTGGGCAACATATGGACAGCCCATCTCTACAAAAAATAAAAATTAGCTGGGCATGGTGAGCACCTGCCTGTAGTCCCAGCTACTCAAGAGGCTGAGGCGGGAGGATCACTTGAGCCCAGGAGTTCAAGGCTGCAGTGAACTATGATTGTGGCACTGCACTGCACCCTGGGTGACAGTGGGACCTCGGCTCTTAAAAAAAAAAAAAAAAAAAAGTCCACTTTGGGAGGCCAAGGTGGGCGGATCATGGTAAATGGTAAATGGTAAAAATAATGGTAAAACCCTATCTCTACTAAAAACACAAAAATTAGCCAGTGTGGTGGCATGCGCCTGTAGTCCCAGCTACTTGGAAGGCTGAGGCAGAAGAATCGCTTGAACCCAGGAGGCAGAGGTTGCAGTGAGCCAAGATTGCACCACTGCACTCCAGCCTGGGCGACAGAGCATGACTCCATCTCAAAAAAAAAAAAGTCCCAAGAGGTGCCCAGGATTCACCCTGGCACCACCAAATCTCAATCTCTAGAGGGAAAGCCTTCTAAGAAAGTTATTTCTCAAAAGATTTTGAAACCCAGTGTCATGAAGAACAAAAGTGCCTTGTGCTCCATATTCTGTTTCCTCCCTGTGAACAGAACATGCTGGGCAGGTGGGAGTCCAGTCATGGTCGGATGTAGTCTCTATGCACAGAGGCAGACTTACCAAAATGCAATCAGTGCAACATATATGTAGGTATATATTTTGAGACAGGGTCTGGCTTTGCCGCCCAGGCTGGAGTTCAGTGGCATGATGTTATTTCTGCTCACTGCAACCTCCACCTCCTGGCTTGAGCCATCCTCCCACCTCAGCCTCCTGAGTTGCTAGGACTACAGGTACACACCACCATGCCTAGCTAGTTTTTGTATTTTTGTAGAGATGGGGTTTCACCATGTTGCCCAGGCTAGTCTTGAACTTCTGAGCTCAAGCAATCTGCCCGCCTTGGCCTGACAAAGTGCTGGGATTACAGGTGTGAGCCACTGAGCCCAGCCCAACCAGTGGCAATATATCTGGAAAATAAGGCCAATGTGAGGGCTGAAGGATCACAGATCCCAAACGCAACAGACCCCAACCTCAGGGGCCCTGGAGGAAAATTGACCAGCTGAAATGGACAAGGATAAACACAAGCTCAGCACTGATGCAAATAACATAATCAATGGACATAAGAAACAACAGAAGTTGCTTCCGGAGAGGGGGGCTGGATGGCTGAGGACAGCAGTCACAGAGATAACTACATTTCATTGTAACTTGCTTGTTTGCCTTTTTTTTTTTTAGTTTTTTTTTTTTGAGACAGAGTCTGTCTCTGTCACCCAGGCTGGAGTGCAGTGGTGCCATCTCAGCTCACTGCAACCTCCGCCTCCCGGGTTCAAGCGATTCTCTTGCCTCAGCCTCTCCAGTAGCTGGGACTACAGGCGTGCGCCACCACGCACAGCTAATTTTTGTATTTTTAGTAGAGACAGGGTTTCACTATATTGGTCAAGCTGGTCTCAAACTCCTGACCTCAGATGATCCACCTGCCTCAGCCTCCCAAAGTGTTGGGATTACAGGTGTGAGCCACTGAGCCCAGTCTTTGTATGTCTTTTGAATGTTGCACAAATGAAAGTATCTGCTATCCGGAAAAAAATCATTCCAGTCACGGTGTCTCATGCCTGTAATCCCAGCACTTTGGGAGGCCGAGATGGAGGACTACTTGAGACCAGCCTGGGCAACATATTGAGACCCTGTCTCTAAGAAAATAAATTGGAAAAAAAAAAAAGCCAGGTGTAGTGGCATGCACTTGTAGTCCTAGCTTCTTGGGAGGCTATGATGGGAAGATTTTGTGAGCCCAAGAGTTTGAGGTTACAGGCTGGGCCGAGGCCAAGGTGAGTGGATCACCTGAGGTCAGGAATTTGAGACCATCCTGGCCAACATGGTGAAACCCGTATCTACTAAAAATACAAAAAATTAGCTAGGTGTGGTGGTGGGTGCTATAATCTCAGCTACTGGAGAGGTTGAGGCAGGAGAATTGCTTGAACCCTGGAGGCAGAGGTTGCAGTGAGCCAAGATCGTGCCACTGCACTCCAGCCTGGGAGACAGACTCCATCTCAAAAAGAAAAAAAGGAGTTTAAGGTCACAGTGAGCTATGATCACACCAGTGCACACCAGCTTGGATGATAAAGTAAGAACCTGTCACTTAAAAAAAACCATTGGCAGAGCACAGGTTTGAGAAGAACCTGGTTGGATGTAACTGAGATGTGTAAAATAGAGGGTCTTCACTTGTGTCAAAGGCAGCCTGATTTACAGCTTTTTTTTTGTGGACAGGTGGCATCCTTATTATGGGGGGACGTCCCTCTGATCTTTGCAGTTCATTCCTTGTCTCTGGTCACTGGGCCCTGGGCTGATCACCACCTTCTGAGCAGGACCCAGACGGACAAGCTAGACTACACCCAGAAAGGAGAAATTGGGATGGGGAAGGGTCAGGAAACTGCGGTAGGACTGAGTGAAGGGACCAGGGGCAGCCCAGGGAAGAGATGAGACCACGCGGGGCACCATCGCTGTCTCCAAATACCTTAACTGACACAAGGGAGCAGCCTTCTTTCTGAAGACAGAGCTAGGGCTGTGGATGAGCACTGCAGGAAGGCACTTCGGGGTCTATCAGAGGAAATTTTTGCTAACCTTCCGAGTTGTCTCAGAGCCAAACGTAGTAAGCTACCTGTCACCGGATGTGCTTGAGCTAAGGGCGCTGAACCACCTCTGTCAGAGACGGTGCATCCCCCACCGGATGTGACCCCGGGATGCGGAGCCTGGGGTCAGATCTGCGAGCCAGATAACAGCGGCACTCACTTCTCGGGTCTTCGTGAGCATTAAGTCAATGAACCCAGGGCACCAAAGCGCGCAACACGCAGTAGGCGCTCAGTTAGTGGCGCCTCGCTCTGTACTCCAGGAAGCCCAACCTTCTCCCTGCGCCTCAGTTTCTCCCGACGTCCTCGATGGCGCCATGGCGCCACACTAGGTACCTTCGGGTTCGACCTCCCGAGCAGCTCCACACGCTGAGGCCCCGCGGCATTTTGCGGCCGAGGGCACCCCTCGGGGCTGGCGGGCCCTGGGAACTGCGCCCCGGGCGGGTCCTCGCACCGCCCCCGCCTCGATGGCCCCGCCCCGTCCCCCTCCCGCTGGAGCCGGCCCGGCCCGCGCTCCTTTAAGGCAGCGAACGGGCCAAGAGAAGCGTGTTTCGCCCCCTCCGACGCCACCGAGGTAGCGGCTTCACCTTTAAGGCGGCGCGGGGGCTGCTGGGAAGGCCGGCGGGATGGAGGCGGCGGGACCGGCTCGCGGGTGCGGGTCCGGGTGAAGCGGGAGGCAGCCAGAGTCGGAGCCGGGCCCGAGCACCAGGCGCAGGTCGGCGCGGGCCGATTGGGCCGGGAGACGGGGTCAGGCCCTAAAGCGGGGGAGGAGACTCCGGGTCGGCCTAGGGGAGGGGGTCGTCATGGGCGCGGCCTGTGGGAGGATCGGGCCAGCCCTGGTAGGGGGCGCGGTCCCGGGTGGCCCGGGGCGGGGGCGCGGCCTTTTCAGGGAAGGCCTCAGGGCGTTGCGCTGGCCTAGGGGAGGGGTCGTCGTGGGCGTAGCCTGGAAGGACTGGGGGCCGCGTACTCAGCCCCTCTAGTGGGAGCGCCTCCGCAGGGTCGGCTCGTCGGGAGGATGGGCTCCGCGGCTTGGCCTGCCTTTTGGGGATGGGGCTGTCCGAGGGGCTGGGCCCGGATCGCCGGAGGGGCCAGGGTCTCCTGCACAGGAGTGAGCCCCCACGTTCCCCATACCTGTCCTGGTTAGGGGGTCCCCGGGGAAACCCGGACACTGAGCCGCCTAAGTCGGCCTGAGCCGGTGGTCTGGGGCCGAAGCAGGATCCGGCTGCACCGCATTGCGTCTCCCAGGCCTAGACAAGCTAGGCGCGCCCTCTGTAGGCCAAGCGCGGGCACGGTGCGGGCTGCCGGCTGGGGGACCTGGGCACACGGGAGACTCAGGCGTCCGGGGACCGCCTGTTTACCTAATCCGGGGCGGACGGCGGTGTGGCCCCAGGCCCGGCGCCCGCCTGCCCGCACCCTCGTCCTCACAGACGCCACAGCCATGGCCATGATGGTGTTTCCGCGGGAGGAGAAGCTGAGCCAGGATGAGATCGTGCTGGGCACCAAGGCTGTCATCCAGGGACTGGAGACTCTGCGTGGGGAGCATCGTGCCCTGCTGGCTCCTCTGGTTGCACCTGAGGCCGGCGAAGCCGAGCCTGGCTCGCAGGAGCGCTGCATCCTCCTGCGTCGCTCCCTGGAAGCCATTGAGCTTGGGCTGGGGGAGGCCCAGGTAGGTCAGTCTGGGGCACTGAGGTGGGAGGTCACTGGAGGGATCGAGCCTTCAAGAGGAATCCGGTAATGTAGGAGAAGAATCTGAGCAGGGAACCGTCTGTTTCCTGGAGCCCCATGTTAGGACCCCAGTAAATACCTTTTGAAGAAATAAATGCACTTTGGCGACCCCAGCCCTGCCCTAAGAGACCATGATCACCCTTGCCCCCACGCAGAGCCCCATTTCCGGCTCCCCTCTACCTAAGGGAGACTGGATGGCATATGAGAACAGAAAGAAAATCCTTAAGGAAACATAGCCTCCCACCAATTAATTCTTCTATTCACTCGTTAACAGATGAGTTATTGAGGGCCAGCCAGGGTGTTAGGTGGATACAGGGCCCAACAAAATAGACAAGATTCCTGCCCTATTAGAGACAAAAACACACATACAGAAATAATTGGTTGTTACAAATTGTGATGAGTTCTGCAGAGAAAAGAACAAGATTTTATGATAGCTCGCAGCAGCGAGTCTTGTCTACTGGTCAGGCAGGACTTCTGTGAGGAAATGACAAACTGAAACCTGAGGGAAGAAATGAACCAGCCTCCAGGAAAGGGAGGCAGGGGAGAAGTTGCATGTGCAAAGGTCCTGGGGTAGGAAAGAGCTTGTGGTGGAGGAACTCAGGGAAGAACTGTGTGACTGGAGCTTCATGGAAGGGAGACAGGGACAGAAGAGGCCTGGGGAGAAGCCAAGAACCAGATCATGGCCTGGTTGGTTTGGGTTTTATTCTCAGGAAATCAGAAAGCCTCTGGAGGGCTTTAAGCAGGCAGGCAACACAGTCTGACTTGAGTTTCTAAAAACTCTCTCTGGCTGAGATGTGGAGAATAAACCTCAGTGGGTCGAGGATGGAATCACTCTCCAATGAGTGGTTAGGAAGCCACTGCTGGAATTCAAATGAGAGCTGGTGCTTGGAATTAAGGGGTGGCTATGACGGTGGAGAAAAGGGACCAGTTCTGGATGTTCTGGAGGTAGGTCCAGCAAGACCTGGGGGTGGAATAAGGGAGAGAGAGAGGAAGGCAGCATCACTCCCAAGTTTGTGATTTAAGCAAATTAAGGGAGGAGAGGGCCTTGGTGGATCAGAACTCTGTTTTGGCCTCCTTTAATTGAGGCTGCCAGGATGATATGCAGTTGGAGATGTCCAGGAGCCATTGGGATGTACAAGGAGTTAGACTTGTTTTATTCCCCTCAGAGCTTGGCTGAGCCCCTGCCTGGCACGTGAACCCTGGGGAAGTTGTATCATTTTGGTTTCCTTGTCTTTAAAATAGGGATCATGCCATCTGCTGTGTACACTTCCAGGCTGTTGGGGGAATTTTTTTTTTTTTTTAAAGCTAGTGGTTATGGAAACACCTGTCACTTAGGCATTTGCTAACCAACAACAAAGTACAGGGTCTCAGACAGCCTGGCCCTCTGCAAGGACATTCACTCCCTGCCAGTTGGCCGTCAGAGGTAGAGAGGACCACTCAGGGGCCGCACACCTGGTGGAGCACGTGCACTCTCACAGAGGGGGAACAATCTGCACGGAGGGCATGGGCATCAAGGCCATGTGTGAAGCTGGAGCAAAGTGGGAGGTGTGACTAGCTGGAGACACAACTGCAGAAATGATCCTGAACCGGGAAGGACTGGGAAAGGGTGGAGGCCGGGTGTGGTGGCTCACGCCTGTAATTCCAGCACTTTGGGAGGCCCAGGTGGGAAGACTGCTTAAATCCCGGACTTCATGAGACCCTGTATCTACAAAAAATAATTTTTCTTTTTTTTTTTGAGACAGTCTTGCTCTGTTGCCCAGGCTGGAGTATAGTGGCACGATCTCAGCTCACTGCAGCCTCTGCCTCTCAGGTTCAAGTGATTCTCCTGCCTCAGCCTCCTGAGTAGCTGGGACTACAGGCACGCGCCACCACACCCAGCTAATTTTTGTATTTTTGGTAGAGATGGGGTTTCACCATGTTGGCCAGGATGGTCTTGAAATCCTGACCTCGTGATCTGTCCGCCTCAGCCTCCTGAAGTGCTAGGATTACAGGCGTGAGCCACCGTGCCTGGCCAAAAAATTTTTTAAATTAGCCAGCTGTGGTGGTGTGCACCCGTAGTCCCAGTTACTCAGGAGGCTGAGGGGGAAGGACCACTTGAGCCTGGAAGGTAGAGGCTGCAGTGAGCTGTGACGGTGCCATAGCCCTTCGGCCCAGGTGACAGAGTGAGACATTGTCTTAAATTAAAAAAAAAAAAAAAAAAGAGAGAGCAAGAAGGGAGGTTGGACCCTAGGCAGGAAGGCAGGAAGAGACTGGAAACTAAGGAAAGGAGTTGCAGAGGCTGGGGAGAGGGGTGGGGGTTGAGGCCAAGGCCTTTGGATACTTTTCCTGCCCCTGTGGCTCCTCATGCCAACTGAGCATTTGGGACACATGCCCCTTCCCTACCTGGGAGCTGCAGAAAGGCAGGGGATGCTGTGGCCCCTCAGCAGAAGTGGGGATGGAGTCTTTGGGTGGTCCTTCAGCCATCTAGCAGAGTTCTGTGGGCAAGCGCTAGCCCTGAGGCAGGGAGCAGTAACCTACTGGCTGTGGCAGCAGAGGCTTGAGTACAACCCAGGGAGAGACGAAGGAAGGGGCTAGTAGCTCAGGGAAAGCACAGCACCCCAACTAGCCCTTTTGGGGTTCTCCTGATCCTAGAAGGAAGGAACTGGGGACTCCCAAGCCTCCTGGGTTTGGGCTTTGCATTATGGTGTGTCGGGGGCCTTGAGGAGATTCTCCCTTGACAAGCAGAGAAAAGACCTGCAGCTCCTCACTGTAGGGCCAGGCCTGGCCCTTCACTGGGTGCCAGAGCCCAACTAGGCCCAGGCTACAGTCATAGGCGAGGGGGTCGACAGGCCTCCGACCCTTACCTGGGCTGGTTGCACAGGTGATCTTGGCATTGTCGAGCCACCTGGGGGCTGTAGAATCAGAGAAGCAGAAGCTGCGGGCGCAGGTGCGGCGTCTGGTGCAGGAGAACCAGTGGCTGCGTGAGGAGCTGGCGGGGACACAGCAGAAGCTGCAGCGCAGTGAGCAGGCCGTGGCCCAGCTCGAGGAGGAGAAGCAGCACTTGCTGTTCATGAGCCAGATCCGCAAGTTGGATGAAGACGCCTCCCCTAACGTGAGCTCCTACCATGGTCACTGTTGCCCAGCAAGGAGGCCTGGGAGCAGGGAGGGGCAGCATGGAGCAGATTCGGCTCCACCCCAGCCCATGGACACCCCGGCTGCCCTGTGCCTCCTTCCCTGATGCTCATCCTGTCTTCCTTCCCAGGAGGAGAAGGGGGACGTCCCCAAAGACACACTGGATGACCTGTTCCCCAATGAGGATGAGCAGAGCCCAGGTGCGGATGGGCAGTTCTGGAGTGGGGGAAGGAAAGGTTGTGTGAACTCTTGGTCCTTGGGACCGAGTGGCTGCCATGTTCCTTCCTGCCTCACTTCTGATCATGACATCCTAGTGTGTTAGAGCTTCAAGAACAGTTGTACGTGCTGCTGCTTCTCACATCCCCCCAGCTCTGTGGTGAGCAGACATCACAATTAGCTGTGGAGTCACCAGCCTGGCTTCCAGTGCTGCTCTGCCACTAGCTTCCCTGACCCTTGGGAGAGTTCTCTTCCTCTCCGAATCACCTCTGAAGGAGGCACATGCAGACAGCCACAATGGGGCCAGTGCCTGCTTTGCTGATGGTACTGGTTATGCATCGGGGCCTCCACTCTGTACACAGGGACACAGGCTCAGAGGTTAGGCAGCTTGCCCCAGGACACAGAGCCTGAAGTACTGGAGCTGGGCCTCTACCCCCTCTTTCTATGGGGTAACTAGACCCATTCTATAAATGGGGAAACTGAGAAAGAGTGGTTAGTGACTTGCCCAGGGCCATGTGTCAAGTGGCTCAAAGGCACAGCTGGCATGTGCCATCCCAGTCCAGTGGGCAGATGGTACATCTGACCTCCTGCCCTTGGCCCTGCAGCCCCTAGCCCAGGAGGAGGGGATGTGTCTGGTCAGCATGGGGGCTACGAGATCCCGGCCCGGCTCCGCACCCTGCACAACCTGGTGATCCAATACGCCTCACAGGGCCGCTACGAGGTAGCTGTGCCACTCTGCAAGCAGGCACTCGAAGACCTGGAGAAGACGTCAGGCCACGACCACCCTGACGTTGCCACCATGCTGAACATCCTGGCACTGGTCTATCGGTGAGGACTCTCTGGGGGTGCCCAAATTCTTCTGGAAGGCTCCAGCCCTGGATCACTAACCCTTGGTGCCTGCTGTGGGCCAGGACTCGTGGCCCACCTGCGTGGAGCTGGGCTACAGATGCAAGTAAAACTGTCTAGTGTAAGAGAGAGGCTTGGCCAGAACTGGGGAGGGACTGCACATGAGGACTCCAGGGGTCCTGGGGAGTCCACACAGCTTCTCCAGGCACCAAGGCTGGAGGAGGGGCTTTGCCAGAAAGTGAGTTTGCCCAAACACAAGAGGGCTAGAAAAGGTTCCCATGGCAAAAAGCCAGCATGAGCAAAGGCACTGGGACCTGGAGAGCAGGACACGCTAAAGGGGCAGCAGGAGAGCCATGTGGCGCCCAGGAATGCTAGGCACCAGGCAGTCGGTGGGACCCCAGCACTGCGCACCCCAGCCAATTGTGAGAAAACTGCCTACAGCCCTTGGAGCTTGGAGAGCAGGAGCTGAGCAGGTCTCCCCACACTCTGGGTCTCACTCTGTCATACACACTCAGTGAGTACAGGAGTGACCACAGGGATTGCAGACCATTGGGGAGGGCCTTGAGCTGGAGGACAGCCCTGACCATGCTCCTACCTGCTCCCAGGGATCAGAACAAGTACAAGGAGGCTGCCCACCTGCTCAATGATGCTCTGGCCATCCGGGAGAAAACACTGGGCAAGGACCACCCAGCCGTGAGTGAGGGTTGGGTGGGAGGTGGGGGCTGTGCCCCATCCCCTGCAGGTCCCAGAGTCCTGCAGGGCCTGAGTCAAGAAGCTTCCGTTCTCCCACCTCCAGGTGGCTGCGACACTAAACAACCTGGCAGTCCTGTATGGCAAGAGGGGCAAGTACAAGGAGGCTGAGCCATTGTGCAAGCGGGCACTGGAGATCCGGGAGAAGGTGGGAACAGGCAGGGCTGGGCAGGCTGGGGGTCTGGGAGGCAGGGGCCCGGGCAGCCCTGAGCCCAACCCCTGGCTCCCTCTCCCATCCCAGGTCCTGGGCAAGTTTCACCCAGATGTGGCCAAGCAGCTCAGCAACCTGGCCCTGCTGTGCCAGAACCAGGGCAAAGCTGAGGAGGTGGAATATTACTATCGGCGGGCACTGGAGATCTATGCTACACGCCTCGGGCCCGATGACCCCAATGTGGCCAAGACCAAGAACAACCTGGTACCTTGGGGCTGAGAGGAGCTGGAGGATGGGAAGGAGGGAGGCAGGGATGAGGTTGGGGAAGAAGGAGAGAAAAAGGCTTGGCTGCATGCATCCCGCTCACTCTCTGGGTCTCCCGCTTCCAGGCTTCCTGCTACCTGAAGCAGGGCAAGTACCAGGATGCGGAGACCTTGTACAAGGAGATCCTCACCCGCGCTCATGAGAAAGAGTTTGGCTCTGTCAATGGTGAGTGCGTGGTCACCAGGTGCCTCTAGCCCATCCATCCCAGGCCCACTCTGCCATCAGCACCCAGGACAAATCCCTCAGCAGGGCAGGCCCTCAGGCTTTGGCCTGGCTGGTCACCAGCCTCACCCTCAGATGGTGCCCAGCCACCTGTGCTCACGTTTGCACACATGAGCACACACCCAACTCACGCAGCCCCCTTGGCCTGCTAGGGCCTCACACGCCTTTGCATCCCCCTTCTCCACTGGCGATTCTTGCTCACCTTGAGGGCCTGCCCCAGTGTCTCCCACTCTGGGAAACCACCTCTGGCCCCGGATGGTCAGTCATCTGCTCCTGAGTCCCTCGGAGCCTGGCCCATCATTCAGGCCTAGCACATGTCTTGGGCTGTGGCCTGAGGTGCAAGGGTCTGTTCTGCTCATCTCTGTCCAGAAGAGGGTCAGCAGTGTTTTGGGTCTTACTCTTGTTCATGCATTCAACGAAGCCCAACCGTGGTCTCCCCTCCCCTGACCCCAGTCCTGTGTCCAGCCCAACCAGGTGAGACCTATATGGTAGGCTGGTGACAGTCCCCTTTCTCTCCCCAGGGGACAACAAGCCCATCTGGATGCACGCAGAGGAGCGGGAGGAAAGCAAGGTAGCTCTGTGGGGCAGGCTGGGCGGTTGTCAGGGGAGGCTGGGATGTGCAGAGGGGGGCCTGCTCTCACTTCTTGTGACCATTCTTTCCTCCAGGATAAGCGCCGGGACAGCGCCCCCTATGGGGAATACGGCAGCTGGTACAAGGCCTGTAAAGTAGACAGGTGAGTGGGGCGGGGCTGGGCTGGGGAGCAGGGCACGGCAGGGCGGGCTCCACATTCCATACTCTCACCCCCAACACACCCCTCCTCTGCTGCTCATCTGGCAAGGCCCAACTCACAGGTCACCTGTCCCAAGAAGGCTCTGTCTCCCAATTCTCAGCCTAATTCTCTGGCTCTGGGTCTCCCAGCTTTTGGTCCTGGTGACAACATCCCATGAGGGCCCTGGGGCCAGGTCCCCAGCCCTGGGGTGATTTCCCCAGGACAGAAGAGGCTGGGTGGGCCCAGCACAGGGCTTGACATGGGAAGGAATGGATTCTGGCTACCCCGGAGGTCCATGCTTCCTCAGGGCCCACTGTGGGCTGGGTGCCAGGATGGGCCCTGGGTCTGGGGGAACATGGAGTTTGAGACTGTCCCATCCACAGCCCCACAGTCAACACCACCCTGCGCAGCTTGGGGGCCCTATACCGGCGCCAGGGCAAGCTGGAAGCCGCGCACACACTAGAGGACTGTGCCAGCCGTAACCGCAAGCAGGTGGGGCTCCATGCAGGAGGGGGTGGGCAGACACCTGTGTGGCCCTGGGTGTGGTCCATTCACTGCCTGATGCCCCTGCCCCTCCCTCAGGGTTTGGACCCCGCAAGCCAGACCAAGGTGGTAGAACTGCTGAAAGATGGCAGTGGCAGGCGGGGAGACCGCCGCAGCAGCCGAGACATGGCTGGGGGTGCCGGGCCTCGGTCTGAGTCTGACCTCGAGGACGTGGGACCTACAGCTGAGTGGAATGGGGTGAGTCCGGGGCCTGGGCCGGGTCGGGCTGGGAGCCTAGGTGGCCAGCGGGGCCTAGAGGCAAGCCTGTCCACCTGCAGGATGGCAGTGGCTCCTTGAGGCGCAGCGGTTCCTTTGGGAAACTCCGGGATGCCCTGAGGCGCAGCAGTGAGATGCTGGTAAAGAAGCTGCAGGGGGGCACCCCCCAGGAGCCCCCTAACCCCAGGTGAGCCCCCCACCAAGGTGAGCCTCAAGAACCACCCAGCAACCCCGGATGAGCTCCTGACCCAGAGTGTGCCCCACTGACCCCAGGCAACCTCCCCATCCCTCTCAGGCTCCACCACCCACCAGTCTGTTCCCTCCCCAGCCCCACCCTTCTCCCTGCCCCCATCTCCCGTGAGTTCCTCCTTGGGCAAATCCCAGGCTGTCCTTTTCCCTCAGGATGAAGCGGGCCAGTTCCCTCAACTTCCTCAACAAGAGCGTGGAAGAGCCGACCCAGGTAGGGGCAGGCGGGTGTCTGGGCACTGGGCAGCTGCGGCCGGGGCTGCATGCGTGCTGCCAAGCTTCCCTCCAGCATGCCTCTTCATCCAGCAACAGTTCCTGGCTCTGTCTCAGGCCTACTTTGGGCTGGACAACGGGGAGACACGAGGGGAACCCAGCCTCTCCTGGGGGTGGACGTGTAAACGGCCAGTGCTAACACCGTCACTGTGGAGATGGACGGGAGTGTCAGGGCACCAGGGTGTGGCCTTGGGTCAGAACTGCCATTGCCTCTGCCCAGCTCAGGGATTCCGGCTGCCTCTGCCAGGTCAGACCCCTTCAGGCCAGGGAGGCACAGACTGGCAGCAGCACAGGGCTGAGCCACCTGCCCCCTCTGCCCACAGCCTGGAGGCACAGGTCTCTCTGACAGCCGCACTCTCAGCTCCAGCTCCATGGACCTCTCCCGACGAAGCTCCCTGGTGGGCTAATGCTGAAGGGGCAGCCAGTCACCAGAGCGCCCACCTGGCACACCCCCCTCACCCCAGCCCTGCGCATGGGCCTGCTGCTTGTCCCGCCTGTCTCTCCCACAGCCCCTGTCTTTTCTGTTCAATCTCAGGGTAACCTTCTCCCTTGTCATCTCAGCCTGAGCCCTGGAGGCTGGGCCTGCCCACTCCAGCTCCATCCCTTATTTATTCCTTCCAGCAGGGCCCTCTTCCCTAGGTTCGGGCCAGCAGGAGGTGCCGGCTGGAGTCTCCACCATAGACTCAGTGGCCTGGCCTCCCCAGACCCCAGAGCCAAGAACACTAAGCACTCGCCGGCCCTTCGGCACCCTCGCCCTCCCTCCCGACTCAACCCGGCCGTTGCTTCTGTATATAGAGAAATAAGTTATTGGCCGCGCGCCTCCCTTCAGTCCACGGTACTACCCGGGCCTCCCCTCGTCCCTCTTCTAGTGGTACCGCCCAGGCCTTAATCACCCCCATTCCGTGCGGTGGTATCTCCCAGGCTCTACATTCTCGGGAGCGGCGCCTCCCAAGGGGGTCCTGGGACCTTCTCGCGCTCCTCCTGGCCTCTGAGGGATGCGTCCTACCCGCGCCATCGCCCCGTGGCCCAGGACGGGGACCTCCCCTTAGTCCGTCCTCCCACCGCCGGGCCCTGCCCCGCATCCCGGCCTTATGCACTGCCCCTCCCACCCGGCCCCGCCCAGGCACGGCCGACCCCGCCCCGGGCACCGCCCACCGAGCCATCCTGCCTCGCCTCCCCCCACGCCTGCAGCTTCTCGCGAGGGGCGGCGACGGTCCCCTGGTGGCAGGAGGGGCTCCCCCTGTTGCGGGTGAGGCGGCTGCTCTCATATTTTCAGATGTTGCTGTAGAAATAAAGACGGTTTAAATCTGAGCTGGGCTTGTTTTGAGACGGAGGTCGGGGGCCCCCAGCGTCTCTAGACTGGGGTGGAGCCGGGAAGGGTCGTGCGTGAGTGGGGGACAGTGTGTCTCGCTCAACCGCTGTCCGCGCAGCTGGGCCCAGATATTGTGCCCCACCCCGGAATTGCGTGAGGGGCCCACAAGTCAGGCTTTCCCTAAAACACTCACTTGTGGGGTTCTGGAGACCGCGGGCTCTTATGAGCTCTGCTCCTCACAAAGTTTTTGACCTTGAGTGAGTTTCCCGAGACTCAGTTTTTTCATCTATGAAATGCGGGTGATGACGCGCGGCTGCGAGTTAGGACTGCCCAGTACACGAAGAACCCTGGACAAATGTACTTTTATTAGTCTTACTAGAACCCACATTCTCATTTAATGTTCACAACGTGGGTATTGGGAGGGCAAGGATGACTACCTCCGTCAGACAGATGTGAAACGTGCCAAGCCCAGCCCTAAATTGAGCTTTCTAAACACCGAGTCGCGGTCAGGCTTTCCAGCACTGTCCTCAAGCCTGAGTGCGTCCGGAGTGCAAACTACAAGCCCCAGAAGGCAATGCGCCAGCAGTGATGGGAGTGGGCGCGGAGGCGCGGGCTCCCCGACTACGCCTGCGCAGCGGGGCTGAGTTGGAGAACGTCTTAGACTACAAGTTCCGGGAATCAGCGCGGCGAGGCCTGAGAAGAAGACGTTTGCGCCTGCGCGTCGCGGGCGGGGCCTCTGGGGCGGAGCGGCCACCATCTTGGAACGGGAGGCGGAGCAGAGTCGACTGGGAGCGACCGAGCGGGCCGCCGCCGCCGCCATGAACCCCGAATAGTGAGTGAGCCCCGCCCGCGCCGTCCAGCGCAGCCTCGATCCCGAATACAGGGCTGTACGCTTACCGGGGTTGTCTGGCCCGGGTCAGGACTGTGCGGCGCCCCCACATCCGGGTCCCTCTTCCGCTGACCCCCCCCCACATCCGGGTTCTGCCCCTCCCCCCAGGGGCCCCAGGACCCCGGCTCAAAACCCCGAGCCCTCGCACCCGGGGCCCAGACGTGGCGACCCCCAGGGGCAGCTCTTGGAGCTCGAGACATCGGTCCTACCAGGCCTTATCGGTCAGATGACCCCGCAGTCCCGGTCACTTCAGGCCTCAGTTTCCCCACCTGCTGCTTGACAACTGTCCCGGAGTTTTGGAGCCCGTCTTGATAGTTTCTGGTCTCGGGTTCAGGCTTGGGCCCTTTAGGTCGGGCAGTGAATCCCTCTACCCTTCTCTTTCTCCTGAAGCCCGGCTCCTGGGGCCGGCCCAGAAGCTAGCCAACTACGCGGGAGGCCCCGAAGCGCCGCTTGGGTCGCGTCTCCCGCAGGTCCTCTCTTCCGGGGCTGCCTCCTACCCTTTGCCTGGGTCGCGCTGTCCTGTCGCTCCCGCCGGTCCGTCCTTTCCCGCCCTCTCCTCGCTTTTGCTCAGGCCCCCAACGCCACCGTCACACCCCTTCCCTTGGCTGTCACACTGCCTGTGAAGTTTAGATGAATATGGAATTTGCTCTCCCCCTTCCTGTGGGATTCTCTGGTCCTCAAACTCTCCTCACTCTTGGTCACTCCCCCTGCGGGTAGGTGGCCCACATCTCATGCCCAGGACTAATAGTTTTCCCCAAGTATCAGTTATCTTCTTCCTTTTCTGCCACTTCCTTTTTCTACTCCACATCCAGGTCTCAGATTTCCTTGGGGAAGGGTGAAGCTCTGAGCTGGATTGGGAGGGGAACAGAGAAGGGAACCAGCAGGCTCTCGAAGGGACTTTGGAGTCTGAGAAACCTGGTTTGAGTCTTAAAGCGATAAACTGTGTAAGTTAGGGCAAGTCACTTCCCTTCTCTGGCCTCTGGTTTCCTCATTAGTTGACAATGACAAAACTGACTTCATTGAACTGTTGTGAAGATTAAATGAGATGATGCATTTAAAGTACTTCACACAGGGTCCGTCCACAGGTTGGAACTCAAGTATATTAAATGTGATTACCTTTTGCCTTTTTTTTTTTTTATTTTGAGACAGGGTCTCTCTCTGTCACCCAGGCTGGAGTGCAGTGGCGTGACGATGGCTCACTGCAGTCTCCAACTCTTGGGCTGAAGCAGTCCTCCTGCCTTGTCCTCCTGAGTAGCTGGGAATACAGAGGCACACCACCACACCTGGCACATTTTTTAATTTTTTGTAAAGACAGGGTCTCGATATGTTTCCCAGCCTGATCTCAAACTCCTGGGCTTAAATGATTCTCGTGCCTCGGGCTTCCAAAGTGTTGGGATTACAGGTGTCAGTCACTGCACCCAGCCTTAAGTGCAATTTTCACTGCAACTTGACCACCTCTTCCTGGTGACTTCATAACAGGTTTTTGTTGTTGTTGTTGTTGTTGTTGTTGTTGTTGTTGTTGTTGTTGTCTCCAAAGAGATGGGGTTAGCCGGGTGCGGTGGCTCAGGCCTGTAATCCCAGGACTTTGGGAGGCCGAGGTGGGTGGATCACGAGGTCAGGAGATCGAGACCATCCTGGCCAACATGGTGAAATCCCGTCTCTACTAAAAATACAAAAATTAGCTAGTCATGGTGGCGCATGCCTGTAATCCCAGCCACTCTGGAGGGTGAGACAGGAGAATCACTTGAACCAGGGAGTCGGACGTTGCAGTGAGCCGAGATCGTGCCACTGCACTCCAGCCTGGTGAGAGAGCGAGACTCTGTCTCGAAAAAACAAAAGAAAAGAGAGACGGGGTTGTGCTGCATCACCCAGGCTGGTCATACACTCCTAGGCTCCAAGGATCCTCCTCCTGTTTCAGCCTCCCCAGTAGCTGGAACCACAGGCACACGCCACAGCACCCAGCCATCAGTCTCTCTACGTGGGTTTTCAACTTAATAGGTTCTAGGCTGGGCCCTGGCTTCTACTTCTGGGGCCTTCTCTGCCAAGCTAGGCACACGCAGGGCATGTACTGGGGATTCCCTAAATAGCTCCTACTGGACCAAACCATGAAGTTTCAGAAATCAGGTTAGGATACCCAGCTCTGTTGCCTTGGCAGGTCACGTGTCTTGATTTCTTTCTCCATAAAGTGAGAATTTAGACTCAGCAAGCTGAGAGCCCTTTGGGCTAGCTGTTTGTGGAGGGAGGCATCAGCCCTCCCTGACCGGGACTGTTGGGAAGATCTGGTGAGCACCATAGTATTCTAAACCAAGGGATGGCCAGGCGCAGTGGCTCACCCCTGTAATCCCAGCACTTTCAGAGGCCAAGGCAGGTGAATCAATTGAACCCGGGAGTTTGAGACCAGCCTGGGCAACATAGTGAGACCCCATCTCTACAAAAAATGAAAAGATTAGCCAGGGGCCGGGTGTGGTGGCTCACACCTGTAATCCCAGCACTTTGGGAGGCCAAGGCAGGTGGATCACCTGAGGTCAGGAGTTCGAGACCAGCCTGGCCAACATGGTGAAACCCTGTCTCTACTAAAAATACAAAACTTAGACAAGCATGGTGGCAGGTGCCTGTAATCCCAGCTACTCGGGAGGCCGAGGCAGGAGAATTGCTTGAACCCGGCAGACAGAGGTTGCAGTGAGCCAAGATCGCGCCATTGCACTCCAGCCTGGGCAACAAGAGCAAAACTCAGTCTCAAAAAAAAAAAAAAAAAAAAAAAAAATTAGCTAGAAGTGGTGGTGGTGGTGGACACCTGAAGTCCCAGCTACGCAGGAAGCTGAGGTGGGAAGATCACTTTGAGCCCGCAAGGTAGAGGCTGCAATGAGCCGTGATCACTTCAGTGCACTGTAGCCTGGGTGACAGAGTGAGACCTTATTGCTAAAAAAAAAATAAAAATAAACCAAGGGATGCCTCATGGGGTGGGGGAATCCTGTAATTGTGACTCCAGGATGATGGTAGGTGGGCTCCCTGCCTCCCTTCACGCCTTCCCATCTTCTCTCTCCAGTGACTACCTGTTTAAGCTGCTTTTGATTGGCGACTCAGGCGTGGGCAAGTCATGCCTGCTCCTGCGGTTTGCTGTGAGTAAGAAGCCTCCCATACCATCCACCTGGGGTCCTGACTGGCAGCTGGGGGGAGAAGGGACAACACAGAGCACAGTAGTTGCAAGATCTGGGAACCAGGGGTGAAGCTGTAAGACCTGCCACCAGCACATCTGCCCTGAACAAGACAGGGCTGGCCAGCTGAGTGCTGGGAATTGGGGCTTGGTGGTTCGGAGACCCAGCTGGGGCAGGGAACTGGAGGGAGGCTCTCCAAGTGGGCCTCACCTCATTAACTCCCATGATTTCATTGGCCCCTGAACTTTCAGGATGACACGTACACAGAGAGCTACATCAGCACCATCGGGGTGGACTTCAAGATCCGAACCATCGAGCTGGATGGCAAAACTATCAAACTTCAGATCGTGAGTGTCGCTCTTCCCAAAATCCCCAGTACAGAGGTATCCACCTTGGGAGGGAAGGGACTCTGGGACTCTGGACCTCAGCTGACCTGCTCCTCTGCCTACTGTCTCCTAGTGGGACACAGCGGGCCAGGAACGGTTCCGGACCATCACTTCCAGCTACTACCGGGGGGCTCATGGCATCATCGTGGTGTATGACGTCACTGACCAGGTACTCCTGGACTAGCCATCCTCAGCTTGGCCTCCTTAGCCTTAGGTCTTTGACTCTTCTTTTTCCTCCTTCCATCCTCTCTTTCCTGATGCTTCCTGGAAAGGACACTATTTGTCTGCTTACAGGAACTAACTAGGAAAAAGAAAAAAAATAGGTGACTGTACTTGGACTCATTTCACAAGGAGGGAAACAGCCACAGAAATGGATCCTCTGAAGGCCCTGCTGCAGGTTCTGGCAGGACAAGGCCTCACACCTTCCCTCCCCACCAAGCCAAACTTGCCACCTTATTGTAGACCTTCTGGGCACCTTTGTGTTGTGGGAGTTTAGTCAGGCGGTTGGCTGCTATGCTGGGCCTGTGGCTTCCTGTGTGAAGACACAGTGCAGGGGGACAATTAGAGGGCCTTAGACAAAGAAGCAGGGAAGCTTGAGCTCTGGGCCCAATGTGAGCAGAGATCCAGAAGCTCTGCCTCCAGCAGCAGCGTTAGTCCCATGTGACTAGCAGTGGTGGTAGCAAGGGCTGGAAATGGTTCCATGAAACCTTATAGTTTACAGAACCTGGCCCAGCCCTCAGATTGCCTCTGATGCTCAGAAGAGGTCTGTGTTCCCATCGCACAGGTAAGGAGCTGGGCTCAGGATGGTGAGGTGACTTGCCGAGGGTCCTTCAGCTAGTCCGGTGGCAGAGGCAGAAAGCCTGGATGGCTCATTCCACCTGCTTTGTTTTTTCTACCAAATGTTGTTGCTTAACAGGGCCAATCCCTGAAGATAAGGAGAAGCTTAAATCAGCCGTGGGCCGGGAAGAGTCCCTGTCTGAGGAGCAGCCGGGCTCTTTAGCTCACCAGGGACTCATGATGTCCCCAGCTCTGGACGAGCTGTGGGGAAGCTACATACCACCCAGACAAGTTACCAGGGCCCACCTGACTGCCATATATCCAGTGATCTTATTTCAGCACATTGACCTCTCGTGGCTTTGGACACTGCTCTCTTCTCTCTCCTTGAAAAGTGGACCATCCCCCGCTCCTCAGTCTCCTGCAGCACTCGATTCTCTATTGTCAGTGTCTATTTGCTGGTCTGTCCAGTGCTGCCTCCCATCACCCTGTGTTTGGTGCTTCCCCACTGCCCTGGACTCTCCTCCTTACTCTTGTGCATGGCTGCGGCCACTCTGTGGTTTGCTTCTGCCTTGTGTTCTGTGATTCCTGCATCTAACAGCCGTGGCTGTGGCTTCCCTCCTCTGTCCATGTCTACACTGGCACTTTGTGTCTGTATTAATCCTGATCTTCATGATCTTCTCTAGTAAACTAAATGGTGAGGTTTGTGTTTTCTAGATGAGGAAACTTGCTTGGAGAGGTGTTAAGTAACTTGCCACCGGTCTCACGGGAAGGGCAAAGCCAGTTTTGGAGGGCTCTTGGCTTTTGAGCACACCCTTTCCCACCCTCAAGCAGCCTCTGCAGAACTCAGATGTCCAGCGCTGGCCTCACTGTCTCTCCCCAAACCAGCGCCTCTATCCCCATTTTTAATATTTTTATTTATTTTAAGACATGGGGTCTCACTCTGTCACCCAGACTGCAGTGCAGTGGTGTGATCATAGCTCATTGTAACCTCAACCTCCTGGGCTTAAGGGATCCTCCTGCTTCAGTCTCCTAAGTCACTGGGACTATAGACACACACCACCATGCCCCAGCTGCATCCCCATCTTTGTGACACAATCCTTGTCAGCCTGACCAGAAAACTCTTCCCTCCCCCATCCAGTCAGTCTCGAGTCCCCTCTATTCTCTCCCCATCATCTTTCTGAAATCTGTCCCCTCATAATAATAGCAGTGATGAGGATAATAGCAGCTCTTGCCAATTAAGCACTTGTTATGAGACAAGCCTGTGTTCATTCTCTTCATGCTCACAATCAGCCCTTCTAGGAGGTACTGTTTATAGAAATGAGGAAACTGAGGCTCAGAGTGGTCAGGTAACATACCTGGGGTCACACAGTAAATGGCTGAGCCAGGCCTTCAGCAGCAGTGGTCTGACTAAATCCTGTGTGCTTCCCTGGCTCAGTGCACGTTCTCTTCCCTGAGTTATTCCAGCCATTCCCAGTTGGTCTCTATCTTGCTATTCTGATCTGGGCTCTGCCTCCTGTCAGGACTAGCATAGGTGTGATCCTGTTGCTTCTGGCCTAAGAAACGCCCACTGGCTCCTGGTCTAAGTCCAAGACTTAGCCATGCTAAGACAGTCTGTGCTCTGGCCTCTCCCCAATCCCCCCTCTTTCCTCCCCTCTTCCCCCTCTCCCCTCTTGCCTTTCTCCTCCCCACTCCCCCATTCCCCCTCCCTGTCCCCCCTCCCTGTTGAGTGTCTGCATCCCAGCAACATTCCATTTCCTCCCATTCCCCAGACACACCATGCCCCTCCCGTTCAGTGACCTGGCACATGCTGGCTCCCCAGCTGGCACCTCTCCTGCACAAGGCCAGTTCCCACCTGCAGGCTTAGGTCCACTGTTGCTCCCACCTCAAGCAGAGGTGGTCTGGGGGCTCCCCAGCCCCTGCCTTCTAACCTGTTTTGCCCTTGTGTGTGGCCTGGTCTATTCATCTACTGTCCCGTGAATGTGTTAGGGCAGGGCCCAAGTATGATTTCCCCCTTTGTCCCCAGCACTTAGCACAGGACCCAACTTGGAACATGGCAAGAGGTCTAAGTTTGAGCCAGTGTGATATGACCAGGCTTCTGGCTCCTAAGGAGTATAAGTGGCCCTAGCTTGAGCACTTTCCTGAAAGTCCTGTCCTTTGTGTGTGGGGTAGGGGCGCAAGTGCTGGGAGAGTCTGAAGCCAAGTAATGAGGCTGTTGGTGCCAAAAGTAGGATGAATTTTAGGCTGTTCCCAGGATTCCTGTCTCCCCACAGGCCAGGGCCACCTCTGAGAGGACCCTCGAACTCCTGTGCTCCAAGGCTTCAAACCTTAAAGGGATTTTCAGGCCACGGTGGGAACTGTGGCTCTTGCGGACCCGTTACTCTCTGTTCCTATCTCCCGTCCGCTCTCTCTTTGCTTCTCACATGTGGTTAGGGCCTGCAAGTGTCTCAGGGAGAGAGACAGCTGCAGGGAGCAGAGCTGGCAGGCCCAAGTTGGGGCAGCTGTTGAGGTGTTGGGGCAGCTGGCAGGCTGCTGGGGCTGTTCTGGGTCTCGGATGGAAGAGGGCAGGGAGGAAGGTTCAGCCTGGAGCAGAGGGCTTCCTCTGCATCTCTGCATCGCTGAGCCCAGGACTTAAGGGGCCCGGAGCTGTACTGTTCCCCTCAGAGAAGGTCTTCTCCAGGCCTGGGGTAGGGGTGACAGTTGGGAGCAAAATAACTTTGGCCCCTGGCCCCCTTTAGGAATCCTACGCCAACGTGAAGCAGTGGCTGCAGGAGATTGACCGCTATGCCAGCGAGAACGTCAATAAGCTCCTGGTGGGCAACAAGAGCGACCTCACCACCAAGAAGGTGGTGGACAACACCACAGCCAAGGTAGCAGACGGGCCGGTCTGCCCGGGGTCGGGGCGCTGGGGCCTGCTGCCCCTCACCTGCTCTCCCCTCCTCTTCTCTCCCCTCCTCTTCTCTCCTCTCCCTTGTCAGGAGTTTGCAGACTCTCTGGGCATCCCCTTCTTGGAGACGAGCGCCAAGAATGCCACCAATGTCGAGCAGGCGTTCATGACCATGGCTGCTGAAATCAAAAAGCGGATGGGGCCTGGAGCAGCCTCTGGGGGCGAGCGGCCCAATCTCAAGATCGACAGCACCCCTGTAAAGCCGGCTGGCGGTGGCTGTTGCTAGGAGGGGCACATGGAGTGGGACAGGAGGGGGCACCTTCTCCAGATGATGTCCCTGGAGGGGGCAGGAGGTACCTCCCTCTCCCTCTCCTGGGGCATTTGAGTCTGTGGCTTTGGGGTGTCCTGGGCTCCCCATCTCCTTCTGGCCCATCTGCCTGCTGCCCTGAGCCCCGGTTCTGTCAGGGTCCCTAAGGGAGGACACTCAGGGCCTGTGGCCAGGCAGGGCGGAGGCCTGCTGTGCTGTTGCCTCTAGGTGACTTTCCAAGATGCCCCCCTACACACCTTTCTTTGGAACGAGGGCTCTTCTGTCGGTGTCCCTCCCACCCCCATGTATGCTGCACTGGGTTCTCTCCTTCTTCTTCCTGCTGTCCTGCCCAAGAACTGAGGGTCTCCCCGGCCTCTACTGCCCTGGCTGCAGTCAGTGCCCAGGGCGAGGAATGTGGCCAGGGGATCCAGGACCTGGGATCCAGGGCCCTGGGCTGGACCTCAGGACAGGCATGGAGGCCACAGGGGCCCAGCAGCCCACCCTTTCCTCTCCCCACTGCCTCCTCTCCCTTCCTACACTCCCAGCTCGAGCCGTCCAGCTGCGGTGGGATCTGAGTATATCTAGGGCGGGTGGGCGGGTAGCAGTGCTGGGCCTGTGTCTTGAGCCTGGAGGGAGTCTGCTCCTGCCGCCCTCTGCCCTGCCAGAGACAGACCCATGCGCTGCCTGCCCACCGTGCCCCTTTGTCCCCATGTCAGGCGGAGGCGGAAGGCCCACCGTGCCAGAGGCTGGGCACCAGCCTTAACCCTCACTCTGCTAGCACCTCCTCCCTTTCCCCAAGGTAGCACATCTGGCTCACTCCCCACTCCGTCTCTGGAGCCCACCAGGGAAGGCCCTCATCCCCTGCCGCTACTTCTCTGGGGAATGTGGGTTCCATCCAGGATTGGGGGCCTCTCTGCTCACCCACTCTGCACCCAGGATCCTAGTCCCCTGCCCTCTGGCACAGCTGCTTCCTGCAAGAAAGCAAGTCTTTGGTCTCCCTGAGAAGCCATGTCCCTCGTGCTGTCTCTTGCCTGTCCCACCTGTGCCCTGCCCTCCAGCTTGTATTTAAGTCCCTGGGCTGCCCCCTTGGGGTGCCCCCCGCTCCCAGGTTCCCCTCTGGTGTCATGTCAGGCATTTTGCAAGGAAAAGCCACTTGGGGAAAGATGGAAAAGGACAAAAAAAATTAATAAATTTCCATTGGCCCTCGGGTGAGCTGAGGGTTTTTGCAAGGAAGTTGTGGTGGCCAAGTGTGGTCTGTGGTCTAAGCCCAGCCTTGGGGTGGGGGGATGGAACTGGAACCCTGGGCTTGGTGGGGTGCACGGGGGTCCTGGCTTGGTTTCTGTGTCCTAAGGCTGCTGGCAAAAGCCCTTGACCCCGTTTCCTGAGGCCAGGAAAGCTGCTTGTGCTTCTGTGGTCTGTCCCCAAGGGCCCAGCACCGTTCTGTCAGGGAAAGAGGCAGGCGGCCATCAGCTCATACCTGGCGTGCCGCCGCCAACTCCCGCGGGGCACACGGCAGAGGTGTGGGGTCGCGCAGCCGCTGAGAGGGCCCCCACTGCACCTGGCCCAACCTCCTTCAGCGCCCCCCAAAACCCCACTGCTCCCATTCAGCCCCTGTCCTGGCGTCATTGTGTGTCCCAGCCAGGTGCTTCTGCCGTCTCCGACAGTGACAAGTGCCTCGCACTTCAGCCTTTGCCCTGAGCGCCCGCCCGAGGGGGCCGAGTGCGGCTGTGCCGGTGGCTGGAGTGCCGAGGGGTGCGGGGTGCCGGGGGCGGCCGCGTCTACGCTGTCCGGAGGGTGAACGGCCGCGGGCTTGTCGGGGCTGGGGGTGGCGCCCGAGCCGGGCGGGCAGACGAGGGGCCCGCGGAGACCCAGCCCCGCCCGAGGCCGCTCGCGCGGCGGCCCCGCCCCCGGCTCCGCCCCGCCGGCTTCGCGGGCTGGAGAGCGAGGGAGCCGCGGGCGAGGGATCGCAGGATGAGCGATCGGGGCCCGGGCAGCCGGCAGCGGACGCGCCCCCCGAGCCCACCGGCCCGCGCCCCGCGCCCCCCACGGCCCCGCGGTCCCGGTCCCGGCCGCATCACCCACGTCCCCCGAGCCCCACGGGCCATGCCCGGCCGGCCCTAAGCGCGGGCCGGGGGGCGTCCCCTTGCGCCCGGGCCCCGCGCTGGCGCCCCCCGGGCCGCCGCCCGGCGCGGGGGCCATGGCGTTCACCTTCGCCGCGTTCTGCTACATGCTCACCCTGGTGCTGTGCGCCTCCCTCATCTTCTTTGTCATCTGGCACGTAAGGCCGGGCTGGGGCTGGGGCTGGGGGCGGGGTGGGGGGCAGGGGCCACGCGGAGCTGGAGGGACCCAGGGCGGGTGGTCTCAGAGCCCAGGGGAAACTTGCTATCCCCCAGCCGTCGGCTTGTCGGCTTCGCCCCCATTAACACCCCCCGTGGTCGGCTTTCTTCCCGGGGCCCCCCTTCCTCCGCCGCCCCCGCCTGTCTGTGTGTATGTCAGTCGGTCTCTGACCCCCTCCTCTGCCCTCGTCCTCTGCTCCCATGCAGCCCGTGAGGTGGGGGGTGGAATTCTGGCATTTTTGTTGCTTTATCTTCTATGTCCCCCCCCACCACCATCCAGCCGCCTCCATTAGTCCGTCGGGCAGTTTGTCTGTCTGCTGCCCCCCCCCCCCCGCCTTTGTGGGTTTTTCCAGCCAGAGTGATGGAGCTGGTTGCTATGGCAACTGCATCTGTTTACAGGACCCACAGATCTCAGAGTCCATTAACCCTTTGCCTTCCCAGCCCCCTCCCTGACCAAGCAGCAGTTGGCTCTCATCAGCCCCCAGAGACCTAGCCCCCACCACCGGCTCACCTTGGGTTTCCCTACCCCTCCTGTTGGGGGCTTCCCAGCCCCCCAGGTTTCCTCTCCATTTTCCAGCTTCCCTCCTCTTCCTGTCCCCCTTCCCCTTTGTCTCTCACATACCCCTTGGTCTGTCCCTCGCCCTGGCCTAGCCTCACACCTGGTTCTTCAAAATGTCCATTCCTCATCCTGCATCCGACCCATCGCTTCCCCCAGGCTCCCTCCTCCTCCCCTCCCGCTCCTCTCCTCCAGGGCCTCCTCTGCCTGGCTCCCGTCCCCTCACTACAGAACTATCAATCAGCCTCCAGCTGGTTGTTGGGGGCCCCTGGCCCCACTTTACTGCCCTCCGTCCCCACCCCCACCCAAACCCCGTGCCTGTTTCTGTAACAGCCTGCCCAGCTCGGCCCTGGCTGGCTCAGCTCAGCATCCTCTGCTCACACCTCCCGCGCACACCTCCCTGATTGTCATTCCCTTTCAGGGGTCCTCTTATCCCTCCCTCAATCCCATTTCCCATAGCCCTTCCCTCCTTCCTCCCGGTGCCTCACCTGCTTCTTTCCCGGGCTCTCCACTTCCTCTCTCCTTTCTCTTCCTGGGACCTGCCGCCTGCTCCATGGTTCCCCCTGCGCTCCCTTTGCCATCCCCTGCCACCTTGCTCTTTGACATCGGGAATCCATAGACTGAACCCCTACTGTGTGAAGAGTGAGCCCCCAAAGGCACCTCAGCACACACCCCAGCTCCAGCCCTGTCACTCCTTGGCCTGGCTCTGCTCTCTCTCTGGGTCTTGGTTGCTTTGTCTTTCCCCCTCTCCCCCGCACCCCGAGTTACTCTATTTTTCTTTCTGTGGGGTAGGGGCAGGAGGGCTAGGGTTCTAAGGACTGGAGGGAGCTGGGGGCCACAGGCTAGGGAATGCAGAGCTGACCAGCTCCTGGGAGAAGGGCTCCTGGAATTCAAGAAGCCTCTTTTTGGGGCCTTCCCCACCCAGGGCCTTCCCACAGCCCCTGTGGGGTCCCTGTCCTCAGGGGATCCTCAGCAGTTTATCCACCACGCCTGCATTGATGCTTCCCAAAGATCAGGCTCTGGGTGGCTTTGAGGGGGTCAAGGATGAATAAAACCCAGACTTTGCCCTTGTGGAGTGCCCAGGCTGGGAGGAAAGGCCCAAGCTTTGAAGAAATGTCTTTGTTCATTCAACAGATATTGATTGAGCACCTGTGTGAGGTACTCTGTCCACTCAGCCATTTAGCTGGACAATCTTAGCAAGTCATTTGTCCCAAGTCTGGTTCCTCGCCGGCAAAGTGGACCTGTGCACATCAGAGTGCCTAGTGCGGCCTGCTGGGTGGTAGGGGATAGGAGGCGTGGTCCTCAGTCCACAGCTGCTAAGAACTAGACTCTTAACAGGGCGGGACCCCAGATCCCACTCCAGACCCTCAGCCCAGGCCCCAGTGGTTCCTAGGCAACCCTGGCGGTGAGTGACGCGTGTCAGCTGTCACCATGGGGGATTGTTTGTTCCGGGGGGCTGAGTCAGCGCCAGGCAGCCTGGGGGGTGGGAGGGGTGACGCCCGCCGCCTGCTGGTGGTGCCAGCTCTGGGGTACAGACGGCACCCTTCTGCTCCCTGTGGACCCTGTTGCTGTGCGTGCCAAGTGGCGCTGCCCAGAGTCAATGGGGAGCTGGGCGGGGAGGGGGGATGATCCAGATGGCCTCAGCTCCCTCCAGGAAGCCCATGTTCTTTCTCTCTGAGCCGTCTGGGGCCTGGGATGCCTGGGGGTGGTGGGCCTGCTGCCTCATCCTAGGGCTGGAGCCGACAGGAGGGGACCCCAGCAGGCTCCTCTGCCAGCCCATTTCCCCCAAGTCACCTGTCAGCTCCTTCCCATCCCATCATCCCCTCAAACACTTGCTCCCCTGGAGAGTTTCCACCCGTGAGGACACTGCCGTCTGCCAGACACCCCAACACCTGAAGCCACCTTAGATTTCTGCCTTCACTTCTCAGCCATTTGAACCCTCTGGAGTCTGGCTCCTAAAGAGCTGTAGAATCCCATGCACGCCTTCCGTCTCCACTACAACTCTCCTCACTCAGACCACCATCAGCCCTGCCCCTAACCCTCCAAACCGTCCCCTTGCTGGTCTGGCCTGAGTATGACACAGTGGTTAGGAATTTTAACTCTGGAGTCACACTGGGTTAGAATCCACTAACCAGCCGTGTGGCCCTGGACAAGTCACTTAACCTGCCTCAGCTTCCTCATCTGCAAAACAGACATGAAAATAAAACTAGTACCTAAGTCATAAGGTTGTTAAGAATTAAATGAGTGAATCCACATACCGGCCAGGAGAAGCACCACTTAGATCTCAGCTGTGACTGTCAGTGAGCTCGGATTTCCTGCCCCACCAATCCTGAGACATGGACCAATCCTAAGACATGGACCTGACCACCCCACTCTGCTGCTGTGTACTCTTCAATGCCTCCCCCCAAAATTTTTGTGTTAAAGTAAGTCCAAACTCCTGCTCTGGCCTCACAGGGCGCCCATGTCTGGCTCTGCTGAATTCTCCAGCTCCTCTTCCACCACTCTCTCTTTTCTTCCTGCTCGCTGCGCTGTCACGCCAGCCCCATGAAACCCGCAGCCTCCTGAATGTCTCCTGACCTTTCACCCCTCTGCCATTGCACCTTCTACTGCTTGGACTGCATTTCCCCCATTTGCTCACCAACACCTACTCCGAGTCCAGCCTGAACTCCCTCACCCCCCACACAGGGTTAAGCGCCCACTCCAGGTCCTCCCTGTACCCCAAACCCTGATCACCTGGAAGGCAGAGTGATCATCCCTCTGGGCCTGGGTTCCTCCTGGGCAGGGGCTGCATCCCAGGCCTCTGGAGCCCCAGTGCTCAGCACAGGGCCTGAGACTTGGCAGGGCAGACACGAAGCCATGTCTTGGGATGTTTTGGAAGGGGGTGTAGTGGACATGGGCCTGAACTGGGCATCCAGACGCTAGGGTTCCCTTCTGGACTGTTGTAATGACCTTGGACCAGGCCCTGCTCCTCCCTGGACCTCGGTTTCTCCACCTTTGCAACAAGCTCCACCTGGCTGGTCCTCTTCAGTAAACTATCCCACAGAAGGACTTGGGGGAAGGCCATAAGCTGCTGCCCCAACCCTGACGGGCACACGCCCCTCCCCCAGATCATAGCCTTTGATGAGCTGCGGACCGACTTCAAGAACCCCATCGACCAGGGGAACCCTGCGCGGGCAGTAAGTGATACATGTGCTGTGCCGAGGTGTGTCCGTCCGTCTGTCTTTCCATCTGTCGTGGGCTGGGGGTGGGAGACGGGAAGACGGGGGTGGGGTGGGGGGCCTACGGCCATGCCCCCTTCCTCTCTGTCTCCGCCCCCAGCAAACACCTGGCGCGGGCTCAGGGCTGAGTTCCTCTTGGCGGGGCGGTGGTTGCCAGGCTCTGGGCCGTTGCCATGGAGACGCGGGTGAAGGCCCTTCCATGGTGACGGTCGCCATGGGGACGGCGCGGCTGCTTCCCGGCCGTGCCGACAGTGCCGCAGAGATCGCTCTGGCGCCCCCTGGCGGCCACATGTGGAGCGGTGGGAGCTGCTCCAGTACCTGCTTCTCCGCCACCCCATCGCGGCCTTTTCCTTCCCCCAACAGCGCGAGCGTTTAAAAAACATCGAACGCATCTGCTGCCTCCTGAGGAAGGTCAGTGTCAGGGCTGGGGGCAGGAGGCTCCTAGCCCAGCGCTGCCCCCACTGTCTGTGGCCCAGAACCAGGCCTTCCCCTGCTTTGGGCCTGTTTGATCCACTCTACTTGGGAGGGAGTGGGAAGCCAGAGGCCTTTTAATCCCCAGAGGTCACGGTGGGTGGGCACCTCCCAAACCCCAGCTCCTCTCTGTCCCCTTGAAGGCTGGTCTGTCATAGCACCAGGCCGCTGACCTCTCACCCTCACTCCCCCAGCTGGTGGTCCCAGAATACTCCATCCACGGCCTCTTCTGTCTGATGTTTCTGTGTGCAGCAGAGTGGGTGACCCTGGGCCTCAACATCCCCCTCCTCTTCTACCACCTCTGGAGGTGAGGGTAGCAGCTGCCTTGGGGAGGCTGAGATGGGGAACAGGGGCAGGATGGGGGTGGGAGTCCTGATGGCAGACACTCAGGCCCCTGTCTGCCCCAGGTACTTCCACCGTCCTGCAGATGGCTCTGAGGTCATGTATGATGCGGTCTCCATCATGAATGCTGACATTCTCAACTACTGCCAGAAGGAGTCCTGGTGCAAACTTGCCTTCTACCTGCTCTCCTTCTTCTATTACCTGTACAGGTGAGGCCTTGCCCACAGCAGTCAGAACTCAGGGAAGGGATGTCCCAGCATCACGCTTCCAATCCCAAGTTCCTGCCTTTTGCCCCTGAGGACTGAGGGCAGCCCAGGGTGTGACCAGGTGGGCATCTGGGTGGCTGTGTGTGTGCAGGGCTAGGCTCACTGGCTCATCTTCCTACAGTATGGTTTATACGTTGGTGAGTTTCTAAGGGGGAAGCCGGCCAGGGAGCGAGCCCAGAACGGACCGGACGCCTGTGCACCCCCAGCCCTGCCCCTTGGCCGCAGAGGCCTCAGCCCTGGGGAGGGAGGGGGCACTGGTGCCCCCAGCCTCTCCAACCCCCAAACTGCTGCTGCGGGGAACCCCCCCCACCCCGCCTTCAGAGCCCTCCCCCTTGGACTAGAGCGGCTGGGCAGAGCTCTAAACAGGGGCAGGGGCTCCTCTGCCAGCCTGTGGGCATGGCAGTCATTCCTGGAAGGGGCAGGACCTCCGGCCTTGTCCATTTCGGGGGAAACTTGGGCCCTGCCAAGGGGCAGAGCTTGACCCTGGAAATTCTGGGCCATCCCCCTCCACCCCCACCCTGAGGCTCCCCCTGCAGGTGGGGGGGTACCCGCACCGGGAATGAGCAGGCTCAGCAGGGGGGCAGCCCCACCCCTAGTCTGCCCTCCCCTCTCCCCCAGGCTCTTTCTCCAGCCCTGTCTCCATCTGCCCCAACCTCAGCCCACCTTGTCTCTTGGACCTATTTTCTATGTCGCCTGGAGGAGTCCGGCACCCCCTCCCCGGCCATTTGTGACAAAATATGAATAAACTACTGCAAATATGTGGGCCCCGGTTCTGCTCCTGGAAAGCTTGAAGAGGAGATGGGGGCCGATTACAGGGACTGTATAGGGGGCAGCCCTAAGCTGAATCCCCAGCCTGGCTTGTCTCACCCCACTAGCCCACAGACCCTGCTGGAGCCCCCCAGAGGGATCAGACGCCTTCCAGGTCCCCTCAGCAGCCTCCTTCCATCTTCTCTTTCCCAGCTGAGGCTGCTGAAACCCTTACAAGGCAGTATCAAGGTCACCAAAGTCATGAAGCCCTCCCTGGGTCCACCTTCTTCCTAGACGGCCCCAAGCCCGATCCCCTGGGCAATGCAGAGGCGCAGAGGTATCTGTAGCTCCCCATCAGGCCCCAGGAACAAGGGTCAGACAAAGTCAAGGAAATCAAATCTTCAATGAATGAAAAACTCAGTGCCATCTGGGGCCAGGGGGTCACCGGACCAGGTGGAAAGTCAGCCAGTATATGATGAGGGGCTGGAAGGCTGCAGCTCCCAGAGTCAGGTAGAGCTGGAGACGCTGCCGGGGGACGGGGCCCCCCATGCTGTCGGGGCCCAGGGCTGCTGTCCGCAAAGAGCGCACCTGGAAGAAAGGAGAACTGAAGCCTGGCCAGGAGGGGGAGGTTTGCCCTCAAGTGAAGGCAGGGGAATGGGGGGGTGCACCAGACTCACAATGAAGTACATGAGCGCCGATGAGGTCCAGGCCAGCGCCACGTAGTAGCCATCGCTGCCGAACAGCAGCCCCGTGAGCACACTGAGGATCATTCTGGGGGTGGGAGGAGGAAAGGGTTGGTGACCCCCAGGGGTCTAGGCCTGAGATTGGCCCTACCCCCAACGCCCAGAGCCCAGCTAGACCCCACCTCCCACAGCACCTTTTACTCTCAATCTGTCCCCACAGGGACCCAGACCCCAAAGGGATATGGAAGGCCCAGGACTCAGCCCCAGGACCTGGATCTGAGACCCCCTTCTCTCCCCAAGACTCGCAGAGTGACTCTCAACACCTCCCCAACCTCTGCATGGCACGCAGATCCTCAGGAGACTGCTGGAGACAGCTGCTCCCTCTTAACAGAGCAGTGCTAGAGGTCACTAGGGGCCGAGACATGTCCAGGGTCACAGTTCGAGGCTACAGCTATGCAGGCCCAGATCCAAGGCCACCTCCCCCTGGCCCACAAGTGCTCACCCCACGTATTTGTAGCCACTGTAGGCCAGCAGGTGAAAGGTGCTCAGGTCACTGCGCACGGTGGCCAGGTAGAGGCCCAGGAGCAGGGCCAGCACCTCCATCACCACCCACACCAGCGCTGTGCTTGCACACAGGCCCAGCACCTCCGGGGAGAACCTGCGCCAAAGCAGGGGTGGCTCAGAGCCAGGCATCCTGAGGCAGGGGTGAGGAAGAGAGACTGGGGCAACAGAGGGTGAGCTGGGGACCACCACATATGCCCTAGGGAGGTTGGGAGAAGAGCTCACAGGGAGGGGAGGGTAAGGGAGGGGCTTGGCACTGACCTTTTCTGAATGCCCAGTGCCATCCCAGCCAGGAGCACGTAAGTAATGAAGGCCATCGCTGCCAAGTGCCAGAGAGATGCCATCAGCTTGGCTTCCTCCATCAGAGCTGCCTTACTAGGCATTCGGGTTCACCGACATGTCCCATACTTCCTTCTCTGAATAGCCCAGCATGGCCTGACCTCCACATTCTGCTTCCAAATGCCCTGCCTGGAATGCCTGTCTCCGATCAGCCCTCTCCCACTGTGTAAATGCCACCTGACCCTTCTTCCAGAACCACAAGCCACCTTTCCTGTCCCTGTGCTGGGAAGCTCATCAGTGTTCTGCTGCATCTCAGAAACTGTATCATGGGCCAAGGCCATTGTTCCGCCTATACAGGGACCAAACTGGTTTCTGGCAAGACCAGAAGCCAGGTTCAGTGGACACCCATGCTGTCCTGAGTCTGGGGTCATGGAGATGACCTCACCGCAGTCAGCAATTCTAAGTCTCAGCACTGGCTAGGGCTCTGGCTGCCCAACAATGCAGGGAACTCCAAGTTTAACTTTGGGCAGTATTCATAAAAGCTCAGAGCCAGTGGGAGCCGGGCATTAGCAGCAGTTTTAACTCTGTCTTCTGCCCCGCTTAAAGCACTAGAATTGGCTGGGCGCAGTAGCTCACGCCTGTAATCCCAGCACTTTGGGAGGCTGAGGCAGGCAGCTCACTTGAGCCCAGGAGTTCAAGACCAGCCTGGGCAACATGGCAAAACCCTGTCTCTACTAAAAATACAAAAATTAGCTGGGCCTGGTGGCAGGCGCCTGTAGCCTGCAGTCCCAGCTGCTCAGGAGACTGAGGCAGGAGGATCACCACCTGAGCCTGAGAGGCAGAGGCTGCAGTGAGCCAAGATCACACCACTGTACTCCAGACTGGGTGACAGAGTGAGACCCTGTCTCAAAAGAAGAAGAAAAAAAAAGCACTGACATGACCACCAGCGGGGAGTGTCTGGAGTTCTGGAGTCAGGAAATCAGCTGTACCACCTGTCAACTTTGAGGCCTCAATGATACTGAAGCTCCTCTGAGGCTTGGCTTCAACATGTAAAATGGGGATGCCAGTTCCAGCCTTACACGGTGGCTACGATGGGCACACGGGATGAAGGATGGAAGCCCCTGTGCTGCCCAGCACACCTAGGCTGGCTGCCTGCCCTCAGTCCCACTGGCTGCCCTCACTGGAAGCTCATCTGCGGGCTGGTCCCTGCACACTCACTCACCCTGGGTGTCCACGATGGGCCTGGCCCTGTGCAGCCAACAGGACAGAGAAGAGTCAGCTGTATGTGTGGGCAGCCTGAAAAATGCCATGTGGACAGGCAGTTGTGGGAACCCAGAAGGGAGCCACCACTTGCTCAGGGGGTCAGGAAAGGCTTCTTGGAAGAAGGGATAACAGAGCACGCCTTGGAGGACAAGCAATAACGATGATAAGAGTTAATGTTTCCTACGTCCTTCCTGTGTGCCAGGTGAGGTGCTGAGCAAACATCACCTTGCTGAATCTCTCCAACAGTCCTTTGGGGTAGGGACTACATTAGTCCTGTTTTACTGAAAAGTACAAATAACCAGCCTGAAATCCCATAGCTGGAGTCTGCAAAGCCAGGTCTAAACCCAGAGCTCCAGGCTGGGGAGGGATACAGTCCAAATCAAGAAACAGGAAGGTCTCAAAAGGGTGTCCTGGGGACACTGAAGGCGCATTCAGGAAGCTCCTTACTGGTCACCCTGCACTGCCTGCCTGGTGTCTTGCAACTGCCACACATACACAAAGCACCAAGAACAGATGCTGACTCAGTAGCTGCGCCTCTCTTCCCATTCATCCCTCAAGGCACAAGTCCCCCCCGACCCCACCCCACCACGTTCCCCAGCCCAGGTTGGAGACTCACTGGGGATATAGAGGTCAGGGGCGTTGAGGTCTTGCCGGGGGGGCAGAGGAGCATCACGACTGTACTGCACTTCCCAGTTCTGGCAGTGGCAGTGGCAGCAGCGGCCACATCAGGAGGGGAAGAAGAGAAAAGAGGAGAGAAGGGGGTTGAGGTCTGGGGGCCAGACTCGGGCAGAATGAGGAAGGCCCACCAGCTCCCTTGGTAGGAAGCTCACCTGGTGTGTGTAGGGGAAGACCAGCAGCCCTAGCTTCTTGGCCACGTAGGCTGTGTCCACAGCAAAAAAATACTTGAGTTTGCTCACAGACACAAAACGGTGCAGCTGGGAGGGGAGAGAGGAAGCTGTGGGCAAGCCGCACCCCAGGCCTCAGGGTGCCCCTCTGTGTGCTCCATCCCTGAGGGCACTGTGAGGAATCGGGTGGAATCCCATGATGCCCCAGCCCTAGCCAAAAATTCTGCCACCCGTGCCCCGGGGGCAGGCCACACCTCCTTGTGCACCATGTCCTTCCCATGGGATGCGATGGAGCTGCCATAGGCCATAGCCACATTGGCCATTGGGTCCCCAAGCAAGTGGTTGACACTGAAGGCCACGTCTGCTCCTGTGGCTGGGTATCCCCCGGGCTGGCTGGAATAACCACCGCTTGTGTCATCGAAGAGGGGAGGGGGATCCGGGGCTGCCCGGGCCCTGTGCTTGGAGCCTGTGGGTTTGGAGGTATCAGAGTAGATGACAGAAATACCAAGCATGAGCCCAAACCACCGCCCCTTCCCTGGCTGGACAGCCCTGCACGGGTCCTGGAGGCACCGATCAGTGAGGGGACCCCAAGCTGGGTGAGGGGGAGCTAACTGAGAAAAAACTGTGATGAGGGATCCTTTGCGAGAAATCCGTTGCTAAATGTAGGCAAAGAAAGAGCTGAGGCAGCGCCTAGAACTGGTTGCCCACTTGGGGTTTCTGAAGGCCTCTCACTGGAAGTGACCTCTGAACTGAGCCACAGTGAGTAGAAGTGTGCTAGGTGAAAATAACTGGGAGGGCATCCTTCCGTGAACAAAGCTGGGAGAGGCGACAGCTGGCTACCTGGAGGCCCTGGACAGTGATCAGGGACCTCATCAGGTTCACAACAGTCAAAGGAGTTTCTGGAGGAGGAGGCGGACCCCGTTTTTGCCCGACTCCGGCATGGGATTCCCAGGACTGGGCCGAGAGGGCGAAGTCCGGGACGTGTTGGAGTGTTACGAGGGGCAGGAACCCGAGTGACACCCCCGCCCTGGGCGGCGGTCCCAGTCGCTATCTCCCTCGGGGTGAGCGGGCCACGCCGCCGACTCTCCCCCCGCCGGCCGCGCCGCGCCCCGCCCGCGCCCCACGCACCGTGGGCTCCGTAGCCCGAGTGATAAGCCATGGCCGCGACGCTCGCTGTCCCCGAGGGCCCGCTGCGCCGCCTCGTGGGTACGAATACTAATGAGGCAGCTGCTCCGCGCCCAGGGTACCGACCGAGGCCACCCGGCCGCGCGACACGTCCCCCACCCCGCCGGTCTCGGCCACCATGTCCGTGGCGTCATCCCCCGCGCCTGCCATTGGCTCTTCGGCGGCGCCGGCTCGCCCCTCCCCTCTCCCAATTGGCCACTGACGAGCTCTGGCCTGAGCGGATTCGGCAGAAGGCAACATCCGGGTGAGGGACAGGCGGAGCGACTTGCGGTGCCTGGGATTGGATCACGGGCTTGCCAGTTCACGGTGGGAACAGCCAATAGAAGAGTTAAGAAAGAAGGTGGGCGAGAATTATTTGCGCGCCTGCGCGGTGAGGCACTTGACGCACCCTGCCACGACTACACCAGGGAGTCGAGAGGTAACCTGCAGCCGGAGTCAGGAGCAAAGCTTCCTTGGTGGGACGTACTCCAGGAGGGAACGGGGCGGTCGAGTTCCAACCAAGCCCTGCCCTTCGGGGCGCCTGTTTCTCCCTCTCTGGGCTTGTTTTCCTCCCCCGTCACCTACACTTCACCCAATCTTGGAACGGAGCCCCGGCAGACCCGGAGGTGGTGGTGGGAGGCCGGACCTATCAGTGACAGAGCTGCCAAGCAAGCCCCAGGATGCTGACTCCACCCGCCTCCCACTCCTCTTCTCCGCGCGGGTGCTGTCCGTCGTCCGGTGCTGAAAATGTCCTCCCGCCTCAGCCGCCATCCTGTAGACTCCCGGGGGCCTGCGTATGGGAAGATTTGGGGTCTCGAACCACACGCTCCTAGCGAGCGCGTGGCCGCACGCACACATACACGCATACTGCAAAACTGGGGCCCAGAGGATCCGAAGTCTGAGAGATTGGGTGGTATAGGTGGGGCAGGATCCTGCCCCGGGCCTGTCCCATAGACTCTCCCGTAGTCCAGCAGATTTGGGGGCAGAGGTGTGCTGATTTGCGTCCTGAAGCTGCAGCCTAAACTCCTGAGTCATCGCCGGGCCTGTGGTCTTCTTGAAGTGAGGCCCCTAAGCCTCACTTGTAGTCCCGGGGGTTCCTTTCTCTCCACCCAGGTTCTGATCACTCCCAACCCCGCGGAGACAGTCTTCAGGGGCCTCCCTCTCACAGACCTTCAGCCACCGCTTTCTAGAGAGCATGAGCAGGTTCTCTGCGACCTCTCTAATTAGCTACCAGGTATCCAGTTACACCAGATGACCTTCCTGCTCCCCAAACTCAGCCCACGTGGTCTGATTGCAGTGCCATTGCCCAGAGGTCCCCTCCACCTGGGATGCCCTTCCCCCTCATATCCACTTGTCCATAAGCCTAGTTATCTTTAAGAGTTAGTTCATCTCGTGCCTCTCAGAGGGACAAAGGGGACAGAGACCTGACCCGGTCAGGGGTGGAGGTCATAGGTTGGGTTCTAGGCCCCCTCTGGGTGCACCCAATTTGCCCTGCATGTAAGTTCCATGAGGACAGGCCCTGTTGTCATTCTCCACTTCCACCCTTGTCTTCCCAGTGCCAAGCACAATACTTGCATATGGAAGACACCCAATAAACATCTGTGTCCAAGAAATTCATAATAAATAGATAAAACCCTGGACCAGTCCTTTCCTGTGTCCACATCTCAATTACCTAATCTTTAAGTGGGTAAGGATGTTTAATTGAATGGTCTTTGAGTTGCTCTTTGCCTGAACACACGCACATACAAAAATGAATTAACCCACCAGTATTGCAGCTCATTTTCTGCCCATATTGTCTAGTTTGGGAGCAAAGCCAGACCCAGACACAGATGTGAAGATCTGAGGCCCTGGAGGGCTAGGAGGTAGCACTGGGGCCACGTGTACCTGGGAGGGGGTCATCTAATGCAAGTCAGTTCCCATGTCACTGCAGGGCACAATGGATACTTGTAAACTGAATCCAAAACCTTTCTATGTCTTTTCTTTTCCTTCTTTCTTTCTTTATTTCTTTTTCTCCCTTTCTTTCTGTCTTCTTCTTCTTCTCCTTCTCCTTCTCATTCTTCTTCTCCTTCTAGGCAGGGTCTCACTTTATCACGCAGCTGGAGAACAGTGGTGCAAACACAGCTCACTGCAGCCTCTTACTCCCAGACTCAATTGATCCTCCTGTCTTAGCCTCCCAAGTAGCTGGGAATACAGGTGCACACCACACCATCATGCCCAGCTCATTTTTTAATTTTTTGTATAGGCAGGGTTTCGCCATGTTTCCAAGGCTGCTGGAATTCCTGGACTCCAGTGATCCTCCCACCTCGGTCTCCCAAAGTGCTGGGATTACAGGCATGAGCCACTCAGTCCAGCTTTTATCCCCATTTTTCAGATGGGAAAACTGAGGTTGAGAGTGGAGCATGCTGGCCCAAGGTCACGCAGCCTAGGGTCCCTTGTGTCCTGGCCCCAGCCTGCCTGTCCTAAGCTGAGCCCAGCACCCCTGCCCAGCCAGTGAGACTCGTCACGCTTTTCTCAGCTGTAACTACCCTCTTCTCCAAGTGAGGCTTCAGGGATGGGATCTGGGTGGGCTTAACTCTGGGCCTACTCCTTAGAGATGGGACCCCGCGAGCGCCCACCCACCTTGGAGATTCTCCTTCCTCGAGGGTTTTACAGCCCGGGAAGCTCAGGCGCCAGAGGGTTAGACCAGCTCAAGGTCGCGAGCGCGAGCGCGGCCGGAGGAGAACCCAGGGGTCCAGCCGCCCAGCGGGGGCTTCTCGGGGACGGGCGGAGCGCCCGCGGTGCCAGGCGCTGCCGGCGGCGCCGCCGGTGCCGCGGGGGCGGGGTCAGCGGAGGGCGGGGCGCCTGGCACCCGGGCCGCCAACGCCGCCGCCGCCGCTGCCGCCGCGCTCGGGCTCGAGCTCCGCGCACTCCCTCCGCGGCCGCTGAGCCGAGCGGACGCCCCCGGGGGCCGCGTCGCAGCCCTCCGTGCTCCCCCCTATCATGCCCGGTGCCCAGGCTGGGGCCGCCCAAGCAGCCAGGACACCATGCCCGAGGACGGCGCTGGCGACGGCGGGGAGGTGCCCGCGCTCATCCCGGACGGCGAGCCGCTGCGGGAAGAGGTACCGGCGCTGGGGGGGCCGGAGCCGGGCCTGGGGCGGCGTGAGAGGGACCAGTGCAAAAGGCGACCCCAAGAGAGGGGCTGAGGAGGGAAGTCCCAGAGCCCCTACGGCCAATGACGTCATTGGGGTCACCTGCGCCCTGCCAAGGGTCCAGGGGCCCGCGTTGGGGGTAGGGGTGGGGCGGCTGGACAGCAATATGCGGGGCGACTTCCGCCCCCGGCGTCCCCTCATCCAGCCTCGCCCGTCCTGTGACGTCAGTGCCTGGCCCCCACGCGTCCCAGTGCCGCAGCGCAGCGGGGGATGCTGCCCCCACCCCCAGGGCCGCGGGGTCAGGTCCCCAGCCCGGCCCAGCCGCTCACGAGGTGTCCGGGCAGCGCCTGCAATGCAGCAGCAGTCGCAGAGCCTAGAGGGGAGGAGGGGAAGAGGAAGGGAGGCGCCTGGGTACCCCTTCTCCTTGTCCTCGAGGTGAGGATTGAGGGCCCATTCTGCTGGCTGGGACCCCCGACGGCCCCTCCTCAGCCCTAGCCAGGAAGGTCTGCAGGACCTGGGGCCCCGAGTGATGTGTGGGGTGATAGGGTGGTGAGTGGGGCTGTGCATGCATTTGGGTGAATGTAGCCTGCTTCTGTGTGTGTGTTGTGTGGGTGTGTGAATTGGGTGTGTGCGCCCTGTAGTCAGGTGAGGGGCGAGTGGGTGCCTGGCTCGGGTTGTCACCCAGTGGTCTAGGTGTGCGCATGTGAGTGAGTCCCTTTGTGGGCAGGTCTCTCCCTGTGGAGTCTGAGGAGCCTGGGGGTCAGTTTGCAGTGGGGGGTGGGGAGATGTGCACTGTGGTCAGGTGAAGGTCTGGTATGTCTCTGGGCTTCACTGCACGTGCAACGTGTATGTGCACGTGTGTGTCCTGTGGTGGATGGGTATGTGGTGTGTGCGTGTGTGTGTGTATGTGTGTGTACCATGCTACGGTTCTGGGAGTCTGTGCCCTGGGGACAGGCGAGGGTCTGGAGTTTCCTGGGTGACAGGCAGTGTGGCCCTCCACGGTGGGTGGGTCTGTGATGAGCATGTGTTGGAGGGGCGTGGACAAGTGTGTGTGCACCTGACAGGCCTTGCAGGTCAGCTGGCGCTGTGCTCCCATGCTGGGTGATGGGGACAGGCTGTATCTGGGCTGGGCTAGGGGGTGGTTCCTCTCCTCTTGGGCCTCTGGAGGCCTGGTAGGTCTGGGGTAGGAGAGGTGGCCCCTTAACCCCCCTTTTGTTGTTTCCACTTTTTTCCTCCCCTTTTTACCCTTCCCCTCGCCCCACTTTATCCCTACCTGCTTCTCTCTCCATGGCACCTGAGGGTGAGGTGGCTAGGCTGGCAGCCCTGCCAGGGAGGGTGTGGCAAGCCCTCTGAGCCAGGGAGTGGCCCCTGCTGCCCAGTAGCTGTGTCCCACCCCCTTGCTCAGCACAGATGGGGAGTGGAGGATGGCCCTCCATCTGCTCCCCACCCCAAGACTCGCACCTCCCCCGTTCTTGAGGCTCCCTCTTTCTCATCAACTCAAAAGCCTCTGCCGAGACTTCTGAGTCCCTATGGAACAAGGGACCAGAGGGAGTCTCAGGGTAATGGTGATCATATTTATTCCCATGGCCAGACCCTGTGCTCACTTCTTCACACATATGATCTTGTTGAATCCTCACAATAGAACCAGTTTACAGATGAGGAAATTGAGGTCCAGAGAGGATGAGGGACCTGCCCAAGTCATACAGTAAGTAGTGGAGCCAGCACTGGCTCCTGGGCAGTGGAACTCCAAAGCCCATGCTGTTTACACCTCAGACCCCTTCCACCCTGGCTTCCCAAACCAACAGGACCAAGAATCAAGGCCCAGAGAGGGCAGAGATATAGCCAAGTCCACACAGCAAATCAGGGCAGAGCCAGGACCAGAACCCACAATAGCCAGTGCAAGGATCCATCCCTCCTGGCTGAGGTGGGCCTGCTGTCTCCTGTGTGCGGTTTGCCGAGTGCTAGCACGGCACAGTGGAGGATGGGTTTGGGGCAGCGAGTCCTGGGTTTGAATATGCAGCGCCACTGTGAGTGAGCTGGAAATGTGAAGCCTGGAGCAAGCTGCTCATCCCTCTAAGCCTCAGTTTCCTCCTCTGTAAAATGGGGCTCACGGTATCACCTTCCTCAGCCGGGTTAAGCAAAGTGGCAGGCCCCACTGATGGCCCCACCTGACACAGACTTCCCTTTCTCTGCCCACCTGCAGCAGCGGCCCCTGAAACAGTCCCTGGGAAGCTCCCTGTGCCGCGAGTCGCACTGGAAGTGCCTGCTCCTCACGCTGCTCATCCACGCCTGCGGGGCCGTGGTGGCCTGGTGTCGCCTGGCCACAGTGCCGCGGCTGGTCCTGGGGCCCGAGGCCGCCTTGGCCCGGGGAGCCGGGGGCCCGCCACCGACCTACCCGGCCAGCCCCTGCTCCGATGGCTACCTGTACATCCCGCTGGCCTTCGTCTCCCTCCTCTACCTCCTCTACCTGGCTGAGTGCTGGCACTGTCACGTGCGGTCCTGCCAGGCGCCACGCACCGACGCCCACACGGTGCTGGCGCTGATCCGCCGGCTGCAGCAGGCGCCGCCGTGCGTCTGGTGGAAGGCCACCAGCTATCACTACGTGCGGCGCACACGCCAGATCACGCGCTACCGCAACGGCGACGCCTACACCACCACGCAGGTGTACCATGAGCGCGCTGACAGCCGCACGGCCCGCGGCGAGTTTGACTACTCGGCGCACGGCGTCCGCGACGTCTCCAAGGAGCTGGTGGGGCTGGCGGAGCACGCGGCCACGCGGCTGCGCTTCACCAAGTGCTTCAGCTTCGGCAGCGCGGAGGCCGAGGCCTCGTACCTCACGCAGCGGGCGCGCTTCTTCAGCGCCAACGAGGGCCTGGACGACTATCTGGAGGCGCGCGAGGGCATGCACCTGAAGGACGTAGACTTCCGCGAGTCGCTCATGGTCTTCGCCGACCCCCGCAGCCCGCCCTGGTACGCGCGCGCCTGGGTCTTCTGGCTCGTGTCGGCGGCCACGCTGTCGTGGCCCCTGCGCGTCGTGGCCGCCTATGGCACGGCTCACGTGCACTACCAGGTGGAGAAGCTCTTTGGCGCCAGCTCGCCCCCGCCGGGGGCCGTGCCCAGCGGGCCCCCGCTGTCCCGCGTGGCCACAGTGGACTTCACTGAGCTCGAGTGGCACATCTGCTCCAACCGGCAGCTGGTGCCCAGCTACTCGGAGGCCGTGGTCATGGGCGCGGGCTCGGGCGCCTACCTCAGAGGCTGCCAGCGCTGCCGCCGCTCTGTCAGCAGCAACTCGCTGCCCCCCGCCCGGCCCAGCGGGCCCCGCCTGCCCTTCAGCCGCAGCCGCCTCTCGCTGGGCGCTGGCGGCCGGGCCACGCCAGGGGTCTTCCGCAGCCTGAGCGGGGGGCCGCTGGGGCGCCGTGGAGAGGACACGGAACCCCTGGAGAGCCCGCCCTGCTATGAGGACGCCCTCTACTTCCCGGTGCTCATTGTCCACGGAGACAGCGGCTGCCAGGGGGATGGGCAGGGTGCTCTCTGAGACCCCCCACGGCCCCCAGAGTGGCCCCCTCCCCACCATTCCACCATGGGCTTAGATGCCCGAGTGATTGTTGTCCAAAACAGGCGGGAAAACAGACCAGCCACACACAAGGGGCAGGGGTGAGGGTGGGGGTGGGGGTCCTTAAACAGACTAAAATGCAGTTACCTGTGGTCATTTTGGAGGAAGTGGAAGCCTAAGAATCGCCCCCAGCATGGCTTCATCCCCCAAGATGGCCGATGATCTGGCCTGAAGGCCTCTCACAAAGGGCAGGAGAAGAAGCTTCCAGAAAGGCTGGGATGGAGGAGGAGTCCTGCGGCCAGCTGTTGCCTGCAGCAGAGGCTGCCTGTGGACACTTCCCTACCGGGGCTGAGGCCATGCTGGGAGCCCCCCCAGTGACGCAGAAGCACAAATTGGAGGCTTGGGGCCATGCCCAGCCAGGTTGGCTTCCCTGGGGCTGAAGAGCTGGCTGTGGTGGCACCATGGCCTTGGCCCTGCTACTCACCCAACATTCCCATCCTCCCCTGATAGGCCCCTCCTCCTTGCCTGCCCTCTCTCCCGCTGCTCAGGGCCAGTCACTCCCCCCACATGCAGCTACCCCTACAACCTGGGGTTCCTTCTCAGGGCCTCACCTGGTCCCCACATCCCCTGGCCTCTGCTCCTGCCTCCCAAAGTCCATGTCTGCCTCCATCAGCCACACACACGCAGGGACGCCCGTTCCTTGCCCTCCCGGACTTATCTACTCTTCACTTTCCTGATGATCCATGGGGCCCAGGCCTAGAGGGCATCCGAGGGGCTGGGCCTTGGCCACAGCCTCTTGGATGATGTCCTTGCTCCACCACGCAGGCCCTTGCTTCTCCCATCAACGAGTCTTGGCCCAGGGGACACTGACCCTCCCCCAGGGAGGAGAGAGGAGTTCCTTCCCTTTCAACGAGGGCTTCCACGCCCTCTAAGGGGTGGCGGGGAAGGGAGGAGGCTGAGAAGATGCAGATTAAATAAAGGTATGGAATGGAAGGCCTGTGCATTCCTGGGTCATGGGTCTAAGGCCTCCACTGCAAGCATTATGGGCCCCCATGGTTCAGGGCACGATGAGGGGTTCTGGGAAGGGACTCAGAATTGGGCTCCAGTGTTCCCAGGAACCAAGTAAGCAGAGGAGAGGAAACCTCCCCTGCCTAGCCTGGGGCCTCTGAGACTCAAGTGTGAGGCGCTCTGAGCACCTGGCTCCCCTGACTCCGGTATCTGGGCCTGGGTCACTGCTAAGGCATTGTCAAGGTGGCCCTTGTTCCAGCTCAGTGGGACATTCCACTCTGCTGCTGGGCATGCCGAGGGCTAAGGGAGTGGTGGCCGGTCCCCAAAGTGGGGAGAAAGAGCTATGGTCTGTGACTCGAATTCGGTGCCCCCCCAGCGGCTACTGACATTATCAATCTGAGGGAAAGGGCATGAAGCAGGTCAGAAGACACAAAGCTGGAAAGGGCAGCCCCAAACCAGGGCAGGCTGGCATGGAATCCAAAGGCAGAGAAAACATCAGGGAAAAGGAAGGTCCTGACTCCCTGATGGAGCTCTGAAAGATTCCTGGACGTGGCATTGTCACATGTGCAGCAGTAAAGGGTGTTCACTGTGCAAGGGCAGTGGGCTAAGGGGCAAGCGTGCATGGAATCCAGCCTACAGGCCACTCCCCAAACTCTGGCATGGAGCTACATCCACTTGGAGAAAGGGGACCGTTTTCCTTTTCACGCAAAGGTGGCTTAAGGGCTAGTGGTGGCCCGGGAAGTGTGCTGAGAATGGGTGGATTTCACTAAGCAAAGACATGGCAAGCAATGTCTTGGACAGCCGATGCTGCCCAGACAAAGGCCTGGTTGTCGGGCATGAGCTGAGGTGTGACAAGGAGATAGAAGCAAGAAGCCATGGAAGGCTTTGCTGCAGCTTCCATGCCAAACCCTAGAATTTGTCCTTAAACTGGAGCAAACTGGGCAATCTGGAACCATGGAAGGGGGTTGGGCAGGGACGTGATACAGTCAAGGCTGCATTTTAGGATATTTAGCAAAAGTCCAGCGACCTGCTGGCTCTGTCGGGAGGGTGGAGTGAAAGACCAGAGTTCTCCCTGTGCGTTAACCCACAGCCTCTCTTCTTTGGGTGTGAAATCAGTTCCTCGTTCAGAAGCAAATTAGGTGGAAAACCCTGTGGTGCCCAAACATTCAACAAGGCTGCAGGGGGTGGCCAGGCACAGTGGCTCATGCCTGTAATTCCAGCACTTTCGGAGGCCGGGGCAGACAGATCATTTGAGGTCAGGAGTTTGAGATCAGCCTGGCCAACATGGTGAGACACCCCCCACCCCCGTCTTTACAAAAAATACAAAAATTAGCTGGGTGTGGTGGCGGGCACCTGTGACAGCTACTCAGGAGGCTGAGGCAGGAGAATCGCTTGAACCCGAGAGGCAGAGGATGCAGTGAGCTGAAATTGCGCCACTGCACTCCACCTGAGACTGTCAAAAAAAAAAAAAAAAAAAAAGGCTCCAGCAGGTAGGGAGGCCAGCATGCTGGTTTCAGCTCCTTGCCATGGGAAAGACCCTTTTTCCACCATTCTGCTCTAACACCATAGCCAACAACTGCCCACTGGCCACTCACTGTCCATTCTCCTCCCTTCCCCAATAACAGAACCCCAGTTTTGCTGCAGAAGGCAATGTGCCCAGCTAAAGGGCAACATTTCCAGCCTCCCTGGCATATATGGTATGACTGTGTGGCTGAATTCTAGGATATTAGATATAAACAGAAGGTGCTGGAAGGGATCTCCAAGAATGCCCCTTGAATAGAAGCAGTATTGATGAAGGCCATTTTTGTCCTCTCTGCTTCAGCCTGCATTCAGCCTTGGATGCATATGTGATAGCTGGAACGCCAGCAGCCATCTTGGAGCAGGAAATGACCTTGAAAATTGTAGCCACAGGCTGGGCGCGGTGGCTCATGTCTGTAATCCCAGCACTTTGGGAGGCCAAGGCGGGCGGATCTCGAGGTCAGGAGATCGAGACCATCCTGGCTAACACGGTGAAACCCTGTCTCTACTAAAAATACAAAAAATTAGCCAGGCGAGGTGGCAGGCGCCTGTAGTCCCAGCTACTTGGGAGGCTGAGGCAGGAGAATGGCATGAACCCGGGAGGCGGAGCTTGCAGTGAGCCGAGACTGCGCCACTGCACTCCAGCCTGGGCGACAGAGCAAGACTCCGTCTCAAAAAAAGAAAAGAAAAAGAAAATTGTAGCCACATGCTGAAGACAGCAGAGCAACAAGGGAAAAGATCCTGGGCTTCTGATGACACCATGCAAGTTTCCATGTCATCCCTTGGGTCGCCTACCTCCAGACTTCAATGAGAAAGAGAAATAAACTGTAAGTCTGCTTAAGCCCATTGCTTTTTTTTTTTGTCTCTGTTACCAGCAGCTTTTACCAATTATCTACTGCCACATAACAAATTATCCTAACCCTAGTGGCTTAAAAGAGCAATAATTATTATGCTCTCTCCTGGCTTCTGTGGGTCAAGAACTCAGATAGGACACAATGGGGATGGCTTCTATGCTCCACGACATCCAGGGCCTCTGCTGGAAGACTCAAAAGCTGGGGCTTGAATCATCTGAATGCTCATTCACTCACATGTCTGGCAGTTGATGCTGGCTGAGGGCTGAGGGCTGAGAGCCTAACTAGGGCTGTTGGTGGGAACACCCACACAGGTCCTCTCCAAGCGGCTTGACCTTCCTCATAACATGGTGGCTAGGTTCCAAGAACAAGTATACTGAGAGGGTGAAAGCTGTATTGCACTTTGTGATCTAGCCTCCTAAGTCACATGGCATCACTTCTGCCCCTTTCCATCGGTCAAGGCTACTATGAAGGTCCACTCAGTTTCAAGGGGAGGGAATATAGGATCTCATCTCTCTGTGGAGGCTTGTCAATGTCACATTGTTAGAAAAGCATGCGGGATGGGAGATATATTAGTGGTCATCTTCAAAAATGCAATCAACTGCTGAGCCAAATGCCATTTGCCATTCCTAACTGATTGATACCTGTAAAGTGATCTGCAAAATGAACACCAAGCTCTTTATAGTGCTGGTTTAAGGAAGGAAGGTGGTGGCATGTCAGATATGGGCCTGCTCAGGGCAAAGTGAGCTGCTCAGATCATTTATGGGGACCTTCAGGCCTATGGTAGATTAAATATGGCCACAAATTCTTTGCCACTCCTCTCCTCAAGAGGTGGAATCAGGCCGGGCACGGTGGCTCACGCCTGTAATCCCAGCACTTTGGGAGGCCAAGGCAGGTGGATCACTTGAGGTCAGGAGTTCAAGACCAGCCTGGCCAGCATGGTGAAACCCCAACTCTACTAAAAATACAAAAATTAGCTGGGCGTGGTGGTGTGCACCTGTAGTCCCAGCTACCTAGGAAGCTGAGACAGGAGAATCACTTGAACCCAGGAGGCAGAGGTTGCAGTGAGCTGAGATCACGCCACTGCACTCCAGGCTGGGCAACAGAGCAAGGCTCCATCTCACAAAAAAAAAAAAAAAAAAGAAAAGAAAAGAAGTGGAATCTGTTCGCCCTTTAAATCTGGGCTGGACTTGTGATTTGCTGTGACTGATTGGATGTGAGGGAAGAGATGTTGGCCCACTTCTGAGGCTAGGCCTCAAGGACTCTCGCAGCTTCCACCTTTGCCCTCTTGCAATCCTGAGACCACCATCTGTAAAGATGTCCAGCCAAGCCTCCTGACAGATTTGAGGCTGCGTGGAGAACTGAGGCCCCCAGCCAAGAGCCAGCATCAGCTCCAGATATGGGATGACAGAGGCCATCTTAGACACTGTAGCCCCACTTGAGCCGCAGATGACAGGAGCCTCAGGAGTGACCCAAGGTGAGACCAGCAGATGAACTACCAAGCTGATCCCAGCCCAGACTGCTGTCCTATAGAATGAGGGGAAATAAATCCTTGTTTTAATCCACTACATTTTGGAGTGATTTGTTACATGTTACATGATCACTGTCACAAGGCTCTAAACCCACCTGCACCTCATGAGGGAGGGCACTGGGCCTGCACAGCCAGGAAGAGGAGGGACCCAGAAGCCCCATTGTTTGATGGACAGCTCTCAGCTCACAATCTCCTGATGGGAGATGGGGTGGCCACGTGTTCAGACTCTCTTGGAGTCAACATCAAGCCAAGGTGTTCTGTTCTAAACCGTTCTCAAGAGAAGAATTCATGCCTGAGAAGGGGTGCAAAGCCTGGCTCCCAAACCCCAGCGGCCTCTGCCTCTGCTCTCTCCTGACATAGGCTACCCACAGCATGGCAGGAACAGAACCTGTAATTTCCACCCCTACCACCATCTGCTCCTCTCTGTCTTCCATCTCAGGAAATAGAGCTACCATTCAGCCAGTTGCCTAAGCCAGGCACCAGCACGGCAAGCCTCTTCTTTTTTTTTTTTTTTTTTGAGATGGAGTCTCACTCTGTCGCCCAGGCTGGAGTGCAGTGGCCAATCTCAGCTCACTGCAAGCTCCGCCTCCCGGGTTCATGTTCATGCCATTCTCCTGCCTCAGCCTCCCGAATAGCTGGGACTATGGGTGCCCGCCACCATGCCCGGCTAATTTTTTGTATTTTTAGTGAGACAGGGTTTCACTGTGTTAGTGTTAGCCAGGATAGTCTCGATCTCCTGACCTTGTGATCTGCCCGCCTTGGCCTCCCAAAGTGCTGGGATTACAGGCATGAGCCACCGCGCCCAGCCGCCTCTTTTTTTTTTTTTTTTGAGATGGAGTCTCGCTGTCACCCGGGCTGGAGTGCAGAGGCGTGATCTCAGCTCACTGCAACCTCCGCCTCCCGGGTTCAAGTGATTCTCCTGCCTCAGCCTCCTGAGTAGCTGAGATTACAGGCACATGCCACCATGCCTGGCTAATTTTTGTATTTTTAGTAGAGACGAGGTTTCACCATGTTGGTCAGGCTGGTCTCAAACTGCTGACCTCGTGATCCGCCCACCTCAGCCCCTCAAAGTGCTGAGATTACAGGCGTGAGCCACCCCGCCCGGCTGTCTCTTCTTTTTTTGAGACCGAGCCTCGCTCTGTTGCCCAGGCTGGAGTGCTGTGGCGCAATCTCCGTTCACTGCAGCAACCTCCGCCTCCAGGGTTCAAGCGATTCTCCAGCCTCAGCCTCCCGAGTAGCTGGGATTACAGGCACCCGCTGCCACGCCCATCTAATTTTTGTATTTTTAGTAGAGATGAGGTTTCTGCATGTCGGCCAGGCTGGTCTTGAACTCCTAACCTCAGGTGATCTGCCTGCCTCAGCCTCCCAAAGTGCTGGGATTACAGGCATGAGCCACCACGCCTGGCCTGTTCTTTCTTTAAAACTTTGTATTATGTAAAATTTCAGCTTGTAATCCCAGCACTTTGGGAGGCTGAGGTGAGAGGATCACTTGAGCTTGGGAGTTTGAAACCAGCCTGGGCAAGATAGTGAGAGCCCATCTCTACCAAAAAGTTAACAATTGGCCAGGTGTGTTGGAGCTCACCTGTAGTTCCAGCTACTCAGAAGGCTGAGGTGGGAGGATCGCTTGAGCTGGGAGGTCAAGAGGTCAAGGCTGCAGTGAGCCGTGATTGTGCCACTGCACTCCAACTTGGGTGACACAGCAAGACTCTAGTCTCAAAAATAAAATAAAATATCTTTCTTTCTTTTTTTTTTTGTTTTTTGTTTTTAGACAGAGTCTCGCTCTGTCACCCAGGCTGGAGTGCAATGGTGCAGTCTTGGCTCATTGCAACCTCTGCCTCCTGGGTTCAAGTGACTCTCCTGCCTCAGCCTCCCGAGTAGCTAGGATTACAGGTGTGTACGACCACACCTGGCTAATTTTTCTAAAAAATAAAATAAAATTTCAAACATCACAAAAGCAGAAAGATTGGTGCAGTGAGGCCCCTTCTACTCAGCACCCAGTGCTGTGATGATCATCCACCTGCAACCACTCTGGGCTCCATCCACACTCAGCCCCACTTATTTGAGCTCCAACTGGATTATTTGAAGAAGACCTAGAAGCTGTAGCATTTCGTCAGCTCCCCTCACCCGCCCCACCACGCGTGATATCGACCACCCAAGATTCTACTCAGAACACAACACACCCCACCTCCTCTCCACCCCAAGCCACCTTGCTCCAAGTGCCCAGGATTCCTCCCCCATGACTCCGACAGGCCTCCCACGCCCACTTACTCCTGCGGCCTATGCAGAGACCTCATGTAAATCAAATCACGTCCCCATTGGTTTCTGTCTAAAGTTCTCTCCCACCAACTCTCAGCTCGCTTTGCATTTCCTTTCGGCCACTCACCATAAGTTACAATTATTTTCATTTATTTATGCACGAGTTTCTTTATCTGTTTCTTCTATTAGAATTAAGGCCATGGGGCTGGTCATGGTGGCTCACGCCTGTAATCCTAGCCTTTGGGAGGCCGAGGCGGGCGGATCATGAGGTCAGGAGATCGAGACTATCCTGGCTAACACGGTGATACCCTGTCTCTACTAAAAAAAAAAATACAAAAAATTAGCTGGGGCGTGGTGGCGGGTGTCTGTTGTCCCAGCTACTTAGGAGGCTGAGGCAGGAGAATGGTGTGAACCTGGGAGGCGGAGCTTGCAGTGAGCCGAGATGGCGCCACTGCACTCCAGCCTGGGCGACAGAGCAAGACTCTGTCTCAAAAAAAAAAAAAAAAAAAAAAAAGAATCAAGGCCATGGGAGGCGAATAGTTACACGGCCAGACCCTTGAGTTGGTTGGAATAATTCCAACTCTCCACTACAACCTGAGAAGCCCTGGGCAAGTCACTTATTCTCTCTCTTCTTCAGTCTTCTCATCTGCAGAATGAGAGATGACAATAGAACCTATTTACTTCAGGCCGGGCGCGGTGGCTGACACCTGTAATCCCAGCAGTTTGGGAGGCTGAGGCGGGAGGATCACGAGTTCAGGAGATCGAGACCATCCTGGCCAACATGGTGAAACCCCATCTCTACTAAAAATACAAAAATTATCCAGGTGTGGCGGTGTGTGCCTATAGTCCCAGGTACTTGGGAGGCTGAGGCAGGAGAATTGTTTGAACCTGGGAGGTGGAGACTGCAGTAAGCCAAGATCACGCCACTGCACTCCAGCCTGAGTGACAGAATGAGACTCCATTTCAAAAAAGATAGATAGACAGATAGATAGATGATAGATAGATAGATAGATAGATAGATAGATAGATAGATAGAGATATATACTTTTTTTTAAATTCATAGACAGGGTTTTGCCATGTTGCCTAGGCTAGTCTCAAACTCCTGGGCTCACAAGATCCTCCTGCCTCAGCCTCTGCAGTAGCTGGGACCAGAGGTGTACGCCACCATGCCCAGCTATATATGTTTATATTTTGTAGCGATGGGATCTCCCTATGTTGCCCAGGCTGGTCTCAAACTCCTGATCTCAAGCAATCCTCCCACCTCGGCCTCCCAAAGTGCTGGGATTACAGGTGTGAGCCACTGTGTGCCCAGTCAAATTTTTTTTTTTTTTTTTGAGGCAGAGTCTCGCTCTGTCACAGAGGCTGGAGTGCAATGGTGAGATCTTGGCTCACTGCAACCTCCACCTCCCAAGTTCAAGAGATTCTCCTGCCTCAGCCTCCTAAGTAACTGGGATTACAGGCATGAGCCACGATGGCCAGCAATTTTTTGTATTTTTAGTACAGACAGAGTTTCACCATGTTGGCCAGGCTGGTCTTGAACTCCTGACCTCAAGTGATCCACCTGCCTTGGCCTCCCAAAGTGCTGGGATGACTGATGTGAGCCACTGCACCCGGCCTATAAATAAATATATATTTTTAAATATTTATTTATTCCCCATCTAATCTTATAGACGGCCTTATCTAAGGCTCTCTTATTTATTTATTTATTTTTGAGACGGAGTCTTGCTCTGTCTCCCGGGCTGCAGTGCAGTGGCATGATCTTGGGTCACTACAACCTCTGCCTCCTGGGTCCAAGCGATTCTCCTGCCTCAGCCTCCCAAGGAGCTGGGACTACAGGCATGTGCCACCATGCCTGGCTAATTTTTGTATTTTTAGTGGGGATGGGGTTTCACCATGTTGGCCAGGCTGGTCTCAAACTCCTGACCTCAGGCGATCCACCTGCATCGGCCTCCCAAAATGCTAGGATTACAGGCAGAAGCCACTGCACTCGGCCAATAAATATTTTCTTAAAAGATACTATGTGACCGTGCTTAAATCAGGGTCTCAAGCATAGGAAGTGCTCAATAAAGATTGCTATCATCATCATTTGCATTATTATAAATTACAAGTGGACGCTCCCTCTTACAACATACGCACACTTCACCAGCAGCCAGCGCAGTGCCTGGCACACATAATGGATGTCTAGTCAATCTGTGTTAAGTGAATGATTCCCGATCTCCTACCAACACTTCCAACTTCCTGGGGTTAGCTGGGTCCTGAGGGCCAAGTGGACCACGGCCCAGACCAGCCAAAGTTTTCATTGCTTGGCCACACTTGCAGTGGAGCTTTTCTGATCTTTGGTTAGTGGGCTTGAGAACTTAGGGCACCCAGGGAAGCATTTGCCAACTACCTAATCCAGCAAACCATGGCATTCTATGTTTCCTCCTTGGATCCAGACCCCAGACCACTAGACCCCTAGAGCTTCCCCGAGGTGGCAGGCCCAGGTGCATTCATTTTTTGTGAGTTTCATCTTCCCTCTTACATCACACCTGCTGCCTTCTGTTCTTCAGAGCCCGTGAGTATGAAGTCACTGCTGAGATGGCCTGGGATGTATCTGGAAAGGGCAAGGAGGATCAGGCATCCAGCCAAAAGTTGGATACACCCTGAGTGAGGATGGGGAAGGTGCGCTGCTGCCCTTCTGGGTAAAGGTCAAAGCTCCTGGAAGTCAGATTCAACAGAGACCAAGACAGACAGATTGGTTAAACTGATGACTACATATCAAATGTAGCTGTGCCACATCTGCTCCAAGGAGGCATTTCTGTCCAGAATATCAGCTGAGACTGAAATTGGCTAGTTCTCAGTAACCCATGGTCACAGTCCAAAAGATAGATGTATTTTTCTTTTTTCTTTTTTTCTTTTTTTTTTTTGAGACGGAGTCGCGCTCTGTCACCCAGGCTGGAATCCAGTGCCGCAATCTCGGCTCACTGCAGCCTCCGTCTTCTGGGTTCAAGTGATTCTTCTGCCTCAGCCTCCCGAGTAGCTGGGATTACAGGTGTGTGCCACCACGCCCCACTACTTTTTTGTATTTTTGGTAGAGACGGAGTTCCACTGTGTTAGCCAGGATGGTCTCGATCTCCTGACCTTGTGAGCCACCCACCTCGGCCTCCCAAAGTGCTGGGATTACAGGCATGAGCCACTGCGCTTGGCCATAGATGTATTTTTCTTCTCTTTTTAAAAAACATATAAAATAAAACGGACCAAAATACGAATACTTTTTTCAGTAGAATAGTTTCAATTTATGTGTTATAAAAGCACAATACAGGCTGGGCGCAGTGGCTCATGCCTATAATCCTAGCACTTTGGGAGGCCAAGGTAGGCAGATCACTTGAGGTCAGGAGCTCAAGACCAGCCTGGCCAACAGGGCAAAACCTTGTCTGTACAAAAAATACACGCCTGTAGTCCCAGCTACTTGGGAGGCTGAGGTGGGAGGATCGCCTGAGTTTGGGAGGTTGAGGCTGCAGTGAGCCATGATTGTACCACTACACTCCAACCTGGGTGACAGAGTGAGACCCTGTCTCAAAAGAAAAAAGCACAATACATTATAAAAGACAATAACATTGTGCTATAAAAGACTGCAAAAGTGGGCCGGGCGTGGTGACTCACACCTGTAATCCTAGCACTTTGGGAGGCCAAGGTGGGCAGATCACCTGAGGTCAGGGGTCTGAGACCAGTCTAGCCAACATGGTGAAACACTGTCTCTACTAAAAATACAAAAATTAGTCGGGGGTCGTGGTACGTGCCTGTAATCCCAGCTACCGGGAGGCCGAGGCAGGAGAATTGCTGGAACCCAGGAGGCAGAGGCTGCCGTGAGCCGAGATCGTGCCACTGCACTCCAGCCTGGGCAACAGAGCGAGCCCGTCTCAAAAAGAAAAAAAAAAGAAAAGAGAAAAAAAGACTGCAAAAAGTATAGAGACTATTTTAATAAAGATCAAATTCCTGTTGGGCATGGTGGCACAAGGCTATAATCCCAGCATCTGGGGAGGCCAAGGCCAGAGGATTGCTTGAGGCCAGGATTTCCAGACCAGTCCCGGCAGCATACCGAAACCCCTATCTTTAGTTAAATTAAGTTTAAAAAAAATGTTTTTTGAGACAGGATCTCACTCTGTCACCCAGGCTGGAGTTCAGTGCTGTGATCACGGCTCACTGCAGCCTTGACCTCCCGGGCCCAAGTGATCCTCCTTCCTCAGCCTCCTGAGTAGCTGGGACTACAGGCATGCACCACCACATTTTTCATTTGTTTTATTTTAAGAGACAGGGTCTCACTATGTTACCCAGGCTGGTCTCAAATTCCTGCGCTCAAACGATTCTCTTGCCTCAGCCTCCCAAAGTGCAGTGCTGGGATTATAGGTGTGAGCCACCTCGCCCAGCCTAATTTTAAAAAGATCAAGTTCAAACCTCCATAATTAACTTCTGAGATGAAAACATAATCATGTAGAAACTCAAACAATGTGGACATACATGAAGTCAGGAGTAGGAGTGCCCTCTGTTGCTTTCCAAAGCCAAACTGGGAAACCACGGGTAGGAGTGCTAGGACTCCTCGTCATGCTTAAGGTGGTGGTGCTGGTGGTTTCTGGGACTCTCCCAGCAGTGGGGTATAATGGAAACTCAAATCTGACCTTGAACCTGGACCTCGGTTTTGAGCCCCAGATTCGGGTAGCCAGGTGTCTTACCAAGCAGTCCACTTAGATAACTTCCCAACACCTCAAACTCAACATAGCCCAAGCTGACCATACCATCTATCTTCCCAAAGCACCTTTTTCACCTATGTCTCCATCTCCGTGCGTGGCATTACCCAGGAGAGGACCTTTCTTCTCCTTCAATTCAGCCAGTCACTGGGTCCTGTTCAAATCTTCCTGCCGGCCACCCCTCAATGTTGCCGTCTTCTCCTGTTCCAACTCTGCCTCTGCCTAAGGTCTCTTCTTGCCTGGGCAGTGCCCTAAGTGGTCTTATCATAAGTATACTTGCTGTTCTCCTATCTAGTTACTTTAGTATCCCTCATCCCTAGTGGAGTCTCTGAGGCATAGCAGGGTCTCAATTAATATTGAATAAATGAATGCACAGTTTATTATCTTAGTGTGCAGGGGGCTCCAGTGGCCTCTACCTGTAATAGCCCTTGGGTCAGAAGGCAATATGGGAACTCTGAGTGTAAGTTACCCTCTTAGGAACCAGGAAAATAGCCTAGGTGCTCTGTGGGCAAGTCCTGCAGTAAAACACTTGGGAGGGAAAAACACCTGGGAGGGCAAAACACCTGGGAGGGCAGAAAATGAAATCTACACTTTATTATTTGCCTATTAGTGAGAGAAACTGCCACATAAAAGTTGCCCATCACTTTTTATCTAGCTGGTATTAAGACACAAGTGGCTGAGCGCGGTGGCTCACGCCTGTAATCCCAACACTTTGGGAGGCCAAGGCAGGAGGTTCACCTGAGGTCAGGAGTTCAAGACCAGCCTGCCCAACATGGCGAAACCCCCCGTCTCTACTAAAATACAAAAATTAGCCAGGTATGGGGGCAGGTGCCTGTAATCCCAGCTACTCGGGAGGTTGAGGCAGGAGAATTGCTTGAACCCAGGAGGTGGAGGTTGCAGTGTACTGAGATCAGAGGTGGAGTTTGCAGTGAGCCAAGATCATGCCATTACACTCCAGCCTGGGCGATAAGAGTGAAAATTCATCTCAAAAAAAAGCCAAAACACAAGTACCTCTTTTCTGTACAAATACTTTTTTATTTAATTAATTAATTTTTTAGACACGAAGTCTTGCTGTATTGCTTAGGCTGGCCTCAAACTCCTGGATCAAGCGATCCTCCTGTCTCAGCTTCCTAAAGTTCTGAGATCACAAGTGTGTGCCACTGTGCCTGGCCAACAAGTATTTCTTTTTTTTTCTTTTCTTTTTTTTTTTGAGAGAGAGTCTCACTCTGTCGCCCAGGCTGGAGTGCAGTGGCGCAATCTTGTCTCACTGCAACTTCGCCTCCCGGGTTCAAGAAATTCTCTCGCCTCAGCCTCCCAAGCAGCTGGGACTACAGGCGCGTGCCACCGTGCCTGGATAATTTTTTGTATTTTTAGTAGAGAGGGGGTTTCACCGTGTTAGCCAGGATGGTCTCGATCTCTTGACCTCGTGTTCCGCCTGCCTCAGCCTCCCAAAGTGCTGGGATTATAGGCGTGAGCCACCGCGCCAGGCCGCCAACAAGTATTTCTTATGTTGTTTGGACCTAACTTTTTTTTTTTTTTTTTAAAGCAGGGTCTCTCTCTCTCTCTCTCTGTTACCCAGGCTGGAATGCAGAGGCATGATCTCGACTCACTACAACCTCCACTTCCTGGGCTCATGTGATCCTCCCACCTCAGCCTCCTGAGTAGTTAGAACCACAGATACATGCCACCACACTCCGCTAGTATTTTTGTATTTTTTGTTTGTTTGTTTTTAGAGACAGGACTTTGCCATGTTGCCTGGACTGGTCTCGAACTTCTGAGCTCAAGTGATCTGCCCGTCTCGGCCTCCCAAATTGCAGGCGTGAGCCACTGCATTATGAAATGGAACTGTGGAGTAATTCTTTCATGACATTCATAGGCCAAAAAATACCTAACAGCAGTTCGATAGTGTCATGAAAAAATTACTATGTTGTTGGACCTATTTATGAAATGAAATTGTTAGGTATTTTTTGGCCAATGGTGTCAGGAAAAAATTACTGAGACACCCAAGACAAGTGAAGGAGAGTGTTCGAAGCCTCTACCTCAGGGATGTGGTGGGCTTCAGACGTCAGTTTCTGCTGATTCAGCTCTCCCCGTGATCAGTTTCTGGACTCTGTCTTCAGGGATCCCCAGAGCCAGCTAAAGCAGATGGTGTCTTTGATAGCAGCTTCCTGCACCATCCTGAAGATACTCATAGGCTTCAAGCAGGAAACCTTAGTTTTCCTCATATAGAATCCTTCCTCCTCTATAGTATCTCTGCTTTTCAAATGAGGAGGCAAACATAGAGCAATAAAGGAATGTCCCTGAGCTCCCCCAGCCATTAAGCAGTGGAGCTGGCATGCAAACAAGGCTGATGCAGAGTGCTAGCTCTTACCACTGTGCTAGTTGGCCTCCCAGAAAAATCACTGGACTCACTGAAACCAGGCTAACACATGAGCCAACAGATGCCCCAAGGCCGCACCTCGCCTGGGCACATGGTCCAGATCCCACGATCCCAGCAAATGCTTTATTTACCAGCATCACCTGCCAAAGCCACAGACGACAAACTCTCCTTGGGGGAAGAAGGCTTCAATCTCTCTGGTCAATCTCAGTGCCGTCAGCCTCTCTGAGAGTCTGCGTCTTGCAGCCTCACCCTTAAAAGTGAGTTTCCCAGGGTGTGGGCATTTTCTTTTCTTTTCTTTTTTTAAACAGAGTTTCACTCGTCACCCAGGCTGGAGTGCAGCTCACTGCAACCTCCACCTTCTGGGTTCAAGCGATTCTCCTGCCTCAGCCTCCTGAGTAGCTGGGATTACAGGTACCCTCACCATGCCTGGCTAATTTTTGTATTTTTAGTAGAGACATGGTTTCGCCATGTTGGCCAGGCTGGCCTCGAACTCCTGACCTTAAGTCATTCCCCACGCCTCAGCCTCCCGAAGTGCTGGGATTACAGGCGTGAGTCACCGCGTCTGGCCAGGTGTGGGCATTTTCTGATTAGAGACTTGGCTATCACATATGGACTGGCTTTGCTGTAGGGGGTAAAGATCACAGGATCTGCCTGGGTTCAAACCCCCACTTACTAGTTGGTCAACTAGGGCAGATGGCTTAATGCAGTTAGGCAAGTGCCTTCAGCTTCCTACTCTGTAAATTGTGGTAAGAACGGCACTTACTTCTTGGAGGTTGTTATGAATCTTACATGGATTAAGCCAAGTAAAGCCCTTAAAAAAGGACCGGGCATGTAAGAAGTGCTTCAAGGCTGGGCATGGTGGCTCATGCCTGTAATCCCAGCACTTCGGGAGGCTGAGGTGGGTGGATCACCTGAGGCGAAGAGTTCGAAACCAGCCTGACCAACATAGTGAAACCCCGTCTGTATTAAAAATACAAAAATTAGCCGGGCGTGGTTGTGGGTGCCTGTAATCCCAGCTACTTGGGAGGCTGCGGCAGGAGAATCGCTTGAACCTGGGAGGCGGAGGTTGCAGTGAGCCGAGATGGCGCTATTGCACTCCAGCCTGAGCAACAAGAGAGAAACTCCGTCTCGAAAAAACAAAAACAAAAACAAAAAACAAAAACAAAAACAAAACAGAAGTGCTTCAAGCATTCACTATTATTATCGTCAGTATTTAGCGCTAAACCCTATTTACATTTGTAATGGCTAGTGCACGAGCATTGGAACCTGGTCTGGAAAGTATCCCTCTCCCCAGGCCTGATTTGCCCGGAGGTGGGTAAGGGCAAGGTTGGCAGCTAAGGCAGGAAGCAAAGGGCCCAACTGGAGCTCAGTGGTGTCAACTCCCTTCCTCCTCAAGGGTTGCTCCCTGTCTGTCCCACTAATGTTTGAAAAATATTTTACTGGGTTCCTAGCCCTGAACTTCAGCGTCTCCTGCCCTCCAGGCTGTTATTTTCAGAGGTAGAGATGAGAGCTGAGATAGGGTCTCCCTTGAGACACTGTCCCTAAAAACTACGACCTTCAGCTCCTAATTGAGGGCTTCCCCGCCCAAACCCACCCCTTCGCAACACAGCCCCCAGGGAAGGTGTCTAGCCTTTGGAGCACTAGGTGGGGGCGGGGGAAACCTGGTCCTAGGAATTCTAGGCCGCCAGATGAGAGGCGATGCTTTCGCCCTCCAGGCGAAAGGATTTGTCGGGGAGAGACAGCAAGAGTTCGACCAGCCAGCCACTTTAGAGATTGTCAGGGGCGCTCAGCTCATAGGGTGGCTCGAGGGCCAGTGCGAAGCTCCCTTAGGGACGAATTTCCACATACGACGAAAGGCATCTGCGAAAGGATGGGCTGTCCCGTGGGGGGAGTCGGCAGATATTTAAGTAACACTAACATTTAACGAATTAAGCAGCTATTTCTATTTACTGAGCAATTAGTACGCTTTGAGAGAGAGGCCCTACCGAGGCCTCGCGGTGGCTGTAAGTCCGTGGGGCCGAGGCCAGGTGGCGCCAAAGGCCCATCGACGCCATCTGCCCGGCTGTCCGGGCCCAGTCTCCGGGCTCGCCCAGAGAACCCGAAATCTGGACAAACGGAAACCGTAGGTGGAGGAAGAAGAGGGCTCCAGGGCCAGGTTCAAGGGCATCGTGGTGAGAGATGAGGGGTTCGGAGGACTGGTGGATCTGGGCATATCGCGAAGGTGGTAAGGGACCCAGGGGTGGAGTGGGCGGTGCTTGCGCCAAGAGGGTGAGCCTGAGTGTGGGCGGGGCGTGCGATAAGAGGCTCGCTCGGTAGCGCTCTTCGCAGAGCCGTATTTGTGCGCTACGCCGCAGCCAGGGCGCTCTGGGTGGGCGGGACTCCAGGGCCCCCAGGGGCGTGGCTTGCATCTTTCGTGGGCGGCCCCGGGGGCGGGGCTCCGTGTAGGTGAACCGCTACCTCCGCTCGATGTGTGAGGTGTGACAGTCCTACGAGGGCGCAGTTCTTCCACTTTTGTGAGCTTGAGAGGGGGCGGAGCTTGTAGCTGGGGACGGAGCCTGAAGAGGAGGTTGAGGGGAACTTCACACGTTTCCCTGGAGGGCGGAGTTTACATCATCCCCCAACAGAGTTAAGACCTCTGAGGGATTCCCTGCAGTGTCCAGGGCTCTGTGAGGCGAAGCTTGCAGTTGTGTTGGGCGGGGCCTGTAGCGCCGCGTGAAGAGAATGTGTAAACTCGGGGCGAAGTTCATACCTCCTAGAAGCCGAGACTAATAGTTCCGCCAATCTGCGCGCGCCGAGCGGAGGAGGTGGGGCTTGTAGGTTGTGGGCGGGGGACTGGGCGGGGCCAAGAGGGCAGGGGGCGGGCACAATCGCTGCTGGAATCTTTGAGTTGGCAGGGGCGGGGCTTGTGGCTTTGTGGGCGGGGCCTCTGGAGAGCTCCCGGGGGCTCTCTTCTGTTCTGCAGCGAGTAGGCGTGGCTCGTAGCTCCCAGGTCCGGGCTGATACCGCTGGAGTATGCAGTTCGCCGCCGCGCCCGAATGAGGCGGGGCCTGCGAGTAAGTGGGCTGAGCCCGGGCTGGGCGCAGGCCGGGGCTCTGCCCTGGGAGGCCGTCTGTTTAGGCCCGCACGCAGCTCCGCATCTGGTGCTCATTACCAGATGACAAAGAGCCGGCTCTGGGCCCCCTTCCCCACTCCCATCCCCCGCCTCCGACTGCAGTGTATTTAACTGTTTCCTGCCCTCGAGGCGCTCTAGATCCCTACCCGAGGTCACGGAGGGGACTCCAGACCATCCCGTCTCTGCAGGCCTTGTCGCTCCCCAGGCTTCCTCACCTCCTTCCCAGACTCAGCCGTCTGGGCCGCCTCGCAACCCTCATTGGCATCCAGCAAACCTGCCCGACGGCGTCTCCGAGGTTAAAGCTGTGCAGGATCTGGCGGGGACGTCTGGTTTGAGTTAGGGGAACGTGAGAGCGGGGACCGGGGGCGGTGCGTAGCGTTCCCTCCGCCCCCTCCGCGACCCCCTGGTTCATCCCCAGCTCCGGCCCCTCCTTTCCTGGTTCCCTGGGGCCCAGCTCAGCCTTCCAGCTCAGGTCCAGGCCCGAAGGGGGCGCTGGGCCACTCCTCCTCGCCTGCCCGGGTGGTCGTGGCGGCTCTGCCCCGTCCTAATTAGAGGCCCCCAAGAGGCTGTAACTGAAAAATTACAGAGGCGGTGGGAACTGGCGCCTCCCCTCCCCAGGTCTCACCCCCGCCCCCCAAGGCAGTGAGCACGAAATGAGGGAGGTCACTCCCACCAGGCTGTGATCTTTGACCAGGCCCTCCAGTTCCTGGGACACTTCAGTCCTGAGCAGCCGGAGCCCTCGCTCAAGCTCAGGTCTGCTGAGCTCTGTCTGTCCCCCACCACCCCCAGCCAACATGGACAAGAGCAACGTGCGGCCCTGGCAAAAGGAGGCCTTGCTCCTGCGGCTGTCCAAGCAGTTAGCATGGGATCTCTCCCAGGTTCCCGGCCTTTCCCATCCCAGCCTCCTCCCCGGAGCAAGCGGAGGAATGCCTCCAAGAGCACCCACAAACCAGGGGTTGGCAGTCCCCTTGAGTTACCCTGAGCCCCAGCCCCCAACTTCCGCGAAGCTTACAGGGATGGGAAGGGAAGTGTCTGAAGAAAGGAGCAACTCACCCACTAGACCCCTCCTTCACTCCTCTGAATCACCAGCCCCAGAGCCTACTTTGACCCCTAAACCCCAGTCCGGTTCAGCAGATGCCCTAATTCCACAACCGTCCCCCAGATTCAGCCCCACCTTCTTGGAGCTTTGGTAAAATAAGGAATAAATATGAAATTCTCCCCATGCCAAACCTCCCACTGCTGGGCTCAACTGTGTGACCTTGGGCAAGGCTCTGCCCTCTCTGGGCTCCTGCTTCCCTGAGAATCTCTGAGGCATACCCTCCCTTAAAGGGATCTTACCTTATCTCTTTGAGGACTCAGACAAACTGAAGGAAGATCCCCTCCTTTTTGCTGAGTCCTCCCAGAACCTCCCTTAAGCACCAGTGGGGGTCAGAAGCCTTGGGTAAGGTTGACACCCCATTTATTGGAGAAGACCCCAGCACCCGCCCCCTGAGGTCTTAAGGGCTTTGGTGTATCCTTGGTCACGAGCGCTGGGCCAGGAAGCAGAGTTCCTGAGAGCCAAGTCTAGTGGTTGAGAGAGGACCCTGGCTGGGCCTGGGGAGCAGGAAGCCATCTGTCCAGCTGGGCAGCCCCCATGGGTCCCTGGTGCAGCCCCGGCCATGTGTCCAGCGCCCCATACTCCATGAGGGGGGTCTGCACCCCATCACACGCTGGTTCTGCAGGTCTGCACCCCTGTGAGGCTGCCCCTGGGGGGCATGGGTTCTGTTGGGCTCTTGCTCCCAGCATGGATGACCCAGCGATAGCAGTCAGTGATGCGCTTGTTGGGTGCATGGGGGCCACAGCGGGTGCAGTACACGATGCCCAGTGCAAGCAGGACCACCAAAAAGACACACGTTGGCACCAGGAGTGCCACCAGCAGCCACCGGTCATCCCTCTGGCTGTGCTCGGCAAGACCAGCCTCCCCCAGGGCTGTTGGGGCTGCTGTGGGAGCTGGTGAGGGCAGCCACAGGGCCAACTTGGGACTGGGGCCATCTTCCCTTGGGATTTGGGGGGCTTTGGAATGGGGATGTGTAGGGCTGATGGGTGAGGTCTGGTTAGTGGGGCTCTGAGAGGGCAGGAGGGTGGGGAGGGCTGCGGGCTGGGTGGCAGCAGGCACAGAGATTTGATGGGCAGGAGACACAGGGGACCTGGAGGTGGTGGTCAGAGAGGGCTGGGCAGTTGGGATAATGGGAAGCTGGGTGGCCTGGGTTCTGAGGACAAGGGCATCTGGGGCTTGAGGGGGTAGCTGGGCACCGAGGGTGGTGACCAGAGGGGCATGGTTAGGTGGGATTCCAGGCAAATGAGTGGTGGTCTGGGTGCCAGCGACCCGGGTGTCTGGAAACATGGGGGACTGGTGGGCAGGGAAGAGCTCCGGATATTTGGTTGAGATCATAGGGGGCTGGTGGGCAGGAGGCTGTGCTGAATGAGAGACAGAGAGAATACCGGGTTGGTAGGCAGAAGGCAGATCTGGATAGTTGGCTGCGATCACGGGGATCTGGTGGTCACGGGACAAAGCTGGGTGTGTGGCAGGGATCACAGGAGGCTGGTGGGCAGAAGGCAGTGTGGGATGCGTGGCAGAGACCACCACAGGCCGGGTGACGGAGAGCACTGAGGAGTGGTAGGGGACCCTGGGGGCACTGAGCGGGGGTGGCCAGGTGGGCTCCGGGTAGGGTATCTGTGGCTCTCTGTCCTCTGGGAAGCTCGGTCTATAGGCCAGGGCAAAGTCAGGCGGCTGCGTAGGCTCCATCCACAGGATCCCAGGCATCTCCGTCCAGCCACCGTTGAAGGCCTTCCAGGCCTCGTCTTCATCTTCCTCATCCTCCCCGTCATCCAGCAACTCATCTCCGAGGTCCTGGGAAGCCTGGGCACCCATGGCCCCTGCAGGGCTGCAGCTGATGCCATCAGCCTCCAGCTCATGTCCCTCGCTACAATAACACTCGAAGCCACCAACGTAGTTGACACACATCTGCTGGCACACACCGGCAATCTGGCACTCATCTGTGTCCACACAGCGGTGCGGATCATCCTCCGCTGGCCGGAAACCCAGGCGACAGTGGCAGCTGTAGCCTTGTGGCCCACCGGGCTCACACTGCTGCTCGCACGGAGCCTGGGCACAGGGGTCCTCGCAACTGCGCCCGTCTGCTGCCAGCCGGAAGCCCTCAGTGCAGCGGCAGGACACGTGACCATCCACCTCCTCCACACATTCGTGTTCGCAGCCCCCGTTGTCAGGGCTGCAGCCAGTCCCCAGGCACAGGGGCCCAGCCCGTGACCAGCCCACACCTCCCTCAGGCTGCTTCACGCAGAGCAGAGAGGCTCCCCTGCCAGCCTGGCACTGCACAGCGGCCACAGAGCCGAAGGGCAGCCACTCAAACTCTGTGGAGACCAGGTGGAAGGGCGTGGTATACACGGCTGGGCCGGCCTGGCCCGCCTCATCTTGCAGCGCCGGGCAGGCGCCCTCGAAGCCAAACTGGCACAGGTAGCCGTCGACAGCCAGCGTGCACGAGCCCTCCAGCCAGCGGTGCTCGCCACTTGCCTCCAGGGCCACACAGCGCTGGGCCGGGCAGGGGCCTCCAGAGGCTGGCTGGGCCCAGTTGGTGAAAGCCGTGTCCTGGTCCCCTGTGGTCCACGTGAAGCCGCGCAGTGGGCGCTGCAGCTGGCATTGCCGGGCCTGCCGCTGCAGCCCGATCCACAGCAGCCGGCTGGCTGGGCCCGCACCCACCAGGCTGTCCACACGCTGGGCCTCCTCGGGGGTCCGAGGAGTGGCCAGGTCGCCCCCCAGCTCGCGGCAGGCCCGCCAGGCCTCCAGGAAGGTGCGGCGCCGTGGGAAGAGAGCGTAGCAGCTGCTGGGGCCGCAGGCGGCACGGGGCTCAGCAGCCCAGGGGTCCTGGCCCAGTGTGGGCCCTGCGGCCGCCCAGGCCAGCAACAGGCGCAGCAGCATCGCGATGCCCCCGGACTGGTCCGGCCCCGGGCTGGCGGCAGCTCTTGACAGGGGGAGGGCCTGGGGCCTCCTGCGGGCGGGCCGGGGGCGGGCCTGGGGCCGGGCTCAGGCCTTGTAAGGAGTGGGCTGGGGCGGCTGCCAGCTCCCTGCTCCCTCTTCCCCGGGGGCCGCTAGAGCAGGAAGCAGTGGGGTGGGGGGCTCTAAGGTTGGGGGCGGAGGAGGGGAGAAGGCGCAGTTGACGGCTGCCCCAGGCCCCATGGGGCTGAGAGTCAGGGGGTGGGAAAAGCCTGCCTGCCGAGCTCTGTGACCCTCAAGTTGGGGCTCGGGGCTGTGGGGTGAGGTCGCTTCCCAGAGACTCAGAGACCCAAATCTGGACACAGCAGCCCCATCACACCCGGGAGCAGTCTCAGCCCAGCTGCTCGCCATGCACGGGAACACCCTCATGCCCACTCCTTTCTTGCCCCACAGACGCGCGCATGCGCCTCCCCCACCCCCAACCCCATGCAAGAGTGCACTCTCTGCCAAGCTGTTTGTCCCTTCACCTCACCGTGGACCTATGCTGGCTTGCAGATGACTCCCTTGCCACACGTACACACATTCTGACATGCTGAGACCCTAGGTGCACATACAAAAATGGTGTGGCATTCTACATGGCCTGACATATGAAGACCTCCGATTCGGCCTGAATGGAAACAGCTTGGTCACCCAGGCACAGGCATCCTCAGCCTCTCATTTATTTACTGAGCCCCTGCGTCAGCCTCTCCCCCTATACTCAAGCTTTCTGGTTCCAGCTGGGCCAGCGTGTGGGGGTGTTGGGGGAGTGAGGGGGCCAGGGGCTGCCCTCCCCTCACCCCAGCTCAGCCTGGGGCCCTGGGAACCTGGGCTTAGAGGGGGAGGAGGCAGCCCCTAAACAGGAAATGCCTCTCTGGGCTCCTGCGTCAGGAAGGCAGGGTGCGTGGTTTAGGGGGCTGGGTGGGGGCTGGGCTGCACGCAGGATGTGGAAGGCTGTGAGGGGACCCATGCAAGGCCATGTATGGGCATGGGGCACACAGTGACATATATGTGTATATGTGACACAGGCATCACGTGTGTGGAGCCCTCCCTGCCCCCGGGGCCTGCTGTTTCGGCCTGGCCAGGGTCCTCTTCCCGCCCTTCCTGGAGGCCTCTGGAGGCATGTGCACTGAGCCCATCATCCAGGATGGCCTCTGGGGAGCTGGCTGGCGGATTAACCCATGCACACCCGCTGCACTCTTAGCAGAAGTTAGAAACAGTGTGGGGAGGTGGGGGAGAGGTTCCGCCCTTCAGTAAACTGCCCTGATGCAGCTTCCCCCTCTGCCACAGATGGATCGACTTTGTGACTGCAGGGGAGTCACTGGCCCTCTCTGGGTCTCCTTTTTTCTCAGTTGCAACATGAGGGCAATGAGTCCAGGATTTTTAGCTCAGCAGGGCTGAGATATTGCGTCACAGCGCTCAGTGTTTGCAAATGTGCTTTGTCAGCTGTGGAGCCTGAAGCAAATGTTCCTGTCTTCTGAGCATATGTGGTGGGTGGAGACCAGGGTGCGTTTTTGCAAACCACCTTACAGTGCCTAGGCTGGCCCTGCAGACCCAGCCAGCCCCTCGAGAACCAGGGCTTAGGAAGTTCTTGCCATATGCCTGGAAGTTCCTTCTTACAAGGTCTATACATGTGAAGCACACAGAATGACTCCCCTTCTCAGGAGACAAAAGTCAAGATGGAGGAGTTCATCCTTCTGTTGGCTCAGGCCCCAAACCTTGAGGTCATGCTTGACTCCTCTCTTTCTCCCACAGCCCACATCCAGTCTCTCAGCAAATCCTGTTGGCTTCACTTTCAAAAGAGATCCAGAATCTGACCACTCCTGGACACCTTCTTTGCCACCCACCCCCGGCCCAGGTGGCTAGCAACGCCAATCTAGATTTCCCCAACAGCCTCTCCCGTGGTGTCTCTCTTGCCCTCTCCATCCTGCCAGAGGGATCCTTTCAAAATCCAAGTCAGATCTGATCACTTCTCCATTCAGAACCCTCTGAGCCCCCCATCTCGCTTAGAGGAAGGGCCACAGTCCTTGCCATGGCCTCCTGGTCTATGTCATCTGCCTCCAAACTCTGGCCTCATTGCTGTTCCTTAAATGCTCCAGACACTCTGCCTCACAGCCTTGGTCTTGGCTGTTCCTGCTGCCTGGAATGCTCTTCCTCCAATATAAAAATGCTCTGCTTCTTTACCTTCTCCAGGGCTCAGCTCAAGTACCAGAGTCCTTGACCATCTCACCCCACCCCACACCGCCCCCTGGGGCTCCTTGACCACTGGATCTTCCTGCATTTTCTCGCTCTGCACTTATCACTATCTGACATTAAATATATTTACTTGTGAAATTAGTTGGACGTGGTGGTGCACCTGTAATCCCAGCTACTCGGGAGGCTGAGGCAGGAGAATCATTTGAACCTGGGAGGTGGAGGTTGCAGTGAGCCAAGATTGCGCCACTGCACACTCCAGCCTGGGCGACAGAGCAAGACTGTGGAAAAGAAAAGAGGAGAGGAGAGGAGGGGAGGGGAGGGGAGAGGCGAGCGGGAGAGAAAAAGAAAAGAAGGAAAGATGTTGGGAACAAGCCCCCCAAAATTTGGCCATAAACTGGCCCCAAAACTGGCCATAAACAAAATCTCTGCAGCACTGTGACATGTTCATGATGGCCATAACGCCCACACTGGAAGGCTGTGGGTTTACCAGAATGAGAGCAAGGAACACCTGGCCCCGCCCAGGGCGGAAAACCGCTTAAAGGCATTCTTAAGCCACAAACAATAGCATGAGTGATCTGTGCCTTAAGGACATGCTCCTGCTGCAGTTAACTAGCCCAACCTATTCCTTTAATTCAGCCCATCCCTTCGTTTCCCATAAGGGATACTTTTAGTTAATTTAATATCTATAGAAACAATGCTAATGACTGGCTTGCTGTTAATAAATACGTGGGTAAATCTCTGTTCGGGGCTCTCAGCTCTGAAGGCTGTGAGACCCCTGGTTTCTCACTTCACACCTCTATATTTCTGTGTGTGTGTCTTTAATTCCTCTAGCACCGCTGGGTTAGGGTCTCCCCGACCGAGCTGGTCTCGGCAGAAAGAGAGAACGAACGAAAGAAAGAAAGAGAAAAGACTTACATGTTAGACCTAAAACCATAAAAACTCTAGAAGAAAACCTAGGCAATACCATTCAGGACATAGGCATGGGCAAGGACTTGATGTCTAAAACACCAAAAGCAATGGCAACAAGAGCCAAAATTGACAAATGGGATCTAATTAAACTAAAGAGCTTCTGTACAGCAAAAGAAACCACCATCAAAGTGAACAGGCAACCTACAGAATGGGAGAAAGTTTTTGCAACCTACTCATCTGACAAAGGGCTAATATCCAGAATCTACAATGAACTCAAACAAATTTACAAGAAAAAGCAAACAACCCTATCAAAAAGTGGGCGAAGGATATGAACAGACAGTTCTCAAAAGAAGACAATTATGCAGCCAAAAAAAACACATGAAAAAATGCTCATCATCACTGGCCATCAGAGAAATGCAAATCAAAACCACAATGAGATACCATCTCACACCAGTTAGAATGGCGATCATTAAAAAGTCAAGAAACAACAGGTGCTGGAGAGGATGTGGAGAAGTAAGAACACTTTTACACTGTTGGTGGGACTGTAAACTAGTTCAACCATTGTGGAAGTCAGTGTGGTGATTCCTCAGGGATCTAGAACTAGAAATACCATTTGGCCCAGCCATCCCATTACTGGATATATACCCAAAGGATTATAAATCATGCTGCTATAAAGACACATGCACACGTATGTTTATTGCGGCACTATTCACAATAGCAAAGGCTTGGAACCAACCCAAATGTCCAACAATGATAGACTGTATTAAGAAAATGTGGCACATATACACCATGGAATACTACGCAGCCATAAAAAATGATGAGTTCATGTCCTTTGTAGGGACATAGATGAAGCTGGAAGCCATCATTCTCAGCAAACTATCGCAAGGACAAAAAAAACCAAACACCGCATGTTCTCACTCATAGGTGAGAATTGAACAATGAGAACACGTGGACACAGGAAGGGGAACATCACACACCGGTGACTGTTGTAGGGTGGGGGATGGGGGAGGGATAGCATTAGGAGATATACCTAATGCTAAATGACAAGTTAATGGGTGCAGCACACCAACATGGCAAATGTATACATATGTAACAAACCTGCACGTTGTGCATGTGTATCTTAAAACTTAAAGTATAATAATAATAAAAAAAATTTTTTAAAAAGAAAGAGAGAAAGAGAGAAGGAAGGAAGGAAAGGAGAAGAAAGAAGGGGAAGGAAGAAGGAAAGGAGAGGAAGGGAGGGGTGGGGATGGGAGGGAAAGGAAGGGAAAGGAAGAAGGGAGGGAGGGAGGAAGGAAGGAAGGAAGGAAAGGAAAGAGAGAGAGGAAGGAAGGAAGGAAGGAAGGAAGAAAGAAAAAGAAATTTACTTGTGGATTTGCTTATTGCTTATGGCCCAAATCTCCCCTAGCCAGTGTTTCTCAACCTTGGAGTTACTGGTATTCAGGCCTCGGTAATTACTTGTTGTAGGGACTGCGTGGTGCATTGCAAGGTGTTTAGCAGTGTTCCTGGCTCCTATGTAGATGCCAGTGGCATCCCTCCAGTTGGACCATCCAAAATGTCTCCAGACATTGCCAAATGTCATGTTCCCTGGAAGCAGCATCACCCCCAGGGGAGAACTTCTGCCCTTGGAGACTGTGAGCTCCATGAGAGCAGGGTTGTTATTTGGTTCCCTGCTCTATCCCCAAGCCTAGAAAGCTCCTGACTCATTCACGATGCCTCGTGAATGAGCTTCAAAGAAGTGATGAACCTGGCTCAGGGAGATGCAGTGGGGAGCTGGGATTCTTCCTGCAGCCAAAGCTCACTTGTCCCCAACACTCACTGGCCTTCCACATGAAGTCAGACCACCTCTGGCAATCGGCAGGCCTTTTTGCAGATGGGGAAACTGAGGTACAAGGAGTTTCAAAGAGTGTCGGTGGCAGGAATGGGACTAGAGCCAAGGTCTCCTTATTCTTATTCCAGTTCTCTTTTTGCTGTAGCACCCTCAGGCATCATTTGAGCAAAGTTCTGAGAGTTAGGCCTCAAGTCAAAAACCAAAGACAGGGCAGGGCACAGTGGCTCACGCCTGTAATCCCAGCACTTTGGGAGGCCAAGGTGGGCCGATCACATGAGGCCCGGAGTTCGAGACCAGCCTGGCCAATATGGTGGAACCTCGTCTCTATTAAAAATACAAAAATTAGCCCGGCGTGTTGGCGGGTACCTGTGGTCCCAGCTACTCGGGAGACTGAAGCACAAGAATCGCTTGAACCTGGAGGCGGAGGCTGCAGTGAGCCGAGATCACCCCCTGCAGTCCAGCCTGGGTAACAGAGACTCCATCTCGAAAAAACAAAAACAAGATGGGAGGAAGGCATACCAGGAAGAAGGCACAGCCTGGGCAAGACTACTGAGGTGGCAGAGCTCAAGATGGGTTTGGAGAATACAAAGGACTCCACCAGGCTGAAGTGAGGGACATTGTTAGGGACAGTAAGGAGTGGAGAAAAGGAGTAGGGGCCTGTCTTGAAAGGTGTTGAAGTTGTCCCTAAAAGTCCGGGGCTCCCTTCTGGAGGCCATGGGGAAGAGAGGCATGATGAGAGATCTCTGTGGCTTGTGTGTGGTGGGTGGAGGGGGCTTGGAGGCCAGGGACCAGTTAGGAGGCTGTTGCAATAGTCTGGGAAAGGGGAGGGAGCTGGCTGGAGAGCCCGGCGGCAGGGCGGGCCGGGCTGGGGGAGGCAGCCTCCAGAGGCTCCTTAGGGGCAGTCCTGAGCCTGGTCCAAGGGTGTGGTGAGCCCAGTCATGAGTCGGGCAATGGCCAGTACTAGGGCGTCTAAGGGGACGGATGGCTGCAGGCCGTCTGACAAGTGGGTGGATGGGATCAGAGGTCAGGAGTCCAGCCTCTGTGGGGGTGAGGGGTTGGGGGGCAAGCAGGCAAAGCAGGAGAAGAAAGGTCAAAGGCCAAATTCCAGATGTCTTGGCTGGGCCTACTTGCAAGTGGAAGGAGGCCTGAGCCAGCATGAGGGATGGAGAAGGCAGGAAGGGGCACCTCTGGCCTCTGTGAGGCTAAGCGTCTGGTGGATTGGGAATGAGACTTGGAGAGGTATCTGGTTGCTCAGTTCGGGAGGGTGCCCAGCACTCAGCAGCCTCCCCAAGGTTGTGTGAGGTAAGGTTGAGGCTGCCCAAGAACTGTTTTATCTAGTGAGGCTGGAGGATGTAGCGGGCATAGCATCAGGGATCTGGGTTTAAGGGGCTGGAGAGGGGTTGGTTGGGGTCTTGTTCTTCCTGCTAGTCTTTCAGCCTAGCAGAGAGAAGATGCTAATTGATACAATAAATGCTTGGAGGATGGGTGGGTGGATATATGGATGGATGGATGCATGGATGGATGGAGGCATGCATGAGTGGATGGACTGATGGACGGATGGATGAATGCATGCATGGATAATGAATGAGTGGGGTGGCTGGCTGGGTGGATACATGGATGTTGATCTGGGGTGGGTGTGTGGGTGGATGGATGCATGGATGGGTGAATGCATGGGTGTGTGGGTGGGTGGATACATGAGTAGATGGGTAGATGGATGAATGCATGTATGCACAGATGTATGAGTGGGTAGAAGGATGCTTGGGCAGAAGATGGATGGATGGGTGGATGGATGGATGGATAGATGTATGCATGCATAGGGCTGTATGTGGCTGGACAGATGCATGGGTGGGTGGCTGGACAGATGCATGGGTGGGTGGATGAGTGGGCAGAGGCATGCATAGATGATGCATGGGTGCGTGGTGGGTAGATGCATGAGTAGATGGGCAAATGGATGGATGCATGGGTGGGTGGGTGGATGGATGCATGCATGCATGTATGAAGGCATGGGTGGGTGGATGCATGGGTGGATAGATGGATGGATGCATGGGTGGGAGAGTGAATAGATGGATGGATGCATGGATGCATGGGTGGGTGGGAGGATGTTTACGTGGAGAATAGGTGGATGGGTGGTTGGGTGGACGGGAGGCTAAATGGAAGGATGTAGAAATGAGTAAGTGGATGGATGGATAGATGGGTAGGTGGGCAGGTGTGTGGATGAGAAGATTTTGAGATGCATGTTTGGATATAGGGCCACAGGCAGAAGTGGGAGGTCCTGAGTCATAACTAGCAGCCACCATGATGAATGACATGCTCAGAACAGAACTCCGCGGCTCTGCAGAAGTGCAGCCCAGGACAGGACAACTTAGACTACCACTGGCAGGGATCAGGTGTGATGCTTCTCGTGGTACCAAACAGCCTGTTTTCTGCTGGGTTCTGAGGCCAACATGTCTCCCTGGCTGAGGGTAGGGACGATGTACCTTCCAAGCTCAGGAGGCCAGGCTCAGCTCACATCAGGGGTCAGGAGGCTGGGGTTCCCTGCTCTGATCATGGCCCATATGAGGGGAGCTCATCTGAAGAACAGCATGAACACAGAGGCCCATGGCCTGAGAAGGAGCCTTGTCTTGCAGCTACTGGGACAGGCAAGAAGCAGATGGTGGTTTTGGATGCCATGTGTGGGCCTGTGGGGGTGAGGGTGAGGGCGGCCTGAAGAAGGGCTGGCCCAGAGAGGGCCCAGTGGAACAGCCAGGGTGGGGTATCGAGTGTGATTAGGGGACGCCCCCCAGGCAGGCGTCCTGGACGGCCTTGGCACGCCAGGCCGCTGAGCCAGCACATTGCTTTGTGTACAAATCACCTCCTTTTCTCCTTTTCTTCTGTTCCCATCCCCCACCTCCCTCCACGCCTAAATTCTTCCCAAACCACCCCAGCCTTCGGACTGTCAGGAGGAAGCTTTGATGTGTGGTGGGTGGGAGGCCACTGGTCTTGGGTGGGCGCTGGGGGGTCCCTGCCACCCAAGTCCAGGCATCTACCCCAGGCAGGAGTTGGGGAGGGAAGGGAGCGACTGCAGCCTCCTGCTCCTCCCCCCCAACCTGTGTGCTTCTGGATGGGAGATCCCTGCCGGAAGGGGAGGCAGTGGTGCTGGGGAGTGGGCCGGGTGGGAGGAATAGGCTTGGGGAAGGGGGACCCAGGAAAAGTGTGGTCCAGACCAGGCCTAGCCCCTGAGGGTAAAGGATCTTGCCGACCGAAGGGGGCTGAGGGTTGGGGGTGTATTTACCATGGTGAGAGGCCATGTTCGTGTTCCTGGATGCTTGCATGTGTGCATGTGTGTGTGCACGTGCATGTGTGTGTGCATGTGTGTGTGCGTGTGCATGTGTGTGCTTGCAAAGGCCTGGGACTGCTGTGAGTGTACAGCTGGGTGATGTGCGTGTGTCCCCGCGAGTCCACACCTGTGCCCACAGCTGTGAGGGAGCAGCATATGGCTGCCCCCAGATTGTCCAACCTGGGCCCAGCTGGGACCCCACTTCCCTCTCGTGGCAGAAGCCTGACCTGAACATCTGGCCCCATCTGCCCACAAGAAAGGGAGTCCCAGAGCACGTGTCAGAGCTAGAAGGGCCCAGGCCTCCTGCCCCAGTGTAGGAGCAGCCCTTCTCAGGGTCACAGGTTCCTCACCTGTGCAAGGGGTGCCTGTGGAGTGGACACTGTGGTCCCCGTGGTGTCTGCCAGAGGCCTACCACCCAGGGCAACCAACTCGTCCAGGTTTGCTGACCACTTTCTTGGTTTCAGCACTGAAAGTCCCATGTCCTGGGACACCCTCAACACCCCTGCCAATCCCAGGAAATCGAGATGGCTGGTCCCACTTGCCAGGGACACTTCTCTTTCCACCACATCCTTCCCCCTGCTACCCCTGTCCCTGCCTCCCCCCACCCCATCTCTGGAACCTTCTCTGAAGGTTCTTACTTTCCCCTTTGCTTCCTGTCTTGTGCCCTCTTCCTCCTGCCCCTTACTGTCCCCAGGGTCTCACTCCGTCTCTCTCTGGCTGCAGGGGTCTCTTTCTCTCTGCTCCCCTCTCTTCCCTCTCTGTCTCTGGAGTCTCTGTCTCTCTCCTCTCCTGCCCTCAGGATCGTCCCCTGCTTGGTTTCTGGGGTCTGTCTCTCCATTCTCTGCTCACTTTGGTCTCCCCCTCCACCACCGGTGTCTCCCTGTCTCTGTCTCAGGGTCTCTGGCTCGCCACCTTCCCTGGGTGGTCCAGACCTCCCTCTTGTCTGCTGGCACCACACTCCCACGGGGCTGGCTGGGGTGGAAGCCAGGTCTGGGGGCTGTGACCAGGCCGGGAAGGGGAACCCAAGCAGACATGGTATTTATGTTAGGACTTCAAAGTGGGGCAGAGGCCGCAGTGGGGGTGGAGGGGTGGAGGGCGGAGGGTGGAGGGAGGGAGGGAGGTGCTAGCAGAAGCCAGACTAAGGTCAGCACCGGCCCCTCCCAGCTGAGGGTCTCCTTGGTGACACACACCTCCCTGTGGGACCCTGAGACTCGGCGTAGGGACAGAATGGACTATTTTTGTGCAGAGTTCCAAGAAAGGCACTTCCTGCACCCCCGCCCTGCCCCCAGCCCCATCCTTTCTTCCTGTCACCCTGCAGCTGGGTCTGGGCGCTGCAGGCCCCACCTCCTCTGAGCATCAGCCTGGCCTGGGAGACAGGGGTTCTGAGGGTGGCAGAAGCACAGGGCTCGATCTCAGCAGGAAAACATCCCTGGCATGGGGACAGCCCGTGCGTTCCCGGCTCTCTGGCAGAGGCCTCGCCTGGCAGGGCTGTGCGGGGCTGTAACCCAGTTGGCCCCAACCCAGCCAGGCGGACCCAGCCCTTTGGGGCCTCTGAGCTGTCAGCCTGAGGGCCTGAGGGGCCAAAATGGGCCAAGAGGGTCACCACACCCCTGCCCCCACCCTTGGCCTAACCCCTGCTAAAGACACCCAGCTGCTAGGACCTGGAAGGCGTGGGGTCAGGGGCCCTGGCCCTGGGTGGGGTGGGTGGGAAGGGCCGATTGTCTCATCCTGCGGCTCAGCTGAGCCCCGAGCCCCTCCCAGGGGCTGCGTCCAGCAGGCACCCTTCAGGCTGGGCCACCCCCTCAGGAAGTCCTCTGCCCCCAGACTCAAGGCTCGCTCTGGACCCAGGACCCTCTGGTCCAAAGCCCATTCAGGCCCCAAATGCCCCAGCCCCTGGGCCAGTGTCTCCTCCAGGGTCCTCCCCAGGCTCTTCCTGTGAATCACTCAGGCTGGAATCTGATGAGCTCAGGCCTCCCCACCCAGCGTTGCCTGCCTCTGCCTCCTGCCTGGCTAGTGGGGTCACCACACCCCTCATGGGGGTCTTTTCCAGCAACCCACATCTCCCACCAGGGTCTAGCATGGGCTGGGGTGGGTGAGTGGTGGTGGGACAGGACAGGGCTGGAGTGAGGAGACTCGGGAGAGGGCTTGGACCGCTTCTGTGTGCTCCAAAGTATAAAAGTCTGTGTGTGTCTGTGTGTGTGTGTCTGTGTGTCTATGTGTGTGTGTGTCTGTCTTTGTGTGTCTGTGTGTCTGTGTGTGTGTCTCTGTGTGTCTATGTGTGTCTGTGTGTGTGTGTCTCTGTGTGTCTGTGTGTGTATGTCTCTGTGAGTTTCTGTGTGTGTCTTTGTGAGTGTGTCTCTGTGTGTGTTTGCACTTCAAATGCTTGGAGAGTGGGAAGGGGCAGCCGTGTGCTGTGTCTCGGGAGAGTGTGCGCCGTTGCGTCTGAGTGGGGGATGGAGTGTGCCGGTGGCAGTTCTGCACAGGTAGGTCTAGTGCATCATGGGATCCCAGTGTAGGTGGTCACCATGTGTCTCTGTGTCAGCCTGTCCCCATGTGTGTGTCCAGGAGTCACACTCTGAACCCAAGAACAAGGGTGCTGAAATATTTCAGTGTTTGCAGATCCAGGGATGTCTGAGTGGGTGGCTGGTCTGTGTCAGGGTGTGTCTGGGAGGAGGGGCGCCAGTGTGTCCCTGCACCCCATCCCGCAGGAGTGAATGGCTGACAGTGTCAGGGTGTGCCTGTTAACCCTGGGGGTGCCCCAGGGTTGTTGCACGTGCCCGTGGCTGGCAGGATGTGCACCCTGTGTGGGAATGTGGGTCAGACAGTGTCACTGTGTGTTAATTGTGGGTGTGAACATGGGTTGCAAGGCCATGGCAGGGTGCTAGATGCTCTGTGTTGAAGGTGTGGCAGGGTAGGGTGGGTCTCAATGACTGCCTTCTGCTGCAACCCTTTCAGGCCACCAGTAGGCCCCTGGTTCCTAGAGCACACTGGCCCACAGAACCAGGGATATGCAGCCCTTCCCTCACCCCCCATTCGCAGGGTCCCAGGGACCCACCACTGGGTGCTTTCCTCCTAGCAGCAGGCTGGGAGCACTGAGTCCCCTGGGTCCTCCGCCTCAGCAGAGGGGACCCTGCACGTGGCCAGGAATGAGGTGCGCTCTGCCCCCTGGTGGCAGCAATGAAGGATGCGCCACCCTGCAACCCAGGAAAGCGGAGGGACAGTTTAGGCTGCGTCTTTCCGAATCAGTCATTCCACATAGATTCACAAGTGCCAGTTCCGGCCCGGCCATTGTTCAAGGCCCTTGAGATTTAACTGCGAACAAGGTGGGGGTGGCTCTGGCATTCTAGTGAGGGAAACAGACAATAAACTTGCATACAGAACCACCGTGACTTTAGGAGTGATAAGGTCAATGCTTCCAAGTAAGGAAATGACCCGACTGCTCTTTCATAGATCCAAACGTCAGAGTTCCAGTCTTGCCCTGCAGCAGCGGACGCTGGGCCAGGCATGTCACCTCTTGGAGCCTTGGCTTCTTTTTCCATAAGGACAAAGGCTGGGGAAGGGGTGGCATGGAATCCCTAGGACACAGTGAGCTTTCAGTTACCACCCAGATCACGCCATGCAAATGGAGAGATGTGACCTATTTCCCTTTGGCTGGAGCTGGGGGCGCTTGGTGCTTGGTCTATAACAGACACTTCTGTTGTTGTTGTTGTTGTTTGATTTTTTTTTTTGGAGTCTTGCTCTGTCGCCCAGGCTGGAATGCAGTGGTGTGATCTCAGCTCACTGCAACCTCCACCTCCCAGGTTCAAGCAATTCTCCAGTCTCAGCCTCCCAAGTAGCTGGAACTACAGGCGTGAGCCACCTTGCCCAGCTAACTTCTATATTTTTAGTAGAGATGGGGTTTCACCATGTTGGCTAGGCTGGTCTTGAACTCCTGACCTCAGGTGATCTGCCTACCTCGGCCTCCCAGAGTGCTAGGATTACAGGCCTGAGCCACCTTGCCCGGCCTATAACAGATGTTTGATAGATGTGCTGAGTGGACATATAAATCAGCCCCTCTGCTTTGAAGGACTACAGAACCTGGTGTCTGAGCCCTTTGTCCTGTAACAAGGCACTTTCCCTGAGCAAGTCTGAGTTTTCTCATCTGTAAAATGGGGCTAGTGAGACTGGTCTTACACTGGCCTATCATTGTCTGCCTTGCCTGGAGGCTCTGCCCCAGGATCATAATCTTGTTGATGCTGATTTGGCCTGGACCCCTGACCAATCAGTTTCTTTTTTGTTTTCTTTTCATTTCTTTTTTTTTTTTGAGATGGAGTCTTGCTCTGTTGCCCAGGGTGGAGTGCAGTGGTGTGATCTCGGGTCACTGCAACCTCTGCCTCCCGGGTTCAAGTGATTCTCTTGCCTCAGCCTCCCCAGTAGCTGGGACTACAGGTGTGTGCCACGACGCCTGGCTAATTTTTGTATTTTTAGTAGAGACGGGGTTTCACCATGCTGGCCAGGCTGGTCTTGAACTCCTGACCTCAGGTGATCCACCGGCCTCGGCCTCCCAAAGTGTTGGGATTACAGGCGTGAGCCACCAGGCCCAGCCCAGAGTTTCTTGAGAAGAAAAACCACAAGACCCAGGCAGCAGCTCCCTGTGGTGCCCCATCACTGGGGAGGGCAGGGAGGGGGTCAGGTCATGCTGAGCCTGGCAAGGGTGGGAAGGGCTTGTAGAGGCCCCAGAGCCTCATTCCCATGAGGCCAGTTGTACATCCGGCCCCTGGGATCCTCCGAGCACCCTCTACAAACATTCCAGGTCCTTCCTCTGGGACTGAGCTTGACACATCCCGTGTTTGATTCCCAGAACCGAGTCCTCCCTTATACTCCCCAGGTTTCTGCCTCACTGTCCCTCACTCCTGGTTATCAAACTCCAATCAGTGAACAACATTTATTGAACACCTATGGCATTTGTGCTCAGCATTGGACTGTGTGAGGCACTAGGGGTGAGTGGTGAAACAGGGAGGGGAATAGAAGAGCCAACGGGACACTTCCTATCAGCGAGAACCTTGGGAGGGCGTGGAAGTGGGGAGGGAAGAGCTGCTGGTGGCCTAGTGACAAAAAAAATGGGAGCCGTGCAACTGGGCTGTATCTGGACTGCTCATCTGAAAGTCAATGTCTGGCTGGGTGTGGTAGCTCACGCCTGTAATCCCAGTACTTTGGGAGGCCAAGGCGGGCGGATCACCTGAGGTCGGGAGTTTGAGACCAGCCTGGCCAACATGGGGAAACCCCGTCTCTACTAGTAACACAAAAATTAGCCAGGTGTGGTGGTGCACACCTGTAGTCCCAGCTACTCGGGAGGCTGAGGCAGGAGAATCACTTGAACTGGGAGGCGAAGGTTGCTGTGAGCCGAGATGGCACCACTGCACTTTAGCCAGAGCGACAGAGCAAAACTCCATCTCAAACAAACAAACAAACAAAAAAACCCAAAAAGCCAATGTCCACGATTTCTACCTCCCAGTTGTCATGTCTGACATTTGGGCTGACGTCCCCTCTGTGCTCAGTGCCCGAGGAGAGAGCCTCTGGGGTCATCCTCCATAAGGGGACAATTCCTTCCTTCCTGGGGATGGCCCCCAAGAGGCTGGCCTTACCCAGACCCCAGAATCTAAGGGACCTGGGGGCCAGTGGCCTTGGCCCCTGCGCTGTCCCCAGGTTGCCTGATGCTGCTGGACTGCAAGGCCCGGGACCCCCTCTGCTGCTGCAGCCTTGGAGGCGCCCTCACCCCTGGGTGGTCACCCTCTCGGCAGATTCCCGGGCCGTGCACACCCCCTCGTGGTTGGTGGTCGGCACTTTTCCTTGTTTGGATTTGCTGCCTGCTCTGGGCTTCCTTGGGGGCTGCCCCGGCCTTTGTGGGTGGCTTAGAATGGAGGGTGGAGTTGGAACCTGATGCCCTGGTTTGGGCGGGGGAACCCTTAAGGACTTGCTATATGACATCCTGGGAGTCACTTTCCTGACCCTCAGTGGGCCCAACAAGTCATGGCCAAGTAAAGCTTTTGTGAGGGCCAAGAGTTTAGTGCAGAGAGCATGGTTTCTGAGCCCCCTCTCCATTCTGGAAGCTTATCTGCCAGCTGGTGGATCTCCCCAGAGATGCTGGAGGGCCTGGGAGGACTCCAAATCTTGGGGAGAGACTGTAACTTGGGTACTTTCTCCCCAGGGCCTGATTTCCAGGGGAATAACCTCCCTGAACTGGGCATCAGCAGGTGGGAGCCCTGTCTGGCAGAGAGCGGACTCCGGGAGAGAGTTAGCAGCCCAGCTCTCTCCCTCCCTTTCTGCCATGAGCTCTGCTTGTAGCAAAATCACCCATTTTGATCACTGGGACACTTCTGGGAGCCGAGCAGGGCAGCAATAGTGTCCCCACTTTACAGATGAGAGTACTGAGGCTTGCAGGTGCAGGTCCTTCTGGTGTCCAGGACAGGGGTGGGCCCCAAGCCTTTGCTGCTGTTCTGTGGCCTCTCTAAATCCTCCTGACACCTAAGAGCCATTGGAACCTTTTAGGGTCTGGAAGTCCCAGCCTGGTGGGAGATACTTGGGTGGAGCCCTGCCTCAGCCATGCCCATGAGGGGAAGGGTAAAAGGAGCTGAGACCGTCACCCTCCCCACGTCAGAGGTTGGGCATCTGTCGGATTCGCCCCCACTTGGCACACCCTCATTGCAGGCTGGCTCACCCTCAGCTGGGGGAGAAGAACAAGAGGCAAGGGGCCTTGGGCACACAGTCTGGGGGCCCCCGAAGCCCCCTCATCTTTATTCCAGTTCCTCAGATGTGGCAGTTCCCCCAGCTTCCCTGGAAACAAGTATCAGACAAAGGTGGTGGCAGACACAGGACAGGGCCCTGGGTGGGGCTTGCTGGCGCTAAAAGGATTTCTCAGCAGGCTCAGGGTCTCCCGCCCCGAATGACCCTTCTGGCCACTTCAAGCTACTCCTCTGCTGCCCGGCTTCCCTCTGCCTCTGGTTCCCCTGGCTGAGCAGGGCCTTCCTGGGCTTGACCCTGGCCCCCTTCAGCAGTTGTCTCAGACTGTTCCCGAATGTCCCTGGGGCTGGCTTTGACCCCAGCATCCCCATCTCCCTGGCACCCTTGCTCCTCCCCTCTGCTTCTTGCCTCTGACTGCCCACTGCCCTCCTCCTCTGTCACAGCCCCCTGGGTCTCAGGCCACTCCGCCCGGCGGTAGACGAGGTAGCCAGTGGTGGGCAGCCTGTGGGCCAGGGCCCCAGGGGGCAGGCGGTGGTAGCCCTGCTCCTTGTACAGGAAGAGGCCAAAAGTGTTGGGCTGGGTCACTCGGAACTTGGTGGCACAGAGCTGGTTCAGGGTGGCAATCGAGGCTTCTGGGGGCACGGCCAGGGTCTTGGAGGTGCAGCCACTGCTGGGATCCTGATAGGCTACTCGGAGGAGGTGCTATGCAGGAGGAGAAGCAAAAACAAGTACTCAGCCCCGGCTGGCATGCATCTGGCTCCAAAGCTGAGACATCAGCTTTCTGGGCTGTGCAGGGACAGGGTGGGTAGGTGGAGATCCAGTGGGAGAACCAAGCGGCAAAAGCTCTATGTGCTCCAGGGGTCGGCTTGTGGGCCACAGCCGCAGGTGCAAGGACAGCCCAGTGGGGCGCTCACAAGCCTGAGATGAAGATTTGATAGTGAGTAATTTGTGCCCCAAGCACTCTCCTGCATTAACTCATTTAATCTTCACCTCAACCCCAGGAGGTAGGTCCTATTACCCCATTTTACTGATGAGAAAACTGAGGCACGAAGTAGTTAAGTAACTCGCCCAAGTCCCCACAACCCAGTGGCAGAGCCAGGATTAGAACCCAGGATCTGTCTACAGAGTCTGGACTCTTCACCAAGGACAGGAAGGTGAAAGGCGGGGATGGCGTCTGGCTCTGAGGACACGGTGGAGGGCCTGTTACCTGGAAGCAGTGGGTGGCAGGCAGGCGGCGCTGCTCCCAGAGGCTGAGGGAGCGCCGTAGCTCCTGCACGGGGCTCAGTGGGAGGGTGTGGGCCTGACCCAGGCCACTCAGCAGGGCCAGGCTGGCAGAGAGGCTGGTCAGGTAGTAGCCACCTGGGACACAGGGTGGAAGAACACGGCTCAGGCTGGGTGTGGGGCACCCCATCCCCTCTCCCCTTCCCTGCTTATTCAGGGCCCACCCAGACAGGGAGGTGGGTGGGGGTCCCTCACCCTCTCCAGTAAGCAGGCTGGGCTCCAGCAGCTCCGACATGTACTCGGCCTCCAGCAGCAGCTCAGGAAGGTCACAGTGGGCCAAGACGAGGCTCAGCAGAGGCAGGAACTCGTCGGCACCCGCGCCCTCCCCTGTGGGGACATGGTGAGAGGAAGAAGCTTCAGGTACAGTCCTTGCTTTAGGCAGTGACCCCTCCCCATGCCCTAGCAACCATTGAGGGGCTTCAGAAAGGATGCGCTCCTCTCTAGGCCTCAGTTTCGCCATCTGCAAGAGGGGAGGGTGGGCTCATTCTCTCCTGCAGGGCTGTTCTAGGGTCCTGGGGACCTGCCGCTGGGGGGCCCGCCTCTGACTCAAAGGGGCAGGGCAGGGTGAGGTGGTGGCAGGGACATACCTTCCTGGGTCCTCAGGGCCATGTAGAGCAGCTTGCAGGCCTGCAGGAGCCGCTTGACCTGGGCGCTGGGTGAGTAGGTGCGGAGCAGCTGCAGCAGCTTCTGGCGCACTTGCTCCAACTCTACTGGGGAGGGCAGGCTCAGGTGGGACCCGAAGGCTCCGGGGCCCTGGGCCCGGGCCAGGCGGAGGCCCTCAGCTAGGCGGCCCAGGGAGCCGTCTGCGGCAAGCCGGCGCCGCAGGCGGGCTGCCAGGATGGGCCGGAGAGGCTTGAGCACAGAGCAATGCAATGACTTCTCCAGGACATGTTCTGCCGGAGGGACAGGGAGGGGTCAGGGGAAGACTGGGGGTATGGGGGGCAGAGGCAAGGGGAGAAGGGAGCAGGGGTAGAATCGGGGAGGAGAGGCAAGGAAAGCAGGAGGAGGTAGCCTGGGTGAGACGGAAGAGTTGGGGGAGAGAGGGGATGGAACTCTCTCGAACAGTGGTAAGACAAGATGGATTTGTAAAGCAGCAGAACAGAATCAGACAGGCTGGCGCTGTGGAGGGGAGCAGAGGGTCGGATGGGGCAGTGCTGGAGCTATGGAGAGACGGAGCCTCACCCAGCCTCTTAGGCGACAGCAGCTTCTCAGGGCCCAGCTCCGCACTCAGCATGGCCCGGGCCCGGCTCAGCGCCTGACGGATGCCCTGCAGCTCCTGGGGCTCGGGCCCAGCCCGCACCTGGGTCAGTAGGTCCTGCACCAGCTGGCCCGCGGCTGTGTGTCGGTCCTGCATCAGTGCTGCCGCAGCCCGGCCCACCTGCCGCTCCGGTGCCAGTAGGGAGCAGAAGGCGGCGCTCATGGACCGAAGCAGAGGTCGTCGGCGGCCCAGGTGGGGTGAGGTCGCTGGGCTCCCCCGGGACCCTGGCACCCCCTCCTCCTCGGAGCTGCTGGGGGAGCCGCAGTCCACCTCTTGGAGGGAGGGCATAGGCGGAAGGCTAGGGCCACTGCCTGCTGGCACGCGGTACCCCACTGAGCTCTCCCTCCGTAGCAGCTGGCAAGGGGGCAGCCGCTCTGTCTGGCTGGGGACTGCCCCTGGCAGCACGGGGACGGGGGGAGGTGGCACGGCAGGTGGAGACAGGGGGCTGGAGGTCTCTGTGGACACGCGCACTTTGAAGCTTCTCTTGAATTTCTCCCGCTTGGTGGGCCCTAGGTCCCCCGGGAACAGGGGGTTGAAGAAGCACAAGGCGGCTCCGGTGCCCTGGTCCAGCTCTTGAGGGGACCGGGCCTTCAGCTGGGGCAACACTGGGCCTCCAGCCGGGCCCCGCTGAGCCTTGATGTTGAGGGAGGAGCTCCAGAACTCTAGGGAACAAGAAACCGACTGGGGCCTCCGGGACTGGTTAGGGGAAGTTTCCCAACCAAGGCAAGGCAGGGGCTTCGGGCGGTGTGCTGCGAGCCTTGCCTTCCCCTCGGCCTCAGCTTGTTCATCTGTGCAATGGGTGGCAGGAAGCCCTTACCAATGCCCAGATGGGAGATGGCCTCCAGCTCTTTGTGAGTGGCTGCGTGGTGGATGGCTCTGGGGAGCTGCAGCGGGAGGAGAAGGATGTCCCTGAGGCCAGAGAGGGGAGCAGAAGGGAGTGAGGGCCGAAGAGGGCGGGAAGGATGGGCTGTCCCAAGGAGCAGGGCCCGTGGACACCAGGCACCCTGCGGGCAGACTCACCGGGTGTGGCAGTAGGCACAGATGAGCTGGACTAGGTCTGGGAACATGAGCTCCGAGCCCTCCAAGGAGACGCCTGAGAGAGGAGGGAAGTGAGGTGCTTCTCTGGGGAACCTCCCTGCTTCCAGCCCCTTCCCGCCAGGCCAGCCCCTCACCGCCAGGGCTCTCCAGGATGTAGTGGCTGGAGACGAAGGAGGGGCCACTGGCTTCAGGCAACCGCATGCACAGGGCCTGGCACTGGCGGGTGTTAGATTTCCGCACGAGGAACGTCTGCAAGTGGATAGGGCTCAGGCAGCTCAGGACCTTGGCGTCCCATCCCTCTCCCTCCCACCCCTGGCTGGCCAGTCCCTGGAGTGTGGGGCAAGACTCACCCCCGGGGGCTCGGTCCTCAGCATGTGCAGTGCGGCCGCTGCGTTGGCTTGCAGCTGCAGCCACACGGGCCGGGTGAGCAGCAGGCGCTCCCGCAGGCTCACAACGCGCCCCGGCCGCTGCGGCCCGCCTGCCTGCCCGCCGCTGGCATTGGGCACGTCATACAGTGGGTCCTGGGCTGGCCTGGGGGCAGGCACCCAGATCTGAGCAGGGAGCCAGGGGCTGGGACCCTTGCTCTCCTCTTCCCCACTCCCGGGTTTCCCACTTTCTCTATCCCCGGATAGGCCCTCCTCTCGCAGCCCCTCCCTGCCCCACCTGGCTGCCCTGCCAACTTCACTAACTTTTCTCTCGCCAGGTGCCCAGTAGTGAAGCTGGACGGGCTGGGGGCTCCAGGAGAGCCCGCGCCTGACTCTCCAGGGCTTTCCATGGCTGGGAGCTCCTTCGCTTCAGGAAGAGAATCCAGTCCCAAGGCAAGGCACGCACATCCCCAGTGAGTAACACTTCCTGAGGGCGGTCCGCCTGTCACACCCGCCAGTTAACTCTTGTGTGTCCACCCTGCCTGGCCAGTGCCCGCCTCCTCTGTTCTGGACCCTGCTTTGGGGGTCAGGGGTCCCCTCCATGCTAGCCCTGCTCTGAGGGCCCCAGCTGGGGGATGCCACCTCCACACACGGCCTCCTGCAGCCTCACCAGCTACTCACATTGCACACGTGGGCGGGAAGTGGTTAAGCGGCCTCAGTCCCCACAGGCCCCAGCCATGCTCTGGGGGCACCTTTGGCTCTGTGGTCAGTTGCTCATCTGCCCCTGGCCTCAGGTCAGCCTTGTGGGAGAGCACCCTCTACTGTCCATAGATGACTCATTCCTGAACCTGGGTTTTAGGATTTTAGGTTGCCATGGAGAAAATATGCCATGTCTCCATGGAAACCAACCTATTTGCTTAACTGAGGTTCTGGGGGTGGTTCTGACACTCAGTGCTAACCAGGGGGAGTCTGGCTGTGAGGTCGTCAGCACATGGCGGTGCTGCCGGCTGCCTCCCACGCACGCAGGCTCTGCCAGCCTGCCTTGCCAATCTGCCAGGCAACTGGGACAGGTGCAGACATGACCCAGGCTCCAAGCACACGCATCCACCCTCCCCGCCGAGGCACTCTCCCGGTGCCATATGTTGACTCTGCCCAGCGCCAGGCAGCCCAGCGCCCACCTCCCCCTCCCCAGCCTGGCCCCACGCACAGTGCTCTAGCCTCTGCTGGGTAGTGTGAGGAGTGGCAATCTGCAGGCACCCTAGAAGTCGGCCTGGTTCAGGTGCTCCCCACGGGAGCCCTGATTCTCTTGCAAGGTAAATCACACACACACACAGGGCACGCCAGAGTCCCAGGAAAGGTTTTAATTCCAGTCCTTGGAATCTGAGAAGCAGACACCAAGAACTGCCCTGAGAACACCTGGGGGGCCTGGCATCTTGCCTCCAGATCCAGCCAGGGTGGACAGACCCCCAGATAATCACGTCTGACTCAGAGTTCCCGCACAGTGGAAACTGGCTCCCTGGCCCTGAGGCCGGACAGCCTGCATCCAACATCAGCAAGAGGATGTGGCTTTGACTTCGGCTGTCTTCTCTGTCAGGGGAGCCCCAAGAGATGGATCTTCAGGAGTGGGAGGTGGCAGGCGGCTCAGGGATGGAGACAGCAGCCTTGCCTGGTCAGGTCAGCTCCACGGCCACAGCTGTGCAGGCCTCGAGGAGGGCAGAGGAGGAGTCCAGGCCAGTGCCAGATGGAGTGGGAGGGCCCAGCAGCACCACAGGAGCCTGGCTGGGCAGACCCTGAGGGGCCTGTGGGTCCGCCTGTCTGCAGGAGGAAGACGAGAATCCTGGGTGCAGTGCCAGCTGCTCTGAGGGTCCCCCTGGCTGTGAACAGCAGGGTCAAGGTCCTGTGCATATGTGGGAAGAAGAAAACTGTCACCAGTTAGGAAGCTGAAAGGAAGGAGGCAGCCACTTACTGAGTGGCTTTGGGCTGGCCCAGAACAGGCCTCCTGGGCAGCTCCACAGCCCTCCCTGACCCCTCCTGAGTGGGAGCTCCATCAACCCAGAGCTTCCCCAGCCCCATCCTGGTTCCTGCTCCTCAAACTCCCACAAGCCCCTCAAATCTAGACCATCCTAACTTTCTTGAGCCACTGATTCTGACACAGTCACAGCCTTTCTCTGGGCTCCTTCCTGGAAGCTGAGCTGAGGAAAGGTGATGGCAAGGGGGCAGGGAAGGCCATGCAACAGCCATGGTTCTTACCATCCGATTTTCTCTTCTGAGGGGACACAGCTGCCCTAGCCTGGGTGGGTGAGAAGAAAAGCTCCCCTGAGAGCCCACCTCCAGCTTGGCAATCCCTGCCCCACCCCCCACCTCTGTGGCTTGTGGGCTGTTGCCTCAGTGCTGTGCCCCCAGGACCGGGAGCATAGGCCCCACCCAGGCAGAGCTCCCATGCTCCTGACTGCTGGCCAGCTCAGCGGCTCTCCCGCCTCCCCGCCACCCTCCCACCCCATCAAAACCTGCCCCAGAACGGGAAGGGGCTGACACAGACTAGAAATCCCTTTTCCCAGGGCCGCCTTGAGCAAGAGGACTTGTGAGCCAACTGCGATCCAGGGACTCTGGGCTGAAGATGGGGAAGCCTTGGTGAGCAGAGAACTCCCAGGCCTGCAGATGGCAGAGCTGCTGCCAGGGTGGGGGGCCCTGAGGTGGGGCAGGTCACGTGGGCAGCAGCGGCCCCCACCTTTTTGATGGCTGTCCAGTCCTCCAGGATGTCGATCTCTTGAAGCATGTACACGATGTATGGGCCTGTGGTGGGGGTCAAGGAAGCCTAGTGGAGGTGGCAGGTGACGAGGGCAGGGCCACCCACCTGACATTCAGGAGTGGGGGTACAGCGGACAGCATGGAGTGGGAGCTGAGGACCTGGGTCCGAGGTCAGGTTCCACCTCCTACCTCTTAACCCCCTGGTTCCAGGGGTCGTCCTGGAACCAAGTCTATGGAGGACACCAAATGTTGTTCCCTGTCCCTTGCTCACCCTCACCTCGTCTTAGGTCAGCTGGCTGAGGCCCATCCCATCTCACTCTGCAGCACTGGCCCTAACCTGGCCCCTTCCCTGATCCAAAGACAGACGCAGGGCTTATCCCTTCAGAGACAACTCTCCCTCCCCCAGTGCTCCCTACTTGATGTCTCCATGCCTTCACCTTCCATTCACTCAAGTCATGGCCTTCCAGATTCCTCCCTCCCTGCCTGGGCCTGCTCTCCAGCACCAGGTTGCCATAATGACTAAGACTGGCTGCTGCAGGAATACCCTCAGGGGTGCAGGAGGACTCAGCTCTGCCAGGACAGATGAAAGCACAGCAGGCCCTGGACTAAGCTTAAGCTAGCCCTGCCTAGGAAGGGGTGGAGGCAGCCAGTGCCCTCTGGGATGTGGGTACCCCATGGTAGGGCACAGAAGCACACAGGAAAGTGAAGCCATAGGCACCAGGGTAAGACCAGAAGAGGCCTCACAGAGGAGGTAACGTTTGAGATGAGCCCTGGACAGTCGGGACAGGCAGGACTTCCAAGAGGAGGGTGGGATATGAGCAAAGGCTCCCCAGGGAAAGCTGGGGACCCGCTCGGACAACCCCGGGAGATGGAAAGGCCTCAAAGGCCAAACCTCACTCAGGCTCAAGTGCAGTGGCACCATCACGGCTCACTGCAGCCTTGATCTCTCAGGCTCAAGCAATCCTCTTACCTCAGCCTTCAGAGTAGCTGGGACTATAGGTGCACACCACCACGCCTGGCTAATTTTTGTTATTTTTTCTAGAGATGGGTTTCACCATGTTGCCCAAGCTGGTCTCGAAAAGAACTCCTGGGCCCGAGCAATCTACCCGCCTTGGCCTCCCAAAGTGCTGGGACTGTAGATGTGAGCCACGGAGCCCAGCCCGTTTCTGTTTTCCTAGGGTTCACATAGCCCAGAGAGACCCAGGACCCCGTAAGAAACTGCTGACAGCTGGATTTGCCTGGACATATTCACATGACACCAAGCAACCACGAGTGCATCTAGTGTGACTGTCCTCCATGTCCCCTCCAACCCCCTCCCCTGGGTCTGGAGTTGACCCTTACATCCTGCCCACTTTTAGGCCACCTTGGGTGAAAGGATACCAGAAACCAGAGGTGCCTTCTTCCTCTTGCTGGGCGGCAGGGAGTCCCAAGACCTGGAGCTGCCTCTGGCGTGCAGTTTGTCATCCCACCATTCTGCCCCGAGACCCAGAGTTAGAATTGGGGTGCTGGCCCACAGGATACTCCCTTTTCTGTAGCCTCTGCCTCCACCATGGGCCGGCCTGGCCTCATCTCCCCTGTCCCATCACCACCCTGGGCTTGGGGTAGAAGCCCCTTAGGGCTGTTCAGGTCCTGCCTGCACAGCTGCACAACCCTGGGAAGAGGTCACTGCACTTCTGTGAGCCTCATCTGTTTAGTGGAGAGTGGGATGACGACAATTCCTGCCACCCCAGGACTCCACGTGAACACAGGTACTATGAACATGGAGGGGACTAGAGCTATTGCATGTGACTGCATGTCACACTGATACCTGTTTTGGAAAGAGCAGGGGCAGAAGAGGCAGGGAGACCCACTCTGCTTGAGCCCCCATTATGTGCCAGGCCCTTTCCAGGCCTGGTCTCCTTCAGCCCTCACACTGACCCCAACAGGCAGGTCCTCTGGCTGTCCCCTTGACTTCAGGACATCTGAAGCCCAAAGAGGGGTGGGCGTGGACTGAGCGGGGCCCAGTTCCGGGGTGCCCAGGCTCTCGCGCTTACCAGAGCTGAGGTCCAGGCTCTGGCGGTCCTCCTCCAGCCTCTGGATCCGCTCCTGCAGCTCCCCCTGCAGCGTGTCATAGAGCAGCAGCTTCTCACTCTGGAAGAGGGGGCAATAGCTCAGCAGGACGGATGGGGTGAGGCCACTTCAGGCTTTGTGCCCTGCCTCACCCCCAGTGTGCCCAATCAGGCCCACCTCCAGGTGCTGTTTGGCTCCCTGCAGCTCACATTCGTACTTATTCCTGATCACATCCAGACAGAAGCCCTTGTAGATCCCTGCAGAGAAAGGGAGGAGGGTCCCTGCTTGGCTGGGGAGCCCGGTGCCCACATAGGAGGGCTGAGAGCAAAGGGCAAGGCCGGGCAGGAACGAGAGAGGAAGGGGACAGGGTGCCACGGGTTCTGGGAGGGGAAGAGGGTACAGAACCACCCACAGACCTGCCACCTGAATGCGAATCTTGAGGCTCCGCTGCAGCCCCCCAAGGGGCTCCGTGTATTCAGGGGCTCTCTCAGCCCCCACTTCCTCCAGCCGCAACCGCAGCTGACTCAGTCGTTCCCTGAACAACCTGCGTGGTAAAAAGGCAGCCGTGCACCCATTTGCTCACCCATCGCTCTTGGGCAAACACATACCCAGCACCCATTCCACAGCAAGCCCGGTGTTAGGCGCGCACTTCCTGGGCACCAACCACGCCTGCCCAGTACCAGGCCCACCACCTCCTCATCCCAGATCCTCGCAGACCCAGCCCAAGGTGTCCCCACGCTCACTTCTCCTTTAGCTCCGAGAACTGCTTCTCTAGGTCCAGCATCTCACTGACACACTCGCTGCGGCGTCGCTCATAGTCCTCATCATCCATCTCTGGGACAAGAGGCCAGTAAGGGCTAGCTCTGGGGAGGAGTGGTGGGTACCCGCATGTGTGCATGTGCGTCCTGCATGTGTGTGTGTGCATGCATGCCTGTGTGTAGGGCCTGTGTGTGTGTGCGCGTACATGCTTGTGTGAAGGGGCTGTGTGTGTGCGTGTGTGCTTGTGTGTAGGGGCTGTGTGTGCATATGCGTGCGTGCTTGTGTGAAGGGGCTGTGTGCACGTGTACTTGTGTGAAGGGGCTGTGTGTGTGCATACGTGCTTGTGTGTAGGGGCTGTGTGTGCGTGCTTGTGTGTAGGGGCTGTGTGTGCGTGTGTGCGCTTGTGTGCAGGGTCTGTGTATGTGCTTGTGTGTAGGCGCTGTATGTGCATGTGCGTGCATGCTTGTGTGTAGGGGCTGTGTGTGTGCATGTGTGTGTGTAGGGGCTCTGTGTGTGTGTGTGTGTGTCTGTGTGTGTAGGGGCTCACCGGAGCTCTCCTCTTCTGACTCTGTCTGGCTGCCGCTCCGCTCCTCCTCACTCTCTTCCTCCTCCCCATTCATCTCAGCAGCAGAATCACCCTCTGCTTCCATCTCTTCTGTGTCTTTGCTTGGAGGCTGGACAGGCATCTGGACTCTGGGAGAAGGAATGGAGCTATCACTTATGGCTGCCCACAGCTCAGAGGGGGAAAGAGGCAGCAGGATGCTGAACACAACTCGATCCCAGATGGGGAAAGCCAGGGAAGTAACTGGCCTGGCCACACCTTGAGCACAAACTGGGTGACAAGGGTGCAAATGGCCATCTGCACCTCTCACAGAAGGCTGGGAGCTGTGGAACTGCTCCTGCTCTTGGATGTCACTGGTGATCCTAATCCTAGCAATACTGGCCAAGGCTGTGATCCACAGAAAGGAAAGGCCCAGGGGGCACTCTCCACTGCCTTTGCAACTGGACCTAAATTTCTTTTCTTCTTATTATTTTTTGAGACAGAGTCTCGCTCTGTTGACAAGCTGGAGTGCAGTGGCACGATCTCAGCTCACTGCAACCTCCTCCTCCTGGGTTCAAGCGATTCTCCTGCCTCAGCCTCCTGAGTAGTGAGATTACAGGCGCCCGCACCACACCCAAACTGGACCTAAATTTCTAACTGGGGCTTTCAAGGTCTTTCCCAGACTGGACTTGACCTACCGGTCCAGCTCCTTCATCCCAACATATAATGGCTAGTGCTTGCACTTCCACTATCCACCCTCTGCCTCAGCTGTTCCTTCTGCCTATAATGTCCTCGGCTTCTCTTCCAGATAATGTTACAATCTCCTTGTCTTTCATTGTGCTCTGGGTCAAATCCCATCTCCTTCTGCTTCCTCTTGGACCGCAGGTCATCAGTGCTCCCCTCTCTTTTCTGTGTCTTCAGCTTCTAACTCTTAGCAACCTCCTTCCCATGAAACTTTGGATGTGCTTGGGTACTTCCTAGCATTAACAAAACACAGAAACACAAAACCTCACCCATTCCACCTAACTGCTCCATTTGCCACTTCACAGTTACACTTTTCAAGGTCTCATGAACACTGGCTGTTCCTACTTTCACCTCCCACTTGTTCGATGTCCTCAATCTCAGCTGAAACTGATCCCGTAGCATTAACCAATGACTTCCTTGTGGCTAATGCCAATATTTTTCAGTGCTTATTTTAATTGTCTGCTCGGCAACATCCAACACTGGTAAGCATTCCTTCTTTTACTGACTCATCTAACATGTATTGAACATCTAACATATGCTAGGTACCGTCAGACGCTATGGTATGCAGGCGCCCAAGTGTGAATGTCTTTGACCTCACGGAGTTTACAAGTTCCTGGGAGACAGGGGCAAAGGAGCACACTATAACCATGATAGGAGGAGAGTTAAGACCAGGGGCATAAGGGAGGGGTATATAACCAGGACCTGGAGCCCGATGCAGCAGGGAGGCTTCCAGACAAAGATGGACCAGCTGGGTGAGCTGCACTTATTGAGGGAACATTCCAGGTAGAGTCAGTAGCAAAGACCCAGAAATAAGAGAAGGAAAGCAGCTGGGGGAACATGGGTCTAAGTCTCAGTGAGAAATCTGAGCTGCAGGGATTTGGTCGTCAGCATACAGCAAGTTCTTCATGCCACAGGAGAAGGTGCAACCAGCAAGGCACAATGTGTGCGATCAGAAGACGCCCAGGGTCACCAAAGGGGCAGATGAGGAGACCCCTACAAAGGAGGAGGCAAAACCCGAAGTGGTGGAGAAAGAGTTTTAGAAGAAAGCCAAGTACTGCCAAGGAGTAATTGCACTGATAGTGCCAAGTACTGCCAAGAGATCACCTAAGAAGAAGAAAACAGTCCTCTCAGCAGATAATCTCTCAACCTCCTGCAGGCTTCTATTTTATTGTGTTCTTCCAACTTCTCTGGACACTGCTTTGTAGTCCTTTAGAACAGTGCAGACACCACTCCCTCCAGGAAGCTTTGTTTATATCTATTTGCCTGTTCTCATATCTGTCCCCGCAATCAGTCTATGAGCCTCACTAGGGCAGGGGCTGCACATGTAACTTATTTACCTAGCACAGTGCTGGTTCACTTGATGACTGGAGGATTTGCAAATACAAATTTAACAAAAAAATTTTTTGTGAGACAGACATTAGTTTTTACTTTTCGGTAGTCCCAGGTCCCTGTAATGGTAGCAAGCTTTCCTTGACACCAGTTCAAGTTGTGTATAGTAAGCCTGGCCTAGGTGAGTGTTTAGTCATATTCCTCAACAATTTCACTAATGACCTGCACCTGACTTGAAAGGCTCGGTTCTCTAAACCAGCTTCATCTTCCCGTTATCAAGCCTCAGTTCCCAACATTTGCAATGCCTCTTCACTGTTAGTATATTCACTTTGTAAGATGCAGCTTAAGTCTATCTCTTCCAGAAGCCTTTCTTTCCTCCCCCTGGTTCTGATTATGAGTGAGTTAAGTCACAACCTTCCCACCTTACCCCGGGTGCAAAAAGCGGATAACCATTCCTGCTCTGAGTGTTGAGGAGCTCACAGGTGGTAAGGGATGGAAAAGCACACTGTAAAGCGCTGTACACAGGCAATTTATCTTTTCAGAATGGCAGCTCCTCCGGGGCAGGCCCCTAGGGAAGGCAGACCCTCCCCACTCTCGCAGAGGTCAATCCAGCTTCTCCGCAGCGCCCAGGGGGCCTCCCGCTCCCTTCTAGATGCGCCGGAGCGGGCCGGAATATCACTGGCTCGCCCGCAGCCCAGCACGCGTCAGGCCGGTTAAATCTCTGCTTCGGCCTCGGAGGAGGAGGTTGTGCCGGCCCTGCTCGACTAACCGGAGAGGGCGAACCAAAAGCCATGCATGACGATACGCACCGCGGGGACTGGAGCCTCTGGCCTCACGACGGAGATTCCCTGAGAGCTGCCCGTGGTTGCCGGTACCGGCTGCTGCCGCCGGACTCCCGTAGGCGCTGCGCGGCTCCCTTTTCTTCGGGAGGCAGAGCCTATCGGTGCTTCCGTGTGCGTCATCAGGAGGCGACCGTCGGGGATGCTCACAGTTGGACAGTTTGGTCCCGAGGCATGCTGGGATACCGCGGGCCGGTCTCCATAGTAACTGGCCGACATTCGCGCAGGCCTTCGGCCTGCAGGGAAGGCCCTGATGGTTCAGTGCTTTGCAGACGGTGCCCTTCGTCCGCGGCCATCTCCCCACGGCGTGCAAGGGGAGAAGCCGGCCCCGATCCCCCCACCCCCAGCTCAGGAGAGTAACGGAGCCAGCTGTGGGTGTGAACACGCATTTATTTACACATTGTCATCGGTAGGCACATACCCAGCCCAGCCCGTTGAAGGGACAGATCTCAGGCTGTCACCCATGGAACCTGCAGACCCTTCCCTCCTCCAGAACCCTTGAAGGCGAAGCCCTGAGAGAACCAGGAATTTTAGGCTTCTGTTCAAGAGCTAAGAACTAAATTTTATGCCTTCATCTGATTTCTTTCCAAAAAGTCCATTTCATTAAGTATTCAGACTTCTTAGCTCCATCCCATTCATACTTTTTGCTCTCCTACTACCCACCCAAGATTGTTAATAATAACAATAATAATAACAACAATAATACTGCGATAATATTAATACTTCACATTTGTACGAAGCTTACAGAATGTTTTCACATATAGCATCTCATCTGAGCCTCCCAACAGTTCCGTGAGGTAGGTATTCTCACCTCCCTTTTTACAGACAGGGTAACCGAGGCTCAGAGAGGTAACGGGATTTACTCAAGGCCACACAGCTAGTTAGTGGTAAAGCTAGGAATCGATCCCAGCACCCCATATCCAAGTCCAGTGTTTCAACACCACAGCTACCTCTGTAAAGTGGAGCGACATTTCTTACCCCAGTCAGGCCTAAATGGTGGCCTGAGGAGCCAAGAGGCTGACTTCTCAGATTAGGGGAGGGAAGGGCTCAGCAGCGTCGGGGAGAGTTGGGGTACTTGGCCTTCAACTCCTGTTTGAACTGGCGATATAGGATCTTATTGTGCTGATTTTCAGCCTCCTTTTGGGGATGGAACTTCAACGCTTCTTTGAAGCCCTTATGAACCAAGAAACCTTCGTTCAGGACCTCAAAATCAAACCCCGCCACATGCAGCTCGCAGGCCTGCAGGAGGAAAGACAGGTTAGCAAAGTTTGATGACATTGACAGGCCTGAGACTGACTTCCCTAAAGCCACAGTCCAGCGTCCTCACCCCTCTGGAAGTATCCTGGATCTTCCACACCATCCACCCACCTCCTGAACTATGATCCCTCCTGCTTCATTGCCTCCTTTCCATCCAGGGCCACTCCTCATAACTCCCTGATCCCACCACCCCTCCTGCCCCATTACCCCTGCCCTCTCCCTTATGAGCACCTGGCTGATTCGGTTGAAGCCGTACTGCCGAAAGCGCTCGTCGAAGGTGGGCACCTTGCCTCCTGCCACGTAGAATGGCTCCCAGGGGTCCTGCCAAGGTACCACGTAGGCGGGCCGCAGCAAGCTCTCTTCCGGCAGGTTGACCCAGCGGGAATAGTTGGTGGGTGCCTGGCAGGGGGTGCACAACCCATAATAGAAGGGCCGCACCTCGCCAACCTGGTAGAGCTGCACCAGCTCGTTTTTGTTCATGGGCATGCGGCGGGCTCTTCGGATTTCGAAGGCAGGCACCACCAGCGCGGTGCCTCCCCACTGGTTGCTCTGATCCAGCATTTCCCGCAGGCCTCTCCACAGCCCCTCGCTGGGCACCATGTCCACATCGATCACCAGGGCATAGTTGGCCCCCTCACGAGCCAGATTCCTCAGCAGGTTATTGGGGTAGGAGACATTGGTGCCCAGCGCATAATTAATCCCGGGCTGGGCCACCCTGGCTAGCTTGTCAAAGACCTCCTGGCAGGACCGCAGCAGGGCAAACTCCCCCGGCTCCCGGGGGTCGGGCACGGCTGCCTCGTAACGCGAGGGGCACACGAGGTGCATGGCGACCCTGGCGCGCATGTCGGGGCAGTGGCTGCTCAGCGCGTAGGCCAGCACCGTGGCCAGCTGCGCCTCCTCCTTGGTGGCCGCGAACACCGACACGGACAGCGGGCCCTCCCAGCGCTCCAGCAGACCCGACAGGTGCAGCAGGTTGTCCACGCTGGCGTGCGTGGCCAGGATCACATCGTTGGGGTCCATGGTGGTCTTCAGCAGGCCCCTGTAGACGCGGTAATCGCCGCTAGCGTCCAGGACGCCTCCAGAGGCCAGCGCGGTGCGGAGCTGCGCCTTGACCTGGTCCACGGACCGTGGGGACGGGGGAAAGAACTCAAAATATTGGTCTTGCTCCTCCTGCCCGTGCAGTCCGGACAGCAGCGACAGGTAGAGCAGCTGCAGCATCGCCACCAGCATGAGCGCGGCCAGCAGCAGCTGGTAGAAGGCGCACCGGATGGCGTAGGACATCTGCATGGCTCTCGGGGCTCGGGGCGCGCAGCAACGACCACCCGGCCACAGACTACGCCAGCGGCCGCAAGCCCGGATTTACCGCAGCCTGCCGAGCGCAGCCGAGGCGAGCCGAGGCCAGCCGAGCCCCGAGCGCCGCCCCGCCCGCCGCCCGCCGCCCGCCGCCCGCCGCCCGCCACCGCCCCCAGCCCCCGGCGCGCCGGCTCGCCCCCTACGAGGGAGGAGGAGCCACGGCCCCGCCGCTCGGCCGCGCGCCGTGCAGACGCCCGCCCGCCCGGGCCCCGCCGGCTTCCCGGGACGCACTCCTCTCCCTCCCCGCCGGCGCGCGCACCCTGGACCGGGCGCGCCCTGAACGCGCGGCGCGCTCGGCCGGACTCGGAGGGAAACCGCGGCAGAGCTCGGCTGCAGCGTGGTAAAGGATGGCGCGGGCTCAGCAGAAAGGAAATCAAAACGCTCCCTTCCTTCCGCGGCTTCTTCTTTCCCTGTGTCCGAAGAGGTCTGCGTTGCGACTTACGTGGTAGTGCTTGGAAGGTGCGGAGTAGATGAGAGATAAGTGAATGTGGACAAACCTGTCACGTAGGACGAGGTGGCCGAGTGGTTAAGGCGATGGACTGCTAATCCATTGTGCTTTGCACGCGTGGGTTCGAATCCCATCCTCGTCGGCCCTGTTTTATAGAGGTTGGGGGGGAAGCATCTACATTTTCACATCCTGCCTATTTGGAGCAGCAAGCTGGAGGTGCGAGGGGTGAGGCATCTAAATTTTCACATCCTGCCTGTGGAGCAGCAAGCTGAAGAAAACTGAACTGGGGGTGAGAGTGGAATTCGATCCCAAGTCTCTCTGGTCTTTATCCACCACGCATCTCCTGCCTGCTCCTACTTCAGGTGTCTGTAGCTCTGGGCAGAGGCCAAAGGTGTTTTCTTTCCTTCTAGAAAGAGGGCCCAGGGGTTGGTGGCACGGAAAAGACTAGAACCGGGATTCTGGCCAGTGTGAAGTTGGGGGCCAACGTATGATCTGCAGGAATCAGGGAAGCCCCCCATTGGAGGCATCGCCCTCCCCGTCCGAAGTAGTGGTACTTGTCCTACTCTCCAGCACTTCTCCTAGGGCGGAGACCTTGTGTCCACATGCCCTGCTCCCCAACACACACAATCTCTTTTTTTTTTTTTTTTTTTTTTTTTGAGGCGGATTCTCGCTCTGTCGCCCAGGCTGGAGCGCAGTGGCGCGATCTCGGCTCACTGCAACCTCTGCCTTCCAGGTTCAAGCGATTCTCCTGCCTCAGCCCCGAGTAGCTGGGACTACTAGCGCATGCAGCACGCCCGGCTAATTTTTTGTATTTTTAGCAGAGACGGAGTTTCACCGTGTTAGCCAGGATGGTCTCGGATCTCCTGACCTCCTGATCCGCCCACCTCGGCCTCCCAAAGTGCTGGGATTACAGGTGTGAGCCACCGCGCCCGGCCGCACACAAACTCTTAAGCAGAAGGCTTTGAACATTCCAATATCAGGCCACTATACTCTTAATAAGTATTTGTGGATTAATTCATCTGTGGACTCTTTAGAACAGGAGAGGCCGTGGGAAGGGCAGACACTGCCACTGCTAAATCAATTACCGTATATTACTCAACTTTTTAGGCTGAGCCAGGGAGGCCCCTATAGGGCAGAGTGCTCTGAATCTTGGGATGTCAGGACAGACTGGGCAGGGCTTCAAATAAGGATAAAGTGTTTGTCCCACTATTCCACAGGCAGTAGGGTGCCAAGGTTGTTGAGTTGAAGAGTGATCAGAAAACCTTTATTTTGCAGCCCAGAGCAAAAACACACACTGAGTACCTGGTCTCTGCCAGGAACTGTGTTAGGCACGAGGGATGGGCCTTGGAGGAGACACAGGTATTGTCCTTGAGAGTTTCCACTGGTGACCTTGGCTGTAAAGAGGAGAAAAGTAAGTGCAGATCCTTTCAGCACAGGCCTTATAGACTGGAGGCTCAGAAGTCAGACATGCTGCCATGTGGATTTTCTTTGACCTCCTCAGTGTTTTATTTTTTATTTATTATTATTATTATTATTTGAGACAGAATTTTGTTCTTCTTGCTCAGGCTGGAGTGCAATGACGCGATCTTGGCTCACTGCAACCTTGCCTCCTAGGTTCAAGTGATTCTCCTGCCTCAGCCTCCTGAGTAGCTGGGATTACAGGAGTGCACCACCATGCCTGGCTAATTTTTTGTATTATTTTTTAGTAGAGATGGGGTTTCATCATGTTAGCCAGGCTGGTCTCGAACTCCTAACTTCAGGTGATCCACTCACCTTGGCCTCCCAAAGTGTTGGGATTACAGGTGTGAGCCACTGCGCCCAGCCCTATTATTATTATTATTATTTTGAGACAGAGTTTCGCTCTTGTTGCCCAGGCTGGAGTGCAATGGCTCAATCTCGGCTCACTGCAACCTCTGCCTCCTGGGTTCAAGTGATTCTCCTGCCTCAGCCTCCGGAGTAGCTGGGATTACAGGCATGTACCACCATGCCCAGCTAATTTTGTATTTTTAGTAGACTAGGGTTTCTCCATGTTAGTCAGGCTGGTCTCGAACTCCCGACCTCAGGTGATCTGCCCACCTCGGCCTCCCAAAGTGCTGGGATTACAGGAGTGAGCTACCAAGCTCAGCCAGTGTTTGTATTTTCAGTGGACAAGTTTTTTACTTCCTGGGTTAATTTTTTCCTAGGTATTTTATTCTTTTGTATCCTATTGTAAATGGAGTTGTTTTCTTAATTTCCTTTTCACGTTGTTCATTGTTAGTGTATAGAAATATAACTGAATTTTTGTTGTTGTTGTTGTTGTTTTGAGATGGAGTTTCGCCCTTTCACCCAGGCTCGAGTGAAGTGGCGCGATCTTGGCTGACTGCAACGTCTGCCCCCCGGGTTCAAGCAATTCTCCAGCTTCAACCTCCCGAGTAGCTGGGACTACAGGTGCATGCCACCACACCCGGCTAATTTTTGTATTTTTAGTAGAGACGGGGTTTTGCCATGTTGGCTAGGCTGGTTTCAAACTCCTGACCTCAGGTGATCCACCTGCCTCAGCGTCACAAAGTGGTAGGATTACAGGCATGAGCCACTGTGCCCAACCAGAATTTTGTGTGTTAACTTTTTTTTTTTTTTTTTGAGGCAGAGTCTCACTCTGTCTCCCAGGCTGGAGTGCAGTGGAGTGATCTCACCTCATTGCAACCTCCGCCTCTTAGGTTCAAGTGATTCTCCTGCCTCAGCCTCTCTAGTAGCTGGGACTACAGGCGTGCGCCACCACACCCAGTTAATTTTTATATTTTTAGTAGAGACAGGGTTTCACCATGTTGGCCAAGCTGGTCTTGAACTCTTGACCTCGAGTGATCCACCCACCTCAGCCTCCCAAAGTGCTTGGATTACGGGCACGAGCCACTGAGCCAGGCTATTGTGTGTTAATCTTGAATTCTGCAACTTTGCTGACTTTATTAGCTCTAAAAGTTTGTGTATGTGTGTACGTGTCTGTGTGTGTGTGTGTGTGTGTCTCTGTGTGTATGCATGTATTCCTTAGGATTTTCTATATATGTATATATTATGTCATCTGTGACTATGAATAGTTTTACCTCTTTTTCAGTTTGGTTAACTTTTGTTTCTTTTTCTTGCCATTTTTTTTCCCACCCCAGTGCAGAAGTTCATTTCTTGCCAAATTGCTCTAGCTAGAACTTCTAGTACAATGTTGAGGAGATGAAACGGTGAAACCACGTATCCTTCTCTTGTTCCTGATCTTTGGGGGAAGGCTTTAGGTCTTTCGCCATTAAGTATGATGTTATTTGTGGATTTTTCATAAATGCCCTTTATCAGGTGAAGGAAGTTTCCACCTATTCCTTGTTTATTCAGCATTTTTATCTTGAACGAGTGTTGGACTTTGTCACATGCTTTTTATCTTGAACGAGTGTTGGACTTTGTCACATGCTTTTTATCTTGAAAGCGTGTTGGATTTTGTCACTTGCTTTTTGTTCATAAATTGAGGTGATCACTTGGTGTTTCCTCTTCATTCTATTAATGTGGTGTATTACATTGATTGATTTTCTTTTTCTTTTTTTGAGACGTTCTTGCTCTGTTTCCCAGGCTGGAGTGCAGTGGAGCGATCTTGGCTCACGGCAACCTCTGCGTCCTGGGTTCAAGTTATTCTCATGCCTCAGCCTCCGGAGTAGCTGGGATTACAGGCATGCGCCATCATGCCTGGCTAATTTTTGTATTTTTTAGTAGAGATGCCGTTTCACCATGTTCGCCAGGCTGGTCTTGAAATCCTGACCTCAAGTGATCTGCCCGCCTCGGTCTCCCAAAGTGCTGATATTACAGGCATGAGCCACCACACCCAGCCTTTCTTTTTTTTTTTTTTTTTTGAGATGGAGTCTCGCTCTGTCACCCAGGTTGGAGTGAGTGGCGCGATCTTGGCTCATGGCAACCTCTACCTCCCAGGTTCAAGTGATTCTCCTGCCTCAGCTTCCTGACTAGCTGGGATTACAGGTGTGCACCACCACAGCCAGCTAATATTTTTTGTATTTTTAGTAGAGACGGATTTCACCATGTTGTCTAGGCTGGTCTCAAACTCCTGACCTCAAGTGATCCACCTGCTTCAGCCTCCCAAAGTGCTGGGATTACAGGGTGAGCCACCGTGCCCGGCCACACTGATTGATTTTTGTATGTTAAACAATCTTGCATTTCTGGAATAATTCCTACTTGGTCATGGTGTATAATTCTGTTAATATGTTGCTGGGTTAGGTTTGCTAGTATTTTGTGGAGGATTTTTGCATCTATATTCATATGAGATACGGTCTGTAGTTTTCTTGGGATGGTCTGTATATTAGTTTGGCCTCAGGTCACATAGAATGAGTTGTAAAGTGTTTTCTATTTTTTGGAAGAGTTTGAGAAGGATTGTTGTAAATTTCTTTTTACTTTGCACACTACACTGTTATAGGATTGTTGTTAATTCTTTTTGTTTTGTTTTGTTTTGTTTTGTTTGTGACAGAGTCTCGCTCTGTCACCCAGGCTGGAGTGCAGTGGCATGATCTCGGCTCACTGCAACCTCTGCCTCCTGGGTTCCAGCGATTCTCCCGTCTCAGCCTCCAGAGTAGCTGGGATTACAGGTGTGCGCCACCATGCCTGGCTAATTTTTGTATTTTTACTAGAGACGAGGTTTCACCATGTTGCAGGCTGGTCTCAAACTCCTGACCTCAGGTGATCTGCCCTCATCCGCCTCCCAAAGTGCTGGGATTACGGGCATGAGGCACCGCGCCCAGCCGGATTGATGTTAATTCTTTAAGTGATTGGTAGAATTCACTTGTGAAGCCATCTGGTCCTGGGATTTTCTTTGTTGGGAGGTTTTTGATTACAGATTAAATCTGGTTACTTGTTATAGGTCTGTTCAGATTTCCTGTTTCTTCTTGCATCAGTTTTGGTAGTTTGTGTGTTTTCAGGAATTTGTCCATTTCATCTGATTTGTTAGCATACAGTTATTCATAGTATTCTCTTATAGTCCTTTTTACTTCTGGGTAAAGGCATACCTCACTTTTTTTTTTTTTTTTTAGATGGAGTCTCGCTCTGTTGCCCAGGCTGGAGTACAGTGGTGCAATCTAGGCTCACTGCAAGCTCCACCTCCCGGGTTCACGCCGTTCTTTTGCCTCAGCCTCCCATGTAGCTGGGACTACAGGTGCCTGCCACCACGCCTGGCTAATTTTTTTGTATTTTTAGTAGAAACGGGGTTTCATCCTGTTAGCCAGGATGGTTGCAATCTCCTAACCTTGTGATCCACCCCCCTCCGCCTCCCAAAGTGCTGGGATTACAGGCGTGAGCCACCACGCCCAGCCAGGCATACCTCACTTTATTGCACTTTGGTTTATTGCACGTCACAGATAATTGCATTTTTTTTTTTTTACAGATTGAAGGTGGCGGGTTCCTGTAGTCCCAGCTACTCAGGAGGCTGAGGCAGGAGAATGGCATGAACCCGGGAGGCAGAGCTTGCAGTGAGCCGAGATCGTGCCACTGCACTCCAGCCTGGGTGACAGAGCGAAACTCCGTCTCAAAAAAAAAAAAAAATCAGTAAGTGTTGTGTGTGTGCTGACTGCTCCACCGACTGACTGTTCTCCCCTTCCTCATACCTCCCTATTTCCTGAAACACAAAAATATTGAAATTAGGCTGATAATTCTATGTTGGCCTCTAAGTGTTCAAGTGAAAGGAAGAGTTGCACTTCTCTCATTTTAAATCAAAAGCTAGAAATGATTACACATAGTGAGGAAGGCATGGTAAACACTGTGATAGGCTGAAAGCTAGGCCTCTTGTGCCAAATGGTCAGCCAAGTTGTGAATGCAAAGGAAAAGTTCTTGAAGGAATTAAAAGTGCTACCCCAGTGAACACACAAAAGATAAGAAAGTGAGGCCGAGCGTCGTGACTCACGCTTGTAATCCCAGCACTTCAAGAGGCCAAGGCAGGCAGATCCCCTTGAGCCCAGGAGTTTGAGAACAGCCTGGGCAACATGGCGAAACCCCGTCTCTACTAAAAATACAAAAAAATCGCCAGCCATGGTGGCGCATACCTGTAGTCCCAGCTACTCAGGAGGCTGAGGCGGGAGAATCACCTGAACCCAGAGGTCTAGGCTGCAGTGAGCCATGATCATGCCACTGCACTGGAGACCTTGGAATACGCTGATGACTTTGAAGGGTTCAAGACTTCAGTGGAGGAAGTAACTGCAAATATGATGGAAATAGCAAGAGAACTAGAATTAGAAGTTGAGTCTGAAGATGTAACTGAATTGCTGCGATATCATGAGAAAACTTGAATGGATGAGGAGTTGCTTCTTCTGGATCATCAAAGTGGTTTCTTCAGATAGAATCTACTCCTGGCAAGGATGCGGTGAACATTGATAAATGACAACAAGGATTTAGAATATTATGTAAACTTAATTGATAAAGTAGCTGTAGGATTTGAGAGGATTGACTTTAATTTTGAAAGAACTTCTACTGTGGGTAAAATGTTATCAAACAGCATCGCATGTTAGAGAGAAATCTTGCATGAAAGGATCAATCAGTGCAGCAAATTTCATCGTTGCCTTATTTTAAGAAATTGGCACAGCCACCCCCATCTTCAGCAACTACCATCCTGATCAGTCAGCAGCTATCAACATCGAGGCAAGACCCTCCACCAGCAAAAAGATTACAACTTGCTAAAGGTTTCAGGATTATGACTTACTGAAGGTTCCGGTGATCACTAGCATTTTTAAGCAATAAGGTTTTTTTTTTTTCTTTTTTCTTTTGAGATGGAGTCTTGCTCTGTTGCCCAGGCTGGAGTGCAGTGGCGAGATCTCAGCTCACTGCAACCTCCACCTCCCAGGTTCAAGTGATTCTCCTGCCTCAGCCTCCCGAGTAGCTGAGATTACAGGCACGCATCACCATGCCCAGCTAATTTTTGTATTTTTAGTAGAGACGGGGTTTCTCCATGTTGGCCAGGCTGGTCTCAAACTCCTGACCTCAGGTGATCTGCCCTAGCCCACCATGGCCTCCCAAAGTGCTGGGATTACAGGTGTGAGACACCGCACCCAGCCACAATAAATATTTTTAATTAAGGTATATACATTGTTTTTTAGACACAATGCTATTGCATACTTAATAGACTACAATGTAGCATAAGCATAACTTTTTTTTTTGAGACAGAGTCTTGCTGGAGTGCAATCCTGCGATCTCAGCTCACTGCAACCTCCGCCTCCCTGATTCAAGCAATTCTCCTGCCTCAGCCTCCCGAGTAGCTGGGATTACAGGCACCTGCCACCACGCCCAGCTAATTTTTGTATTTTTAGAAGAGACAGGGTTTCACCATGTTGGTCAGGCTGGTATCAAACTCCTGACCTCAGTTGATCTACCCGCCTCGCCTCCCAAAGTGCTGGGATTACAGGCATGAGCCACCGCGCCCGGCCAAGCATAACTTTTATATGCACCGGGAAACCCCAAGTTATTGCAATATTTGCTTTATTGCAGTGGTCTGAAACCAAACCTGCAATATGTTTTAGGTGTGCCTATAATTGGTAGTAATATTACCACTTGCATTTCTTAGTATTAGATTTTAGTACCTTAAAGGCTTCTCTCTATTTTTCTTAGTCAATCTAGTTAAAGGTGTGTCAGTTTTGTTGATCGTTTCAAAGAACCAACTTTTGGTTTCATTAATTTTCTCTATTGCTTTTTTCCCTCCATTTTGTTTGTCTTTAATCTTTAGTATTTCTTTCCTTCTGCTACCTTTGAGTGTAGTTTGCTCTTCTTTTACTAGTTCCTTAAGTTATTTATTTATTTATTTATTTTTGAGACGGAGTCTTGCTCTGTTGCCAGGCTGGAGTGCAGTGGTGCAATCTCGGCTCACTGCACTGCAACCTCCACCTCCCGCGTTCAAGTGATTTTCTTGCCTCAGCCTCCCAAGTAGCTGGGACTACAGGGGTGTGCCACCACGACCAGCTAATTTTTGTATTTTTAGAAGAGACAGGATTTCACCATGTTGCCCAGGATGGTTTCAATCTCTTGACCTCGTGATCTGCCCACCTTGGCCTCCCAAAGTGCTGGGATTACAAGTGTGAGCCACTGCGCCTGACCCCTAGTTCCTTAAGTTCTAAAGTCAGGTTATTGTTCTGAGATCTTCTTTTTTAACGTAGGCATTTATAGCTATAAATTTCCCTCTAAGCACTGCTCTTACTGCATCCTGCAAGTTTTGCTATGTTGTATTTTCGTTTGCATTTATCTCAAAGTATTTCCTAATTTCCCTTTTGATGTCTTTGACTCATTAATTTTTAAGAATATGTTGTTTAATTTTTACGTATCTGTGAATTTTCCAGCTTTTCTTCTGTTGTTGATTTCCAGTTTCATTCCACTGTGATCAGAAAAGACCCTTTATATGATTTCAGTCTTTTAAAATTTATTGAGACTGTTTCGTGACCTAACATAGGATCTGTCCTGGAGAATATTTCACAAGCACTTGAGGTTATATATTCTTTTGTTTATAGGTAGAGTATTCTATATATGTCTGTTGTGGTTTTGGATCTAAAGTGAGTCTCTTATAGACAGTTTATAGTTGAATCACTTTTTGTTTAATTAATTAATTTTGAGACAGGGTCTTGCTCTGTCACCTAGGCTGGAGTGCAATGGCACAATTACGGCTTACTGTAGCCTCTACTGCCTAGGCTCAATCAATCCTTCCACTTCAGCCTCCTGAGTAGCTGGGACTAAAGGCGCACGCCACCATGTGTGCCTAATTTTTAAATTTTTTGTGTAGACATGAGGTCTTGCCATGTTACCTGGGTTGGTCTCAAGCTCCTGGGCTAAAGTAATCTGCCCTCCTTGACCTCCCAAAGTGCTGGGATTACAGGCGTGAGCCACTGTAATCCCAGTTGAATCATTTTTTTTTTTTTTGAGACGGAGTTTCGCTCTTGTTGCCCAGGCTGGAGTGCGATGGTGCCATCTTGGCTCACTGAAACCTCCACCCCCCGAGTTTAAGCGATTCTCTTACCTCAGCCTCCCAAGTAGCTGGGATTACAGGCATGCGCCACCATGCCTGGCTAATTTTGTATTTTTAGTGGAGATGGGGTTTCCCCATGTTGGTTAGGCTGGTCTCGAACTCCCAACCTCAGGTGATCCGCCCGCCTCAGCCTTCTAAAGTGCTGGGATTGGCGGGGCGCAGTGGCTCATGCCTGTAATCCCAGCACTTTGGGAGGCTGAGGCGGGTGGATCATGAGGTCAGGAGATCGAGACCATCCTGGCCAACATGGTGAAACCCCATCTCTACTAAAAATGATACAAAAAATTAGCCGGGCGTGGTGGCGGGCGCCTGTAGTCCCAGCTACTCAAGAGGCTGAGGCAGGAGAATGGCGTGAACCCGGGAGGCGGAACTTGCAGTGAGCCGAGATCGCGCCACTACACTCCAGCCTGGGCGACAGAGCGAGACTCCGTCTCAAAAAGAAAAAAACAAACAAAAAAATTAAGTGCTGGGATTACGGGCGTGAGCCACTGCGCCCGGCCCTAGTTGAATCATTTTTAAAATCCATTCTTGAGCCAGGCACGGTGGTTTATACCTATAATCCCAGCACTTTGGGAAGCTGAGGCAGGAGGATTGCTTGAGCTCTAGGAGTTTGAGACCAGCCTGGGCAGAGAGATCCTGCCTCTAAAAAAAAAATTTTTTTAAATCCATTCTGACAATCTTGCCTTTTAATTGGAGAGTTGAGTCAATTCCATTTCAAGTAATTACTGAGGCTGGGCGCAGTGGCTCACGCCTGTAATCCCAGCACTTTGGGAGGCCAAGGTGGGCACATCACTTGAGGCCAGGAGTTTAAGACCAGTCTGACCAACATGGTGAAACCCCGTCTCTAATAAAAATACAAAAAGTAGCCGGGTGTGGTGGTGCACACTTGTAGTCCCAGGTACTTGGGAAACTGAGGCAGGGGAATTGCTTGAACCTAGAAAGCGGAGGTTGCAGTGAGCCGAGATCACACCACTGTACTCCATCCTGAGCGACGGAGTGAGACTCTGTTTAAAAAAAAAAAAAAAGTAATTACTGATAAGGAAAGACTTACTTGTGCCATTTTGCTATTTGTTTTCTACGTCTTGTATCTTTTCGTTCCTCATTTCCTCCATTAATGCCTTCCTTTTTTAAAAGATAGGGTCTTGTTCTGTTGCCCAGACTGAAGTATAGCAGTGCAGTCACAACTTGCTGCAGGCTTGAACTCCTGGCCTCAAATGATTATCCTGCCTCAGCCTTCCAAGTACCTAAGACTACAGGCATGTACCACCATGTGTCTTGCTATTTTATTTTATTTTATTTTTATTTTTGTGGAGACGGAGTCTTGCTATGTTGCCCAGGCTGGTCTCGAACTCCTGGCCTCAAGGGATCCTCCCGCCTTGGCCTTCCAAAGTGCTGGGATTACAGGTGTGAGCCACCACACCTGGACTTCTTGAGTCTTTTATGAGCATGCATCTTGCCCTGCATGTATATGGCTTTCTCAATTCCCTCATATTTGAGGGAGCTTTTCAGTTCCCCAGAGAATGTCTCCCCACCTTTTCCTTACAACCTTTCAGCTTGTCTGTTGTTCATGTAAACTGTAATCTTTGCTCTGGACAGCAGAGGTTTGTTAATTTGCCTTTCAGTGTTTTGGAGAACTGTCCTCTTAAGTAGAAGCTTTTCCATCTTGAGAGATTTCTGAGTCAGGCAAAACAAAAGCGAATGTCTGGCATCCATTCTTTAGGTAGTCCCCAGACAGGTCGGAACTAATAGATACAATCCTTTGAGAACAAAGTCTGCTTTGCTCCCTTGAGAACCAAAGGCTAGGGTCCCACAATGGGAATGCCATCTTCACACCACCACTAACTCAGAAGGGAAATGGGGCAAGGGCAGGTAAAATACTGCAAAACTCTCATTATATTAAGTTGCCACTTTCTTGATTCAGCACTTGCTTGGTTGTTGTAAATCTTTGATTATTTTCCAGAGTTCCGACAAAGGTTGTTCCAACAGTCGTTGCTCATGTTTTCCGTTTTTTTTTTTTTTTTAAGGCACAGGCCCTTGGAGCTGTCTGTTTTACTACTTTTGCTTACATTCTATTAATATTGAGCCCCATGGAACCTCAGTTTATTCATCTGTAAAATGTGGTAGTGCGCAGGGCTTCTACTTCACAAACTCTGGGGCTGCAATGAAAAGGGAGTCCAGGCCGGGTGCAGTGGCTCATGCCTGTAATCCCAACACTTTGGGAGGCCAAGACGGGCAGATCACTTGAGGTCAGGAGTTCAAGACCAGCCTGGCCAACATGGTGAAACCCCATCTCTACTAAAAATACAAAAAAATTAGCCGGGCATCATGGCACGTATCTGTAATCCCAGTTACTCAGGAGGCTGAGGAATAACTTGAACCCAGGAGGCGGAGGTGGCAGTGAGCCGAGATCGCACCTCTGCACTCAAGCCTGGGTGATGGAGCAAGACTCTTATCTCAAAAAAAATAAATAAATAAGGGGGAGTCTAGCCAGGTGACCTCAGTCAACAGTAGTTTGTTCAAGAAACCTTGAGAAGAAAGAAAGAGAGCAAGAAGAACAAGGATGCCACCTGGCTCCATCTAGGATATCATGATGACTCTAGTGACCACAAAGCAATTCCCCATTCTATTATGTTGTTGACCCTGCCTGTGACCTTGACCCTGCCTATGACCTATTCCTTCTAATGTGCCAGTAACCTCGAGACAACCCCCACTCATGTTGTGGCTTCATTCTCCCAAGAGAGATGATCTGATTGGTTCCTCTCATCAGGGAAGCTGGACCGGGCCACCTCATAGGCTGCTGGCCAGTCAGTGAGTGGCTGCCATTGCTCAGACCCCAGCCCTGGTCCAGTCAGCCCTGGCTAGAGATGCCATTCCCATACAAAGCAGGGCGTGAGGGTTAGGTAGGGGGGCCTCTGGGGCCACTCAAAAGGGGCCAAACTCTGACAACATGTGGCATGTTGAGGCAGGTGGAAAAGCAGATCACAAATGTCAAATGCTTTTCATGTAGTAGAATTCTTTTTTTTTTTTTTTTTTTGAGATGATCTTGCTCTGTCACCCAGGCTGGAGTGCAGTGGCGCAATCTCGGCTGACTGCAGCCTCCACCTTCCGGGTTCCAGTGATTCTCCTGCCTCAGCCTCCCAGGTAGCTGGGATTACAGGCGCCTGCCACCATTCCCGGCTGATTTCTGTATTTTTTTAGTATAGACCAGGTTTCACCATGTTGGCCAGGCTGGTCTCAAACTCCTGACCTCAAGTGATCCGCCCACCTTGGCCTCTCAAGGTGCTGGGATTACAGGTGTGAGCCACCATGCCTGGCCTCACGTAGTATAATTCTAACTACCAGTCTCCTCTTCCATAAAAGGGTCAGCAACTTGAGGGTAAGGATGTCTGTCTCCACTGAGCCCAGCTCAGTGCCCTGTGCAGTGCGAGTGTTTGCTGATGGAAACTGGCTGCTTCTGTGGGAATCCGGGCCTGTCGGCAGAGCTGTAACAGGGTGGGCAGGCAGCAGTAGCTGGGGACTAGGCATCAGGCGAGGGGCAGGCAGGTGTAGCCAACCAGTCCAAGAATTTGTTTCCAACATCAAAGCCCCTGCACCCTGAGCTGATGAAGTTGTGCTGGGTCTACTGGGAAGGAGGATGGGAAGACGGAATCCCAGGTTGTGACATCATGATCCTGAGGGGTAAGTGTCCTCTTTTTGGGCCCCATCCTCCACTGCCCAGCCCGAACCTGGGCTTGCTGTGGGTGACGGGTGGCCCCAGTGGGTTTCCTGGGACTGTCTGGCCTGGGAGGTGGGCAGGTGGGTGTCTGCCTTCCTGGTCCCAGGTGGATCTGGCAGGTCTAGGGAGCTTTTTTTTTTTTTTTCTTTGAGGCAGAATTTCGCTCCTATTGCCCAGGCTGGAATGCAGTGGCACGATCTCGGCTCACTGCAACCTCCGCCTCCCGGATTCAAGCGATTCTCCTGCCTCAGTCTCCCAAGTACTGGGATTACAGGCATGCGCCACTACGCCCGGCTAATTTTGTATTTTTAGTAGAGATGGGGTTTCTCCATGTTGGTCAGGCTGGTCTCAAACTCCCGACCTCAGGTGATCCACCTGCCTCAGCCTCCCAAAGTGCTGGGATTATGTGAGCCACCGCGCCTGGCTTCTAGGGAGCTTTTAGGTACAACGGACAACAGTTGTACTCTCCTCTGAAGGTAGAGGAGAAGGAGACTCAGCAAGTGTTGGGGTCCTGCCTCCAACAGTCCCAGAGAGCACAAGTAGGCCTATTGGTCTTGCAAGAGACTCCAAGACTCCAACAACCGTTTCCCTAATATCATCAGAGGTGGTACTTTAGTTCCAACCTCACTCCAGGACTCTAGCTCAGGCAGGTCATAAAGAAAAGGGCCTGGATTTGACCTAGGACTCTGGCTCAGCATGCATGCACTTATCCACGAGGTTAGCTGGCCTCCATAGAGGCAGTCTCCCTCATATCTCCTGTATCAGTCGTCCTCTCTAAGCCACTGTCTAGGCCCCATCACCTCCCCGCTGGACTGCTGGGATCAACTCCTCTGTGGCTTCTCTGCTTCTGCTCCTCCTCCACCTCAGACTAGCAAACTCATATTCATCCCTCAGGGCCCAGCTGGGGAAATACCTCCTCTGGAATGGCTGCCCTGACTTCTCAGGTGGAATCAGTGGCTCCCTCGACATGCTTCTGCAGGGCCCTCACAAGACGTATCACAAGTTATATTTGGCTTCCTGTGGCCTTGGGAGCGGGGACTGTGTCTCCTTTGTTTCAAAGTCTCCAGACCAGGCAGGGCCTGGCTCGGGGCAGCTGTCTGTGAACAGTGCTCAAAGGAATGAATCCTTCCTTGGGGTCTGCCCTGTGGCTTATTTCAGCAACCAAGGTCATATCTTGCCTGTCTTCCTCCTTGATGCCAAAAAGCCCCTGGCTTCTGAGCAGGTACCCTGTGCTGGCTGAGCACCTAATATCTAATAGGTGCTCAGTGAATGTTCACAAAGGCAGGTGGGCAGAAAACCCTTGCTTTTCTCTGGGACGGGCAGGGTAGTATAGGTGTGTGGTGAAGCAGGCCTTTCCTCCATCCGTGTGTAGAATTGGTGGGGTCGCCAAAGCCCTGCCCACACTGACTGCCTCTCTAAGGCCAGATTTCCAAGGAGGAGCTATCCTGGGGAGGCAGAGGATGCTGGTGAGAGCCCAGGGGCTCATGGAGTGGGAGAGCAATAGTTGTCCATCCAACTAGGTGCTCTGCCCAGGAGCTCAGGATTCCTTGCAGGTCAGTACCCCCCAGCTATCATGTGGTCCAGAGGACCCAGCACAGAGATGCCCACCAATCCCTACCCCTCTCAGGGCCTCAGTCATCCCACCTGTCAAGGGGGTACAATCTTTCCGACCCCACCCAGTTCACTGAGGCCAATAGAGCCAACAGCACTTCGGAAATAAAGACTTGGTGAACGCATCATACAAATAAATGGGGTTATTAGACCCAAGAGCAGGGTCAGAAGGAGAAACAGCAAAAACGGGGAGTAAGTGCCCAGGCTCCTGCCCCAAACCCCTTGAGGAAAAGAGAAACAGGTGTTGGGCAGGAAGAACAGCACCAACAGGGAGGAGAGAGAGGGGATTGGGTCCCGGCTCTACCACGGACCAGTCACTTTCCCCAGGACTCAGTTTTGTCACCTGTATAATGGGGGAAGCACAATCCTTGCCTGACTCCTTCCAAGAGCCTCAATTAGGCTTCGGTGAGAGAGTGGGTATGGAAGAGCTTTGCAAACTGTAAAGTGCAGTACACACATGCAGGCTAGCTGTGGCCCTGGGGCCCAGGCCCAGCTGGGCTCTGCGGAGTGGGTACAGTAAGTGTTGGCAATGAAAACACTGCTTGAGGCTGAGCCTGGCCCTTTGAGCACCCTCAGGTCCTCCACATCTGTTCCTCCTCTCAGGTGCCCACAACTTCCCTGGCACCTTTTACCCTGGGTGGCTGAGGCCTGGGAAGATGAGGCGCTCCTGGCCTGGGCTGGCCCCGCCTCCCACTCTGAACCCTCTGGTCACCTCTGCTCCTGATGATGATGAACAAATGCAGACCTGGTGGTGGGGAGCAGCCGTGCCCTGCACCCTCTTTTCCCTAGTCATCACCCTTTCCATGAGGTCTTGTGCGAGTCACCCCCATTCCTGGGTGAGGGTTAGAATGACCGGTGGTGATTTCTTCCCCACAGCACTCCAAGTGGATGAAGAGCAGCTCCTGCCCGCTGCTGGCAGCCTCAGGCCCAGGGGCCTCCACCCCGCAGAGGCCTGAGCCAAGCTCGCCATTCGCCCTGGGCTGGATCTCAGCTCCGGAAGGAGACGTCGAGAAGAGGCTGCCAAAGAGCCTGGAGGGGCCACTTCAGAGCAGCGCCTTGAAGAGGAAGGAGAGGGAGGCTCCACAGGAAAGTCCCAGGGCCAGGAAGAAGGTCATGAGGGCGCCGGCCACCTCCCTCTCGTGTGGCAGCACCTGCCTAGAACACCCGGGAACAGGAGCTCTTAGAAAATGCTGGGTCTAAATCTGGACCCAGCTCCACTGCCCTCTGCCCATCCAGTCTGGGCTCTGACCCAACCCCTCTGTCACCATAACTGGCCCCTTCTTTCCGGGCCTCAGTTTCCTGGTCTGTAAATGAGGCTGCTGGATAAGGATGTCTCTCAGGGCCTCTGAGTCTAACATGATGGGATTCCAGATTCCACAGCCTGCCCTTTCCACAGTGCTCTCAGCCTGTCTGCCCTGCCAGCTTCATTCTCTCTGGATTCTCCACTCCATTGCCCCTTGAGGAAATAGCCCATGACCTTGTTTTTGGTCAAAACCTTAGCTCTCCTTCAACTGAGAATTTTACAGTTAGATGGGCCCTGAGGGATGACAGTTCAACCCATTTTTTTTTACAGATGGGGAAACTGAGGCACATTGAGGCGGCCCCAGAACCAGTGCCTGGGCTACTTGGTTGGGCGGGTACCTCCCTAGCCCAGTTCTCTCCCCTGCAGTTAAGGCTTGGCCCAGTAGGGGGCGCCAGCAAGGCCTGCAGACAGCTAGGGTTGGGCTGGCCAGAAGCAGGATGGGCCGTCCCTCCATTGCAGGCGGTCCCTTCCCAAAGACTGAACCCACCTCCCTACTCCCAGCCCCCCACCCCACCCCATTGCCCCGGACCTGGGCGCCAGGCACATGGTGAGGGACACCAGGTAGCCATTAGAAACGGCAAAGAGCAGCATGAAGGTGATGAAGTAGGCATCCTGTGGGAAGAGGATGGGCAGCCGGGACCTCTGGGGCACGTGGCACAGCATGAAGAGGGGCACGAACAGGAACCGCAGGCAGACCAGCAGGGGCAGCAGCCGGCTGTCCTCGTCTGGCTGTGGTAGAAGCTGAAGTCAGCATGGTCCCTGGAGCCAGGTCTCTGCTCCAGGGCATCTCAGGACACCCATAGAGTACTTTTTTTTTTTTTTTTTTTAGATGGAGTCTCGCTCTGTTGCCCAGGCTGGAGTGCAGTGGCCCTGATCTCAGCTCACTGCAACCTCCACCTCCTGGGTTCAAGAAATCCTCCTGCTTCAGCCTCCTGAGTAGCTGGGACTATAGGCGCCTGCCACCACCATGCCCAGATAATTTTTATATTTTTAGTAGAGCCAGGTTTCATCATGTTGGCCAGGCTGGTCTCGAACTTCTGACCTCGAGTGTTCCACCTGCCTCAGCCTCCCAAAGTGCTGGGATTACAGGCGTGAGCCACCATACCCGGCCTCTATTTTTTTCATTAAAAATTTGTGTGTGTGTGTGTGTACAGACAAAGTCTCACTGTGTTGCCCAGGCTGGTTTTGAACTCCTGAGCTCAAGCGATCCTCTTGCCTTGGCCTCCCAAAGTGCTCGGATTTTAGGGGTTTTTTTGTTTGTTTGTTTTTGAGACAGAGTCTCGCTCTGTCTCCCAGGCTGGAGAGCAGTGGTGCGATCTCGGCTCACTGCAGCCTCTGCCTCCCTGGGATTACAGGTGTGCACCACCACACCTGCTAATTGTTATCTTTTTAGTAGAGACGGGGTTTCACCATGTTGGCCAGGCTGGTCTCGAACTCCTGACCTCGTGATCCACCCGCCTCGGCCTCCCAGAGTGCTGGGATTACAGGTGTGAGCCACCGCGTCCAGCCCCAGAGTGCTAGGATTATAGGTGTGAGCCACCACGCCTGGCCCACCCATAGGATAGACCCATCTGTCACCCCCTGACCTCCTCTGACCTGACCTACCTTGTGAGCCAGTGAGGGAGGACCCAGCACTGGGGCCTGGGCCAAGTCCACCCAGAAATCAGGGACTGGCCTGGGGCTCACCTCTGCCTCTCCCAGGCTCCAGCTTGTGCTCTCCACCGCATCTACAGTTTACGTACTCGGTTCCTCAGAGCACCCACTGGTGGTTCCACAGACCCCCTTGGGGGCAGATGGGGTTTCTGAGTGGGATTGGAAGCTGTAGATCAGCTCCTGTCCTGACTTGGATGAGACCAGCTCCTCTTTCACCTGCGTTATGTATTGTCTCTTTGGAAGATTTCATTTAAAGATACAGTACCATGGCTAAAACCAACCCCAAAACTAAGACTCTTGCTCAGTCCCTCACCTGGTGCAGGAACCTCCATGTAACATTCTCTGAGCAGCAAAGGCTGGATGCTGGGGACACAGAGGTCAGCTGGACATGATTTTTGCTTTCAGGGAGCTCACAGTGCAAGCCCTGGCCTGCACGCCTCCAGGGCCCAAGTGCTCCCTGCTGCTTGGCCAGTGGTTGCATTACCAGGCCATTTGGACTACCAGAAAATCACCTCCATGCTCTTTCAAGCCCTCGGATCCCAAACTGCTTCCTAAAACATCGGATCACCCAGCCCTGGTGTGCTTACCCACAGGAAGTAAGAGGTCAGGCTCCGTCCCAGCCAGTCCATGATGTTGAAGAGGAGGAAGCAGCAGATGGGGTTGAAGAACTGACCTGGGAGGGAAACGGCTGCAGCTCATACTGGTCTCCAACTCCCCTCTCCCGTCCTCTCCCCTTTGTACCCCCTGCCCTGCCGTCTTCTCCACCCTGACACTCACTCCACTTCCCAGGACTGGTGGAGCTGGTCACCATGGCTGTGATGGCGGGGAAGACGGACAGGGTGACTGTGAAGACCAACACAAGGCACAGCGCTGTCAGCCAGATCTGGGAGCCAGAGGCAGGGGTGTGAGCAGGCAGGGCAGTCCCAGGGCCCCACCCTCTTGCCCAAGCCCCATGTGGGAGCAGGACACTTGGGGCCTGGCCCAGCTGTGTCCCTGACCCACTGTGACCCTATGACCTTGGAGTCAATGTGAGCCCCATTCTTCCCCAAAGATGGTGGTTGGGGGCTGTATCCAAGCCAAACCTTCTGGAAGACAGTGAAGACTGAAGGTTTTCCTGGCTTCTGGGGCTCATCTGGCTCTGATTCCGGCTCCTTCTCCAGGTCAAGATCCAGGGTCAGAGCTACTTTCTGGGGACTACTGGGAATCCCGTTCTCATCTGGGGTGAGGGGGGACGGGGAAGGGTCATGCTTGTGACCCAGGTTTCCCGACAGCCAGGCCCAACGAAGGGAGATTCCCAGCAGTTAAAACAAGTGATCCTCAGCTCAGCATGGTGGCTCACGCCTGTAATCCCAACATTTTGGAAGGCCGAGGCGGGCATATTGCTTGAGCCCAGGAGTTCGAGACCAGCCTGGGCAACATGGTGAATCCCCATTTCTACAAAAATAAAAAAATTAGCCGGGCATGGCAGCCTGCACCTATAGTCCCAGCTACTCGGGAGACTGAGGTGGCTCACTTGAGCCCAGGAGGTCGAGGCTGCAGTTGAGTTGTGATAGCACTGCAGTGCAGCCTAGGTGACAGAGTGAGATCCTGACTCAAAATAACAACAACCCCCTCACCCCAAAACAAAAAAAGGTGATCTTCCTCCAGCCTAAGCTGAGGCTGCAGGCGAAGGGAATTCATGATGGAAATATGCATAGCTACCAGGAAGCGCGTGCATGGGTCGGGTGATGAGCGAAGCACCTTAGATGGATTATCTCATTACCATTGCTTTACAAATGACACATTGAGGTTCAGAGGGGTGCAGTGGCTAAGTGGTTTGTCTCAGGCCACACAGCTGGGATGTTGTGAAACTAGTATTCCAATTCAGAGGTCTTCGGATCCAAAGTTTGCATGCATGGAACCTCTGTCGCCTCCCCATTTTATAGAGGTGGAAACTGAGGCCCAAACAACAGCAGGGATGACTTTAATCCTACCAACTTCCCTTCATGATCTTCCTGTTTGCACAAGGCTACTAGGGGTGGGCTCTGGCTGGGAACAGATGGAACAGCTTCCCAGGGGAGGTGGCTCTAGCTTCCTCTGCATCTCCCACCTCCCCAGGAGGGTCTCAGGGCTTACCAGACTGGAGGAGCTCAGCTTTGGTCTCCAGCTCCTGAGCTTGGGCCTGGGATGATTTATTGGCCAGGTAGTAGCGGGCAAACTTCTGCAGAAGGACAGGAAAGTGTTGGGCCTGCCTGGCTTGCCTGAGGTGTCTGGATCCCTCCCCATACCATTGGCCTGGAGGCTGGGGCCCCTCAGTGTCTTCTCTGGGGGTCAGGGCTGAGACCAGGTCTCCTCCACCTCCCCTGGCCTCTCTCAGGGCCTCAGGCTCAGGACTCTATCCAAGATGCTTTGAGGTGGGGCCTCGAGCCCAACAGCAGGCTCACCAGGTGAGGCAGGCTCAGGTAACACACGATGGACATGAGGATGCCCACACAGGGCGTGATAAAGTACCCCAGGGCAGAGGTCTCGGCGTCCACGCCACCTGCGGAGGAACTTCAGCTGCAGAAGAGAGGCACCTGGTCCCGCCGGCTCCCACGGGGCTTCCAACTCTTGTCCCACTTCCCATTGTGTACTTCTCAGACCCACTCCCAGCCTCTTCCGCTCCTCCCTTCACTGACAAATGGGAATCTTGTACAGGGCCCCAGAGCAGCCCTGCACTTCTCTCACTTTCCCCATGTGTCATTTTTGTTGAGCACGTACTATGTGCCAGTAGCCTTCTCTCATTGCATGCTCATTACAATCTGAGCAGGGAGCTATACCAATCACGTCGGTGGGGAAGCTAGCACAGAGAGGTGACAAGCCTTGTCCAACACCCCTAGCTGGTAAGCGGTGAAGCAGATTCAAACCCAAGACTATCTGAATCCCAAACCCATCCCCTTATCCTTCAACTTCAACCTGCTGCCACATGCCAGTATTAGCCCCAGGAATCCTGCCCCTGTCCCTGAGTTAACCCAGTCCTCACTTGGTTATTACTCCTCACTGCAGGGCCCATGAGCCCCACTCCCTAGCCCCAGACCCAATCCCCATTTCCATATCACCTGCTTACCTCCATCTTCACCCAGAACCCATGTGTCTTGCTCTCACATGCCCTCTCTCTTCCCCAAACCTCAGAGGCCACCCCAGCCCTCCAGCCACCCAAGTGCACTCACTGGCCATGGACAGGAGCATGGCAAGGGCAGCAAAGATCCCAGCCAGGCCCTGGCCGCTGAGGAAGAGGGTGCTGTAGGTGGAGGGCATGGTGCCCAGCTGCCCGAAGAGGCTGCCCTGTAGGACTGCACTGAAGGCTGTGGAGGACAGGGATGGGGGCTGCTGCTCAACTAGGCAAGACTCAGAGGCTCCCTGGAGGAGGTGCCGGCAGGATACACAGGGGACTCTGGACAAGGTTGCGCAGGTGTGAGCTTCCCTAGGGACTCTGAGCACTCGGGGGCAACACCCGCTATTCAGTCCTCTTCTGAGGTGCAGCCATTGGTCTGTGGGGCTGTTGACCAGGAGGCCTGCTCCTAGGTCACCGGACAAGTGACTCTTCCCCTCCCTGTGGGCCTCAGTTTCTTCACCAGGGATATGAGCGACCATGATGCTGTCTGCCCTTCTCGGATATGCTGGGCCCTTTCAATGATGAGGCCAGGCTGAAGCCCTGCATAGGCTGGCTGGAGAGGGGGTGGAGGTGCTCACAGTTGATGAAGCAGACGGAGGCCATGGTGATGGAGAAGAAGGGTCCGGGGCTCATGTCCACCTTGACCAGCGCTGCTGTCAGGGCAAAGAGCAGCAGTATGGCCAGCAGGCTGCCCAGAATGCGCACCGTCTCCGGGACGCTGCTCAGAAGCAGGCAGAGTGCATCAGTGGGGCCCAGGCCAGAGGGGGCTGGGGAAGGAGGCTCGACACCTGGGGCTGGGCAGTAGGGCTGGGGGGCAGGGGGCGCAGGGGAGGGCCTCAATGAAGCTGCCTCGGCAGAGGGCGCAGGAGCCAGGGCAGGCCTCTCACCACTGGTACAGGAAGGAGTTGAGGAGGGTGAAGAGCAGCAGGGGCAGCTGGGACAGCAGCGTCACCCAATTGTTGAAGTTGAAGGCATCCTCGGGACCCGTGTGGTTGGTGCTCAGGATCCTGGCTGTGCTGTTGCCGGCCCCGGCCAGTCGCGCCTGGAAGTACTGCCAGGTGGGGAGGTGGTGGAGGGTCAGCACCTCTCAGCCTTCCCCCGCTGCCTTCCCCCTCACTTGTGATTGCTTTCTAATGTCTGTGGGGACTTGTCTGCCTTGTCCTTGTTCTGTTCCCAGCAGCCGGCACACAGTCGGAGCTCCATGAATGTGTGCTGAGTTAAATGGCTGAAGTCTGGGACACAGCCTAAGCATTAAGAGCCCCCAGCAAGAGCCTCGATCCAGCCTTGGACGGCCCCTCCTCTTCAGTGCCCTGGTTCCAGCCCCCATCCCCACTCCTGCAGCAGCTGCTACATTCATTCATTCCACGGGTATTTATTGAGCGCCTACTGTCAGCCAGGCTTTGGCCTAGGTGCTGAACAACTGCATTCTCTCTAGAGCACATAGCCTGCCACTCCTCTGCTTAACCTCCTCACTCCTCAACACCCCGATTCATGCCTCCCTATTGCCTGCAGGGCAAAGCCCCAAATGGAACAGCTCTTCAGAATCAGATCCTAGTCTCCCTTTGTGCCCCATCTTCTGCTCCATCCTGCTAAGCTCCAGGCAGCCCTGGCTGTGGATCTCCCTCTAAACAGGCTGATCGTCTCTTGCCTGCCTGCCTTTGGCATGGCTGTCGCCTCGGCCTGGAATGCCCTACTGACCACACCCCTCCACATGCACTTTGCCTACCCTACTCCCAATTTACAAATCTCCTCTTCCATGAAGCAGAAGGAACTTTCTCCCTCCCCTGGGGACCCACTGCACTCTGCTGCAAGCCTGGAATGTCACGCATCATGTTACATTATTAATAGCTCTTTGGCCCCCTCTTGCTCTCAAGCCCAGGGGCTGATTCATCTCTGGGTTTCCAGGGCCCAGCACAGAGCCAGTACCCAAGAAGCATTTGCAAAGTTGTTGCAGTGAATACAGATGAATAACCCGGTCCCAAAGACAATGCAAACCCCACATTTCTGCCTTCCCTGAAGAGCCTCCCTGCTGTTTCCTCCTGTGTCCCCAGTGCCTGCTCCACAGTAGATGCACATTAAAAGTTTGTTGAATGAGGCTGGGCACGGTGGCTCACGCCTGTAATCCCAGCACTTTGGGAGGCCGAGGCGGGAGGATCACGAGGTCAGGAGATCGAGACCATCCTGGCTAACACGGTGAAACCCCGTCTCTACTAAAAATACAAAAAAAAATAGCCGCGCGTGGCGGCGGGCGCCTGTAGTCCCAGCTACTCGGGAGGGTGAGGCAGGAGAATGGCGTGAACCCGGGAGGCGGAGCTTGCAGTGAGCCGAGATGGCGCCACTGCACTCCAGCCTGGGCGAAAGAGCCAGACTCTGTCTCAAAAAAAAAAAAAAAAAAAAAGTTTGTTGAATGAATGAGTGAATGAATGAAATTCATGGTATTTCAAAGAAAATCAAACGTTCGATAACCGACTTTTGGGGTGACTGACTCAGGAATAACGACACACAGAGAGGGGTGGCAGCGCCTTTGCTCATTCCAGACCCTGTGGGCTGGTGGCCTTGCCCCTCTGAGATGTGGGCATTGCTGAAGTTCTACTTTCCTAGCCACGGGGGAAGCATTCCCCTCTCCGAGCTTCAGCCCATAATGAGCTCAACGAGGGGTCACAGGTGCGCGGTGAGGAAGCGCCCGCTAAGCTTCATCCAAAGGGCTGGAGGGAGGGGTGCTGGCTGTGGCCACGAGGCTGCCACGCCGCCAGGAGTCTCACCGGGATGGCGGTGATGAAGAAGTTCCAGGGAAGGAGGGTGCCCAGCCCCAGGATGAAGAAGCTGATCCCGACCAGGTGGTAGCTGTGGGGATCGGTGGGAAGGTCACCCCGAGGACGCACCCGCCTCCGCAGGCCCTCCCGCCTCCCAGGCCACCCCCTCCGGAGCGGACTACAACCCCGATCACCCCGGTTCCGGCGGCCGAGGGAGTCGGCTGATGGGAATTGTAGTTCGATCCGGTCTTCTCTGAGCCTCGGAGCGCCTTCAGGGAGCGGGTCTGCAACGCCCCCGGCCACTTGCAACGCACCCGGGCCCACTCACCTGTCCCGCGGGGCGTCTCCTCGCGCCATGGCCGCCGCGGCGGATGCGCCTGGGGTGAAAGGGGCAGAGAAGCCGCACCTGCACCTGCGCTGGGGCGGAGGGCCGCAGACCGGTGGGGCGGGGGGCGGGTCTCCCCAGATTCCGGTGCAGGGCGGCTGGAGTCGCACAGGTAGCCTCGGGCGGATTTCGGCGTGTCTCGCGCTCCGCAGGCTGGGACCTGGGCTCCGCCCCGAGGCGGGGACAGAGGGTCGCGCCACCCGTCTCTCCTTCCCCCACCCGCCTCAGGGACTCGACTCTGGCTCGGGCCCCGCCCCACCTAGGGGCCTGCGGAACCCGCCCGCTCCCCGCACAGCCCCTCCCCGCAGCCCCCCGTCCTCTCCGCGGGGGCGGGTCCCGGATCCCTGCGGCGGAGGGGAAGGCGGGGGTAGGGACGAGGTGTAACCTCACCTCCACCCCCCGCCGAGAGCTCTGTAGGGGCAGCACTGGTGCGGGGCTCTTCCCGCTTCGTCAGCTCCGAGGTGATGCCAGAGCCGCTCCTGCGACCCCTAAAGCTGGAACCCACCGGGGCGCCCCCTAACTAGGGAGCCGCTGCGGAGTCCCCGCCCAGAGCGTAACCCGAGCCGGGCCCGGGCGGGGGAACCAGAGCTGCCACAGGTCGCCCGCGATCCTGGCGGGCTTCGCCGCGCTGGGTCCCCGGGAGTGCCTGGAAAAAAACAGCATTACTTTCAACTCCCTACTCTTTTTCTGTTAAAAAAAAAAATTTGAAAAGACTATAAATCATTAATTTGCTCCTACTCTCATAATCTACGAATAGGTGTGGGTTCTCTGCAATCCCCGGGCGTATCGGGGACGCTGGAGAAGTGAGAGGCTCCAAAACACAAACTAGTTTTTTTGAGACTGAGTGTCGCTCTGTCGCCCAGGCGGAAGTGCAGTGGCGTGATCTTGGCTCACTGCAACCTCCCCCTCCCAGGCAGGTTCAAGCGATTCTGGTGCCTCAGCCTCAGGAGTAGCTGGGACTACAGGCGCATGCCACCACGTCCGGTTAATTTTTGTATTTTTAGTAGAAACGGGGCTTCACCAGCTCTACTGAAGAGGTGGCCAGTCTAGTCTCGAACTCATCTTTTGACCAGGCTGGTCTCGAACTCTTGACCTCAGGTGATCCGCCCGCATCGGCCTCCCAAAATGTTGCTATTACAGGCGTGAGCCACCACGCCCGGCCACAAACTATTTTCTTAAGCAATGACATTTTATAGCCATTCCCAGGTTGCTTATGTTTTTCCTCCAGCCGACTGAGAGTCTGTAGGGGCAGAGGCTGTGCTTATCTGGTCCATTGGTTTACTGGCAGCATCTAGCGCCGTTGAGTGATAAATGGGTGGTTGCAGTAAAATGCAGGTGATTTTAGGGAGAACAGAGACAGCATTAAATTACACCGAAAGAGAAAGTTATTCTTCCCATTTTCTTTCAAGCCTCTGAATATGTCAAGGGTGTTAACAGGTTGCTAACACTTCTTAATCTGCCTTCCCATCCCTTCCCCTCAGTTAGCCTCAGAGGGTCTGCTGACAATTTTATCAAAAGTTATTAACTTGTATTTTTCTTATATTTATTTTTATAGCAACTTTATTTTCAGGGCTACTCATACTGGTTTCCTATTTATGATTATGATATCAACTTTTCTTTGAAAAATCAATTTATTTATGGAAAATGAGTTATTTAAAGAAAAGCGAGGCCGCTGGTGCAGCACAGCTATGGCACAGGTTGTGAAGGAAGGACTTGAGAATGGAGGCTAGGGAGCACTGAATTTGTTGAGACAGTGAAGGGAGAGGATGAGGGCATTTCAGGGAGAGAACAGCCTGTCCCAAGACAAGGGACAAGAGAGTGCTGACACATTCTGGGACATACAAATAGATCCCTTTGGCTGGCATTGGTGGGAGGAGGGGACAGAGCCTCTACAACAGCCAGGCTGGTTATGGCAAGTCTGAGGGCTGATTAAGGAGTTCAGATTTCATTTCAAAGCACAGACGGTCAGCTGGAGCCGATTCCATCGTCCTTGTAATAAATATTTTGTTACTATCCTGCAATGAAACTCATATAAAACAAAACCTACCTATACACAATAACATTTGATGTCGAGATAATATCCTGATTTTACTGCAGATGAATCATAAGGGAAATTATTTAGTAATAACATGGTGTGTGTGAATGTGTTAATATTCATGGTACATGAAGCTGTCAAATGCTTGCCCTTCTTTCTAAAACTGCAGTGAATCCACGGCTACAAACTCACATGCGATACAGGCATGCAGTGAAACTGGCCACTCAGAGACCCACTAGTTTGCCAGGATTTTCTTTTCTTTTCTTACCTTTTTTTTTCTTTTCTTTTTCTCTTTTTTTTTCTTTTTTTTTTTTTTTTCAGACGGAGTCTCTCTCTGTTGCCCAGGCCAGAGTGCAGTGGCAGGATCTTGGCTCACTACAACCTCTGCCTCCTGGGCTCACACGATTCTCCTGCCTCAGCCTCCTGAGTAGCTGGGATTACAGGCGTGTGCCATGATGCCTGGCTAATTTTTGTATTTTTAGTAGAGACAGGATTTCGCCATGTTGGCCAGGCTGGTCTCGAGCTCCTGACCTCAGGTGATCTGCCCGTCTCAGCCTCCTAAAGTGCTGTAATTACAGGCATAAGCCACTAAACCCAGCCTCTTTTCTTTAAAAAAAAAAACAATTTTTTTTTTGAGACACAGTCTTGCTCTGTCACCTAGGCTAGAGTGCACTGGCGCAATCTCAGCTCACTGCAACCTCTGCCTCCCAGGTTCAAGTGATTCTCCTGCCTCAGCCTCCCCTAGTAGCTGGGATTACAGGCACAAGCCACTATGCCCGGCTAATTTTTGTATTTTTTAGTAAAGATGGGGTTTCACCATCTTGGCCATGCTAGTCTTGAACTCCTGACCTCGTGATCCACCCACCTCAGCCTCCTAAAGTGCTGGGATTACAGGCGTGAGCCACAGTGCCCGGCCTAAAAAAAAACTTTTTTCCTCATTTATGTTTTAAATTTTATTTTTATTTATTTTATTTTATTTTACTTATTATTATTATTTTTTAAGACAGAGTTTTGCTCTTATTGCCCAGGCTACAGTGCAGTGGTGCAATCTTGGCTCACTGCAAACTCCACCTTCCGGTTTCAAGCAATTCTCCTGCCTCAGCATCCCAAATTGCTGAGATTACAGGCGCCCACCACCACGCCCAGCTAATTTTTTTGTATTTTTAGTGGAGACAGGGTTTTACCATGTTGGTTAGGCTGATCTCGAACTGCTGACCTCGTGATCCACCTGCCTCGGCCTCCCAAAGTGCTGGGATTACAGGCGTGAGCCACCGCTCCTGGCCCTATTTATTTATTTTTTTGATACATAATAGATGTACATATTTTCAGGGTGTATGTGATAATTTAATCTATTCATATAATGTGTAAAGATCAAACTAGGACAACTGAGATGTCCATCACCTTAAATATTTGTCTTTTCTTTATGCTAGGATGTGATTTTCTTAAATGTGACCAAGTCCTGGTCAAGTTCCAAAGAAGTCAAAGGGCAGCTGTCCGTCAACACAGACAGTAGCTGTGTTACTGAAGAATGCTGTGTATATTCAAGCCTTGCAAATAATACATTTTGTCTAAATGTAAAAAGGATTTAGAGTCTAGGCTCAGAAAAATTATCAACATGGTTTTAAAAAATAAATAATAGATTTTATTTTTAGGTTGTACTTAATCTAATGTTAAACCTGTGTACTGAATTTCATTCAACATTGATGATGATGATGATGATGATGATGATGATGATGATGATTATTATTATTATTATTATTTGAGATGGAGTTTTGCTTTTGTTGCCCAGGCTGGAGTGCAATGGCGTGATCTCGGCTCACTGCAACCTCCACCTCCCAGGTTCAAGCGATTCTCCTGCCTCAGCCTCCCGAGTAGCTGGGATTACAGGTGCGAGCCACCACACCTGGCTAATTTTTGTATTTTTAGTAGAGACAGGGTTTCACCATGTTGGCCAGGCTGGTCTCGAACTCCTGACCTCAAGTGATCCACCGGCCTCAGCCTCCCAAAGTGCTGAGATTACAGGCATAAGCTACTGGGCCCAACCTGGCTTCTTTCATTTATATGTGTGCTTAAGGATCCTGCATGTCTTTTCTTGGCATGATAATTCATTTCTTTTTTTTTTAATTTTTTAAATTTTTGAGATGGAGTTTCACTCTTGTCGCCTAGACTGGAGTCCAGTGGCATGATCTCAGCTCACTGCAACCTCTGCCTCCCAGGTTCAAGTGATTCTTCTGCCTCAGCCTACCAAGTAGCTGGGATTACAGGTGCCTGCCACCATGCCCAGCTAATTTTTGTATTTTTAGCAAAGACAGGGTTTCCCCATGTTGACCAGGCTGGTCTCGAACTCCTGGCCTCAAGTGATCTGCCTGTCTCGACCTCCCAAAGTGCTGGGATTACAGGCATAAGCCACCGCGCCCAGGCAACACATTTATTTTTATTGCTAAATAATACTCCATTGTATGAATTGCCATGGTTTGTTTATCCATTTACCTATTTCAAGACGTCTTGGTGGCTTCCATGTTTTGGTGATCACAAATAAAGATGCTATACACAATTGTGTGGAGGTTTTTGTGTGGACATAAGTTTTCAATTTATTTGGGTTAAATGCCGAGGAGCACCATTGCTAGGTCATATGGTAAGACTGTTTAGTTTGGTAAGAAACTGCCAAACTATCTTCCAAAGTGCCTGTACCATTTTTTGTTCCCAGCAACAATGAAACAATTCTTGATGCTCCACATTTTTGTGGGCACTTGGTGTTAATGTTTTAGAGTTTAGCCAGTCTAATAAGTGTGCAGCGATATCTTGTTTTATTTATTTATTTATTTGTTAATTTTTGTATTTTTTTGAGACGGAGTCTCACTCTGTCGCCCAGGCTGGAGTGCAATGGCTCAATCTCGGCTCACTGCAACCTCTGCCTCCCGGGTTCAAGTGATTCTCTGCCTCAGCCTCACCAGTAGCTGGGATTACAGGTGCACGTCACCATGCCCAGCTGATTTTGTGTATTTGCAGTAGAGATGGGGTTTCACCGTGTTGGCCAGGCTGGTCTTGAACTCCTGACCGCAGGTGATCCACCTGCCTCGGCCTCCCAAAGTGCTGGGATTACAGATGTGAGCCACCATGCCTGGCCCTTTTTTGTATATTTTGGATAACAGTCTGTTATCTGATGTGTGTGTTGAAAATATTTTATCCAGTCTGTGGCTTTTCTCTTCATTCTCTCAACAGTGTCTTTCGCAGGGCAGAAGTTTTTAATTTTAACGAAGTCCAACCTATACTACTTATTTCATGCCTTGTGCCTTTGGAGTTGTATCTAAAAAGTTATCACTATATCCAAGATGATCTAGGTTTTCTCCTATGTTATCTTCTAGGAGTTTTATATAGTTATGTACAGTTTAAGTGTTTTATATAGCTTTGTGTTTTACATGACCAATTTTAAGCTAATGTTTGTGAATGATTTAAGGTCTGTGTCTAGATTCAATTTTCCCATGTGGATGTCCAGTCGTTCCAGCACCGTTTGTTGAAAAGACTGTCTTTATTCTGTTGTATTTCCTTTGCTCCTTTGACCAAGATCATTTGACTATATTTATGTGGCTCTATTTCTGGGCTCTGAGTTCTGTTTCATTGATCTATTTGTCTATTCTTTCACTAATAGCACACTCTCTTGATAACTGTAGCTATATTAATTTTTTTTTTTTGAAATGGAGTCTCGCTCAGTTGCCCAGGCTGGAGTGCAGTGGTGCGATCTTGGCTCACTGCAACCTCCACCTCCCGGGTTCAGGCGATTATCCTGCCTCAGCCTCTTGAGTAGCTGGGACTACAGGCACATGCCATCATGCCCAGCTAATTTTTGTATTTTTAGTAGAGACCGTGTTTCACCATATTGGTCAGGCTGGTCTTGAAATCCTGACCTCGTAATCTGCCTGCCTCGGCCTCCCACAGTGCTGAGATTACAGGCATGAGCCACCGCTCCTGGCCGTTATATTAAATACTTAACTTGGGTAGTGTCAGTCCTTTGAGTTTGCTCTTTTCCTATATTGTGTTGGCTATTCTGAGTCTTTTGCCACTTCACCTAAGCTTTAGAATCAGTTTGTCAATATCCACAAAATAATTTTCTGGGATTTTGATTGGAATCATGCTTAATCTATAGATCAAGTTGGGAAGGAGAGATATCTTGACAATATGAAGCTCTCCTATCCATGAACAGGGAATATCTCTCCATTTTATTTATTTATTTATTTATTTATTTATTTATTTATTTATTTATTTAATTTTGAGACAAGGTCTCACTCGGATGTCCAGGTTGGAGTGCAACGGTGCAGTGACAGCTGACTGCAGCCTCAACCTCCCGGGCTCAGTCGATCCTCCCTCCTCAGCCTCCTGAGTAGCTGGAACCACAGGCATGTGCCACCACTGAGCTAATTTTTTAATTTTTTGTAGAGAATAAGTCTCACTATGTTTCCCAGACTCATCTCAAACTCTTGGACTCAAGTGATCCTTCTACCTTGGCCTCCCAAAGTGCTGGAATCCTAGGCATGAGCCACCGGTCCCAGGCCTCTCCATTTATTTAATTCTTCTTTGATATCTTTCATCAGAGTCTTACAGTTTTCCTCATATGGATCTTGCATATTTTGTTATATTCATTACACGTAACTATTTCCATTTCTGGGATGGTAATGTAAATTATAATGTGCTTTCATGTATGTTTATTGCAGCACTATTCACAATAACAAAGACTTGGAACCAACCCAAATGTCCATCAATGATAGACTGGATTAAGAAAATGTGGCACATATACATCATGGAATATATGCAGCCATAAAAAAGGATGAGTTCAGCTGGGCGCGGTGACTCATGCCTGTAATCCCAGCACTTTGGGAGGCCAAGGCAGGCGGATCACGAGGTCAGGATATCAAAACCATCCTGGCTAACACAGTGAAACCCGTCTCTACTAAAAATACAAAAAAATTAGCAGGGCGCGGTGGCGGGCGCCTGTAGTCCCAGCTACTCGGGAGGCTGAGGCAGGAGAATGGCATGAACCCAGGAGGCGGAGCTTGCAGTGAGCCGAGATCGTGCCACTGCACTCCAGCCTTGGGACAGAGCGAGACTCCGTCTCAAAAAAAAAAAAAAAAAAAAAAAAGGATGAGTTCATGTCCTTTGCAGGGACATGAATGCAGCTGGAAACCCTCATTTTGAGCAAACTATCACAAGGACAGAAAACCAAACACCGCGTGTTCTCACTCATAGGTGGGAATTGAACAATGAGAACACTTGGACACAGGGTGGGTAACGTCACACCCAGGGGCTTGTCGTGAGGTGGGGGGCAGGGGGAGGGATAGCATTAGGAGAAATACCTAATGCAAATGACGAGTTAATGGGCGCAGCAAACCAACATGGCACATGTATACCTATGGAACAAATCTGCACGTTGTGCACATGTACCCTAGAACTTAAAGTATAATAATAAAAAAAAAAAGAAAAGAGGAGCACCCACTAAAAATGTTTGGTTGATTTCACAAAGCAGTTTGTACCTTCTGAAATGTACAAGTTGCTAAAAAAAATTGCATTTTTTTCCTCTTTTTATAGAGTACATTCTTTTTTTTTTTTCTTTTGAGACAGAGTCTCGCTCTGTCGCCCAGGCTGGAGTGCAGTGGTGCGATCTTGGCTCACTGCAAGCTCCGCCTCCTAGGTTCACGCCATTCTCCTGCCTCAGCCTCCCTAGTAGCTGGGACTACAGGCGCCCGCCACCACGCCCTGCTAATTTTTTTGTATTTTTAGTAGAGACAGGGTTTCACCGTGTTAGCCAGGATAGTCTTGATCTCCTGACCTCGTGATCCGCCCGTCTTGGCTTCCCAAAGTGCTGGGATTACAGGCGTGAGCCACCACGCCCGGCTATGGAGTACATTCTTAATGCGGTAAAAAAATTATAATGTGCTTTAAATTTTGCTCATTCATTGCTATATATAAGAATATGGGGCGGGGCGGGGTGGCTCACGCCTGTAATCCCAGCACTTCAGGAGTCCGAGGCGGGCGGATCACCTGAGGTCGGGAGTTCGAGACCAGCCTGACCAACATGGAGAAACCCCGTCTCTACTAAAAATACAAAAAAATTAGCTGGGCGTGGTGGCGCATGCCTGTAATCTCAGCTACTCGGGAGGCTGAGGTAGGAGAATCGCTTGAATGCAGGAGGCGGAGGTTGCGGTGAGCCAAGATCGCGCCATTGCACTCCAGCCTGGGCAACAAGAGCAAAACTCTGTCTCAAAAAAAAAAAAAAAAAAAAAAAAAGATTGACTTTTGAATATTAACCTGTATCCTCCAGCCTTGGTATAATTGCTTATTATTTCCAAAGCTTTTTTGATTCTTTCAGGTTTTCTACCTAGGAAATTATGTCATTAGCAAACAAAGACAGTTTTATTTCTTCTTTCCCCATCTGTATGCCTTTTATTTCCTTTTATTAACTTATTGTGTTGGCTAAAACTTCCAGTAGGATGTTGAAAAGCAGTGGTGAGAGGGGACATTCTTGCCTTGTCCCTGATCTTACCAGAAAAGCTTCAAGTTTGTCGCTATAAAGTATATAGTTAGCTGTAGTTTTTTTGTGGATGCTCTTCATCAAGTTGCTTTCTAACCCACAAAATGTCTATTTCCCATGATTCAACCTAATAACAACGTGGGAAAACATTCATTGATTTGTAGTATTTTGTGAACATTCTTGATGGCCAAGTATTGTCGATGAACAATGCAGTAACTTGCTGAGTGGGCGGGTCACGAGGTGAGGAGATCAAGACAATCCTGGCCAACATGGTGATACCCCGTCTCTACTAAAAATACAAAAGTTAGCCAGGCGTGGCAGCACATACGTGCCTGTAATCCCAGCTACTCAGGAAGCTGAGGCAGGAGAATTGCTTGAACCTGGGAGGGGGAGGTTGCAGTGAGCAGAGATTGCACCACTGCACTCCAGCCTGGCTACAGAGCTAGACTCTGTCTCAAAAAATAATAATAATAATAATAGAAATAAAAACCAAACAAGCAAAAACAAGACAAAATAAAAACCAACCCTCTTTGCCACTGCTGGAAGCGGTTGGCTGCATCACACCAACTCTTAACTCTGAACATTGGTAATTTAAGAGGAAACTATTCAGCATGTATGGGAAGTAATTAGGGTTGAAATATCATGATACTTGGTTTTTACTTTATATATTATATGTACTTTATATGTAATTATGTATTATTATGTTTTTTCATATAGATGGAAAAATGTTGCAAAATATCAACAATTGCCACCTAGGTTGTGGGTTTACGAGTGTTCATTGTGCTATTCTATCTTTCTGTGGATTCAAAGCTTTCTATGAAAAAAAGTTTAAAAAGTAAGAATTTCTCTTACTTTTCCTATTTAACCATTCGTCAGAAAGTGTTTTTTTTTTGTTTTTTGTTTTTGTTTTTTTTTTGAAACTTAGTCTCGCTCTGTCTCCCAGGCTGGAGTGCAACGGCGCGATCTGGGCTCACTGCAAGCTCCGCCTCCCGGGTTGACGCCATTCTCCTGCCTCAGCCTCCCGAGAAGCTGGGACTACAGGCGCCCGCCACCACCAGGCGCCCGGCTAATATTCTGTATTTTGTTTAGTAGAGACGGGGTTTCACCGTGTTAGCCAGGATGGTCTCAATTTCCTGACCTCGTGATCCACCTGCCTTGGCCTCCCAAAGTGCTGGAAAGAAAGATGTTTTTATATGTTCCCTAGCATTTTTTTTGAGATGGAGTTTTGCTCTTGTTGCCCAGGCTGGAGTGCAATGCTGTGATCTCAGCTCACCACAACCTCCACCTCCTGGGTTCAAGCGATTCTCCTGCCTCAGTCTCCCAGGTAGCTGGAGTTACAGGCATGCGCCACCACGCCCAGCTAATTTTGTATTTTTAGTAGAGACGGGGTTTCTCCATGTTGGTCAGGCTGGTCTCAAACTCCCGACCTCAGGTGATCTGCCCACCTCGGCCTCCCAAAGTACTGGGATTACAGGCGTGAGCCACCGTGCCTGGCCTTCTCCGGCATTTTAGTTGCACTATACCGGGAGCAGTTTCTCTGAATCATATTGCCTGACTCCTTAAACTTGTTTTTGTTTAATAACGTTGTTCATTGTATAGCTAAACCATAATGTTTTAAAGTAGTCCCCTATTGGCTGGGTGTAGTGGCTCACGCCTGTAATTCCAGTACTTTGGGAGGCCAAGATGGGAGGATCTCTTGAGACCAGGAGTTCGAGACCAGTCTGGTCAACATAGTGTGACCTCATCTCTTAAAAAAAAGAAAAAATGGCCGGGCGCGGTGGCTCATGCCTGTAATCCCAGCACTTTGGGAGGTCGAGGCGGGCGGATCACGAGGTCAGGAGATCGAGACCATCCTGGCTAACATGGTGAAATCCCGTCTCTACTAAAAATACAAAAAAAATTAGCAGGGCGTGGTGACTGGGGCCTGTAGTCCCAGCTACTTGGGCGGCTGAGGCAGGAGAATGGCGGGAACCCAGGAGGCGGAGCTTGCAGTGAGCCGAGATCACGCCACTGCACTCCAGCCTGGGTGACAGAGCGAGACTACGTCTTAAAAAAAGAAAAGAAAAAAAAAAGAAAAGAAAAGAAAAAAGAAAAAAGGCTGAGAGGCTGAGGCAGGAGAATCGCTTGAACCCGGGAGGTGGAGACTGCAGTGACTCGAGATTGCGCCACTGCACTCCAGCCTGGGCAACAAGAGCGAGACTCCATCTCAAAAAAAAAAAAAAAAAAGTAGTCCCCTATCGATGGACATTTACGTTAGATTGTTTCCAATCTAGAAAAAAGTACAAAAAGAAAAAAAAGCATAAAATAAACAAGAAACAAAAACAAACACAAAAATAAAATAGATGATTTCCATTCATCTGTTATTATAAATAATGGTGCAATGAATAACATTTGGGAGTTTATCTGTAGGTGAAATTCCTAGAAGTGGAAATGCTTTCGAGGATATATACAGCTAAATTTTTTTTACACCTGTAATTTTAATAGATGCTGCTAAATTGCTCTCCACAGAGATTGCACCAGTTCACAGTTCCACCAGCTATATATGTTGGTGCCTGTTATCCAGCCAGCAGGATGTTGTTAAATGTTTTGTTCTTTTTTTTTTTTTTTTTGAGACAGAGTTTTGCTCTTGTTGCCCAGGCTGGAGTGCAATGGCGCGATCTTGGCTCACTACAACCTCTGCCTCCCGGGTTCAAGCAACTCTGCCTCCCGGGTTCAAGCAACTCTGCCTCAGCCTCCTGAATAGCTGGAATTACAGGCATGCGCCACCACGCCTGGCTAATTTTTTTTTTTTTGTATTTTTCGTAGAGACGGGGTTTCTCAATGTTGGTCAGGCTGGTCTTGAACTCCCAACCTCAGGTAATCCGCCCACCTCAGCCTCTCAAAGTGCTGAGATTATAGGTGTCAGCCACTGCACCTAGCACTTTTTTTTTTTTTTTTTTTTTTTTTTGAGACAGAGTTTCATTCTTGTTGCCCAGGCTGGAATGCAATGGGCGATCTTGGCTCACTGAAACTTCTGCCTCCTGGGTTCAAGCGATTCTCCTGCCTCAGCCTCTCGAGTAGCTGGGATTACAGCAGCGCGCCACCACGCCTGGCTAATTTTTTGTAGTTTTGGTAGAGATGGGGTTTCACCAAGTTGGTGAGGCTGGTCTCGAACTCCTGACCTCAGGCGATCTGCCCTCCTCGGCCTCCCAAAGTACTGGGATTATAGGCGTGAGCCACCGTGCCCAGCCTAAATGTTTTGTTCTTAACCAAACTGTAGGTGGAAACTGGTATCAGTATAGTTTCAATTGGCATTAACCTTTTGCTGTGGGTTAGCAACTTTTAATAGTTAAATCATATAAAGTTGTCAGTTTTATAAGTCAAAAGTCAATATTGGCAACTTTATATATGGTTCAAGCTAATCTATTTAAAAGCCTCTTTTTCTGAGAACTGTTTCTGTTATTTGTCCATTTTTCTACTGGGTTGTTGCTCTTTTTGTTGCTTCTTAATAGTGAATGGCAAGAGGTCTTTTTTTTTTTTTTTTTTTTTTGAGACGGAGTCCCGCTCTGTCGCCCAGGCTGGAGAGCGCAGTGGCGCAATCTCTGCTCACTGCAAGCTCCGCCTCCCGGGTTCATGCCATTCTCCTGCCTCAGCCTCCCAAGTAGCTGGGACTACAGGCGCCTGCCACCACGCCCAGCTAATTTTTTGTATTTTTAGTAAAGACGGGGTTTCACAGAGTTAGCCAGGATGGCATCGATCTCCTGACCTCATGATCCACCCACCTTGGCCTCCCAAAGTGCTGGGATTACAGGCATGAGCCACCGCACCCGGCCGGCAAGAGGTGGCCTCCCAAAGTACTGGGATTACAGGCGTGAGCCAACCGCACCCGGCCGGCAAGAGGTCTTTATTTTGGGAAAATTAAACGTTTGTGTGTCATACGAGTTGTGAATTTTTTCTTAGTTTGTCACTTGACTTTGCTGATGGTGGTTTTTCTCTGCGGATTCTTTTTGTTTTTGTTTTTGTTTTGAGATGGGGTCTCACTTTGTCACCCAGGCTGGAGTGCAGTGGCATGATCTCGGCTCACTGCAACCTCCACCTCCCAGGCTCAAGCCATCTTCCCACCTCAGCCTCCTGAGTAGCTGGGACTACAGATGCACGCCACCATGCCCGGCTAATTTTTTGTATTTTTGGTAGAGACAGGGTTTCACCATGTTGCCTGGGCTGTTCTCAAACTCCTGAGCTCAAGCAATCCGCCCGCCTTGGCCTCTCAAAGTGCTGGGATTACAGGCATAAGCCACTGCACCTGGCCTATGCAGATATTCTTGATGTCGACTTTGGTCACCTGGTTAAGTCACGTTTGCCAAGTTTATCTAGTATAAAGTTACTATTTGTCAGCCGGGCACGGTGGCTCACGCCTGTAATCCTAGCTTGGGAGGGAGACAGAGGCGGGCGGATCATGAGGTCAAGAGATCGAGACCATTCTGGCCAACACGGTGAAACCCCCGTCTCTACTAAAAATACAAAACTTAGCTAGGCATGGTGGCACACCCCTGTAGTCCCAGCTACTTGGGAGGCTGAGCCAGGAGAATCGCTTGAAACTGGGAGCCAGAGAGCTGAGATCATGCCACTGCACTCCATCCTGGGAGACAGAGCAAGACTCCGTCTCAAAAAAAAAAAAGTTATTATTTGTCCTTTCCATACCCTATTCTTTGGAGGCTAGTTGCTAAGTCCAGCCTACAGTTACAGGAGGATGGTACTAAGCTCTACCTCTTGGATTAAGGAGTATCTCTATATATTACATATTATTTGAAATTCTTCTGTAAGGATGATTTGTCTCTTCTCCCCTATTTGCTTATTTATTCAATTATTTTATATCAGTATGATCAGTATAGACTCATGTGGATATATTTCATACTTTGACTTATAATTCAATACCATGCTATTTACTTTGTTGCTCAAATTGTTCCAGCATTGGCTGCTGGAATTTCTTTCAAGTTGGCTTCCATGGCCCTGTGACATGTGACAGGCTTTTTTTTTTTTTTTTTTGAGACAGAGTCTTGCTCTGTCGCCCAAGCTGGAGTGCAGTGGCACGATCTCGGCTCACTGCAAGCTCCGCCTCCCGGGTTCACACCATTCTCCTGCCTCGGCCTCCTGAGTAGCTGGGACTACTGGCGCCTGCCACAACGCCCGGCTAATTTTTTTTTCGTATTTTCAGTAGAGGCGAGGTTTCACCGTGTTAGCCAGGATGGTCTCGATCTCCTGACATGGCGATCTGCCCGCCTTGGCCTCCCAAAGTGCTGGGATTACAGGCATGAGCCACCGCGCCTGGCCTTTTTTTTTTTTTTTTTTTTTTTTAATAATCAGAATCTCATTCTGTTGCCAGGCTGGAGTGCAGGGGTGTGATTATACCTCATGGCAGCCTTGAACTCTTGGGCTCAAGCAATCCTCCCACCTCAGCCTCCTGAGAAACTGGGACTATAGGTATGTATCACCATGTCCAGCTAATGTAATTTTTTTTTTTTTTTTTTGAGATGGAGTCCCTCTCTGTTGCCCAGGCTGGAGTGCAGTGGCGCCATCTGGGCTCACTGCAACCTCCGCCTCCCAGGTTCAAGCTATTCTTCTGCCTCAGCCTCCCGAGTAACTGGGATTACAGGCAAGAGCCACCATGCCTGGCTAATTTTTGTATTTTTAGTAGAGATGGGGTTTCACCATGTTGGCCAGGCTGGTCACCAACTCCTGACCTCAGGTGATCCACCTGCCTTGGCCTCCCAAAGTGCTGGGATTACAGTCGTGAGCCACCGCTCCTGGCCAAGACCATGTTTCTTAAAAAACAAACAAACAACAACAACAAAACAAATATCTATATCTATATCTATATATCTATATATATAGATATAGATATATATACACACACACACATAAGCAGAGGGACAGGAACCAAGAACATCACACGATTTCACATCCTAGGGTCCTCCAGAGCTCAGATTATAGATGGATGGCCGGGAGGGGGTGTCTACCACTCTAATTTGTTAATCACCAGAGAATCGCTTGAACCCGGGAGACGGAGGTTGCACTGAGCTAAGATTGCGCCATTACACTCCAGCTTGGGCAACAGAGCGAGACTACATCTCAAAGAAAAACAAAAACAGCTTGGCTAAAAAGACCAGCTCGGCCTTGCCAGGAGTGTCCACAAGGGGGCAGTCGAACATTTGCTTACGAGTTCCCCAAGGGCGAAAGATCGGTTTTTAACCTCATTCAGGAACGGAAGATGGAATCTCGGGCTTTGACGGTCGATAAATTAGAAATAAGATCCTTGCACAAAGCCAGAACCCTTGAAGGGCTGCAATCACTTTGTAAGGAAGACCAGTAAACTTCCCACTGGCCAGGGAGGCAACCGGGAAGCTCATCTCAGCTGTTGCCTTGGCTGGGAATAAAACAAGGTTTCCTAATCTCCAGGCGGGCAAGGAGCCTAAATCAGTCTATTCCGTGGGAAATTCAAGCTGATACATTATCATAAAAATTAATCCCAGGCTGTTTCTATATCATGGTCTGAGTTTTTGTCCTCCTATTCCAATAAATGTGTTGAAACATAATCATCAATGTGATACTATGGAGGGGGGTGATTAGATCATGAAGGTAGATTCCTTATAAATGGAATGGCGTCTGTATAAAAGAGGCTTCAGGGAGTTCCCTCACGCCTTCCATCATGTGAGAACACGTGAGAATGTGCAATCTGTGAACCAGGAAACAGGTCTTCACCAGATAAAGAACCTGAGAGTGACTTGATCTTAGACTTCCCAGCCTCCAGAACTTTGGGAAATAAATTTCTGTTGTTTACAAGCCACTCAGTCTATGGTATTTTGTTGCAGCAGCTCTAACAGACTAAAACAGCAGAAGCAACTACAAGAACACTTTGGTGGAACACAGCCCTTCTCAACATGCTCACAGCCATATGAAGAAACAACTTCCCATGAGCAAGAATGAGCAGACAGCCATCAAAAGCATTACCTCCTTTAGGGGCTAACTCATGTTTCTGGGTAGAAGCTTTATAATAAGTCTCAACAGGCTGGGCGCAGTGGCTCAGGCCTGTAATCCCAGCACTTTGGGAGGCCGAGGTGGGAGGATCACTTCAGCTTGGGAGTTCCAGACCAGCCCGGGCAACACGGCAAAACCCTGTCTCTACCAAAAATACAGAAAATTAGCCTGGCCTGGTGGTATGCACCTGTAGTCCCAGCTACTTGAGAGGCTGAGGTGGGAGGATTGCTTTTGAGCCTGGGAGGCAGAGGTTGCAGTGGGCCAAGATCTCACCACTGCACTCCAGCCTAGGTGACAGAGTGAGACTCCATTAAAAAAAAAAAATTCTCAACAACTTAACTTGTTATTTTCTCAACAACTTAACATGTTATTTTAATGTTATAATTAAACTCTTAGGGTTATTTTATAGCATATGAAAACTGCTTTTGAAATTCATCTTGGAGAAGACATGAGAGAGAATAACTAATGACAGATTTAATTTTTTTTTTTTGAGACAGAGTCTCACTCTGTTGCCCAGGCTGGAGTGCAGTGGTGCAATCTTGACTCACTGCAACCTCCGCCTCCTGGGTTCAAGTGATTTTCCTGCCTCAGCCCATTGAGTAGCTGGGATTACAGGCGCCTGCCACCACGTCCGGCTAAATTTTGTATTTTTAGCAGAGACAGGATTTCACCATGTTGGCCAGGCTGGTCTTGAACTCCTGACCTCAAGTGATCTGCCCACCTTGGCCTCCCAAAGTACTTGGATTACAGGCATGAGCCACCGCGCCCGGCCTAATGACAGATTTAAAAACAACCATGGGCTAGGCATGGTGGCTCACACCTGTAATCTCAGCACTTTGAGAGGCTGAGGCAGGTGGATTGCTTGAGCCCAAGAGTTCGCAGCCAGCCTGGGCAACATGGCAAGACCCCATCTCTACAAAAAAATAATAAAAAAATTAGCCAGGCATAGTGGCACATGTCTGTGGTCCCAACTACTTGGGAGGCTGAGGTGGGAGGATCACTTGAGCCCAGGAGGTCAATGTTGCAATGAGCCATGATTATGCCACTGCACCCTGGCCTGCTGGCCTGGGTAACAGAGTAGGATCCTGTCAAAAAAAAAAGAACAAGAAAATCAAAGAACACTACTACAGTATTATATCAGTCAAGGGCTAATCAGGAGACAGAATCCACACAGTCATTGAAGCAAAAGTCCAACATAAGGAATGATTAGGGGATTGAAATCATGGGGGATTGACTAATGAGAGTTGAAGAGAACACTAAAGAACGAAAACATAGGCCGGGCGCAGTGGCTCATACCTGTAATCTCAGCACTTTGGAAGGCCAAGGTGAGCACATTGCTTGAGCCCCAGGAGTTTGAGACCACCCTAGGCAACATAGTGAAACCCTGTCGCTATAAAAACTTTTAAAAATCAGCTGGGTGCGGTGGCTTGTGCCTATAGTCCCAGCTAACCGGGAAGCTGAGGTGGGAGGATCGCCTGAGCCCCCGAAGTCAAGGCTGCAGTGAGCTGTGATCACACCATGCACTCCAGCTTGGGTGGCAAAGTAAGACCCTGTCTCAAAAAAAAAAAAAAAAAAAAAGAAAAGAAAAAAGAAAAAAAGAAAGAAATAGATACAGGGAGAAGCCGCTGCCCTAAGGGCTAACATAGAGCACCCAAGGAAGAGCCCCACTCCAAGACAGGGATCCAGACCATGCTGGAGAGAGCAAGGCCATGGCTGATGAGACATCTGAAGTGCCTCGGGCAACACTGCAAAGCTGCGGGAGGCTATGCCAGGGGAAGCTGCTGGCTGCTGGGTGCTGCTGGTCACTGCATGCTCATGAATTGGGAGCTGGAGAAGGTGACCTCAGCAGGATCTGGTCCCTGCAAAAACTATTATGTGTGGGCCAGAGGCTATGGAAAGCTGTGGCCTGCAGGACCCAGGTGTGGAAAACTTTGCCTACCCAAGAGCTGAGCGCCACAGAAAGTGGGTGCTGCGCTTGTCTCCTCCTGTGTCTCTTCAGCGCCCTCTATTGATGAGGCCGAGGACGGGATTTCTAGCAAGATGGGCTTCTATAAGCAATGAAGATGGAAGTCAACTGAACTGTGTAGTTTACCTGTCAGATCTTAAAGCCAAAGGGGAAAACCTTACTCAGTGGATGTGAGCTCCCACTCAAGGAAGTTGCTCCTTGGTCTTACTACTCTAGGCTTCAAAGATGGTAGGAGGGGCCGGGCGCGGTGGCTCACACCTGTAATCCCAGTGCTTTGGGAGGCCGAGGTGGGTGGATCACCTGAGATCGGGAGTTTGAGAGCAGCTTGGCCAACATGGAGAAACCCTGTGTCTACTAAAAAGACAAAAATTAGCCGGGCGAGGTCGCGCATGTCTTTAGTTCCAGCTACTTGGGAGGCTGAGGCAGGAGGACCACTTGAACCCGGGAATCAATGCAAAATGATTTATTATGTGATGACTTAAAATCTGTTGAAATGAAACTGATCTGTTTCATCTCCAAAGAGCAGACTGCAGAAATTTGAGAGGGACATCAGAGTTATGGTGAGAAACAGGTGGATGAGTGGCAGGACTCAATTACAAGTGGGATCATGCCAAGATAATTTTCCAGCTGAAGCAGAGGAGAAACATTCCATTGACCTACAGATGAAGCCAAGGTTGGTGATTCCCTTGGAGATGCTAGCAGCTCTGTTCTGGACTTTATGTCAAAGAAATCATATTGTATGTTTCTTTTGCTATTTCCATGCTTAGTTCATTGGGGAAAGTACAAAAGAAATTGCACCATGGCGAAAGCCATTTGAAGTTAGATGAGAAACAACAGCTAAACTCTTGGAATATCTTTAGGAAACGCAGACGTGATGAGGAGGTCTTTCAACCTCAGTTTTCTAACACATCCGAAAGCCTTTGCACCACCTGGGAAGCCTCCTCTCAGGGAACAATAAGACATAGTCGTAACTCATAGGAATTTCTTCTGTCTCCAGAGCCTGAATCCTCTGAATTATTTTTTAAACTTAAACTTGCACGTACAAAGTTTTTGTGGTGACAAAAAGAATTTTCTTTCTTTCTTTTCTTTCTTCTCTTTTTCTTTCTCTCCCTCTCTCTCTCTTTTTTTTTTTTTTGAGACAGAGTCTTGCTCCGTCGCCTAAGCTGGAGTACAGTGGCACAATCTCAGCTCACTGCAACCTCTGTCCCCCGGGTTCAGGTGATTCTCCTGCCTCAGTAGCTGGTATTATAGGTGTGCACCATCATGCCCGCCTAATTTTTGTATTTTTAGTAGAGATAGGGGTTTCATCATGTTGGTCAGGCTGGTCTCGAACTTCTGACCTCGTAATCCACCCGCCTCGGCCTCCCAAAGTGCTAGGATTACAGGCGTGAGCCACCGCGCCCGGCCTCTTTCCTTTCTCTCCCTTCCTTCCTTCCTTCCTTCCTTCCTTCCTTCCTTCCTTCCTTCCTTCCCTCCCTCCTTCCTTCCTTCCTTCCCTCCTTCCTCTCTTTCTTTCTTTTCTTTCTTTCTTTCTCTCTCTTCCTTTCTCTCTTTCTCTCTCTTTCTTCTTTTTTTTTTTTGAGACAGAGTCTCACTCTGTCGCCCAGGCTGGAGTGCAATGGCGCAATCTCAGCTCACTGCAACCTCCGCCTCCCAGATTCAAGCGATTTTCCTGTCTCACCCTCCCAAGGAGCTGGGATTACAGGCGCCCACCACCACACTTGGCTAATTTTTATAGTTTTAGTAGAGACGGGGTTTCACCATGTTGGTCTTGAACTCCTGACCTCAGGTGATCCACCCGCCTTGGCCTCCTAAAGTTCTGGGATTACAGGCGTAAGCCACCACGTCCGGCCAACACAAAGACTTTCATGTTATTTCTGGAATAAGAAAAACAGCTACGGAAAAAATATATCAACAGCATACTGTATACAGCATTTTTTTTTAAATGGAGATTAATGAATCGTGAAAATAATATGTAAGGCTGGACACAATGGCTCATGCCTGTAATCCCATCACTTTGGGAGGCCGAGGAGGGAGGATCATTTGAGCCCAGGAGTTTGAAACTAGCCTGGACAACATAGTGAGATCCTGTCTCTGCAAAAACTTTAAAAATTACCTGGGCATGGTGGCATGCACCTGTAGTGCTAGCTACTCAGGAGGATGAGAAAGGAGGATTGCTTGAGCCCAGGAGTCTGGGGTTGCACAGAGCTATGATCCTGCCACTGCATTCTGCCCAGGTGACAGAGTAAGACCCTGTCTCTAAATTTAAAAAAAGAAAAAAATAAAGACAAGAAAATAACACGTAAATGGTGAGCTAAACCAGATTTCTTGAATCAACAGTGCTTGTCAGTGATTTTCGCTTCCCCATTCTATGTGCTTTTGTTCTTTTTTGTACAAAGAGATTGTTCTCTGATGTCATTTATGTAATTAAAAATAAATGAATTAAAAACCAAATCGAGAACATTTTCTATTTTTAAAATCAGAAGAAATAACATTTTTACATTTCTAATTAAAACTGTAAGTACGCCGGGTGCAGTGGCTCACGCCTGTAATCCCAGCACTTTGAGAGGACAAGGTGGGTGGATCACTTGAGGTCAAGAGTTCAAGACCAGCCTGGCCAACATGGTGAAATCCCACCTTTACTAAAAACACAAAAATTAGCCAGGCGTGGTGTTGGGCGCCTGTAATCCCAGCTACTCAGGAGGCTGAGGCAGGAGAATTGCTTGAACCCACGAGGCGGAGGCTGCAGTGAGCCGAGATCACGCCACTATACTCTGGGCGACAGAGGGAGACTCCATTTAAAAACAAACAAACAAAGAAACAAAACAAACAAAAAACCTCTAAGCGCATATTTCTAATACAAACCCTAATCTAGACTACAAGTGAACTGTAATCAAAACAGTGGAGTATGAGACAGCAAATCTACTTGTAAGCACTATATGAATGATACTTTTACTTTCTTGAGACAGAGTCTCACTCTGTCGCCCAGGCTGGAGTGCAGTGGCTCAATCTCGGCTCACTGCAAGCTCCACATCCCGGGTTCACGCCATTCTCCTGCCTCAGCCTCCTGAGTAGCTGGGACTACAGGAGCCTGCCACCACGCCTGGCTAATTTTTTGTATTTTTAGTAGAGACGGGGTTTCACCATGTTAGCCAGGATGGTCTCGATCTCCTGACCTCGTGATCCTCCTGCCTCGGCCTCCCAAAGTGCTGGGATTACAGGCGTGAGCCACCGTGCCGGGCCTACAAATGATACTTCTAAGAGAAAACATAGGAGAAAATATTTTTGATCTAGTTAAGGGACCATTTTCTTAGTTATGACACCAAAAAGCATGATCCATAAAAGAAAACATTATAAATTGGAATTCACCAAAATTAAAAACTTTAACTCTTGGCCGGGCACGGTGGCTCACGCCTGTAATCCCAGCACTTTGGGAGGTCGAGGCGGGCAGATCACGAGGTCAGGAGATCGAGACCATCCTGGCTAACATGGTGAAACCCTGTCTCTACTAAAAATACAAAAAAATTAGCCGCACTTGGTGGCATGAGCCCGTATTCCCAGCTACTCAGGAGGCTGAGGCAGGAGAATCGCTTGAACCCGGGAGGCTGAGGTTACAGCGAGCCGAGATCGCGCCACCGCACTTCAGCTTGGGCGACAGAGCGAGACTCCGTCTCAAACAAAAACAAAAACAAAAACTTTAGCTCTTTAAAAAACACTGTTATGAATATAAAAAGACAAGCCACAGACTGGGAGAAAATATTTGCAAAACATATATCTGACAAAGGACTTGGACCTAGAATATATTAAAATAACTCATATAACTAAGTAATAATAATTCAGACAACCTCATTTTTAAATGGAGATGATTGGCTGGGTGCGGTGGCTCATACCTGTAATCCCAGCATTTTGGGAGGCTGAGGCTGGTGGAACACTTGAGGTCAGGAGCTCGAGACCAGCCTGGCCAGCAGGGTGAAACCCCGTCTCTGCTAAAAATACAAAAAATTAGCAGGGTGTGGTGGTGCGTGCCTGTAGTCCCAGCTATTTGGGAGGCTGAGGCAGGAGAATCACTTGAACCTGGGAGGCGGAGGTTTCAGTGAGCTAAGATCACACCACTGCACTCCAGCCTGTTGACAGAGTGAGACTCTGTCTCAAAAAACAAAATAAAACAACAACAAAAAAACGAGATGATGTGAACGGACACCATACCAAGGAAGGTATATAGATGATAAGTTAGCAAATAAAATATGCTCAATGTCATTGGTCATTAGAGAAATGCAAATTTAAACCACAATGACTTACCTGGCAGGGGAGATGCCATGATCACATAGGTGGTTTTCCCAGGGTGAGGTGCATCCATTGCACTCCAGGTGTGCTAACCCTTGCAATTTCCCTCAACGTGGGAAACTCAACTGCGTTGTTTGTGGCAGTGGGGGACTGCATTTGCGCTTTCTCCTGTGTCAACTTTCTTTTTTTTCTTTTCTTTACTTTTCTATTTTTTTTTTGAGATGGAGACTTGTCCTGTCGCCCAGGGTGGAATGCAGTGATGCGATCTCGGCTCACTGCAACCTCCACCTCCCAGGTTCAAGCGATTCTCCTGCCTCAGTCTCCTGAGTAGCTGGGATTACAGGTGCGCACCACCACACCTGGCTAATTTTTTGTATCTTTAGTAGAGACAGGGTTTCACCACATTGGCCAGGCTGATCTCGAACTCCTGACCTCGTGATCCACCTGCCTCAGCCTCCCAAAGTGCCAGGATTACAGGCGGGAGCCACCATGCCTGGCTTACTGTGTCAAATTTCTTTTTTTAAATAATGCAATGAACTACCACTTACTCGCCTATTAGAATGACTGAAATTAAAAAGACTGACTATACTGAGTGTTGGCTATGAAGGAGAAACTAGAGCTCTTATACTCTGTTGATGAGAATGTAAAGTGGTACATTTTGGAAAAACAATTTGGCAGTTTCTGAAAAAATTAAGCACATACTACCACATGACTCAGCGTTTCACTTCTAGGTATAGTTCCAAAGAAATTAAAGCATAGGTCCAAACAAGGACTTGTACAAAAATATTCATAGTAGTTTTATTTGTGATGGCACAAAACTGGAAACAACCCAATGTCCATAAATAGGTTAAGGGATAAACAAATCACAGGAATACTTTTCACAATTTAAAAGCAATGATGCCGGGCACAGTGGCTCATGCCTGTAATGCTAGCACTTTGGGAGGCCCAGGCGGGCAGATCATTTGAGCCCAGGAGTTGGAGACCAGCCTGGGCAATATGGCAAAACCCCATCTCTACTAAAAATACAAAAATTAGCTGGGCATGGTGGTGGGTGCCGGTAATCTCAGCTACTCAGGAGGCTGAGGCATAAGAATCGCTTCAGCCCAGGAGGCAGAGGTTGCAGTGAGCTGAGATTGTGCCGCTGCACTCCACCCTGGGTGATAGAGTGAAACTGTCTAAAACATAAATAAATAAAAGTAATGAACTATTGATACATACACAGCATGGGTGGATCACGAAATACTAATGCTGAAAGAAGCAGATTCCCCCCTCAAAAAAAATAGTATGCATTGTATAATCCAATTCATATAAAATACTAGAAAATGCAAAATAATCTATAGTGACAAAAGGCAGGTGAGTGGTTGCTTAGAGATAGGGCTGGGCAGGGGGTAGACGAAGGATTACAAACAGTCAAGAGGAGGCTGGGCATGGTGGTTCATGCCTGTGATTCCAGCAGTTTGGGAGGTAGAGGCAGGAGGCTTGCTTGAGGCCAGGAGTTTGAAACCACCCTAAGCAACATAGTGAGACCCCTCTCTACGAAAAGTAAAACAATTAGCTGGGTGTGGTGGTGCACGCCTGTGGTCTCAGCTATTTGGGAGGCTGTGGTTGGAGGATCACTTGAGCTTGAGAGTCTGAGGCTCAGTGAGCTTTAATCGCACCACTCCACTCCAGCCCGATAAAGGGAGCAAGACCCTGTCTCAAAAAAAAAAAAAAAAAAGTCAAGAGGAAACTTTTGAAGGTAATGGATATGTTCATTATCTTCATTGTGGTTACAGTTTCATGGGTATACACATACGTCAAAACTTATCAAATTGTACTATTTATTTATTTATTTATTTATTTATTTATTTATTTATTGAGACAGAGTCTGACTCTGTTGCCCAGGCTGGAGTACAGTGGCACGATCTCGGCTCACTGCAACCTCCGCCTCCCAGGTTCAAGTGATTCTCCTGCCTCAGCCTCCTGAGTAGATGGGTTCACAGGTGCACACCACCACGCTCGGCTAATTTTTGTATTTTTTTTTTTTTTTTAGTAGAGATGGGGGTTTCGCCATGTTGGCCAGGCTGGTCTTGAACTCCTGACCTCAGGTGATCTGCCCGCCTCGGCCTCCCAAAGTGCTAGGATTACAGGCGTGAGCCACCGCGCCTGGCCAAATTGTATACTTTAAATATGTGTAGCTTATTATTCACATGAATTAATACTATCAATAGGTAGGGACTGGGCATGAAGAAAACTGGTATCCCCTGGTAAGGTCATTATATACTTCAATTGGCATATAATTTGAAGGTGCATGATACTTGGAGTTATCTGATTCCTTTTAAAGTTGTCATTTGAATTCTTGAGGTTTCCAGACTTTCCCATCAATGCCCTAGATTTCACAGAAAAGACTTGGAAATAGTATGAATTTAACTTATTTGTTAATTATACCTTTGATTTGCAGCTGCAGCAGCCCTGTGGTTAGAGGGGTAAGAAATTCTCATACGGCAGGCATGCGAAGTACTTGGTGCTCTGTGTCTTGAGCCAAGCATTTAATGACCTGAGCTTTTCTTTCTTTTTTTTTGAGATGGAGTCTCACTCTGTTGCCAGGCTGGAGTGCAGTGGCGTGATCTTGGCTCACTGCAACCTCTGCCTCCCGGTTTCAAGCGATTCTCTTGCCTCAGCCTCCCGAGTAGCTGGGACTACAGGTGCGCCACCACACTCAGCTAATTTTTGTATTTTTAGTAGAGACGGGGTTTCGCCATGTTGGCCAGGCTGGTCTTGATCTCTTGATCTCTTGATCTTGTGATCTGCCCCCCTAGGCCTTCCAAAGTGCTGAGATTACAGGTGTGAGCCACCGTGCCTGGCCAGAGCTTTTCATTTTCTTTAAACTCTCCAGGGTAGTTAAAAGCATCAGCTGCTCCTCAAAATATATTTATTAATTGCAAAGAGAAACGTAGTTATTTTGCAGTGGAGGAACTCAGAGCAAACACTGCCTTAACCAAGCACTCAAGGTTAAAATCACCAGTTTAAAGACCAGGCATGGTGGTGGATGCCTGTGGTCCCTGCTATTTAGGAGGCTGAGGTGGGAGGATTGCCTGAGCCTGGGAGGTCGAGGCTGCAATGAGCCTAGATTGTGCCACTGTACTCCAGCCTGGGCAACAGAGTAAGACCCTATCTCAAAAAAAAAAAAAAAGTTTGTTAAGTCACTAAGTTTGTGGTAATTTGTTACAGCCAACCTTATGGTTTACAGTGTGGCCCAGACTGAGAAAAGATTCTCCAGCCAAACCAGGCTGCAGTCTAAGCAATCCTCTTCTTGTCTCTTATTACTCTGTGGAGCCAATGACACCAGATGGAGAAACTGTATGGAGCTCAGGGAAAGGCTGTATGGGAGAATTGGAGCACGTGCCCTGTGTTTTGTTGGTTTTATTTGGTTTTGGTGGGGTTTTATTGTTTTCTTTTTTTTTCTTTCTTCTTCTTTTTTTTTTGAGAGAGTCTCACTCTGTTGCCCAGGCTGGAGTGCAGTGGCATGATCTCAGCTCACTGCAACCTCCGCCTCCTGGGTTCAAGAGATTCTCCTGCCTCAAGCTCCCGAGTAGCTGAGATTACAGGTGCCTGCCACCACACCCAGCTAATTTTTGTATTTTAGTAGAGACAAGGTTTCACCATGTTGGTCAGACTGGTTTCGAACTCCTGACCTCAAATGATCTTCATGCCTCGGCCTCCCAAAGTGCTGGAATTACAGGTGTGAGCAACTGTGCCTGGCCTGTTTTTTTGTTTTTTGTTTTGTTTTTGTTTTTGAGACAAGATTTCACTCTGTCACCCAGGCTGGAGTGCAGTGGCACATCATAGTTCACTGTAGCCTCAACCTCCTGGGCTCCAGCAATCCTCCAGCCCAAACCTCCTGAGTGGCTGGGACTCCATGTACACGCTGCCACACCTGGTTAATTTTTAAATTTTTTGTGGAGATGAGTTCTCACTATGTTGCTCAGGCTGGTCTTGAACGCCTGGGCTCAAGCGATCCTCCCACCTTGTCCTTCCAAAGTGCTAGGATTCTAGGTGTGAATCACTGTGACTGGACTCCCTGTCTTTTTTTTTTTTTTTTTTTTTTTAGTTAAACTTTTTTTTTTTTGAGACAGAGTCTCACTCTGTTGCCCAGACTGGAGTTCAGTGGCACAATCTCAGCTTGCTGCAACCTCCGCCTCCTGGGTTCAAGCAATTCTCCTGCCTCAGCCTCCCAAGTAGCTGGGATTACAGGCGCCCACCACCACACCCGGCTAATTTTTGTATTTTAGTTCAGACGGGGTTTCGCCATGTTGATCAGGCTGGTTTTGAACTCCTGACCTCAAGTGATCCACCTGCCTCGGCCTCACAAACTGCTGGGATTACAGGCGTGAGCCACCACGCCTGGCCGTTAAACTTTTTATTTTGGGATAATTGTGGATGTACATGCAGTTCAAAGAAATAATACAGAGCGATCCTTTACCCAGTTTTCCCCATTGATAATATCTTGCAAAACTATAGTACAATATTGGCCGGGCACGGTGGCTCACACCTGTAATCCCAGAGCTTCGAGAGGCCGAGGCCGGGCGCTGTGGCTCATGCCTGTAATCCAGAGTTTGAGAGGCCGAGGCCGGGCGCAGTGGCTCACGCCTGTAATCCCAGCACTTTGAGAGGCCGAAGCCGGCCGCGGTGGCTCACGCCTGTAATCCCAGAGCTTTAAGAGGCCGAGGCGGGTGGATCATGAGGTCGGGAGATCGAGACCAGCCTGGCCAACATGGTGAAACCCCGTCTCCATTAAAAATACAAAATTTAGCCGGGCATGGTGGCGCGCGCCTGTAGTCCCAGTAGCTACTCTGGAGGCTGAGGCAGGAGAATTGCTTGAACCCAGGAGGCGGAGGCTGCAGTGAGACAAGATCGTGCCACTGCACTCCGAGCCTGGGCGACAGAGCGAGACGCTGTCTCAAAAACAAAACAAAACAAAAAACTATAGTAAAATATCACTACCAGGATATTGACATTGACACAGTCAAGATACAGAACACTGCTATCACTTCAAGATCCCCCATGCTGCCCATTATGGTCATACTCACTTTCTTTCCCCATTCCCCTCTCCTTCCCCACATCCTCAACCCCTGGCAATCACTAATCAGTTTTCCATTTCTATAACTTTGTCATTTCAAGAATATTATATAAAAGGAATCATAGGCTAGGTGTGGTGGCTCATGCCTGTAATCCCAGCACTTTGGGAGGCCGAGGTGGGTGGATTACCTCAGGTCAGGAGTTCAAGACCAGCCTGGCCAACATGGAGAAACCCCATCTGTACTAAAAATACAAAAATTAGCCTGGCATGGTGGCGTGTACCTGTAGTCCCAGCTATTAAGGAGGTCAAGGCAGGAGAATCACTTGAATCTGGGAGGTGAAGGTTGCAGTGAGCCAAGAGCCAAGATCGAGCCACTACACTCCAGCCTCAGCAACAGAGCAAGACTCTGTCTCAAGAAAAAAAGAAAAAAAAAAAGGAATCATACAGTATTCAACATTTTGGGATCGGCCTTTTTCACTTAGCAGCATCCACTGCAGGTTCATTTAGGTTGTTCTGTGTGTCAGAAATTCATTCCGTTTTTTTCTTTTTTTTGAGACGGAGTCTCGCTCTGTCGCCCAGGCTGGAGTGCAGTGGTGCCATCTCGGCTCACTGCAATCTCTGTTTTCCAGGTTCAAGTATTCTCCTGCCTCAGCCTCCTGAGTAGCTGGGATTACAGGCACGCACCACCACGCCCAGCTAAGTTTTGTATTTTTATTTATTTATTTTTATTTTATTTTATTTTTTGAGTAGGAGTTTCACTCTTGTTGCCCAGGCTGGAGCGCAGTGGCACGATCTCGGCTCACCACAACATCCACCTCCCAGGTTCAAGCGATTCTCCTGCCTCAGCCTTCTGAGTAGCTGGGATTACAGGCGTGCACTACCATGCCCTGCTAATTTTGTATTTTTAGTAGAGACAGGGTTTCTCCATGTTGGTCAGGCTGGTCTTGAACTCCTGACCTCAGGTGATCCACCTGCTTCGGCCTCCCAAAGTGTTGGGATTACATGCGTGAGCCGCCGCGCCCGGCCTAAGTTTTGTATTTTTAGTAGAAACGAGGTTTCACCATGTTAGCCAGGCAGGTCTCGAACTCCTGACCTCAGGCGACACACCTGCTTCAGCCTCCCAAAGTGCTGGGATTACAGGCGTGAGCCACCATGCCCGGCCAAGTTCATTCACTTTTATTGCTAGCACTCTTCCATGGTATTGATTGTTTAACAGGCTATATAACCATTTGCCTGTTGGACAACATTTGGGTTGTTTCCAGTTTTGAGCTATTCCAAATAAATCTGCTGCAAACATTCCTGTACAGGTTTTCATGTGGATATGAGTTTTCATAATGCCCAGGAGTGCAGTTGCTGGGTTGTCTGGTAGATGCATGTTTAACTTTTCAAGAATTGGCAGGCCAGACACAGTGGCTCACGCCTGTAATCCCAGCACCTTGGGAGGCTGAGGCAGGTGGACCACGAGGTCAGGAGTTCGAGACTAGCCTGGCCAATATGGTGAAACCCCGTCTCAATTAAAAATACAAAAATTAGCCGGATGTGGTGATGGGCACCTGTAATCCCAGCTACTCAGGAGGCTGAGGCAGAAGAGTCACTTGTACTCGGGAGGTGGAGGTTGCAGTGAGCCGAGATCGTGCCACTGCACTCCAGCCTGGGGGACAGAGCGAAACTCCATCTCAAAAATAAATAAATAAGTAATAAAAAGAATTGGCCAAACTCTTTTCCAGAATGGCTGCACCATTTTACATTCCCACCGGCAATGTGTGTGACCCAGTTTCTCTGTAAACTTGCTAGCATTTGGTGTTGTCTGTGATCCATTTAGAGTTAATTCCTCCGTTAGATTGTGAAACCTAGCTTGTGATTTTATTTCTTTGCCTATGTATGTACAATTGCTGCAATGCTACTTGCTGAAAAGGCTGGCTTTCCTCCACTGAGGAGGCTTTGTCTAAAATCATTGGGCGTATTTGTGCAGGTGTATTTCTGGGTTCTCTTTTCATTTGATTGATCTAGGTGTCCATCCCTCTGCTGACACCACACACAGTCTTGATGACTCTAGCTATATAATAAGTCTTTAATTCTTAGAGTAATTCCACTAACTTATTCTTTTTTTCAAAATTATTTTAGCTATTCTAGTTATTTTGCCTTTTCATATACATTTTAGAATAATCTTGTCTATACCTATAAAAAATCCTGCAGGGTTTTGATAGGAGTTGAATTAAATCTATATATCAACTTGGAGAGAATTGACATCTTTATTATGCTATCTTCCAATCCGTGAACACACTATGGCTTTCCATTTATTTAGATTTTCTTTGACTTCTTTCATGAGCATTTTGTAATTTTCAGCCTACAATTCCTTTACATATTTTCTTAGATTTACACCTAAGTATTTCCTTTCTATTTTAAGCAATTGTAAATGACATTATATGGCCAGGAACGGTGGCTAAAGCCTGTAATCCCAGCACTTTGGAAGGCCGAGGTAGGCAGATGACTTGAGGCCAGGATTTCAAGACCAGCCTGGCCAACATAGCGAAACCCCATTTCCACTAAAAATGCAAAAAAAAAACCTTAGCTGGGTGTGGTGGTGCATCCATCTCTGTAATCCCAGCTACTTGGGAGGCTGAAGCACGAGAATCACTTGAATCCGAGAAGCAGAGTTTACAGTGAGCCAAAATTTCACCACTGCACTCCAGGCTAGGCGGCAGAACGAGACTCTATCTCAAAAACCAAATAAATAAATAAAGCAAATAACATCATATTTTTAATGTCTGTGTCCATGTGATTATTGCTAGTACATAGAAATACAATTGATTTTTGTATGTTGAGCTTACATCCTACAATCTTTTTTTTTTTTTGAGATGGAGTGTTGCTCTGTCGCCCAGGCTGGAGTGCAGTGGCGCAATCTTGGCTCACTGCAAGCTCCACCTCCCGGGTTCACGCCATTCTCCTGCCTCAGCCTCCTGAGTAGCTGGGACTACAGGCCCCAGTCACCACACCCGGCTAATTTTTTTTGTATTTTTAGTAGAGACAGGGTTTCACTGTGTTAGCCAGGATGGTCTCGACCTCCTGTCCTCGTGATCTGCCCGCCTCGGCCTCCCAAAGTGCTGGGATTACAGGTGTGAGCGACTGCGCCCAGCTTTTTTTTTTTTTTTTTTTTTTTTTTTTTTTTTTTTTTTAATAAGCACAGGGTTTCACTATGTTGCCCAGGCTAGTCTTGAACTCCTAAGCTCAAGCCATCCACCCACCTCAGCCTCCGAAAGTGCTAGGATTACAGGCGTGAGCCACCACACCCAGCCATATATCCTGCAGTTTTGTTACTTATTACTTCTAGAGTTGAGTGTTTTGTTTTTGTTTTTGTTGTTGTTGTTGTTTTGTTGTTGTTGTGTTGTTTTGTTTTGTTTTTGAGACAAAGTCACGCTCTGTTGCCCAGGCTGGAGTTCAGTGGCTCATTCTCGGCTCACTGCAAGCTCCGCCTCCGGGTTCACGCCATTCTCCTGCCTCCGCCTCCCAAGTAGCTGGGACTACAGGAGCCCGCCATCACGCCCGGCTAATTTTTGGTATTTTTAGTAGAGACAGGGTTTCACCTTGTTAGCCAGGATGGTCTCGATCTCCTGACCTCATGATCTGCCCGCCTTGGCATCCCAAAGTGCTGGGATTACAGGCGTGAGCCACCGCGCCTGGCCGATTCCATGGGATTTTTGTATGTTAATAACCACATCATTTGCAAACAGGCACAGTTTCATTCCTTCTTTCAATCTGTATGCCTTTTATTTCCTTTTCTTGACTTATCTCAGTGGCTAGAACTTCTGGTACTAAATTGAATTAAGATGCTGGAGTACGCCTGTAATCCCAGCTATTTAGGAGGCTGAGGTGGGAGAATTGCCTAAGCCCAGGAGATCAAGGCTGCAGTGAGCTGTGATTGCACCACTGCACTCCAGCCTGGGGGACAGAACAAGACTCTGTCTCAAAAAAAAAAAAAATTTTTGAATAAAAGCGGGGAGATCTGACAGCCTTGCCTTGTTCCCAATCTTAGAAGCCGTTCAGTTTTTGCCATTAAGTATAGTGTTAGCTGTCGAGTTTTTGTAGATGCTTTTTATCAAGTTGAGAGAGTTTCCCCTATTCCTATTTTTATTTATTTATTTAAAGATGGAATCTTGCTCTGTCGCCCAGGCTGGAGTGCAGTGGCGCGATCTCAGCTCACTGCAACCTCCACCCCTGGGTTCAAGCGATTCTCCTGCCTCACCCTCCCAAGCAGCTGGGATTATTACAGGCATGCACCACCATGCCTGGCTAAGTTTTGTATTTTTAGTAGAGACGGGATTTCACTATGTTGGCCAGGCTGGTTTCAAACTCCTGATCTCAAGTGAGCCACCCGCCTCAGCCTCCCAAAGTAAGGGGATTACAGGCGTGAGCCACCGCACCCGGCCATGCCTGGCTAATTTTTTTGCATTTTTTGTAGAGACGAGGTTTCACCGTGTTGCCCAGGCTGGTCTCAAACTCCCAGGCTCAAGTGATCCTCCCACCTTGGCTTCCAAAAGTGCTGGGATTTCAGGCATGAGCCACCGCACCTGGACTGAAATGCAATTTCCGTATCAATTGATATGATCATGTGATTTTTTTTCTTTAGCCTGTGTTATGGGCTTATGTGTCCCTCTTCTCCTCTGCCCCAAAATTCATGTATTGAAGTCCTAACCCCCTGTACCTCAGAATATAACCATATTTGGAGATACAATCTTTAAAGAAGTAAAATTAAAATGAGATTATTAGAGTGGTCCCTAATCCATTATGACCAATGTCCTTATAAGGAGAAGAAATTTGACCACAGACACACACAGAGGGAAGATGATGTGAAGATAGAGAGAAGAAGGCCCTCAGAAGGAACCAATCCTGCTGACACCTTGATCTTGGACTTCCAGCCTCTAGAACTGTGAGATATAAATTTCTCACAGTGCTTTCCCCAAGTCTATGGTACTTTGTGGCACCATGCCCCCTTCAGAACACAAGCTGAGATACTCATAAAGAACTGAGTTTTGCCTGATCCACCAAGCCATGGCTGGGCTTGCAAAGTTATTCCCCATCCTTAATGAAAGTTGTGCACATGACCTCAAGCTCAAGCATAGCCTGGAAGCCGAAGTGGGTCTAACAAGCAGGGGGCTCCCACTTCCAGTGTCCCCAGACTCTCCCTGCCTGGCCACGTCTCCCTCAACTTACACCCATGGCCTGATGGGGAGTTCTGAGCCCAGCACACAGAGGGTTCTGTGTGACAAGGCACCAGCTGGTAGTGGACTGCTATGGCATCACAGCGCACGCATGGGTGTCACTGAAAGACAATGCAAAGAGATATCTCCAAGCAGATAGAGTTTTGAGGGGTACATCTGTCCACTTTGTTTTGATGGAGAGTAGTTCTGAACTGTGGTTCTACACAAGGGCTGTGAATAACAGTTTAGCTGTTGTGAGAAATATTATTACCTTAGGAGTTAAAAGCTTGGATTTGAGCTGACTGCCTGGGTTGAAGTCCCGGCTTTGCTACTTACTGTCCATGCAACTTTAAGCAAGTGATTAAACTTTCTGTACCCCTATTACCTCTTCTTACCATTTTAAAGAAGGTAATAATACCATCTACCTCATAGAGTTGCTGTGGTGAGGACTGAATTAATATAGGTAAAGTACTTAGCACCTGGAACACAGTAAACACTGTGTAAGTTTATCGGCAATGGATGATGATGGTGATGATGATGCCCAATAGTCAGGGATTTGGAAGGAACAGAGCTAGGATTCATAACAAAAAATTCTGGCAGATTCACAAATGGTTCAAATCCTATAGGGTTGAAAATTTCCCCCACCAGGGAAAGAATGCTGATCAGCATGGTACAGGCTGAAGGCAAAGAGAAGGTGGAGGGGGTTATGAAGAAAGGTAGTTGTAAATATCAACTACAGCCTTAGGCCTGTTGCAGAAATAAAGATTCCAACAGGCATCAAATGCTTTGTCCTTGTCCTATTATGTGACCCTTTTCACTTTTCTTCCCCTCTCCCTTTCCTCTTCTGTTTTATATATGGTGATCCTTCTCAGCCAGGGGTGATTTTGACCTATGGGGGACTGATATGGTTTGGCTCTGTGTCCCTACCCAAATCTCATCTAGAATTGTAATCCCCATGTTTACAGGGAGGGAGGCGATTGGATCACGGGGATGGCTTCCCCCATGCTCTTCTCATGATAGGGAATTCTCACGAGATCTGATGGTTTTAAAACCTGCGCTCTTCTGCGCTCTCACTTCTCCCTCCTGCCGCCTTGTGAAGAAGGTGCCTGCTTCACCTTCCACCATGATTGTAAGTTTCCTGAGGCCTCCTCAGACATGCAGAACTGTGAGTCAATTAAACCTCTTTCCTTTTATAAAGTACCCAGTCTCAGGAAGTTCCTTATAGCAGTGTGAAAACGGACTAATACAGGGACCCTTGCCAATGTCTAGAGACATTTTCAATTGCCATGACTTGGGAAAGGGGAGCGCTACTGGCATCTATCAGGTAGAGTAAGGGAGGCTGCTAAATATCCTACAATGCACAGAAAAGTCCCCCACAACAGATATTATTTGGCCCAAAATGTCAGTGTTCTCAAGGTGGAGAACTGATAGAGAGTACAGATGGTGGTTCATATTTTAAGTCCACAAGTTACAGGATATCAAGATGGAATTGGGATTGAACCAAAGAAGGTTGAATAATACCCAGAAATGGGTGTGATGACTGAGCTACTATGTTCTCTTTTAAGGAGTGTGATATGGCTTGGATCTGTGTCCCCACCGAATCTCATGTCGGAGGTGGGGCCTGGTGGAGGTGACTGGACCAGGTGGGTGAAGTTCTCATGCATGGGTTAGCGCCGTCCCCTCCATGTTGTTCTCTTGTGATAGTAAGTGAGTGAGATCTGGTTGTTTAAAAGTGTGTAGCGCCTCTCCCTGCTCTCTCTTCCTCCTGCTCCAGTCCTGTGAAGAAGCCTGATCCCACTTTGCCTTCCACCATGATTGTAAGTTCCCTGAGGCCTCCCCAGAAGCAGATGCTGCCATACTTCCTGTACAGCCTTCGGAAGCATGAGCCGATTAAACCTATTTTCTTATCATTTACCCAGTCTCAGTTATTCCTTTATAGCAGTACAAGAACAGACTAATACAGAGTGACTTAGTACTTTTATCTTTGTATGAGAAAGAGAGAGTTTTTGTGTTGGGGCCGGATGGTGGTTGATGTCATTGTTTGGATGTTTGAGGATGAGGGCACAAATGAATGTTGAGTGTCTGAAAGGGTGGGATTCGGCAGGCGTGGTAAATTGGTTAACTCACGATCTCTCCCAATCTCTTTCCAGTGTGCTTTCCTGTTCTTCAGATTCTACAAAGAGAAACACTCTGTTTCCCAGACTTGCTTACAGCAAGGGACTTAGATCCCGCCAGCCAGAGGCACTCCCGTGAGATGGGCAGCTGTGCAGGAGGCATCTGTCCTGCCGTGCAATGCTCAGGCACAACCAGTTTTGGAGCCAACAGTCCTGACATTGACTTTCTATCCCTCAGACGCCAGCCAAGGCAGTGCATTCCTGGAATCAACGCTCTCAATAGCAGCTTCCCAATCCTTGGCCAAAGTGATGTCACTCAGAGCCAGCGGTTAGGACAGAGGATTCTCCAGCCTCAGATTGCGGCAGAGTTCACAGTACCCTGGGGTGGGCTGATTCTGCAGGGTTGTTTTTTATGTCATTTCTGAAGGTCCAATTAATAGCCCATTTCTCCAGCTCTTCCAATTATTTTATAAACACTAAAACCCTATACAGAATCCCTTAATGCTTAAAATGGTAAGAGTGGTTTCTGCAATAGAACCCTGATCGATACAGCAATAAATAGTATCCACAATGACTTATCAATAAGGAAAAGGAAAAAGAGAGAGAAAATTAAGTAAAAGACATGAATATTCCAGAGGGAAAAAATAAGAATGTTCTATAAACTTGAAAAGATGTTCAACCCCATCAGTATTAAGGGCAACCACAACGAGATACATTTTCACATCCACCAGATCAACAGTTTTGATGATGCCCCTAAGTAGTCCTGAAGCAGTGCCTCCCAACCTCTCTCACCTAATGGTGCACAGAGAAAGCCATAGAATGTTATCAGCACAGGCTGGGCACTGTGGCTCACACCTGTAATCCTGGCACTTTGGGAGGCCGAGGTGGGGGGATCACTTGAGGTCAGGAGTTTGAGACCAGCCTGGCCAACATGGTGAAACCCCATCTCTACTAAAAATACAAAAATTGGCCAGGTGTGGTGGTAGGCACCTGTAATCCAGCTATTTGGGAAGCTGAGACAGGAGAATCGCTTGAATTCAGGAGGTGGGGGTTGTAGTGATCTGAGATCGCACCACTGCACTCCAGCCTGGGTGACAGAGTGAGACATCATCTGAAAAAAAAAAAAGAAAAAAGAAAATACAAGCCAGTAAGAACAAGCTATCAACAGCCTCCAAAGACTTACATAAGATCAGTATTTCTGCAAGAAAATCAAGAAAGCAATAGACCCAAGAAGATTCATTGAAAAACAACGCCAACCCGTTAAGAACAGCAAGCAAAGAGGAGGCATTTTTCTCACTAAATAGTAGATACGTACAAGGGTTCCACCACAGCAGGAAGATTACATCGTAAGACAACAACATTCAAACACGAAACACAGTATATATAAAATTAGAGATATTGCTGGGTGCAGTGGCTCATGCCTATAATCACAGCACTTTGGGAGGCCCAGGCAGGCGGATAACCTGAGATCGGGAGTTTGAGACCAGCCTGGCCAACATGGTGAAACCCCGTTCCTACTAAAAAATACAAAAATTAGCTGCACCTGCAATCCCAGCTACTTGGGAGGCTGACCCAGGAGAGCTGCTTTAATCCAGGAGGTGGAGGTTGCAGTGAGTGAGCCGAGATTGTATCACTGCACTCCAGCCTGGGCAACAAGAGCAAAACTCCATCTCAAAATAAAATAAAATAAAATTAGAGATATTGATAATTGGGGAGGAGGGGGAGAGACTGGAGCATCTAGCTCCTATGAACACCCAAAACGCTGGAAGATAGGGAGACCCCCTGACCCTCTCCTGACTGTGGGCTGCTTGGTTTGTTAACGGTGGAGTAGCTTAGGATGGGCTCCTTCGTTCATCCTAAGGAGCAGGGGCTCACAGAGATGTGTTGGACTCACTTTCACCCTGCTACCTCATCCTAAAAAGCTCTGGGTCAGAGGCCCAGAGACCTGAGTTCCACCCTTGGCTGTCTGAAACCTCCGGAAAACCATTTCACTTCTCCCAGTCTCAGTCTCCTTATCTGTACATGGGAATGATTTTAATGCTCACTGTCCTGCTTATCTCAAGAGACTGTGAGGCTGGTCAAAAGAGACAAGGGGTGTGGAAGTGAAAGGGCCCAAGAGCACTTTTCACAGTCTTGAGTGCAGGAGGCCGTTCTGCCCCGTGCTGCTATGGGATCTTAGGCAAAGCCACAACTTCTTTCGGCTTCAGTTTTTCTCACTTTAAAATGATAATAGGCCAGGAGCGGTGGTTCACGTCTGTAATCCCAGCACTTTGGGAGGCTGAGGCAGGCAGATTGCTTGAGTCTAGGAGTTCGAGACCAGCCTGGGCAACATGGCAACACCCCATCTCTACTAAAAATACAAAAATTAACTGGGTGTGGTGGTGCGCGCCTGTAATCCCAGCTACTCAGGAGGCTAAAGCGAGAGGATTGCTTGAACCCAGGAGACAGAGGCTGGAGTGAGCTGAGATCGCACCACTGCACTCCAGTCTTGATGACAGAGTGAGACCCTGTCTCAAAAAATAAGTAAAATAAAATGATAATAATATTCTGCATTACAGAGTTGCTGTGAGAATGGAGTAATACGAGGAAAGCACGTAGCAAGTGCCTAACACATGGAGCGCGCTCGCTGAACGTTAATCACAAGTGTGATTGATCACAAGTTAATCCTAAGTGGTAAGAATGAGTCCCGCGTTAATCAGGGTTCTGGTGTGAAAATTGCTGAGTTCTTTTATGCTCTTCCCCTCTTGCAGACGCCAGAGGGCGACATAGACGGCGGGACTCCAGCCGCCAAGCACGCCCGCCGCAGCCCCACAATCGGCCACGCGGTGGCGCTAAGCCACACAATGCTTGGTTTGCCGCAGGCTTTGGGGAGCAGAGGGCTGACCGGGGGAGAGCGGAGACCGGGTAAGGGGGGCCTTGGGAGCCAGGGAGCCCTGAACCAGAGGGTCAAGGACCCCTGGACGGAGTATTCCCCGGGCTCCCGGGACACAACAAGATCAGCTGGGAATGAATGGGTCCTGGGCTTTTGGGAATCTGAGTGGGGCATCCCTTCCTCCGGGCGCCGGGCTGCACCCCCTTACCCTGGGCAGCCGCGGGGCCGTGACGCCTGGCGGAGGGGGCGCGCATCTCGGCGCGCGCCGGTCTTCGCAGTGGCTCATTCATCGCCGCCGAGGCACGCCGTTGCCATGGGGACGTGATGCAGGCGCGGGGAGCGGGAGGGAGAGGGAGGCCCCGGGTGACGTCCGCGCTCTTCTCGCAGCTAGTCTCCCGCGGCCTCCCAATTCTTGCCTAATTTGGAAGAGAGCCGCAGCCCTTCTGCTGATGCGCGCGCGCTGGCGCCTTTTTAAGGCAACTGGCGGAGTGGCGGCTCCACCAGAGCCTGGGAGCTGCCCCCGCCCCCGAGCCGCGAGCCCCGCGCCGGGCCGGGGAGTCCCCGGCGCCACACGCCCCCACCACCCCCATCTTAGCGCCCCCCACCCTCTATGGAGACATTTCAACCAGGGAGAAGGGAAGTCCTGCCCTTGCCCCTCGCCCCCGCCCTGCTCCTCCAACAGGGGAGACTTCTGTCCAAACCTTGGAAAGAAACGAGATGCCAGGCCTAGCGCCTTCGGGGATCCTCTCTGGACAAGGCCACAGGGTGAAAACACCAGGTGAGGACTTCACTACCCTTGGGGCCACCATGGGACCCTGGAGACCTTTGCCTCCCTCCAGGCGCCCCCGACCCCTTAAACTTTTTCTCCCTGAGCTCAGCCTGGAGCAGAGTTAGGATCCTGGGAAAGCCCCTTACCAGTTGCTCCAACCCCCTCCTTAAACTGGAAGGGAAACTGAGGCCCAGAGAAAAGTAGTGATTGACTAGGGCCACATGGCACGTTCCTAGAGGAAGAGCATGGGCCAGAACCCACAGATGCTGACCTCCTGGCCAGAGGTCAAGGCATTCCTTATGGTTGAGCATAGCCAGCCCCGTGTGCCAGTATCCAGCCCCTGCCCTGCACCAAGCAGAGGGGCTGGACACCTCTGTCATGGCACCAGCTGCCTCTCCTTCCCCAGCACAGTCTGGACCTGGGCGGACTTTTTGGAAAAGCTTCTGGATGCCACGGACTCCACGACCAACCAACTAGGTTGCTGCTGCTTGCAAACATCGCCTCCATTGAAGGATTCCTGCAGCCACCAGCTCTGGAACTTTCTGGAACCAAACATTTCCCCAGACTGCCTACAAGGACCAATTGGCCTCTGGATGTAGGTGTGGCCTGCAGGGGTCCGGCAGGGCTCCCCAGAGTCAAGTGGACCCAGCCCTTTGGACCCCCTGCCCGGTCCTATTGACCTCTGCTCTCTCCCTGCAGCACTTCCTGGAGGCGTTTGACCGGGACCTGGGAGGGCAGCTGAGAAGTGCCTGACCATTCTCAAGGAGCTGCGTGGATTCCAGACATCTCTGGGCTGGTCTCTGGACCGGGATGGGGGACCCAGAGGTGGAGCCGAACACACAAGCAGCACTTGAGGGCTCCGAGGGTGGCAAGGAGAGAAGTTCCTGCTCTGGTACAGCCCTGGGACCTTGAAAGGTGCTTCAACAGAGCGTCCACTCCCAGCGCCTAGCTCTGGGACCTTGAATGGTGCTTTAACAGAGCGTCTGCTCCCAGCGCCAAGCCCTCAGTGCAGAGGGGGAGACTCAGGCGGCCCTCAGACACAATTCGCCAAGGTCGCACAGCAAGTCAGGGTGCCGCTAAGACTAGGACCTACAGCTCTGCCTCCTGGCCCAGGCTCCTCAGCACCTGGGCCCCAGAGGACAGCCTGTGGGAGGCCCACATGGCCACTGCACCATGAACCAAGGACCTGGTCCGGGTCCACCTCCACCAAGTGCTGGCCGTGTGTCACTGGGGTCACTCCACTCTCTGCATTAGGTCTCAGTCATCCAAGACCATCTTTCAAGGGCCGTCACTCCAATTATGAGTCTGGGATTTTCTGAAATTGAGCATTTTGGCCAGGCTGTGGGGTCCCTCTATGACTGCCTGTAAGACACTGCCAAGGGGACTTTCTTCCTTTCACCAGACTGAAGCTAAGAAGTGCTGGAGACAGCAGTTGCTTTAGCCACAGGCTGTGTAGACCACCTGAGGATGACCTGGGGGTCTGTTTTGTGCACCTTGGAACCCATCGGATCCCTCCAATGGTGAGTCCCCTGGTGTACCCAGCACCAAGCTGTGAGAACGACCCCCAACGGGTTGGGTGGAAGAAGCAAAACTACAGGCTCAGTCCCAGTACTTACTCCCCTGTGTCCACACAGGCCAGGTCTCCAGGGTCCCTGCCCATCCAGGGCTGAGAACGTGGTCCTCTGGGAGCCTTCAGGCCCACTCGGACCCCAGCATTGGGCAATGGGCTCATCCCTACCTGAAACTGGGGCTTGGGGTTGCAGCATTCAACTTCCAAAGCCCAAGAGGCACTGGGACAGGTGGCCCAGCAGGCTCAGAGATGCTCAAGTGCCAGAGGTTGGGAGGGCCCTTTGAGGCTAAGGGGTCTGACCCACTGCCATTTTGCAAATACAAAAACTGAGGCCCAGGGAGGGAGAGAGGTTTGCAGAACACGCCCAGCAGGCTAGTGGTAGAGCTGGGAACAGAATCTGCATCTTCTGCTGCTCCTATTCAGAACTATTCCCCTGCACCAAACATAATCCGCTGACATCTAGACTGAGCTCAGCTCGTCTTCTTCCTGGACCTTGGACTCCTTGGCAGAAGGCTCTCCCAACTCACAGCCTGTCAGGGATGGCAATTCAGGGGCTTTCCCTTCAACCTGATGGTCCTTTCCACCAAAGCTTCCTGGTGCTCCTCCCCTCCCACCAGTGCTCAGCCCTTCTTGGCTTCAGAAGCTGCTCCATCAGCAGCCGTAAGGGTCACTCTCCCCTGCTCACCATGGTTCACCCAACTCCCTGTGGTTCCCGCGTTCCCCAGCATGGGGAGCACCATTCTCCCTGCTCGTGGGGGTCTCCTCTTTGTTGCCCCTCGGCCCAGTCCCTGACCTTCTCTGACCACTGGAGCCTTAAATCCCATCAGTCTTTCCTGGGACCCCCGGACTGTTCCCTGTAGATTTCCTCTCTGTTGGCCCAGGGCCTGTGAGAGTAATGATGGCTGGCATGTCATAGGGCTGCTGTGAGGTTTTCATGAATTAATACACTCATCAGGTACACAAGGTGTGGGTAGGTGCCTCATCTGTAAACTCCTATGTTACGAGCTGTGCCCTGATAGTAACAAGGAGAGACTTGAAGCTGGAGCCTCTGGAGGCTGAGGTATCTGTTGGTGGAAGGGGAAGAAAGGAGGTGCCAGCCTGGAGGAGTTTTTAGTAATGGGAGATAATGGGAGCCACAAGGGTCTTAAGCTGGGAAGAACATGGTCAGGTTGGCTTCCGGAAGAATGGCAAGGGGAGCTGGGCTGCTGAGCACCAGAAGGGTGTGTTGGGCCCGGCCCGGGACCTCCGTCTCTGGCTTTGGTGAGCAGTGGAGGGGGCAGCTGCTGCCCGGGGAAGGAGCCTGCTGGGGCCCGAGCCAGAGCCCTGAGGGGCACTTTATGTGCATCCCTCCACTTCTCCAGGCTGCAGCCTTAGCCTGGTTTACTCCATCTGGTGCTCTCAGACCTGGCCTGGATCAAAGCTGCCGGTGGGTACCCAGGCTATTTCTACACTTGCAGTGCCAGGACATGTGCTGCCTCCTGAACCAGCCCCTGCCGTCTCTGCATAGCCTTGTTCAAAATTATATTTTTCATAAAGTTAAGATAATGACCAACATTCTGCCATGTGAGCATTTCTTGTGCTCCTTTTATGCATCAGGCATTTTCTGAGTGTTTTAACTAATTAACTCCTTTAATGCTAACATCAGTCCCTTGATAGGGGTGCCATCATTCTCCCCACTTCTGTATTTAACAAATCGGTAAACTGAGGCACAAAAGGTTAAGTCACTTAACTGACCGATGTCACAAAGGCAGTCTGTGGAGGAGGCAGGACTCAGCCCAGATTCTCCTCCCCCGCCACCCTCTCCTGCCTCAGGTACATCCCCTCCCACTGGCCTTTCCACGTGGACCGTGTCTCTCCCACTGCCTCTTGATGGTCCTTCAAACATCTGCAAATGCCACACCACCTCCTCAAGCCTCCTCTTCTCTGAGGAACATCTCTCCATTCCTTCCATCTTTTAAAAATTTCTTACAAATGTTTATGAAGCACTTTACGCTGGAGTTGACAGTGGGCAAAGCAGTCACAGTCCCTGCCATGGTGACCACAGTCTAGTGGACAAGAGACAATAAATTCCTCACCAAAATAAAGGATTAAATCGCTATTTCACCAAGTGCCAACAGAGGCCTGGGGTGCCTGCAAACCTGTAACTGAGGATTTGGCCTCAGCGGTAATGTCAGGGAAGGCTTTCCAGAGGAGACGATATTTAGGCTGAACTAACGGGAAATTAGGAAGAACTCGGCAGAGGAGAGAGGCAGCAGCACCCCAGGAGAGAGAACAGCATGTGCAAAAGCACTGTGGCGGCCGGGAGGGTGGCAGGCCAGGGACTGGAAGAAGGCTTATGCAGCTGGAAGAGAGGCAAGGGGGTGCATGAGGCCAGACAGGCTGGAGGGCTTACCAGAGGCAGGCCTGGGGGATGGCCTGGGCCCTGCCTCACAGCCCTGGGTGCAGTTGGCTCCTCCTCACTGGCTGCTCTGCTCAAGGCTAGGCTTGGACCCATAGCATAAGTCCTAGAGCCAAACCTCCTGGCCCTGACAGAGGCTGCCCTCTCTCCACTTTTGCTGCATGTCCCTGTTAACACAACCTCAGCTACAGTGGCTTCTTTTGTGGCTACCTGGCACTGTGTTGAATCTCATTTATGAGGCCACACTCCTCTGTCCACCCAGCCACCCACCCAGCACAGCCTGGCCCAGTCAACACTGACTTGCCACCAGCAGCTCAACTCAAATGCACCTGCTTGGGGAGGCCGGTGCCAACTCCTCAGGCAGGGTCACCCCTCCTTTTGCTCTCCCCAAACTCCCAGCATGCCTCCTTGACAGCAGTATCCCACTGAAGTGGCTGGATGGACCCCTTGCTCTCTCACCAGCCTGCAGGTTCCATGAGGCCAAGACCAGCTGTCTGTGGGCACCATCACATCACTGCAGAGGCTGGCACAAACTCTGCCCTCAGCTGTTTGTTGCATGAATGACTTACATGCCTGAGCCCCTGCCCTGTGCCAGGCCTTGTGCTGGATGCTGGGAACATGAAGACCAGTTGTAGATGCTGGTAGGGGAGACAGCCAAGTAAACACACAGGGACAATGCAGGGTGCAGAGTGCGGTGACGAGGAAGCACAGGGGCTGGGGGGCACTGAGGGGGTCCCCGGACCTCACTGGAGGACCAGAAGGGCCAGAATTTGCCAGCTGGGAGTGGTGGTGGAGAGGACTCTGAAAATGAATGTGAGGAAAATCCGCCTCCTCCAGCCTCCCCAGGGCAGGTCAAGAGTATTGGTCGCTGCTCTGCATTTGAAAAGTGGCTTTAGTTGATTAGGTTTCTTTCCCCTCTTGGAATGTGGCTGCTCTGACTTGCTCCTCACTGCATTCCTTGCATCCTCTTCTCTCAGCCCTGCCTTCAGGACATTGCCCACAAAAGTTTCATCTTTTCCCACCTGGGCTCTACTCTCCCTCTCCCACCCCCTCCATGGTTCTATGTCCCTCACCTTCCTGGCTTTCAGCTCATTCACCCAGCTCTGGCCGTCTCAATGCGTGGGTGCCAGCCTGCACCCTCTTTACATGAGCTTTGTTGATTTCATAACCATAAATAGATAAAATGTTCTGAATGCTTTCATGTGCAAGTAGAATTGAGGGAGTGATAGCATAATGAAAAGGCCTCAGGAAAAGGAAAACAGCTTGCTAAGATGCAGCGGAAGACAACACGGTCACTGCACAAGCCAGCTCTGCGTGGGTTTCCTATTCTCACTGCACTGACCGCGGAGCCATGGACGCAGGATGGGGAGGTGCTTAGGAATCTGTTAGAAAACCTTTCCCTGGTTTCAAATCCACCAATTCAAAAGAACAACCTAGAAAAAAAACAGTAGAAGTCAGGAAAACCTGGGTTCAATTGTGGATTTATCTCATTCTAGCTGTGTGATCCTAGGCAAGTTAATCAACCTCTCTGAGAAGGCATAGAGAGATTCTTCCCCCCTGGGTCAGACTGGAGGCTTCGGGAGGCCCAATATCCCACAATACCTTCCTTTTCCTCCCATATGTAAATTTTGTCTTCCTGACAATTCGTTAATCACCAGCCCTGAGACCCCCCTGCCCAAAATGCAGTCCTGAAGACTAGGGTCGGAATAGGGATGGAATGGGGTACCCTGCCTCCTCATTGCCTGTTCCAACTCCTGGTGCAGGAAGTGGAGCATCATCCTGCATGGGGAGGGTACATCTCCACAGCCACAAAAGGGGCTGGAAACCAATAAGGAGCCTGACCCATTGGGCTTCCCACCTCTCCTCCTTTAAGTTGTCCAGGAGCACTACTTCTCCATGGCCTTTGGAACAGTAAAGGGGGCTGAAATGATAGCTTGGTATACCCTGGGTTAAGAGAGCTTTCTGGGTGAGAAAGAGAAACAAGTGGAGATATTCCTGGTGTGAACTCATCCTCTGGTCTAAGGATGGCACGCTTTTTCTCTAAAGGATCAATTAGTAAAAAGTGTCAAAAAGTTCTTTAGGCTTTTTGAACCATATGGTCTCTGTTGCAACTACTCAGCTCTTCCATTGTAATGTGAAAACAGCCATAGACAATGAGTAAATGAATGAATGTGACTGTGTTCCAATAAAACTTTATTTACAAAAGGAGGCAGCAGGCTAGATGTGGCTAGATTTGCAGTCCATAGTTTGTAAACCCTAGCCCTATCACGTGGTGCAAAAGAGAAAGCTTGGGTTGGGAGCAGGAACTAGGGGTGAGGCTCAGCATTGCCAGACTTGCTGTGTGACTTTGATTAAGTCATTATCTATCTCTGAGCCTTTGTTTCACCATCTATCAAATGAGCATCATAATATCAGTCAAGGCTGGGTGTCGTGGCTCACACGTGTAATTCCAGCACTTTGGGAGGCCAAGGTGGGAGGATTGCTTGAGGTCAGGAGTTCAAGACCAGCCTGGGCAGAAAAAATTTTTTTAAATTATCTGGGTGTAGTAGTTTATGCCTGTAGTCCCAGCTACTCGAGATCCTGACACAGAAGATCATTTCAGCCCAGGAGTTTGAGGTGGCAGTGAGCTATGATCAGGCCACTGCACTCTAGTCTAGATGACAGAGCAAGACTGTATATAAATAACAATAATGATATCAGCCAGATTTGTCGTGAGAATGTGTCTAACAGGCCAGAGCAAATCTGAAGTCTTTTTGTCCCTCTGCTTCATAACGTTAAGTGGATTTGCACCCACTGCCCATGCCAACCTCAGCTGGCCATGCCCTTGCCTGCTGAGGGTAGCAGCAGCCTGCCAGAAAGGAAGGTGTCTCTCTCCAGGGTCAGATTCTTCATCTGTCTTTCCAAGCTCGAGCCCCAAGTGACCCCATTTCTGTAGCAAGCCAAGCACGGGAGGAAACAAGGAATCCCTTTCTTTCCACCATCCAGTCATTTGGCAACAAGCTACAGTTCACTTGAGAGAGTGATATGGCTGCAGTGGCTGGTGGCCAGGCTTTGGAGGAGGCCTTGGAGACTCAGGCTGGGAATAGAACTATGAAAAATGGGCTTCAGTGCTCCTCTGGAACATTAACCTATGGCCATAAGTTAAGTAGTTGCAGCTGTGGTCTCATTGGTAACTTGCAGCACCACCAATTGCATCAATGCATCTTTCTTGGACCATCTTGCCCACCTGTCTGGTCTGACCACTACTGCAAGCTTGCATCCTTTGGCATATTGTCATTTTCTCTGAAGCCCCATTCAGTGATTCATTCATTCATATTCTTTCTGTCTCTCCCCACTTCCCTTCCCTTCCTCCCCCTTTCTCTTTCTCATAGACACATTTGTCCAGAGCAAGACAAGATCACACTTTGACAGCCCTCTGTCAAGATCCTTGCTCCAAATCTCCAGACTAGCAGCCAGGAGTCTCCATGCTGTTCTGAAGAAGCAGATTCCTCACCCACCCTTCAACTCCTTCCCAGGAGGTAATCCTCCTCCAAATCTCTGGAAAAGATACACCTCCTCTTCTCTGATAAAGGCTGGGGGGTGATGCCCCTCCCCCAGTTTCCCAATAAAGCTATGCAAGACAGGAGCAAGGGATCTCACGGCCTGTTTTTGCTACAAAAACCCTTTTTCGGAAAAAATAATAAAGAAAGGAATCAGCCAATCCCTCCTCGATGCCATCACCTCTTCTCGGTGATTTTTCGGGGAAGGAGTGGGTGGGTTGCTATGGCAACAGATGCGAGCTCGTCTCAGTAAAGAAGGGACCTTGATATTTTTTTCTCTCTCTCATTCTCTCAGTTGTGTGTGTGTGCGTGCATGTGTATGTGCGCCTGTGTGTGTGTGCATGCGCGCTACACATGCCTGTGCCCACACCAGGAATTTTTTTTTTTTAGAACTAAAGAAAGCCCTTCTCTTCTCTCAGCTCTCCAAATATGGAGTGATGGAAAACCACTTACTCCTGCAGGCCAGGGAGAATTCAGGATGATTCAAGAGAAAAGGGAGAGGTCATGTGGGGCTCCTTTCCTCCATGTTTTTACTAGAGATTGCATGCAACAAGAGAGCTTTGCAAATGGTTAGGGGGCCTTTGGAAAGAGGAGAAGATGTTAGGTGGAAAGAGGTGAGCAAGATATAGATGGTGCAGGAACTCAACGGGTGACCTCAGAGAGGGCAACAGAAGCTATATTGAGTCTGGGGACGCATGTACATCCCACCACACCATCAGATGCTGAAAGACCCAGAGCAGACTCAGATATGGACACAAACACAGACACTGACAGAAAGGCATATGGAAAATTGTAGACATAAATACACACAGGCACAAACATAGAACTGCACAGAACATAGGAAGTTGGAGACAAAAAAAAAAGACAAGCATAGATGCAGGCATAGGTAAACATAGATATACAGGGGTACAGACTCGCAGCTACAAAGACACATGCAAACAGATAGAGATGTAGACATCCAACCACCTCCAGACAGGTTTGGAGGCAGACACACAGGACACACAAACACAGTCTCAGTCAAATGAACACACACACACACAAACACACAGACACACACACAGAGTCTGGCTCTTTTCCTTCAATTGCCCAAGCATCCTTGAGCAGTAGTGCATAGCTGAGGATGCTGCACGCTTGCCCAGTAGGTTTGGCTGAGAGGCTTGCTCTCCCATTCCTTCTACACGCTCACCCCAAAGCCCCTCTCCCAATTCACTCCCTTGCCCACTTTCCCACAGCCAGCAGGCTCTGATGCCTCCCCCATCTCAGGCTTCTAATTCTTAGCTTGTTCTGCTGCTGCCTGCCACTTGGGGGAGAGAGTGGGGTGACTCAGCCAGGCCAGGATGACTCACACTGCCAGTATTTTTAGCAGCGGCCAGGAGCTCTCTAGTGTGCCAGCCGCCCCCCTCCTCCTGCTTGCTATTTCGGAACCGTCACTGGTGATATAAATAGCTCCTCTCCCACGGCCTGAAGCTGCTGCCAAGCTATTTTTGGTTCTGCACAGTTAAAAATAGCTTCACGGAGGTGGGAGGCAAGGGGAGTGGGAGCTGGCCTAGGGAGAGGAGACATTGGGGCACACAGAGCTTCTCAACTTGAATCAGAGTGGGCGAACTAGGATGAGCCCTTCTCTACCCCCTCCCTTGTCCCTTTCTAGACCCTTCTTCCCTTCCAAAGTGTTTCTTCCCATTCCATTCTCCTGGAAAAAGCCAGGGGCTCTTCCCCTGAGCCCAGTTCTCCTCCCTTGCTTACTTCACCCTTAGAGCCCAGAAATCTTGGCCCCCTGCAAACCCTCCATATTCATTCACAGAGAATAAGGGGACAGTCAAAGAGTAGGCTCACTCTGAGGCCTGTGGGTACCCAAGCCCTACGTCGATGTCCCCGGCAAACCGTAGCATGACTTCCATGGTGACTCTTTCAGCACCACGGACAGCGGTCGGCGCAGTATTCCTTCACTGCAGATTCGCTCAGATTGCTGGAGGCCATGACACCCAGCCAGTAGACTCCTCTTATTGTGGAGGGGGACACTCAGAATGCCTCACAGGCAGCTTTAGCATCAGTGAATGAAGAACACAGGAACAACCCCCCTGGAATTTCATACGGAAGGGGATCCAAAGATCAAGGGATTGTTCAAATGGAAGATTGAGAGAGGGGTGGGTAGGTACATTAGAGGTCAGATTGAGAAGAAAGAAGCAACACAGACCCATGTCCAGGAGGAATCATCTCTCTGTCATCCAGGTCAATGGGGTTAGAGACAGTGGCAGACAGATAAGCGGACATCGTTCCCTCCACCTCAGCTGTGACACTGACCACAGGATGGCCCCAACCTCTGCCAAAATGCATAAGACACCAGAATAGGGTCTCCACACCTTGTACACCTCTTCTAAGACATACTTCTCCTCAGCCGCCTCTCCTCCCACTCTACCTCTCTTACTACCACCCCTTTCCATGAGGAGCGGAGAGTTCCCTGGCCCCAAATTGTCCTTTTTGATGTCAAAGTTCATCTCCATGCTTCCTGTGTGACTGGGACTTCCCAGTCCCACCCTCCAATTTTTAAGTGGCCTCATTTCCAGCCACTTAAGTGATTCCATGCGCACACAGCTACTCCATCAAACGAGATTTCAGATAAGAACATTCCCTAGCCCACTTGCTTCTTGCATTATTGAATCCCAGGATAAGAACGGCACATCCTCGCCCCTGTAGAGAGCAATCATCTGTGGTGAAAAGAGAAAAAAAGCGGGTGTGTGGGGGGGTGGGGATAGGGCAAAGGTGACAGGATATGAAAAGGATAGAAAAGGATATGAAAGGACAGAAAAAGAAACGAAGGTGGAAAGTGGAGAGCTGAAGGTGGAGAGGCAGAGCCAGGAGCCTTAGAGGCGCAAATGTGGAGAGGGGTGGAGGGAACCTGGCAAAAATACAGGGTCCCTGGTAGGTGCAGGGGTCATGGAGGGTCCGGCGCTGCCCCTTCGCTTCTCAGCTGCTCCCCCATCTTGCCCGCCTAGGCAGGGCGGGGAGCCCTCCGGAGCGGTGCGGAGGCAGCCAGGCCCCGCCCGCCGCAGCCGCGGCAGCCGCCGGAGGATTCCTGTCCTAATATGGAGCTGGGATTCCCCCGGCCCCGCCCCCGCCCCCGGCCCGCGGGGAGACAGAGGCTGGCAGCAGGGCGGGGGGAAGCGCTCGCTTGGGGGCCGGCAACGGGGGGAAGGGATGCCTAAGTGCAGACCCAGGTCCTCGCCGTGCCCCCACGTCCCTGCCTCAGTTTCCCCTTCAGTAAGGTTAATTAGCTGAGAGGGAAACCACGAATCACTGCAGACTACAGCGCTGATGTTGGTTTCTATTCTTGGCTGTGGGAAAACAGGATCAACGCCAAATTCAGCTGGTCCCTTTCCCACCGGACTCCCTTTCCACCCATCCTCGGGACTTAGACCCCCATGAACACCCCCTGATAAGCCGCCAAGGCCCGATTTGGGAAGCGGGGGCGGGAATTTGTTCTCTAAAAATGGCCAAGGGAATCCCAGGTTAAATAGTCCCCAGAGAGGAACCCCAGCAGTGACCTGTCCCACGGAGGCCAAGGAAAGTCCTCCTTCCCTGCATGTGAACGTGACCTTGTCTGTCAAGTAACGAGGGGGATTTGTAGACAACCCTGTTCTTCCCCATTCCCTCAACTCCTCAGAAAAATTAGTGTCAGTGCCGGCCCCTCTCTGCCCTCTGCGGACTCCTGCCGCGGGCTTCAGGCCGCCCTAAACCTGGCCCTGTCGCTTCCCTCAACTGAACGCATTCAGACGCCAGGGTCCCCACACTCCATTCAAGCTTTCCTAACGCAGCGCCTTCCTCTCCGCTCAGCTCCCGCCAGGCTTGGCCCCCTCCGCAGCCTCCTGCTCCCCCCTCGCCCGCCTCCCTCCCTCTCTCATTCTACGTCATGAGATGACGTCGGAAGCCGGGCGGGAGGAGGAGCCCCCCTCCCCAGTCAGCGGCTCCCGCTGCAGCTTGCTTAGCCCAGCCTCCCGCTCTCCCGCCCCCCCGGCTCTAAAACGAGCCCCCCACGCCTGGCAGGAGCTATATAAGGCGGCGTGAGGCAGGCGAGGGGGGCAGCGCAGCCGAGCGGAGCCCAGGAGAGCAGAGAGCGAGCCTGAGCGAGAGACGGGGAAGCACGGAGGAGGAAGCCGCCGGTGCGTCGGGACGGGAGCGCAGGTGCTCGGGCACCCGAGCTGGAGCTCCGCAGCCGCCGGTCATGTACCGCTCCACCAAGGGCGCCTCCAAGGCGCGCCGGGACCAGATCAACGCCGAGATCCGGAACCTCAAGGAGCTGCTGCCGCTGGCCGAAGCGGACAAGGTCCGGCTGTCCTACCTGCACATCATGAGCCTCGCCTGCATCTACACTCGCAAGGGCGTCTTCTTCGCTGGTGGTGAGCATGCTGGGGCTACCGCAGATCCGAGCTGCCAGGCGCCGGAGACCCTGGAGCTGAGGGAACCCGCTGGGGCTGTCGCATGTCTAGGGCAGCGTGCTGGCGAGCTGGGGAGATTCGGGACTCGGGAGATTCGGGACTTTCTACTTTTCCTCCTGAGCTCCCTCCAGACCTCACCTTAGTTCTGAATGAGAGTTAGAGAGCCTGGACGGTGTCCCTAACACCAGATTATGAGAGGATAAGAGCCAGGACAGAGCGGCCTCGGTGCCCGCCAGTGCAGAAGCGCTCCGGGAGCCGGGGAGGGAAGCCCGGGAAGTTGCAGGGATGGAGCTGCCTGAGCCTAGGGGAACATAGCTACTGTCCGCGGTGCTGAAAGGGATCTCCTGTCGCCTTCGGGGCGCTGCCCATGGTGCTGACGGCTGCGCCGGCCGTGTATGGCTCTGTCCATGGTTCTGAACCCACAGTCGGCTTCGGAGCTCTGTCCGCGGTTCTGAAATTCAGAGCCGCTTTGGAGCTCTGTCCGCGGTTCTGAAATTAAGAGCCGAGAGGAGCCGACCCCGCTTTAGAAGTCGAGGGCTTGTGGGCTATGGAGATACAGCAACAGGTTCCCTGGCCAAGAGCTGCGGGCAGCGGGTCAACAGGTGTTTGCAGAGGCAGGTCCATGAGAAATTCCTCTGGATTCTCTGAAACTCAGACCATGCCTTCCTCACTTCTTCTCTGCCTCCCAGTCTTACTCCTGACGCACTACGTCTTCTCGCCCTACAGGCACTCCTCTGGCGGGCCCCACGGGGCTTCTCTCAGCTCAAGAGCTTGAGGACATCGTAGCGGCACTACCCGGCTTTCTGCTTGTGTTCACAGCCGAGGGGAAATTGCTCTACCTGTCTGAGAGTGTGAGCGAGCATCTGGGCCACTCCATGGTGAGTGCTAAGGGTCCTTTCAGCTGAGGCTGGGCATGGAGTGGGTGCCGTGAGCCTTCCACTCCTGAGGAACTGGGAATTACTATGGAGGGAGAGGTTATACCCTACAAGATACTGTAGATCAAAGATTGGCTCCTGCTGTTCTCCCTAATGGTCATCTCTTCTTTTCCTCCCTCCAGGTGGACCTGGTTGCCCAGGGTGACAGCATCTACGACATCATTGACCCAGCTGACCACCTCACTGTGCGCCAGCAACTCACCCTGCCCTCTGCCCTGGACACTGGTAAGGACTCCCTTCTCCCTTCCTCGGTCCAATTTCCCACCTGCTGCCCTTCTCCCCACCATCCACTGTCTCTCTCTCAGCCACTCACCCTCTTATCTGTTTTTCTCTTCATCTATCTAGATCGCCTCTTCCGCTGCCGCTTCAACACCTCCAAGTCCCTCAGGCGCCAGAGTGCAGGCAACAAACTCGTGCTTATTCGAGGCCGATTCCATGCTCACCCACCTGGAGCCTACTGGGCAGGAAATCCCGTGTTCACAGCTTTCTGTGCCCCTCTGGAGCCGAGACCCCGCCCAGGTCCTGGCCCTGGCCCTGGCCCTGCCTCGCTCTTCCTGGCCATGTTCCAGAGCCGCCATGCTAAAGACCTGGCTCTACTGGACATCTCCGAGAGGTAAGCCTGGAGTGTTCAGATTCCAAGAGAAAGGCAGGCCAGAGATGAAGGGACCCTAGATTCTGGAGTCAGGGGCAGGGAGGATGGGGTTTAGGGGGGCAGAGGATCTGGGAGGGAGTGAGATGCATGGGTATCAAGCAAGGAAAACAGAAAGCTGACCTCACCCTTTCCACCTTCCCAGTGTCCTAATCTACCTGGGCTTTGAGCGCAGTGAACTGCTTTGTAAATCATGGTATGGACTGCTGCACCCCGAGGACCTGGCCCACGCTTCTGCTCAACACTACCGCCTGTGTGAGTGTCCAGAGAGGCTGGGGACAAGATAGCAAGCTGGGAAAGGGCATGGGAGACCAGACAAAGAATGATCTGTAGTCAAGAGTGATGCTGGGGAGATAACAGAGGCCAACAGTTTCGGATGCTATAGGGTGAACATGAAGGTGAGGATTCAAGGCAATAATCAAATCAGAACTGGGGGACTCTGAGTGGTGAGGTCAAGGTAGAGAGCTGAGTGGTTCAGGTGAGGGTAGTCAGAAGAGAGGATGTCACGGCTATCTCAATTCAGTGGAGAGGTGACCAAGGGTGGGGAGTAGGTAGAATTGCCTGGTGGACATCCTAACTCTGCATCTTCTTTCTCCCCAGTGGCTGAGAGTGGAGATATTCAGGCAGAGATGGTGGTGAGGCTACAGGCCAAGACTGGAGGCTGGGCATGGATTTACTGCCTGTTATACTCAGAAGGTCCAGAGGGACCCATTACTGCCAATAACTACCCAATCAGGTAAGCCACAAGCCAGGGGACTAGGGGGCAGCTGAGGTCGTCATGGAGGAGACACAAATCAGGGAACTGCTCTGGATATGGACGTCGGACCCTTACCAGCTGCCTCTTCTCTCCTCTCCAGTGACATGGAAGCCTGGAGCCTCCGCCAGCAGTTGAACTCTGAAGACACCCAGGCAGCTTATGTCCTGGGCACTCCGACCATGCTGCCCTCATTCCCTGAAAACATTCTTTCCCAGGAAGAGTGCTCCAGCACTAACCCACTCTTCACCGCAGCACTGGGGGCTCCCAGAAGCACCAGCTTCCCCAGTGCTCCTGAACTGAGTGTTGTCTCTGCATCAGAAGAGCTTCCCCGACCCTCCAAAGAACTGGACTTCAGTTACCTGACATTCCCTTCTGGGCCTGAGCCTTCTCTCCAAGCAGAACTAAGCAAGGATCTTGTGTGCACTCCACCTTACACGCCCCATCAGCCAGGAGGCTGTGCCTTCCTCTTCAGCCTCCATGAGCCCTTCCAGACCCATTTGCCCACCCCATCCAGCACTCTTCAAGAACAGCTGACTCCAAGCACTGCGACCTTCTCTGATCAGTTGACGCCCAGCAGTGCAACCTTCCCAGATCCACTAACTAGCCCACTGCAAGGCCAGTTGACTGAAACCTCGGTCAGAAGCTATGAAGACCAGTTGACTCCCTGCACCTCCACCTTCCCAGACCAGCTGCTTCCCAGCACAGCCACCTTCCCAGAGCCTCTGGGCAGCCCTGCCCATGAACAGCTGACTCCTCCCAGCACAGCATTCCAAGCACACCTGGACAGCCCCAGCCAAACCTTCCCAGAGCAACTGAGCCCCAACCCTACCAAGACTTACTTTGCCCAGGAGGGATGCAGTTTTCTCTATGAGAAGTTGCCCCCAAGTCCTAGCAGCCCTGGTAATGGGGACTGCACGCTCTTGGCCCTAGCCCAGCTCCGGGGCCCCCTCTCTGTGGATGTCCCCCTGGTGCCCGAAGGCCTGCTCACACCTGAGGCCTCTCCAGTCAAGCAGAGTTTCTTCCACTACTCTGAAAAGGAGCAGAATGAGATAGACCGTCTCATCCAGCAGATTAGCCAATTGGCTCAGGGCATGGACAGACCCTTCTCAGCTGAGGCTGGCACTGGCGGACTAGAGCCACTTGGAGGACTGGAGCCCCTGGACTCCAACCTGTCCCTGTCAGGGGCAGGCCCCCCTGTGCTCAGCCTGGACCTGAAACCCTGGAAATGCCAGGAGCTGGACTTCCTGGCTGACCCTGATAACATGTTCCTGGAAGAGACGCCCGTGGAAGACATCTTCATGGATCTCTCTACCCCAGATCCCAGTGAGGAATGGGGCTCAGGGGATCCTGAGGCAGAGGGCCCAGGAGGGGCCCCATCGCCTTGCAACAACCTGTCCCCAGAAGACCACAGCTTCCTGGAGGACCTGGCCACATATGAAACCGCCTTTGAGACAGGTGTCTCAGCATTCCCCTATGATGGGTTTACTGATGAGTTGCATCAACTCCAGAGCCAAGTTCAAGACAGCTTCCATGAAGGTGAGTCAGCCAAAAGGTCCAAGAACTCAAGTCCCTGTCCTGCCAATGAAATGCTGGGTAGATTTAGGCAAATCAATTCCCCCTCTCTGTACATTGATTTTATTAAGGGGATGACATCCCCTGCTGAAGAGAGTAGCAGTGGAGATAAGAAAAAATGAAAGACTTAATATGAAAGTTTGAACAAGCAGACTTGGCAGGGGTTGGGGCTGTGGGATAGAGTGCTAGGGAATTCTTAAGTAAGGGCTTGTGCTTAACTCCATGAGAGGCCTAGATCAGTCTTCAGCACCCCATTTTACAGATGAAAATAATCAAGGTCCCAGAGTTAAACAGACTTTCCTTAGGGTGCACAACAAACTGATGGAAGAGGGACTAGAGCTCTATCCTAGTATCCTAGCTCCCTGAAGGGGATACAGAGCAAGAATTTATGCAAGTTGGTAAAAGAAAGACGAGGCTCAGCCCCTGACTCCATTGAGGTAGCTCCCTGGTTACAGCCCCATCCTTCCTAAACTACAGCCACAGTTTCACTCCGTCCATCCAAATTGCCCCCTAATCTACTGAGCCTCTGGCCATCATTTCATCATTGAGCCAATATCTTTGAAGCCTATACTAATACCAACACATTCTCAGCCCCAGGATCCTCTGTGCTAATTGGTCTAACTGATTGTGTTCTCTCTATCTATCTCTCTGCAGATGGAAGTGGAGGGGAACCAACGTTTTGAATAAGTCTGTGACTTAACGTCGTCAAGTATGGCATATTGTCATCAAGACGTGGAGCCGCTCTCCACCCCCCCGGGACTGTTGGGGGGATTCTGAGGGCCAGAGGGGGATATATATGATTCCCCAGGCCCTGCAGGATTTTGGGGGGGGGGAGGTGGGAGGGCAAGGGAGGGGAGCTTCTTTTTAAAATCAAGAGACTTCGAGCGATCCCAGTTTCCATTTCAATCTGTATTCACTCGTAGTGAGTTTCCTTGAATGGGATTTCAAGCGGAGAATGGGGGAGTCTCACTTCCCCGCCGCCTTGCCCCATTGGCCTGGGCCAGTTCTCCACTCCTAGGGGCCAAGCCACCCCTAGCCTTGGTGGGGGAAAGGCAGGGCCCACCCGGGCCAGCCCGTGCCCTGAGGGGCTCTTGACACCCACGTAGAATTCTCTACACACCAGTAACGGGATTTCAATTCCGATGGACTCTGCCGCCCTGGCGGCCCTTCCTGTGACTTTTGCGCCCCGCGCCTGGGGTGGGGGGTGCGAAGAGACGCTACGTTCCTTTCCGATGGAGGAAGGCAGACCTGCCGTCACACGTGTGCTTGCACGAGTGCGTGTACCTGGTGCGGGACTCACCCGGCCGCCAGACTGCCTGGGCCTGCCCAGATGGCCACCTCGTGGTGCTGCGGTGACTTTGTAGCCAACTTTATAATAAAGTCCAGTTTGCCTTTTTGGTACCTCTGGTGTCATGCGCTGCTGTGTAAAAGGAAGGGTGGAGGATAAGTTTGGGAGGCTTGGATGGGAGCCTGGGGGCCAGGAGGTAAAAGCTGGACCTGTTTATGGCCCCAGCATTTCTTCATCCACTTGTGAATTCATTCATTCATTCACTCATTCATTCATTCTTTCACTCAACGTCCACATGTACATTGTGTGGCCCATACTGTGCTAGAAGCTGGAAAGTTTAGGGCTGAAACAGATGTTATGTCTTGCCCTCAAGGTGCTTGGCGTCCAGTACTAGAGAATACTGGCATCTCCTCTCTGCGCCAGGCTTGCAGTGCTCGTGGTGTGGGAGGGGACAGAGGGCCTAGGAGTGGACATGAGGATTCAATTTGATGTTGGGTCTGGGCATGGGTTTGAAGCTTCTGCTCACAAGTTCTTTCTTCACCTGGTCCTTCAGGGAAGCAACTTCCTTGTGGGGCCCTGGATCGACTCACTGGAAATTATAACCACGTCTGTTATCCTTGCACAGGGCTTTCAGCTGACACACACTTTTACCTCTCTTATTTGCTGCAACAATTCTTCTGGGCAGGCATATTAGCCCATCTCACTGATGAAGAAACTGAGGACCACAGGTAAAAAGTTATTTGTTCCCACAATTGATGACAGGCATGGGTGGATGGGCAACATACCCAGAGCATCTGCATCCCAGCCCTGGGCTGTTTTCTCTGCTGGCAGAGCCAGTGAATCACCACCCATCCCAAATCATCTCATCCCAGATTACTCAAGAAGGGCAAATGTGGGCTGGAGCAGGGTCCTCTCTCCCAAGTGTGGGGTGAGAAACCCCTTCTTTTTGCTCTCCAGGTCTGTAAAGTAGAGCTGAGCAGAATATAACTCAGTAAGTCAAGAGAAAAAAGTTTCCAAAAATGCTGTTTTCCTCCAAGCTTGAAGCCCAAACAGCCACAAGGTAGGGTGAGGGGCAAATGAAAATGAGGAGATGGGCTGGGCACAGTGGGTCACGCCTGTAATCCCAGCACCTTGGGAGGACAAGGCAGGAGGATTGCTTGAGCCCAGGAGTTTGAGATCAGCCTGGGAAACATGGTGAAATCCCATCTTTACAAAAAATACAAAAATTATCTGGGTGTGGTGCACACTTGTAGTCCCAGCTACATGAGAGCCTGAGGCTGGAGAATCTCTTGAGCCTGGGAGGTGGAGGTTGCAGTGAGCCAAGACTGCACCACTGTACTCCAGCCTAGGCGACAGAGCGAACCCTGGATTCAAATCTCATCTCCACCAATTATTTGCCAAATGGGACTTGAGGCTCAGTTTCTCCACAAGTGAAGCAGGGCTGACAAACATGGTACTTATCTCCCAAAGATGCTGTTAGAACTTGATAGTGTCCATTTATAAGCAGAGAAGCACAGAATTGACTTAAGTTATTCAATTGAATTAGAAGGCAACGGTGACCTCAAAGGCTTCCCCAGTGAAGTACAGAGGCTGGGTTCCAGGAACTGAGGGCACAACCTGAGAAAGCCCCTAAGCCTCCTTTTATTCCAAATCCTCCAGCTCTGGGGCCATGCCCTTCAGACAGTCCCATGGGAAGGAAGACACTCCTAGGGACCTGTCACTATTTTTCCAACTTGGATGGGTCCTTGGGTGGAAAAGGAGGGTGGAGTTTTGCCCTCTGCCTTCCTTGTGCATCTGTTCTCCAACTTGGACAAAATAACTGGATTGTCAGCCCCAGGAGGACCCTGGCATGGAGCACAGGACTGGCACATAACAGACACACTCAAAATGTCTTCTTGAAAGGAATCTTTCTCTCTTTCTCTCTTTCTCTCTTTCTTTCTTTCTTTGTTGGCAATGTTCACTATATTGCTGGACTCAAACTCCTGGGCTCAAGTGATCCTCCTGCCTCATCCTCCCAAAATACTGGGATTGCAGGTGCACATGGCTGAGAGGACACTTCTGAAGTTCAGTCAAAGGGTTTCATTAGACTCATCAGTTTCTACTGTAAAAATGTGTTCCTAAGTTCCCCAGAGGGAATCTTAAGTGACCATGAGCTCAAGACATGCATTGGAGTCCCATATAAAAACCTCCCTGGGGTCATTAAAAAAAAAAAAAAAGGAAAGTCTGGCCACACAATTGTGGCAGCTCATGCCTATAATCCCAGAATTTTGGGAGGACGAGGTGGGAGGACGGCCTGAGCCCATGAGTTCAATACCAGCCTGGGCAACAAAGCAAGACCCAATCTCTACAAACAAAAATTAGCTGGGCGTGGTGGCATGCACCTGTAGTTCCGTCTACTTGAGAGGTTGAAGTGGGAGGATTGCTTAAGCCCAGGAGTTAGAGACTGCAATGAGCTATGGTCACATCACTGCACTCCAGCCTGGGCAACAGAGCAAGACCCTGCCACAAAAACAAAACAAAAAGGAAAATCTGAGAAACCTAAGGAAACATAATGATGAAATAGAATGTAATATACTAGAGCAGAAAAAGGATGCAAGGTAATGAGGAAGTCTGAATAAAGTATGGACTTCAGTTGATAATACTGTATCAACATTGACTCATTAATTGTGACAAATGTATCATGTAAGTGTAAGATGTTGGTAACAGGTGGAAATGGCTGTGGGGTCTGTGGGAACTTTGTAGGATCTTCAAAACTTTTCTCTAAGTCTAAATCTATAATAGGCCAGGCACGGTGGCTCAAGCCTGTAATCCCAGGATTTTGGGAGGCCGAGGTGTGTGGATCACCTGAGGTCAGGAGTTCGATAGCAGCCTGGCCAACATGGTGAAACCCCGTCTCCACTAAAAATACAAAAATTAGCCGGGCATGGTGGCGTGAGCCTGTAATCCCAGCTACTCGGGAGGCTGAGGCAAGAGAATCACTTGAACCCATTAGGCGGAGGTTGCAGTGAGCTGAGATCATGCCATTGCACTCCAGCCTGGGTGACAGAGTGAGACTCTGTCTCAAAAAACAAAAAAAAAAACAAAACAAAAAAGCCCCATAACTTTTTTTATTTTTTATTTTTTGATATGGAGTCTTGCTCTGTTGCCCAGGCTGGAGTGCAGTGGCACGATCTCGGCTCACTACAGCCTCTGCCTCCCGGGTTCCAGCGATTCTCCTGCCTCAGCCTCCTGGGTAGCTGGGATTCCAGGCGCATGACACCACGCCTGGCTAATTTTTCTATTTTTAGTAGAGACGGGGTTTCACCATGTTGGCCAAGCTTCTCTCAATCTCTTGACCTCGTGATCTACCAGCTTCAGCCTCCTAAAGTGCTGGGATTACAGGCGTGAGCCACCATGCCCAGCCGCCCCACAACTTTAAAAGGTAAAAATTATGGAAGAAAAAAAGAAACCCCTCCCTGGTATTTGGTGGCAGTGACAGGAGATGGTAGAGTGTGTGTGGACAAGAAGGCACCCTGACACTCAGAACTGGAGAGCCAGGCCGTCGACCCATGCGGAGAAAGAAGTTGAGCGAGCCCATTGCGCCCCCTGCTGGACATAGAACCATCTGCTTCTGTTCCCTTCCCTGGCACGGTCCCTGTGGCTCAGAGCATCAACAATATTGCATCTTAGAATAGATGGGTAAACTGAGGCCCAGAGAGAAGAAAGGAATTGCCCAATGGCACTTCCAAAGTGGCTGCAGAAGCCAAATCTGACTCTCAAGCACCCTTGCCACCAACACCAGGTTGCTGCCCTGGGAGCAAAAAGGTATGAGAAAGGGCTGAAGTTTTGGAGTCACAAAGACTGAGGTCAAATATTGGCTCTGGCACTTCATTTTGCATGTGATAAACACTTATGACACCTACATGCGCCAAGGGCTTTGCTGGGTCCTGGGGAAAACTGAACAAGACAGACAAGGTCCCTGGACTCACAGACCTTACACTGAAGTTGTGGGGAGACGTAACAAAAAGTAAAATAACTCTTTAAAGGGAGCATGCAGTGCGTGCAGTGAAAGAAAGAACCTGTGTACTGTGGCCGAGCGGAACTGAGGAGGGGGTGCTAATTTAGAATGTGGCATCAGAAAGCTCTTCTAAGGTGACATTGAGCTAAGACCTAAAAGATAAGAAAGAAGAAGAGGCCGGGCACGGTGGCTTGTGCCTGTAATCCTAGCACTTTGGGAGACTGAAGCAGGTGGATAGCTTGAGTCCAGGAGTTTGAAACCAGCCTGGGCAACAAGGCAAAACCCCGTCTCTACAAAAAAAAAAAAAAAAAAAAAAAAAAAGCAAAAAGTTAGCCAGGTGTGGTGGTGTGCACCTGTAGTCCCAGCTACCCAAAAGGCTGAGGTGGGAAGATCACCTGAGCCCAGAAGGGCGAGGCTGCAGTGAGCCTTGATTGCACTTACACCACTGCACTCCAGCCTGGGTGACAAGAGTGAGACGTCGTCTCAAAAAAAAAAAAAAAAAAAAAAAAAAAAGTCCGGGCGCTGTGGCTCACCCCTGTAATCCCAGCACTTTGGACTTTGGGAGGCAGAAGCGGGCGGATCACGAGGTCAGGATATCAAGACCATCCTGGCTAACACGGTGAAACTCCGTCTCTACTAAAAATATAAAAAATTAGCCGGGCGTGGTGGCGGGCGCCTGTAGTCCCAGCTACTCGGGAGGCTGAGGCAGGAGAATCACTTGAACACAGGAGGCAGAGGTTGCAGTGAGCTGAGATTGTGCCACTGCACTCCAGCCTGGGTGACAGAATGAGAGAAAGAAAGAAAAGGAAAGAAGAAGGAAAGAAAGAAAAAGAAAGAAAGAAAAAAGAAAGAAAGAAAGAAAAGAGAGGAGAGAGAGAAAGAGAAAAGGAAGGAAGAAAGGAAGGAAGGAAGGAAAGAAGGAAAGAAGGAAGGAAAGAGGAAGAAGAGTGCTCCAGGTCAAAGAAAAGCAAAACTAAGGGTATCAAAATGGGAAAGGATTGACCTGTTTAAGGAATAGGAAAGAAGTCAGTGTGGCAAGGGGAAGAGTGGCTGGAGAGAAGGAAGATTACCCAGGGCCTTTGGACCAGGATAAGAAACTTAGATTTTATTTCATGTGCAATAGGAATCCTCTGGGGAAATTTAAGTGAGAGAACGACATATAATTCACATTTTTAAGCCATCCCACTGAAAGTTGTGTGGAGAATGGATTGAATGAGGTAGGAGGAGAAGCAGAGACCAGTTTAGGCTTCTGCAGTGATCCAGGCAAATAGGACGAGAACTCACACCCAAGTGCTTCCCTCAAGTCCAGGCGGAGGTGAGTGACTGGCTTTGGAATGCTTCAGAGGCAGAACTGACAGGATTTGCTAATGGATTTCAAATGGGGGTGAGGAAAAGAGAAGTCTCCTGTTTCTGACTTTAGTGAGTGAGTGAAGGGTTGTTGTTTACTTAGAAAAAACTGCCTGGTCACGGTGGCTCACGCCTGTAATCTCAGCACTTTGGGAGCCTGGGCGGATCACGAGGTCAGGAGTTCAAGACCAGCCTGGCCAATATGGTGAAACCCCATCTCTACTAAAATACAAAAATTAGCTAGGCGTGTTGGTGCGCACCTGTAGTCCCAGCTACTCTGGAGGCTGAGGCAGGAGAACTGCTTGAACCTGGGAGGTGGAGCTTGCAGTAAGCCGAGATTGTGCCATTGCACTCCAGCCTAGGTGACAGAGTGTCTCAAAAGAAAAAAAAATAGAGAAAAAGATGGAAAAATGGATAAGAAAGTTTTGTTTTTGTTTTCCTTTTTTTTTGAGATGGAATTTCGCTCTTGTTGCCCAGGCTGGAATGCAGTGGCATGATCTTGGCTCACTGCAACCTCCGCCTCCCGGGGTCAAGTGATTTTCCTGCCTCAGCCTCCTGAGTAGCTGGGATTATAGGTGTCCGCCACCATCCCCAGCTAATTTTTTTTTTTTCAGTAGAGACAGGGTTTCACCATGTTGGCCAGGCTGGTCTCTAACTCCTGACCTCAGGTGATCTACCCACCTCGGCCTCCTAAAGTGCTGGGATTACAGGTATGCAACACCACGTCTGGCCAAGAAAGCTTTAAAAGATAAGAAAGGATTCCCACCCTGGCCACAGGCTGGGTGTCTCTGGCTTGCTGAGTAGGTGTGGGTGACTACCCTGAAGATGCCTTCCGGAACATGCCAGCACCGCAGATGCTGGCAGTCTGCTGTGCCCGTGATATTGGGCAAAGAGGAAGTGGCTATTTCTACACTTGGTGTTCAGAAACCAGTGAGCTCTAAGAATGGTTTATAGCCTGACATTTCTTAGAAAAAAGAAAAAGTTAAACAAGATTCCAGGCATGGTGGCTCATGACTGTTATCCCAGCAGTTTGGAAGGCCGAGGTGGGAGGATCGCTTGAGCCTACAAATTTGAGACCAGCCTGGGGAGCATGGCGAAATCTCATCTCTACAGAAAAAATAACAAAAAAAAATTAGCCAGTCATGGTGGTGTTCACCTGTGGTCCTAACCACTTGGGAGGCTGATGTGAGAGAATCACTTGAGGCCAGGAGTTGGAGGCTACAGTGAGCTATGATTACACCACTGCACTCTAGCCTGGCAAAAGGGCGAGACCCTGTCTCAAAAAAGGAAAGAAAGAAAAAGAAGAAAGAGAGAGAAAGAAGGAAGGAAAGAAGGAAAGAAAGAGACTTCTTTTGGCACAGTGGCTAATGCCTGTAAGCCCAGTGTTTTGAGAGGCTGAGGCGAGAGGATTTGAGGCCAGGAGCTTGAGACCAGCCTGGGCAACATAGCAAGATACTGTCTCTTTAAAAAAACAAAATAGGCCAGACATGGTGGCTCACGCCTGTAATCCCAGCAGTTTGGGAGGCCAAGGTGGGAAGGTTACTTGAGGTCAGGAGTTTGAGATCAGCCTGGCCAACATGGTGAAACCCCATCTTTACTGAAAATACAAAAATTAGCTGGGTGTAGTGGCACATGCCTGTAATTCCAGCTACTCGGGAGGCTGAGGCAGGAGAATCGCTTGAACGTGGGAGGCAGAGGTTGCAGTGAGCCAAGACTGTGCCATTTCTTGTCTTGGAGACAAGAATGAAACTCCATCTCCAAAAATAACAACAACAATAAAAATAAAATAAAAGTAAATAAAAAATAAACATAATTTAAAATTCACCAGGCATAGTGGCATGCACCTGTATTCCCAGCTACTTGGGAAGCTGAGGCTGGAGGATCCCTTGAGCCCAGGAGTTTGAAGCTGCAGTGAGCTATTACTGCACCACTGCCTGGGTTACAGAGTAAGACCCTGTCTCTAAAACATTTAAAAATAAAAAAGCCAGGCGCGATGGATCACGCCTGTAATCCCAGCACTTTGGGAGGCCGAGGCAGGCAGATCACAAGGTCAGGAGTTTGAGACCAGCCTAGCCAACATGGCAAAACCTGTCTCTACTAAAAATACGAAAATTAGCCAGGCGTGGTGGTGGGTACCTGTAATCCTGGCTACTTGGGAGGCTGAGGCAGGAGAATTGTTTGAACCTGGGAGGTGGAGGCTGCAGTAAGCTGAGATCGTGCCACTGCCACTGCATTCCAGCCTGGGTGACGAGAGCAAGACTCTGTCTCAAAAAAAAAAAATTAATTAATTAAAAAAAAATTTTTTTTTTAAATGAAGTCTTGGCCAGGCACGGTGGCTCACACCTGTAATCCCAGCACTTTGGGAGGCCAAGGCGGGTGGATCACCTGAGGTCAGGAGTTCGAGACCAGCCTGGCCAACATGGTGAAACCCTGTCTGTACTAAAAATACAAAAAAATCAGCCAGGTGTGGTGGCAAGCGCCTGTAACACCAGCTACTTGGGAGGCCGATGCAGGAGAATCACTTGAACTTGAGAGGCAGAGGTTGCAGTGAGCCAAGATTGTGCCACTGCACTCCAGCCTGGGAGACAGAGTGAGACTCCATCTCAAAAAAAAAAAAAAAACTAAGCCACTAAGCCATCATTTAAAATTGTTTTAGATAATTTTTAGGCCAGGTGCAGTGGCTCACGCTTGTAATCCCAGCACTTTGGGAGGCCGAGGCGGGCAGATCATGAGGTCAGGAAATCAAGACCATCCTGGCTAACATGGTGAAACCCCGTCTCTACTAAAAATGCAAAAAAAATTAGCCGGTGTGGTGGCAGGCGCCTGTAGTCCCAGCTACTTGGGAGGCTGAGGCAGGAGAATGGCATGAACCTGGGAGGCAGAGCTTGCAGTGAGCTGAGATGGCGCCACTGCACTCCAGCCTGGGTGACAGAGCGAGACTCCGTCTCAAAAAAAAAAAAAGAAAGACAATTTTTAAATGTTCTAAATAGTTGCTAACTTGAAAGTATACAGCGTTGTACAGCTATATAGAGTATGACCCCAGTTTGTTTTTTCAAAAAGCATTATACATAAATACACACACAAAGAAAAAAAGGAGCAGAAAAGATATACACCAAATATTGGCAGAAGTCTCATCTGGGTGGTGGGATAACATGAGGTTTTTATTTTCTTTTAGGTGTTTATCTATGCTTTCCATATTTTCTCAGTGTAAAATGAAGTGTCTAGCACATAACAGATGGTCAGTAAATGCGAATCTCCTTTCTCCCCCAACTCCTGCTCTCTTCTCTGAAAGGACAATGAGGAAATAGAAGGCCAAGGGCTTCCCGAGGACTTCTCCATCAGGCAGGAACCTACTGAAGCTTTGCTCTTTCTGTGGTCTGTAGCTGTCAGCCCTACAATAGTTCATGTTCAGCCAACATCTGACCCAGAGCCAGGGTCAGGAGCTTAGTAGAAGGGCCTGAAGTAGCCCCTGGGATCTGGGTACTCCATGTAGTAACCCTGCCTGGGGCTGAACTGAGATCTCCACAGGGACTTGTTTCTGCAGAGGTGGCAAGTTGTTCAGAGATAAAAGAGATTTTTGATGGAAGAAGTAAGCAATACACCTCAGCCCTAGCAACCATAGTTCCCACCCTGGGGAGGGGAAGAACACAGGATTTCAAATGAGAAGGCCTGGGTTCTATTCCTACCTCTGGCACCAATTCAGAACCTGGGCAATAAAACAAAATTATAACTTAAAAAAGAAAAAAAAGGACCTGGGCAAGTTACTTTGCTTGGCTGAACCTCAGTTTGCACATCTGAGAAGCAGTATGAAGACCCCAATTTCCTAATGTCTGCCCATATTGGCTACCACCAGTACTGGTTCCCTTCCCTGAGGTCCCAAGATAGAAGATGACAGTGGGTAAGAAAGGATGTTTATTCAGGCCTGATGCCTCGATACAGCTAGATGTACAAAAATATATCATTCAAAGTCATGAAAACCATCATCATATTGGTGTGACCTCCTTCCTCCCCTTGGGCACAGCTTTTGCAACTACCTCCTTTGAAATCTGGGAGTTGGTGGGGCAAGGGTCACTTCTTGGCAGCTTCTTCTTGGGCAGCCAAATCTGCCTCCTTCTGAGCAGCCAGGAAGATGGCTCGTTCCTTCTGGAAAGCTGCAAGCTCTTCTGAACTGAGGCTGCAAGTGAAAAAAGACAAATGGTTGGCGCATGATTGGTCACCAGTGGGAGCTCACAGGACCCTATGTCTTGCAGGGGCTTGAAGGGGCCCCTGTCTCCAAGCCCAGCTTGCCTGGCCCCTTCTGCCTCCCTGACTTCCCAGCCTCCATACCTTTGCTCATTTCCTCTCCAGGGACAACATCTCCCAACCCCCAACACCCCTATCTTTTGTTCCCTTATTAAATCCCTACTCATCCTTTGAGGCATCAGCCAGGCCCCAGTCCAGATTAACTGGGGTACTCTGTGCCCCAGAATATGCTGTACAATGACGTCACGGGGCTGAGCATGTGTGTCTCTCCCAGGACAGGGGTCAGATTTACCCATCTCCATGCTCCCAGTAAAAAAAAAAAGATTTGAGAAAATTCAAGTCTGTGTCTGCTCCATGCTTAACCCCATTCTTCTTGGGAAATAATCAATTGTCAGCCTTGACATGGGATGTAACACAGCAGCAAGAGGCCAGTAAAGGGTTGAATGCTATCTCTGTCCCGGCGGTTGTCTAGGCCAGACACCCTCCCACCCAACATCTTACTTCAATGAAACAATTCCTGAAGTCATCCGAAGCCCCATGACAGGGGTCCCTGTTTGCCTCAGGAGCAAGCATGAACCTGACACAGCTCAAAAGTCCTTCGCACTGGTCCTTCCCTCATACCATTCTCCACTTGCCTCTAGGACGACAGACCCAGGTCACACTGAACTTCTCCCACTTGGATCCTTCATGGAGATCTTTCCATTTCTTAGAACATTTGCAGAACAACGTCTAATACATAACAGGTGCCCAATAAGAGTATTCCAGATCAATGAATGTGGCCTCCCACCCCCACCCCATCCTCTAGAATCTAGGGTCCCTTGACTTAAAAGCTGACTTTCCCACTGCAATGGGCCCTCTCAGCTCTGCCCGAGTCCAGAGCTTTCTGGGCCCTCTCGTCACACTGCACATGCCAGGATACTTACTCCTTCACCACGCGAATGCCCAGAGAACGGGCAGACCCGATGATGGAGCGGACAACAGACGACAGGGGTACATCCTGCAGGGCAAATGCCTCATCCTGAGCTTTGATGCGGGCAATCTCATACACATGCTTCAAGGTCACCAGGCCTGCCACCTCTTTCCCTGGGAGGAAGGAACAAGTGGCTCTTCAGGTGTTACTGCTTCCTTCTGGAGCCCCCAGAATCTCAGATGCTTACCCTGGCCCTCACCTGTTTGCCGGGCCCCCTTTTCAATCCCAGCTGCTGCCTTCAGGAAGTAGGAAACAGTGGGCTGTCCAATCTTAATTTCAAATGTCCTGTCAGGCTTAACAGAAAAAAGAAATATGAGATTCTCTCTTCCTACTGCCCCATCCCAGGGAACTTCTAATGTCTTGCCCCCTGCTTCCTTCATCTCACTTTCCAATGGCATCCCTCAAAAAGACCACAGAATCACAAGAAAAAAATAAATCGGGGTCAGGCGCAGTGGTTCATGCCTATAATCCCAGCACTTTGGGAGGAAAAGGCGGGTGGATCACCTGAGGTCAGGAGTTCAAGACCAGCCTGACCAACATGGTGAAACCCCATCTCTACTAAAAATACAAAAAATTAGCCGGGCGTGGTGGCGGGCGCCTGTAATCCTAGCTACTCGGGAGGCTGAGGCAGGAGAATTGCTTGAACCCGGGAGGAGGAGATTGCAGTGAGCGGAGATCGTGCCACTGCACTCCAGCCTGGGCGACAAGAACAAAACTCCATCTCAGAAAAAAAGAAAGAAAAAAATAAATCTGCAGCAAACATCCCTGTCCCCTCTATTCCTGCCCTCATTCTGCTCTGGAAGCCCCAGTGAGATGGAGGGGCAAAGGGAGGAACTGCAACATGGCAAGATGGGGCTGGTTCAGAAAAAATATGATCTAGTCCTAAATGGGGAAAGTGGAGCCCAGTAATAGGAAGTCAAGTCAGGAGCAGAGAAACAACCCCAGATGACCAGTCCCAGGGCCGAGGAAGAACAGAGGGAGAAGGAAACCAGGGATCAGAGTCCAGACTCCACCTTCACTAAAATCTTGGTAGGCAGAGGAATGCCTTCCTTGATGTCCTTTGTCCTCTCATTGAACTCCTTGCAAAACTGGTTGATGGAAACGCCTCTCTGTGAGGGAAGCAGAGGGGGTTAGTGGTGAGAGGAGGGGACGGCTTCCTATCGCCCAGGAGGCGCCGTCCGTTCCCTCCTTCGTCTTCACTTCTCTGGGTTCCCATCTGTACCCAGATTCAACTACCCCTCCGTGAGCCAGAAGATCGTACGCATCTTCCCACGTTATCCTCATTACAGCACATTGAAGAAGGGATGAGGAAGCCCAGGTGGAAGACACTTTGTAACCAGCACAAGGACATAAAGCGTGTGAGAAGCAGAGCCGAGCTCTGAACCGAGGCCCGGGTGGTTCCAGGGCCAGCGCCCTCCATCCGCGTCCTAGCTTCCACCATCCTAGACAACCCCCACGTCGGGTTCCCGCCACGGCCGCACCTGACCCAGCACTGGGCCTAGTGGGGGCCCGGGCATGGCCAGGCCTGCCCGCACGATCGCCCGGATCACACCGCCGACCTCGGGCTTCCTGAGGCCCCGGGCGGCCCGGCCGAGCTTTGACATGATGCGGGGCTGCTGGCTTCAGTTCACCTCAGGGGAGCAGCAAGAGCGAAGCTCTGGGCGCCACCATCTTGGGCCAGAGGTCAAGGGTCCTCACGTTAGGCTAGGGCAGGTGAGGCCAACAAACAGCAGCCTTGTTTCAACCCTATTGCTCGCCAACTAGTAAGACAAGGAGGATGAGAGGAGGATAAAACACTTTTTAACTTGTTTTATGCAGATAAAGGAAGGGCCCGAATGGCCTAGGTACACACATTCCCACAGGAACGCGCACAGGCACTACCTCGGACAGCTAACCAGTAGGGTGGGACCTTGATACCCCATAGCATTGTGGGTATGGTAGTTTTGACTCCGTGTGCAGGTCCGGCCAATTGCTATGCGCCAGGGCGCCATCTGCTGCACACGGTGATAATCCTAGGGTTTGAAATACACCTGGAGCTCCTGATTGGTAATGGAAGTCTCTCCTCTCTCTGTTCCTCACATGCTGTTGAAAGGCAGTACGGTTGAGTGTAGACCCTGAGCTGGGCACGGTAACTTACGCCTGTAATCCCAGCACTTTGGGAGGCCAAGGCAGGAGGATCGCTTGAGCCCAGGAGTTTGAGACCAGCCTGGGCAACACAGCAAGACCCCATCTCTACTGGGCGGGAAGATCAGTTGAGTCCAGAAGTTGGAGGCGGCAGTAAGCCAGGATTGCGCCACTGCATGTGAACTTAATCAAGTTTCTTATGCTTTGTCTCCTCCCCACTACAGCAGGTATTGTAATATGTAGCACCTACCTCTTAGGATTGCTGTGAGGACTAAGTTAGCAAAGTGCTTAAAACAATGCCCGGCACCTAGTCAGCATGTGCTATTATTAACCGTACGATTAAGATAAAACCTGAGTTGTTGTGAGGCTTAACAGACCCAGAACATTCGATATATCATCTGTGACCAAATAAGCCAGCATCTTATTGTATCATGAGGAGAGCAAAAATCACCTGGTGACCTTTGAATCATGAGGAGAGCAAAAATCACCTGGTGACCAGAGACAAAAACTCCTTATCTGAGGAATTGAAAAGTAATTAAACTTCCCTAGTGTGTCCGGAATTGGTGGGTTCTTGGTCTCCCTGACTTCAAGAATGAAGCCGTGGACACTCACGGTGAGTGTTACATTTCTTAAAGGCTGCGTGTCTGGAGTTTGTTCCTTCTGATGTTTGGATGTGTTCTGAATTTCTTCCTTCTGGTGGGGTTCATGGTCTCGATGGCTCAGGAGTGAAGCTGCGGACCTTCGCGGTGAGTGTTACAGCTCTTAAGGCGGCGCGTCTGGAGTTGTTCCTCCCAGTGGGTTCGTGGTCTTGCTGGCTTCAGGAGTGAACCTGCAGACCTTTGCGGTGAGTGTTACAGCTCACAAAGGCAGTGTGGACCCAAAGAGTGAGCAGTAGCAAGATTTACTGCAAAGAGCAAAAGAACAAAGCTCCCACAGTGTGGAAGGGGACCCGAGCGGGTTGCCACTGCTGGCTGGGGCAGCCTGCTTTTATTCTCTTATCTGGCCCCCGCCCCACATCCTGCTGATTGGTCCCTTTTACAGAGAGCCGAGTGGTCTGTTTTGACAGGGTGCTGATTGGTGCGTTTACAATCGCTGAGCTAGACACAAAGGTTCTCCATGTCCCTACTAGATTAGCTAGATACAGAGTGTCCACACAAAGGTTCTCCAAGTCCCCACCAGAGTAGCTAGATACAGTGTCCATTGGTGCATTCACAAACCCTGAGCTAGACACAGGGTGCTAATTGGTGTGTTTACAAACCTTGAGCTAGATACAGAGTGCCGATTGGTGAATTTACAACCCCTAGCTGGACATAAAGATTCTCCAAGTCCCCACCAGAGTAGCTAGATACAGAGTGTCGATTGGTGCATTTACAATCCCATACAATCCTAGACATAAAGGTTCTCCACGTCCCCACCAGACTCAGGAGCCCAGCTGGCTTCACCCAGCGGATCCCGCACCCGGGCTACAGGTGGAGCTGCCTGCCAGTCCTGCGCCGTGCGCCCGCACTCCTCAGCCCTTGGGTGGTCGATGGGACTGGGTGCCGTGGAGCAGGGGGTGGTGCTCGTCGGGGAGGCTCGGGCCGCACAGGAGCCCATCGGGGGCGGGAGGCTCAGGCATGGCGGGCTGCAGGTCCCGAGCCCTGCCCCGCGGGAAGGCAGCTAAGGCCCGGCGAGAAATTGAGCACAGCAGCTGCTGGCCCAGGTGCTAAGCCCCTTACTGCCCGGGGCCGGTGGGGCCGGCCGGCCGCTCCGAGTGCGGGGTCTGCCGAGCCCACGCCCACCCGGAACTTGCGCTGGCCCGCAAGCACCGCACGCAGCCCCGGTTCCCGCCCGAGCCTCTCCCTCCACACCTCCCTGCAAGCTGAGGGAGCCGGCCCCGGCCTTGGCCAGCCCAGAAAGGGGCTCCCACAGTGCAGCGGCGGGCTGAAGGGCTCCTCAAGCGGGGCCAGAGTGGGAGCCCAGGCAGAGGAGGCGCCAAGAGCGAGCGAGGGCTGTGAGGGCTGCCAGCACGCTGTCACCTCTCTCTAGTATCCAATGTTGGCATCTGGTTCCAGGACTCTTCAACTTAAAATTTATAAGCAACTAGAATTTCTAAACATCTCGGGAATGCCATGCCAAAACTCACTTTGCAACCCTTGCTGACATTAAGGCACCAGAATTACTACAAATGTAATCATTTATCAGACCTAAGTGGCTAGTGTGGTCCAAATTGCCCTCAAGCTCCCTCTTTAAGGTCCATAAATACCCCTAAGGAAAATCCGCCAGCATGGTCAGTCCTCTCTTGCTGAGGCATCCCTCTGCACTCCTCTGCAGTGTTCTTTCTAATAAAACTTTCTGGCCCGGCACGGTGGCTCACACGTGTAATCCCAGCACGTTGGGAGGCCGAGGCAGGTGGATCACGAGGTCAGGAGTTTGAGACCAGCCTGACCAACATGGTGAAACCCCATCTCTACTAAAAATACAAAAATTAGCTGGGTGTGGTGGCACGTGCCTGTTGTAATCCCAGCTACTCAGGAGGCTGAGGCAGGAGAATTGCTTGAATCCAGCCTGGGCGACAGAGCAAGACTCTGTCTAAAATAAATAAATAAATAAATAATTTAAAATTTTTTTAAAAAGTCAATCTCTCCCTGTCCCATGGGAATTTCCCTAAGAGGGAACATGCTAGATGCCTGCTGTGTGGAAGGGATAGGGAAGTTCTGAATATCCCTCTTACACTGTTTGCCAAGACCAGCTCGGTCTTGGATACCCTAACCCAGTGGCACTAGAGGAATTAAAGACACACACACAGAAATATAGAGTGTGGGGTGGGAAATCAGGGGTCTCACCGCCTTCAGAGCTGAGAGCCATGAACAGAAATTTACCCACATATTTATTGACAGCAAGCCAGTGATAAGCATTGTTTCTATGGATTATAGATTAACTAAAAGTATTCCTTATGGAAAACAAAAGGATGGGCTGAAACAAAGGGATGGGCTCTGGCTAGTTATCTGCAGCAGGAACATGACCTTAAGGCACAAATCACTCATGCTATTGTTTGTGGTTTAGGAACACCTTTAAGTGGTTTTCCATCCTGGGTGGGCCAGGTGTTCCTTGCCCTCATTCCGGTAAACCCACAACCTTCAGTGTGGGCGTCATGGCCATCACGAACATGTCACAGTGCTGCAGAGATTTTGTTTATGGCCAGTTTTGGGGCCAGTTTGTGGCCAGATTTGGGGGCCTGTTCCCAATACTGTTCTAATTCTTTTCGTAAATTTGGATAAGGATCTAAAGGAGCAGTTGGTTTGGCTCTGAGTCTTTCTTCCTCTAACCCGCCTGCTGCCCCTTGATCTTCCTGTCCCCTATTCTGTGAGATGTACAAAGGTGGTAAGCATGATATGGGGTCCCAGGGCTTTTTGGTGGGCAAGGGCTTTTTACTAGGTTCCTTTTCCTCTTCATGGGGGCTAATTCCTTGATCCAACAGAGAGGTAACCTATCTCTTCTTGTGAGGATGGGATTTTATCATTTACATAGAGAATTAAGGCTTGGCACATCCAATCCTCATCTGAGACAAACTTAGGCCAAAAGACCAAAGGCTTACGAATAGGGTCTTTGGGCCAGATAAAAGAACAATACTTTATCATCTTTTGCTTTTCCTTGTCCCTGGTTCGAGGGTTATTCCTCCAAACCTGCAACATTCTCCCCAAAGGACTATCTGGGGAAATGTCAGAGAAAGTTTATTTGTCTCCATCTTTCCTTTTTTCCCTAGGCCTAGAATTCCTGTTTCCCATTTTCGGTCAGTCTCTGTGTTGGAGCTTTTCTCTGTGTACTCAACCCTCCCCCCACCCCAGAGGTTTCTTGCACACCACAAGAATCGCTTCATCTGTCTCCAGCTGTTTCCCTTGCAGGAGAAGGGGACCATGGATTGGGACTCCACACTCACTTCATATCGAAGATACTTCTCAGTCACACACACTTGACCTCCAAAAATGCCCATCCAACAAGGCAGTACTTATATTCCAATTTTCTGTCCTTGGCTCTCCAATTTTCTGACCTTGGGTCATGCACGAGGTTGCCTGGTTGCCATGGTCCCTGCTTTTCTCCCTATGTCACCTCTGCTGCCTCCTGAATAACAGTCTCAGGTTTGTCTATGGCCTCTGTGGGGAGCCGGGATGGCCAGAAACAGTGGGCCACCTAAATCAGGTGGGATGCATCTCCCCTCTCTCCCAGAGTCCCACTCTGCACAGGCACATAGATCCCGGATGAGCCCCCAGATTTGTGAGAAACAAGCTCACCCGTCCAAACCCAAAGAACGGACTCAGAGGCACGAAGAACAGTGAAAGTGAGACATTTAATAGCCATCTTGCAAGATCGGGTGTCTGATAGGCAGGCATACCTGGGGCAGCTACAGCAGGTAATTTATCTCCTAGCACCCACTTCCCTTCCCCAGTTCCTCACTGGTTGAGTACTATGGCGTTACAATCATCCCAGACATTGCCTAAGTTTCATCATCCCCCTCATAAGGATATACACTGGTGACCTTCTCTGCTTTTCAATTTCCCAATAACAAAACTTTCTTCCCTTTTATGGGCTGACTCATCCTCTACATTCTGTTCACTTATTATGACATTCTGGGTGCATGAGCCATGCGGTTTGTTACATTCGCAGGCTGGCTCTCAGTGCTTAGATTTATCATGCCTTGAAAATGAACCATTTAAAATGTTTTCTCACAAACCAATGTATCCCTTCCATGTATTGATTTATTGTCTTTGCTTATAACTCCTAACTCCTTAAAACATATAAAACCAAACTGTAACCCAGCCACCTTGGGCACACTTCCTCAGAACATCTTGAGACTGTTCCCCAGGCTATGGTCACCCATATTGGCAGAGAATAAACCTCTTTAAAATGTTTTACAGAGTTTGGTTTTTCCATTAACATGCCTCATGTAGTAGAATCAGAGAATCCACATAAAACCACCCTGGAAATTGTGGACACATATAAAATTTTTATTAGGAATACTTTTGGACTCCCACTAATTAAATATGATTGTCTCTACCTCTGAAGTCCATCAAGGGCTTTATAGCACTCAGGCTTGTTAACCTTACCACAGCTCTGGAGCCAAGCTACAAAGCCTTGAGCAAGGTAATTAACCTCCCTGTGCTTCACTTTCCCTACCAGTAAAATGGAACCAATAATAGTACCTATCTGGGCCAGGCACAGTGGCTGATGCCTGTAATCCCAGCACTTTGGGAAGCCAAGGTGGGCAGATCATGAGGTTAAGAGAGCGAGACCATCCTGGCCAACATAGCAAAACCCCGTCTCTACTAAACAAATACAAAAATTAGCTGGGCGTGGTGGCACACACCTGTAGTCCCAGCTACTCGGGAGGCTAAGGCAGGAGAATCACTTGAACCCAGGAGGCAGAGGTTGCAGTGAGCTGAGATCAAGCCACTGCACTCCAGCCTGATGATAAAACAAGAATCCATCTCAAAAAAAAAAAAAAATAGTACCTATCTGGCAGGAAATTAGTTAATTCATGTAAAGCACTTAGAAAACAGCCTGGCCCAGAGGAAGCAAGGCTGGGTCTGATTTAGCTCTGTGTGCCCACAGTGCAATAAATCCCTCCTGAATGAAGGAATTGTCACAAGGCAAACCCCAAAACTGGGGTTCGACCTAGGAGGCCACGTGGGTTCTTGGCCTCATGCAGGAAGGAATTCAAGAGCAAGCCAACAGAGGAAAGTAAAAGCAAGTTTGGTTTTTTTATTTTTATTTTATTTTATTTTATTTTATTTTATTTTATTTTTGAGATAGGGTCTCACTCTGTCACCTAGGCTGGAGTGCAGTGGCATGATCTTAGCTCACTGCAAGCTCTGCCCCCCAGTTTCAAGCAATTCTCCTGCCTCAGCCTCCTGAGTAGCTAGGATTACATGTGTCCACCACCACGCCTGGCTAATTTTTGTATTTTTAGTAGAAACGGGGTTTCACCATGTTGGCCAGGCTGGTCTCAAACTCCTGACCTCAGGTGATCCACCCACCTTGGCCTCCCAATGGGATTACAGGTGTGAGCCACTGTACCTGACCTAAAAACAAGTTTATTAAGAAAGTAAAGGAATAAAAGGGTAGCTACTCCATAGGTAGAGCAGTGGCATGGGCGGGCTGATTGACTGAGTATACCTATGGTGATTTCTTGATTATAGGCTAAACAAGGGGTGGATTATTTATTAGTTTTCTGGTGTAAACCAAAAATAAAATTCTAAGCCCCCCCACCCAACCATCTAAATAGACCCCTCCTCTCAGCCAAGGGCATTCCAAAGTTAACCTGAAAAACTAGTTTAGGCCATGATAAGAATTGGGGGTTGGACATACCTCATTATACCCTTCTCCCTTTTGGAATTCAGGAAAAGCCAACCAGCATTAACATCAACACAGACCTTAAGTCTGATAAGAAACATTTGCAGTCTATTCTCTCTGAAGCCTGCTACCTGGAGACTTCATCTGCATCATAAAACTTTGGTCTCCACAACCCCTTATTGTGATAACCCAAACATTTCTTTCTGTTGATAACAGGTCTTTAGATAATAACTTAACTCTTTCAACCAATTGCCAGTCAGAAAATTTTTAAATCTACCTATAACCTGGAAGCCCTCACTTCAAGTTGTCCCACCTTTCCAAATCACTTCAAATTCTCCCACTTCAAGTTTTCCCACCTTTCTGTTGCTTATAACGGAATACCTCAATATACATCTTACATGTTTTTGTTTTTTTTTTTGAGATGGAGTCTCTCTCTGTCACCCAGGCTGGAATGCAGTGGCACAATCTCAGCTCACTGCAACCACTGCCACCCAGGTTCAAGCGATCCTCATGCCTCAGCCTCCCAAGTAGTTGGGATTACAGACATGCACCACCATGCCTGGCTAATTTTTGTATTTTTAGTAGAGACAGGGTTTCACCGTGTTGGCCAGCCTGGTCTTGAACTTCCGATCTCAGGTGATCTGCCTGCCTTGGCCTCCCAAAGTGCTGGGATTACAGGCATGAGCCACTGCGCCTGGCCTCTTACATGTATTGATTGATGTATTATGTCTAAAAGGTGTAAAAGCAAGCTGTACCCTGATCACCTTGGGCACATGTTGTCAGGACCTCCTGAGGCTGTGTCATGGGTGCATCCTTAACCTTGGCAAAATAAAACCATCTAAATTGACTGAGATCTGTCTCAGATACTTTGGAGTTCACACTGGGAAAGGGGTAGAGATTTCTAGGACTGAGGGATCCTCCCCTTTTTAGACCACATAGGGTAACTTCCAAACGTTGACATGGCGTTTGTAAACTGTATCGGCACTGGTGGGGGTGTCTTTTAGCATTCTAATGCATTATATTTAGCGTATTTTCGGCAGTGAGAACAATCAGAGTTTGCTTTCATTGCCAGCTTGATTTTACTGGGTTTGGGGCTTTTTTTTTTTTCCAACATCTTGTTTTATCAGCAGGGTCTTTATGACCTATATCTTATGACATCGGCCTGCTGACCTCCTACCTTATCCTGTGACTAAGAATGCCTGCTCCCCTGGGAATGCAGCTCTGAAGGTCTCATCTACATTTTACCCAGACTCTATTCAAGATGGAGTCACTCTGGTTCAAACACTTCTGACAGAATCAGGAAGTTGACTGGCATAGCAGGTGGCTAGAGAGCCAAGAGTGCAATCTGGGGCAATCTGCTCTAGGGGTGCAATTTCCACTTCCGGTCAATGGAAACACAGTTTTGATTATTCTGGCTCTTATAGACTACCAGGAAGCAACTCCCCAGGGTACCTCAGTAATATGTGAAATCAAAGTGAGGTCATGTGTGAGGTTCAGTGGCAATAGTAAAGATGAGCCTGGACAGGTGGGTAGGGGCCAAATCATTCAGGCCTTGTCAGCCCTATTAAGGAGTGTGGACTGTGCAATAGGAAGCCATTGAAGGGTGTTAACCATATGCATCATATTTGCATTTTGAAAAGGTCACCAGAGCTTGGGTAGGTAGGAGGCATTGGAGGAGCATAATAGTGGATGCAAAGAAACCCATTAGGCCAAGGAAGGAATAGGGTAGAGAGATAATGGTGACTTGGACCAGGGAAGAGGAGGGGCACCCATTCATGAGCTATTTAGAAGACAGAATTTATTTTATTCAACCAATGCTTGTGCAGTATGAACTGTGTCTCTGAACAGTAATTCTTTTGTTCAGATGGAGTCTCACTCTGTCACCCAGGCTGGAGTACAGTGGCTTGATCTTGACTCACTGCAACCTCCACCTCCCAGGTTCAAGCGGTTCTCCTCCCTCAGCCTCCTGAGTAGCTGGGACTACAGGCGCGCATCATCACACCCAGCTAATGTTTGTATTATGAACAGTAATTCATTTAAACCTCATCACTACTCTAAGAAGTGTAGGTACTATTTCTGTGTTTTTGGAGACAGAGTCTCACTCTGTCACCCAGGCTGGAGTGCAGTCGCATGATCTAGGCTCACTGCAAACTCTGTCTCCTGGGTTTAAGCAATTCTCCTGCCTCAGCCTCCCAAGTAGCTGGGACTACAGGCGCACGGCGTCACACCAGGCTAATTTTTTGTATTTTAGTAGAGACGGGGTTCACCATGTTGCCCAGGCTTGTCTTGAACTCTTGAGCTCAGGCAGTCTACCAGCCTCGGCCTCCCAAAGCACCAGGATTACAGACGTGAGCCACCACTTCCAGCCTACTATTTCTATTCCCACTTTACAGATGAGGAAACTGAAACACAATCGCAATCACACTGTATACAAAATTTGTGTGTTGTGTATTGGTATTTTACTTTGAGCACTGTCTTAATCTGTTTTTGGTTGCTTATAATAATCTGTATTCTGTTGCTTATAACAGAATACCTGAAACTGAGTATAATAAATAGAATTTATTTCTTACAGTTCTGGATGCTGGGAAGTCCAAAGTTGAGAGGGCACAACTGGTGAGAGCCCTCTTGCTGATGAGGACTCTCTACAGAGTCCTGAGGTGATGCAGGATATCACATGGCCAGGGGGCTGAGTGTCTAGCTCACGTCTCTCTGCCTCTTCTTTTTTTTTCAAGACAGAGTCTCACTCTATCCCCCAGGCTGGAGTGCAATGGTGTGATACTGGCTCACTGCAACCTCTGCCTCCCGGGTTCAAGTGATTCTCATGCCTCAGCCTCCTGAGTAGCTGGGATTACAGGTGCCTGCCACCATGCCTGGGTTTTGCCATGTTGGCCAGGCTGGTCTCAAACTCCTGATCTCAGGTGATCCACTCGCCTCAGCCTCCCAAAATATTGGAATTACAGGTGTGAACCACTGTGCCCGACCGATTCTTCTTATAAAGCCACCAGTCCCACTCCTGTGATAACCCACTAATTCATTAAGTCATTAATCCATTCATTTATAAATGGATTAATCCATCTATAGGGCAGAACCTATCACCTCTTAATGGCCCCACATTTCAACACTTCCTCATTTAGTAATGTAAACCAAAAATAAAGATCTAAGCCTCCCAACCATCTGAATGGACCTCTCCTCTCAGCCAAGGGCATTCCAAAGTTCACCTGAACAACTAGTTCAGACCTTGATGGGAAGTGAGAGTCGGGTATGCCTCATTATTCCCTTCTCCCTTTTGGAATTCAGGCACAACTCACCAGTAAAAACAGATCTTAAGACTGATAAAGCAGACTCTTTGTAGCAATAGGATACCAAATTCCAGCCTGACTCTAGTATAGCATCACATGACAGATAGCAGGCCCTGAAAGAAAGTAAAGTATTTTACTCCAAATTATGTTTCTTTGCCATATATTGAAATAGTCCTGTCATGGGGGAAATCGACATTCTAAAGAGAATCTCCTTCCTTTTCCGGGTCTTTTTCCTGATCCAGGAGAAAAATCTGACAGGCAAAATTTACAATCTATGTTCTCTGAAGACTGCTACCTGGAAGCTTCATCTGCATAATAAAAACTTTGGTCTCCACTGGGCACGGTGGCTTACGCCTGTAATCCCAGCACTTTGGGAGGCCGAGATGGGCGGATCACAAGGTCAGGAGATTGAGACCATCCTGGCTAACACGGTGAAACCCCGTCTCTACTAAAAAATACAAAAAATTAGCCAGGCATGGTGTCGGGCGCCTGTAGTCCCAGCTACTTGGGAGGCTGAGGCAGGAGAATGGTGTGAACCTGGAGGCAGAGCTTGCAGTGAGCCGAGATCGAGCCACTGGACTCCAGCCTGGGCAACAGAGCGAGACTCCGTATCAAAAAACAAACAAACAAAAAAACTTTGGTCCCCACAACCCTTCATCTTAACTCAGACACCCCCCTCTATTAATTCCATGTCCTTAGATAAATTCTTTCCACCAATTGCCAATCAGAAAATCTTTGAATCCACTTATGATCTGGAAGCTCCCCTCCCTAGGCTGCCACCACCTCCCCCCAGCTTCCAGTTGTCCCACCTTTCTGGACCAAACGAATGTACATCTAACATGTATCAATGTCTTATGTCTCCCTAAAAGGTATGAAACCAAGCTGTAGCCCAACCACCTTGGGCACATATTCTTAAGATCTCCTGGGGCTGTGTCACAGGCCATTGATCGCTCATATTGGGATCAGAATAAATCTCTTCAAATATGTTACAGAGTTTGACTCTTTCCATTGACAGGATTAAGTTTCAACATGTGGGTTTGGAGGAAACAAACATCCAAGCCATAGCAAACATTTAATGCTATATCACAAGTGTATTAGTCCATTCTTACATTGCTATAAAGAAATACCTGAGACTGGGTAATTTATAAAGAAAAGAAGTTTAATTGGCTCATGGTTCCACAGGCTGTACAGGAAGCATGGCAGTGGCTTGGCACAGTGGCTCACGCCTGTAATCCCAGCACTTTGGGAGGCCGAGGCAGGCAAATCACCTGAGGTCAGGAGTACGAGACCAGCCTGACTAACATGAAGAAACCCCATCTTTACTAAAAATACAAAATTAGCCAGGTGTGGTGGCGCATGCCTGTATTCCCAGCTACTTGGGAGGCTGAGGCAGGAGAACTGCTTGAACCCAGAAGGTGGAGGTTGCGGCCAGCTGAGATCATGACATTGAACTCCAGCCTGGGCAACAAGAGCAAAACTCCATCTCAAAAAAAAAAAAAAAAAAGAAAGAAAAGAAAGAAAGAAAAAAGAAAAGGAAAGCATGGCAGCACCAGCTCAGTTTCTGGGGAGGCCTCAGGAAACTTACAACCATGGTGAAAGGGTGAAGGGGAAGCCAGCATATCTTATACAACCAGAGCAGGAGAAAGAGAAATGAGGTAGGTGCTACACACTTTTAAACAACCAGATCTCGTGAGAACTCTATCATGAGAATAGCACCAAAGGGACAGTGGTAAACCATTCAGGAGGATCCACCCCCATGATCCAATCACCTCCCACCAGGCTCCATCCCCAACACTGGGGATTACAACTGAACATGGGATTTGGGTGGTGACACAGAGCCAAAACATATCAACAAGTGTCTTCTATGTTATGAAATATCCCTCCTAAATAGGATTTTACTGACTAGAACGGTTAGGGATGGCCTCTTTGAGGAAGTGACATTAGACTTGAGAGAAGGAAGACAAGGGACTTGTTTCGGGGAAGAGCCTTCCAAGCAGGAGTAAGTGTGTGTGGACCCCTGAGGCAGGCGTGGGCTGGTTGGCTCTGGAGACCACCAAGGAGGTCAGTGCAGCTGGAAGGAATGAGGGAGGGGGCAGGGGAAGGAGAGGAAGTTGGAGAGGATGGGGAAAGCAGATCATGGCAGGCATTGGAGGGCAGGTAAAGACGTAGGACTTTACTTGGGCTCCAGTAGGAAGTCACTGGAATAGGTAAGTGATGGGATGCAACTTATGCTGTAGAAAGATGACTCTTGGCTGCTGAAGGGAGGCTACAGAGAGGCCAAGATGGAAGCAGGGACCTGTTAGGAGGCTGTTGTCCTCCAGGTGAGAGATTTTGGTGCTGCAACTAGGGTCATGAAGGGGGAAGTAGAGAAGATCATTTAGGCAAGTGTCAGTGCACATTGGTTCCACAAATATTCCCCAAAGACCTACTGCATGCCAGGTCCTAGGTCAGCCACTGGACATACAGAAATGAGAAGGTTTGACATCATCTTTGAGGGTCACACAGGCTATGCACTGGCTTTCTATCTTTCTTGGCCATGAGTATTAGTAAAAAAAAAATGCATTTTACATTGTGGCCCAATGCACATATGTGACATATACACAGGGAAATACCAGTTTCATGAGACAGTTCATATCTTTACTCTAGGTAGTGTACTCTATTTTCTATTCTGTTCTATTCTGTTCTATTCTATTCTATTCTATTCTATTCTATTCTATTCTATTCTATTCTAATTCTTTCATTAAAAATGCTGGTTGAACCCATGAAGTCAATTTCATAACTCGCTGGTAACTCACAACCCTACCTTGCAAAAAGCCTTGACCTAACAGGAGAGGTAAATACATGAATAGAGCACTAGGTGCAGAACCACATGGTGAGTTCTCTGTGAGGGGCAGGCACAGCTGCTGCCCTGCAGGGAGGTGCTCTCTGTGCATCAGCTCAGCTAGCTGCTGTAACAAAACACCACGGCCTGGGCACGGAAACAACAGAAGTTTATTTTCTCACAGTTGTGGGGGCTGAAAGTCCAAAAGCAAGATGTCGGCAGAGTTGATTTCTTCTGAGGCCTCTTACCTTAACTCAAAGATGGCCACATTCTCCCTGTGTCTTCACAAGGTCTTCCCTCTGCTCTGGTGTCTCTGTGTGTCCAAATTTCCTCTTCTGATAAGAACATTAATCAGATTGGATCAGAGCCCACCCTAATTGGCCTCATGTTAAGTTAAATCAGCTCTTTAAAGGCCCTCTCTCCAAATACAGTCACATTCTGAGGTACTGGGGAGCCAGGGCTTCAACATATGAATTTGCAGGGGTCGGGAGACACAATTTGGCCCAAAATAGGCATGTTCCCCAGCCTGGGGGACAGGGAAGCAGAGGGAACAGCAGAGGTACAGGATAGTGTGGGGCAGGAGGGAGGGGCACATGCTGTGGTGTCAGTGGAGGGTATGGTGTGAGGTAGGGAGTATCAGGCTGGAAATGTTGGCAGGGGCTGGATCTGAAGGGCCTTGAATCCTGCACCAATGAATGTAGACTAGCTTGCAGAGGGGTGAATCTCAAGTGTCAGTGCACCGCAAGATTGCCTGGGACATTGTGACAAGTGCAGGGATCCTTGGAGGGGACATCCTAGAAAGCTGCACTTTAATCAGTATCTCAGATGGACCAAGACCCACCCTCAGCAAAGAAGATGCAGGTGCCATTGACGAGATGTAAACAGGGGCTTGACACTGGCTCAGTTGGAGAGGATAGATTGGAGGGGCAAGAATGGAGACAGAGAGGCCATCAAGGGGGCTGTCCTGAGTGCCCAGCCAAGAAATGATGAAGTCTGAATTGATACTAATAGTGGTTGACTTTTAGAGAGTGTTTAACATATGCCATGAGCCAGGCCTGAGCTAAGCACCCTTCCTGGGTAATCTTACTGATTTCTCACAACAGTCTTGTATGGTAGGTATCTTTATTATTATTACTACTATTATTTTGAGACAAGGTCTCACTCTGTCACCCAGGCTGGAGTGCTGTGGCACAAACATGGTTCATGCAGCCTCGATCTCCCAGGCTCAAGCAATCCTCCCACCTCAGTCCCCCAAGTAGCTGGCACTATAGGCACATGCCACCATGCCTGGCTAAATTTTGTGCTTTTTTGTAGAGACAGTTTTGCCATGTTGCTCAGGCTGGTCTCAAACTCCTGGGCTCAAGTGATCCTCCTGCCTTAGCCTCCCAAAATACTGGGATTACAGGCATGAGCCACCACACCCGGCCAGTGTCTTTATTTATTTATTTATTTATTATTATTTTTTAAGATGGAGTCTTTCTCTGTCACCAGGCTGGAGTGCAGTGGCGTGATCTCGGCTCACTGCAACCTCCGCCTCCCGGGTTCAAGCGATTCTCCTGCCTTAGCCTCCCAAGTACATGCGCATGCCACCACCCCCAGCTAATTTTTGTATTTTTAGTAGAGATGGGGTTTCACCATGATGGTCTTGATCTCTTGACCTTGTGATCTGCCCACCTTGGCCTCCCAAAGTGTTGGGATTACAGGCATGAGCCACCGCGCCTGGCCTATTTATTTATTTATTTATTTATTTATTTATTTATTTATTTTTGAAATGGAGTCTCATTCTGTCACCCAGGCTGGAGTGCAATGGTGTGATCTCAGCTCACTGCAACCTCTGCCTCCCAGGTTCAAGCAATTCTCCTGCCTCAGCCTCCTGAGTAGCTGGGATTACAGGTGCCCGCCACCACGCCCAGCTAATTTTTTGTATTTTTAGTAGAGATGGGGTTTCACCATATTGGCCAGGCTGGTCTCAAACTCCTGATCTCGTGATCCACCCGCCTCAGCCTCCCAAAGTGCTGGGATTACAGGCGTGAGCCACCACTCCCAGCCTCTTTATTTTTATTTCATAGTTGAGAAAACCAAGGCTCAGAAAGGTGAAAAGACTTGCCCAAGGTCACAACTAGGGAGAGTTGTCTGTCTGTGTGTCAGGAGAGGCAGAACCTAGATCTCAGCCCTGCCTCTCTGGACAGTTGCAGAGGGGATCGCAAGGTTGATGGGAGCTGTGGGGACATAGTAGGCAGGACTTTGTGACAGGTTGAATGTGGGCAATGGCAGGGGTGGGGTATGAACTACTTGCAGGCAGTTCTGGGTCCCTAACTCTCCATGTCACCAATCAAAGGTCAAAGGGAGCCCAGCCTGGGTGTGGGGCAGAAGCAGAGATGTTGGCGGCGTGAAGCTCAGGAGTATACATCAGAGAAAGCCAAAAGCCAGCTGGAATAGTTCCTGAATACAGTTTTAACCTTGCTTGCAATTATTTTGAAGGGGAGAAATCATCTGGATTGGAATTAAGATGCTCTGGTTTCAAGGAAATAGCATGCAGCTTGCCAGATCCTCCCTTGGACTCTTCTTGATAAACTGCTCTGTCTCTAAGACAACTCTGCCCGTGCTGACCTTATTCACAAAGGACCCACGCCCCCTTTGTGGTGAAGCCAAGGAAGTACTCAAGCCTTATAGTAACAGGTTTATTTTACAGGAAGTGAACGTCACACTTCCAGAAAACTCTGCCTGGTATGAAAGGTATAAATTTGACATTCCTGTCTTTCACTTGTGTGGCCAGTTTCTGATGATGCATCAAGAAAACACCTCAAAACTTGACAAACAGCTCCTGAAACTTGAGCAGCAAAGTACCGGAGGCTGACGAATGCCCTCATGATTTTCCACCCTCTCTTCCTATACGGCATCTTCCTAAGGAAATGACCATGGCCTGATACTCCTTTTGTCACCTATACAGAGCCCTAAGGATATTCTGAACTCAGTGGTGCCAAATAAATGTTGACATTCCTCTTTTGGTTGATGGGGGAAAAAAAAAGGGAGCCCAGACTCCTCGCTCTCATCTGCCTTCCCCCTCCTCTGTCTGCTCTTCCCTGCTCCTCCTGGGGGCTCCCCAGGTACCAAGCAAGAGGCTGATGTTGCTTGTGTATGATAGCTACAAATCTCCGGCTTGTTATCCTTACTTGCTCATTTGGTTACCGGAGGGATTATTTTAGTGAAGTCTATCTCCTCCTTCTTGCTGCCAGAGTGTGAAGCCTCAGATGTCACTTCTCAGGGGGTACAGCCTTGGGTACCCAGTCATCATGGGTTAACAAGGGTTTTGACAGGACTCTCTTTGACTGACTCGTCCCCTGACACACCCAGCTGTTAGGCTCCAGTAATTGCCAGCTGAGTTGTCTATTACTGTATTTTCAACAAAGCTCTGGGGTATAAACTCCTCCACAAATGGATCCAGTCAAACCTGGTGATGCCTTTGAAGAAACAGTCCTGGAGGTCAGTGTCTGAGATTTGTTCTGACTCTAGCAGGATTCTCCAGTTTCCCTTTCCCCAGTTTCTCTCCAGCAAACTAGCCAGCCTGCAATTTAACCTGTATCTCCAAAGTCCATCAATCTCCCCTCTATTGCTTTTCCCCATAACCTCCAGTATTTTGAGAGTGCTCTTGGGCTTGAACTTAAACTTCTCTACAACCTGTAACAAATGTTCCTTTAGGGAAAGATCTGGAGCTCTCTCTCTTACTACCTACTTTTTTTTTTTTTTTTTTTTTTTCAATACTTGATCTTGCTCTGTCACCCAGGAGGCTGGAGTGCAGTGGCACAATCTTGGTAACTACAACCTCTGCTTCCTGGGTTCAAGTGATTCTCCTGCCTCAGTAGCTTGTATTACAGGCATGCACCACCATACCCCGCTAATTTTTGTACTTTTAGTAGAGACGGGGTTTCACCATGTTGGCTAGGCCAGTCTCGAACTGCTGACCTCAAGTGATCCAACCACCTCAGCCTCCCAAAGTGCTGGGATTACAGGCGTGAGCCACCATGCCCCGGCCTTACTACCCACTTCTGTTCCGAAGAGAAATCTCTGAGCCAGGGCTCTGGCGCTGGCAGGAACAATAGCTTGCCACTCTCTGAGTGACACCCCCACGTTAGGAGCTGAGTGCTTGGAGGAGGGCAAGTGCAGCAGCCCCAGGTCTCCTCAGCTCCCCTCCTCCACCCTCTGAATGGAACCCCCACTCCACAAGTGGGGTAAGAGTGAATTGTGCCCCAGTGTTCTCAGCAGTGCCATGCCCAGTGTTGGGTATCCATCTTACCAGTGGGGGCTGGGTGGAAGAGGGGCACCTCCACATCTCAGATACACTCACCTAGAACTCAGCCTCAATAACAGGTAGCTGGGGCAGGATGAAAAATGCTGATGTCCAGTCCCTCCTGAAAAGATAGCCCCCTGACCTGGAGCAGGGGAGGGAGGGAGGCCTATATTTTTGGTTTTTTGTTTTTGTGAGACAGGCTCTCACTTTGTCGCTCAGGCTGAAGTGGAGTGGTGCAATCATGGCTCACTGCAGCCTTGACCTCCCTGGCTCAAGTGATCCTCCTGCCTCAGCTTTCCAAGTAACTGGGACTATAGGCACGCACCACCATGCCCAACTAACTTTTTGTATTTTTTGTAGACAGAGTTTCGCCATGTTGCCCTGGCTGGAATTCTTTCCCATTCTGAGGTAGATTAGACAGGGTGGTAATAGCCTCCCTTAAAGGACAATAAAACTTGCTAAATAGATGGAGAAAACAAACCACCCAACAATGCACAAACTGCATCCTGGGCTCATGGTTAGAACATCCTGCATCAATGAGGTAGAAAAGCAGAAGTGGGGCCGGGCACGGTGCCTCACGTCTGTAATCCCAGCACTTTGGGAGGCTGAGGTGGGCAGATCACGAGGTTAGGAGATCGAGACCATCCTGGCTAACACGGTGAAATCCCATCTCTACTAAAAAATCAAAAAAAAAAAAATTAGCCGGGCATGGTGGGGGGCACCTGTAGTCCCAGCTACTTGGGAGGCTGAGGCAGGAGAATGGCATGAACCCGGGAGGCGGAGCGTGCTGTGAGCCGAGATCACGCCGCTGCACTCCCGCCTGGGCGACAGAGCAAGACTCGGTCTCAAAAAAAAGAAAAGCAGAAGGGGGCCAGGCATGATGTCTCATGCCTGTAATCCCAGCACTTTGGGAGGCCGAGGCAGGTGGATCACCTGAGGTCAGGAGTTCGAGACCGGCCTGACCAATATGGTGAAACCTCATCTCTACTAAAAATACAAAAATTAGTCGGGTGTGGATCCCGGGAGATAGAGGTTGCAGTGAGCCAAGATCACACCACTGCACTCCAGCCTGGGCGACAGAGTGAGACTCCATCACAAAAAAAAAAAAAAAAAAAGTAGAAGGGAAAATCCCCAAATTCATGTAAGTGCAGAAACCCTTGTTTAGTGTCCTTGGGCTGACCTATGCTCATTATAATAGTAAAAAACACACTCCTGGGTGGAGATTTAAGATGCTAATGAGATATGCCATGTATGTACTAGCATGCACAATAATAGCACATGTGCATGCAGGGGACCACATAGAACATGAATAATCATGAATAATGATTCCCCCCTTTATGAATAATCATGTAAGACTCTCATAAAGAAAGTCTCCCCAGTGTCAATTGGTGCTGTCTCACCTTTGGGCAGCCAGTTCTGATCAGCTGTCAGAGTGTAATTTCTCTTTATTATTTATTTATTTATTTATTTATTTTGAGACGAAATCTCACTCTGTCACCTAGGCTGGAGTGCACTGGTGCAATCTCGGCTCACTGCAACCTCCACCTCCTGGGTTCAAGCAATTCTCCTGCCTCAGCCTCCTGTGTAGCTGGGATTACAGGTGCGCCCCACTGCGCCCAGCTAATTTTTATATTTTTAGTAGAAACGGGGTCTCGCCGTGTTGGTCAGGCTGGTCTCAAACTCCTGACCTCGTGATCCACCCGCCTTGGCCTCCCAAAGTGCTGGGATTACAGGCGTGAGCTGCTGTGCCTGACCCAGAGTGTACTTTTGCTTTGCAATAAACTCTCTTGCTTACTCCTACTTTGGACTCGCTCTCAAATTCTCTTGTATCGTGAAGTCAAAAACCTGAACTGGCCCACAGGCAACAATTCCTCTCATCAAGGTTGGGGTCTAAGTTCCTCCCCTTGAATCTGGTGGGCATGTTATTGTTCTGATTGATAGAATAAAGCAGAAGTGACACTGTGTGACATTGTGGCTTTTTTTTTTTTGAGACACGGTCTCACTCTTCCGTCTAGGCTGATGCAATCATAGCTCACTGTACCCTCTACCTTCCAGGTTCAAGCAATCCTCTTGCCTCAGCCTCCAGCGTAGCTGGGATTACAGGTATGTGCAACCACATCTGACTAGTATTTTAATTTTTCATAGAGATAAGGCACGTTAGGCCAATCTCAGATTGCTATAAAGAAATACCTGATGGCCAGGCGTGGTGGCTCATGCCTATAATCCCAGCACTTTGGGAGGCCGAGATGGGCAGATCACATGAGGTCAGGAGTTCAAGACAAGCTTGGCCAACATGGTGAAATCCCATCTCTACTAAAAATACAAAAATTAGCCGGGCGTGGTGGTAGACATCTGTAAATCCCAGCTACTTTGGAGGCTGAGGCAGGAGAATCGCTTGAACTGGGAGGTGGAGGCTGCAGTGAGCCGAGATCACACCACTGCACTCCAGCCTGAGTGACAGAAGGAGACTCTGTCTCAAAAAAAAAAAGAAAGAAATACCTGAGACTAGGTAATTTATAAAGGAAAGAGGTTTAATTGGCTCACAGTTCTGCCAACTATACCAGAAGCATGATGCTGGTATCTGCTCAGCTTCTGGGGAGGCCTCAGGAAATTTACAATCATGGTGGAAGGTGAAGGGGGAGCAGACATGTCACATGGCCAGCAGGAGCAAGAGAGAGTGAAGTGCCACACACTTAACCCCAGATCTCATGCGAATTCATTCACTATCACAAGCATAGCACCAAAGGGATGGTGCTAAACCATTAATGAGGAACTGCCCCACCAATCATCTCCCACCAGGCCCCATCTCCAACATTGGGGATTACATTTCAACATGAAATTTGAACAGGGACATATATCCAAACTATATCACGAGGTCTCACTATTGTTGCTCAGGCTGTTCTTAAACTCCTGGACTCAAGCAATCCTCCCACCTCGACCTCCCAAAGCTGCTGGGATTACAGGCATGAGCCACTGCTCAGCCTCACTGTGGCTTTTGTCTTAGACTCTTGGGTCACTTGTTTGGGAGAATCCAGCTGCCGTGTTGGTGTTGTAAGAACATTCAAGCTGTCCTCCAGAGAGGTCCACATGAAGAAGAACCCAGGCTTCCTGCCAACATCCAGCGCTCACTTTCCAGGCATATGAGTGAGCCTCTGGGAAGTAGATCACCCGGCCCTCAAGCTTTCTTATGACTAAAGTCCCAATTGACTTCTTAACTGCAACCCCATGAGACACTTGAGCCAGAACTCAGGTCCCAGCATAGGAAAACAGTGTATTTCATGGCAAATATGACACCATCTGGAAGTGAAACTCTTGTGGTGACTGATGTTTGACCCCCACATACCAAGGTGCTCTGCAGTAAGCTCTTTAAACAACACCTTCTAGCATAGAAAGCCCCTCACAAAGATGCTTATCTAAACCCCGCCAGTGGTCATGGATCTTGGCAAAAAGAAGTCTGAAGACGTGACCAGCTGCACATGTTTTACCCTAAAAGAGAAAGGATACCTTCTGGAGTGTGGGTGCAGGGATCCATTGTCTTGCAGCCGCCTAAGACATCACTTCTGTTTCTAAGTCATTAAATGTTTCTTTCTGAGAAACTGGATTTGTCAGTCTCTTTCTTCAGCCTCTCAGCTTTCTTGGACTTTGGGGGTAGGTTTGCATGGAACTGCTCATAACACTCAGCTAAACTGCTTTCAAGTTCGTGATTCCTAGAAACTGTATGAGATTAAACACTTACTCTTTTAAGCTGCTTAGATTGGGATAATTTGCTACTCAGCAATAACTAAGACAGATTTGGTGCCAGCTGGGCACAGTGGCTCACACCTGTAATCCTAGCCCTTTGGAAGGCTGAGGCAGGAGAATTACTTGAGCCCAGGAGTTCAAGACCAGCCTGAGCAACATAGTGAAACTCTGCCTCTACAAAACATAAAAATAAAAATTAGCCAGGCACAGTGGCATGCTCCTGTGGTCCCAGCTAATCAGGAGGCTGAGGTAGGATGATTGCTTGATCCCAAGAGTTTGAGGCTACAGCGAGCCATGACCATGCCACTGCACTCCAGCCTGGGCGACAGAGCCAGCCAAAAAAAAAAAAAAAAGATTTAATGCCAGGAGTGAGGACAATAAAAAATACCTAAAAATGTGGGAGTAGTGAGCAGAGGCTAGAAAGACTTTAAGTATAGTGTTAGCAAAAGTCTGAAAGCCTTTGTATTAGTCATCCACTGCTGTATACCAATATACCACAAACATAGCAGCTTAAAACAACACACATTTATTACTTCAGTTTCTGTGGGATCAGGAGTCCAGGCATGGCTACGCAGAGTCCTCAGCATAGGGTGTCACATGACTTCAATCAAGGAGTCTGCTAGGGCTGTGGTCTCATCTGAGACTCAACTGGGGAAGAATCCTCTTTTTTTTTTTTTTGAGACAAAGTCTCACTCTGTCGCCCAGGCTGGAGTGCAGTGGCGCTATCTCGGCTCACTGCAAGCTCCACCTCCTGGGTTCACACCATTCTCCTGCCTCAGCCTCCCGAGTAGCTGGGACTACAGGTACCCGCCACCACACCCGGCTAATTTTTTTGTATTTGTAGTAGAGACGGGGTTTCACTGTGTTTCACTTTCACTCCCAAAGTGCTGGGATTACAGGCGTCAGCCACCGTGCCCAGCCAAAAAAAAAAAAAAAAGATTTAATGCCAGGAGTGAGGACAATAAAAAATACCTAAAAATGTGGGAGTAGTGAGCAGAGGCTAGAAAGACTTTAAGTATAGTGTTAGCAAAAGTCTGAAAGCCTTTGTATTAGTCATCCACTGCTGTATACCAATATACCACAAACATAGCAGCTTAAAACAACACACATTTATTACTTCAGTTTCTGTGGGATCAGGAGTCCAGGCATGGCTACGCAGAGTCCTCAGCATAGGGTGTCACATGACTTCAATCAAGGAGTCTGCTAGGGCTGTGGTCTCATCTGAGACTCAACTGGGGAAGAATCCTCTTTTTTTTTTTTTTGAGACAAAGTCTCACTCTGTTGCCCAGGCTGGAGGGCAGTGGCACGATCTCGGCTCACTGCAACCTCCACCTCCTGGGTTCAAGCAATTCGCCTGCCTCAGCCTCCCTAGTGGCTGGGATTACAGGAGTGCACCACTACACCTGTCTAATTTTTGTATTTTTAGTAGAGATGGGGTTTCACCATTTTGGCCAGGTTGGTCTTGAACTCCTGACCTCGGGTGATCCATACACCTCAGCCTCCCAAAGTGTTGGGATTACAGGTGTGAGCCACCACGCCCAGCCCAGAATCACTTTTGTTGGCAGATTCAATTGCAGCTCCAGGACTGAGGTTTTTTTTTTGTTTTTTTTTTTTTCCTTCTGCTGGCTGCTGGCTGCAAACCATTCTCAGCTCTTAGAGATCACTCTTGGTCCCTGATACATGGGCCTCCCCATATGGGAAGTGCACAAAATGGCAGCTTGCTTTTCTAAAGCCAGCAAGGAGTGAGAGAGACCCCAGCAAGACAGGTGCTACAAACTTATATAACATAATAACATCACTATGTGCATGTAATCAGGCACAACCCATCACCTTTGCCATATACTGTTGGTTAGAAGAAAGTCATAGGTCCTGCCCACCCACATTCAAGGGAAGGGGTTGACATAAAGGTGTGAATACCAGGAGTGAGGGATCATGGGACTACTTTAAGAAGACTGATGGCCTTAGAGAAGGCTGATAGTGAAAGCTGAAAGGAAAGTGGGAAAATATTATTGGATCTCAAGGGAAGGAGATCCTTGTTGTATAGTGGCAGGTAATTTAGCAACATTGTCATCCTTCATAATGTGTAGATTGGTATGGTAGCTCCTACCTGCAATCTCGACAACTCAGAAGGCTGAGGCTGGAGGATCACTAGGAGTTTCAGAACGGCCTGGGCAACATAGCTAGACTCTATCTCTAAAAAAATGTTTTTAAATAGAAATAAACTAAGCTGGGCATGGTAGCATGTGCCTGTAGTCCCAGATACTGCAGAGGCTGAAGCAGGAGGATTGCTTGAGCTCAGGAGCTCAAGGCTGCAAGTAATGCACCATTGCACTTCAGCCTGGGCAACAGAACAAGACTCTGACAAAAGGCAAGGAAAGAAAAGGAAGGGAGGGGAAGGGAAGGGAAGAAAGAAGAAAAAGGTAGAAGATGTGCCTAATGAAATATGTGATCTAGCTAAGGAGATTTCCAGGCAAAATGTTACAGGTAGTACCTTATTTCTTCTTCCTGCTTAGAGTAAAACATGAGAGTTGAGAGGCAAGTTATAAACTGACAGGAGCTCTGTTAAACCAAAAATAGTTAGAATTTGATGATTTTGAAAATTCCCAGCCTCAGCCAGGTGCAATGGCTCATGCCTGTAATCCCAGCATTTTGGGAGGCTGTGCAGGTGGATCACCTGAGGTCAGGGCTTCAAGACCAGCCTGACCAACAAGGTGAAACCCCATCTCTACTAAAAATACAAAATTAGCCAGGAGTGGTGATGCATGCCTATAATCTCAGCTACTTGGGAGGCTGAGGCAGGAGAATCACTTGAACCCAGGAGGTGGAGGTTGCAGTGAGCCGACATCACACCATTATACTCCAGCCTGGGCAACAAGAGCAAAACTTCGTCTCAAAAACAAACAAACAAACAAACAAAGAAGAAGAAGAAAATTCCCAGCCTCTCCAGCCAAAAACAATGCTAAAATTAAGAAATGGCTTCTGGAAAAAGATCACATCAGAAAAACATGGTATAAAGTTGAAGCCAAGAGGCCAACAGTATGCCTGTAAATTCCCTAAGACTTCAGGTCTAAGGCAATAGAACCATTCAAACAATAAGGGCTTCTAGAAACGTTAAAGGATTTGTCTATCAGCATGAGCCCAAGGTAGGGGGGCTTATCTCAAAGAGATTTGTGGGCATAGTCTAATGAAGTGAATAAGGTCCATAGAAATCTACAAAGTTTTTAAGAGAATTGTATTGGCAGAAACACTGACAACTTGGACTGTAAAGGACAGAGACAACAGAAATGGAAAAGAGGCATTCGAACCCTCAAACTTCTATAGACAGGATGCAGGCCAAGAAAATTACTCAGCTGCAAACACAGACTACCTTTTATGGAAAATGAAAGATGACTCAGGAAGTAGAACTAAGAGACCAAGAGCCATGGATTATTATTCTCAGGCCTTGCTTCAAGGGCTTTCCTCTAAAGCTAGAGACCGAGAACTGAAGCCCAGGTCGCCTCTGCTCTGGATCCCCAAATCCATGTGAGGGATCTGTCTTTTCCCAACCCCACCCTCCCCGTCTGGCATGGCCTCAAGGGCAGAACCTAGCATCTTAGCTCTTCCTTCTCCTCTCCAAATCTCCCAGCCCAGAAAGAATGTGCTGCTGTTGTTTTTTTCTCTTCTTAATTTTTTTTAGAGACAGGATTTTACTCTGTTGCCCAGGCTGGAGTGTAGTGATGTGATCATAGCTCACTGCAGTCTCGATCTCCTGGGCTCAAATGATTCTCCTGACCCAACCTCTTGCGTAGCTGGGACTACAGGCAGGCACCACCATGCCCAGCTAATTTTTTTAATTTTGTAGAGACAGGGTCTTACTATGTTGCCCAGGCTCGTCTCAAACTCCTAGCCTCAAGCGATCCTCCTGCCTTGGCCTCCCAAAGCATTGGGGTGAGCCACTGCGCCCAGCCCTGTTTTGTTTTTTCCACATGTTTTCTCAACTAGATATACAACTACTTTTCCAAACTATTCCAAGCCTCTCCCCTTCAGGCATTAGAACCCAAGAATTAAAGAAATAAAGTTTCGGCCGGGCGTGGTGGCTCACACCTGTAATCCCAGCACTTTGGGAGGCAGAGGCAGGCGGATCACAAGGTCAGGAGATCGAGACCATCCTGGCTAACACAGTGAAACCCCGTTTCTACTAAAACTACAAAAATTAGCCAGGCGTGGTGGCGGGTGCCTGTAGTCCCAGCTACTCGGGAGGCTGAGGCAGAAGAGTGGCGTGAACCTGGGAGGTGGAGCTTGCAGTGAGCCGAGATTGTGCCATTGTACTCCAGCCTGGGCGACAGAGCGAGACTCCGTCTCAAAAAAAAAAAAAAAAAAAGGGGTATCTAGAACTAGAAATACCATTTGGCCCAGCCATCCCTTTACTGGGTATATACCCAAAGGATTATAAATCATGCTGCTATAAAGACACAGGCACACGTATGTTTATTACGGCAATATTCACAATAGCAAAGACTTGGAACTAATCCAAATGTCCAACAATGATAGACTGGGTTAAGAAAATGTGGCACATATACACCATGGAATACTATGCAGCCATAAAAAATGATGAGTTCATGTCCTTTGTAGGGGACATGGATGAAGCTGGAAACCATCATTCTCAGCAAACTATCGCAAGGACAAAAAACCAAACACCACATTTTCTCACTCATAGATGGGAATTGAACAATGAGAACACATGGACACAGGAAGGGGAACATCACACACCGGGAACCGTTGTAGGGTGGGAGGAGGGGGGAGGGATAGCATTAGGAGATATACCTAATGCTAAATGATGAGTTAATGGGTGCAGCACACCAACATGGCACATGTATACATATGTAACAAACCTGCACGTTGTGCACATGTACCCTAAAACTTAAAGTATAATAATAATAAAATTTTTTAAGAAAGAAATAAAGTTTCTATTTTATTCCTTTCTTTGAACCAACAGGGACAAGATCTAGATTGAAGAGAGAAAAGGGAGGGTTGACAAAGGAATTTCAAAGCAATACTGCAAAATCCTATTCACCACAAGTATCATTATTATTCCCATTTTACACATAAGGAAACTGAAGCTTAGTGAGATTAAGAAGCTGGAGTTCTTGGAGCAGAGCGCTGGATTTAGAGCCAGAAGCCAAGGTTGGAACTTAGGCATCTGCTACTGGTGTCCTAACTCTCCCTTCCTCTCCCTTACTTGGGCAATCCTGGTGTCGGGCCCACCTCAGCCTCCCTGAGGCCTGATGGTCTGGCTGTGCCACCATGCAGCTCCAATCCCAGTACTGCCCCAGGAGAAATCCCTGCCTCCTCCTCCAGTGAGTCTTGGTGATCCCTCTCAGACCTTCCTCCATGCAGTCCAGTGTCAGGTGGAAGCACTGGGGCTCCTGTGAAGCATCAGCTCCACATCTGCCTGGCTTGTGACCTGGGGCAAGTTTCTTCTTCTGCCTGAGCCTCAGCTTCCTGGTGTGTAAATTGGGGATTATAACAGGGATTCAGTATATATTCACTGAGGACCTGCTCTGGCAGGCAATGCATTAAAAGCTGGGGGTACACAAGGGAGTGAGGCTGTCCCAGGGTCCCCGTGCACACCCAGCACAATGGACGCCTCTGGTGGCATCAGTGAGGGCAGCTATCCTGTGTCACAGGGTTTGTGTGACCTGCAGCCAGCAGCCCAGCGGTCTGGTGGTGTCCTGCTTGGTGGAAGTCTCGCAGGGAGATTCTCTGTGACTAACGAGTGTCTTTTCCCCTAAAGGATGTGCCGTCGGCTGCTTTCTTGTTTCATCTAGCCGCTGGGCCCCAGAACAGTTGGCAAAGCAGTTGGTATCTTTGGCTATTTTTAGGTGGAGGAGTTAGCGGGGTGGATATAGTAGGGCCCCAGGGGAGTCTGGTAGATGGGGAACTTCAGGTGCAACAAGTTTGTGGGGGTGGGAGTGGCAGCGGCTCCCTCTCAGGAATGTTTAGGCAAACTAAACATGCATCCTTCATAATGGAAGTCAAAAGCCACCTCCTCTGTGCAGTCTTCCTTGATTTTCTCATTAAACACCCCCACCGCCCCCCACAAGACCAAAGACTTGATCTGGAACTATAATCCAGCCTTTATAGTTCCAGACCAAGAGTACTGAGCAATAGGGACCTTACCTGATGCAGACAAGGTTTCTCTTCTGCACCTCTGAGGCTCCATCCCTAGTCAGAACGACAAGGTACGAAGTTAGGAGTTGAGACTGAAGCCACTCATACAGCTGAGATTCTCTCTTGGCCCGTTTCTAGCAAACTACAACAAGCAAGTCACTTTTGTAAATCTATTTCCTCATCTGTAAAATGGGCAACTATCGTGCCTGCCTCCCAGGATTAAAGTAAAGGGTTTAATTTGCTCAAAGCACAGCGCACAGCGCCTAACGTAGACTGATAGATCTCTCGCAAGCCCCAGGCCCAGAAGGGGCGGTGCTCCCCCAAAACTCTCTTTCCTTTGCAGCACAGCGGGGGGTGTGTGCATCCTGGCGGAGGGGAGGGGACTGAGGGGAGGGGAATGGGGGGTGCCCGAGCTGGGCTGGAAGACAGGTCTGCGACTCTGGTCAACTGCAGCTGCTTTCCCCGGCCTCCACCGCTGCCGCACACCCCCTTTGCCTTTAGCATTTTCCTCCTCTCCTCTAATTGCGTGGCGTCCCCAGATGGTAGGCGGGGTGTCGGAGCTGGGGGTGCGTAGTCCCGGGCCTAAGGCTAGGGAAGGGGCCTCCAGCGCCGTGTGAGGGCCCTGACCGACAGTGGGGAGGGGCGCCCATGTCTCTGGGAGAACCCCGGAGTCCCCGGAAATGGAGGCGGAGTTTGGGGAGTCTGAAATGGGGGAGGGGTCGTGTAGACTACGGGGGAGTCCTGAGCCGGCTAGGAGGGGCAAGGGAGTCCCTCAGACGGAGTGGAGAGCGGGGCTTCCCTGGTCAGAGGGCGGTACCAGGGGAAGGGCGTGGTCTCCTGCGAAGGGGCGGAGCTCCGCCTACGAAGGCTGAGCATCGCCGCAAGAGGCGGAGTCTGGAGCGAGGCGGAGCTCTCCTAGGGGCGGGGAAAATGGGGCGGGGCCTCCGGACAGGGGGCGGAGCGTGGCTGTTCGCGCTCATCCCCCTCCCCCGGCCCTGGGTGTCCCCGTGACGAGGCAGCGCGGAGCCGCCGCGGGCCGGGCCCATCCCGCCGCAGCGGCCCGGGGCCGAGCAGGGGCTAGGCGGGGAGGGAGCGGCGCCCAGCGGGGCCCGGAGCGTGGCCAGGTGAGGCCGCCGGGGCGGAGGGGGCGGGGGCTGCGCCAGGCGGGCCCCGGCGGGCGCGGGGGGCGTGTTTGCGTGTCTGGGGGTGGTGGAGGGAGTGGGTCCGAGGGCGGGCGCCGGTGGCTGCTGCGCGCCCGCGCGTCCCTGCGGTCGCGGGTGCGGGTGGTCTCTGCGCCGTCCGGGCCCGGGGCGTGCGGGGCCGTGCACGCGCGCGTGTTGTGCGGAGGGGCCGCCGGGTGTGGACCTGCGTAGGTGCTGGGCCGCGGTTCCCGTTCTGCCCGCCCGGGGCGCAGGGCGCGGGCCTGCCCCGGCGCGGTCCCTCTGGCGCGGGGATGTTTTCCAAACGGGCTGCCTGCGGGAGACGGCTGTGCTGCAGCCCGAGCTCGAGGGGGGAGCGCCGCCTCCGCAGGCCTCCTGAGACCCGGGCGGCTGGGGACGCAGACAGACACCTGAGGGAGGGAAGAGCGCGCACCCAGGAGGAGTCTATTGGCCTACCCGCAGGGGGAGGCCGAGATGGGGAGACTGAGGCAGATGGTGAGGCGGAGGCGGGCAGACAGGCAGAGATGGGGAATGGGGGGAGAGAGACGGCAAAAAGGACAGCGGCTGGGAGGACAGAGAGTCATTGAGAAAGCAGATGGACAGACAGAGGCCTAGACCTCAAAGGGGCAAGAAAGATTCAGATGGACAGGTAGATTCAAAGAACCTGTCAGAGAGGCTAAATCAGAGGTCCAGAGGCTAAGAGCTATAAGCAGGAACTGAGTCTGAGATGAGGGGTAACGGCCCCCAACTCATTGGGTGCCCCGCTTTGAAGCACATCCCAGACTGGGATCTTGGCCAAAAAGCAGCCTCTGGCCACCCCAAGTTGGTCCATCTCTTTGGCACCACTGAATATCCTGACTCTCTTCACTGTGCCACCCCTCCCTGGTATCCCAGCAACCTCGGGCAGTTTAGAGGAGGCAGAGGGGAAGTGGTTGCCATAGCAGTAGAGGCGGTGAAAGGTCACCCTTGCCTTAGCCTAGGCGGCCCTGCAGCAGGCTGCAGCTGGAATTGAGCCGGGCTGGGGTGGGAACCTACAAAGCTCTTTTCTCTCCCACTCTGCCCAGAATGGTGCTGGAAGGAAACCCTGAAGTGGGGTCCCCCCGAACCTCAGACCTCCAGCACCGGGGGAACAAGGGCTCTTGCGTTCTCTCCTCTCCCGGTGAAGATGCGCAGCCAGGCGAGGAGCCCATCAAGTATGGTGAACTCATCGTCCTGGGGTGAGCATCCCTGGCCTAGAAGGGGTGAAGCACCAGACACCCACCCAACGCAGCCAGAACAAGGGCCCGACCCCTCCTCCCCCCACATAGGGCCTTCAGCTGTTTGTCCCTCCTCACCTTCCTAGCTGAAAGACAAAATTGACCAAACCCACCTCAATTCATAATTATTATTTTATCTTCCCATTTTTCACAAAGTACTGTGACAACTCTAACCACCCAACTTCCTGATCAGATGAGAAAAATGTTAACACCAGCTGCCTTTCCTAAAGCACCTAGTGTGTGTGGTGTGGGGTGAAGAACTCTGGTTCTCCAGCAAAACTGCTTGGTTCAAATCCTGCCTCTGCAAGTTGCTGAACTTCCCTGTGCCTCTGTTTCCCCTGTTTTGCAAATGGGGATGATAATAATCCCTTCCTCAGAGGGTTGTTGGAAGAAATGAATGAGGTGATTTCTGTAAAGTACATAGAACAGCGCCTAGCACATATCGAGTGTTCTGGGAGGCAGGCCTGTGCCAAGCCCTTTCATGGACATTATTTCATTTCAATCTTCACAAAGATGCTGTGAGGAAGGAGGTGAGGAAACCGAGGCTCAGAGAGGGGAAGTGACTGGCCCAAGGGCACACAGCTGGTAAGTGGCAGGGCTGGGATTTGGACCCAGGTCTTTCTTACTCTAGGTCTAGTGCGCTTTCACTAAGCCACAGCTGACCCTCACACTACAGATGAGAAAGCCAAGGCCAGGAGAGAGGAAGCAACGTGATCTGGCGGCCTGGCCAACCTCATCCCTTCCTGGTCTTTGCCTGACCAGGATCCCTGCACCATCCACTCAGATCTTTCCCCAGGGACAGACCCTCTTCCTCCTCCCCCATCTGGATCTCCTTTTGGCCTCTCTTTGCCATCAGTCCTAAAGAAACTATTTGATAAGCTATATTATCATTAAGATTTTTTTTTAATGGCTGTTTGTTGACACATGCTTTAAAAAAAAAAAAAGCAGTAATAGTGAACACTTATCAAGGGCTTCCTATAAATATGCCAAACTCTGTGCCAAGCGCTTTTAAATGCTTTGTCTCATTTAGTTCTCAAAATGAACCTGCGAGGTAGGTCCTAAAAAATTAGCTCCATTTTACAGAGGTCATGTGATAAGTGGAAGAGCCAGATTTAAGCCAGGCCCATCTGTGTCCCAAGCCTGTGTCCTGAACTGTCCCACCTCAAGACCTGCCCCCCATGTGTGAGAAGAGCTCACAAGGGCAAAAGTGATGTCTCCCTTGGGAGAAGCTGCCTTGGAAAAGCAGCTGCTTCATATCCCAAAGGCAGGACTGGCTTTCCAGCCCAAGGCAAGGCCACTAATGTGGGAGGCTGCAGACCCATGGGTATGGACCCTCCTGTCAGCCCCCTTGGGGAGCAGAGTCCACACTGGCTGCATATCAGAGCTGGCTGGAGGGCACTGAAAATACACATTGACAGGCCCTCTCCAAGCCTACAGAATCACAGTCGCAGTGGGTGGGACCAGGGAATCTGTTTTTTTTTTTTGTTTTTTTTTTTTTGAGACAGAGTCTTGCTCTGTCACCCAGGCTGGAGTACAGTGGCACGATATCAGTTCACTGCAACCTCCACCTCCTGGGTTCAAGTGATTTTCCTGCCTCAGCCTCCTGAGTAGCTGGGATTACAGGCACCCACCAGCATGCCTGGCTAGTTTTTGTATTTTCAGTAGAGACAGGGTTTTATTATGTTGGCCAGGCTGGTCTTGAACTCCTGACCTCAAGTGATCTGCCTGCCTCGGTCTCCCAAAGTGCTGGGATTACAGGTGTGAGCCACTGCGCCCGGCCTCATCTGGATTTTAACAAACTCACTAGAAGATTCTGATTCAAGTGGCCTTGTCTGTATTTGGCAGCTCTTTGTCCTGTCACTTCCTGTTCCCAGACCTTCCTGGCACCCCACTGGTTGTTGAATAATGTCCTCAGCCTGGAGTTCAGAGCCCTCCCACCAGTGTCATCTCCCCCACATACTTCACCACCAAAGCCACCATTCCCTGATCTCATCAGACCCTGCCAGCCTTGGGCCCTTTGCTTAGGGTGAGCCTCCATCTAGAGGGGCTTCTGGAGTCAGAGAGACTGGGCTCAAATCTGGACATTTTCACCTACTAGCCAGAGGCAAGTCACATTACCTCCCTGAGCCTTGATTTCTCTCATTTGTAAGATGGGCAGAAAGCCACTTGCCTGGCAGGCCACTGCACAGATTCCATTAGGTGATTGATAACATGAAGGCCAGGAACACAGAGGCAGCAGCCCATGGCAGCGATGAGAGCTATGCCTCACCTCCTCTGTGCCTCTCACAGCCATGCCCTCCAGACAAGAGCTGGAAAGGCAGGTGGAAATTTGACATGTATGGACATATGGAGGTACTGGCATTGTGTGTCATTTTTTCCTTCCATTTTGGTTTTGAGTAGTGGTGTGATAAGTGACAGCTTACTACAGGTGAACCCTTTCTAGTTCTTCAAAACCCAGTAGAGGTGTTCCCTCTCCCAGAAACCTGATCCTAGGGCGAGAATTCCCTTTTCTTCCTCTAGGCTTATGGCATCCTTGGCTTGTGCCTGGGTGTGGCAGGTGGCACCTAGGTTCCTGGAGAAGCTGAGGAACCCCTCCACTGAGGGCCCACAACTGACCCGTGGTGCATCACCTCTACCGCCCCAGTGCACAGCACCCATCCAGGCATGGCTCAAGTGTCCAGGAAATACTTGGTTAACTGAATGAAAGTGCTTTTGAAACTGCTCTGACACCCCCCTCCCACTCCCCAAGGTACCAATTTGTTATTGTAGGGTCTTCTAGTTTCAGGTGCTTGTAGAGCTTGTTTATTAAGGTAGGATCTGCCTAGAAGTTGGCAGTTTCCTCCAAGTCTCATCAGGGGTTCACTTTCTCTCTTTCTCTCTCTCCTCTTGCAACCCCTTCTTCTTAACCCCCGACATCTACAGCTACAATGGTTGTCTGGCAAGTGGGGACAAGGGCCGCCGGCGAAGCCGCCTGGCACTGAGCCGCCGGTCGCACGCCAACGGGGTGAAGCCAGACGTCATGCACCACATCTCCACGCCGCTCGTCTCCAAGGCAAGCAACTGACCCATAGACCTGAGGTCCTGCCCTCCCTGCCCAAGGCCCAGGTCTTCGGCCTTCCAGGTCCTACCTGCCCACAGCCCCCACACCTTAACAGGGGAGCCCACTTTGTGTCATCACTCACTGCTTATTGGGCCATCCGAGAATGGTGATGAAAAATCCTTTGCAGTGTGCGCAGTTCTTTACAGTTTGCAAAATGTTGCCTTAACCACTGGACCTCTCTGAACCTTGGCTGCCTCTAAGATGGTGCTGCTTATTTCCATCCAATGGAAATGGAAATGGGTGGAAATGAGCTGCACCATTTTAGAGGCAGCCAAGGTTCAGAGAGTGGGAGGTGACAGTCATACTGCAATGATAAAGGAAAAACCTTTGACTTTAGAGGATTTGGGTTAGAATTCAGCCTCTGATATTTCCAGCTGTGTGCCTTTAGGCCAGTTTCTCTCTGACCTGCAGTTTCTTCAACTCTAAAATGGAACAATAACCCCATTCTTTTTATTTTTGAAACGGAATCTCGTTCTGTCACCCAGGCTGGAGTACAGTGGTGCGATCTCAGCTCACTGCAAGCTCTGCCTCCCGGGTTCAAGCCATTCTCCTGCCTCAGCCTCCCGAGTAGCTGGGACTACAGGCGTGTACCACCACACCCAGCTAATTTTTTTTTTTTTTTTTTTGTATTTTTAGTAGAGACGGGATTTCACTATGTTGGCCAGGCCAGTCTTGAACTCCTGACCTCAAGTGATCCGCCCACCTCAGCCTCCCAAAATGCTGGGATTACAGGCGTGAGCCACCGCACCCAGCCTGATAACCCCATCCTTAGGGTGACTGTAGGGCTTAAATCATGTGAAACATCTGCTGCACTGTCCACCCTCTGAGAAGGATGGAGCTGCCCCCTTCCCAGGGAGTGGCTGCTGGGCCTTGAGCTCCAGGTGCTTGCTCAAGGCATACACTTATCATGGCTGCACACCCTGGCAAGTGACTTTTTTCTCCCCACCAGGCACTGAGTAACCGTGGTCAGCACAGCATCTCGTATACACTGTCCCGGAGCCACTCGGTCATAGTGGAGTATACACATGATAGCGACACAGACATGTTCCAGGTATGCTCAGGCCTCTCCACACACCTCCTGGCCACCAGGCCTCTAGGCTCTGCAAGCATTTCAGGTGAGGCTACGGGTTGGGAGGCCATGGGAAAGCTGCTTCTCTCCAGACGAGGAAGCAGGATGTCCCGGTGTGGGCTGTTGACTGCAGAGTCACACAGCAAGTCAGTGGCTATATCAAGGATCAAATTCAAGACTCCTAGACTGTGGGAGGTCACACAGCTCAGGAGTTCAGGTGTGAGAGGCCTAGTGCCTGGGTTCAGATTTTGGCTCCATCACTTACCACTGGGTGACTTTGGGGAAGCATCACTTAAGTTCTCTGGGCCTTGGTTTACTCATCTGTAAAATGAGGCCCATAATAGTACCCACCCCACGGGAAGATTAACTTAGGCATTGCATATAAAATGTTTAGCATGGTGGCTGGCATATAGCAAATAGTTACTTAGAAGTCACTATCTGCTGCTAACATTTGAGCACCCTCTTATAATTATATCAGCAAATCAACTTGTATTTATTGAATGGGGCGATCCCTAGTGCTGTGGGGGCAACAGAGAAGGAGAAGCTGCTCCAGGCCACGGCTTCTTGGACTTGGAGACCCCACCTGGGAGCCTAGAGGGCCTATGGAGTTGGTGCTGCCCCTTCTCCAGGGCCTGGCAGCCTCCTTTTTTGGTGACCTTGCATACAGAGCAGCTGCTGGTACTCTGGGAGGGAAGGCCCATGAGAGTCCCCTATGTACATACAGTCCCTGCTTGCTCTCCCTGTCCTCACAGATTGGCCGCTCCACAGAGAACATGATTGACTTCGTGGTAACAGACACGTCCCCTGGAGGAGGGGCTGCCGAGGGCCCTTCTGCCCAGAGCACCATCTCCCGCTATGCCTGCCGCATCCTCTGTGACCGCCGGCCACCCTATACTGCCCGCATCTATGCCGCTGGCTTCGATGCCTCTAGCAACATCTTCCTTGGAGTGAGTGAGCCCCAGGAAGGGACCAACTCTTCATCTGTGAGGCAAGGGGTAGGCTTGGGAGGTGCAGCATCTTGAGGTGATGAACCAGCCCACAGTAATCCAAATGGTGGTCCTGGCAGTTAGCAACCCCACCTAACTGATGAGCAAAGTGAGGCCCAGAGAGACGCTCAAGTCATGCAGCTTCAATGCCAGTCCTCTCTGGGCCGCCTCTGAACTTGAAGGTAGCGGGGGCAGTGCCTCTGGCACATGGCCTGCTGGGGGGCCCCTGGGGGATGTGATCTGATCCCTCATGTGGTCCCAGGAGCGAGCGGCCAAATGGCGGACCCCAGATGGCCTGATGGATGGACTGACCACCAATGGAGTCCTGGTGATGCACCCGGCAGGCGGCTTCTCCGAGGACTCAGCCCCGGGTGTCTGGCGGGAGATCTCGGTCTGTGGGAATGTGTACACATTGCGGGACAGCCGCTCAGCCCAGCAGCGGGGCAAGCTGGTAGGTGGCCCGCTCCATTCCCCACCCCTATCCTTGCCAGGCCCTCACAAGCTGCCCATCCCCCTGCCCAAGCCAGGAGATGATCTCCAGTCCTTCTGCCCCAGGGAGCCCCAACAGGCTCCATATCAGGGAATCCCAGGCCCAGGGGGTTCTTAGCATGAGCCACTTGTCCCACAGACAGGCAGACAGACCAGGGTCCCCAAGCATAGCATGCATACCACTGGAGGTCCAGGGGGTGATGCGATCAAGGCACACACAGACATACTGTGCAGTCCCAGGTGGCTTCAAGGCTGCTGGCAGCTTAAAAAAAATCACACCTTCTTATGAGAGTGACACTTGGCCCATGTGTGAGCAGTTTATAGCCTAAAGGGTTGGCAGTTTGTAGCATGTCTATCACGTTCAGACAGGTTTAGCACTGTTCTCCTCTCGCAGGAGGAAAGGGTCCTTACAGTAGTTCTGACACAGGTGTTAGTGGCAGCTCCTTGTGGTACAGATCAGAGAGCTGAGGTTAGGGACCGGGAGTGAGTCCTAGAGAGAGGCAGGGGCTGTCCAAGGTCACATGGCCGTGCTCCTCAAACTGGCCATGCACTGCTCTTCTCTGGCATGAGCACATTGGCCAAGGAGATGCAAAACCTCAGAGAAAAGCCTGGCTTTTCTTTCCAGAGCGTCAACTCTGTGGGGAGGTCTGGGGAAGCATTGTTTGTTAAAACAATGCATGTGAATGTTTCACAAGCCTACTCTTCTTGAGCACTATTTGCCACGCACTGTTCTAAGTTTTTAAACTGATTGATCCATTTATTTATTTATTTATTTATTTTTTTTGAGATGGAGTCTCACTCTATCCCCCAGGCTGGAGTGCAATGGCACAATCTTGGCTCACTGCAACCTCCGCCTCCTGGGTTCAAGTGATTCGCCTGCCTCAGCCTCCCACGTAGCTGGGACTACAAGCATGAGCCACCACACCTGGCTAACTTTTTGTATTTTTAGTAGAGATGGGGTTTCACCTTGTTGGCCAGGCTGGTCTGGAACTCCTGACCTCAGGTGATGCGCTCGTCTCGGCCTCCCAAAGTGCTGGGATTACAGGCGTGAGCCACCGCACCCGGCCTGATGGATTCATTTAATCTTCACAAGAACCACTTGAGATGCCAGAAGGTGCAGTCCATCTTGAGGATGAGGAAACTGAGATGGAGAGAGGTTAAGTTACTCGACAAGGGACACAGTTAGTCAACGGTGAGGCCAGAATTCAGCCTGGGCAGCCTAGCTCCTGAGTTTTTGCTTTTAACTGTAACTACTGGGACAGCTGCTTTGGGCTAAGTACCCAGCATTCCCCGTTAGCTTTGAGCTAAGTACCCAGCATTCCTCATTAGAGGCCTTTCCTGCCTCTGTCAGGAGGAGGGCACTTCAGAAAACATCTTATTTTAGAAAAACCCTGTCTGGGTCAGACTTCCTGATTAGACAGATGGGGAAACCAAGGCCCATGCCCCGTTGGGAGGGGGGATCAGCATGTGCCTGGGATGCACCTGCCTGCCCACTTGGCCTCCTAGCCTGCCTTGCTCCTCTGCCCTGCCTGCCCTGCCCGCCAGGGTGTCCTCTCCAGGGAGGCTCTGTGGGATGGACCCGCGGCTCAGCAGGGGCCTCTTGGGCAGTAAGGCCCTTCTACTGCCTCTGGCAGGTGGAAAACGAGTCCAACGTGCTGCAGGACGGCTCTCTCATCGACCTGTGTGGGGCCACACTGCTGTGGCGCACACCGGCGGGGCTGCTGCGGGCTCCCACACTGAAGCAACTGGAGGCCCAGCGGCAGGAGGCAAATGCAGCGCGGCCCCAGTGCCCCGTGGGCCTCAGCACTCTGGCCTTCCCCAGCCCAGCCCGTGGCCGCACAGCGCCCGACAAACAGCAGCCCTGGGTCTACGTCCGCTGCGGGCACGTCCATGGCTACCACGGCTGGGGCTGCCGGCGGGAGCGGGGCCCCCAGGAGCGCGAATGTCCTCTCTGCCGCCTTGTGGGGCCTTATGTGCCTCTATGGCTTGGCCAGGAGGCCGGCCTCTGCCTGGACCCTGGGCCGCCTAGCCATGCCTTTGCACCTTGCGGCCACGTCTGCTCTGAGAAGACTGCCCGCTACTGGGCCCAGACACCACTGCCCCACGGCACCCATGCTTTCCATGCCGCCTGCCCCTTTTGCGGGGCCTGGCTTACCGGCGAGCATGGCTGCGTCCGCCTCATTTTCCAGGGCCCGCTGGATTAGGCTCCCTGGGGCCCCCTGCTGCTGTGCCCACCTGCCCACCCAGGTCCCCACCTCCTGCAGCCCAGAGGGAGCTCTGCATGTGGGACACTCCCTGCTGGCACAGCCACACCAGATGGACATGTTGGATGGGCTGTGCCCTTCCCCCCAACTGTGGCCCCCCAAGGAGGTCCCCAAGATCTCCACCCCAGTCATGCTGATGGGGCCTTCAGCACCAGCTCTGTCCTGGGTCGATGGAGGAAAGCCCAGCCCCATGGCCTTGCCCTTCCTGGGGCATCCCACATCGTGCCGCCGACACTGTGTGCCCCTGGGGGAGTGAAGGGGCCAGGGGCCTTTGACCCCCAGCTTAGGCTGGCTATGCCCTGAGCCTGCCAACCCAGTTTCAGACACTCATCCTTCATCCTTCCTGCTGCCGCCCTGGGTTCCTCTATAAACCTCGCTGCTCAGCTGCCCCCACAAGTCCCACATGCCCCGCATGCGTGCAATGCCTCCAGCCCCCAAGTGAGTGGTGGGTGGGTGGCAGGCTGGGCCTAGCACTTGCTGATAGCCACTATGGGCTCGACTCTGTGCTAAGTGGTATCTGGGGACACAGAGGCAATCAGACCTGGTTCCCCCCCTGGTGGAGTTCACAGTCTAGTGGAGGACAGACTGTTAACAAATGGCAACACGGCTTCATGCGTGCCAGGATCAGAGTACAAATCAGGCTGTGGCAGGCCTCACTGGTAATGGAAAAGTGAGGGAGGCTTCACGGAGGAGGTGTCATAGGAGCTCAGCCTCAACGGCTGCTCGGAACCCTCCGAGTCCACAAGATGGGAAGCAAGTCCACAAGATGGGAAGCGTGCTCTATACAGAAGGGAGGGCCTGTGCACAGGCTCAGGTGTCAGTAAGCCAGAAATCCAGGGACAGAGTCAGGATGGCTGGAGCATGGACTGCGGGGGGAACAGAGAAGGGGGTGGAGCAAAAGGTTGGGACCATGTGACCAGGGAAGATGCTGGATGGAGGATTCTGAACCTCATTTGTGGACGGTCAGGAGTCAACAAAGGGAGGAGAGAGGACTCACTGGTCAAGAGTGTCGGCTGTGACACAAGGGCCATCATCCCTGAATGCCCACCATGTGCCCCGCACTGTGCTGATGATGATAATAATAACTACGTCCATTGAGCACTCTCCAGACACCGGGCTCTGCTTCTTGGAGGTTTTGTTATTTAATCCTCATAGTAACCCAAGAAGGGAGGTGTTGCCATTTTTGTCTCTGAGGAGATGAGGGCAGATGCACCAAGTCACACAACTAGAAAGTGGCCAAGCCAGGATTTGAATCCACAGCTGCTCCTCTCCATCACAGTGTTGCTTTCCTTCAACAGAGGTGGGGGTGAACCAAGCAGGGTTTTGGATACTAGATTGGTGGACACCCACCTGCTTCGTGCCCAGCCCTGCGCAGGGCCCCTGCAGTGGGCAAGGCCGGGCCTCTTGCAGCCCATGGTCTGCAGAGGGACCTACCCGTGCTTGTGTTGGAAGCTGGCCCCCACACCTGTGCTGGCCACCTGTACCCCAGGCCAGGATGCAGTGGGCTATTAGCCAGGCTGGAAGTGTTCAGAGGAGTGAGAACCAGGGGCTCTAGAAGGCCCAGGGAGGACCTGGAGCCTGAGCCAAGTCTTGAATGGCAGAGCATCTCCAGAGGCAGAGAGGAGTTGGGAGGGCAGCCCAGGTGAGGGGAACAGCATGGTGTGGCAGGGAACATGCCTGGTGTGGAGGGGGGCAGCAAAAAGGAATGGGGGGTAGGGAAGGTTGCTGGGGCCTGGTGGGCCTTGATTGCCATGGAAGCCAAGCCTGAACTGGATTCCTATTCATCCTGGCCACAGGTGGGCGTGTTGCTGGGGTTGCCCCAGACCATTCCTGCAGGGAGCGAGCCAGGAAGACAGGCAGACGGCTGTTCTGGAGATGAAGAGAAGAAGGCTCTGAGTATAGGCCTGACCTGGGCATCGTCCCCAATAGATGACAGAGCCTAGGGAAGTACAGATTCCAAGGGGAGGGATGGACCTGACCAAGGCCACACAGCTGGTTGCGGCCAGGGAGATCAGACCTGGGTTATTGAGAAGACAGAGGGCACCCGAATGTGATGAGAGAAGGAGGAGGGTGTGATCAGATTCTTGCTTCCAGAGCATGGCACTGCTGCAGTGGGGGTGAAGGGGAGGGTGGGGATGCTGCAGGAGGTGTGGGAGCATTCCAACTTCTCTCCCCTCAACATACACACAACACACAAAGCACTCAAAATCCAACTCTTCCAAGTTCTCTCTTCTGACCCTGTTGGGAACCAGGCAGGGGAACATTCTGATCCCATTTCCAGTGGGGAACCTCAGACCCTAGGAGGAAAGACCAGCAAAGGGCACCACAGTAGATGCTGGGGAGGATTCAGAGGTATTGGTGGAGGAGGTCAGAGCCCTGGTCTTGTCCCAGCTCTGCCTTTGCCAGCTGTTAGAGCCTCAGTTTCCTCAGTGCTAAAGGGGATAACAGTCACTACCTCGCCAGGTGGTTGTGAATATACAGAGAGCACCTGTAACACAGTTGATTCGTAACTGTTGCTCCTCACCGACCCCTTTTGCATTCCCATGGGGAAGAGCCAAGGCTGGGGAGTTATGACTCCAGTGATAGACTGCTCCATGTGAGTGACTGTGTGTGTGTATCTCTATGTTGGGGCCAGGGATATCTGAACTGTGTGGTGTTATAGGAGTCGGCGAACCTCTTAGCCTCAGTTTCCCTATCTGTACAATGGGTAAAGTGATCATACCTCAGGATTTTTGCAAGAATTAAATGAGGTCCTCCATGCCAAACTGCTAGCAAGGGACCTCAGTATATGCTCATCTTATCTGTGATCATAAAAATGTGATCACGTAGCTGGTTGGGGGGTCCTGAGAGCACTGGGGTCTTTTCCTTGCCTGAGCTGCCCCCTGCTGGCAGTGGGCAGCACTACCTCCCTTACCTGTGCACATTTCAACTTCACCTGTCAGCCAACTTTATACCCATTTTAAAGACAATGAAAACGGAGGCACAGGAAAGAAGAGGGGTGACTTTCCTAAGGACACCGACCAACTTGTTGAACTCCCCCATATAACAAGTAATCATCAAAGCTAACAGCTTGTAACACTGTTGTGTCAAGCAGGGCCTTGGGCACCTTTGTGGATGAGAAACTGGTGTCTATGGTAAGCAGAGGCTGTCTGGCCTAGACACGGGCGTAGCAAGGAGACCGTGCGGGATTTCAGTACCCAAACGCCCCTCACCCTGCGCAACTATAGGGAGCGGCACTGCAGTCAACACATCACAACTTACAATATCCCTTGGATTGGATTCAATTATTAGCCTGGTTTTCCGGTTCATAAAGCCAAGACTCCCAGACAACCTCACTCCACCCCCCAGTCTGACCCTGGGCCCTCACCACTACTCCCCATTTGGCCTAGGCCCTTCCGCATGCCCCACCCAGACCGTGGTCCCGTGAGTCCGTCCAGACCTGTAAAAGTGGACCGCGGGCCCGCCTCTGCTCTGGACTCCCTTTCGGGGCCGCAGGAGGCTTTCTCATCCATCAGGCATCTGGCAAGCACCAGGAAACTACCAGCCTGTTTGTGCTAAGGAAACTGAGGCTCGGGAATGTTTAGCGGCTCCTTCCAGGCCCGTGGCGGGTGGGTGGTGGTACAGTGAAGCAGTCGAGGCGTTTCTCCGCGCCCCTACACGGGTGGGACCACCTCAGCCCTGGCCCGATCCCACTCAACCGTAGCCCCGATTCCCGGCACCGAGAGCTTTGCAACTTCCAAGTCTCCACCCCCAGGTCCCGAGTCCCGAGAGGAAGGTGGAGCCACATTACTCCTATTGTGTAGGTTCCCACCTGCAAGAGTGCTGTCGGGTCCTCTGAGGTGAAACCCCAAAGGAAAGCGGGATCGGGACTGGGGGAGGGGGATTCCCAAGTCCCTGACACCCGCGCCGTCTCGGCCTGGGCTTGGTGACCTCGTCAGTCCCGTCTGCCGGGACTAGGCCGCGGCCAGGCCGGGCACAGCGGTACCCGGTCCGGCGCGTGTGCGGCCTGCTGACAAAAGGCCGAGCCCGCAGGGCCAATCCGCGCGCCACCCCGTAGCGCCTGGGGGCGGGAGCGGGCGAGCCGAGAAGCTCGTCTTGGCGCGTCTATTGGCTGGTACTGACGCCCATCCGGACCCCGAGGCCAGGCAGTTGGCCAAGGGGGGCGGGGTTCGCAGAGCCCCAATGAATGGGGGAGCCGGAAGCAGGAAGTGAGTTTGCGAACGGAGCAGCTGCTGCAGGTGAGGCGCGGCGCCTGGGCTTTTGGGGTCAAAGCGTGTCATCCCGGGGGACCAAGGCGAATCCATACTGAGCGCAAAATCGTTCCCTTTCTGCCCACTCTCCAGTACCCCCTCCAAATTCACCCCGCCCTCGAGGCCAAGGAGTGCTCCGGGGAGCAAAGAGTTAACAGCCCTTTCCGAACCTCGAGGCTGTGCTATTGGGGCGGGGCTTCTGGAGGCCGGGGCAGGGCGAGGAGGCTGGACACTCTGTCCCAGCCGGGACGGGGCGTGGCGGGGAGAATGCCCCGGGTTGGGGAATCCCCGGGTTCCAACGGGGCTGTCAGACCTTCAGTAAATTGTTGCCCTTTCCAAGCCTCAGTTTCCCTATCTGTAAAATGGGCTTTCTTCTGGTTGTGAACTTCTGTGGCTTCCCTGGTGGAGCACAGGGAGCGAGCAGGAGAATGGAGGGCCAAGGAAAAGGCATTTAGAGGGATGAGAATGGGACAGTTTCAAGCAAAATCATTTATTGCTGTGGATACTTTCCGTCCAGGGCGACTTCATCTGATTAGCGCACCCACCTGGTAATATTGGGGTTATTCTCTCTTTTATAGAGGAGGAAACGGAGGTACAGAAAAGTGAAGCAATGGACTTGACTTTTAGGAGTCTGGGGCCGAGTCCTGGCTAAAGGCTGAGCCTTCCAGCTGGCGGCCTGGCACTTTATCCTTGTGAGCACAGTGGAAAGTGTAAAGAATTCTGAACAAAGGCCAGGCGCGGTGGCTCACGCCTGTAATCCCAGCACTTTGGGAGGCCAAGGCAAGCAGATCGCTTGAGGCCAGGAGTTCGAGACCAGCCTGGACAAAATAGCGAGACCCCGTCTCTATCAAAAATACAAAAAATTAGCTGGGCATGGTGATGCACGCCTGTAGTCCCAACTACTTTGGAGGCTGAGGCAGGAGAATCGCTTGAACCCGGGAGGCGGAGGTTGCAGTGAGTCAAGATCATGCCACTGCACTCCAGCCTGGGCAACTAAGTGAGACTCCGTCTTAAAAAAATAATACTGAACAAGGAAGCAGGGAGGGGCCTGGGCTGGGAGCCTAGAGATGAGGATCTCTGCTGCTGATGTCTCCATTGTGGGATTAGGCAAGGCTCTTAGCCTCTCTGAACCTCAGTTTCCCCATCTGTAATACTAGGTAGTTAGAGTCAATCAATTTTTTTTTTTTTGAGGTGGAGTCTCACTCTGTTGCCCAGGCTGGAGTGCAATGGTGCGGTCTCAGCTCACTGCAGCCTCCACCTCCTGGGTTCAAGTGATTCTCCTGCCTCAGCCTTCCCAGTAGCTGAGATTACAGGTGCCTGGCACCAAGCCTGGCTAATTTTTGTATTTTTAGTAGAAAGGAGGTTTCACCATGTTGGTCAGGCTGGTCTTGAACTCTTGACCTCAGGTGATCCACACACCTCGGCCTCCCAAAGTGCTGGGATTACAGGTGTGAGCCACCATGCCTGACCTTAGAGTCAATCTTTAAGGTTTAGGGACTACAGACCAAATATGGTCCACCAGTGTATTTTGTGACCCCTTGGGTGAGTCATCTCACCTTCTCTAAGCCTCAGTTAGCATATCTGGTGAATGGGTACAATAGTATTCCCTTCCACATGGGCTTTTGGGAGGATTAAATGAGATCATAAGAGTTCAGAGCCAGGTATGCAATTGGTATGGGGTAAACAACAGCTGTGATGACAGTGATGGTTCTCAGCAGGGCCCATGGCGGACACCCAGTACATCCTGCCCAATGACATCGGCGTGTCTAGCCTGGACTGCCGTGAGGCCTTCCGCCTGCTGTCACCCACAGAGCGCCTCTATGCCTACCACCTGTCCCGTGCCGCCTGGTACGGAGGCCTGGCTGTGCTGCTTCAGACCTCCCCTGAGGCCCCCTACATCTATGCTCTGCTCAGCCGCCTCTTCCGCGCCCAGGACCCCGACCAGCTGCGCCAACATGCCCTGGCTGAAGGCCTTACCGAGGAGGAGTATCAGGTCAGTTCTCTTGGGCCAACCCACATTACCTGAGTGGCTTCTGGGTGTGAAAGACCAGGATGCAAATGTCTGTCTCTTTCAAGGGGTAGGTGGAGGATTAGACCAAAGGTTACAAATTCAGGCACTTCCCCTCTCTGGAGCCTCAGTCTTCTCACCCGTAAAATATGCATGTGGGATGTCTGTACCTCTTAGTGTTGTGATGACCCACTTAGAACAGTGCCTGACTTCAAGATAAATGATGGCTGCTGTGATTATAACAAAAGAAACTGTGGTGGAGATTCAGGGAAGGCAGAAGAAGGAGTCCAGAGTAGGTATCAGGAGGTCTGAGTTCAGGACCAGTTCTTCTCTACCACACTGTGTGGCCCTGGGCAGAATGTTCTGCCTGTCCCTTGGTTTTTGTTTTTGGATGTATTGGCCAAGTAATACACAAATTCTTAGTGCATTGCAGCAATGCAGAAAGACACAAAAGAAAACACAAAGATCACTCATTCTCAGTGCCCTCCTCAGAGGTAACCCACTGAGGCTGATACAGCCTTTTCTTTCTCTCTCTTTTTTATTTTTTATTTTTTTTTTGTGACAGAGTCTCATTCTGTCACCCAGGCTGGAGTGCAGTGGCGTAATGTTGGCCCACTGCAAACCTCCACCTCCCAGGTTCAAGCACTTCTCATGCCTCAGCCTCCCAAGTAGCTGGAACTACAGGTATGTGCCACCACACCGGGCTAATTTTTGTATTTTTAGTACAGGTGGGTTTTCACCATGTTGCCCAGTCTGGTCTTGAACTCCTGGCCTCAAGTGATCCACTTGCCTTAGCCTCCCAAAGTGCTGGGATTACAGGCGTGAACCATCGTGCCCAGCCTTGGTTACAGCCTTTTCAATCCCATCTGTGTATTACATACATTTATGTGTATATGCATGGTGAATCAGTTCCTTATTTTCTTTTTTATAGAAATGAGATAATGTTCTTTTCCTGCTTTGTGTCCTGCTTTTTCCATTGAATGCCATGTCTTGAAGAACTTGGAGAATGGGGTACATTTAAATGTACCTCATTCTTTTTTATTGACTGTAAAGCATTCCACAGCAGTGTACACTATAATCAATTTAATCTTCATTACTGGACATTTAGCTTGTCCCGTTTTTCTTACAAACAGTGCCATGGTGAGCATACTTGTGCACACATGTGAGGAGGATCTATTTCTAGAAGAACTGCTGGGTCAAAGGCTCTGTACATTTACAATTGACTGATTCTGTTAAATCATCTTCTAAAAAAGCTTCACTGCATTATATTCCCACCAAGAATGTACAAGAATATGGCCTGTTTTTCTATATGTGAAATAAAGGGATTGGATTGTTTCTCTCTGAGCTGATGTACTGTTTATTCTACCTCTTTTGAACTTTGGGCATTCACTTCCCATCTTGAGGCCTTGGCTTACTCATTAAAAGAGCTAATATCCGTGGAAATGTTTATAAACAGAAAGGTGCAACCCAAGCGTTATTATTTTCAGGGAAATTCTTTTTTTTTTTTGTGGGGGACGGAGTCTCGCTCTGTCACCAGGCCGGAGTGCAGTGGCACAATCTCAGCTCACTGCAACCTCCAACTCCCTGGTTCAAGCGATTCTCCTGCCTCAGCCTCCTGAGTAGCTGGTATTACAGGCATGCACCACCACGCCCAGCTAATTTCTGTATTTTTAGTAGAGATGGGGTTTCACCATGTTGGCCAGGATGGTCTCAATCTCCTGACCTCGTGATCTGCCCGCCTCGGCCTCCCAGAGTGCTTGGGATTACAGGTGTGAGCCACCACGCCTGGCCATTTAGGGGAATTCATATGTTTGCAAGTGGCAGAAACCCAGCTCAAATTGGCTTACATGAAAAGGAGAATTGTTGGGTCACATGCTTGAAAAGTCCAGGTCTAGAGGAAGTTTCAGGCATGGCTGGACTCGGACTCAGTGCTACCACTGGGATGCAGTCTTCGTCTCTCAGCTTGCTTGCTTTTCTTACTCCTGGAGGGGAGCTCCAGGAGTTCCAGGCCTGATGATCCCTGGTGTACAGAGGCTCTTTGCCAATGGGAAATGTCCTGGGTAGCTCTCTTATGCCAGCTTGAGCCTTGTGTCCATCCTGTAGCCAAGGATGGTGGTTTCTCAGACTGACTGAGCCAGGTTACATGCCCACCCCTGGAGCTGGGGGAAGGGAGATCCCCCACCCCACCCTCCCACCCACAAAAGGAGGATTGAGGTCTTGTTACCAGAGGAAGATCTGGGGCCAGCAGAAGCCATAGAATAGACAGATGATTAAGGCCTCTCCGGCTCTAACATGTGATGCTTCCAAGGCCAGCTGCCTGACAGGTCAGAGGCTGAGGACAGGCTCTGGAGAAAGAGGGAGGTGCTGCTGGAACTGGGCCTTAAAGGACACAGTAGCTTCAGGTGGCTGAGAGGGTGCTGGGGTGGGGAGGGAAAAGGCAGACGAATGCTTGGGTGTGTTTGGGAACTGCCCAGAAGATCAGTTAGGCCAGACAACGGGGGTGTGAAAATGGGTCTGTGGAAGTGAGTGTGGGCCAGACTGGGGCTTCCCAGGACCTAGGTCCTGCCCACACATTTCCCAGCCTCACCCACACTGGCTCTGCTGGGGCATTCGCATCTCAGGAGGAGGTGTCGCTGGGGTCAGGGAGGCTGTGCTTCCTGGGTCTCTGATGCCTGCCTCCCCCTCAGGCGTTCCTGGTCTATGCCGCGGGTGTTTACTCCAACATGGGCAACTACAAGTCCTTTGGTGACACCAAGTTTGTTCCCAACTTGCCCAAGGTGAGCCAAGGGAGGGTTGGGGAAGGTGGGGATGGGGGGCTGGTGGGGTAGAGATGGAAAATGCAGTAGAAGGAGCCCCAACTGGAGTGTCAGAAGCCCTGAGCAGAGCATGGACCCTGTCGCTTCCACCCTGCATGACTGTGGGTGTCACCAGCCTCACTGGGTGCTGCGGCCTCTTCGTGTATAAAGGAAAAGCACCACTCGCCCTGACTGCTGATCCGCAGGCTGAACAAGGGCGAGATGTGGAAGTGTTCTGTGAACTTTTAGGTGCTCTCAAAAATGGAGCTTGTTGGTCATCACCAGGAACAGTGGGAAGTGCTGGGCCGGGGGCATCCCTCCCAGGGTTATGAGACTTGAGCCTATCTCGGGCAGAGGTGGTTCTTATAGCAGGTATAAGAGCCGGGACTTCAATATGCACACAAGTCACCTGGCAGTCATGCTGACATGCAGCATCTGATTCAGCAGGTCTGTGGTGGACCCAAGATTTGACATTTTTTCTTTGAGACAGGGTCTTGCTCTGTCACCCAAGCTGAAGTGTAGTGGTGTGATCATGACTCACTTCAGCATCAACCTCCTGGACTCAAGTGATCCTCCTGGCTTAGCCTCCCAAGTAGTTGGGAATATGGGTATGCAGCACCACACCAGCTAAATTTTCTTTTCTTTTCTTTTCTTTTCTTTTCTTTTCTTTTCTTTTTTTGAGATAGGGTCTCACTCTGTCACTCAGGCTGGAGGGTAGTGGCACGGACACAGCTCACTGCAACCTCAACTTCCTAGGCTCAGGTGATCCTCCTCAGCTTCCAGAGTAGCTGGTACCACAGATGCCTGTCACCATGACACCTGGCTAATTTTTAAAAATTTTTTGTAGAGACAGAATCCCACTGTGTTACCCAAGCTGGTCTTGAACTCCTGGGCTCAAGCAATCCTCATGCTTTGGCCTCCCCAAATGCTAGGATTACAGGCATGAGCCACTGCGTCTGGCCTAATTTTTTTTATTCTTTGTAGAGATGGGGTCTCTCTGTGTTGCCCAGGCTTGTCTTGAACTCCTGGCCTCAAGCATCTCTCCCTCCTCTGCCTCCCAAAGTGCTGGGATTATAGGTGTGAGCCACCACACATGGACGCTTGACATTTCTCAGGACCTACAAGTGCTGCTGGTCCATGGACCACACAATGAGCCAGAGCTCTTAGATCATAGGAGAAGAGCTTGGGAGTGGGTAGGGAGGCTCTGGAAGGCAGGTTTGGGTGGTGTGACTGGGCCATTGGCCTCCCTTTCCTTGCAGGAAAAGCTGGAACGGGTGATCCTAGGGAGTGAGGCTGCTCAGCAGCACCCAGAAGAAGTCAGGGGCCTCTGGCAGACCTGCGGGGAGCTTATGTTCTCTCTGGAGCCAAGGCTTCGACACCTCGGACTGGGGAAGGAGGTGAGGCCCCTGACTCCCCCGAGGGGACAGGGAGTGGAGGGAATCCTTCAAGGCCACCTGGTAAGGAGGGAAGGACACGGGATGGGGAGGCAGTGGGCTCTGCCTCACACTCCTGAGGCAATGCTGCTCCCCACTGCAGGCCTCAGTTTTGTCATCTGTAGAATGGTAAGCATGTTGGGTCGAATGCTTTCTGAATGCCCTCCCAGATCTGACATTCTGTACACAGGATGCCATGTGCTGATGGAGGGAAGGAGAGGAAGGCTGGAGGTGGAGGGAGCTGAGGAGGGGATGGCAGGGAAGGAGGGGGGTCCCAGGTTTCCCACCTCTGGAGGCCACATCCGTTGCATGGGATGAGGACCTTGGCAAGCCTTAGGGGTGGGCCAGCCAGAGAGAGGCCTGGGCAGAGCTGCAGCAACACTGGAGATGAGCATGTTTGTTTGTTTTATAACTTTTTCCCCTGGAGGTAGATGGAGGGGTAAGGGGTAGAGGCTGCTGAAAGGAGGGAGGGGCGGGAAGCCTGGGAATATGACGTCCCTGCAGCCCTGACCTTGGCAACTCCTCTTTCTCATGTCCCCTGTCTTCCCCAACAGGGAATCACCACCTATTTCTCTGGGAATTGTACCATGGAAGATGCCAAATTGGCCCAGGACTTTCTGGACTCACAGGTTTGGGGTTAGGGGAGCTCAAGGTAGCAGAGGTTTGGTGGGGTTCCTAGTCCCAGCCCCCTCACAACTGGTGACCACTCCTGGGTCTCTGCTTGACTACTCCCTGTGTACTAGGGAAGGCGCGACCCCTGCCCACCCCAGGCTATAGAGCCTAATGACAGCCTCAGGGCAGGGCGAGGAACCAGGACCTCAGGCCACAGGGGTGTGAGGCTCCGGGGTCCATGTGTCAGTGGTGCTCCCAGCTCAGCCACTCACCAGCCATGTGATCAGTTTCCATGTCTGTGAAGTGGTACCCACCTCCAGTAGCCCTGGGTTCGCAGAGGCCGTGCAGTGCCTGGCACAGTGGTTGCAGTCAGTGCTTAGTAGAAGTGCACAGTGTCCTGAGCAGAGCAGGAGAGTCGGCCCTGGGCTGCCCACTCCCACTCTCTCCCACTCCTGCTCCCAGCCAACCCAGAAGGCCCAGCCTGCTTTGCCTCCATGCCTTCTCCCCTAGGGTTGACCCATTTTCCTTCCTCCCACCCCACTGCCCTCTCCAGACTTCACTCTTAACCCCTGTCCTGGTCTCTTCTAGAACCTCAGTGCCTACAACACCCGGCTCTTCAAAGAGGTCGATGGAGAAGGGAAGCCCTACTACGAGGTGCGGCTGGCTTCTGTGCTTGGCTCAGGTGAGCTTAGCCCCAGGCTTCCCTTCTGCTCCCTCCTGGGCATTTCCGGACCTGGGTGGCTCAGGTCCTACCAACTCTGCCACTCCTTCAGAAAGAGCATCCTTCTCTCCCAGGATTTTCTACATAAGTCCTGGGAATGGCTCTAGTTTCTCTAAATCAGTCCCCTATTTGTCTGTGAACCAATCCCTGAGGGCTGGCAAGGGACAGGTCTCTGATTGGCTCAACCTGGTCTCAAGCCTACCCTGGAGTCAGGCGATGAGGTTGGCCCTTCAGGCCGGGCATGGCAGCTCACACCTGTAATCCCAGCACTTTGGGAGGCAAAGGTGGGCGAATCACCTAAGGTCAGGAGTTCGAGACCAGCCTGGCCAACATGGTGAAACCCCATCTCTACTAAAAATACAGAAATTAGCCGGGCGTGGTGGCGTGTGCCTGTAATTCCAGCTACTTGGGAGACTGAGGCAGGAGAATCGCTTAAACCTGGAAGGGAGAGGTTGCAGTGAGCCGAGATCTTACCACTGCACTCCAACCTGGGTGACAGAGCGAAGCTCCAGATCAAGGAAAAAAAAAAAAAAAAAAAGAGGCTGGCCCTTCCCAAACCACCTGCACTTGGGGTAGTAGTAGTGGGGCCTGGGGTGGTATTCTCAAGGGGAAATTGGGGTCCATTCCCAGGAGAGAGGAAATAGTATGGACAGAAGTGTCCAGGCCTTTATGAAGACCTTTGCCACCTGGCTCTTTGTTCCCCACTCGCACCCCAGCCCCTGCTTCATCTCCACATCCTCCCACTCAGACTCTGTGCTCTGGCCATGCTCAACAGCATCCAGTTCTGATGGACCCTCTCTAGGTCTTTTTGTTTTTGTTTTTTGAGACAGAGTCTTGCTGTATCGCCCAGGCTGGAGTGCCCAGGCTAGAGTGCAGTGGTGCGACCTTGGTTCACCGCAACCTCTGCCTCCCGGGTTCAAGCAATTCTCCTGCCTCAGCCTCCCCAGTAGCTGGGATTGCAGGTGCCCATCACCATACCTGGCTAATTTTTGTATTTTTAGTAGAGATGAGATTTCGCCATTTGGCCAGGCTGGTCCTGAACTCCTGACCTCAGGTGATCCGCGTGCCTCTCGGCCTCCCAGTGTGCTGGATTATAGGCGTGAGCCACCGCGCCTGGCCCCTGTCCAGGTCTTTGCACAATCCATTCCCTGCTTCTCATGCGGAACCCCCTCCAGCCTCTCCTTGTCCCCTGGCCACCTCCTCCCCATCCTCTAGGCCATGCATGGACTTGCCTTCCCCAGGACCTTTCCCTATCTTCCCATAACTGAGTCTGTGCCCTTCTTTCTTCCCATCGGCACATTCAGTAGCTTCCCTGACTACAAGCTCCCCGAGAGGAGGGCCTGTGTGTTTCATCCACTGTTGTCTCCCTGGTGCCTAGCGCTTGGTGGATCCGAGCATCCACTGGGGAGATGATGGCAGATGTGGGTTCAGAGGAACAGGAGTGGATCTCACTGGAACATAAGCTGGGCCTATACTTAGAGTACAAGATGCAGTTTCGGGCAGTGGTTGAATGTGGCCCTGGAGCCGGACTGCCCGAGTGGGTCATAATCTATTGCTGTGGAACAAATGCTCCGCAAATTTAGTGATACAAAACCACCTTTTCATGCTCATGGACTCTGGGTCAGGAATGCAGGTGGAGCACAGTAGGAACAGCCGGTCGCTGGGTGACCATGTCTGGGGCCTCAGCTGGGAAGACGACAGCTTGGGGCCGCAAGCATCCCCAGGCTTGTTGACTCACACGCAGGTGCTGGCTGCCGGCTGGAACCCAGCTGGGCTGTTGACTAAAATACCTCATGTGGCACCCTCCTATTGTTCGTGGTAGCTGGGCTCCAAGAGTGAGCATCCCAGGAGAGCCAGGCAGAAGCCTGCTCACCTTGTGTGACCTGGCCTAAGCACATGGTGTCCCTGCTGCTGAAGTCACAGCCTTCCTGGCTTCAGGAGGAGGGAACACAGATCCCACATCTCCATGGGCAAAGTCACAGTTGAGCTGGATATGATGGCTCACACCTGTAATCCCAGCTACTCAGGAGGCTGAGCCAGGAGGATCGCTTGAGCCCAGGAGTCTGAGATCAACTGGGCAACCTTACAAGATCCTATCTAAAAAAAAAAAAAAAAAAAAAAAAAAAAGGCAGTAAGACAGGAAATACTGTGGCTATTTTTGCTTGTTTGTTTGTTTTTACATAGCCTTGAAGTATATTTTATTGATCAGAGACAACAAGGAAAATACAGTAGTGTGTAAGCATCCCATTGCTTCTGTAACAAATTACCACAAATTTACTGGCACAAAACAACACAAACTTATTCTATTACAGTTGTGGAGGTCCAGAGTCTAAAAGCAAGGCTGGGCCGCATTCCTTCTGGAGTCTCAGGAAGAACCTGCTTCCTTGCCTTTTCCAGCTTCTGGAAGGCTGTCCAGCCCCCCAACTTCACTCCAGCTCCCCTCTGCTATCGTCACAGCTCCTCCTCCCAGTCACCCTCTTGTCTCCCCATGGGACTGTCGATTACATTTGGGATGTGGCTGTCTTTTTAAATCCAGTCTGCCACTTGCTATCCACTTAAGCTCTCGGTGCCTTAGTTTCCCATCGGTGAAATGGAAATGATAATGTCCGCCTCCTCCCAGAGTTGGAGTCAGGCTTAAAGGAGTTAACACACGGAAAGCACATGTTATGTGATACATATATTTTTGTTTTTTAGTTTTGGGGTTTTGTTTTGTTTTTTTTGTTTTGTTTTTTTTTTTTTTGAGATGGAGTCTCTTCTCTGTTGCCCAGGCTGGAGTGCAGCAGCACGATCTCAGCTCACTGCAACCACTGTCTCCCGGGTTCAAGCGATTCTCTTGCCTCAGCCTCCCGAGTAGCTGGCATGACAGGCACCTACCACCATGCCCAGCTAATTTTGTATTTTGAGTAGAGACAGGGTTTCACCATGTTGGCCAGACTGGTCACGAACTTCAGACCTCAGGCGATCTGCCCGTCTCAGCCTCCCAAAGTGCTGGGATTACAGGCGTAAGCCACCATGCCCGGCTGATATATATTTTTTTGAAGTTGAGAGTTTATGCTCATGTCTGTTGGCTACAGGGAGCCATTGAAAATCTTAGAGTGAAAGAGTGCTATGGGGAAAAGCCGGCTGAGGTGTCTTACTCAGGCCTTTTCTCTGAGTGAGGCCTCTTACTCCAGCCTTTTCTCTTGAATGACACCTTCTTTCCCCAGAGCCTTCCCTGGACTCTGAGGTGACTTCCAAGCTGAAGAGCTATGAATTCCGGGGAAGCCCTTTCCAGGTGACCCGGGGGGACTACGCGCCCATCCTCCAGAAGGTGGTGGAGCAGCTGGAGAAAGCCAAGGTTGGACTGGCTGGGGGCTGAGGGGTGCGGGCTGAGGACCCCTCTGGGCAGCAGAGCGGGTGTGGAGGTGGGTGGGTGGCCCGAGGCTGACCGACCCCCGCTCACCTCAGGCCTATGCAGCCAACAGCCACCAGGGGCAGATGCTGGCCCAGTATATAGAGAGCTTCACCCAGGGCTCCATCGAGGCCCACAAGAGGGGCTCCCGCTTCTGGATCCAGGACAAAGGCCCCATCGTGGAGAGGTGAGGCGCCAGCTCCACCCCACCTGCCCCCTCCTGCCTGCCCCTCCTCCACCTCTGCCCTTCTCTCCCCCAGTTACATCGGGTTCATCGAGAGCTACCGCGACCCCTTTGGTTCCCGAGGAGAATTTGAAGGTAACTTCCTCAGGGAGGAGGTCAGTCACAGTCCCTTCCCCCACATCCAAGTCCACGTTTCCAGTGTCCCCTGATGGTTCTCCCCACCCCCGCTCAGCCATAACCATAACAGTAAGAACAGCCATGGTAAATAAACACCGTTTACAATGTATTGGGCACTGTTGTAAGAAGCTTAGCTATATTAACTAATTTAGAGTCCATCATCCCATGAGGATATTTATCTTCACTTTGCAGATGTGAGCACTGGGGCACAGTTGGGGGGTGGCCCAGGAACCCTGGCTCTGAGCTATTTTGCTGTGCTGCCTCTGGTGTCTGGTCAGGGCACAGGCTCCAGGTAGCCATGTGCCTCCCAAGCCCAGCTTTACCACTCCTAGGCTGTGTGATCTTGGGCCAAATAGCCAGACCTCTGAGCACCAATGTGATTAGGATGCAGACTGCTGCACTCAGTGGCTGGAAGCAGGATGGACATTGTGACTGTGGACCTGACCCGGGGCTGTCATCCCAGGCTGGTGGCAGGCTGCCGCGGCCCCCACCCCCTTCCCCAGGGGACCCACCTGTGCAAGGCAGGGCATCCAGCCTGAGGATTCAGCCACTTCTCTGACTGCCCTAATCCTCCCCAGCCCCTGGATTTAGAAGAGTCTGAGCATCTGCCTGCTAAAGCTGGAGAGATTAGCCTGGGAGGAGAGCACACACCTGTTGGGGCTCAGGGATGACCCAGGCCCAGGGAGAAGGGGCAGGCGGCCCAGGGGCCTGAGGGAGAGACGGGTTTGTGCAGCTGCATCTTTCCTGTCCAGGTCCTGACCCAGTAGGGCCCAGGCCTGGGTCACTGCTATCCCCATCTTCCAGCCCAGGGTGACTGCATACAGTAGGCATTCAGTACATGCGTGATGGCTGGAGTAGGGTGAAGTGGGAGCCCTCCTGGAACCCTGCCAAGCCACAACCCCCTCCCTCCTCTGCAGGTTTCGTAGCTGTGGTGAACAAGGCCATGAGTGCCAAGTTTGAGCGGCTGGTGGCGAGCGCAGAGCAGCTGCTGAAGGAGCTGCCCTGGCCCCCAACCTTTGAGAAGGACAAGTTCCTCACCCCTGACTTCACCTCCCTGGATGTTCTCACCTTCGCTGGCTCCGGCATCCCTGCCGGCATCAACATCCCCAACTGTGAGTGTCTCAGGCCCAGCCCCCGAGCCCCAGAAACCTTCCTTTAGAGTCGCCCCTCCCTGTCCACACACACACCCTCCACAAACTGCTCTGTGCCTCTTGTCTGTTACCTTTGACCCTCACCTCTTCTTTCTGGTCCTTCTCCACCTTCTCCAGACGATGATCTGAGGCAGACGGAAGGCTTTAAGAACGTGTCGCTGGGGAATGTGCTGGCTGTGGCCTACGCCACGCAGCGGGAGAAGCTTACCTTTCTGGAGGAGGATGACAAGGTGGGCGCCAGCAGTCGGAGGGTCGGGGCTGGGCCTCACCTTCCTCAGCAGACTCAGGAAGAGAGACAGCCCAGAGCAGTAGAGAGGAAAGCACATAGCTTCAGTCCTGGCTCTGCCACTTCCCAACCATGTGACCGTGTGGACTTTGGAGCCTCAGTTTCCTCTTGGGTCACACTAGGGAGGCATCCCTCCCTTCCTCCTGGGTTGTTGCAAGGATGAAATGGGCTGTGGGGTGGAGCACAGTTGGCCTTTACCAAGCACATGCACTGAGATGGGTCCATGGCCCAGGGGAGGGGAGGCCGACAGGCTGTATAGCCAGGGCTGGCCAGTGGACAGCGCGGGTCTCTGCTTGTCTTGGCAGGACCTGTACATCCTCTGGAAGGGGCCCTCCTTCGATGTGCAGGTGGGCCTGCACGAGCTGCTGGGCCATGGCAGTGGCAAGCTCTTCGTACAGGTGAGAAGGCAGTGGCCAGCCCTGGCACCCCAGCCTACAGCTCCACTCCCCACAACCTGCCCTACCCAGCGGTGAAGCTGCTCCAGCCTCTGCCCTCAGGAGCTATGGGTTGAGTGGGGAAAATGGCCCCTTAGGCAGAGAAGACCCTGTCTTGCCCTCCCTCAAGATGTCCCAGGAGCTCAGATGCCTGGATGTAGAGCCTGGGTGTACATCTGGGGCTCAGGGATGAGCCTGGTGTAGAGCCTGGATGTAGAGCCTGGATGTAGAGGGCCCTTCGGGACAGTTCAGCTGCTGTTCCCCGCACCAGGAGGAATTGTTTGGCTCAGGCTAAGGAAGCACACCCTAAGGGCGTGCTTAGGGCGTGGCTCCAGCAGCCCCAGGACAGACACTTGGGGCAGGGGGCATCTCTGGGTGCTCCCATCTGAGGCAGCAGTGCTGTCTTTGTTTGCGCTGCTGTTCCGTGGAACCTGGGCTTTTCCGGGTATCGTAGGGAGCCACTTCTCCCCAGAGCAGACCCTTCTTGCCAGCCGGCCAGAGTGGCTGGAGCCCCCTCCATACCTACCCAGGGAATATGGAAACACAGACAGTCATTTATGGGGGGCTGAAAAGCTGATGTGGACCCCCAGCATGAAGATGACCAGAAATGGGGTGAGGTGTGGCCCCTCCCCTCCGAGGGCGGGGTTCTGGGTGGGTCCTGCTTCTCGGGGTGTGGGGCTGCTTCCCTGGATCAGGAAGGGCTGGAACTGGGCCCTGGGGTCAGGAGGATGCGCAGAACAGCTGCTGGGTCAGCAGTCTGGCGAAACGCCTTGTCCAGACTTTATCAAGGCTGTGTGTGGCCTTGGATAATTCAGCACCTTCACCGAGCCTCAGTTGGCCCATCTGTAAAATGAGATTCCTGACCCCTGCTGTGTGGGCTGTTGTGAGGAGTAAAGGTGAAGACAGTAAGCCCTAACACACAGTAAGCCCTGACAGCAAACAGGTGTTAGTGTTGAGAGACAGCGTCCACGGAGGTTGTGTGCTCTGACTCCAGTGTGGGGCTCTTAGGCTCTGAGCCTCAGTTTCCTCATCTGTGAAGTGGGGTGATAGTGGCACTGTCCTCGGAAGATGGTTGTGAGGATTCAAAGGATGCTGCATGAAAGACGCATGGCATGCAGTGGGAGGGTGAGAATGACACCGTGGCCTCCTCTGGCAGTGCCAGGAGCCCGTGGTGGGCACAGCTGGGCTGTCTGGCCTACCCATTGGGGCATCTCCCACTGGGGTCTGGAGACACCAGATCTGGGTCCTCACAGGACTTGGGGCAAGTCCCTCGGCTGTCTGGTCCTCAGTTTTCCTCTCTGTGTGGTGGGGTAGGCAGCTCAGGTTCTCAGGCTCCCAATGGCTCTGAGGAGGCAGCCAGCGTCACAGGGCTCAGGGCTGTGCAGGCGTCAGTGTGTGGACAGACCTGCTGCTCCCGCCGCCCGCTCCTGCGCTCCCGCTTGCCTTCCTGAGCCACTTTCCGGCCTGTGGATTCTGGGGCTGGAGGCCTGGATCCAGTTGGGGGCGCCTTTCCCTCACCCACCGTGTGTTCTGCAGGACGAAAAAGGAGCATTCAACTTTGACCAGGAAACAGTGATCAACCCAGAGACGGGCGAGCAGGTGAGGGAGGCCTCAGCAGAGCCCCAGGGTACTGGGAGGGTGGGCACAGGTGGGGCAGTGGCCACCTTAAGCCCGACAGTGGAGCTCCTTTTCCAGATTCAGAGCTGGTATCGGAGCGGGGAGACCTGGGATAGCAAGTTCAGCACCATCGCCTCCAGCTACGAAGAGTGCCGGGCTGAGAGCGTGGGTCTCTACCTCTGTCTCCACCCGCAAGTGCTGGAGTAAGAGCAGCAGGGCCGAGGGGCGGGCTGTCCCGCTGCAGTGGCCAGCCCTGGGGGCGTGGAGGGTGGGTGGTAGTGGCCAGTGGGATGGGGACAGGGCAGCCTCTGACCATCCTGCCACCTGCCTGCCCCTCTCACAGGATCTTTGGCTTTGAGGGGGCTGATGCGGAGGACGTGATCTACGTGAACTGGCTCAACATGGTTCGGGCCGGGCTGCTCGCTCTGGAGTTCTACACACCTGAGGCCTTCAACTGGCGACAGGTAGGGCCTAGGTGGAGCCCCCTGGAGGCGGAAGGGAGCCTGCAGTGGGTGCCAAGATCAGGGTGCAAGGATGGGACCACTGTACCTTTAAGGCAGATGAACTGGGTTTAATGCTAGACTCCACTGTTTGGGAGGCAAGTCACATCACTCTTGTGAGCCCCAGAGTTCCTCTCTGTGAAATGGGAGTAGGACTCTCCCCGGCCACCATTTCACGGTGAATCAGATGAGGTGACTTTATTAGGACTCCTCGCAGTTGACGCACTCTCTGCCACACACAATTCTAAACGCCCTCCATGAATTAACTACCCCAGGAGGTAGGTGCTATTGTTACCCTCATTTTAGAGATGAGGAAGTCGAGGCACAAGGAGATGAAGCAACTTGCCACTAAGTGGCAGAGCCAGGATTCGCATCCATACAGTGCCTACAGGGCCATTCAGTGCCACGGCTCAGTTATGTGTCCTTTGGATATGGGGTAAGCAATAGAAACTTTTTTGTTTGTTCGTTTTTGTTTTTTTGAGACAAAGTCTCGCTCTGTCACCAGGCTGGAGTGCAGTGGCCGGATCTCGGCTCACTGCAACCTCCGCCTCCCGGGTTCAAGCAATTCTGCCTCAGCCTCCCGAGTAGCTGGGACTATAGGCGCACCACCACACCCGGCTAATTTTTTGTATTTTTTTTTTCTTTTGAGACAGAGTCTCACTCTGTCACCCAGGCTGGAGTGCAGTGGCACCATCTTGGCTCACTGCAAACTCCATCTCCTGGGTTCACGCCATTCTCTCGCCTCAGCCTCCCGAGTGGCTAGGATTACAGGCATGCACCACCACGCCCAGCTAATTTTTTGTATTTTTAGTAGAGATGGGGTTTCACCGTGTTAGCCAGGATGGTCTCGATCTCCTGACCTTGTGATCCGCCCGCCTCGGCCTCCCAAAGTGCTGGGATTACAGGTGTGAGCCACCGCATCCCACCAGCAATAGAAACTTTTTGACAAAATCAAATAGGTGTGGTTTGAGGAGGCGATGTGACGTCATTCAGGGTCCAGAAATGTGGGTCTGAGTCCTGGCTCTTCCGTTATTAGCTGTGTGCCCCTAAGGAAGTCCCTTTACCTCTCTGGGCCTCTGTTTTATCATCTGTAAACTGGGGATAATGATGCCTACTTGGTTCCCCTTTTGAGCACAAACAAGGTTGTGGAGGAGAAAGTGTTTGGGGACCCTGGAGGGGGTAGCTGCTGTCCTCAGCAGGGGATCTGGAGCAGCAGGGATCACAGTGGGTGACATGGGGAGCATGGGCACCAGGTCCCGCCTGGAAATGGCCTCCCTGTCTCCTAGGGCAGCCTGCCCTCTCTGTGAGAAGAGGAAGGAGGAAGCATTTGAGGGGAGGAGAATAAGCAGAAAAGGACCCGCAGGGTTGGGGAGAATGACAATAACAGTTGCCAGTTAATGGGCAACTGGGACCAAGGACCAAGCCTGGGACCAAGGACCAAGCCAAGGACCAAGCCTAGGACCAAGCACTTGATACGGGCTACAAATGCTGTCTTTCCCCTGCTCCGGCAGGCCCATATGCAGGCCCGGTTTGTGATCCTGAGAGTCTTGCTGGAGGCTGGCGAGGGACTCGTTACCATCACTCCCACCACAGGCTCCGATGGGCGCCCAGATGCCCGGGTCCGCCTCGACCGCAGCAAGATCCGGTCTGTGGGCAAGCCTGCTCTAGAGCGCTTCCTGCGGAGACTTCAGGTAAGCAAAGGCCTCTCGTCTGGATGGGTCCCCACCAACCTCTCCAGGGGCACTGAGTGTTACCAGGCACGGAGAATAAGCTGTGAGCAGTTTCTTATGCTGCAGTGAGGAAAGGTAGCCAGTAAACATGTAAGCGCACCGGGTGCCTCACGCCTGTGATCCCAGCACTGTGGGAGGCCAAGGAGGGCAGATCACTTGAGCTCAGGAGTTCGAGACTAGCCTGGGCAACATGGCAAAACCTCGTCTCTACAAAAAATACAAAAATTAGCCAGGTATGGTAGTGCGCACCTGTAGTTCCAGCTACTCTGGAGGCGGAAGTGGGAGGATCACTTGAGCCTGAGGGGTCGAGGCTGCAGTAAGCCATGATTGCACCACTACACTCCAGCCTGGGTGACAGAGTGAGACCCTATCTCTAAAAAAAAAAAAAAGAATAAGGACATCTTTTATTTATTTATTTGTTTGTTTATTTATTTATTAGACAGAGTTTTGCTCTTGTTGCCCAGGCTGGAGTGCAATGGCGTGATCTCGGCTCACTGTAACCTTCTCCTGGGTTCAAGCAATTCTCCTGCCTCAACCTCCCGAGTAGCTGGGATTACAGGCTTTCACCACCACGCCCGGCTAATTTTTTTTTTTTGAGACAGGGTCTCGCTCTGTCGCCCAGGCTGGAGTGCAGTGGCGTGATCTGTGCTCACTGCAAACTCCGCCTCCTGGGTTCACACCATTCTCCTGCCTCTGCCTCCCGAGTAGCAGGGACTACAGGTGCCCGCCACCATGCCCGGCTAATTTTTTGTATTTTTAGTGGAGACAGGGTTTCACCGTGTTAGCCAGGATGGTCTCGATCTCCTGACCTCGTGATCTGCCTGCCTCGGCCTCCCAAAGTGCTGGGATTACAGGCGTGAGCCACCGGGCCTGGCCTAATTTTTGTATTTTTAGTAGAGACAGGGTTTCACCATGTTGGCCAGGCTTGTCTCGAACTCCTGACCTCAGGTGATCCACCCGCCTTGACCTCCCAAAGTGCTGGGATTACAGGTGTGAGGCACTGTGCCCAGCCAGGACATCTTTTAAGAACGAAGGACATTTTTGGACAAACAAAAACAGTTTACCGTTAATAAACCCTCAGTAACAACACTTCTACAGGATATAATTTAGGAAAAAGAAACAGCCCCAGAGAGAAGGTTTGATAAGCCATAAGATATATGGCTGAGTGATGCTGAGAGTAAATATACAATATGAACTTTGTACACCAATAAAACTGCTCAGTTTCCCTGGCGTGATGGCTCATGCCTGTAATCCCAGAACTTTGGGAGGCTAGATTCCTTGAGTCTAGGAGTTCAAGACCAGCCTGGGCAACATAGTGAGACCTCATCTCTACAAAAAATTTTAAAAATAGCCAAGTGTGGTGATGCACGCCTGTGGTCGCAGCCACACAGGAGGCTGAGATGGGAGGATCACTTGAGCATGGGAGGTAGAGGCTGCAGTGAGCCCTGATCACCACTGCACTCTAGCCTGGGTGACAGAACTAGATTCTGTCTCTAAAAGAAAAAGAAAAGATAACATATTAATCAAAAGTTACCATAAAGAAGGTGTCAAGTCTTACACTAGGTGCTGGGCGCGGTGGCTCACGCCTGTAATCCCGGCACTCTGGGAGGCCGAGGCGGGTGGATCACGAGGTCAGCAGTTCGAGACCAGCCTGACCAACATGGTGAAACCCCATCTCTACTAAAAATACAAAAAAATTAGCTGGGCATGGTGGCTGGTGCCTGTAATCCCAGCTACTTGGGAGGCTGAAGCAGGAGAATCTCTTTAAACCTGAAGGCGGAGGTTGCAGTGAGCCGAGATTGCGCCACTGCACTCTAGCCTCTGCAATGAGAGCAAAACTCCGCCTCAAAAAAAAAAAGGTCTTACACTAGGATAGGATATTTATAACACATATGGTTAGGCCCCGCTTATCCACAGTTTTGCTTTATGCGGCTGCAGTTAGCCACAGTAAAATACAACAAGATATTTTTAGGTTGGGTGTGGTGGTTCACGCCTGTAATCCCAGCACTTTGGGAGGCCCAGACGGGCTGATCACCTGAGGTCACGAGTTCAAGACCAGCCTGGCCAACATGGTGAAGCCCTATCTCTACTAAAAATACAAAAATTAGCTGGGCATGGTGGCAGGCGCCTGTAATCCCAGCCACTCAGGAGGCTGAGGCATGAGAATCGCTTGAATCTGGGAGTTGGAGGTTGCAGTGAGCCAAGATTGTGCCACTGCCCTCCTGCTTGGGTGACACAGCGAAACACTGCCTCAAAAAGAAAAAAAAAAACATATTTTGAGAGAGAGGCTATATTCACCTTTTATCGCGTTATTTTGTTACAGGTGTTCTATTTTATTAGTAGTTATTGTTAATCTCTTCCTGTGCCTAATTTATAAATTAAACTTTCTCATAGGTGTGTATGTATGGTGAAAAAAAAACAGTGTATATATAGTGCCCTGTACTGTCCATGGCTTCAGGCATCCACTACATGGTCTTGGAACATATACGCCATGGATATATGGGGACTACTGTACTGACAAAGGGTTCATATTTAAAATAAATAAAGAACTTTTCAGCCGAGCACAGTCGCTCACACCTGTAATCCCAGCACTTTGGGAGGCCAAGGCAGACAGATCACTTGAGGTAAGGAGTTCGAGACCAGCCTGGCCAACATGGTGAAACCTGTCTCTACCAAAAACATAAAAAATTAGCCAGGCGTATTGGCAGGTGCCTGTAATCCCAGCTACTCAGGAGGCTAAGGCAGGAGAATTGCTCAAACCTGGAAGGTGGAGGTTGCAGTGAGCCAAGATCATGCCACTGCACTCCATCGCGGGCAATACAGCAAGACTCCATTTCAAAAAATAAAGAAAGAAGAAACTTTTTTTAAAAAAGTGAAGGAGAAAAGATAACCCAACATAAAATAAGCAAAAATGAACAGAAGAGGAAAATGAATAGCCCTTGATCAACTAAGGGAAGATGCTCAACCTTGTTAGTAATTAGGCAACCTCAACCTAAACTGCATAAGTTACAATTGATACCCACCAGCATGGCAGGAATTAACAACTGCCAGCATCCACTTAGTAGACTGAGCAATGAGGACTGCCATCCACTGCTTTTGGAAGGCTGAATTACATACGAATTTTAAGAAACAGCAGCGTCATCTCTTAAAGTTGAGCACTCCTGTCACCGACACAGAATCAGTTCTGGAAAAACTTGCATCTGTTCATCAGGAGACATACAGGGATGTTCACAGCAGCATTATTAGCAAAAAGCACCGGCCGGGCGCACTGGCTCACGCCTGTAATCCCAGCACTATGGGAGGCCATGGCGGGCAGGTCACCTGAGGTCAGGAGTTTCAGACCAGCCTAGTTAACATGGTGAAACCCCATCTCTACTAAAAGTACAAAAAGGCTGGGCATGGTGGCTCACACCTGTAATCCCAGCACTTTGGGAGGCCGAGGCAGGCAGATCACCTGAGGTTAGGAGTTCAAGACCAGCCTGGCCAACATGGTGAAACCCCTTTTCTACTAAAAATAAAAAATTAGCCGGGTATGGTGGCATTTGCCTGTAGTCCCAGCTACTCAGGAGGCTGAGGCAGGAGAATCGCTTGAACCAGGAGGTGGAGGTTGCAGTGAGCCAAGATCGTGCCACTGAACTCCGGCCCAAGCGACAGAGTGAGACTCTGTCTCAAAAAAAAAAAAAAGTGCAAAAAAGTTAGCCAGGCATGGTGGCGCATCCTGTACTCCAAGCTACTCGGGAAGCTGAGACAAGAGAATCACTTGAACCCGGGAGGTGGGGATTGCAGTGAGCCATGATCGTGCTGCTGCACTCCAGCCTGGGCAACAAGAGTGAAAATTACGTCTCAAAAAAAAAAAGCACCAAATTACACATGAACAGTAGAGGAGATGAAGTTGTGTGTTTATAAGTAAAAGACTACATACACAGCAGTGAGAAGGGGAACTATAGCTGAATGTTTTGGCACAAATGAATCTCAAACATAATCCAAGCAGAAAAAGAAAATCACAATATATACAGTTCAAAAACCGGCCGGGCACAGTGGCTCACCACTGTAATCCCAGCACTTTGGGAGGCTGAGGCGGGAGGATCACCTGAGGTCAGGAGTTCGAGACCAGCCTGTCCAACATGGTGAAACCCCACATCTACTAAAAATACAAAAATTAGGTGGGCATGGTGGCAGGTGCCTGTAGTCCCAGCTACAGAGGAGGCTGAGGCAGGAGGATCACTTGAACCTGGGAGGTGGAGGTTTCAGTGAGCTGATAATCTGCCACTGCACACCAGCCTGGGTAATAGACTGAGACTTTGTCTCCAAAAAAAAAAAAAAAGCAGGCAAGAACTTAATATATGATTGAGAGTAAAACTCAGGGAAAGCAAGAGAGTTTTTTAAAAACTACAATATCGGCTGGGCACGGTGGCTCACGCCTGTAATCCCAGCACTTTGGGAGGCCAAGATGGGCAGATCATGAGGTCAAACGATTGAGACCATCCTGGCCAACATGGCGGCCCGTCTCTACTAAAAATACAAAAATTAGCTGGGCGTGGTGGTGCACACCTGTAGTCCCAGCTACTCAGGAGGCTGAGGCAGAAGAATTGCTTGAACCTGGGAGGTGGAGGTTGCGTGAGCCAAGATCACGCCACTGCGCTCCAGCCTGGCAACAGCGAGACTCCATCTCAAAAAAAAGAAAGTACAATATCAAGGATAGTGGTTTCCTTAGATGGGGACAGCCACAGAGTGCAGTCAAGCAGAAGCAGCTGAACTAACTCTGAGGTGAGGTGGGGGTTGTATGAGTGTCCGTCTTTTTTTTTTTTTTGATGGGAGTCTCGCTCTGTCCCCCAGGCTGGAATGCAGTGGCAAGTTCTTGGCTTATTGCAGCCTCTGCCTCCCGAGTTCAAGAGATTCTCCTGCCTCAGCCTCCCGAGTAGCTGGGATTATAGGCGTGTGCCACCATGCCCAGCTAATTTTTTTTTTTTCGAAACCAAGTCTCACTCTGTCGCCCAGGCTGGAGTGCAGTGGCGTGATCTCAGCTCACTGCAAGCTCCGCCTCCCAGGTTCATGCCATTCTCGTGCCTCAGCCTCCCGAGTAGCTGGGACTACAGGCACCCGCCTGGCTAATTTTTTGTATTTTTTAGTAGAGATGGGGTTTCACCCCATGTTAGCCAGGATGGTCTCGATCTCCTGACCTCGTGATCCACCCGCCTCGGCCTCCCAAAGTGCTGGGATTACAGGCGTGAGACACCACGCCCAACCAAATTTTTTGTATTTTTAGTAGAAACGGGGTTTCACAGTGCTAGCCAGGATGGTCTTGATCTACTGACCTCATGATCCGCCCACCTCGTCCTCCCAAAGTGCTGGGATTACAGGCATGAGCCACCCGCCCGGCCCGAGTGTTTGTTTTAATATTCTTTACGGTATACATACTGTATCTTGTATGTGTAAGAAATGTTTTATTTTATTTATTTATTATTTTTTTGAGATGGAGTCTCACTTTGTCACCCACGCTGGAGTGCAATGGTGCAATCTTGGCTCACTGCATCCATCACCTCCTGGGTTCAAGCGATTCTCCCACCTCAGCTTCCTGAATAGCTGGGACTACAGGCACCACCATCAAACCTGGCTAGTTTTTATATTTTTGTAGAGACAGGGTTTCACCATGTTGGCCAAGCTGGTCTTGAACTCCTGACCTCAGGTGATCCGCCTGCCTCGGCCTCCCAAAGTGCTGGGATTACAGGTATGAGCCACCGTGCCCAGCCAGAAATGTTTTATTTTATAAAGGGTAATGGTCATACCTGCCTTGTCTACATGTCAAATGAGATAATCAAACGAGAAACATTAGCTTTAATTTTGTGGGCATTTACTCTATGCTAATCACTGATCTGTGTTTCTCACTCATTCAGCACAGTAACACTATGAGAGAGTAGAACTATTCTTGTTTAGAGATAACAGGTCAGAGTGGTTTAGTAACTTGTCCAAGGTTACACTGCCTGTAAGTGACAGGGCCCAGCATTTTGCAGAGTGTCTTAGTCTGTCTTGTGCTGTTGTAACACACCAAAAATACCAGAGGCTGGGTGATTTATAAAGAACAGAAATTGGCCAGGCATGGTGGCTCACGCCTGTAATCCCAGCACTTTGGGAGGCCGGGGCGGGGCAGATCTCGAGATCAGGAGATGGAGACCATCTTGGCTAACATGGTGAAATCCCATCTCTACTAAAAATACAAAAATTTAGCCGGGCGTGGTGGCACGCACCTGTAGTCCCAGCTACTCAGGAGGCTGAGGTAGGAGAATCACTTGAACCCGGGAGGCAGAGGTTGCAGTGAGCCAAGATTGTGCCATTGCACTCCAGGCTGGGTGACAGCAAGACTCTGTCTCAAAAAAAAAAAAGATCACAAATTTATTTCTGGCAGTTCTGGAGGTGGGGGAGTCCAAGATCAAGGTACCAGCTGGTTCATTTTCTGGTGAAGGCTGCTCTTCTCTTCCATCCAAGATGATACCTTGTTGAAGATACCTTATTTGTAGGAGAGGAATGGGAGGAATGCTGTGGCCTCACATGGTGGAAAGCAAAATGGCAACAGGGCCAAACAGGCATGAAGCCTGTTTTCCTTTTTCTTTCTTTCTTTTCCTTTTTTTTAGAGACGAGACGGGGTCTCACTATGTTAACCAGGCTGGTCTCAAACTCAAGCAATCCTCTCACCTCGGACTCCCCAAGTGCCCAGGATTGCACGCATGAGCCACCATGGCTGGCCTTTTTTTTTCCATAGAGATATGGTCTTGCCATATTGTCCAGGCTGGTCTCAAACTCCTGGGCTCAAGTGATCCCCTGCCTCCTCCTCCCAAGGTACTAAGATTACAGGTGTGAGCCACCACACCCAGCCTGAAGCCTCTTTTATAAGGGCCTTAATCCCATTCAAGAGGAAGGAGCCTTAATGGTTAAGTTGAAACTTAACCATAAGTTTCAACACCAGAATTTTGGAGGGGACACATTCAAACCATAGCACAGACTGTCCAGGGCTGACCACAATCAGCTGTGGCCTATGGCAGAGCCCTGTGGACACCGGGTAACTGCCCATCCTAGACATTTACTCCATCCTTCTCACAGGTGCTGAAGTCCACAGGGGATGTGGCCGGAGGGCGGGCCCTGTACGAGGGGTATGCAACAGTCACTGATGCGCCCCCCGAGTGCTTCCTCACCCTCAGGGACACGGTGCTGCTGCGTAAGGAATCTCGGAAGCTCATTGTTCAGCCCAACACTCGCCTTGAAGGTAATGAGGTAATGAGGGAGCTCTTGAGCTCCCTTGATGAGCACCACACAGGGCCCTCTGGGAAGCAGTAAGAACCCATCCCAGGGCTCAATAAGAACCTAACCCAGCCTGGGATGGCCCTTCCCTTTCTGCCAAGGTCCTTCCCATGCCAAACCTCAGGCCCTTATCTTGGTATCTGTCACCACCCACCACCCCCCCGACACACACACAGTCATGCAAGTTGTAAGACAGTGACAGAAGATTTGAAGAAGACCACCAGAGCAGGGGATAGCAGAACATGCAGACTTAGGGGGAAGCCAGGCGTTCATACCAAAGAATTAGACCTGTTGGGTACCCAGGCTGGGGGTCAGGTGAGGAGGGAGCTGGGATCCAGCAAGCCTAGTGAAACCCAGGGGACAGTGGACTCGGTCACATCCAGGATGGTGATCAACAGCTGCATCATCCCGCTTCCTTCTCAAGCGACAATTCCAGAGCCTTGGCCACACGGTGCTTGTATCTTTCGTATTCAGACCCCCTGGGGTTCCAGCCCCTTACTGCCTTCACTTTCCTCTCACCCCTTGACTCATCTTTCCTGCTACTTGTCACTTGAGATACCTAAGATGATGTGTGTTATGGAGAGGTTAGAGCACCAGCTTCAGAACCACCCTGTGACTTTGGCCTAGTCACCTGACATTTCTAGACTTTGGTGTCTTCATTCATAAAGGCAGTGTGGACTGCTTGCTGATGTTATCGTGAACCTGAATTCCTTCTTAGAGTTTCTAAGTGCTTTCTGGGGATTAACCTTTTAAATCCTTGCAGTAGCCCAATAAGGTAGGTATTGTTGTTATCCCCATTTTACAGGTAAGGAAACTGAGGCACAGAGAGTAATTTGCACAAGGCTTATGGCTTTTTAGTGGAGGAGCCAAGAGTCAAATTAAGAGTGGTTGAGTCAGGCATGGTGGCCCCTGCCTATAGTCCCAGCTACTTGAAAGAGTGAGGTAGGAGGATTGCTTGAGCCCAGGAGTTCAATGCTACAGAGCAAGACCTCAACTCTTTAAAAAAAAAAAAAAAAAAAAAGCATTGTCCTGGGCAGTTGTGAGGGTTACATAGAATAATATTTGCAAAAAGTCACTACCTATTATTGGTGAGGAAAAAGCATTTATTTATTTGGTTTTTGGGTTGGTTTTGTTTTTGTTTTTGTTTTTGTTTTTTTTGAGACGGAGTCTCACTCTGTCGCCTAGGCTGGAGTGTAGTGACACAATCTCGGCTCATTGCAACCTCCGCCTCTGGGTTCAAGCGATTCTCCTGCCCCAGTCTCCCGAGTAGCTGGTATAACAGGCGCCCGCCACCACACCCAGCTAATTTTTGTATTTTTTTTAGTAGAGACGGGGTTTTACTATGTTGGCTAGGCTGGTCTCGAACTCCTGACCTCAAGTGATCTACCCACCTCAGCCTCCCAAAGTGCTGGGATTACAGGCGTGAGCCACCATACCCGGCTATTTTATTTTATTTATTTCTGAGACGGAGTTTCCCTCTTGTTGCCCAGGCTGGAGTGCAGTGGCTCGATCTTGGCCCACTGCAATCTCTGCCTCCCGGGTTCAAGCGATTCTCCTGCCTCAGCTTCCTGAGTAGCTGGGATTACAGGCGCGTGCCGCCATGCCCGGCTAATTTTTGTATTTTTAGTAGAGACAGGGTTTTGCCATGTTGGCCAGGCTGGTCTCGAACTCCTGACCTCAGGTGATCCACCCTCCTCGGCCTCCCAAAGTGCTGGGATTACAGGCGTGAGCCACCATGCCCAGCCGGAAAAAGCATTTATTAAGACGCTCATTCTAGATGCTTTTCCATGCTCTCCAGAGGCTTCCTGGGATTTGGCCCCAACCCTTGCCAGCCTCACCACCCCTTCTCTGGCTCACTGTACTCCAGTCTCCCGACCTTTCTGTTTCTTCTACCCACTGAGCTGGGTCCACTCCTACAGCCTTTGAATAAGCTGTTCTTGCTGCTTGGCATGATCTTCCTCCAGATCTTTGCCTGTCTGGTTCTTTTTGTCCTTCCGCTCCTTGTAAAACGGCACCCTGTGAGAGAGGTTGTCTCTGACCCCTCCACCTAAAGTAACTGCTTCGGTCCCTCTCTGTTCTGCTACCCAGTTTCATTTTCTTCTAGCGCCCATCACGCTTGCCCATTTTCTTGGTGGTCACTTCTCATGATGGGAGGAGCAGCATACCCCAGTGCCTCATGCACAGCCTGGCACACTGGAGTTGCTCAGTGACTGTCAAATGAGTGCATTAATAAATCATGCCAGCCACATGGACAATACTCTCAATTGCTTTGATATGTCCAGCCCTGTGCGAGCCATGGGGGAGCCACTAGGGATCCGGAGGTGATCACAGCTCACTGGGGATGATAAGATATGGAGATAAATAATCATACAAGGGGGCCGGGCGCGGTGACTCACACCTGTAATCCCAGCACTTTGGGAGGCTGAGGCAGGTGGATCACAAGGTCAGGAGATCGAGACCGTCCTGGCTAACACGGTGAAACCCCGTCTCTACTAAAAATACAAAAAATTAGCCAGGCATGGTTGCAGGCGCCTGTAGTCCCAGCTACTCAGGAGACTGAGGCAGGAGAATGACCTGAACCCGGGAGGCGGAGCTTGCAGTGAGCCAAGATTGCGTCACTGCACTCCAGCCTGGGTGACAGAGCGAGACTCCATCTAAAAAAAAAAATAATAATAATAATCATCATCATAATCATACAAGGGAAGTGTTAATGAGTGGCCAAAACATATAAACAGAACTCTGAACACTTAGAGGAGGGAAGATCGCATCCATCTTCAAGAGTATCCGGGAACGTTCTGGGGAGGAAGGGGTGGTTCCCACTAGATCTGAAGAACAGGTTGGATTTTCAAAGGTTGTGATGGTGGTGCACTGTAAAAAGTTTTTTTTTTTTTTTTTGAGGTGGAGTCTCACTCTGTCCCGCAGGCAGTGGTGAGATCTCGGCTCACTGCAACCTCCACCTCCGGAGTCAAATGATTCTCCGGCCTCAGCCTCCCAAAAAGCTGGGATTAGAGGCACCCACCACCATGCCCAGCTAATTTTGTATTTTTAGTAGAGATGGGGTTTCACCATGTTGGCCAGGCTAATCTCGAACTCCTGACCTCAAGTGATCCACCCGCCTCAGCCTCCCAAAGTGCTGGCATTACAGGTGTGAGCCACCACACCCAGCCAGGTCGCTGTAAAAGCTTTCTATGGCTTAACTCCTAACAACCCAGAGAGAAATGGTTATTATCCTCATTTTTCATCTGGAAAATGAGGCACAGAGGGGCTGTGTATTTGCCTGCGGTCACAAAGCTGTTGGGTGGCAGAGCCAGAACTTGAACTCCAGAGCTTGTGCTCTTTGCTGCTGTGCAGCTTGTGATGTCATGGAACACGACAAGGTGCACAGAGAGGGTAGAGCAGTTGAAGTGTGTTTGAGGGCAGTGCTTCCCGGGGGTATTCAGGGGACCCTCAGAACAGCCCATTTAATAAATCAGTAAACAGGTTCGGAGATAATGATGCCATGGTGGCTAGCATTTGTTGAGCACCCCCTCGATGTGTGACTATGTCATCACTGCAGCTCCTTTACAGATGAGGAGACTGAAGCTTGGGAGGTTGCAACACTTGCCCCAGGTCCCACAGTAGACAGATGAAGTCGTTGCTGAATTGTGAGCTTCAGGACACCAAGGACTGTATCTGTTTCACCTAGTGTGGCACCTGGTGTCTTTTATTATTTATTTATTTATTTATTTATTTTGAGGTGGAATCTCACTGTCACCCAGGCTGGAGTGCAGTGGCACGATCTCTGCTCACCGCAACCTCTGCCACCCGGGTTCAAGCAATTCTCCAGCCTCAGCCTCCCGAGTAGCTGGGACTACAGGCTCATGCCACCACGCCCAGCTAATTTTTTTGTATGTTTAGTATAAACAGTGTTTCATCATGTTGGCCAAGCTGGTCTCAAACTCCTGACCTCAGGTGATCCTCCCACCTCAGCCTACCAAGGTGCTAGGATTACAGGCATGAGCCACCATGCCCAGCCTAAATCTTTATTTGATTGACTGAATGAACGAAAGCAGCAATGCATTTAATACTCCCCCTGTAGTATTTCCTTCCTCACAGGGTTACTGTAAAGAGTAAATTAAGTAATTAACCTAAAACGTAGAGCACAGGTTTTTTTGGCAGAGCTCAGTAAGAAACAGCTGCTGCTGTAATTGTGATTATTAAGATTTTTATGATGATTCAGTTTCCCTATTCAGACCTTTCCCTGCTGTTTTCTCTCCATCTCCTCCCCAGGCTCAGACGTGCAGCTTCTGGAATACGAGGCGTCAGCTGCTGGCCTCATCCGATCCTTCTCTGAGCGTTTCCCAGAGGATGGACCCGAGTTGGAGGAGATCCTCACACAGCTGGCCACAGCCGATGCCCGATTCTGGAAGGGCCCCAGTGAGGCCCCATCTGGCCAAGCTTGAGGAAGATGTGTGGCCTTGCCCCCAATTCCATCAGACCAAGGCTGCAAGTGGCCCTCCATTCGTGTGTGTATTTAGGGGCTGGGGAGGGGGAGGGGCAGGAGCTTGGACCTTGGTACTACCTCAGCTGAGGGTGGTGACACAACCCCTTCCATTTGTCAGCACTTTCCAGCCTGCCAATTGCTTCCCCTCTGTGATCTCATTTCATCTGCACTGCCATACGTGGAGTGAGCAAGACAGGGCTTACCATCCTGTCTACCAGATGAGGAAATGGCAGTTCTGAGAAGTCACTGGTCTAGATCCCGCAGGTGGCACGTGACAGCTAGGGTTCAAAACGTTCTCACCAAATCCAATGCTCCTCACATATTAATTTTATAACCAGACAAATAAATATTAGAGACAACCACCATCTTTGCGGCGTGTGTGGCTCCTCCTTGCCTTTGCCTGTCTTCTCATTTACTCCCAGCAGAGTGATGGGCTCAAGGCCTGGGGAGGGGGCAAGGAGGGCCATTTTTAGCCTCCCTTCCACAACAGGATGTTGACATTATCTCTAGATGAGGATACGCAGTCACAGAGCTGAACATAGCACAATTTTTGCAGCTCTCCTTTGTGGCATTCCTTGCATTTTTAAATGTTCTGGGGCCGGGCACGGTGGCTCATGCCTGTAATCCCAGCACTTTGGGAGGCCGAGGCGAGGGGATCACGAGGTCAGGAGTTCGAGACCGGCTTGGCCAATATGGTGAAACCTCGTCTCTACTAAAAAATAAAGTAGCTGGGCATGGTGGCATGCGCCTGTAATCCCAGCTACTCGGGAGGCTGAGGCAGGAGAATCCCTGGAACCCGGGAGGCGGAGGTTGCGGTGAGCCGAAATCGCGCTACTGCGCTCCAGCGCAAGCGACAGAGCGAGACTACGTCTCAAAAAAAAAAAAAAAAAAAAAAAGTTCTGGGAACCTACAAACTCAACTTCAGTCAGAATCCTCTGCATTTGTCCCATAACCCTCGTGTTTTGTTTCTCTGGGCCTGGACCTCTACAGTAACGCAGCAAGGCAGGACATGGTCCTTTTCAACCGGGTAACCATGAAGATGGAGACAGGAGGAGTTCTTTTTGCTGCTCATAAATGCTAGAAGGGGCTTCTTTCCAACCCTGGAAGCCAGAGGGCTCTGTGGCTGACCCAGAGATTGTAGGACCCAGACGCCTGGAAAGGTGGCTCTGACTGGGAAGGAGCAAAGATAAATATCTTTGAGGAATCTGAGACAGATTCCTCAACCCAGGAAGGTGGCCAGCGCGTCCTCCTGAGCCTGGGTGGGAAAGCTTGGCGCCCGGAACCTTTGTACTCGCCCTTCCCTGTGCTCGGGCACTATTGGGCGTTACGCGAGGGCGGGGCCGGTTGCCAGGACGACGCCTGCGAAGATGGCCGCTGCGTCCTCATCGGATTCCGACGCCTGCGGAGCTGAGAGGTGAAGGCAGGGCTCCTCAAGGCCTCTTTTCCCACCCGTGTAAAGAGGGTCCCTTGGTCCCCGGGCTCTGGGCTCCTGCTGTTCTCGGGCAGTCTGGAAGGACTCTTAAGAGGTCAGATAGGGAAACCGAGGCCTAAGATGTGCATATGTGTGTCTGGAGGTCGCTCGGTGAGCCAGTGGCGGAGCCTGGACTTGTACCCAGACGTTCTGTACCTTATGTTCAGAGTGACCTGTACCAGCTTCCTCAAAGTTTTTTTTTCCCCTCCCATGGGACTCACTCCCCAACTGTCTTTCCCCCACTTCCAGCAATGAGGCCAATTCGAAGTGGTTGGATGCGCACTACGACCCAATGGCCAATATCCACACCTTTTCTGCCTGCCTAGGTGAGTCTCTGGAACCAGGAACCCTGGGTTCTAGTGGGATGGGGAGTCAGACAATGGTCCTGTAGTGAAGCCTCTGGGATTCTGAGACTCTGGTTTTGGCCCTTTTGTTTTCCAGCGCTGGCAGATTTACATGGGGATGGGGAATACAAGGTAAGCATATCACCCTAGCCAGGAGAGTTGAGGGTAGGGGGGTGTACCCAGAAATGAGATTTCCTGACGGCTGAAAATAGGCCCAGCATACTCTGGAATTCACATATACTGTGAAAAAGCACATTTAGCGTTAAATTTTGTTTTTATATGGAAAGTGAAGAGAACTTATTGATTTCATAATACAGACTGCAGAAAGTAAAGCAGATCAAATATTTCTGGGGATTCTACTAAGACAAAGCCTCTTAGTTAACCTGATTTCTTTGTTGGAAGGGCAAATCCCTTGGTTGGGGGTGGGCACTAGAATCTGGAGGGAAAGTAAAAAGGAGGGAAGTGAACGTTTGATGTTTATCAAAAGATTTTAAGATGGGCCATGAGCTGTCAATTTTTGAAGCTGGATAATGGGATATATGGGGACTCATTATATGAGTCTCTCTACTTTTGTATGTGAATGAAAATTTTCCATAGTAAAAATGTTACATTTTAAATTTAATTTTAAGGCCAGCAATCCCAGCACTTTGGGAGGCTGAGGTGGGTGGATCGCTTGAGCTTAGGCATTCGAGACCAGCCTGTCCAACATGGTGAAACACCATCTCTACTAAAAATACAAAAATTAGCCGGGCATGGTGATGGGCACCTGTAATCCCAGCTACTTGGGAGGCTGAGGCAGGAGAATTGGTCAAACCCAGGAGGCGGAGGTTGAGTGAGCTGAGACCATGCCACTACACTCCAGCCTGGATGACAGAGTGAGACAGTTTCAAAAAAAAATATATATATATATATGTGTATATATATGTATATATATGTATATATATGTGTATATATATGTATATATATATACATATATTTAATTTTAAATAAAAATGTAAATTTAAAAAGATACAAGTTTTTTAAAGGTAGAGAAATATATTGGGATAAAAGAAAGGAAGTTAGCATGGATTCAGTATCCATTTCTGGACTAGACATTCCATGGAGGCACATAAACATGGATTTTATTTATTCCCATTTTGTGAATGGGAAAATAGTTTCAAAGAGGTGAAGTTTACTGAATTTGTAACTGGGTCTGTTTGATTCCAAGTTTTGTGCTTTTTCTACCAAAGCTCAGCCCTCACCATGGGCAACAACACCACAATGGATATATCATGTGGGTGGCTAGAAGATAGTCCTGGAATCCCACCCCACACAGAGAGTGCAATAGGACTCAGTGGTTTTTGCCCCCAAATTCCTATCCATAATGTATTCAGTAATTCAGCAAGTGTATAGTGAGTCCCTACTGTGTGTCAGGCATCATGGGGACACTACACTCAGAAATGCATCAGCATGTGGTCAGGAGGAGATACACTGTCGACAATTATTCCATGATATTGATTGAATACCTAGTTTGTATTTGGCTCTGGGCTTACAATAGTGAGGGAAGAGAAACCACAGACACAGTAGCTAATAAGAAATGTTAGCCAGGCACAGTGGCTCATGCCTGTAATCCCAGCACTTTAGGAGGAGGCCAAGGCGGGTGGATCACGAGGTCAGGAGTTTGAGACCAGCCTGGACAACATGGTGAAACCCTGTCTGTACTAAAAATACAAAAATCAGCCGGGCGTGGTGGCAGGCGCCTGTAATCCCAGCTACTCGGGAGGCTGAGGCAGGAGAATGGCTTGAAACCAGAAGGCGGAGGTTGCAGTGAGCCGAAATCACGCCATCGCACTTCAGCCTGGGTGACAGAGCGAGACTCCATCTCAAAAAAAAAAAGAAATGTTAAATATCTTCACATAATAGAATGTTTAATGGCTAGTTTATTCACCATTGAGTCCCAGCATCTAGTCCAGTACCTGACATAAAGTAGGTACTTGATAAATATTTGTGGGGAAGTGAGTAGATGCTAAAATTGAACATGTAGAAAGTATTACGGGAGCGCCAACGAGAACAATGGATTCTGTCTGGAGGCACCAGGAGGTAGTAATGTGTGAACTGGGCATTGAAGGATGAATGAAGTCTATCAAGAAGTCAAGGATGAGAGGATGGGGAAGGCATTTCAGGTAGAAGAAACAGCACAAGCAGAAGGACAGAGACTTAGAAGTTCATAGCATATTTGGAAAGAATAAATGTGAAGTTAGAAAGTTGAGACCCATATAAAATAACTACCACATAAAATAGTAGTTAAGACTATGGCTTTGGATTCAGACAGAACTAGCTCTACCACTTAATAGCTGTATGACTTTTACTTAACTTCTCTAAGACACAGCTTCCTCATTTGAGAAATGAGGCTAATAATGGTGCCTACTTCATAAGGTTGTTGAAAGCCAGGTGTAGTGGCACACACCTGTAGTCCTAGCTGCTTGGGAGGCTAAGGTGGGAAGACTGCTTAAGCCCAGGAGTTTGAGGCTGCAGCGAGCCATGATCGCACCACTGCACTCCAGCCTAGGTGACAGAGCAAGACCCAGTCGCTTAAAAATAATAAGACTGTTGAGAGGGTTAAATGAAACGATGCATGCAGTTTCTGATGTGGTCCCTGGCATATACTGCATGCTCAGTATCCAGGAGTTCTTGGGTACCCCCTTTCTGGCCGGAGCACAGCAATGGGAAGGGTGATAGGAAACAAGTTGGGAACTAGATCAGAGAGGCCTTCCAGGCCTCATTCAGGGAAATGGGCTTGTGTGGCAGCTCCAGCAGCTTGGAAGATGGATTAGAGGGTGGAAAGCTGAGATCAAGGAGCTTGTTTCCCCTCTGTGTGTCCACAGAGCACATCCTGCCCTGCATTTGGAAACCAGGCTTCAGCAGCCCAGATATGGGTGTCCCCGTCCCCTCCCACACTGACCTCTACCACTGTCCCAGTATCTCTCTAGAAGTGCCTGGTGTGGAAGAAATGTTTGCTGAATGAATAATAAAAACATCAACTGCCACTTATTCCTCAGTAGCACTTACCAGGTTCTGTAACTCATTATCTCACTTGATTTTCACCACATACCATGAAAGTATCACCATTCTGCAAGCGGGAAACCTGAGATTCAGAAAGGTTAGTCAACTTTCCCAAGGTCAGGCAGCTTGAAAGCCTGAGGGCAAAGCCTTTATTGGTGCAGGAATGAATGAATGTGCACCAGCAATAAGGCAAGAAGAGGGTCAGTGGAGAGGTCTTCAGACCCTGAGCCTAGAATGAGCCATCCTCTCCCTGCAGCTGGTGGTAGGGGACCTTGGCCCTGGTGGGCAGCAGCCCCGCCTGAAGGTGCTCAAAGGACCACTGGTGATGACCGAAAGCCCGCTACCTGCTCTGCCAGCTGCTGCTGCCACCTTCCTCATGGAGCAACATGAGCCCCGGACCCCAGCTCTGGCACTTGCTTCAGGCCCTTGTGTCTATGTGTATAAGAATCTCAGACCCTACTTCAAGTTCAGCCTGCCCCAATTGCCTCCAAATCCTCTGGAACAAGACCTTTGGAACCAGGCCAAAGAGGTAAATAAATAACATGGGAGTTGGGAACCAGAAGGCAAAGATGGCAGCCACTGGGTGAAGAGGGCTGGGCTCCTGGGAAGAACGTGGGCTGGTGGCAGGAGGTCAGCTATAGTCCATCTCTGACAGCAGCAGTGATGGCACTTTTTTTTTTTTTGAGACGGAGTTTCACTCTTGTTGCCCAGACTGGAGTGCAATGACGTGATCTTGGTTCACTGCAGCCTCTGGCTCCCGGGTTAAAGCAATTCTTCTGTCTCATCCTCCTGAGTAGCTGGGATTGCAGGCACCAGCAACCACGCCTGGCGAATTTTTTGTATGTGTTAGTAGAGACAAGGTTTTACTATGTTGGCCAGGCTGGTCTTGAACTCCTGGCCTCATATGATCTACCCACCTCGGCCTCCCAAAGTGTTGGGATTACAGGCATGAACCACCGTGCCCAGCCTAGTGATGGCACTTCTGGACAAGGTGTTGTGCTTGGCTACTCAGCATGGCTCCCAGAGAGGCACTGAGCCAGTTCTCTTGGAGAGTGGAACCCAGAAAATTTCTCTGCACTAGCCACATCCCTGCCCAAATTTGAGGAAGATGAAACCAAAGAAGGTAGGGGCCTGTCAGAGAAGAAGGAGGACTGGAAACACCAAGAGAGGAGGGGAATTTGGGGAGGCATGGATTTGGGGAGGGATGATGTACATGGCCATGAGACTGGATTCAGATAAAGGACGTGAGCTTGGTGCTCAGTGCAGAGGTAGGCTGGCAGGGAGGCAGAGACCAAGAGGTACCCCTAGAAGTGTGGAGCTGTCTGGGGGTGTAGACATTGGGTTTCCTGCCTGGCTTGAGCTCACAGGCTCTCTTCCCACATTGTCACAGGACCGAATCGACCCCTTAACCCTGAAGGAGATGCTGGAGAGCATCCGGTGAGAGGCTGCCTTCCCCTTCATACCCCCCTCACTCCTTCATCCCATCTGAGCCCCAGGGCCCCATTCTTCCATTCGGCTGCCATGCTGGCCCCTTTCCTTGCAGGGAGACGGCAGAGGAGCCTTTGTCCATCCAGTCACTCAGGTAAGGACCCTGTGGAGGGCCAGGGTTTGGGAGGCTCCAGGGAGAGGAAGCAGCCGCCAGAATGTGCCAGAATGATGGAGGAGGGCAGCGAGGCCGGGGCCTGCAGATGCCAGTTCTCTGTGTGTCTAGGTTTCTGCAGCTGGAGCTAAGTGAAATGGAGGCATTTGTAAACCAACACAAGTCCAACTCCATCAAGCGGCAGGTAATACCCCCTTCTCTTTTTATTTCCCTGTAAAAAAATTTACATTTTTTTAAAAGACCACTTAACATCAGTGGTAAATTCTATAAGCAAACCCAACCAGTATCTCTTTGCTATATCCCTTCCAGCCATGCCATGTGTGTGTAGTCATAAAGCTGCAGTGACTTCCACATTCCAGTTAGTAGTGACAGCTTTTTTTTTTTTTTTTTTTTTTTGAGACAGTCTTGCTCTGTCACCCAGGCTGGAGTACAGTGGCACAATCTCAGCTCACTACAACCTCTGTTTCCTGGGTTCAAGCGATTCTCCTGCCTCAGCCTCCCAAGTAGCTGGGATTATAGGCATGCACCAACACACCCAGCTAATTTTTGTATTTTTAGTAGAGACGGGGTTTCACCATGTTGTCCAGGCTGGTCTCGAACTCCTGACCTCAGGTGATCCGCCTACCTTGACCTCCCAAAGTGCTCAGATTACAGGTGTGAGCCATCGTGCCATGCCAACCACTCACATTTTTGAGTTATCATTAACATTTGGGATGGGAATAGTTACCACTAATATTTGTCCACATTTTTGTAAGCTTTCGCCTTCCATTAGGCACTGAAAATCATTCCTCTTTTTTAATCTCTTTTGGGGAAGGGTAGGGAGCTGGGTCTTCCTCCGTCACCCAGGCTGGAGTGCAGTGGTGTGATCGTGGCTCACTACAGCCTCAAACTACTGGATTCAAGTGATCCTCCCCCTTCAACCTCCTGAGTAGTTGGGACTACAAGTGCATGCCACCATGCCCAGCTAATTTTTTTATTTTTATTTTTTGTAGAGATGGAGTCTCACTATGTTGCCCAGGCTAGTCTTGAACTCCTGAACTCAAGCAGTCCTCCTACCTCAGCCTCCCAAAGTGGTGCTATTACAGGAATGAGCTGCTGTGCCCAGCTGTCTTTTTCAATCTTGATGATAATCACACAATGAGCACCTTTATCTAAAGAAAAACATCTTGGCCGGGCGCGGTGGCTCACGCCTGTAATCCCAGCATTTTGGGAGGCTGAGACGGGCAGATCACGAGGTCAGGAGATCGAGACCATCCTGGCTAACATGGTGAAACCCTGTCTCTACTAAAAATACAAAAAATTAGCCGGGCATGGTAGCGGTCGCCTGTACTCCCAGCTACTCAGGAGGTTGAGGCAGGGGAATGGCGTTAACCCGGGAGGCGGAGCTTGCAGTGAGCCGAGATTGCGCCACTGCACTCCAGCCTTGGTGACAGAGCAAGACTCTATCTCAAAAAAAAAAACCAAAAAACAAAAAAAAAAAGAAAAACATTTTGCTTCTGCTAATTTCTGTAGGAGAAATTCCTTACAAGGGGATCTTTTTTGTTTTCCCTCCAATTATAATTACAAAAGAAACATGTGCCCACTGTAGAAACGATAGGCATCATGAGGAATTAAACATCACTTGTGATATCATTGTCTAACAATAACTAGTGTTTGTTTAAGGGTTTAGCCTTCCACATGTTTTTGCATTCATGTATTTTTTATTTTGAAATTTTTGTCCTTTTTTTTTTTTTTTTGGAGACAGAGTCTGGCTCTGTCGCCAGGCTGGAGTGCAGTGGTGTGATCTCAGCTCACTGCAACCTCCACCTCCTGGGTTCAAGCTATTCTCCTGCCTCAGCCTCCCAAGTAGCTGAGACTACAGGCGCACACCACCACGCCCAGCTAATTTTTGTATTTTTAGTAGAGATGGTGTTTCACCATGCTGGCCAGGATGGTCTCGATCTCTTGACCTCGTGATCTGCCTGCCTCAGCCTCCCAAAATGCTGGGATTACAGGTGTGAGCCACCACGCCCATCTTATTTATTTATTTATTTTTTTAAGAGATGGGGTCTCACCATGTTGCCCAGACTGGTCTCAAACTCCTGATCTAAAGTGATCCTCCCACCTGGGCCTCCCAAAGTGCTGGGATTACAGGCATGAGCCACCTTATTTAGCCTATATTCATATATTTTTAAAACTAGGATTATACTAACGTCACTTTTTTTTTTCTTTTCTTTTTTTTTTTTGAGATGGAGTTTTGCTCTTGTTGCCCAGGCTGGAGTGCAATGGCGCAATCTCAGCTCATCGCAACCTCCGCCTCCTGGGTTCAAGCGATTCTCCTGCCGCAGCCTCCCGAGTAGATGGGATTACAGGGATGTGCCACCACGCCCGGCTAATTTTGTATTTTTAGTAGGGACAGGGTTTCTCCCTGTTGGTCAGGCTGGTCTCGAACTCCCAACCTCACGTGATCCACCCACCTCGGCCTCCCAAAGTGCTGGGATTACAGGCGTGAACCACCGCATCCGGCCTTTTCTTTTATTTATTTTTGAAACGGAGTCTCGCTCTGTCACCCAGGCTGGAGTGCAATGGCATGATCTCAGCTCACTGCAACCTCCATTTCCCAGGTCCAAGCAATTCTCCTGCCTCAGCCTCACAAGTAGCTGGGATTACAGGCACCCGCCATCATGCCTGGGCTAATGGTTGTATTTCTGTACAGATGAGGTTTCTTTTTTTTTTTTTTTTCTTTTCTTTCTTTGAGATGGAGTCTTGCTCTGTCACCCAGGCTGGAGTACAGTGGTGCAATCTTGGCTCACTGCAGCCTCTGCTTCCCGGGTTCCAGCGATTCTCCTGCCTCAGCCTCCTGGGTAGCTGGGATTACAGGTGCATGCCACCATGCCTGGCTAATTTTCATATTTTTTGGTAGAGATGGGGTTTCACCATTTTGGCCAGGCTGGTCTTAAACTTCTGACCACTTCAGCCTCCCAGAGTGCTGGGCTTACAGGTGTGAGCCACCACGCCCAGCCCTTTTCTTTTTTTTTTTTTTTTTTAAGACAGGGTCTTACTCTGTCAGTCAGGCTGGAATGCAGTGGCAGGATCATAGCTCACTGGAGCATTGAACTCCTGGGATCAAGGGATCCTCCTGCCTCAGCCTCCTGAGTACCTGGGACTACAGATGCATGCCATCGCACCTGGCTGATTTTTTATTTTTATTTTTTGTAGAGTTGGGGTCTCACTTTGCTGCCCAAGCTGGTCTTGGACTCCTGGGCTCATGCAGTCCACCTGCCTTGGTCCCCAAAAGTGCTGGGATTACAGGCATGATCTGCTGAGCCTGGCCCAAATATTCTTTTTAAATATGACTTTTAAGAAATGACTGCAGCCGGGCATGGTGGCTCATGCATGTAATCCCAGCACTTTAGGGGGCTGAGGCGGGTGGATCACAGGTCAGGAGTTCAAGACCAACCTGGGCAACATGGTGAAACTAAAAATACAAAAAGTAGCTGGGCACGGTGGCGTGCGCCTGTAATCCCAGCTAGTTGGGAGGCTAAGGCAGGAGAATTGCTTGAACCTGCGAGGCAGAGGTTGCAGTGAGCCGAGATTGTACCACTGCACTCCTGCCTGGGCGACAGAGCGAGAACCTGTCTCAAGAAAAAAAAAAGACTGCATAGTTTTTGATCATATGGATGGCTCATAATTGACTTAGACAATCCTCTTTTGTTAGAAAGTTAGATTTGTTGCAATAAACACCTTTGTACTTAAATCTTCTGTCACATCTCTGATATTTCCTCTTCATCCTCCTTTGCCCTCTTTCTTCCCTCATGTGGCATTCTGGGAGTATCTTGGGGGTGGTGTGTGGAGGTTCCCTGGGTGACCCCTGGAGTCCTTCTGTAGACAGTCATCACCACCATGACCACCTTGAAGAAGAACCTGGCTGACGAGGATGCTGTGTCTTGCCTGGTGCTGGGCACCGAGAACAAGGAGCTCCTGGTGCTTGACCCCGAGGCCTTCACCATTTTAGCCAAGGTCAGCGTCAGGTCTGGCCCTGGGCCCGCTGGAGGCCCAGGCTGCATTCTCTCCCCATGCTCCACAGTTAGTTCTGGGTAATATATATGTTCCTTGTAGAAAAATTAGAAACTAGATAAGCATTAAAAAAGATATATATCCAAAAATCCTACCGCCTATGGATGTATACTGTTAAAGTTGAGGCATAGGTCTCTCTAGACATTTTCATATTTAGACATAGATATATAACTTTATGTAAATATTTCTCTTTATAAAAACAGGATTAGCTGGGTGTGGTGGCCCATGCCTCTAACCCTAGTGCTTTGGGAGGCCGAGGCAGGAGGATGGCTTGAGCCCAAGAGTTTCAGGCTGCAGTGAGCTATGATTGTGGCACTGCACTCCAGCCTGGGCGACAGAGTGAGACCCTGTCTCTAAAAACAATAAGTAAATAAATAAATAAAAGCAGGAGGATCATGTAACATGTTCTTTTCATGTAGCAGTATATCATCAGTGTCTTTCTATATCTATAAAACCACATCAGCCTTTTATTTTCTTTTGTTTTGTTTTTTGTTTTTGAGGCAGAATCTTGCTGTGTCACCCAGGCTGGAGTACAGTGGCTCTATCTCAGCTCACTGCAGCTTCTACCTCCCGGGTTCAAGCAGTTCTCATGCCTCAGCCACCTGAGTAGCTGGGACTGCAGGCATGTACCACCACACCCAGCTAATTTTTGTATTTTTAGTAGAGATGGGGTATCACCCTGTTGGCCAGGCTGGTCTCAAATTCCTTACCTCAAGTGATCTCTGCATCTCAGCCTCCCAAAGTGCTGGGATTACAGGCGTGAGCCACCACGCCTGACCCCACATCAGCCTTTTTAAAGACCACGCAATATCCATCATATTGAGGTACCATAATTTATTTACCCTGTCACCTATTGTACATTTAAACTGTTTTTCATTTTTTGCTATTAATACCAATGCTATAGACCTTTTTACCCAAATATCCTTGCATGCTTGTTTGTTTGTTTTTGAGACAATCTTGTTCTCTTGCCCAGGCTGAAGTGCAGTGGTACAATCTCAGCTTACTGCAACCTATGCCACCTGGGCTCAAACAGTCCTCTCACCTCATCTTCTCATCTGTGGGACCACCACGCCCAGCTAAGTTTTGTACTTTTGGTAGAGACAAAGTTTTGCCATGTTGGACAGGCTGGTCTTGAACTCCTGAGCTCAAGCGATCCACCCGCCTCAGCCTCTCAAAGTGTTGGGATTACAGGTGTGGGCCACCACACCCAGCTGCACGGTTGTTTAAGTACATCCTTAGGATGCAGTCCTAGAAGTGGCATCGTTTAGTCAAAAGGCACAGACTAAAAGGCTTTTGCTAAATGTTGCCCCAAGTTTCCCTCCTGAAAAACTGTATGAGTTTAAACTGGGTGTAAGTGAGGAGATTGGGACTTTAGACCAGGCACTCACTCAGAGGAGTTACTGACAGGGCAGGGAGGGACGGGGGCTCCAGAGAAATTGGAGTGTTTGCGCTTCTTGTTTGCAGATGAGCCTTCCCAGCGTCCCCGTCTTCCTAGAGGTTTCTGGCCAGTTTGATGTTGAGTTCCGGCTTGCCGCGGCCTGCCGCAATGGAAACATCTATATTCTGAGAAGGTAGCCACATCCGTGGTCTCCGGGGCCGGGAGGAACATCTCAGAAAACTGGTGGCTTCAGAGGCTTGCAAGATGAGAGTGGGCTTTAAGGCTGGAATTTGGAAATGCAAAGAGCTGAGAACTTCATAAAGGAGGCTGAGCCCACAAACACAGGGGAGGATACCTGGAGGCTTGTGAGATAGGGGCTGGCACAGTGAGAGACTAGGCTGGGTGGCTATAGTACAGGAGTGATCAGAAATGAGAGGACAGGCTGGGCGCTGTGGCTCACGCCTGTAATCCCAGCACTTTGGGAGGCCGAGGCAAGCGGATCACCTGAGGTCAGGAGTTCAAGACCAGCCTGGCCAACATGGTGAAACCCCGTCTCTACTAAAAATACAAAATTAGCTGGGCATGGTGGCGCATGCCTCTAGCCCCAGCTACTCGGGAGGCTAAGGTAGGAGAATCGCTTGAACCCAGGAGGCGGAGGTTGCAGTGAGCCAAGATCACACCACTGCACTCCAGCCTGGGTAACGGAGCGAGACTCCGTCTCAAAAAAAAAAAAAAAAAAAAAAAGCAGGGGGGTGCCGGGTGCATTGCCTCACGCCTGTAATCCCAGCACTTTGGAGGCCAACGTGGGTGGATCATGAGGTCAGGAGATCCAGACCATCCTGGCTAACACAGTGAAACCCCATCTCTACTAAAAATACAAAAAATTAGCTGGGCATGGTGGTGGGCGCCTGTAGTCCCAGCTACTCGGGAGGCTGAGGCAGGAGAATGGCGTGAACCTGGGAGGTGGAGCTTGCAGTGAGCCGAGATCACGCCACTGCCCTCCAGCCTGGGCACAGAGCGAGACTCTGTCTCAAAAAAAAAGAAAAGGAAACAGATGGGAAGAAATAAAAAAAAATTTCCCATATTTGTTACTTTCTAGGGTACATGACATGACACTTGTTTATGCATTAGTTTAATATTCCATATAAAATGCTTTTTTTTTTTTTTATTTTGTGAGACAGAGTCACAGAGTCTCACTCTGTCACCCAGGCTGGAGTGCAGTGGCACGATCTCGGCTTACTGCAACCTCTGCCTCCTGGGTTCAAGCGATTCTCCTGCCTCAGCCTCCCAAGTAGCTGGGACTACAGGTGCGTGCCACCACACCCAGCTAATTTTTGTATTTTTAGTAGAGACGGGGTTTCACCATATTGGCCAGGCTGGTCTCGAACGCCTGACCTTGTGATCCACCCTTCTCGGCCTCCCAAAGTGCCGGGATTACAGTCATAAGCCACCACACCCGGCCTAACATGCATTTTTTTAATTCAATAAATATTTATTGAGCACCTACTATGCATTATGCAGTGTGTGGTATTAGGGATATATTGATGAACAAGATAAATATGGTCCCTGTCCTCATGGCGAAGACAGATGTATTAAAGTGAAGAAACCAAGATGTTACTACAAATTGGATGAGTGCTATGGAGAAAAAATACAAGCTCAATGGGGAAAAATAACAGGTAAGGGTGATCAGGAACACCTCTCTGTGGAGATGGCTTGAAAGTTAAAAAGGAACCAGTTGGTGAGAAAGTCGGGAAGAGTGTTGTAGGCCAACTCAAAGTGGGAAAGACATTGGCGTGTGCTCCTCGAATAGAGAGGAACTAACTGTACTTTCTGGAAAGGGAAACTAAAATTGAGAGGCCAGTAAACTAAAAACTGCATTGACACAGGGCAAAGCTCTTCATCCTTTTCTCATAATAAAGTGCCTAAGTCCACTTGTCCTGGCTAGTCCAGCCAAAGGTAAACTCACTGAAAACTCTGTTAAATGCTAGATGATCATACAAGCCACCATAGTGAAGGTGGGCGGAAGACAAGACACCATAGTGAAGGTGGGAGGAAGACAAGACACCATAGTGAAGGTGGGAGGAAGACACACTTGATGTTTTCCAAGGCCACACATTTACTAAGGTGGCAGAAGTGGAAATAATCCCAGGGTCATCTGCTTTGGGGCCAGTGTTCCTCCCAGGTGAGTCCATGAGGTTTAGACAGAGGAGGGTCAGCCATAGAAGTGGAGAGGATTTCTCTGGGGCCAGACAGTGTGTTGTTTATTCCACAGAGACTCCAAGCACCCCAAGTACTGCATCGAGCTGAGCGCCCAGCCTGTGGGACTTATCCGGGTACACAAGGTCCTAGTGGTGGGCAGCACCCAAGACAGCCTGCATGGCTTCACCCACAAGGTGCAGCCCCCAGCAAGCAGCAGCCCCTCCACGCCTATGTCCCTAGCCCCCACTTGGCAAGAGAGTCCTCTGGCTTCCCCACCCCAGAAACCGTTCTTTCCACTGTAAGCCCTGAGCCCTCCACAGACGCTGGCTGTTCCCTGCCAGGGGAAGAAGCTGTGGACAGTGCAGATGCCCGCAGCCATCCTGACCATGAACCTCCTGGAGCAGCATTCCCGGGGCCTGCAGGCCGTCATGGCTGGGCTGGCCAATGGAGAGGTCCGCATTTATCGTGACAAGGCCCTGCTCAATGTCATCCACACCCCGGTGAGCCCCATCTCCGGCATCTGCCACTCACTCCTCCTTGCCCTCGTCTCACCTCTGGGGCTTCTTAGCTGCCTCTTCCGACCACACATTGATGCATTTCAAAAACATTTGTTGAGGCCAGGCACAGTGGCTCATGCCTGTAATCCCAGCACTTTGGGAGGCCAAGGTGGGCAGATCACCTGAGGTAAGGAGTTCAAAACCAGCCTAGCCAACATGGCATAACCCCCTTGCTACTAAAAATACAAAAATTAGCCGGGCATGGTGGTGCGTACCTGTAATCCCAGCTACTCAGGAGGTTGAGGTAGGAGAATCGCTTGAGCCTGGGAGGCGGAGGTTGCAGTGAGCCAAGATCAAACCATGGCACTTCAGCCTGGACAACAGAGCGAGACTCCATCTTAAAAAAAAAAAAAATGTGTTGAGCACCTCATATGTACCAGTCACCATATTGGTAGGGGTGGGGGGTAAAATGATGACTAAGTCCTTGTTTTCAGGAGGCTTACAGTCTAAGGTAACAGCCAGCCAGAGACATAGCAAATTTAAAAGGGCCGACTGAAGCAGAGCAAAGTGCTAAAAAGCGCAGAGGGTGCTGAGTGACAAGGGTGGGGGGTGAGATAAATGGGGATGGACTCCATGGGACACTTCACAGAACAAGTGACAGTTCAACTGGGCCTCAGAACAGTTTGTCAGGTGGACAAATGGAGGAAGAACATTCTGCACAGAGAATAGCATGCACAAAGCCTGAGAAGTATGAAGGCTCTTGATTAAGGAATCCAGGTCATTTGATGAGTTTGGACCAGAGGTTTTCAGACTCTAAGTTGTGAATCATTAAATCAGTTTAGTAGATCACAACCAGCAACATTTTTAAAAATAGAATAGTAAATTCAAAGTATGTCACAAGTGAGGGCCAGGCACATTGGCTCACACCTGTAATCCCAGCACTTTGGAAGGCTGAGGCAGGCGATCACAGTTCTGGAACAGCCTGGCCAACATGGTGAAACCCCATCTCTACTAAAAATAAACAAATTAGCCGGGTATGGGCCGGGCACGGTGGCTCACGTCTGTAATCCCAGCACTTTGGGAGGCCGAGGCAGGCAGATCACAAGGTCAGGAGATGGAGACCATCCTGGCTAACACGGTAAAACCCCGTCTCTACTAAAAATACAAAAAATTAGCCGGGCATGGTGGCAGGTGCCTGTAGTCCCAGCTACTCAGGAGGCTGAGGCAGGAGAATGGCGTGAACCTGGGAGGTGGAGCTTGCAGTGAGCCGAGATCGCACCACTGCACTCCAGCCTGGGTGACAGAGCGAGACTCCATCTCAAAAAAAAAAAAAAAGCCGGGTGTGATGGCACACCTGTAATCCCAGCTACTTGGGAGGCTGAGGCAGAAGAATCACTTGAACCTGGGAGGCAAAGGTTGCAGTGAACTGAGATCGCGCCACTGCACTCCAGCCTGGGCCACAGAGCAAGACTCTGTCTCAAAACAAAAAAACAAAACAACAAAAATAAATAAATAATTACAAATACAAATAGAAAAATTAGCCAAGCATGGTGGTGCATGCCTATAATCGCATCTACTGGGAAGGCCGAGGCAGAATCACTTGAACCCAGGAGGCAGAGGTTGCAGTGAGCTGGAGATCACACCACTGCACTCCAGCCTGGGCAATGAAGTGAGACTCCATCTCAAAAAAAAAGTATGTCACAAGTGAAACTGTGTATGTGTGTGTAAATTGTCCTGTGTCACAGTATAAAATTTGCAAACAACTGGCTTGGGCCATAGGTGCTGGGAGGGCCGGTGGTATGCTCGTTGAAAGAAGGGTAAAGAGGAGAGAACTGACAGAAAAGGCGGGTTGGAGTCAAATGTGGAAGGCCTTCAGTGTCCTAAGAAAGAGAACAAAAGCCATTGGAGGTTTTCTATCAGAGACCAGACATATTTGTGTTTTTGAAAGGTAGCAAAGGCAGCATTGTGAAGGGCAGACTGGGGAGAAAGACCCGAAAGACGAGTCTGGGAGATCTATTAGGAGGTTGACCCCAAAAGTGAGGGCCAGTGATATTTGGTCTGGAACTGAGGTAGTGAGATTGGAGGGGAGATGAGAAATATAGGAAATATTTCAGAGGCAGCGATTCCCCAGGCCTGTCTCTATCACTTCTCACCTATTATATCTGGGGCCTCCCCTACCCATCCCCTGTCTTGCTTTCCTCTCCAAGATATTTCCCCAACTAAACTCTGACGTCTCCACATAGGATGCAGTGACCAGCCTTTGCTTTGGCCGGTACGGGCGGGAGGACAACACCCTCATCATGACCACTCGAGGTGAGTGGAGTCAGACCTGGCAAGGGCTTTGAAGTCGGGAGTGAAGGGACAGGCCTGCTTCTGGGGAAAGAGGAGGAGGTGGAAATGAAGCATGGGTGGACCTGGGTGTGGAAAGTAAGGCCTACAGAAGTGTCCTTCTGGAGCTAGGCCTCCACTGGGACAGCCCAAGGGCTGGGTCCTGGGCTGGATTCGATCTTTCTAGTTCACCCAGCATCCCCAGTGCCTGCCACGATGCCAGGAACATCACAGTACTCCACAAATAACTGCTAAGTGGATTAATGAATTAATGATGAGAGACTATTAAGATGCACTTTGTTACTTCCAGAAACAGTCTCGTCTGGAAGACGGATGTGTACAGAAGCAACTCTATAGGAGGCAGATTGTTTGGGGAAGAAAGAATGGGAATGTGGGTAGAACTGGGGAGGACAAATCCATTTCCACTGTCCACTTCCCTAGGTGGTGGCCTGATCATCAAGATCCTGAAGCGTACAGCAGTGTTTGTAGAGGGAGGAAGTGAGGTGGGTCCCCCACCAGCCCAGGCCATGAAACTCAATGTGCCCCGAAAGACCCGGCTTTACGTGGATCAGACACTGCGAGAGCGGGAGGCTGGCACCGGTGAGCCTCAGACTGGGTCCTTTCCCTTCTTCCTCCTCCACTGCTCCTACACAGCAAAGCTGGGGGAATGCTGCCCAGCCTCCCTGTGCACTGGGAGGAGATCTCGGCCAACTAGGTAGGTCACTCACCTCTGCAAATCCAGGGACAGCCTAGGAGGTACACGTTGCCTGCAAATCACTGTTCCTCAGGCTGGAAGGTGCTGTGGGTGACAGCAAGAGCCCTTAGAATTCAGGGAAGGGAGCAGTCACTTCCAAACGCAGGAATTCTCATGAGGAAAGTAGAATTTTGACTGGGCATGGTGGCTCACGCCTGTAATCCCAACACTTTGGCAGAGGTGGGAGGACAGCATGAGCCCAGGAGTTCAAGACCTACCTGGGTAACATAATGATACTTCTTTCTCAAAAAAAAAAAAAGAGAGAGAGAGAAAGAGAAAAGTAGAATTTGACCAGTGTCATCTTGTCCAGTTTTTCCTGCCCGTTTATTTGTTCATTCATTCATCGTTCGTTCATTCATTCATTCAGTACCTATGATTACACCAGGCCTTGTGCCAGGTGCCTTTAATTAGAATAGTCCCTACCTTGGGCCAGGTGCAGTGGCTCACGCCTGTAATCCCACCACTTTGGGAGGCGGAGATGGGCAGATCATGAGGTCAGGAGTTCAAGACCAGCCTGGCCAATATGGTGAAACCCTGTCTCTACTAAAAATACAAACATTAGCCAGGCGTGTTGGCATGCACCTGTAGTCCCAGCTACTTGGGAGGCTGAGGCAGAAGAATCGCTTAAACCCAGGAGGCGGAGGTTGCAGTGAGCCAAGATCATGCCACTGCACTCCAGCCTTGGTGACAGAGCGAGACTCCGTCTCAAAAAAAAAAAAAAAAAAAAAAAGAATAAATAATAGTCCCTACCTTAGGAACTCAGTCTACCTGGGGCCAACTTCATGATCATGTGTAGAAGGGGTTTCTGCAAAGAGCTTTTGGAGCACACAGAGGGAGTAAGGACTTCTGCCTGGGAAGCTTGGGAAAGGCTTCAGAGCGAGGTGACTTTGGGCTTCACCCTAAAAGATGATAGCCAGACCCCCAGACAGGGCAGGGCAGGGTAATATAGGCAGAGGCACAGGGTGTTGACCTGGATTCAAGAAAGCAGGCCCGGTTCGGTGGCTCATGCCTATAATCCCAGCTCTTTGGGAGGCCGAGGCAGGCAGATCACCTGAGGTCAGGAGTTCGTGACCAGCCTGGCCAACATGGTGAAACCCCCTTGCTACTAAAAATACAAAATTAGCTGGGCATGGTGGCACACGCCTGTAATCTCCTTAGGCAGGAGAATCACTTGAACCTAGGAGGCAAAGGTTGCAGTGAACCAAGATCACGCCACTGCACTCCAGCCTGGGTGACAAGAGCCAGACTCCGTCTCAAAGAAAAAGAAAATGTACAAAGTCTAATAAAGTTGTAAAACTATCTTCAAGAACAGAAAAGACCACCTTCAAGAATGCTTAAGTGGAGAGAGTTACCAAGTTGCAGGATGGGAAGACCTAATGCTGTAAAGCTTGAAGTTGCAGTTAAAATCCCAGTGGGGTTTGTTTTAAGGACCTGGCCAGTTGATTCAAAGAGTAAACCTAAGAAGATTGGGGAAAATAAGAATGAGGGGACTTACCCTATCAGGTAGCAAAATGAACTCAAGCTGTGGGAATCAGAAGCTGTGGTGTGGATGCAGAAATAGAATGGAGATCAGGGCAGGATTAGGAAGTCCAGAAACTGACCCTGAACATGTGGAAAGTCAGAGTGTGTGAAAGGTGTCATTTTGAATTGGCAGGGAGATGTGAGACTGTCCAAAAACACACAATCAGGACAACTTGCTTCTAGAAAAGAAAATTAGACCTTTTCGGCCAGGTGCGGTGGCTCACACCTGTAATCCCAGCACTTTGGGAGGCCGAGGTGGGCAGATCACCTGAGGTCAGGAGTTCGAGACCAGCCTGACCAACATGGTGAAACCCCGTCTCTACTAAATACAAAAAATTAGCCAGGCTTGGCGGCGCGTGCCTGTAATTCCAGCTACTCGGGAGGCTGAGGCAGGAGAATCGATTGAACCCGGGAGGCAGAGGTTGCAGTGAGCTGAGATCACGCCATTGCACTCCAGCCTGGGTAACAAGAGTGAAACTCTGTCTCAAAAAAAAAAAAAAAAAAAAAGGAAGAAAATCAGACCTTTTCTTCATACCAGCCACAAAAATTAATTCTGGATAGATTAAAAATAAATTGTAAAAGTACTAGAGAAAAAGCACATAAAATGTGAAACTCTTGAATGGCAGAAGCCACTTCACACATAAACGGAAGAGCGAAGCCAGCCTGGGGGACCGAGGTGCCCAGTCTGGAAGAGGAGGGACAGTGGGGTGGGGGCGGGGTGGGCCCTGGAGGTGGCTTGGGGAAGAGTCATGTGATCCTGCAAACGGTGAGATGTGAGGGGTGGACCTAGGTGACTTGATGGACAGGGAGGCAGTGACGGAGGCAGGACCATGAGGCTGGTTTCCGCAGCATTGAGCCTGAGGTGTTGATGGGACCTCCCTGTGGAGATGAGCAGGAGGCAGGCGAGGGTGCTCACTAAGCTGCTGGAGACACATGCACAATATCGAGCGTGGACACCAAGGACTCCTCTTTGTGGTGGTCAGAGCTGTGGCAGGACATGGATTGTCTGGGGGAAGAAGATGGAGGATGAGAAGAGGACCATGGACCAGACTCAGGAGAACACCAGCCTCTAGGGCCGGACAGAGAAGCCAGTGAAGGAGCTAGATAGTGCAGGCAGGGAGGTGGTAAGAGAGTGAGAAGAGGCAGGGCGAGGCCACGGCGTCGAGTTTTGCCAGAAGGCTGGGCTCTTTCCCTCCTCCCCAGCTCCTGCAGACTCCTCCTGCAGCACCCTCCTCTTGCACCCTCCCCACACCAACCTGAGCAGGAGTGCCCCGTTGCTGCCTCCTCCCTGCCACCCCCCACCTCCACCGTCAGCCTCTGGGACCCTTCTCCACAGCCATGCACCGGGCCTTCCAGACAGACCTATACCTGCTGCGCCTACGTGCTGCCCGCGCCTACCTGCAGGCCCTCGAGTCCAGCCTGAGCCCCCTGTCCACGACAGCCCGAGAGCCACTCAAGCTGCACGCCGTGGTGAGCATCTGGGTGAGGGCAGAGTCAGGGCCAGAGGGGCAGAGGCCAGGATGCGCAGGAACCCCTCTGCCACACAGCTAAGCCCCAGAGCCAATTCCAAGCCAACTCAGCCCGTGCTCCCCATCACCTTCCCGCAGACCTGGGGACCGAGTCTCATGTCCTCCTTTGTGAGAGCAGCCCTCACCTTCCCACCCTCCTGTGCCACCTCTCCCCTCGGCTGGCCATGCCGTGGGACACTCTCCAGCTCAGATAGGCCCCCAGAATAGTCATATTAGGACATTTCTTCCCAAGAACCTGAAGGGATCCTTACAGCTATGGTACAAGGAAGAAGGCTGTCACTTTGGTAACTGTGGGCAGCCCAACGTGTTAGGACTGCTGGGTACAGGGAAGGGGCCATCCCGGCCTCACCCGCAAGCACCGAGACCAGCACGGGCAAAAGGAGGAACCCCGCAAGGCTCAGACGCAAATGAGCTTAGGGTCAGCAGGGCTCGGACCAGCCCTAAATGCGTCCCTGAGGTGTGGCATCTGACCCAACCAGGTTCTGAGTTCTCTTTTCCTAAAGAGTGGATAGATGCAGAGGAGGAAGAGGCTACAAGGCAACTCTGGGGAAGCAGGAGAAAAATGAACTGATCAAGCTACCCTAGGATGAGAGTGGGAGGTGGAACAGGCAGGGGGTGGGGGTGAGGGGCTCAGGTGAGAGTCGGGGCCTGCAGTCCCAGGCCAGCTCTGCCTCTGACTTGCTGCCTGGCCTCCCTCAGGCTCTTGCCCTCTCTGGCCTCTTCTGATCCCTCTGCCCCTTCTGGTCTTCTGTGTCTGCTGGGAGGCAGATTGAGTAGGAGGAGGGGACATGAGGGCATTGGTGGAAGGCAGGCAGAGCACACTGTACTCCGTGCCCAAGGCTGCCAGGTCCTAAGGGCTTTCTCCACCCACCCTCTCCATAGGTTCAGGGCCTTGGCCCCACCTTTAAGCTCACACTTCACCTGCAGAACACCTCAACAACCCGTCCTGTCCTGGGGCTGCTGGTCTGCTTCCTGTACAACGAGGCGCTCTATTCCCTGCCCCGGGCCTTCTTCAAGGTACTGGATGCTCCTCACTTAGATATGGAGTGGGAAAGGCCAGGGCAGGGGCCTGATGAGATGCCCACAGAGCCCCGCCAGGTCAGGGTCAGAGCGTGCGGGTGGCTGCCAGGTGGCCAGCAGACCTACTCTCCCACCACAGACCAGGCCAAGGCCCCAGTAGGGGCCTCTGGAGGGAGCCCCAAGCCCTGCCTCTGCTGCTTTTCTTGCAGCCTGTGAGGGGTCTCCACGAGCCATACAGAAGGTGCTGGGAAAACTGCTAGAGCCTGAACCCCACCTACACCTCCCAGAAGGGTCTGGGGGACCCCAGAGTGTGAAGGGCCTGGTTTTCCCCCAGGGCCCAGGTCTGACCCCAAGTTGGGAGGACCAGAAAATGCAAAAGGCTGGAATATGCAATAAACAGCCCCAGACTTGGTGGGAGTCCAGAGGTCTAGGTTTCATCACTCACCATGAGGCCCTGGGCCATTCACTTCCCCACCACACCTGCATCCTCCTCCACCCAGCAGTTGTCCTGCCCACCCTGCAGGGGTGCTGAGGCTCAGTGGAGACTGCGGGCCTGAATGCACTGGAATATGCCAAACACTGGCACGAGGGCTGGTTTCCTTACTTCTTTGTCCCCAAACTTAGGTACCCTTGCTGGTGCCAGGGCTCAACTACCCCCTGGAGACCTTTGTGGAGAGTCTCAGTAACAAGGGCATCTCAGACATCATCAAGGTAGGCCCCGCACTTGTACCACGTGGAAGGTGAGCAGGACCCTGGGGAGGACAGTAAGGGTGAGTGCCAACAAAGACCTTAGGGGGCTCCTGGGTGGGGGTGGGGGTATCTGCACAGTGGAGCCCTGTGGCCTGTCATTAGGGCCAGCGCAGACCAGGCAAGGGGTCAGGGGTGTATGCCCCCTGCTGCCATGGCCACTCCTCCATAGGTGCTGGTGCTTCGAGAAGGCCAAAGTGCACCCCTGCTGAGTGCCCACGTCAACATGCCTGGGAGCGAGGGGCTGGCGGCCGCCTGAGACCTGAGCTGCTGTGAAAGCCCCTGCACAATCAGCCAGGGAGAACTGGGCGGGTTTAGTGGCCCCAGGCCCACTCCTCATGCAGCAGTGTGCTGGGGCGACAGCTCGTCTCCCCTCTCTTAAGCACCCGCTTCCTCACCACCCCCACTGTTGGGCCTATAGTAGCAGGTTAGTGAGTACCTAGGGCGGCTCAACTCCTCCCACAGCACCAACCCAGCATGGTCCCACTGAAGTCCTACTACGCCCTCCCCTCCCCAGCCTTTTCCAGAAACCATACTGGGCTCAGATCAGAGCTCCGAAGCGGTCAAAGTGAGCTGAGCAGGACAGGCCCAGCCTTTCTCCACTGCCACGTCCCTCATGCACATCACTCATCTCCTGCTGCAGGCCAAGGCCAAAATTGGGCTAGTCCTGGCCAGGGAAATCAGAAGCTCTTCTTGGGTGAGATTGAGCCTCCTGTTGCTCCCTGGAGTTCCGGAGGCTGGGCTGCAGCCCACTCAGCTTGCGGGCAAAATACGTGCTCTCCTCTCTCCTTGTCAGCTGAGCAAACCCAGGGAATAGCCCTCCTCTCCCCAGGAAACTTCTCTGAAATCTTAGACTTAGCCAGTCTTAGGCCTACGATGCCACACAAAGGTTGTTCAGGGAGAAGGGGGTGCAGGAGGCAGAGGGTGCCCCGCAGGGAGCTGGTGGCTCCAGCCCCACTAGAGCTCCTAAAGATCACACAGCAGCTGCTCCTGACAGGGATGCTCATGCCCAGAAAGCAAGCCCAGGAGAGGAAGGCAGAGTGTGACAGAGCAGAGCCAGGGCCAGGCGCACCAGGAGAGGCGTTTCTGGGGCTCCAGAGAAGTGCCACGGGAGGCAGAAGTCCAGAACTGCCCATATAGATGCCCTTCTACATCCTGGAGCCCAAATCAGTCATGTGGGTGGGAAGTTCCCAGGGCAGTGGTCACATCGTGAGAATTAGCAGGAAAGGCGGGGCCTTTCTTGTCATAGCTATTTCTGAGGATGAAATGGGAGACATATGCCCAGCACCTGATGTAAGTTTATATAATGTAATATTATGTACCTACCACTAAGAAATACATGAACCGTGCCATGAGGACAGTAAGTGTTCATAAAGCAACATGAAGCAAGAAACAGTGCAGGGTGCCCAGTGCACACACTAGAGAGAAATTGTGAACATTAAGGACAAGGAGAATTGGTGTCTTTCTAAAACATACTTATTTAAAAACACATACCCACTTACTAATGTGGAATTACACAGTTTGTAACAAGAAAACAGTCTCTCCCATTCTCTAGTACTGCTCCCCTACCCAGCAGTCACTTCCAGTTCATTCAGCTATTTTTAAAATGTGCTTATATGACTCTTGCTTGATATATCAATCTTAGACATTACCTGTTGACTCCCTGTTGTCATACATGAGGCTTTAGCTCTCTTTTGTCAGCAACCCTCCCCCATCCCTAGTTATTAGGTTAAAAAATACTCAGATTACTATTTCTATTACTATGTGAAAGTTAACTGCGGAGCCAAGAGTTGGACTATAATTAAATTACCTTCCTTGTACTTTCTTTTTAATGGAGTTAATGAGTTGCCCTGAGTTTCTCATTTACTTTGTTTTCTGATGGACTGATTGCTAATTCTTCCCCCACCATCTGACAGCTCCTCTTTTTTCTAGACACTTCCCTTCATCCCCTGCTTCACTGAGGACTGTTTGTTTTCCAGGTAAATTGCCTTTGCCTCTCTCCTGGGCTAGATCCTGATTCCTGGGCCTGATGGCTTCCTATTTCTCAGTTCACCCTCATTTGGTGAAACATATCCTCAAATATCTTCTTTAAAAAGTCATGGCCAGAAGGCTGGGCACTGTGGCTCACGCCTGTAATCCCAGCACTTTGGGAGGCCGGGGCAGGCGGACCACCTGAGGTCAGGAGTTTGAGACCAGCCCGGCCAACATGGTGAAACCCTGTCTCTACTAAAAATACAAAAATTAGCCAGGCGTGGTGGCAGACACCTGTAGTTCCAGCTACTTGGGAGGCTGAGGCAGGAGAATCGCTTGAACCCGGGAGGCGGAGGTTGCAGTGAGCTGAGATTGTGCCACTGCACTCCAGCCTGGGCAAAACGAGCGAAACTGGCTGGGCGTGGTAGCTCACACGTGTAATCCCAGCACTTTGGGAGGCCGAGGCAGGCAGATCACAAGGCCAGGAGTTCGAGACCAGCCTGGCCAACATGGTGAAACCCCATCTCTACTAAAAATACAAAAACTAGCCAGGCATGGTGGCAGGCGCGTGTAATCCCAGCTACTTGGAAGGCTGAGGCAGGAGAATTGCTTGAAACAGGAAGGTGGAGGTTGTAGTGAGCCAAGATCGCGCCACTACACCACTCTAGCCTGGGCAAGAGCGAAACTCTGTCTCAAAAAAAAAAAAAAAAAAAAAAAAAAGCGAAACTCTGTCTCAAAAGAAAAGAAAAAAAAAAAAGTCACTAGAGGCCGGGTATAGTGGTTCACACTTGTAATCCCAGCCCTTTGAGAAGCCAAGGCAGGAGGATCGCTTGAACCCATAAGCTGGAGACCAGCCTGTGCAACATGGTGAGACCCTGTCCCTACCAAAAAAAATAAAGTCATTAGAGTTTTTAAAGATTTTTTTCATTTATTTTATTTTATTTTATTTTATTATTTGTTTTTTGAGACGGAGTCTCACTGTGTCGCCCAGGCTGGAGTGCAGTGGCGCGGTCTCGGCTCGCTGCAAGCATCACCTCCCAGGTTCACACCATTCTCTTGCCTCAGCCTCCCGAGTAGCTGGGACTACAGGCGCCTGCCACCATGCCCGGCTAATTTTTCGTATTTTTAGTAGAAACAGCGTTTCACCGTGTTAGCCAGAATGGTCTCGATCTCCTCACCTCGTGATCTGCTAGAGTGTGCTGGCGTGATCTCGGCTCACTGCAACCTCTGCCTCCCGGGCTCAAGTGATTCTCCTCCATCAGACTCCCGAGTAGCTGGGATTACAGGCATGCACCACTGCACCTGGCTAATTTTTGTATTTTTAGTAGAGACAGGGTTTTACCATGTTGGCCAAGCTGGCCTTGAATTCCTGACCTCAGGTGATCCGCCTGCCTCAGCCTCCCAAAGTGCTGGGATTACAGGCATGAGCCACCACACCTGGCCTGGACACAACTTTTGTTTTTGTTTTAGTTTTTTTGAGACAGAGTCTAGCTCTTGTCACCCAGGCTGGAGTGCAGAAGCACGGTCACAGCTCACTGCAGCCTCGACCTGCTGAGCTCAAGCCATCGTCCCACCTCAGCCCACCCCCATCCCCCACACTACAGACGCACTACCACACAAGGCTTTTTTTTTTTTTTTAAGACACAGGGTCTCACTATGTTGTCCAGGCTTGTCTCAAACGCCAGGCCTCAAGTGATCCTCCCGCCTCAGCCTCCCAAAGTGTGGGATTACAGTGCCCAGCCCCCATTAATTTTGTATTTTGCAGAGACAGGGTCTCACTATGTTGCCCAGGCTCACAGTCTATTTTGATAGTGCATGTATAATAGCATACGATATCAGATACTTAAGAATTAATCCAATTTAAAAAGGCATGATCTTTATGGGAAAAGGTACACAACTTTATTGAAAACATTGAGTGCAGAAATAAACCCTGCTCATGAATGGGAAAATTCAATTTTACACAGGTGCTGATTTTATCCAGACTGATCTATAGATTCAGCTGGGTTCCATTCTACATCTCAAGGGGTTTTTGGGGGGAATTTGACAAGCTGATTCTCAAGGTTACATGGAAGAGCAAGGGCCGAGACTAGAGTTTAGGAGATGATTCCCAAAGGGCACAGGGGCAGAAAAATGACCAGTGGAACCACATAGAAAAATCAATTATTGTATTTTCAATGGATCACTAGGCAGCAGGGAAAAGGAATGCCATACAGCTACACACAATAATCCGGATACATCTCAGGAACATAATCAAGTGAAAAGGCAAACTGTAAAAGAATAAACTCTGCATGATTTCATTCATATATTTGAAAACATGCAAAGCCAACACAAACACATTAATAAAACTATAAAGCAAAGCAACGGAATGACTGAAACAGGACAGTGTCTCCCCCACCAGGAAGGGGCAACAGCAGGAACTTCGAAGGAAATGGTAACCTTCTCAAATGCAGTGGGGCTGTTTCCTCTTAATTTTTATAAATGTGTTCTTGTAGCTCCTCACTAATTAAAAACAACAACAACAACGAGTCCAGGCATGGTGGCTCACACCTGTAATCCCAGCACTTTGGGAGGCCAAGGTGGGCAGATCACCTGAGGTCAGCAGTTCAAGACCAGCCTGACCAACATGGTGAAACTCCATCTCTACAAAAGTACAAAATTTAGCAGGGCATGATGGTGGGTGCCTGCAATCCCAGTTACTTGGGAGGCTAAGGCAGGAGAATCGCTTGAACCCAGGAAGTGAGCCAAGATCGCGCCATTGCACTCCAGCTTGGGCAACAGAGAGACTCCATCTCGAAAAATAAAACAAAACACACAAAAAAACATGAAAATAAGATATTGTGGGCTGGGCGCAGTGGCTCATACCTGTAATCCCGGCACTTTGGGAGGCCGAGGCAGGTGGATCACCTGAGGTCAGGAGTTCCAGACCAGCCTGACCAACATGGAGAAACCCCGTCTCTACTAAAAATACAAAAACAATTAGCCGGGCATGGTGGCACATGCCTGTAATCCCAGCTACCGAGAGGCTGCAGCAGGAGAATCGCTTGAACCCGGGAGGCGGAGGTTTCGGTGAACCAAGATCGCATCATTGCACTCCAGCCTGGGTAACAAGAGTGAAACTCTGTCTCAAAAAATAAAAAGAGAAAGAAAGAAAATAAGAAATTGTGGAGGGCGAGGGATGAAACAGGACAAGGTGAGTCTGCTAATGCGTCTGTGCAGCCCAAAGTGCCAGGTACACCAAGTTCCTCCTGTCATTAAAAAATAGCAACAGAGCATGCCTGTTACAAAAACAACCAGCCAAGCAGCTCAGATCTTTGTGGGCATGGGCAGAGCCTGTCAGAGGGTGGGTTTCTCTGAAGGTTCTTGGGGGTCAAGCATGTTCTTTCATGGGAGGCCCCCCAGCAGTATCTATGGACTTTCACTTAACCCCATTTTTTGGTCTAGCCTCTCACCCACCCCTCCCCAGTACGCCTAAGACCCGAAGCTTCTCTGGTTCCATTTATCCTTCAAATAATCCTCACGTCACACCACCCCACCCAGAGGTGTAGCTGCTGGCTGCATGATGTGGGTGGGGTGTGGGTGGGATGTGGGGGAGCGGCACCCCACTGATCCTTACATAGACTTTCCATCGGTCCCCATTGTTGGCCGAAGCCTCACCTCACCCTCCATGGTCCTGGTGGAGTTCCTGAGCCCCTCCGGGGCTCTGGCAGGTAATTCCACTTGCCTTTTGGCCCCACCTTTTGGGAACACATAATTTCAGCTCTTAATTCTCCATCCACTTTCCATCTTTGAAAATGTCAGCCAGGCGGCCGGGCACGGTGGCTCACACCTGTAATCCCAGCACTTTGGGAGGCCAAGGCGGGCAGATCACGAGGTCAGTAGATCAAGACCATCCTGGCCGGCCAGGAGTGGTGGCTCACACCTGTAATCCCAGCACTTTGGGAGGCCGAGGCAGGTGGATCACAAGGTCAGGAGATCGAGACCATCCTGGCTAACACGGTGAAACCTCGTCTCTACTAAAAATACAAAAAATTAGCTTGGCGTGGTGGCAGGCACCTGTAGTCCCAGCTACTTGAGAGGCTGAGGCAGGAGAATGGCGTGAACCCAGAAGGCGGAGCTTGCAGTGAGCCGAGATCGTGCCACTGCACTCCAGCCTGGCAACAGAACAAGAGTCTGTCTCAAATAAAATAAAATAAAATAAAATAAAATAAAATAATAAAAAATTGTCAGCCAGGCACGGTAGCTCACGCCTGTAATCCTAGCACTTTGGGAGACGGAGGTGGAGGCAGGTGCCAGGAATTCAAGTTCAGCCTGGCCAACATGGTGAAACCCTGTCTATACTAAAAATACAAAAAAATTAGCTGGGCATGGCCAGGCGCAATGGCTCACACCTGTAATTCCAGCACTTCGGGAGGCCAAGGCGGGCGGATCACAAGGTCACGAGTTTGAGACCTGCCTGGCCAACATGGTGAAACCCCCGTCTCTACTAAAAATACAAAAATTAGCCAGGAATGGTGGCGGGCACCTGTAATCCCAGCTACTCGGGAGGCTGAGGCAGGAGAATCGCTTGAACCCAGGAGGCGGAGGTTGCAGTGAGCCGAGATCACGCCATTGCACTCCTGCCTGAGCAACAAGAGCAAAACTCCGTCTCAAAAAAGAAAAAAAAAAAAATCAGCCGGGCATAGTGGCGGGTGTCTGTAATCCCAGCAACTCGGGAGGCCGAATCACTTGAACCCGGGAGGTGGAGGTTACAGTGAACCGAGATCGTGCCACTGCACTCCAGCCCCGGCAACAGAGAGAAAAAAGAAAATGTGGTCAGGCTCTGTGTTCTACTGTCTTCCCTCCTGTTTTCTTTCCCTTTGTATTATTTTTGATTTTCTTTACTATCATCTTAGAGAGATCCTAAGAGAAAACTGAGACGAACACATGTGTTTAGGCCTGCCATGTGGAAATGGCGGTCTCTATTCATTCTATTTACACGGAAACATTTAACAAGCAGCTCTTGAGGAGGCCAGAGAGGTGCAGGCCTAGCCCTGTCAGCACCACCCTCCACAGATGCCCAAACAGCCCCAGCGCATTTCTTTACCTTGATTTCTTTCCTACTCATTTCCTCCAGCTGTGCAAGGGTAAAGGCAAAAGCACAAAGACCTGGGTTGGACCCTGCCTCCATTTGCCGCACCATGATCTTACCACATGGATTCTTAGAGCGTAACTGCTGCCCCATGGACCAGGTTAGCTAAGAGAGGTTCCATGAAACTGCTGTTGCAGAAATGCTTCTAACTATAAAATGCCAAACCTGGGAAAGAATGTTTGGATTCTCATAGCCTGGATCAGTAGGACACTGCCTTGGCGTGCTGGTGCCCCACCCCCAACTCACCCAGGCCAGGGGAGGTAGAGCCCCAGCCCCTGAGACCCTCAGGCATCCTGCAGTTTCCAGGCCCTACAGAGGGTCCCAGAAACAGCCCCAGCAACAAAGTGAGGGGCCAGAAACTATGCAAAGATGGAGGGAGGCTGAGAAACAAGTCAGTGCTTTATTAACCTGGCAAAGGGGCAGCTAGGCGGCCTGAGCAGCCCCTGCCAGACCCTCCTCTGCACTCCTCTGCCTAAGTCACGGCCCAAGCCCTGGACACGTAGGAGTGTAGGCGGGCAGGGGCAAGGCCAAGGAAGGGGTGGAGTTGTCCAATGCAGATGTTAAGGTCCAACCCGACTTCCTTACTGAGTCTAGGTGTGGGGGCCCCCCTCTCACCCCTTCCTCCCTGCACAGCTCTGGCTCTTCCTGGAGTCAGGAGGCTGTGTGTCCCACATCTGCTGTGGTCTGGAAGGTGATCCCATCCCCAGGCAATGGGGAGGCCAGGAAGGGCCAGAGCCAGACGAGGGCCCAGCGGGGCCCCAGGGCTGCCTGCAGGTTGTGGCAGGGACCCAGGTCATAGGAGTGCTGGCCCCGAGCCCACTCCCATGTGGTCTGGCCCCGCAGCAGCAGCATCCCATGGAAGAGCAGCCCAGCCCCGCACAGCAGCGCACCCGCCACGCACGTGTCCGTCACGAAGGCCAAGGCAAACTGTGCCAGAGACACTCTGCCTGCAATAAAAGAGCAGAGAGGGTCAGGGAGGGGCAGTGGGGTCCGGCTTTCCTGCCACCTGCTCCCCTCCACCACAAAGCAGGGCTCATTCCTCCGCTCAGCAAACCCTGTGTCGATACTCGCTGGCCAGCCCGTGCTGGGTGACAAGAACGCACTGGTAAACTGGGCAGACGCAGCCCCCTACTTGGGATACGGCTTCATTCCTGCATCACAGACTTGGTGAGCACCTCCTCAGCCCTGGAGGCGGTGCCAGGCACTAGAGGGTGTCTCTGCCCTTGGGGAGCTCACAGACATTAAAGAGGCCATTCTTGGCTGGATGCGGTGGCTCACACCTGTAATCCCAGCACTTTGGGGGGGCGAAGCAGATAGATCACCTGAGGTCAGGAATTTGAGACCAGCCTTGACAACACGGTAAAACCCCGTCTCTACTAAAAAATACAAAAATTAGCCAGACGTGGTGGCAGGCGCCTGTAATCCCAGCTACTCAGGAGGCTGGGGGGCTCAGGCAGGAGAATCGCTTTAACCTGGGAGGCAGAGGTTGCAGTGAGCTGAGATCACGCCACTGCACTCCAGCATGGGCAACATAGCGAGACTCCCATCTCAAAAAAAAAAAAAAAAAAAAGGCCGGACGCGATGGCTCGTGCCTGTAATCCCAGTATTTTGGGAGGCCGAGGCGGGTGGATCACGAGGTCAGGAGTTCCAGACCAGCCTGACCAACATGGTGAAACTCCGTCTCTACTAAAAATACAAAAATTAACCGGGTGTGGTTGCGCACGCCCGTAATCCCAGCTACTCAGGAGGCTGAGGCAGGATAATCGCTTGAACCCGGGAGGTGGAGGCTGCAGTGAGCCAAGATTGCGCCATTGCACTCCAGCCTGGGTGACAGAGTGAGAAAAAAAAAAAAAGCCATTCTCAGTTACTTAATGTGTGCCGCCACAGAAAAGCCAGTATCCTGTGCCATCTTGGCCCACAGTCAGCAACAAGTACCTGCTGAACTAACGGACTACGAGAGGCCATGAAATGTTACTCTAAGTGAGAGAAGCCAGGCACCAAAGGTCACATGTTTATCATCCCACTTATGTGAAACATCCTGAATAGGCAAGTCCACAGAGACAGAAAGATTAGTGGTTGCCAGGGGCTAAGGGGATTAGGGAGGAACATGGAGGGACCACTAATGGGTACGGGGTTTCTTTTTAGGATGAAAATGTTCTGGAATTAGACAGTGGTGATGGTTGCACTACATCATGAATGTACTAAAAGCCACTAAATTGTACACTTTAAAATAGTTAAAATGGGCCGGGTGTGGTGGCTCATGCCTGTAATCCCAGCAATTTAGGAGGCTGAGGCAGGTGGATCACCTGAGGTCAGGAGTTCCAGACCAGCCTGGCCAACATGGAGAAACTCCGTCTGTACTAAAAATACAAAAAATTAGTCGGGCGTGGTGGCGCATGCCTGTAATCCCAGCTACTCGGGAGGCTGAGGCAAGAGAATCACTTGAACCTGGAAGGCGGAGGTTGTGGTGAGCCGAGATCGCGCTATTGCACTCCAGCCTGGGCAACAAGAGCAAAACTCCATCTCAAAAAAAAAAAAAAAACCATTCTGTTTGAAGGTCCTGAGGCAGGCCAGAGGCACTTGTGAGACAAGCAGGTGGACGGTCTGCAGGTCTGCAAGCACAGGGAGAAGCCCAGGCTGGACAAACAGTTCTGCGAGTAGGGGGTGCAAGGCAACCCTGAGACTGTGGGCGCAGCTAGACCTGCCAAAGTGTGTAGAGTGAGGGGGGAATGGCACCTAGACAGGAGCACGGGGAAATCGGTTCTTGGGGATCAGATAAAAGATGAGAAAGGGCAACCACAAAGGAAGGTGAACGCACCAAGGTCCCAGCCATCGGTGATGCCAGGCGGAGAACGCTTCACGGGGGCTGGGGGCCAGCAGTGTCATGAGTCTAAAAGGTCTCATAAAGCAAGAAAGGGTCCTGGAGTGTGTGGAGACAGATCCCTGAGTGAGTGGTGGTGGCAGAAGCCAGGCTGGAGCAGGCAGGGAATGAGCAGCCATGAGCCTGGGCAAGTCCCTTGGGAAGCTTAGAGCAGGGCAAGCGCTGGAGGAGGATATGAGGGCAAGGGAGGGTTTGTCCAAGGTGGCAAACCAGGAGGGCAGAGAAGGCCTGGCCTGCAGGAGAGGCAGATGCCACAGCCTGAGGCCTCCAAGCAGGGAGGTAGGCACCAAATACAAGAAGCTGGGGGCAGTCAGCTGGGCTCGGGGAGTTGAGGACAGCACAATTTGGGATGTGCCAGCTGATGTCTCACTTTCTCAGTGCTGGAGCTTGGAGTGTGGGAGAGCAGGGAAGGTTTGAGCTGCTGTTGCTGGGAGTAGCAAGCTTACAAGCAAACGGGAAGGCCAGGCATAGCCGAGGGCCTGCTGAGGTCAGCAGCCATGAACATGGCATGGCATCAACCTGCCACAGACTGCCAATGCCTCTGGCTCTCAGCAGCCAGAGGCAGACACAGAGAAGCCAGGAAAGCACTGTGGAAGGAAGATGAGGGAGGAAGTTTGCGATGCTGGCAGGAGAATGGTGAGAAGGATGAGCTCTGAGCTGGACGTCGGTGGCGAAGGTGGAAAGGTACAGACGGGCGGTGAGGGCCACGAGCCTGCAGGCTCATGGAGCAGGTGCCAGGGCGTGGAGGAGTAAAAGACGGAGAGAAGAGGAGGTGGGCAGCAGAAAGAGGAAGATGGGTGGTTTGTGAGGGTGACTCATTTTTGGATTCTGACCAGGACTGGGGTGTGGACATGGGAGGAGGGAAAGGAAGGAAAAATGAAGGAGGAGGCCAAGAGCTAAGCCATCCAGGCATTGAGGGGGCTGTTCATGCAAACTTCCAGACACCCTTGATTTCCACAGGGCCCAGGGCGAAGAGAGAGTCTGTGACTGGAGCCAGAGTCTTCCGTGACTGAGGGGAGTGAGTGTTGACCACAAGGTGGTAGGGCAGTGCGGCTGAAGGGCCGGGACTCCTGGAGGGAGGCAGAGGAGGACCCATTGGGAAGCTGGTGTGGGCAGATGAAGATTCTGATAACCCCAGTGGGCCGCTTCCCGAGGCCTCCCCTGGGCTGTAGGTGGGGTCCATGCACAGAGCTGGGCTTGGATAGGATGAGGAGGCACAGTGACTACCCGGAGTAGCCGGGGAGGTTCCTCAACCACAGATCAAAGTGACAGAGGGAACCATGGAAAGGTCAGGAGGAAGGAATGGGGGCGAGAAAGGCCAAAGCATTCTGGGGGTAGAGAACAAAGAGTAAAAAGGACCAGCGAGGCTTCTATCTGTAGATGGGGGAAGAGGAACATATGTGTCGTCTAGAACATGGCATCTCAGGCAGCCTGCTGATCCAAGTCTGCCCTCCCCAGCTTCCCATAACTGGGCCTTCTCCTGCCTGTCACTTTCACTGGCTCCCCACTGTCCAGTCAAATAGGAGCCATCTCCTCACACCAGTTCTCAGGACCCCACCAGCCAGGCCTCCCCTACCAATCTGGCCTTAATTCTCACAATTCCCTGCCCACTCTCCAAGCCTTTGTTCCTATTGCTTCTCTCACTTAGAAATGCTCCTAGAATGCACTTCCACATCCCGCCATGCAGAGACTCCCACGAGTCTTTCTCCTCTCTCAACAACTCCAGGAATCTCCCAATTCTCCAGCCAGAACGCTGCACTTGTCTCAACACACCAGTTTCCATACTGCACCCCCGGGTGAATACCAAGCTGCCCTTACTGGCCATCACTGACACTGGGGCTGGGTCCCCCAGGCCAGAAAGCCCGTCTCCCACCAGAATGGGCTGTACTCCCCAGCCCAATACCAGGGCCCCTGCCTCTGTGCAGAGGCCTCCCAGGCTCCCCACCTGTGAGCAACATGAGCCAGGGAAGCAGGAGGAGGGCAGCCATGTGGAGGGGCGTGTGGGCTCGCAGCAGGGCCGACAGTGCAGGGCCCAGCAGCACAGAGACGTGGAGCAGGACGCCGGCGGCATGAAGCAGCAGGCACAGGAAGGGCCGGTAGTTGCCGAAGCCCACGCAGCGGCCCAGCAGGCGGCAGTGGTGGTCCCGACGCAGGATGCAGACGCGGCAGGCAGAGCAGTGTCCGCTGCGTGGCGGCACCTGGCTTTGGCATTGGTAGCAGTAACTGCAGGAAGGAACCACAGCGTCAGTTCCCCCAGCAGCTCAGATGCCCCATATTGTGCACAGGGCTGCCCCAGAGCCCATCCTGCGGAAGTGGCAACAGCCATTTGCCCTGGCTAAGCCTCAATTTCTTTACAAGTAAATGCAGGCTAAACAAGATGTCCCAGGCCCTTCTAGTTCTAGCACTACAGGTCTGAGGTCTCTTCCAGCCCTAACATCCCCAGTCCTGAGACCTCTCTCAAGCCACTGACATCCAGCAGCAAATCCCTCCCTTCCTCCACGGTCACCCCTTTGTCCAGGTCACTAGGAACTCTCTGGATTACTGCAATAGCCTCTTGACTGGTCTCCGATTCCACCTTTGCCCCACCTCGTACGGTCTCACCCCAGCAACCAAACTGACCCTCCTCTGCTTAAAACCCTCCTGTGGTTCTCCAATTTATTTCTAGTAAAAAGCAAAGCCTTCAGTGTCCTACAACATCCTTCTATCTGTGACATCTCTTCCCCTCTCTTACTGCACTCCAGCCACACTGGCCTTCTTGCTGTTCTGGGAACATACATGCTGGGTACACAACTGCCTCAGAGCCTTTGCACCACTTGTTACCTCTGCCTGGAACACCTTTCCCTCAGATTCCCACATGGCTAACCGCCCCCCACGCCCTCCAAGTTTTTTGCTCAAATGCCTCCTTCTCTATGAGGTCTACCTTGACCACACATTTATGTATATTATTTTAAAAATTAATTAAAAAAAATTTTTAGGGACAGAGTCTCGCTACATTACCCAGGCTGGAGTGTAGTGGTTGTTCACAGGTGTGATCATAGCACACTACAGCCTCAGTCTCAGCAAAAGCCTCTGCCTGGCATAAAATGTGTGTGTAGAGCCTGTACCTGGTGTAATTTTTTTTTCTAATTATAAATTGACAAATTCCAGTTGTATATACTTATGGGATACCAAGTGATGTTATGATTTATCAGTACAGCTTGGAATAAATCAAGCTAATTAGGATAGCCATTACCTCAAACACTCATATTTTTGTGATGAGAATTTACCACCTGTTTATTTATGTATTTATTTATTTGAGACGGAGGGAGTCTTGCTCTGTCACCCAGGCTGGAGTGCAGTGGCTCGATCTCGGCTCACTGCAACCTCCGCCTCCCAGGTTCAAACAATTCTCTTGCCTCAGCCTCCCCAGTAGCTGAGATTACAGGCACGTGCCGCCATGCCCGACTAATTTTTTTATATTTTTAGTAGAGACGGGGTTTCACCACGTTGGCTAGGCTGGTAAACTTCTGACCTTAAGTGATCCGCCGGCCTCGGCCTCCCAAAGTGCTGGGATTACAGATGTGAGCCAACGCACCCGGCCTAACCACCTATTTAATATTGAAACTTGCAACCCCTTTACCCTGCTCTACTTCTTGTTTCCAAACTACTATCACCTTCTAGCATTCTATATGATTTGCTTATTATTCCTCTAGTTTCTCATCTGCACCCCCCTCAAATCAGGAATTTGTTCTATTGTACCCTTCGTCCCTGTAACAAAACCTTGCACCTAGTAGGCTCCCAATAAGTATTTGCGAGTAAATAAATAACACTCAATTCTAGCTCTTCCATCCCAGGTTCTAAAAAAATGTCTGATTCTAACAACCTGGATCCTAATGTAACCCGGTTCTAACATCTCAGGTCTTGGGGCCCCTCCCCCCTGTCCAAGGCTCCCACTTCTCCCCGCCCGATCCCGCACCCCACTCACGCCCAGCCCTGGCCCAGACCGCGGCCGGCCAGCATCACGCCACGGATGCTGGGATCCGAGCGCAGGAAGAGCCCCACGTTGCCCAGCAGGTTGAGCAGCTGGAAGGCGGCCAGCGCCAGCTGCAAGGCCCGGGCCAGGGGTCCCAGCGGCGGCGGCCCGGGACCGAGCACCAGCACGTAAGCCAGCTCCAGGCCCACGGCCGCGGCCCACAGCGCGGTGAGCACGAGAGGCAGCTGCGCGGGCGCCCCGTCCGTGCTCCCAGCCGCCCAGGGCTGCCCCATGGCCTGGACACCCAGCTGTCGGAGCCGGAGGACTAGGCCGCTTCCGTATTGGGGCGGAGATAGCGGCAGACGGACGTCTGCTACGGCCAATAGAAGCTCGGAAGGGGGTGCGGCGAGCGCTCAGACTCTCAGGGAACGGCCGGCCCACGCGGCGAGTTGATCTGGCCAACGGACCAGCAGTGGAGGCGCTCGGAATCCCGCGGCGCTGGAGCCCGGATAACGCCGCGGAGTGATTGACCCGCCCACCCTGGAGGCTCCTCCCATCCCGTCGGAGCCCCGCCCGCTGGCGCGGGGGCCAGGAGTGCCCGGGGGATTGAGTTGCAGCCGGGGTGGTGTCGGGGTTTCCCGGCTCAGCACATTCTCCCCTACTCCCCACAGCCGCCCCGATATTAATAGCCCTGCCGCAGCCCATCCAGCTGGCTCAGAGCCGTTCCCCATGCCCGGGTGTCTCCATCACCCCAGAAAACATGCAAAACAGCTCGGCGCCTCTGTGTTCCTGACTGTGAAATGGGGATAGGGCTCTGTGTCCCACCAGCGAGGTGCTGGAAGAGGCTCACGAGGAGCTCCAGAGGGCAGCCTCTAGAGCGGCCCGCGGCCACTATTATTATCGGCCTTTCTATTGTGGAGAGGAGTAAACAGACTCAGAGAGGTCCCGTGGATTTCTCAAGGTCACACAGCGCCCCAGCAGCGGAGCAGGAATGCAAACCCAGGATCTCCGCCGCGAGATCCACCCCGGCGCCCCCGAGTCCCGCAGTTCCCGGCTTCAGGACAACCCCTTGCCAGGTCCAACCCGAGCTCCTTCACCCCCATCCGGCCCCTCCCTCCTCCCCCATATTTAGTGCGAATTCGATCTGGGGCTGGGCTGGGCCCTACTTAATGGGGCCCGGGTGTCCGAGAGCGTGCCGAGCGGAGCGAAGCCAGGAGCCCGATCGAGATGATGATGGTTATGCAGCCCGAGGGTCTGGGGGCCGGGGAGGGGCGCTTTGCGGGCGGCGGCGGGGGCGGCGAGTACATGGAACAGGAGGAGGACTGGGACCGCGACCTGCTGCTGGACCCGGCCTGGGAGAAGCAGCAGCGGAAAGTGAGTGCTCGCCCATTTCCTGACAGCAAAACCGAGGCCTGAGAGGCCGGGCTGTTTGTCCTGGGCATCTCAGCAGTGCAGGGGCAGAGCTTGTCTTTAACCTAGAGTGCTAATCCCCAGCCCAGGCTCTGCCCATCAGCTGCCTGCTGTCCCCAGGGCTGGAGGAGAGGGCTGGGAGCCCTCAAGAGGGGTTTAAAATGACAAGAGAGTTTCTGGGCTCCCCACCCCCACCAGGGTTCATTCCCCTGGGCCCACTGCCCCACTTCTGCTGCTGAAAACAGGCTGGGCAAACCCCAGGAGATCCAAGTTAGGGGGGGTTCAGAAAGAAGAATCTTCTTCTAGTTAAATATTCCCAGACCCCACCCTGAAGGCTTGCAGTCAGGCAACTAGTGGACTTGGGAGTGTGGGGGTAGTGAGAAGGGTCCTCTCAGACCCCACCCCACCTCGTCTCCAGGGTGGGGTCCATAGTCGCTGTATCTCATTTAACAATTGAAGAAACTGAAGCCCAGAAAGAGCACAGACAGGCCCCACATCACAGACTGTCAGACATCAGGACCCCCGCAACCTGAGGATCTTTACCCTTTTCCCTACCCCCATTCTTTCCCAAGATACCCCAGGCATGGGGCCCTGAGTCTGCTGAAAAGGCCATAGGTCGGGGAGGAGGGGAGACCTGGGTCCCCTTACGCTGTAACCTGACTCTCCAGCCAGATGGACACTTAGTGCTGAGGCAGCACCTCGGGGGCGCCAAAGAGGGGCACAGGGGCAGCTGCTACCCAGGCCCAGCCCGTTGGGCACTCAGGGCCCCTCCCTCCCTGAGCTATTTTCACTCCCAGACTTTCCCAAGTAGAGGGGGCAGGACACCTGGGTTCCCAAAGGGAAAATGATCCAGGCCAGAGGGAGAATACTTTGGAGAGTGGCAGGCCAGGGGTAACCAGGAGGGCACTATGAGGCCATTGGACCCTGCTCAGCGTGTGCCAACACTGTATGACTCCAGGAGAGGGCAGGGTACTGGGGTACTCAGTGGAATTTAAATGACCTGAGAGTCCCAGAATTTAGAATCAGAGTACTTCTGCTGGGTTAGATGACAGGAGATGACCCCAAGGGCCGAGAGGCTCCGCTGACTCGGCTGGGGTGCCCCGGGTGACAGGCCTCCCCTTAGGCTCCCCCTGCACCTGTCTCCAAGCACGGCTGCAGTCCCAGGTTTGGCAATTTCCCGGTGGTGTCATCCCTGTCCTTGGCTCCAGCTGCCACCTGTTCTGCAACATCTCCTATCCCTACCCCCACCCACCCGGGCCTCTCCGAGATCCAGGTCTGCGTGCCCCCCATATGACACGTGCCAGTCTGTAACTTGCCTTTGTCACCTAACAAATTATCAGGAACATCTGTTCATCCCAACTTGCAGTCACCATCTCATCATCTACTCATTCAATGGCTGGCACAGCATAGAGGATCTGAAAATCAATCAGCATCCCTTGTAGTTGGACATTTGGCTCATTTCTTTCTTGTCCAGCGTTGTTTATTGCAAGGTGGTAATAAACATCCTTGTGCTCAGCTTTAGCCCTGACCCCTCCCTGTTGCTCTATGCTCCCTTTCTCCCCAGTGACTCCTCCATCCAAGGGCTTCCTTCACACAGTCTTGGAGCAGCACGCTGCCTCCTCCCACCTGATGTCTTACCATGTGCCAGCGCTGTTTCAGGTGCTGGAATTCGGCAGCAGACAAAATAAAGCCCCTGCCATGGGAGCTTACATTCCAACATTTCTGTCTCATCCATCCAATCCTGCCTTGTCCCCCACACTGACACCCTTCCTCTCTTGCCCTGATCCCAGTGACTGCGTCCTCACTTCTGCCTTCTGCCACGCCAAGCCATTCATCTCCACTCTGCAACCAGCATGGACAGTTCTGCCCACCTCCCTCCTGCCTGAGGCTTCCCTGACTCTCTGTTGCCCTCCGGATCAAATTTTAACTCCCCAGCTTAGCACCCAAGATCACACATGACCTGGCTCCTGCTGCCCCTCCGGCCTGCCTCTCACCACTTATACCCCAACAATCCCAGCTCCATTCCAGCAGTGCCCAGATCCTTGTAGTCTGACAAATGTAGCAAGTGTTTCTCACAGCCACCGAGCACTTGCCTGCATGGCAGCCCCTGCCTGAAATGCCCTTGCCTGCCCTTCCCTTCCTGAATAATTCCTGCCCATCACAGCTCTGATCAAATACTCGCCTTCCCCAAGAGGGGACCCTGATCCGCAGCGTCCCTCCCATAAATTCCTCGGCAACCTCTTACAGCGCTTCTCAGACCAAAATGACTCTTGGATGGACTGTGAGCTCCCTTAGGGCAGGAACCACATCTCATTAAGAGTCTTGTTTGGGCTGGGAGTGGTGGCTCATGCCTGTAATCCCAGCACTTTGGGAGACGGAGGGGGGCGGATCACCTGAGGTTGTAAATTCAAGATCAGCCTGACCAATATGGAGAAACCCCATCTCTACTAAAAATACAAAATTAGCAGGGCGTGGCGACGCATGCCTGTAATCCCAGCTACTTGGGAGGCTGAGGCAGGAGAATCGCTTGAACCAGGGAGGCAGAGGTTGCAGTGAGTAGAGATCGCACCATTGCACTCCAGTCTGGGCAACAAGCGCGAAACTCTGTCTCCAAAAAAAAAAAAAAAAAAAAAAAGAGTCATGTTTGGCACCACCCAGACCTGCCTATCCCCCTGCCCTTTCCAAACTCAAAGCATCTTAGACTCCAGGGTTGGAGGGAACTGTGGGAAATCTAACTGCCCTATTCAGTGCTTAGGTTCCCATCAAGTTGTACTCAGTGTCTACTTACATACCTCCAGTGATGGGAAGCTCACTCCCTTTCCTTAGCAATGACAGCCCCTCAAGTATTTAACGCATCATCTTCCATGTCCAGCTCCCAGGGCATCTGGCAAGCTGGTCTGAGGAAGGAAAGGTGGCTGAGGGGAAGAATTCCAAATGGCTCCCAGGGCCACCTCCCAGGAGTATCTGCTTTGTGGTGTGGGGATGCTCTGAATCCAAGAATCCTGCCAGGCTGGAAGAAGAAAGACCTGAGACATCATAGATTCTGATCCTTTAATTACACAAATGGGAAGACCAAGCCCCGAAGAGGGAAAGGGGCTGACCCTAGATCACAGAGCATGAGTGGCTCAGTTGGCCTTGGAGCCCACCCTGACTCTACCAAGTAGTCTATGGAAAGGCAGAATTCAGGACCTGAAGGGCGGTAGGTTGGCAGAAACTTGTGTACCAAGTGTCGTGTCACCCCTATCCCCAACAGACACACAGCCCTGTACCATCCCTCCCATCTCAGAAGGAGGCTGAGGCTGAGGCTGACTTTTGGGGAAGGGGTGGGCAGTCACCCCTAGAAATGAGATCAGACCAGGCATGGTGGCTCATGCCTGTAATCCCAACACTTTGGGAAGCCAAGGCAGGAGGATCACTTGAGCCCAGGAGCTTGAGACCAGTCTGGGCAACATAATAAGACCGAGGCAGGAGGATCACTTGAGCCCAGGAGCTTGAGACAAGCCTGAGCAACATAGTAAGACCGTCTCTCTCTAAAAAAACAAAATGAGATCAGGCTGGGCCCGAGTGCCAGCTGACGCTCCAACAGCCCTCAGAGTCCTTACTCATGTAGGGTCTACTTGGAGGCCAATTTACAACAACCCTAGAAGGTCAGTAGCACTGAGAAAACAGAAACACAGAGACAGTCCCTTAGGCAAAACCCTGAGGGCCAGATGTGCTTGAGTCCAGGAGTTTTCAGATTTCAGAAAGGCAATATCACCCTGCACTGGCTCCTATGGTTCAAAACCTCAGAGGGCCCCACATTTTGAATGTGTTAACATTTTCTAAGGGCCCTCCAGTGTTTAAGACCCCCAAGGCTGGGGTGCTGGTGGCCGGGTGCCCCAAGTCTGAACTGGGACCTGCATGGGTCACAGACCCCATTTCTCCCCTCTCAGGAAAACGAAAGCTCAGAGAGGGAAAGGGACTGGCCCAGGATGCACAGCAAGTCAGTGGCTGAGCTGAGCTGAGACTTGAATCCAGAAATACAAGGCTCTGAGACCTACCCTGACTGAGGAGACAGGACTGTGCCCTACATCCCCCAGAGCCAGTCGTAGGGTTTGAGTGCTGTCCTCTGCCCCTAGACCTTCACTGCCTGGTGCAACTCACACCTGCGCAAGGCAGGCACCCAGATCGAGAACATCGAGGAAGATTTCCGCAATGGCCTCAAACTCATGCTGCTCCTGGAGGTCATTTCAGGTGAGGATGGCAAATCAGTGCACCTGGGCCCCAGGACCCAGGAACATCTGGACAGCAGGGGGAATAGGGTGGCGGAGTGTTGGACGGGACTTGGTGGGGAGGGGAGAGTTTGCGGACAATAGCTTCAGCTGCCTCTCATGACCTTTGGCCCTTGGCCTCTCCTCTTAAACCCAGGTGAGAGGCTGCCTAGGCCAGATAAAGGCAAGATGCGCTTCCACAAAATCGCCAACGTTAACAAGGCCCTGGACTTCATTGCCAGCAAGGGGGTTAAACTGGTGTCCATTGGTGCTGAAGGTGAGGAGGTGGCAGGAAGGGTCTTGGGCAGGGCACAGGGGCCTCTCTTGACATCAGCAAATCACCTCTGTGAGCCTCAGTTTCCTCATCTCAGCAATGAGAATAATCCCTGCCTCGCAAGAGAGCCTGTAAAGAGCCAGTATGCCAGCCAGGCACGGTGGCTCACGCCTGTAATCTCGGCACTTTGGGAGGCCAAGGCCAGTGGACTGCTTGAGGCTAGGAGTTTGAGACCAGCCTGGCCAACATGGCAAAACCCTATTTCTACTAAAAATACAAAAATCAGCTGGGTGTGGTGGCGCACACCTGTAATCCCAGCTACTTGGGAGGCTGAGGCACAAGAATTGAATGAACCTGGGAGGTGGAGCTTGCAGTGAGCCGAGATCACACCACTGCACTCCAGCCTGAGCAACAGAGCGAGAGACTCTGTCTGAAAGAAAAAAAAAAAATGCCGGCCAGGCCTGGTGGCTCACACCTGTAATCCCAGCACTTTGGGAGGCTGAGGTGTGGGGCTCACGAGGTCAGGAGATCAAGACCATCCTGGCCAACATGGTAAAACCCTGTCTCTACTAAAAATACGCTGGGTGTGGCGGCGCGTGGCTGTAATCCCAACTACTTAGGAGGCTAAGGCAAGAGAATCACTTGAACCCGGGAGGCCGAGGTTGCAGTGAGCTGAGATCTTGCCACTGCACTCCAGCCTGGGTGACAGAGCTAGACTCCGTCTCAAAAAAAAAAAAGAAAGAAAAGCCAATATACCCAAAGTGCCAGCTCAGCCCCCAAACCCTAGTAAGAGTTTAGTGAAATAATTGCTAAATAACAAGCCAGGCATGGTAGCGCTGTAGTCTCAGCTACTTGGCAGACTGAAGCGGAAGGATTGTTTGAGCCCGGGAATTGGAGATCAGCCTGGGCAACATAGCAAAACTCCATCTTGGCCAGGCACAGTGGCTCACCCCTGTATTCTCGCACTTTGGGAGGCCAAGGCAAATGGATCACCCTGAAGTCAGGAGTTTGAGACCATCCTGGCCAACATGGTGAAAGCCTGTCTGTACTGAAAACACAAAAATTTGCTGGGCATGGTGGCGCACGCCTGTAATCCCAGCTACTCGTGAGGCTGAGGTAGGAGAATCCCTTGACCCTGGGAGGCGGAGGTTGCAGTGAACCAAGATTGCACCATTGCACTCCAGCCTGGGTGACAAGAGAGACTCTGTCTCTCTCTCTCTCTCTCTCTCTCTCTCTCACACACACACACACACACACACACACACACAAAGAGAAAACTCCATCTCAAAAAATTCCCAAAACCAACCAACTAAACAAAAAAATAGATGCGGGCCAGGGGTGATGGCTTACACCTGTAACCCCAGCACTTTGGGAGGCCAAGGCAAGCAGATCATGAGGTCAGGAGTTCGAGACCAGCCTGGCCAATACAGTGAAATCCATCTCTACTAAAAATACAAAAATCAGCTGAGCATGGTGGCATGCACCTGTAGTCCCAGCTACTCGGGAGGCTGAGGCAGAAGAATTGCTTGAACCAGGGAGGCAGAGGTTGCAGTGAGCTGAGATCATGCCACTGCACTCCAGCCCGGGCAACAGAGCAAGACTCTGTCACCCCCCAAAAAATAGATGCAGCTGGGTGCAGTGGCTCACGACTGTAATCCCAGCACTTTGGGAGGCTGAGGTGGGCAGATCATTTGAGGTCGGGAGTTCGAGACCAGCCAGGCCAACATGGTGAAACCCCATCTCTCCTAAAAATACAAAAAAATTAGCCGGGTTTGGTGGTGCAGCCTGTAGTCCCCGCTATTAGGGAGGCTGAGGAAGGAGAATCACTTGAACCCAGGAGGCGGAGGTTGCAGTGAGCTGAGATTGCACCACTGTACTCCAGCCGGGGCAAAGAGGGAGACTCCATGGGAAAAAATTATAATAAAAAAAAAGAAAAGAAAAAGAGGCCAGACACGGTGGCTCATGCTTGTAATCCCAGCACTTTGGGAGGCCGAGGCAGGCAGATCATGAGGTCAGGAGATTGAGACCATCCTGGCTGACATGGTGAAACCCCTTCTCTACTAAAAATAAAAAAAATTAGCCGGGCGTGGTGGTGGGCGCCTGTAGTCCCAGCTACTCAGGAGGCTGAGGCAGGAGAATGGTGTGAACCTGGGAGGCGGAGATTGCGCCACTGCACTCCAGCCTGGGTGACAGAGCGAGACTCCATCTCAAAAAAAAAAAAAAAAAAGAAAAAGAAAAAGAGATGCTTATTGAGCACCTGCTAGGTGCTCACCTACTAGGTGCCAGCCCTGAAATGGGAGACAAGGGCCAGAGGGCTGATCAGAGGGGAAGGTAAGCTGAGGCCAGATAGCACAGACCTTGAATGCCAGGCAAATCTGTCCCCTGACCCCTGCCCTGCAGAGATTGTTGACGGGAACCTGAAGATGACCCTGGGCATGATCTGGACCATCATCCTTCGCTTCGCCATCCAGGACATCTCTGTGGAAGGTGAGCAATGGGAAAGGAGGTTGGGGCCAGGTGCAGTGGCTGGGGCCTGTAATCCCCACAGTTTGGGAGGTCGAGGCGGGCAGACCACTTGAAGGATCGCCCAGGAGTTCAAGACCAGCCTGGACAACATGGTGAAACCCCATCTCTACAAAAAATACCAAAAAAAAAAAAAAAAAAAAAGCTGGCCATGGTGGCATGTGCCTATAGTCCCAGATACTAGGGAGGCTGAGGTAGGAGGATCGCTTGAGCCTGGGAGGTTGAGGCTGCGGTGAGCCATGATCGTGTCACTGCACTCCAGTTGGATGACATAGCAAGACCCTGTCTCAAAAAAAAAAAAAAAAGAAGTGTGAGAGGGCTGACCTGGACCCCTTCCCAATGAATCCTCCCACCTCCCCCCGACCCAGAAACCTCAGCCAAGGAAGGCTTGCTTCTGTGGTGCCAGAGGAAGACAGCACCGTACCGCAACGTCAACGTGCAGAACTTCCACACCAGGTCTGTCAGGTGGTTACCAAATGTGTCTGGGCCTCTGTGGGGTACTGGGCATAGAGAGGAGCCCTCCCTGGTCAGTGAAGGGCACTGAGCTGGTCTCTGTCACAAGCCACAGGGAAGGAAAGGTCACAGTTCCTGGAACAGTGTCTGAAAAGAGGGCTCAGTAACTGTTGAGTGGAATGGAATTGAATCCAGGAGGGTTCCAGTAACTCCTGGAGGAGGGAGTGTTTGAGACTTCCCTGGAAGGCCATTCCAGCCAGAGGGAAGCTGGAGGCCAAAAATATTTAGAAACTGGTCGGGCCTAAGCATGAGTGTGTGACGGAATCGTGATGAGCTAGCAGGAGATGGTCCAGATCTGGTCATGAAGGGCCTCAAACGCCAAGCTAAGGGATTTGTACTTTACTCCATTTTACAGATGAGGCTGTCCTTCTGGGGGGTGCTCCTGGGCCGAGGGGAGAACGGGGCCCCAGCTTGAACCCAGGCCTGACCCCCCTCTTCTCTCTGTCCAGCTGGAAGGATGGCCTGGCCCTCTGTGCCCTCATCCACCGACACCGCCCTGACCTCATCGACTACGCCAAACTGCGAAAGGTAGAGGCCCCCACCACCCCAGCCCAAGGCCTCTGCCTGCAGCTGACCTTTCACCCTCCTCCCTTACACCCTTCTAGGATGACCCCATCGGAAACCTGAACACTGCCTTTGAGGTGGCAGAGAAATACCTGGACATCCCCAAGATGTTGGATGCAGAAGGTGAGAGTGAGCTAGCCCAGGGGAAGACCCCACATTCTCCACACTGGGCCTGGTACAACCTCCACACCTTTGCACGGCCCTTTCCTCCTCCTGGGATGCTCCGACCACCCCCACCCCACTCCCTGGTCACAGTCCCCCTTCTCCAGGAGTCCTCTATCTTGTCCCATGCCCCATCCCCCAAAGAGGACCATCCTCTGCCACCTCTCCCCTATGTAATGGCCCTACCTTCTGCCTCACATCCCAGTTACCTGGGTTACCTGGGATGTTGGTCCCCCAAGACTGGCAGCTCCCCTGGGGCACGTCCTGCCTGTGGTCCCCATGCCTAGGCAAGGCAATAGTCAACTGAAGCAGCAAACACTTTCTGAGCATCTACTATGCATGATGCCCAGGCTGTGTGGGCACTGCTGGAGAAGAACTTTTTCTTGCCCTGAGGAGCTTGTGGACTTGGGGGAAAGACACACAGACCGAGGGAGGTATAGGATAGTTCAAGGCATGAGACAGCGTGGACCAGTCCCTCACGAGGGCCACAGTGGCTGCCCACTCACACTCACCCACCCAGTCCCTCACACTTTGCTCACCCCAAGGTGGGGAGATGGGGAAGTTGCTGAGCCCTGGGGTAAGGAGAGAGGGCTTCAAGGAAGAGAAGACACTGGGCTTGGGTGGCTGGCTGCTGGTGGCCATGACTGGATGCTTCCAGCCCTCCCACCCAGAGAGAGTTCTCTGCCTGGGGAGGGACCCCTGGCTTTGGCCAGTAGACACCGTGCTGTCCTCCCCTAGACATTGTGAACACCCCAAAGCCGGATGAGAAGGCCATCATGACCTATGTGTCCTGCTTCTACCATGCCTTTGCCGGGGCTGAGCAGGTAAGGCGGCCCAACTGCTGCTGCCTGGGCTTGTGGACCCAAGGGCCCAACCTTGGCTGTAGTCCAACATTGGAGGCGCCAGACCACGGAGGTTGGAGTGCCACTGTGCCAGCTGCACACACTCAGTCTTCAGCAGGAGCAGAGGACCCTGGTTTGGAAACTCACTCCCTACCTAAGAGCCGTGCTCCCCCAATCCCTTTCCCAATTTGCAGGGACTCCATTCTTTGTTTGTTTTTTGAGACAGAGTCTCACTCTGTCATCCAGGCTGGAGTGAAGTGGCGTGATCACGGCTCATTGCTGCCTTGACCTCAGCCTCCTGCCTCAGCCTCCCCAGTAGCTGGGACTACAGGCACGTGCTACCACACCTGACTAATTTTTGTATTTTTTGTAGAGATAGTGTTTCATCATGTTGCCCAGGCTGGTCTCGAACTCCTGGACTCAAGTAACTCACCCACCTCAGCCTCCCAAACTGTTGGGATTACAGGCATGAGCCACCACGCCCAGCTGGGGGCTCTGTTTTTGTTTGTTTGTGTTTTGTTTTGTTTTTTGAGACGGAGTCTTGCTCTGTCGCCCAGGCTGGAGTGCAGTGGGGCGGTCTCGGCTCACTGCCAGCTCTGCCTGCCAGGCTCACGCCATTCTCCTGCCTCAGCCTCCCAGGTAGCTGAGACTACAGGCGCCCACCACCACGCCCGGCCAATTTTTTTGTATTTTTAGTAGAGACGGGGTTTCACCGTGTTAGCTAGGATGGTTTCGATCTCCTGACCTCGTGATCCGCCCGCCTCGGCCTCCCAAACTGCTGGGATTACAGGCGTGAGCCACCGCGCTCGGCGGGGCTCTGGGTTTTAAGGGCTTTACAGAAGCAATTTGCTTTAATGCCAGCCTTCTGCCCACTCCCCCCACAGGCAGAGACAGCTGCCAACAGGATCTGCAAGGTGCTGGCAGTGAACCAGGAAAACGAGAAGCTGATGGAGGAGTATGAGAAGCTTGCCAGTGAGGTGAGGCTGGGCTCCCACCGTGCTCTCCCCACCCCAGCCCTACTGGCTCTCCCAACCCTGCTAACCCCAAGCGTGGGCCTGCAGAGCCTCCCTCTGCTCAGAGTAGCCCTGGCTTCCTCCCAGCCTCCTCCTGTCCATCCCCACCCATCACCTGCCCTTCTGCCAACCCATGCTCCTGTCAGTCATTGATTCACTCATCATTCATCCATTTACTTCTGCATCGATCCATTCACTTGTATTTAAGTAGTCACATGGCCCTCTGCTCTGTGCCAACCTATACTAGCCCCTGGACTCAGAAATCAACCATCCCACTTCTTCTCTGACTTGTGGGGACTACCCCATCCTGCTTTCGTAGTTGTCAAAGTCACCCCCACCTACACTCTGGCCACAGCCTGGGTGTGGGTGGAGAGGGGTGGGTGAGCTGGGCAGGTCAGCGCAGAGCTGTCTGCCTTGCCCCTGCCTGGCCCTGTCAGCTGCTGGAGTGGATCCGCCGCACTGTCCCATGGCTGGAGAACCGTGTGGGTGAGCCCAGCATGAGTGCCATGCAGCGCAAACTAGAGGACTTTCGGGACTACCGGCGTCTGCACAAGCCGCCCCGCATTCAGGAAAAGTGCCAGCTGGAGATCAACTTCAACACACTGCAGACCAAGTTGCGGCTCAGCCACCGGCCTGCCTTCATGCCCTCCGAGGGCAAGCTGGTCTCGGTGAGCTCTACACACATTCCCTAGGTGACCTTGAGGTCCGTATCCCATCTGTACAATGGGCAAACCGTGATGGAGCGCACCCCTGCCTGCTCCACAGGACATCGCCAACGCCTGGCGGGGGCTGGAGCAGGTGGAAAAGGGCTATGAGGACTGGCTGCTCTCGGAGATCCGGCGCCTGCAGCGACTCCAGCACCTGGCTGAGAAGTTCCGGCAGAAGGCCTCCCTGCACGAAGCCTGGACCCGGGGTAGGTAGACCTACCTCATGGGGCTGGACTGTCTCTTGGGGTGGAGATTGGTGTGCAGGGGCAGGAGGGGAGGTTCTTGGCAAAATGCACAGGACAAGGGTAGGTGCTCTGCAGGAAAGCCAGAGACTGGATTTCTAGTCCCACCCTGACTTGCTGTGGTGCAACCTAGGCCTCTCTTTTGGCCACTGCCCCTCTGTGGACCACAGTTTGTTTTGTTTTTTGAGACAGAGTCTTGCTCTATTGCCCAGGCTAGTACAATCTCGGCTCACTACAATCTCTGCCTCCCAGGCTCAAGCGATCCTCCTGCCTCAGCCACCCAAGTAGCTGGGACCACAGGCGTGCACCACCACGCCCAGTAACTTTTTGTACTTTTTGTAGAGATGGGTTCTCACTTTGTTGCCCAGGCTGGTCTCAAACTCCTGGACTCGAGTGATCCACCCACCTCAGCCTCCCAAAGTGCTGGGATTACAGGAATGAGCCACCGCACACCCGCCTGTTTTCTATAAACTCAGCCTTCCCCCTCACCCCCCAGCCCTGCTCTGGTCTTCTGTAGATCTGCTCTGATTAATTCAATTTAGCATTTTATTTTATATGTGTCAGGTGTTCAAAGGTGAGTCCATTCCTCACCCTAACATCACTTATGTCATACTCAAAGTATACTGACGCTAAAATATTGCACGAGTCAAATATATTACTCTGGATAGAAACATCCATTCATTGTTCTGTCGAGGATTTCTGTAGTGAACAAAGGAGGCCGGGTCAGGGGCTCATGGGGGTTACAGAATCGTTGAGAGCTATTTTAAGGTCAAATTATGCTAAAACTGTACCAAGGGCCCCCTGGACGTAGCTCGCTCAGGGGACGCTGATGTCATTTGCGGATCACGCCACGGAAGAGGACTTTCACCTACGTTATTACACCGACGCCGCAGAGCAAATCCCTAGGACGAGCTAGGCCGGTGCGATCGCCACCTTAGCAGATGAGGCTTCATGGTCACGCAGCCCGCCGCGCACCCCTGCCCCTGCCGCCACTGGGTGACCGGAGCCGGCATCTCTTTGAGCAGGAAAGGAGGAGATGCTGAGCCAGCGCGACTACGATTCGGCTTTGCTACAGGAGGTGCGGGCGTTGCTGCGGCGCCACGAGGCCTTTGAGAGCGACCTGGCGGCGCACCAGGACCGCGTGGAGCACATTGCCGCGCTGGCCCAGGAGCTCAAGTAGGCGGGGCCTCGCGGGGCCCGCCCCCAACACCCCCGGCCCCGCCCCCGGTGGCGAGCCCCACCCTGATCCCCATTGCCCTTCTCAAGACACTAGGCTCTCCTGGGTTCTGTAACCCCGCCGTGGTACCCAGGTCCCATTCGCTCCGCCCCTCCTGGAACCCCACCCCCACCTCCGGACCCCGCTCTGCTGCTCACACTCTTCCCACTGGCGCTTGACCTGTCTCACTCCGTGACCTGCCCTCTAACCTGCCCGCTCTCTTCACCCGGCTTACTGCTCCAAACCCTCCCCATCAGCCTTGGCCTGGCCACCCCCTCCCATGAACCCGCCCCTTCTTGCGCAACCCCGCCCCTCCACCCAAGCACCTCCATGGACTGCAGCTAAGGACCCGCGGGCGCCCACCTGCCCAGAGGGATGCGCTGGTACCGCCCCTCTTGGAAAGCACCCAGCTTTACCCACCACCTGCCCTGGCTCCCGCACGCCTTCACCCCCATCCGGGGAGCAGGTTCCAGCCCTGGGAGTGCAGTTAGGACATCTGGGCTGGGGCTGGCCCCACACTCGCCCTACTTCTCGCTCCCAGTGAGCTGGACTACCACGAGGCAGCCTCAGTGAATAGCCGCTGCCAGGCCATCTGCGATCAGTGGGACAACCTGGGCACCCTGACCCAGAAGAGGCGGGATGCGCTAGAGGTGGGGCTGGGGGCCGGGGAGCTGGGGGGTGGGTAGGTGGGTGAGGCCAGGTCTGCAGGGCAGGCTTCTGACCCACTACGCCTCCCACCTCTAGCGGATGGAGAAGCTCCTGGAGACCATTGACCGGCTGCAACTGGAGTTTGCCCGGCGGGCCGCGCCCTTCAACAACTGGCTGGATGGTGCCGTGGAGGACCTGCAGGACGTGTGGCTGGTACACTCTGTGGAGGAGACCCAGGTGGGTGCCAGGGTTGCAGGGGATGGATAGGATGACAGGAAAGCTGGCCCCAAATTCTGCCACCCACAACTTTAGGCTCCTGGGGCATAGGGATGGGAGGAAAACCCCAGTTCCCGAGTGCTGGGCTGGAAGACAGGAGGCCGGGGTTCTTGTGTCAGGACTGCCCAGGACTGGTGGGTGGCCTGGGGCACACTGCTGCCCTTTCTGTTGCCTGTGGTAAGTGGGGGACACCAGCTGACACTTCCTGCCTGTCGTCCCCAGAGCCTGCTGACAGCGCACGATCAGTTCAAGGCAACACTGCCCGAGGCTGACCGAGAGCGAGGTGCCATCATGGGCATCCAGGGTGAGATCCAGAAGATCTGCCAGACGTATGGGCTGCGGCCCTGCTCCACCAATCCCTACATCACCCTCAGCCCGCAGGACATCAACACCAAGTGGGATATGGTCAGTGCCACCTGCAGCCTTCCTCCCACCCCCTCCTGCATACTGTGACCACCCTGAAATCTCGGGTGGCCCAAGATATGGAGAATAAAGTCCATCTTCAGATGTGGGGTCTGCCACAGACTCCACGTGGGATTGGATAAATCGCCTTGCCTGTCTCGGGCTCATCTGTATATGATGAGCTGTAACAGCAGCATTCTCCTGTCAGGACTGATGTGAAGTAGAATTAAGCCTTGTGTGTGGACATCTTTTATAAATCCACCCATATTAGTAAATGATGCCATCAGCCCCATTTTGCAGATGAGAAAACTGAAGCCCACATGGGTTAGTGACTTGCCCAAGAGCTTTCTCGTATATCCCAGACAAGTTGGCTCAAAGCAACAGGGGCTGAGGTTTGAGGGGCTGGAGCCCATCTCCCCTAAAGCCATTTCCCAGCCCCCAGAGCTGGCTCTGGCATAACTGCCCTCCTCCCAGGTCCGAAAGCTGGTGCCCAGCTGTGACCAGACACTGCAGGAGGAGCTGGCACGGCAGCAGGTAAACGAGAGGCTCCGGCGACAGTTTGCGGCCCAGGCCAATGCCATTGGACCCTGGATCCAGGCGAAGGTGGAGGTAAGGGCTGGGATAGTGGGTCCAACCTGGGGGGATGGGGCCAGGGCTGGGCCACAGGGAGTTGGGAGCCCTCATGCTGCCTGGGAACCCCTGCAGGAAGTGGGGCGGCTGGCAGCAGGGCTAGCTGGCTCTCTGGAGGAGCAGATGGCTGGGCTACGGCAGCAGGAGCAGAACATTATCAACTACAAGACTAACATTGACCGGCTGGAGGGTGACCACCAGCTGCTGCAGGAGAGCCTGGTGTTCGACAATAAGCACACCGTCTACAGCATGGAGGTGGGATCACACCCTCTCAGGAGAGTGGGGAGGCAGCACTGGCTGAGGAGGCCCAGGGAGATCACAGCTGGACAGAGCATGTGTGTCCCAGCAGAGTCCCCAGTTCAGCTTGGCCAGGTCCCTTAAGACCCAGCGATGGAAAGTGACCCTTCCAGAGTCACAAAGCCGTCCAAAACCAGGCCAAGATTGGCCATAGCTGGTTATCAAAAGACAGGAAGGACTGCTGGGGTGGGGGTGGGTTACTCAGTGGAGCCTCCAGATGGGGATGGAGGCCCAGTGAGGGGGAGGACTTGCCCAGGGTCATTCAGTGAACTGGATGTGGAGCTAGAGCCAGTGGCCAGGCACTGGCCGCCCACTGACAGTGGCCTGTCCCCTGACCGCCAGCACATCCGCGTGGGCTGGGAGCAGCTGCTCACCTCCATTGCCCGCACCATCAATGAAGTGGAGAACCAGGTACTGACCCGAGACGCCAAGGGACTGAGCCAGGAGCAGCTCAACGAGTTCCGAGCATCCTTCAACCACTTTGACAGGGTCAGCAGGGGCCTGGCCCTGTGGGGTAAGACACTTGGGGGCTGGTGGAGGCTGGAGACCAAGCCTGATAACCACTCACCCCCTACAGAAGCAGAATGGGATGATGGAGCCTGATGACTTCCGAGCTTGCCTCATCTCCATGGGCTATGACCTGGTGAGAGCTCCCCAGCTCCTTCCCAGGAGTCCCAAAGTACCCCCTCCTCTGTGCTGATCACCTACTGTGCACCTCCCATCTTCACATACACCATCCCCTGCATCTTCACTACATCCACACAGGGGCTAGCAAGGCTCAGGGAGGTAAAACTCACTTGGACCCAGTTCTGTGTGGACCCAAAGTCTGAGCTTGCAACATTTTTACCTGTAGGGAAACAGCACTACAGAAACGGGTGTGGCCCTGGAAAAAAAATCAGGACCAGGGAGCAAATCTGCTTCCTGCTGTGGGTAGGATGCAGATTTCAGCCTACCATAAAGGACTTCCTACAGCCAGGGCTAAGGTCTCTGGAGGAAGGGAACTCCCTTGTTACTGGGGCTCTGCTAGCTGAGGTTGGACAGTCCCCAGGAGGGGACACTGGGAGCCCTCCTGGCTTTAGTGCTCATGGGCATAGTGCCTGGCCTCTATCCCTGCAGGGGGAAGTGGAGTTTGCTCGCATCATGACCATGGTGGACCCCAACGCAGCTGGGGTGGTGACCTTCCAGGCCTTCATAGACTTCATGACCCGAGAGACAGCCGAGACTGACACGACTGAGCAAGTTGTAGCTTCCTTCAAGATCTTGGCAGGAGACAAGGTGAGTCCCAGGCGGTGGAGGGGCTGGTGGGCTAGGGCAGGGCACGGGACCTGTGGGTCCTCAACGCCTCTTCTCCCCAGAACTACATCACCCCCGAGGAGCTGCGGCGCGAGCTCCCTGCCAAGCAGGCCGAGTACTGCATCCGCCGTATGGTGCCCTACAAGGGATCCGGGGCCCCGGCTGGAGCCCTGGACTACGTGGCCTTCTCCAGTGCCCTCTATGGGGAGAGCGACCTTTGACCCCAACCACTGAGGTTCTCTATGCAAGATGGAGAGAGGATGCACCCTGTGGCTGATCCCATCCGTCCCTCGGAGCAAGGGCCTAAGAGAAAAGCCAGCCAAGTGCTTCTGAATAAAGATCCCTCTCTGGGTCTCTCCCCATCTCCTTTTAGTTCCTGAAGCAGAAGCTGGCCCCTCAGGCTCCTGGGCAGGACCAGCTATCCCACCTTGACCCGCCAGGAGTCCCTGCCATCTCTCCTCACCCCCGGGGACTGAGCATTTATACCACACTCGGGACAAGGACACCTCTTTATTGCTGTTAGAAAAGGGTGGTTACAAGTTTCCTGGACATGGAGAGGGACACTATCCCTAAATCCAAGGGAACCAGAAAATTTATAGTATCAAACAGAGGAAAGCGGGGGCAGAACAGAGCTGGGCTTAAGATCAGAAAATTTTCTTCCTGCTCATTACCCAAGCCCAGAGTTCTTGCCCCAGCTTCAACTGCCAAGATACCACCCTTCACCCCGACATCCTCCTAAGCTACCACAATTCAACAAAGGTGCAGGTGCAGAACTTCAGGGTGGGAATGGGGTGCAGGGAAGCAGGGGCTGTGCCCCAGCCCAGTGCCCTCTGCTCACCCTGAGGTACCCAGTGCCTTTCCCTCTGCCAGCTGTACCTCCCGGGGAGGGGCCTGGACACATGTCAGGCTGGGGCAGCAGCCACTCTGATCAGCACCAGGTCCCGAGCTGGGGGCCCCTCTTCAGTCCACCACCGCCGAGCTGGCCATGGTGTTCACGCCACAGGCCCCGGACCCACGATGCAAGTAGTAGTAACCCTGGGGGAGAGGGGGAGCTGGTGAGGGCACCAGGGTAGGATGGCGGCTGGAGGGCCAGGGGCCAAGCCAGCAAGACTCACCTTCTCACCCCAGTCAGTGCCCCAGCTGTTCTTGATGGCCCAAAAGGGAACGTCAGAGCCTGGGGTGCAGTGCAGAGCGCAAGGATCAGGGTCCTTAATTCTCCAGGCAGAGCCTTAATCACTTTGCACCCTTCAAATACTTGCACTGGGCCTACTGTGTGACAGGGACTAGGAAAAGAGCAGAAAGCGAGGGGCCCACCTACCAGCCTCAGGGAGAAGCCCTGGGGCAGGGAGGAAGCACGCACCCACCCGCCTATTGCAGGTTATTAGGCCATCAATATTTACCCTCCCACAGCTCAGCTTCCCTGCCATAGAGAGGACAGATGATGCCCAGCTGGTCATGGCCCAGGCAGTGGGTAAGGACAGGGTTCCTAGGCATTCCCCCTATTTCCCCTCTAGAGGACCTGAGATGCTGTGATCCCACCCCTGCCTGTGGCCTGGCTGGATGCAGGACAGGCAGCGGAACTCACGGTTGCCGTAGCCCACAAGCAACACCGCATGGTCAATGAGCCAAGGGCTGCAGAGGGGCCGGAGAGGGCGGGAGATCCCGTGGCGGTAAAACTGGAGGTGGAGAAGGAGTAGGGGATCGACTCCAAGAAGAGGTCGGGGAGGTCAACAAGAGATGGGGCAGGGGCAGTGGGGCTAGGGCCTCACCTGCATGCCAAAGGCATTGATGGCCACGGAGATTGGGCCTCTCTTGGCCAGCCAGGCTGCCAGCTCTGAGATGGGAAGGGGTGGCATCAGTAGGCACCCAGGCCCCGGCCCCACCTGACCTCACCTCACCCTGCCCCTCACTCACTCTGCTCGTTCTGGCTCAGCTCCACGGAGTCATTGATGTAGACCTTGGCCTTCTCTGCTGAGAAGTTGCAGGACTGCATGTGACCCTGGTAGCTGTAGTCATCCTCTGTCTCCAGCCCTCCTGGGGAACGGTGGGGGTGAGTAGAGAAGGGCAGGCTCCCATTTGCCATTCACAGCCAGAAATGAACTAAGCCCTCTACGCGAGGTTTCACATTCCTCGTCCACCCCAGGCCACAGGCCATCCCCTCTGAAGAATGTCTTCATTCTAGAAATGACACATCTGAGGCTGGGAGAGATGGGGAGGAGGGACCAGTAGCCAGCAAGAAAAGTGGCAGAGACAGAACTCAACTCCAACTTCTGACTCCTCACCAAGAGCTCATCCCAGCAGTCTTTCACCCAGGCTGGAGTACAGTGGCACAAACATGCCTCACTACAGCCTCAACCTCCTGGGCTCAAGCGATCCTCCTGCCTCAGCCCCCCAAGTAGCTGAGACTACAGATGCAAGCCACCATGCCTGGCTAATGTCTTTAATTTTTTGTAGAGATGGGGTCTTGCTATGTTGCCCAACCTGGTCCTGAACTTCTGGCCTTAAGTGATCTTCCCAAGTTGGCCTCCCAAAGTGTTGGAATTACAGGCATGAGCCACCACGCCTGGCTGGGTCAGCATTAAGACCTGGACCCAGTTCTGTGTAACTCTCATGCTCATGTCTCCCCCCCATTATGAAGTAACTTCTTGTACAGGGAGAAGTGGCTCCGGTTGCCCCTCCTGACCCCATTAATGCATACCCAAATTCTTTATGGCCGAGTAGGCATTGGAGGGCAAGCCGCCCATGCAGGCCTTGTCCATCTTGTCACAGTCCAAGAGCTCTAGGAGACAGAAGGCTGGTCCCAAGAAGCCCTCCTGAGGGGCTAGGCTGGGGACAGAGGAGTAGAGCGAGATGCTCACCCTGTTCAGAGAGGGAGAGCAGGGTCCCCTGGTTGAGAAACCACTGGCCCTCCACATTGCCTGTGACTGAGAAGGCCCAGCAGGAGCCACACATGCCCTACAAGAGATGGGTGGAGTTGGAGTCAGAGCCGGGCCCCTTCGTCAGCCCCAGTGCAGTGCCCATGTCCCACCCTCACTTCCAGGGGTCCAACCTGGTCTTTGACTTTTGTGACAGCCCCCTTACTCCTCCAGTCCCATTCAGGTGGGGCGAGGTCACCCACAGACTTGGCTTGCTTCATCTTGTTGCCAGGCTCTTTCCTCAGGAGAGTATTCAGGTAGATAGTGCGGAACTCCTCCTCTGCGGGCAAAGGTGGGCAGGGCATGGGGAGGAAGAGTGTTCTAAGCCAGACCTGACCAGAGGCCTTGCGAGCAAGGTCCTGTCTCTTCCTGGATCCATGAGGACTGTGGCCACTATCCCTACCTGTGAGATCACTGAACTTGGTGACTCCATACTGAGCTGTGCCACGGTCCAGGGCCTGGATCTTCTGTGCTCGCACCATGTTATTGACAAAGACGGACAGGCGCCACCGGGCTTCTGAGGACCAAGGAGCAGAAGAGGAGGGGTTCGACCCCAGGCAGATAAAAGGAAGGGCAATTGGGGCTAGCAGGCAGGGGTTTCCCCGGGGAGCAGGTAGGGGTGGGGGCCAGACATGCAAGTGATGGAGTGGGAGGTCTGATCAACTTTTAGGGCCAAACTGAAGTGATGACTTCCCAGGTGCAAAAGCAGTAAATGGGGTCTAAAGGACACCACCCACAAGAGGTGGTGGGGAAAGGCCATGTTGTCAAGGACTCTCCAGCACAAAAAATCCAGCCTCTGCCCCATCCCACCCTGCCAGAGTGATGGAGATGCAGAGCTTCTTTTTTTTTTTTTTGAGACAGAGTTTTCGCTTGTCACCCATGCTGGAGTGCAGTGGCACAATCTTTGCTCACTGCAACCTCCGCCTCCCAGGTTCAAGTGATTTTCCTGCCTCAGCCTCCCGAGTAGCTGGTATACAGGTGTGCGCCACCACACCTGGCTAATTTTTGTACTTTTTTTTTAGTAGAGATGGGGTTTCACCATGTTGGCCAGGCTGGTCTTGAACTCCTGACCTCAGGTAATCTGCCCACCTCGGCCTCCCAAAGTACTGCGATTACAGAGGTGAGCCACCACGCCCGGCCAAGACCCATGGCTTCTGAGCGGGAAGATAAGGTAGGAGAAGGGGCCAGGTACTCAGGGTGGCTGCCAGGCTGGGAAGGCTTAGGGAGAGCTCAGGAATTATGGGGTCCTTGAACAGGTACACTGCCTCTTGTCTTTCTCCTCCCACACACCAAGGTGCCAAGTTGGGGGGAAAGTCCTGTTCTGATAGGAACAGGTACAGCCAAGGCTGGGTCCTCACCTTCCTTTGACTCATATGTCCGGTTATAGGTAATGACAAAGTTCTTGAAGATTGAAGCCATCTTCACAGGCAAGTCCTGGATAGGCAGACCAGTCTTTAGGCTGACCAGAGAAACCCACTCCAGAGGGAAGGGAGAAGGGTGATGAGGCAGCGGCTGGCTCCTCAAGCTGAGGGCTCCTCAAGCTGAGGGCTCCTCACCTGGGACAGGGGATCCTCATTCAACAGGGAAATGACTGAGCTGAAAGTCTCGTTTCTGTTGTCTGGATGGTTTTGGGACAGAGAAGAAATCATGGCTGAGCCCTGAGTGAAGGCTGACTTGGGCTCCCCAGCACCTGGAACCTTGGTGTCCACTGGGCCACAGTCCTTCCGCAGCAGCACGTGTCTTCCGAGCTCATCCAGGACTTGGAAGCTGCAGAGCTGGAGGGAGAGGAAGAAGCTGCTCTGGGGGCCTGGATCTGGATCTGGGGAGCAAGATCTGGCCAAGATGGAGCTGGAGGCTCCTCAGATGAGAGCCACCCCTAAGGCAATCACCCCATCACAGTGGACAGTGAGGCACGGCCTGCACCGGGGCATCCTCCCCTTCATAGCATCTTGGTTTCCAGCCCTCGGGGCCTGGGAAGTGGCTCAAGGTGGGGCAGCAGCTACCTCAGATCCCTGCGTCTTGACCTGACCCGTCATCATCCAACTGCTGCTTTACTCGGCCTCGGGGCGGGGAACCCCAAGAGCCTCATCACTCACCAGGGTTTTCTTGGACACGGGGAGCCGGCACACCATGGGGTCGTTGCAGGGTGGCTCCTCCAGGGTGGCCTCCAGGGAGTACAGCGACCCCTGACCCGCCTGGAGAGAGGAGTAGGTGAGGCGGGCACAGTCGGCCCTTGACGGCGCCCAAGGCCCCGCCCGTGCGGCGCTGCCCATTCCCCATCACCAGAGATCGGTTCGTCCAGCGGGCAGGCCCCATCCCAATGTTAGGTCAAAGCTCCTATCCCTTGGACCCGGGCCTGGCGCCCCCGCCCCCGGCGCGTCCTCACCCGGCGGACGCGGCCGCGCACAAGGCCCAGCACGGCCCGCGTCCCCGCAGCCCGGCCGCGGTTGAACATCTCCAGCGCGAAGCGGGTGGGCGCCAGCAGCTCCGGGGACGGCGGCCCCCAGGCCTGAAAGCTGGCGGCTCGGGGCTGGGCGGGGGCGGCCACTGCGCCCGGGAGCAGCCCCAGCAGCGACAGGAGCTGCAGCCAGGGCGCCATGGCGAGGGCGAAGCCGGCGGCCCGGACCCAACAGACGCTCCACCGACCCACCGGGTACCGAGCCCGCGGCCAGCGGGGCCTGAGTCCTCCCTCCAGCGGGGCGACGGCACGCCGACCAATGGGCGCTGGTTTGCGGCGCCTGCGCGTTCTCTTGTTTACAGGAGGCACGTGGGGCGCGCAGGGTAGGGAGAGCGGGAGGCTGCTGGCCTGAGGCTAAAGCTAGTCACTGACCTCTATCACGTGCTTGTTATATGTTAGGCATGATATGCCAGCTCCTTTTATTCGGCGTAGCAATCTCTGAAGTAGGTGCTATCCCCATCGTACAGTGGAGGAAACGAGGCTTGGAGAGATTAAATGGCGTGGCCGGGCTCTGTGACTCAGCCCTGTAATCCCAGCACTTTAGGAGGCCAAAGCGGGTGGATCACCTGAGGTCAGGAGTTTGAGACCAGTCTGGCACACGTGGTGAAACCCTGTGTCTACTAAAAATACAAAAAAGAGCTGGGCGTGGTGGTGGGCGCCTGTAATCCCAGCTACTTGGGAGGCTGAGCCAGGAGAATCACTTGAACCCAGGAGGCAGAGGTTGCAGTGAGCTCAGATCGTGCCATTGCACTCCAGCCCAGGCGACAAGAGCAAAACTCCGTCTCAAAAAAGAGAGAGAGAGAAATATTAAGTGGCTTGCCAAATATCTGGTAAGGAATTGAGCTAAACTTAAATCCAGGCAGTTGGCTTCTGAGCCTGGGTTTGCAGCTTGATCGCCTCTTTCAGGCCCCTCTTCTCAACAGCGAGATGGCAGGTAATTTTTTGAGTGCTGGCAGCGTCTCAGGCTGTTGTGAGGTTCAAATGCAATCATGCAAGCATTCAGTAGCCACTAAGGCAGGGTGCACAGGGTTGAGACTGTCCCTTGAAGCATTCACCTGCTGTGTTCCAGGGTCTACCAAGGGAAAGCATGCACAGATGCATTACAGGAATAGTGCTGCGTTCTTGGAGCTCACAGTCTAGAGAGAAGAACGACAGATGGGCTGGGTGCAGTGTCTCACGCCTGTAATCCCAGCACTTTGGGAGGCCGAGGCGGGCAGATCACCTGAGCTCAGGAGTTCGAGACCAGTCTGGCCAACGAGGTGAAACCCCGTCACTACTAAAAATATTTTTAGGCCGGGCGCAGTGGCTCACGCCTGTAATCCCAGCACTTTGGGAGGCCAAGGTGGGCGGATCACGAGGTCAGGAGATGGAGACCATCCTGGACAACATGGTGAAACCCTGTCTCTACTAAAAATACAAAAAAATTAGCTGGGCATGGTGGCACGTGCCTGTAATCCCAGCTACTCAGGAGGCTGAGGCAGGAGAATCGCTTGAACCAGGGAGTCAGAGGTTGCAGTGAGCTGAGAGCGCACCATTGCACTCCAGCCTGGTAAGACAGTGAGACTCCATCTCAAAAAAAAAAAAAAATTGAAACTGCCTTTGCAAAATTATGACAGTAAGAGAAATCTGACATGGCTGACTGCATCTTGCTTTCTAGCCTCACAGGCTGGCTGTCTTCACTCATTCCTGGGCATGGGCCAAGGTAACTTTTGGATAAATTTAGCTTATACTTTAAATTAGAATACGCCTTCCTGAAAACTAAACCACCCTTGTAAAACTAATGAAAGGCCACCAAGTTAGGAGGATGAGAGGGGCCTGAATTCTACTAAGATGTAGGCATAGTTAAAGGATTACCAGCCATTGTTCTGGAAGTCACAAGATTTGCAACTTTGCCAGTTACTCCTGTAATTAACATCACTATCATGGAATGTAAGACTGATCTTTTGAGCTATCTCTTCCAGGCTTTTGCATTTGTGACTATGGAATGGCCCCACACTGACGTGTGACTCCACCAGTCCTGTGACCCCTACCCAGAAGCAGACTCAGTGCAGGAGGGCCATTTTCCACACTACTATGATTTCATTCCCAAGCAATCAGTAGCACCCATATCCTAGCCGCCTGCCTACCAAACTATCTTTGAAAAACCCCGACCTCCAAGCCTTCAGTGAGACTGATTGAGTAATAACCCTGTCTCCTGTGTGGCATGGCAGGTCTTGTGTCAGTTAAACTCGTTCTTTTCTGCAATGCTATGGTCTCTGAATTGATTTTGTTTGTGCAGTAGGCAGGAAGAACCCATCTGGGAATTACAAGATCATCTAGTTCAAACCAGAATTGCTACAGCAGCAGAGGTCTAGAGAGACAAAGTGACATTCCAGCTACTCAGACATTAGTGCTGGAGCCAGAGTGGAGCCATCTCAATGCTTCCAGTTGCCAGCTGAGGTCTGAGAGGAGAGGATCTGAGGGATTGCAGCAGATACTAATCTTTCCTTGATTATGCTCTTCCCTCTGTAAATTAAAAATAAAATTCTAATCCCCTCCAACCATCTGAATGGACCCTTCCTCCCAGTCAAAGACATTCCAACGTTAACCTCAACAATGATAATAGTTCAGGCCATAATGGGAAGTGGAAGTTAGGCATGTTTCATTATACTCTCCTCCCTTTGGAATTGAGGCACAACTGACCAGCATTAACATTACAACAGAGATTTTAGGCTGGGCATGGTGGCTCATGCCTATAATCCCAACACTTTGAGAGACAGAGTTGGGAAGATCACTTGAACCCAGGAGTTTGAGACCAGCCTGGGCAACATGGCAAAACCCCATTTCTACGAAAATACAAACGTTAGCCAGGCATAACGGTGTGCGCCTATAGTCTCAGCTACTTGGGAGTCTGAAGTGAGAGGATCTCTTAATCACAGGAGGTTGAGGTTGCAGTGAACCATAATTATGCCACTGCACTACAGCGTGAGTGACAGGGCAAGACCCTGTTTCAAAAAAAACAAAAAAAAAGGGCCGGACGCAGTGGCTCACGCCTGTAATCCCAACACTTTGGGAGGCCGAGGCAGGTGGATCACGAGGCCAGGAGATGGAGACCATCCTGGCTAACACGGTAAAACCCCATCTCTACTAAAAATACAAAAAATTAGCCGGGCGTGGTGGCAGGCGCCTGCAGTCCCAGCTACTCGGGAGGCTGAGGCAGGAGAATGGCGTGAACCTGGGAGGCGGAGCTTGCAATGAGCCGAGATTGCGCCACTGCACTCCAGCCTGGGTGACAGAGCAAGACTCTGTCTCCAAAAAAAAAAAAAAAAAAAAAGCCAGAGATCTTAAGACTTTTTTGCAGTACATTCAAGAATGTAGCAATAAGACATCAAATTCGGCTGGGCGCGGTGGCTCATGCCTGTAATCCCAGCACTTTGGGAGGCCAAGGCAGGCGGATCACCTGAAGTCAGGAGTTCGAGACCAGCCTGGCCAACATGGTGAAACCCTGTCTCTAATAAAAATACAAAAATTGGCCGGGCGTGGTGGCACAAGCCTGTAATCCCAGACACTCAGGAGGCTGAGGCAGGAGAATTGCTTGAATCCAAGACGTGGAAGGTTGCAGTGAGCCGAGATTGCGCCACTGCACTCTAGCCTGAGCAACAGAGTGAGACTCCATCTCAAAAAAAAAAAAAAATTAGTGGGTCATGGTGGTACATGCCTGTAGTCCCAGCTACTCAGGAGGCTGAGGCAGGAGAATCACCTGAACCCAGGAGGCGGAGGTTACAGTGAGCCGAGATTGCGCCATTGCACTCTAACCTGGGTGACAAGAGCAAAACTCCATCTACAAAAAAAAATAAAATAAAATAAAATACAAAAATTAGCGAGGCATGGTGGTGCGTGCCTGTAACCCCAGCTATTCAGGAGGCTGAGGCTTGAATCTGGGAGGCGGAGGTTGCAGTAAGCTGGGATCGCAGCACTGCACTCCAGCTTGGGCGACAGAGTGAGACTCTGTCTCAAAAAAAAAAGACACTATCCTGACTTTAGTATCACATGATAGATATTGATGTATTTTACCCTAAAATATACTTATTTGACATACTTTGAAATGGCCCTGCAAAGCTGTCCCTGTGGGGAAAATCTACATTCTCCAGAGTCCCTTTCCATTTCTAGGTCTTTTTCCTGATCCAGGAGAGACTTCACTAAGAATTTGGCTTTTTTTTTTTTTTTTTTTGAGACAGAGTCTTGCTCTGTTACCCAGGCTGGAGTGTAATTGTGTGATCTCAGCTTACTGCAACCTCCGCCTCCTGGGTTCAAGCGATTGTCCTGCCTCTGCCTCCTGAGTAGCTGGGATTACAGGCACTTGCCACCATGCCCGGCTAATTTTTTGTATTTTCAGTAAAGACAGGGTTTCACTGTGTTGGCCAGGCTGGTCTCAAACTCCTAACCCTGTGATCTGCCTACCTCAGCCTCCCAAAGTGCTGGGATTACAAGTGGGAGCCACTGTGCCCAGCCGAATCTGGCATCTTACATATGTATGTATGTATGTACGTATGTATTTATTTTTGAGACAGAGTTTCACTCTTGTTGCCCAGGCTGGAGTGCAATGGCGCCATCTCAGCTCACTGCAACCTCCGCCTCCTGGGTTCAAGCGATTCTCCTGCCTCAGTCTCCCTAGTAGTTCCTGCCTCAGCCTCCCTCGTAGCTGGGATTACAGGCATGTGCCAGCACACCCAGCTAATTTTTGTATTTTTAGTAGAGATGGAGTTTCACCATGTTGGTCAGGCTGGTTTTGAACTCCTGACCTCGGGTGATCCACCCACTTCGGCTTTCCGGCCTCCCAAAGTGCTGGAATTATAGGCATGAGCTACCATGCCTGGCCTCTGGCATCTTTTTAAATTTGATAAGAAACATTTACAATCTATTATCTCTGAAGCTTGCTACCTGTAGGCTTCATCTGCATAATAATGTTACAGTCCGCCGGCGGGGTGGCTCATGCCTGTAATCCCAGCACTTTGGGAGGCCAAGGCGGGCGGATCACAAGGTCAGGAGATTGAGACCATTCTGGCTAACAAGGTGAAACCCCGTCTCTACTAAAAATACAAAAAATTAGCTGGGCATGGTGGTGGGCACCTGAAGTCCCACCTACTCGGGAGGCTGAGGCAGGAGAATGGCACGAACCCAGAAGGCGGAGCTTGCAGTGAGCTGAGATCGTGCCACTGCACTCCAGCCTGGGTGACAGAGCAAGACTCTGTCTCAAAAAAAAAAAGGTCTGTGTCAGGCCTCTGAGCCCAAGCCAAGCCATCACATCCCCTGTGATTTGCACGTATACGCCCAGATGGCCTGAAATAACTGAAGAATCACAAAAGAAGTGAATATGCCCTGCCCCGCCTTAACTGATGACATTCCACCACAAAAGAAGTGAAAATGGCCAGTCCTTGCCTTAACTGATGACATTACCTTGTGAAAGTCCTTTTCCTGGCTCATCCTGGCTCAAAAAGCTCCCCCACTGAGCATCTTGCAACCCCCACTCTGCCCGCCAGAGAACAACTCCCCTTTGACTGTAATTTTCCTTTATCTACCCAAATCCTATAAAACGGCCCCACCCTTATCTCCCTTCTCTGACTCTCTTTTCAGACTCAGCCCGCGTGCACCCAGGTGAAGTAAACAGCCATGTTGCTCACACAAAGCCTGTTTGGTGGTCTCTTCACATGGACGCGCATGAAATTTGGTGCCGTGACTTAGATCGGGGACCTCCCTTGGGAGATCAATCCCCTGTCCTGTTCTTTGCTCCGTGAAAAAGATCCACTTACGACCTCAGGTCCTCAGACCCACCAGCCCAAAGAACATCTCACCAATTTTAAATCGGGTAAGCAGCCTCTTCTTACTCTCTTCTCCAACCTCTCTATCCCTCAACCACTTTCTCCTTTCCACTCTTCAATCTCTCCCTTCTCTTAATTTCAGTTCCTTTTATTTTCTGGTAGAGACAAAGGAGACACATTTTATCCATGGACCCAAAACTCTGGCGCCGGTCACGGACTGGGAAGGCAGCTTTCCCTTGGTGTTTAATCATTGCAGGGATGCCTCTCTGATTATTCACCCACGTTTCAGAGGTGTCAGACCACGCAGGGATGCCTGCCTTAGTCCTTCACCCTTAGCGGCAAGTCCTGCTTTTCTGAGAGAGGGGCAAGTACCCCAGCCCCTTCTCTCCTTGTCTCTACCCCTTCTCTGCTTTTCTGGGGGAGAGGCAAGAACCCCTCAACCCCTTCTCCTTCACCCTTAGTGGCAAGTCCTGCTTTTCTGGGGGAAGGGCAAGTACCCCAACCTCATATCTCTGTGCCCCGATCCCTTATTTCTGCACCCCAACCTCTTATGTCTCTGCGCCCTGATCCCTTATTTCCGTGCCCCAACCTCGTATCTGCGCCCTGACCCCTTTCCTGCTTTTCTGGAGGGTAAGAACCCCCGAACCGCTTCCCTCCATGTCTCTACTCTCCCTTTTCTTTAAACTTGCCTCCTTCACTATAGGCAAACTTCCACCCTCCATTCCTCCTTCTTCTCCCTTAGCCTGTGTTCTCAAGAACTTGAAACCTCTTCAACTCACACCTGACCTAAAACCTAAATGCCTTATTTTCTTCTGCAGTGCCGCTTGACCCCAATACAAACTCGACAGTGGTTCCAAATAGCCAGAAAACGGCACTTTCAATTTTTCCATCCTGCAAGATCTAAATAATTCTTGTCGTAAAATGGGCAAACGGTCTGAGGTGCCTGACGTCCAGGCATTCTTTTACACATCGGTCCCTCCCTAGTCTCTGTGCCCAGTGCACAGAGACTTTCCCTCCTATCTGTCCCCTCAGTCCCAACCCCAAGTGTCGCTGAGTCTTTCTAATCTTCCTTTTCTGCAGACCCATCTGACCTCTTCCCTCCTCCCCGCTCCCCAGGCTGCTCCTTGCCAGGCGGAGCTAGGTCCCAATTCTTCCTCAGCCTCCACTCCTCCACCCTATAATCTTTTTATCACCTCCCCTCCTCACACCTGGTCCGGTTTACAGTTTCATTCCGTGAGTAGCCCTCCCCCACCTGCCCAGCAATTTCTTCTTAAAAAGGTGGCTGAAGCTAAAGGCATAGTCAAGGTTAATGCTCCTTTTTCTTTATCCGACCTCTCCCAAATCAGTTAGCATTTTTTAGACTCCTTTTCATCAAATATAAAAAACCCAGCCCAGTTCATGGCTCATTCGGCAGCAAGCCTGAGACGCTTTACAGCCCTAGACCCTAAAAGGTCAAAAGGCCGTCTTATTATCAATATACATTTTATTACCCAATCTGCTCCCGACATTAAATAAAAATCCAAAAATTAAATTCTGGCCCTCAAACCCCAAAACAGGACTTAATTAACCTCGCCTTCAAGGTGTACAATAATAGGGGCAGCCAAGTAGCAACATATTTCTGAGTTGCAATTCCTTGCCTCCACTGTGAGACAAACCCCAGCCACATCTCCAGCACACAAGAACTTCCAAACGCCTAAACCGCAGTGGCCAGGCGTTCCTCCAGAACCACCTTCTCCAGGAGCTTGCTACAAGTGCCAGAAATCTAGCCACCAGGCCAAGGAATGCCCGCAGCCTGGGATTCCTCCTAAGCCGTGTCCCACCTGTGTGGGACCCCACTGGAAATCGGATTGTTCAACTCACCTGGAAGCCAGTCCCAGAGCCCCTGGAACTCTGACCCTAGGCTCTCTGACTGACTCCTTCCCAGATCTTCTTGGCTTAGCAGCTGAAGACTGACACTGCCCGATCTCCTCGGAAGCCTACAAGACCATCACAGACGCTCTAGGTAACTCTCACAGTGGAGGGTAAATCTATCCCCTTCTTAATCAATACGGAGGCTACCCACTCCACATTACCTTCTTTTCAAAGGCCTGTTTCCCTTGCCTCCATAACTGTTGTGGGTATTGACGGCCAGGCTTCTAAACCTCTTAAAACTCCCCAACTCTGGTGCCAACTTAGACAATACTCTTTTAAGCACTCCTTTTACTTATCCCCACCTGCCCAGTTCCCTTATTAGGCCGAGACACTTCAACTAAATTATCTGCTTCCCTGACTATTCCTGGAGTACAACTACATCTCATTGCTGCCCTTCTTCCCAATCCAAAGCCTCCTTTGTGTCCTCCTCTTGTATCCCCCCACCTTAACCCACAAGTGTAAGATACCTCTACTTCCTCCTTGGAGACCGATCACGCACCCGTTACCATCTCATTAAAACCGAATCACCCTTACCCCGCTCAATGCCAAGATCCCATCCCACAGCACGCTTTAAAAGGATTAAAGCCTGTTATCACTCGCCTGCTACAGCATGGCCTTTTAAAGCCTATAAACTCTCCTTACAATTCCCCCATTTTACCTGTCCTAGAACCAGCAAAAGCTCCCCTGCTGAGTACCTTGTGACCCCCACTCTGCCCGCCAGAGAACAACCCCCTTTGACTGTAATTTTCCTTTATCTACCCAAATCCTATAAAACGGCCCCACCCTTATCTCCCTTCGCTGACTCTCTTTTTGGACTCAGCCCGCCTGCACCCAGGTGAAATAAACAGCCATGTTGCTCACACAAAGACTGTTCGGTGGTCTCTTCACACGGACACGCATGAAAATCTGCAGCAATTTTTACAAGAGAGTGGAGGGCCCAGCAAGCTCAGTCGGTAGAGCATGAGACGCTTACATGGGAGTAAAGTTTAATTTATTTTGTTTTTCTTTCTCTCTCTTTTTTTTTTTCTTTTGAGAGGGAGTCTTGCTAATTTACACCATTCTCCTGCCTCAGCCTCCTGAGTAGGTGGGACTACAGGCGCCCACCACAACACCCAGCTAATTTTTTGTATTTTTTTAGTAGAAACAGGGTTTCACTGTGTTAGCCAAGATGGTCTTGATCTCCTGACCTCGTGATCCGCCCGTCTCGGCCTCCCAAACTGCTGCAAACTGCTGGGATTACAGGCGTGAGCCACCACACTGGGCCTTCTTTTTTTTTTTTTTTTTTAAAGACAGGCTCTTGCCAAACACGGTGGCTCATGCCTATAATCCCAGCACTTTGGGAGGCCAAGGCAGGTGGATCACCTGAGGTCAGGAGTTCGAGACCAGCCTGGCCAACATGGCAAACCCTGCGTCTACTAAAAATACAAAAATTAGCCAGGGGTGGTGGCATGCACCTCTAACCCCAGCTACTCAGAAGGCTGAGGCAGGAGAATCACTTCAACCCAAGAGGCAGAGGTTGCAGTGAGCTGAGATTGCACCACTGCACTCCAGCCTGGGAGATGGAGCAAGACTTTGTCTCAAAAAAAAAAAAGTTGCCAGGTGTGGTGGTGGGTGCCTCTAATCCCAGCTACTTGAGAGGCTGAGGCAGGAGGATTGCTTGAGCCCACAAGTCCAACCTAGGCAACACAGAGAAACCTGCATCTCTCTTAAATAAAAAATTTTAAAAGAGGGTAAAATCATAGCCTTTGGAGTCAGACTGACCAACCTGGGTTCTAATTCTGGTTCTGCCTCTTCGAATTGACTATGTGACCATGAGCAAGTTACTTTGTTTTTGGAGCCTATTTGTACATACAGAAAGAGCACCTGGCCTGATTAGGCTCTTCTGATCTTTAGTAGACATGAGCCAGGCATGCTGGACACCCTGCAGTGTTTGGGACAGTCCTGCAAAACAGATCATTGTTCCATGTCCTGCACAACTTTCTAATGTCCTATAAGTTATTTACATGAGTGGAAAACCTGCTTATAGTTATGAGCTGAAAACCCTAACTCTGTTAGTTATGTAAACACATTATATTATATACACAGTTTTAGTATATACTGAATTTTCCAGGAATGTAGCTAAATGTAAATCAAAAGAATTTTCCTTACATGAGCTCAGATCTTTACAAGGAGTCATTCACCATTCACAAGATCATGTCTCTGAAGTTAACATGCCTGTATCAGTCTGTATTTAAGAGTGGTCCCAAGCCAGGCTCACACCTGTAATCACAGCTGCTTGGGAGGCCAAAGAGGGAGGATCACTTGAGGCCAGGAGTTCAAGACCAGCCTGGGAAACATAATGAGATTTCATCTGAAAAAAGAAAAGAAAGAAAGAAGGAATGAAGGAAGGAAGGAAGAGAAAACAAAAAAGAGAACAGTCCCACTTCACAATGACCATTTCAGATGTCTTCTAGTGTGATCCTGACCAAGGCTGTGCATATGGAAATGTAGATTTCTTTCTTTCTTTTTTTCTTGAGATGGAGTCTTGTTCTGTCACCCAGGCTGGAGTGGAATGGCGCGATCTCTGCTTGCTGCAACCTCCACCTCCCAGGTTCAAGTGATTCTCCTGCCTCAGATTCCCTAGTAGCTGGGATTACAGGTACGCAGCATCACCACACATGGCTAATTTTTGTATTTTTAGTAGAGACGGTGTTTCACCATATTGGCCAGGCTGGTCTGGAACTCTCCACCTCAAGTGATCCACCTGCCTCAACTTCCCAAAATGCTGGGATTACAGGTGTGTGCCACTGAGGCCGGCCAATATTTCACTATTATATTATTATTGTTATTATTTATTATTATTATTTTAGTAGAGATGGAGTTTTGCCATGTTGCCGAGGCAGGTTTCCAACTCCTGGGCTCAAGTGATCCGCTGCCTCGGCCTCCCAAAGTGCTGGGATTACAGGCGTGCGCCACCGCGCCCGGCCTACCTCTTTCTTTTGAGGCCACCCCTTCTTCCCACCGCTAAGCGTTCCAGAATCCACAGTGATTAATTCGTCCGAAAGAGCAGGGGAGTGAGGGAGGACTGGATTCTGAGGGTGCTGGCAGAACAACTGGAGTCGGGGGTCCACGGCGGTCATGACTATCGACACACGGTGGCGCTGTTGAGGCTCGGTCCTGCGCATTCCCGAGTGTCAGGAGCCCTGGAAGAAGTTGCAGGCTTCTCACCTCCCACGCAGCCACTGCACTCCGAAGCGCAACCACTGAGTCAGGGAGGCAGGGCCAGAGAGGAGTTTGGCATCACCGGATAAAAATCAGCCGTAATTTACATCCCCTACGTGTGGCTAAAAGTTAAAATGGACAGATCTGGGTCCTGCGCTTCACACCACCTACATAGCATCAACGCCTGGATGTCAAACTTAGCCAGAGCTGCGTATTGTTTTCATCCTCACCCGTCCTCAGGAATCTCCCATCCCAGCATATGGCATCACTATTCCCCCAGCTCTTCAGTCCAGAGAATTGGAAATGTCATTGATTCTTCCTTTGCCTTCATGCCGCACGTCTAGCCCATCTCCAAGTGCCCTGGAGTCCAGCCCTCCCCCCAATATCTCTCCAATCTGTCCACTTCTCCCCATTCCCGTAGCCGCCGCTTATGACCAAGCCCTCACCATTGCTTGCCTGACCGAATCCACTCCTGCCTCCAACAAGCTCCTCTGCAGGCCACAGCTGGAGGGACCTCCTTAAACATAAACCGGCCGGCACGGTGGCTCACGCCTGTAATTCCAGCGCTTTGGGAGGTCAAGGCAGGTGGATCGCCTGAGGTCAGCAGTTCAAGACCAGCCTGGCCAACATGGTGAAACCCTATCCCTACTAAAAATACAAAAATTAGCTGGGCATGGTGGCGCACACCTGTAATCCCAGCTACTGGGGAGGCTGAGGCAGGAGAATTGCTTAAACCCGGGAAGCAGAGGTTGCAGTGAGGGGAGATCCTGACACTGCACTCCAGCCTGCACAAGAGAGCAAAACTCTGCCTCAAAAACAACGATTGCCGGGCACAGTGGCTCACTCCTGAAATCCCAGCACTTTGGGAGGCCGAGGTGGGCGGATCACGAGGTCAGGTGTTTGAGACCAGCCTGGCCAACATAGTGAAACCCCGTCTCTACTAAAAATACAAAAAATTAGCTGGGCATGGTGGAGGGCGCCTGTAATCTCGGCTACTTGGGAGGCTGAGGCAGGAGAATCGCTTGAAGCCGGGAGGCAGAGTTTGCAGAGAGCCGAAATCGTGCCACTGCACTCCAGCCTGGGCAACAGAGCGAGACTCCATCTCAAAAAAAAAAAAAATTACAATATCACATTACTTAAGATGGGGTATAGGTGAATTTGATCAAGTATGATAAGGTTGGGGCTCCCAAGAGGGACTAAGGTCAACAAGGGTGAAAAAATGGCACGGCTTGGCCCTTAGTTGGTTTGCCCTAATATTTGTAGAATGAATGAATGGATGGGGATGGATGGGCATATGAATGGATAGAATGGATAGATGGATAGAAGGATAGACATTCCAGGCCCCAGGCTGGAGTGCAGTGGCGCAATCTCGGCTCACTGCAACCTCTGCCTCCCAGGTTCAAGCGATTCTCCTGCCTCAGCCTCCCAAGTAGCTGGGACTACAGGCACCCACCACCATGCATGGCTAATTTTTTGTATTTTTAGTAGAGATGGGGTTTCACTGTGTTAGCCAGGATGGTCTTGATCTTCTGACCTGGTGATCCGCCCACCTCGGCCTCCCAGAGTGCTGGGATTACAGCTGTGAGCCACCGCGCCTGACCATGGGCCTCATGTTTTGAGACCAGACTTCTTTCCTGGACTGAATTCATCTCAGGGACTGTCCCTTAGCCTTGCGTGGGCAGCTCTGATCCACCTCCAGATCTTCCTGCTGAATCACGTCAAGAGTTAGATTGGGATACTGACTTTCCCCACCTCCACTCCCACCCCTAAAAGCCCCAGGGCCTCATACACAAATGGATTCACATCCTCCTCACTACTTTCTTTGCCAAGATCTCAGGCTATAGCACTTTAGAGCTTTCCAAAAGCTTCCTGTTACACCATAATCCCAGAATGACCTCTAACTCACTTCACCTTTGCATAACTCAGAGGAGACATTCAACAACAATCATAATAATACTCAGCTAGTGCTTGCTTTGGGCTCAGTGCGAAATCCTTCTCAGGAATTATCTTTTAATTTAAAAAGGTCATCTTAGGTGGTCTGAGGCCTGCAGACCTAGGAGGGCATGACATCTTAACAATTAAATCCCTGCCTTAACCAGCTGGCAAGTCGTCATTTGGAGGTTTGGTCAGATTTACGTATATTGATTTAAAACCTGAAGCTAGTCACACACCTGGACTAACACCACCATCTGTGGGGTGGGGGTGGGTACAAGTGTGGAAGCCTGTGATGCAAGAGCTGCAAGAAATCTGTCTGGGCCGGATGTGGGGGGCCCATGCCTGTAATCCCAGCACTTTGGGAGGCCAAGGTGGGAGGATTGCTTGAGGTCAGGGGTTTGAGGCCAGGCTGGGCAACATAGTGAGACTCTGTCTCTACAAAAAAAAATTTTTTTTCTTTTTGAGATTAAAGTCTCACTCTGTTGCCCAGGTTGGAGTGCAGCAGCACAATCTCAGCTCACTCCAACCTCCGCCTCCCAGGTTCAAGCGATTCTCCTGCCTCAGCCTCTGGAGTAACTGGGATTACAAGCATGAGCCACCATGCCTGGCTAATTTTTCTCTTTTTTTTTTTTTTTTTAGACAGAGTCTCACTCTGTCACCCAGGCTGGAGTGCAGTGGTGCCATCTCAGCTAACTGCAACCTCCGCCTCCTGGGTTCAAGCGATTCTCCCGCCTCAGCCTCCCGAGTAGCTGGGACTATAGGTGCGCACCACTACACCTGGCTAATTTTTTGAGTTTTTAGTAGAGACAGGGTTTCGCCATGTTGGCCATGCTGGTCTCGAACTCCTGACCTCAAGTGATCCACCTGCCTCGGCCTCCCAAAGTGCTAGGTTTACAGGTGTGAACCACTGCACCCACCCTAATTTTTGTATTTTTAGCAGAGATGGAGTTTCACCATGTTGCCCATGCTGGTCTCAAACTCCTGACCTCAAGTGACCCACCCCACCTCAGCCTCGCAAAGTGCTGGGATTATGGGCCTGAGTCGTTGTGCCCAGCCTACAAAAAAAGTATTTTTTTTTTGAGATGGAGTCTCGCTCTGTTGCCCAGGCTGGAATGCAGTGGCGCCATCTCAGCTCATTGCAAACTCTGCCTCCCGGGTTCACGCCATTCTCCTGCCTCAGCCTCCTGATTAGCTGGGACTACAGGCGCCCGCCACCACACCAGACTAATTTTTTGTATTTTTAGTAGAGACGGGGTTTCACCGTGTTAGCATGTTAGCCAGGATGGTCTTGATCTCCTGACCTATGATCCACCTGCCTCGGCCTCCCAAAATGCTGGGATTATAGGTGTGAGCCACCACGCCCAGCCCAAAAAAATTTTCTTAAAGAAAATGGAAAAATTATAAATTCTCTCTCTCTCTGTTTTTGCCATATCTGTGGAGTCCTGATGTTAGAAATGCTTCTTCCCCAGTGCCACAAAGAAATAGCACTTGAACATAAATTTAATTTTCTCAGCAAGGCCATTTTTACTTCCTGCAGAAAGGGTATACTCGCCAGCAGTTTTGCCACGAGAGTGCACTGAACAAAGGAGACTGGGTTGTTTATAACCTGATGGATCCACCCTACTGCTGTGTCCAATTTCCATTGGCTGGAAGAGGACCTCACATTCTGTATTTGTCCCGATTGGCTAGCAACTTAGAACTTTCTAAAAGAGGCAAAGGCAGAGAACAAAGGAAGAAGGAAGTAACTTGTGGAATGCTGAGAAAGGTAAAAACACCTCCAAATAAGGAGGAGGAACAGGCTATGACCTAATGCTTGCTTGGACCAGTATAAGCATGGCAGGGCAAGTATTTAGGCTAAATTGTGGGAGCTAAGAACACAAAGCACATTGATTTTTTTATTACAGCTAGCAGATATCTAAGAATGTTAGCACAGATATTTGAATACATTTTGCTTCTAAGAGAAGTTACTATTTATTCCTAATTAGACAGGGAGGAAAATCTCTTTGAAGAGGAATCTCTACTTTACTTTTTACACTTATAAAATCAGTAAGCAACAAGAGAGGAGTCCCAGGTGGGGGAGAACAATTGTTCCAAGAGACAGTTAATCACAGACAAGTCACTGGCACAACTTCTGTTCCCCAATACCTCTCTTCGCATGTAGCCCCTCCAGGACAACCCTGTAAAACTTCCCTCCAGCCCCTGCCTCTTTGCAGACAGCCCCGTCTCTGCTGTGCTTCCCATTGCTTCCTTGCATCGTACTCTCCCTCTGATAAATCTGCCTTTCTTTCCCCATGATTGTCTTGGTAAATTCTTTTACTGCCCACAACACTGGCTCCAGCCAGTCGCACCTGCAACATATTTCTCTCTGCCTCTGCCTCTCTCTTTTTTTCTTTTTTTGTAGAGACAGAGACTCCATCTCCTTTTTTTTTTTTTTTTTTTTGAGACGGAGTCTCGCTTTGTTGCCCAGGCTGGAGTGCAATGGCATGATCTCAGCTCACTGCAAGCTCCGCCTCCCGGGTTCATGCCATTCTCCTGCCTCAGCCTCCCAAGTAGCTGGGACTACAGGCGCCTGCCACCAAGCCCAGCTAATTTTTTGTATTTTTAGTAGAGACAGGGTTTCACCATGTTAGCCAGGATGGTCTCGATCTTGGGATCCACCCTCCTTGGCCTCCCAAAGTGCTGGGATTACAGGCATGAGCCACCGCACCCGGCCTCCATCTCCATTTTAAAAAAAAATAATAATAATAATTTTAAAAAATCTCAAGGGCTGGGCACAACGGTCCATGCCTGTAATCCCAGCACTTTTGGGAGGCAGGTGGATTACTTGAGCTTAGGAGTTCAAGACCAGTCTGAGCAACATGGTGAAACCCCATCTCTACTAATAATACAAAAATTAGTCAGGCATGGTGGGACATGCCTGTAATCCCAGCTACTGAGGGGTCTGAGGCACAAGAATCACTTGAACCCAGGAGGTGGAGATTGCAGTGCACCGAGATCATGCCATTGCACTCCAGCCTGGCTGACAGAGTACAACTCTGTCTCAGAAACAAACAAGAAAAATATTTTTAAAAAGAAATCTCACCAGGCGCGGTGGCTCACACTTGTAATTCCAGCACTTTGGGAGGCTGAGGTGGGCAGATTGCCTGAGGTCGGGAGTTGGAGACCAGCTTGATCAACATAGAGAAACCCCGTCTTTACTAAAAAAATACAAAATTAGCCGGGAGTGGTGGTGCATGCTTGTAATCCCAGCTACTCGGGAGGTTGAGGCAGGAGAATCGCCTGAACCCGGGAGGCAGAGGTTGCAGTGAGCCAAGATCGTGCCATTGCACTCCAGCCTGGGCAACAAGAGCAAAACTCCATCTCAAAAATAAATAAATAAATAAATAAATAGTAGAAATTGGGTGACTCCAAAGCCCGTGTCTTTCTGCTACCATGGGGATAAGGGAGAACAAGGCACCAGGAGGTCCTTTTTTTGAGACAAAATCTTGCTCTGTCGCCCAGGCTGGAGTGCAGTGGTGCGATCTTGGCTCACTGCAACCTCTGCCTCCCAGGTTCAAGCAATTCTCCTGCCTCAGCCTCCCGAATAGCTAGGATTACAGGTGTGTGCCACCATGCCCAGCTAGTTTTTGTATTTTTATTAGAGATGAGGTTTCGCCATGTTGCCCAGGCTGGTCTTGAACTCCTGACCTCTGGTGATCCACACACCTCAGCCTCACAAAGTGCTGGGATTACAGGTGTGAGCCACCGCGCCCGGCCAGGAGGTCCTTTTTGACATTGGTTCCAACTCATCTTCTGCCATGGCCCTGTGCTCACTGCCTATTCATAGAGCCCCACTGCCCCACTTTGCCCCAACCATTAAAGTCTTCTGTCCTGTAGACTCCTAATTGTTGTCAGCTTTTAACCATGAACTCAGCTAAGAGACTAGGCCACTGGCCTGGGAGGAAAGAAAAAGAAAAAACAAACTGGGCAACTGCTATGTGCTGAGCAGCCCAATCACTGTGCCCAGCAGGGAGTTTCCCATACCTCCGCTCATTAATGCCCACAAAGACCCCCAAAATCTACCAGCTCATGCCCAGGCTAGTCTCGAACTCCTGAGCTCAAGTGATCCGCCCACCTCAGCCTCCCAAAGTGTTAGGATTATAGGTGTGAGCCACTGCGCCCGGCCACCACAATCAATTTTAGAGTATTTTCGTCACCCCTAAAATAAACCCCATACCTATTAGCAGTCACTCTCATTTCCCCCAACCTCCCCCGGCCCCTGGTAACCATTAATCTAATTTTTATTTCTATGAATTTGCTTATTCTGGATATTTCATATAAATGGAATCATCCAATATGTGATCTTTTGTGTCTGGTGTCTTTCATTCAGCATGATTTTTTTTTGTTTGTTTTGTTTTGTTTTGTTTGAGATGGAGTCTTGCTCTGTTGTCCAGGCTGGAGTGCAGTGGTGCAATCTCTGCTCACTGCAACCCCTGCCTCCCAGGTTCAAGGGATCCTCCTGCCTTAGCCTTCTAAGTAGCTGGGACAGGCGTGCACCACCACACCCAGATAATTTTTGTATTTTTGGTAGAGATGGGGTTTCACCATGTGGACCAGGCTGGTCTCAAACTCCTGACATCAGGTGATCTGCCAGCCTCAGCCTCCCAAAGTGCTGGGATTACAGCTGTGAGCCACTGCACCCGGCCTCCATGTTGTCCTTTTTATTATGACTATTGCTATCCTAGTGTGTGTGCAGTGGTATCTTATTGTGGTTTTGATTTGCCTGTCTTTAGTAAATATGATATTGAGCATCTTTTTATGTGTTTATTGGCCATTTGTATATCTTCTTTGGAGAAATATCTATTCAAATCCTTCACCAATGTAAAAACTGAGTTATTTGCCTTTCTTAATTGTTAAGATTTATATATTCTAGATACGATTCCCTTATCAGGTTTATGATCACAGATATTTTCTCCTATTCTGTGTCTTTCACTTGCTTGATGGTGTCCACAGAAGCACAAGTTTTACATTTTGATCTATCACTTATTAACTGTAAGACCTGAGCAGGCCTGATGCAGTGGCTCACACCTGTAATCCCAGCACTTTGGGAGGGCAAAGTGGGACGATGGCTTGAGCTCAAGAGTTCCAGCCTGCAGAGAGCTATGATTGCACCACTGCATTCCAGCCTGGATGACAGAGAAGGACCTGGTCGCTAAGATTTTGAGCAAATTGCTCTGCTTCTCTGAGCATTTCTCACCTGTGAAGTGAGCATGATGATGTCTTGTAGGCATAGGATAAAACTATAATGAGGTGAGAAACACAAAGGCCAGATCACAGAGCTTGGTTAGGCTCAGGTAGAATCTATACTTAGCCGAGACTCTCGTGGGAGGAAGGGAATGTCTCTGAGGCTGCAGGTCATGGGTGATCCACAGGACTCCCCATGCCTCTTTCCCCCATTATTTCCACTGTATGTGTTTATTGGCTCTGTCTGAACCTACTCCTTGAGGGCAGAGATTTCTCAGCTTTCCTGATTGCTGCTTCTTCACTGCCTAGCACACTGCCACACCCATAGACAATGTACATCAAATATATGATGGATGAATGAAAAGGAAATGAAATCCCCCACTCAAGGCTGCACTCCAGCCTGAGCAACAGAGCAAGACCCTAGCTCAAAAATATATATATATATATTTGGGGCCAGGCACGGTGGCTCACGCGTGTAATCCAAGCACTTTGGGAGGCAGAGGTGGGCGGACCACGAGGTCAGGAGATCAAGACCATCCTGGCTAACAAAGTGAAACCCCGGCTCTCCCTCTCCCTCTCCCTCTCCCTCTCCCCACGGTCTCCCTCTCTTTCCATGGTCTCCCTCTCATGCGGAGCCGGACTGGACTGTACTGCTGCCATCTCGGCTCACTGCAACCTCCCTGCCTGATTCTCCTGCCTCAGCCTGCCGAGTGCCTGCGATTGCAGGCACGCGCCGCCACGCCTGACTGGTTTTGGTGGAGACGGGGTTTCGCTGTGTTGGCCGGGCCGGTCTCCAGCCCCTAACCGCGAGTGATCCGCCAGCCTCGGCCTCCCGAGGTGCCAGGATTGCAGACGGAGTCTCGTTCACTCAGTGCTCAATGGTGCCCAGGCTGGAGTGCAGTGGCGTGATCTCGGCTCGCTACAACCTACACCTCCCAGCCGCCTGCCTTGGCCTCCTAAAGTGCCGAGATTGCAGCCTCTGCCCGGCCGCCACCCCGTCTGGGAAGTGAGGAGTGTCTCTGCCTGGCCGCCCATCGTCTGGGATGTGAGGAGCCCCTCTGCCTGGCTGCCCAGTCTGGAAAGTGAGGAGCGCCTCTTCCCAGCCGCCATCCCATCTAGGAAGTGAGGAGCGCCTCTTCCCAGCCGCCATCACATCTAGGAAGTGAGGAGCGTCTCTGCCCGGCCGCCCATCGTCTGAGATGTGGGGAGTGCCTCTGCCCCGCGGCCCCATCTGGGATGTGAGGAGCACCTCTGCCCGGCCGCGACCCCGTCTGGGAGGTGAGGAGCGTCTCTGCCCGGCCACCCCGTCTGAGAAGTGAGGAGACCCTCTGCCTGGCAACCACCCCGTCTGAGAAGTGAGGAGCCCCTCCGCCCGGCAGCTGCCCCGTCTGAGAAGTGAGGAGCCTCTCCGCCCGGCAGCCACCCCATCTGGGAAGTGAGGAGCCCCTCCGCCCGGCAGCCACCCCGTCCGGGAGGGAGGTGGGGGGTCAGCCCCCCGCCCGGCCAGCCGCCCCGTCCGGGAGGGAGGTGGGGGGGTCAGCCCCCCGCCCGGCCAGCCGCCCCGTCCGGGAGGTGAGGGGCACCTCTGCCCGGCCGCCCCTACTGGGAAGTGAGGAGCCCCTCAGCCCGGCCAGCCACCCCATCTGGGAGGGAGGTGGGGGGGTCAGCCCCCCGCCCGGCCAGCCGCCCCATCCGGGAGGTGAGGGGGTGCCTCTGCCCGGCCGCCCCTACTGGGAAGTGAGGAGCCCCTCTGCCCGGCCAGTCGCCCCGTCTGGGAGGGAGGTGGGGGGGTCAGCCCCCCGCCCGGCCAGCCGCCCAGTCCGGGAGGGAGGTGGGGGGGTCAGCCCCCCGCCCTGCCAGCCGCCCAGTCCGGGAGGGAGGTGGGGTGGTCAGCCCCCCGCCCGGCCAGCCACCCCGTCCGGGAGGGAGGTGGGGGGGTCAGCCCCCCGCCCGGCCAGCCGCCCCGTCCGGGAGGTGAGGGGCGCCTCTGCCCGGCCGCCCCTACTGGGAAGTGAGGAGCCCCTCTGCCCGGCCAGCCGCCCCGTCCGGGAGGGAGGTGGGGGGTCAGCCCCCCGCCCAGCCAGCCGCGCCATCCGGGAGGTGAGGGGCGCCTCTGCCCGGCCGCCCCTACTGGGAAGTGAGGAGCCCCTCTGCCCGGCCACCACCCCGTCTGGGAGGTGTACCCAACAGCTCATTGAGAACGGGCCAGGATGACAATGGCAGCTTTGTGGAATAGAAAGGCGGGAAAGGTGGGGAAAAGATTGAGAAATCGGATGGTTGCCGTGTCTGTGTAGAAAGAAGTAGACATGGGAGACTTTTCATTTTGTTCTGCACTAAGAAAAATTCTTCTGCCTTGGGATCCTGTTGATCTGTGACCTTACCCCCAACCCTGTGCTCTCTGAAACATGTGCTGTGTCCACTCAGGGTTAAATGGATTAAGGGCGGTGCAAGATGTGCTTTGTTAAACAGATGCTTGAAGGCAGCATGCTCGTTAAGAGTCATCACCAATCCCTAATCTCAAGTAATCAGGGACACAAACACTGCGGAAGGCCGCAGGGTCCTCTGCCTAGGAAAACCAGAGACCTTTGTTCACTTGTTTATCTGCTGACCTTCCCTCCACTGTTGTCCCATGACCCTGCCAAATCCCCCTCTGTGAGAAACACCCAAGAATTATCAATAAAAAAATAAATTAAAAAACAAAGTGAAACCCCGTCTCTACTAAAAATAAAAAAAAATTAGCTGACCGTGATGGTGGGCACCTGTAGTCCCAGCTATTCAGGAGGCTGAGGCAGGAGAATGGCATGAACCCAGGAGGCGGAACTTGCAGTGAGCCGAGATTGCGCCACTGTACTCCAGCCTGGGCGACAGAGCGAGACTCCCTCTCAAAAGAAAAAATATATATATATACACACATATATATATACACACACACATATATATGTGTGTGTATGTGTGTGTGTATATATATATATTTGTTTTTTTTTTAAGAAACTCAAAAAATTAGCCAGGTGCAGTGGTGAGCAGCTGTAGTCCCAGCTACTTAGGAGGCTGAGGCAGGAGGATTGCTTGAGCCCAAGAGTTCAAGCTGCAGTGAGCTATGATCAGGCCACTGCACTCCAGCTTGGGCAACAGAGCAAGACCCCATCTCTAAAATTGAAAAAAAAAAAAAAATCCAGGTGCTGTAGCTCATACCTGTAATCCCAGCACTTTTGGAGGTTGAGGCAGGTGGATCGCCTGAGCTCAGGAGTTTGAGACCAGCCTGGCCAACGTGGTGAAACCCTATCTCTACTAAAAATACAAAAATGAGCCATGCGTGGTGGCAGGCGCCTGTAATCCCAGCTACTCAGGAGGCCGAGGCAGGAGAATCGCTTGAACCAGGGAGGCAGAGGTTGCAGTGAGCTGAGATTGTACCACTGCATTCTAGCCTGGGCAACAGAGTGAGACTCTGTCTCAAAAAATAAATAAATACATAAATAAAAATTAAATTAAATTTAAAAATTGTAACACTTATCCCCACAGCACGAAACAGACATTGGAGGTGGGTATGGGAAGGCTTACTTTTCAGTACACATCCTGGTATACTTTGTACCATGTGCACGTAACTGGTAAAAATTTAATTAATTTTCTTCTTCCTAATAGTGTTTGAGAACTAAAAGAGGTGACAATTTAATGTAGTGTGATAGGAATGCTAAAGTGAGTTGTTCCAAAGATCACCTTTGCCTCTGACCCTTCCCACTACAATTAACTCCAAGGTCTCAGTTCTTTTGATATAGGAGATTTGGCTTGTATTGTGCAAGGCTTGACATAATGGGACTACTAGGCTTGGGGATTCTTTCATGAGAATTTCACTAAGAAAACAATAGTTTTAGTCTCAATCCCTTCATAGTTGGAAGCATAATGTTCCTGAACCCTCCACTCCCAGATATAGACAAATATTTCTTCTTCCAAAGCAGTAAAGAGGTCTAGATGAGCTGCTGGCCATTTAGGGGTGAGGGAGGCATTTGAGGGCACTGGGCCTGGTCAAGGAGTAATAGGGGTATTCCCAGGAGCTACTAAAGGCTGGCTGCTGAGCTCCTGAACAGGGTTGACTGGTGGGGATCCTTCAGGGCCGAGACCAGGTGGCGAACCCGCCGCTGCTGTTGCAGCCAATAGAGCATCTCCACTTTGTCACTCTTCATCTTGTCCAGGTAGGGCCGCCCCTTGAAGATCACTGGCTCGCCAAAGATTAACTCTATCTCCTCCAGGAGGGAAACCAAAGAAGACTCCATTAAGTTGAGCTTCCTGTGGAGATGGCTTCGGACCTGATTCTCCTCCAGGAAGTGACTGGAGCTCAAGTTGGTCTTTTTGAAGAAGCGGTTGGGATTGGAAGCTTGTCCCTCAAACCACTCTAGTCTCGCCAGCAATGCCTCCCGCAGCTGAATGGGCTTCAGGGCCCGCTCCCAGGCATTCACCAATGAAGGCAGCTGCCTCAGGCGGGCTTTGGAGCTATATTTAATGGTCATGTCCACCTGGTCCTTGTCAGGGACCTCAAGCACAGACCACAGTTGTTCCAGATGCTTCTGCAGGCTCAGAATTTTGTGGGGTTCTCCCAGGTGGGGTGTCTTCCCAGCTCCTAGCCTGTGCTCTAGCACAGTGTTCCAATCCCACTCTCCTGGCACAAAGTCTGGTTCTTCATCTTCTAGCAATGGGGGAGGGTGCTGAATCTCTAGGGACTCTCTGGCAGGGGCCACAATCTCCACAGGAACCTCTTCTTCATGCATTTGAAAGATGACATGAAGGAAATCTGTTTCATGGTTGGTGAGGTACTTGAAGTAGTCATCCACAGACAAGGTGGTTTTCCATGAGTTCATCAAGGAGGCCTTGTTTGACCACTTCTCCCAGCTTTTGGTAGCTTGGAGTGATGGGAGGGAGGGCATCTTCTTAGTATTGGACTGTAAAGTGTTTGCTCTCTGGGAGTAAAGTCCAACCAGCTCAGGGTTGATGATTTGAGGCTGTTTTTCTTGACGTAGAAAGGCTGAGGACAGGAAGGTCGACCAGTCTTTATCTGCTGCAGGCTCAACTAGGGGCCCTTGATCAAAATGTAAGTGGTCAGAAGAGACATGGCTCATCAACTCCTTGTAGACCTCCCTGGTAGTACTGCCAACAAAGTTATCAATATCCATTTTTTCAATGGCTTTGGGATCCAGTTCACCAGCCAGATGGTTATACAGGGCTCCGGCCCCCTCAATGTGGAAAGAGTCTAAGAAGTTTCTATCAGAGACCCGTACGGCAGCCGCCTGGACCACGACCTCATTTCTAAGCTTCAAAGTAATGGTCACTGGCTGTGGGTGAAGTGGAAAGGATTTGGGGGGCTGGGGGTCCCACTGCCCAGAGGCTTCTTCCTCCTGGAGGTTCCTCAACATCTTCTCCAGCTCCTCCAGGCGATGCCCTGCAGCTGGGTGACGGGTCACAACCCCCAGGAGAGGAGGCAGGCCTGAGTCCAGTGGTGGGTAGCGAGTCCCCTCCAACTTCATCTTCTTTATCAACTGCTTCAGATCCTCAGCCACGATGAGCCCAGTCAGCTCTGGTTTGCTCTCTGTAGCCAAGACCAGCGGGGTTAAGGGGCGAGATGGGAGTGGAGGAAGGCCCAACTCATCTGCCAGCCTCCAGCCCTCACGCAGGGAGGGCATGGATTGGCCTCTCCGGAGCTCAGGGCAGAAAGGCGAGGGGGAAGCCCTGCTGGTGGGGGCCACAGGATAGCTGGGCAGCGACACCATCTGTGAGGAACTGATGTCGATTTCTCTCTTCTTTCCTATGGAGGGCAGCCAGTGGAAAGGCTTTTTCCTCTTCAACCGAGGGATGGACTTCAATTCCTTCACTGGATCCATCCTTCCTGGCTCATTGAGAAACTCTGGTGGACGGCTGAGTTGGATGAGGTAGTTCAGGTTGAGGTTAGAGCACTGCACTTGGGCGAAGCCAGTGCTGTGAGGCCAGGGGATAGGGCACAGCTTGAACGTCCCAGCGGGGCAGACAGGGTGCAGCTTGTCCACATCCCCAGAGGCCTGCTCTGCCCTCAGCAGGGCCTGGAAGTCGGCAAGCAGGCCACGGTAGACGTTGGGACTAGTAAGGAAGAGTGTGCAGTCCCTGGCGAGGCTGGCGGCCAACCGGGTGAGGGTGGCTGATTCAGTGAAGACCCCCCTGGGAGTCGACATGGTCACCAGCAGGTGCAGGTAGCGCAAGAAGAGCTGCTCGCTGCTCAGCAGCACGTAGGCCTCGAGCCGCTTCCGCAGCTTCTGGTTGTTTTTGTGGCTCAGACTAAGTTCGGCGGGCGGCTCCCGCCAGCTGCACTTCAGCTCGTCCAGGATGACCTTGATGAGACGTAGTCGGGCCTCAGGAGGCACTCCCGCTGCTATCCCGCTGCCGGCCAGCAGCTTGGCCACCTGGCTGCACAGCGACGCCACCGTCAGCTTCGCCAGAGGGAAGGACTGCAGAATCCGGCCCTCCTGCGGGGGGCGCTTCTGAGGCTCTGGGGACGTCGTCCTAGTGGGGAAGAGCGACAGCGGACGCAGCAGCCGGTGGTAAAACCGCTGGAGCTCAGGCTCGGGCTTCGGGGGCTCCATCATAGAGCCGGCGGCCGCCACCGTCCAGGAACAGAAAGCCGAGGGGTTACTAAGGCAACCAGGAGCCCGACGGCCCGAGTGCGCCTGCGCGGCCGCCACCCGGTGGCTGACGAAGCAGGGCCTTGCGTGCGCACGCACTAGGAGGAGGAGTTAAGGGTGGCTTTAGAGGCTCAGTCCCCGCGACGCCGCGCTGGTTGGTGCTCCTGCGCCGGAGGAGTTCTGCGTCTCGGGGTGGTGACTGGGTCCAGAATGGCTTCGGATTCGGGGAACCAGGGGACCCTCTGCACGGTGAGGGTCGAGGCTTCGTGTGGAGCCTCGCCGGGCAGAGAGCCTCGGCCCCTGGGATGATCGTTACCTTGGGAAGAGGAGAAGGAGTGGGCACTTGGGTTGGGGCCTGGGGCCATGGGATGAAACTAGGGTGCGAGGGTAGCAGGGGCCCTGCGTGAGTGTTGGGGGGTGACTCCCATGGTCCTGGAATGGTCATGAGAGATCATGAAGAAGGTGCTTGAAGAGGGGTTAAGTGGGGCTTGTTCCCAGACCCTTGCGGTGGTCATAGGGTAGGTGGTGAAACAAAGTCATACCAAGGCACTTCCCCAGCGATCATCGGTTGGTCCCTGCCGCCCTTGCAGTTGGAGTTCGCGGTGCAGATGACCTGTCAGAGCTGTGTGGACGCGGTGCGCAAATCCCTGCAAGGGGTGGCAGGTAAGAACAGGGTAAACTTTTCTGCAGACAGTCCAGAAGCCTCTGGGAGGGACCAGGCGAATCTATTAGGCGAACCCTACTCCCATTTTACAGATGCAGAAAGTGAACCCCAGAGAGTGAAAGGCATGTTCTCAGAGTTACACACAGACCTGGAGGCAGAGCCTAGAGTACAGCTGTCCAGCTTGCCCTGACAGATTCTAACTGCCTGTCTTGTTGTCCTGAACCTCAGGTGCCCCAGAGACTGAGGAGCTAGGCTGAGGGAGTTCCTGGGAAAACAGGCAGTTTTTGCTTGGGAAACAACATAATCTTGACAAAGCAAACAGCAGCTCAGGCCCTATACCATCCTGGGTAGCTTTCTATACCACTGGGTGTGGTGGCTCATGCCTGTAATCCCAGCACTTTGGGAGGCCGAGGTGGGTGGATCACCAGGTCAGGAGATCGAGACCATCCTGGCTAACACAGTTAAATCCTGTCTCTACTAAAAAATACAAAAAATTAGCCGGGCGTGGTGGTGGGCGCCTGTAGTCCCAGCTACTTGGGAGGCAGAGGCAGGAGAATGGCGTGAACCCGGGAGGCGGAGCTTGCAGTTAGCCGAGATCGCGCCACTGCACTCTAGCCTGGGCAACAGAGTGAGACTCCGTCTCAAAAAAATAATAATAATAAATAAAAGGCCAGCTGGTCTGGAGGTGACCTGGCACAATGAGAAAGATCTGGAAAGGTAGAGCCACCAGCATGGCTCTGGGAACTGGCTTCCTTTGATTCTGTTAAGTGTTTATCCAGGCCAGGCTCAGTGGCTCACGCCTGTAATCCCAGCACTTTGGGACACCAAAGTAGGTAGATTGCTCAAGTCCATGAGTTTGAGAGCAGCCTGAGCAACATGGCGAAAACCCTCCTCTATAAAATATACAAAAATTAGCTGGGCGTCATGGTGCACTCCTGTAGTCCCAGCTACTGGGGAGGCCAAAGCAGGAGGATTGCTTGAGTCCAGGAGGTGGAGGCTGCAGTGAGTTGGATCGCTCCACTGCACTCCAGGCTGGGTGACAGAGTGAGACCCTCTCTCAAAAAAAAAAAAAAAAAAAACAAGTTCACCCAGTCATTCGGCAGGTATGGACCAGACACTGGGGCTTTTTAGGGAGAAGAGTTCACATGGGTATCAGGCACATCCCCTGCACTCAGGTGGAAATGAGCATGCAAGCGTTGCCTGGATGGCATTCGCAGAATGCTTCGTGGAAAGAGCAATGGTGAGAGGGAATGAGATAAGATGGCTTCTGAAGCTGGGACCCTGGTAGTGGTGGACTCTGTAAAGTGATTAGGGGTATGAGCTCTAGAGTTCAAACCCCCTCTTTGCCACTTAATGGCACTAAGACTTCATGCATGTTACTTTTTGTGTCTCTGTTTCTTCTGTGTTAAATGGGGGATGATAATAGAAGCTAATCTGGAGGATTGTCCTGAAGAGTAACCGAGTTAATACAAAAAAAGCATTTAGAAAAGTCTTTGGCATGTAATAACAGCCCAGTAAATCCTAGGGGATTATGAGAAGAAGGGCTTACAGGTGGTGATCTGGATGGAAGGAGGCTGGAGGGGACAATGTTGAAGCTGGGTTTGCTTAGACTACGCGTTTTGGGTGGTGAATGGGCCCTCCACTTCCTGTACTACTTGCTTGCGAGGAGAGCAGACAGCTGGCCTTTCTCTTGGACCCGGAGCAGTTTTCAGCCCTCAGCATGTTTCTTAGGCAACAGATAAAGACTTCTGGTGACTCTGTGTTTTCTGGTCCGGCTTGGCTTTCTCATGGGGCCAGGGAGGGAAGCTGTAGTTTTCTAGAATACACACACACAGAGAAAGAGAGTTGCCATCTCAGGAGGCCTGGGGGAAGGCCTTCTCAGGAGGTAAGCAGGAGGATCCCCCAGCCCAAGGCTCACCCCCTTGAATCTCTATCACTTGCCCTGGTGTTCTCTGTGGCCTTCTGTTTTCTCTCTCACTGGGCTCTGAGCCAACCAAGGGTGGGCCTGGCTACATTCCAGGGTCTACCAGTCTTAACTCAAGGAGCAAACTGAATGGCTGCTTGGCTAAGGTACCAGCCTCCCTCTTGGTTTAGACTCAGTCAATAATTCAGGAGGTACATAGTGACAAGGAACTTCCCACTTCAGGAGCAGAGAATCAGCTCTTCTCTGGAGACCTGAGGGTCTGGGAACCCTCCTATGCTGAGGCCTGTCATCAGGACATCTTATCTGCTATGTGTCCAAAACATACTTAGGCCTCCACACTGCTCCAGGCCACCCCACCTCTCCCTAGCCTGTGTAAGAACCTCATCCTTTGATGGGTTCCCCATTGCTTCTGTTGCCCCCTCTAATAGCTTTTGCACATAAAAGCCAGGGTCTTGTTCTGCTCTGTTGCCCAGGCTGGAGTGCGGTGGCACCATCTCAGCTCACTGCAACCTCCACCTCCCGGTTCATTTGATTCTCCCACCTCAGCCTCCTGAGTAGCTGGGATTACAGGTGTGCACCACCATGCCTGGCTAATTTTCATACTTTTACTAAAGATGGAGTTTTGCCATGTTGGCAAGGCTAGTATCGAACTCCTGGCCTCATGTGATCCACCTGCCTCAACCTCCCAAAGTGCTGGGATTATGGGTGTGCGCCACCACGCCTGGCCATCTGACAACTGACTTTTTTTTTTTTTTTTTGAGACGGAATCTCGCTCTGTTGCCCAGGCTGGAGTGCAGTGGCGCAATCTCGGCTCACTGCAAGCTCCGCCTCCCGGGTTCATGCCATTCTCCTGCTTCAGCCTCCTGAGTAGCTGGGACTACAGGCGCCCGCCACCATGCCCGGCTAACTTTTTAGTATTTTTAGTAGAGATGGGGTTTCACCGTGTTAGCCAGGATGGTCTCGATCTCCTGACCTTGTGATCCACCCACCTTGGCCTCCCAAAGTGCTGGGATTACAGGCATGAGCCACCGCGCCCGGCCGACAACTGACTTTTGAACTTGACCCTTGTGGACCTCACAGAGCTCCTGCCCTCACAGAGCTGGCGGCCTAGGAGTGAAACAGGATTGTAGTCAGTGCAATGTGAATTACAGGAGGGGGAGTGTGAGCTGCTACAGGACCACAAGGGGTGTGGTCCTAACCCAGCTTGGAGCCTAAGGGCTGCTTCCTAGGGTGAGTACAATATCTGGGTTAAGTGCTGGGGCTCTGGAGCTAGGCTGCATGGTCAGAGGTCCAGTTGCACAACTTACTACAGTGCGACTTTGAGCAAGTTTCTTCATCTTTCTGTGCCTCAGTTTTCTCATCTGTAAAATGGGGATCATTGTACCTAACTTAGAGGCTTAGTAGGAGTACCAAATATGTTAAGACAGGTAAAACACAGGATTCGCTCACCGTCCATGCCCAGTAAGTGTTAGCTCTACTAATGATGGCAATAGTCCCTGCCTTTTATGTGTGTAATAGCTTTATTAAGATATAATTCGGCTGGGCGCAGTGGCTCACACCTGTAATTCCAGCACTTTGGGAGGCTGAGGCAGGCAGATCATGAGGTGAGGAGATCGAGACCATTCTGGCTAACACGGTGAAACCCTGTCTCTACTAAAAACACAAAAAATCAGCTGGGCGTGATGGCGGGCACCTGTTGTCCCAGCTACTCGGGAGGCTGAGGCAGGAGAATGGCTAGAACCCAGGAGGTGGAGCTTGCAGTGAGCCGAGATTGTGCCACTGCACTCCAGCCTGGGTGACAGAGCGAGACTCCATTTCAAAAAGAAAAAAAGGCCAGGTGTGGTGGCTCATGCCTGTATTCCCAGCACTTTGGGAGGCCAAGGCGGGCAGATCACGAGGTCAGGAGATTGAGACCATCCTGGCTAACACGGTGAAACCCCGTCTTTACTAAAAATACAAAAAATTAGCCGGGCTTGGTGGCGGGCGCCTGTAGTCCCTGCTACTCGGGAGGCTGAGGCAGGAGAATGGCGTGAACCCAGGAGGTGAAGCTTGCAGTGAGCCCAGATGGCGCCACTGCACTCCAGCCTGGGCGACAGAGTGAGACTCTGTCTCAAAAAAAAAAAAAAGATATAATTCATAGGCTGGGCAGCTAGGCACAGTGGCTCACGCCTGTAATTCCAGCACTTTGGGAGGCTTGCTTGAACCCAGGAGGCAGAGGTTGCAGTGAGCCAAGATTATGCCACTGCTCTCCAGCCTAGGTGACAAAGCGAGACTCCATCTTGAAAATAAAAAAAGATATAATTCATGTACTATAAAAATCACCCATTTAGGCCAGGCGCAGTGGCTCACGCCTGTAGTCCCAACAGTTTGGGAGGCTGAGGTTGCAGTGAGCCGAGATTGTGCCATTACACTCCAGCCTGGGTGACACAGCGAGACTCTGTCTCAAAAAAAAAAAAAGAAAAAAAATTCACCCATTTAAAGGATACAGTTCATCTGTTTGTAGTATTTTCAGAGTTGTACAACCATCTCTCCACTGTCAGTTTTACATTTTTATCACTTCATAAAGAAATCCTAGGCCACAGCCAGGCGTGATGGCTCATGCCTGTAATCTCAGTACTTTGGGAGACTGAGGCAGGCAGATGACCTGAGGTCAGGAGTTCGAGAGCAGCCTGGCCAACATGGTGAAACCCCATGTCTACTAAAAGAAAAAAATACAAAAAAATTAGCTGGGCATGGTGGTGGTGTGTGCCTGTAGTCCCTGCTACTCGGGAGGCTAAGGCAGGAGAATCGCTTGAACCCGGGAGATGGAGGTTTCAGTGAGCTGAGATCGTGCCACTGCACTCCAGCCTGAGCAACAGAGAGAGACTCTGTTTCAAAAAAAAAAAAATATTTTTTAAGCTATCTCCTACAGGAAGAATATTTTCTGTTTGTGGATTTGCCTATTCTAGATATCTAATATACATGGCATTATATATGTGGCTTTGTGACTGGCTTTCTTGTAGCATAATGTTTCAAGGTCCGTCCATGTTGTAGCATGTATCAGCACTTCGTTCCTGAATAGTATTTCATTGTATGGATACCACATTTTATCTGTTCATTAGTTGATGGGCATTTGGGTTATTTTTATCTTTTGGCTATTGTGAATAATGCCACTATGGATAGCCCACTTAAAAAAAAAACAAAACACTGCTTTAAAAAGAATGATGTATGTTTCCAAAGTTATAAATAATGCCTGGCGTGTATTAGAACTCACAGAAATCCTGGGGGCAAGGTGGCATTATCCCCATTTATATGAAAAGAGACAGACTCAGAAGTGAAGAGGCTTACTCAGGGTTACACAGTTACGAAGTAGCTTGCCTCTGACCATGGGAAGTTTGGTGGAAATGGGGATGGAGAATTGCTGTCTGTTTTTCTGTTCCCTGCTGCCAGCACTGGGTGCCAGCCTCTGTTGCCCTCTTCCCTCTCTTTCTTGCCAGGTGTCCAGGATGTGGAGGTGCACTTGGAGGACCAGATGGTCTTGGTACACACCACTCTACCCAGCCAGGAGGTGCAGGCTCTCCTGGAAGGCACGGGGCGGCAGGCGGTACTCAAGGGCATGGGCAGCGGCCAGTTGCGTGAGTGACCACTGTGGCCTTGGCCCCTCTCGGAGGGAGGTGGCTCAGAGCTGGTACAAATCTAATCATAGGATTCTCAGGCTCTGGGTTGGAGTGGCTTTGAGGAAGGTGTGAAAATTATGTGAGACTCCCTGCCCTTCCCGAGCTGCTGAAGAGGTGTGCTGGGTGAGGTGGCAAGCCAGCCCAAGTGTCTAATACCTTGCAGAGAATCTGGGGGCAGCAGTGGCCATCCTGGGGGGGCCTGGCACCGTGCAGGGGGTGGTGCGCTTCCTACAGCTGACCCCTGAGCGCTGCCTCATCGAGGGAACTATTGACGGCCTGGAGCCTGGGCTGCATGGACTCCACGTCCATCAGTACGGGGACCTTACAAACAACTGCAACAGGTGAGTTGTCTGAAGTCTCCCCAGTAGCATTCTCAGCTACACATTTTCACACTGGGCCCTCACCAATACTCTGTGAGGCACATACACACAGGCACAACCTCCAGATGAGGAAACTGAGGCTCACAGAGGTTAAATGACTTGCCAAAGGTCCACAGCAGGTAAAAGGTAGAGTTGGGGTTTGAGTCAAGATCTGACCTTGGCTGGGCACAGTAGCTCACACCTGTAATCTAGCACTTTGGGAGGCTGAGGTGGGCGGATCACCTGAGGTCAGGAGTTCAAGACCAGCCTGGCCAACATGGTGAAACCCCATCTCTACTAACAATACAAAAAAAAATTAGCCAGGTGCAGTGGCATGTGCCCATAATCCCAGCTACTAGGGAGGCCCGTAATCTCCTGAGGCAGGAGAATCACTTGAACTCAGGAGGTGGAGGTTGTGGTGAGCTGAGATTGCACCACGGCACTCCAGCTCAGGGGTGACAGGGCAAAACTCTGTCTCAAGAAAAAAAATAAAATCTGATCTTGAAGGTCCTGCTTATAACCACCTTACTGCCTCTGAGATGGAAGGGGACTTCTGGACACAGCAAAGGAAGGGTCCCCATGCCATGGTGTTTGTCATGCTGTGATATAACTAGTTGTTTACTCATCTGTGAGTCCCCTGAGCCAGAAGCTTATTCAGGACAGGACCCATGTCTGATTCTTCTCGGTGCCCTCTACCCAAAGCCCAGCACAGAGTAGGCCTGTTTGTTGAATGAATGAATGAATGAATGAATGAAGCAAATATAAATAGATGAGAGGGTAGAGCACCTGGCCTGTGAGCTGCTTTCCTGCCCACCTGTTTCCTTTCTTTCTTAGCTGTGGGAATCACTTTAACCCTGATGGAGCATCTCATGGGGGCCCCCAGGACTCTGACCGGGTAAGTGTCTGTCTGGGTTTGGGCTTGGGCTGAGAGAGGACCCAAAGTCTCAGAGGCAGGGCAGGCAGCTCTTGGGATCATAACAGTGTGATTCCTTTTTGGTGGAGTCTTTTCCTCTCATTTTATTTTGCTGAGTTTGGAAACATTTGTTGACACTTTCTGTGATCAAGGCCCAGGGGATACAATAGATTACAGCCCCAGTGCCTGACCCAAGGAGCACACAGTCTCTGGGGGAGATTACTGAATTCCATGGTTTCCAGGCAGTGAGATCATCCTTGCAGGAGCCTGCAAGAGGTCCTGGAGCCCACAGTGAATAGTTCATCTGCCTGAGGGGCAGGGGCAGTGGGAGGAAGTGAAATATGGAAGTTGAGGGTTTTACCTAAACTGAAAAGGCTGTCCCTGGTGTTCCCTAACACCCCGGTCCTGGAGTTTCATTTTTCAGCAGAGAATCATTTCCCAATCTTCAGGGAATTGTGTGTTGCCTTAATGATTTTTGCCTTATCTGAGTACTAGTTGTATTTTTAGTTACTCAATCATTTGGTTTTTTTATTTTATTTTCTGAGATGGAGTTTTGTTCTTATTGCCCAGGCTAGAGTGCAATGGCGCAGTCCCAGCTCATTGCAACCTCCGCCTCCCAAGTTCAAACGATTCTCCTGCCTCAGCCTCCCTAATAGCTGGGACTACAGGTGCACACCACCACACCCGGGTAATTTTTGTATTTTTAGTAGAGATGGGGTTTCACCAGGTTGGCCAGGCAGTCTTGAACTCCTGACCTCAAGTGATCCACCCACCTCAGCCTCCCAAAGTGCTGGGATTACAGGCGTGAGCCACTGTGCCCGGCTCTGACTGGGCTATTTTCTATCTTGATGGGTTTGCAACCTTGTGCCACAAAACAATTGAAACCATGGTATGTGTTGCTTAATGCATGTTACTGATTTTTTGGACTTTTCACAGCTCTGTTACCTATCATGCTTTTCTTTTCTTCTGTTTCTTTTCCTTTTCCTTTCTCCCCTCCCCTCCCCTCCCCTCTCCTTTCCGAGATAGGATCTCACTCTGTTGCCCATGCTGGAGTGCAGTGCTGTGATCATGGCTCACTACAGCCTTGAACTCATGGGCTCAAGCAATCCTCCCACCTCACCTGATAGCTGGGACCACAAGCATGTACCATTATGCCCAGCTAATTTTTTTTTTTTGTTTTTTTGGTGGTAGAAATAGGGTGTCACTATGTTCCTCAGGCTGGTCTCAAACTGCTGGGCTTGAGCAGACCTCCCTCCTCGGCCTCCCAGTGTTAGGATTATGAGCATGAGCCAGCATGCCTGGCCTCTGCCACATTTTTTTTTTTTCTTTTTCTTTTTTTTATTTTTAGTAGAAACGAGGTTTTGCCATGTTGGCCAGGCTGGTCTTGAAGTCCCAACCTCAAGTGATCCGCCTGCCTTGGCCTCCCAAAGTGCTGGGATTACAGGCATGAGCCACTGTGCCCAACCACCCTGTCACATTTCTAATGATCAAAAGTTTTTACTCCCTGTTCTGGGAAATTGGAGAGGCATTTCTTATAGAGTCCATTGCACAGTGCCATGCTTATGCTCAGTGATTAGTAATCTGCTGCTGCAAATCAAATGACTCCAAAGTTAGGAGTTTAAAACAACAAACATATACTGTCTCTGGGGCAGGAATTTGTGTGTGACTTAGCTGGGTGCCTGCAGCTCAGGGTCTCTCTCGGGGCTGCAGTCATCTCAGGGCCCCACGTGGGGAGAATCTGCTTCCAGGTTTGCTCATGTTGCTGTTGGCAGGCCCCAGGTCCTCCTTGGCTGTTGGCCAGAGACATCAGTTCTTTGCCACATGGGTCTCTCCCTAGGGCAGCTAACAACACGGCAGTTGGCTTCTCTCAGAGTGAATGAGCGAGAGAGAGAGAGATTGAGATTGAGAGAGGGCGTCCAAGACTCAAGCCACATTCTTTTTGTAACCTAATCTTAGAAGTGACACTAGGTCCAGCCCACACTCAAGGGAGGCACATCATAGAGGCCATTCGCCTCATGCAGCCTTGAAAGATGATGGGCAGGAAGTAGGCATTGAAGAGGGTAAGAGTGGGATTGGCAAGCCCAGCAAAAGAAACTGCCCGGGCAAAGCCCTCAAGGCATGGAATGGCAGGGAGTGTTTCTGAAGGGCAGGAGCCTGTCTTGTGACCTGTGTTTTCTTCCTGGGCCCCAGGTGGGGCAGGGAATCAGAAGGGGCTGGCATCAGCAGCTGTACCTCACCCAATCCCTTAACTTAGACAAGGAAGAACTGAGCAGGAGCTGACCAGCCAAGGCCACGGTGACTGGCAAGTTGCTGTTGGGTTTTAGCATCTGCTTTTCCCAGGTGGAAAAGAATTCCATGTGGGAATTTGCATTCAAGCCTGGTTGTCCCTTGCACATCTCCTAACTGATCTCTAAGCTCCCTTCTGTTCTCTCCTCACCCTGCTCCAGTCTTTACTTTTCATAGACTGCACTAGAAGGATTGTTCTGAAGCCTGGAGTAACCAGGCCATGCCCCTGCCTGAAACTTGTCTTGGCTCCCAGTGCCTGAGAGTACAAGCTGGGCCTAGCTTCTTGATGTGGACATTCAATACCCCACTCCCCCTGCCTATTGCCCCTGCCTGTGTGCTGAGGAAACAGCCTGGAAAGGCTGCCTTTCCCTGAACTCCTGCTGGGTCATGCCTCCAGCCACACTGTCCAGGCTGCCCCCTGCCTTGAGGCCGCTCCTCCAGCCGGGCACAGTGGCTCACGCCTGCAACCCTAGCACTTTGGGAGGCCGAGGCAGACGGATCACTTGAGTTCAGGAGTTCGAGACCAGGCTGGCCAATATGGTGAAACCCTGTCTCTACTAAAAATACAAAAATTAGGCCAGGTGCAATGGCTCATGCCTGTAATCCCAGCACTTTGGGAGGCTGAGGCGGATGGGTCACTTGAGGTCAGGAGTTTGAGATCAGCTTGACCAACATGGTGAAACCCTGTCTCTATTAAAAATACAAAAGTTGGGCCGGGCACAGTGGCTCATGCCTGTAATCCCAGCACTTTGGGAGGCCGAGGCGGGCAGATCACAAGGTCAGGAGATCGAGACCATCCTGGTTAACATTGTGAAACCCCGTCTCTACTAAAAATACAAAAAATTAGCCAGGCGTGGTGGCGGGCGCCTGTAGTCCCAGCTACTTGGGAGGTTGAGGCAGGAGAATAGCGTGAACCTGGGAGGCGGAGCTTGCAGTGAGCCGAGGTCGCGCCACTGCACTCCAGCCTGGGCGACAGAGCAAGACTCCATCTCAACAAAACAAAACAAAACAAAACAAAACAAAAGTTGGCCAGGTATGGTGGCGTGCTCTGTAGTCACAGCTACTCGGGAAGCTGAGACAGGAGAATTGCTTGAACCTGGGGGGTGGGGAGGTTGCAGTGAGCCCAGATCGCACCACTGCACTCCAGCCTGGGCAACAGAGTGAGACTCTGTCTCAATAAATAAATAAATAAATAAATAAATTAATTAATTAAAAGAAATACAAAAACTAGCCAGGCGTAGTGGCGCGTGCCTGTAATCTCAGCTACTTAGGAGGCTGAGGCAGGAGAATTGCTTGAACCCGGGAAGCAGAGACTGCAGTGAGCCGAGATCACACCATTGCATTCCAGCCTGGGCATTGCAATGAGACTTTGTATCAAAACAAAACAAAACAAGCAAAAAAAACCGCTCTTCAGGGCTCTGTATCCCCTCCCCCTTCTTGATCTTTCTACTGTTCAAATCTCCAACGCAGGGCGTAAAAAAAAGTACCAGGTGCAGGCAGCAGATATCCCTCTGGAAAACGAGATAAAGCAGAACTGCCACTTCTTCCTGCCCATCAGTTGGTGGCACAGTGAGATGCCTGGTTACTCAGCAGCAAGGTCATGGGAGCCCACCTGTACTGGCACAGGCACTTGTTTCTGCCCAAAATGTCAGGTTGGGGACAATTTATTTGCACAGATGTGGGTTTCTGTGGCTCACTAGTAAGGCCTTGTCACCCCAAAACACACCAACTGTTGTATTCACCCTGTGTGTCATCACCCCTAGTCTGTTCTGTATCTGGGCCCCCACCATGTTCTGAGTCCCTTGAGGATGGTGACCTGCATACTCCCTGCCATGTTGGGTAGTGTGTCTGACCTAGGAGGTGCTCATAGGTGTGTTATGACAATTTTTATTACCGTCAAAGGAGAAGGAGGGCAGAGCCAGCTTCGAGGGGCTAGGACAGGCCCTTTGCCCCTTGCATTTCCTTCTGTTCCTGGAATCTGGGAGTCAGGGAAATGACACTGGCTGCCTATGATGGTCAGGGAAGCCAAGCTTGGCCAACTTAAGCCTATAGGAATTGAAGACAGCCAAGGGCTCACAGAGCCATCAGGAGGCTGCACAACTGAGCTAACTGGAGGCTGAGAAGCAGAGCTGGGCAATTGCCTCGCCGGAAAAACAGTCTGATCCAATGGGAATGACTGCACAGGCAGGGGAAACTTCCACTGGCTCTTTTCAGCCCACTGTCATCCTGCCCAGGATTTCAGTTCCAGGGAGGGAGTGTTCAGATGGTCCGGGACTTCCTGGACCACTTTCCACTTCCAGACAGGGCCAAGAGGACCTTGCCTGCCCAGTCCTTGGGGAGCTCAGATCCTACGAGACTGGTACCCACAGGAGGAAATGGGTACTTTAGGGAAGCAGGAAGAGGCGTCGGAATCAGGAAATCAGAAGATAGCAGCTTGGCACCACGTGGCACACATCCCCTATACACACACTGGATCTCATTCCAGCACCGCGGAGACCTGGGCAATGTCCGTGCTGATGCTGACGGCCGCGCCATCTTCAGAATGGAGGATGAGCAGCTGAAGGTAAGGTGGAAAAGAAGGTGGGCACCCTTCCTAACAGGGTCCATCATCTGAAGCTGTCGTCTCCCCTCAAAGGTGTGGGATGTGATTGGCCGCAGCCTGATTATTGATGAGGGAGAAGATGACCTGGGCCGGGGAGGCCATCCCTTATCCAAGATCACAGGGAACTCCGGGGAGAGGTGAGTGGTGTCGGCCCCTGTAGGAGGCTGTGCTCTGCGGATGGTGCATGAGGAACCCAGGGGTGGGGGCCAAACAGGTACCCACCCCTGACCACACATTCTTCTGCAGGTTGGCCTGTGGCATCATTGCACGCTCCGCTGGCCTTTTCCAGAACCCCAAGCAGATCTGCTCTTGCGATGGCCTCACCATCTGGGAGGAGCGAGGCCGGCCCATCGCTGGCAAGGGCCGAAAGGAGTCAGCGCAGCCCCCTGCCCACCTTTGAGCAGGACCTCACCTTGGCTCTGTTGCTGTCCTCCAGGGCGAGCACTTTCCACTTCCAGAGGGGGCCAGAGGGACTTTGCCTGCCCAGTCTTTGGAGAGCTCAGTACAGGGCAGGAGCTGCTGTGGTGTTCCCTTGGCAAATGAAAGTTTTATTTTCGTTTGGGACTTGGTGTTTTGTGCTTGTCTCCATGCCCCTTATGGGCTTGGTGAACATAGCTCTGCTTCTTTCCTTTGTATCAGGGCCACCCCTTAGCATTGGAGCCAAACAAACCTGAATTCAAACCTACACACACACTGAAGTCCCCATCTTCCTCCTTGGAGCCATAATGAAGAGCCACTACAGTCAAATTTCTGTTTGTGGCCTCCCCCAACCCCTCACTATGGCTGATTGGAACCAAAATGGACACCTGACCCATGGTGGCCCATGCTTTCCCTGAGAAATCAGGGCAGATCCAGCTTTAGTTTTTTCCTGTGGTTGGACCCATAACATGGGAATATGGGAAGTTTTGGTGGCCCTCTTCTCCCTGCCTTATTGACTGAGCATCAGAAAAAGCCAGTCGGCTAAGGAGGAAAAATGAGGCAGGGAGAATCTAAGAGTTGCTGGAGAATCCCAGTCACTCTGGAGTCCCCTCTCTGAGCCTTTCGTGAGGCCAGCTGCCTCCTGCCTGGGATTGAAGAGATGCTCCCGAATCCTCCTAATGCATCCCCCTGTTAAAATAATCTGGCTTGAGGCTGGGCACGGTAGCTCACACCTGTAATCCCAGCACTTCGGAAGGCCAAGGCGGGAGGATCTCTTGAGCCCAGGAGTTTGAGACCAGCTGGGGGAACAGAGTAAGACCCTGTCTCTACAAAAAAAAAAAATTTAATTAGCTGGGTGTGATGGTGCATGCTTGTGGTCCCAGCTATTTGGGAGGCTGAGGTGGGAGGATTGCTTCAGCCTGGGAGGTTGAGGCTGCAGTGAACCATGATCACGCCACTGCATTCCAGCCTGGGCAACAGAGCAAGACTCCATCTCAAAAAAAAAACAAAACCAAAAACAAACAAACAAAAATCTGACTTTATTCCTTTCAGTCATAAGTAAAAATTATCAATTAACATAAGTGAAGTGCTTGGCACACAGCCTGTCATATAAAGTTAAGGGAGCAGCAGCTATGATTCTGAGGCTGCGTGGGACCCTCGGAGGCAGCCCTAGCCAAGCTCCCCTTTCCTATGGTTGGATGAGCTGCTAACCAGGGTACAGTTTGTGGGGCCTCGGGTTCAGAGCCTCCCTACTCGTCTATTATTTCCCTGTACCCCCATCCCCATGGGGTGCCTTGCTCATCCTTGACAAAGCTGCTTTTATGACAGGGTAAGCTGGCAGACTACAAACTTTGCCCCAAGCTGGCAGACTACAAACGTTGTCCCTACACTGCCTGCTTGGAACTGGGTGGGTGGTTTCGCAGTTAGTTGTCCTTGGCTTCGAGGCAGAGCCCCTGGCTCGGATCCCATTCCCCAGTCCCTGTCTGTTTTCCCTTTCAAGGCTGTGGGTGGGTTCCACCTCTAGCCCCAACCCTTGGACTCTGCTCTTTCTTGCCAAACCTATGCTGGTTCTTTTCCAGCTCCCTGTGGTTGCTGGGAGCCAAACCCTTTTAAGCCCAGACTCAGGCTGTCTTTCCCCACTTCCAAGTCATTGCAGAAATTCATCCTGGATTCTGCCCACAGCTAACCCCTGACATCCTCTCACCTCCATTCTGGAATGATGCCTGGGTTTTAACCTTTTTAAGCCTAAACGGTTCACCATGACACGACTCTATTAGCCTCTTTTTTTTTTTTTTCCTTTTTTTGAGACAGAGTTTCACTCTGTTGCCCAGGCTGGAGTGCAGTGGTGCAATCAAGACTCACTGCAGGGTGGATGCAGTGACTCACGCCTGTAATACCAGCACTTTGGGAGGCCAAGGTGGGTGGATCACTTGAGGTCAGGAGTTTGAGACCAGCCTGGCCAACATAGCGAAACCCCATCTCTACTAAAAATACAAAAGTTAGCCAGGTGTAGTGGGATTACAGTGCCTGAAATCCCATCTACTTATGAGGCTGAGACAGGAGAATTGCTTGAACCCAGGAGGCAGAGGTTGCAGTGAACCGAGATCACACCACTGCACTCCAGCCTGGGTGACAGAACCAGACTCTTATCTCAAAAAAAAAAAGGAGATCGGCCAGACGTGGTGGCTCACACCTGTAATCCCAGCACTTTGAGAGGCCAAGGCGGGCGGATCACAAGGTCAGGAGATGGAGACCATCCTGGCTAACAGGGTGAAACCCCGTCTCTACTAAAAATACAAAAACTTAGCCAGGCATGGTGGCGGGTACCTGTAGTCCCAGTTACTTGGGAGGCTGAGGCAGGAGAATGGCGTGAACCCGGGAGGTGGAGCTTGCAGTGAGCCGAGATGGTGCCACTGCACTCCAGCCTGGGCAACAGAGCGAGACTCCGTCTCAAAAAAAAAAAAAAAAAAAAGATCAACATCCTCATTAGCTTTTCTTCTGAACTTCTGGCTGTGTGGTTTTTCAAAGTTTATTTTTAAATCACAGGACACTGTTCAAACATCTTGAAGCCTCATTTGCAAAGCAGAAGTGGAACTGCAGGCAAAGATGCTCTGTTTTGGCCAGGAACAGTGGCTCATGCCTGTAATCCCAGCACTTTGGGAGGCCAGGGCAGGAGGACTGCTTGAAGCTAGTTAGAAACCAGACTAGCGAAGAAAGCAACACCCTGTCTCTACAAAAAATAATTTAAAAGGCCGGGCGCGGTGGCTCACGCCTGTAATCCCAGCACTTTGGGAGGCCGAGGTGGGCGGATCACGAGGTCAGGAGATCGAGACCATCCTGGCTAACATGGTGAAACCCCGTCTCTACTAAAAATACAAAAAATTAGCTGGGTGTGGTGACACGTGCCTGTAGTCCCAGCTACTCGGGAGGCTGAGGCAGGAGAATGGTGTGAACCCGGGAGGCGGAGTTTGCAGTGAGTGGAGATCGCGCCACTGCACTCCAGCCTGGGCGAGAGAGCAAGACTCTGTCTCAAAATAATAATAATAATAATAATAATAATAATAATAATAATGATAATAACTTAAACATTAGCTGAGTGTGGTGGCACAGGCTTATGGTCCCAGCTACTTAGGAGCCTGAGGCAGGAGGATTGCTTGTGCCTAGGAGTGTGCAGCGGCAGTGAGCCATGGTCACGCCACTCTGCTCCAGCCTGCTTGAGAGAGTAAGACCTTGTCTCTAAAAAAATAAAAATAATTAAAAAAAAAGAGGCCTTTAATCCCAGCAGTTTGGGAGGCCAAGATGGGAGGATTGCTTGATCCCAGGAGGTCAAGGTTGCAGTGAGCCATGATTGTGCCACTGCACTCCAGCCTGGGGGACAGAGTGAGACCCTGTCTCAAAAATAAATCAATAAATGAAAAGGAAAATTTAAGTCCAAGATGGGAAGATTACTTGAGGCCAGGAGTTCGAGACCAACTTGGGCAACATAGCAAGAACCCCATCTCCAAAAAAAAATTTTTTTTTTTTTTGAGATGGAGTTTCTCTCTTGTTGCCCAGGCTGGAGTGCAGTGGGGTGATCTCGGCTCACTGCAACCTCCACCTCCTGGGTTCAAGCGATTCTCCTGCCTCAGCATCCCGAGTAGCTGGGACTAAAGAAAGGTGCATGCCACCACGCCCGGCTAATTTTTTGTATTTTTAGTAGAGATGGGTTTTCATCATGTTAGCCAGTTCCTGACCTTGTGATCCGCCCGCCTTGGCCTCCCAAAGTGCTGGGATTACAGGTGTGAACCACCACACCCGGCCTATACCTCCATATTTTTAAATAACATGACTGTGTCATTGTTTCTTATTTTCAGTCTTGATATTGTCTGTGGAATTCTATATTAGGATGAATTCTGCAGTAAGTAATACAGTCCTAATAGTGGCCAAAGCAATTAAGACATTTAATTATGTCACCAGATCAACAGTCTGGATATTTGAGGATTCAGAGCAGGTCCAGTGGTGTGGCAACGTCAGGATACTGTCATCATGAACTGTGTGTTTCTCTTCATGTCCCCTCCTCCCCTTTTGGTGGCAAGGGTGATTACCACAGCACCAAGCCTCCCATTGTCACACATTCACATGATAGGGTGGAAAGCTGGAAGGAAGGAGACCAAAAAGGGAAAAGCTCCTTTCTAGCAGAGAAGAACACCTATGCAATGGAATAATGAAAGTTAGCTGTGAAAACGTCTTTATCTGTGTTGTTACTAACTCATATCAGTTTCCTGTAATCAGTTTCCTTTGTAACAGTGGCAGCTGTAACAAAGTACCACAAACTGTGGCTTAAAACAACAAAAATTTATTCTCACAGTTCTGGAGGCCAGAAGTACAAACTTAGTATCACTGGGCTGAAATCAAGGTGTGGACAAGAGCTTGCTTCCTCCAGAAACTATAGGGAAACATCCCTTCCTGGCCTCTTCCAGCTTTGTGTGGCCGCTGGCATTCCTTGGCTTGTGGCCGAATCTCACTCCAATCTTCAAGGCCAGCACCATCCACTCAGTCTGCTCTGTCTTCCCATGGCCTTTTCCTCCATGTATTTGTGTCAAATCTCCTTCTGCCTCCCTCTTACAAGGATGCATGTGATTGCATTTAACACCACCAGAGTAATCCAGGATAATCTCTTCTTAGCAAGGGCCATTGATTTAATCACATCTTCAGAGACTTTGCCACATAAAGTAACATTCAGAAGTTCCAGGGATTAGGACCTAATATCTTTGGAGGCCATTAATAAACCTGCTACAGTGACCTAGTAAACCACAGGTAAATTGATACAATTAACTTAGGAAAAGGTCTCATAAGTAAATTTGACGGTACTCTAGTTTCCATGACAGAATTTCTCTCTAGCCTTTCTCTCCATTCGTTGTAAAGAGATAAGGACTTTACTTGTCAGATTGCTTTATTACAGAGATTGTTTTTACCCAAAACTAAGTTTACCTAAGTTTACAAAATTTGATTTAGATCAGTGGTTCTCAGTGGGGATGGTATGGCCCTATGGAAGTTTGTGAGGGCTATTTCTTCTGGCTGTGACAATGCTAGGTGGGGGCGGGGATGCTGCTGGTATTGGGGGAAGACTAGGGATACTTACCAACCTTCAATGTGCAGGATAGTCCTGCACCAAATAGCCCACAGGATACCCTTGTAGGTGAAAAATCACTACTTATGTATATTTCAGATGGTGTCTTGCTCTGTCACTCAGGCTGGAGTATGGTGGTGTGATCATAGCTCACTGTAGCCTCCATCTCATGGGATCAGGCAGTCCTGCCTCAGCTTTCTGAGTAACTGCAACTACAGGCATGCACCACCATGTCCAGCTAACTTATTTTTTATTTTCTTTATTTATTTTTGAGACGGAGTCTCACTCTGTTGCCCAGCCTGGAGTGCAGTGGCATGATCTCAGCTCACTGCAATCTCTGCTTCCTGGGTTCAAGTGATTCTCCTGACACAGCCTCCTGAGTAGCTGGGATTACAGATATGTGCCATGACGCCCAGCTAATTTTTTTTTTTTTTTTTTTTTTTGTATTTTTAGTAGAGATTGGTTTTGCCATGTTGGCCAGGCTGGTCTCAAACTCCTGACCTCAAGTGATCTGCCTGCCTTGGCCTCCCAAAGTGCTGGGATTATAGGCGTGAGCCACCACAGCCGACCTATTTTTTTTCTTTTTTTCTTTCTTTCTTTTTCTTTTTTTTTTTTTTTTTTTTTTGAGACATGATCTCTTAGTTTGTTGCCCAGCCTGGAGCCCAGCGTCATGATTATCGTAGCTCTGTGCAACCTGAAACTCCTGGGCACAAGCAAGCTTTTTGCCTCAGCCTCCCAGCTGGGACCACTGGTGCACATCACCATGCCTGGCTAATTGCTCTTTTTCTTTTTTTTTTTTTGTTTCAGACAGTTTCACTCTGTCACCCAGGCTGGAGCACAGTGGTATGATCTCGGCTCACTGCAACCTCCACCTCCCGGGTTCAAGCAATTCTTGTGCCTCAGCCTCTCAGGTAGCTAGGATTATAGACACGCGCCAGCACTCCCGGCTAATTTTTTGTATTTTTAGTAGAGATGGGGTTTCACCATGTTGATCAGGCTGGTCTTGAACTCCTGACCTCAAGTGATACACCCACCTCGGCCTCCCAAAATGCTGGGATTACAGGTGTGAGCCACTGCGCTGGGACTAATTTTTATATTTTTTGAGACATGGGGTCTCCCTGGGTTGCCCAGGTTTGTCTCAAACTCCTGGGCTCAAGTGATCCTCCTGCCTTGGCCTCCCAAAGTGCTGGGATTATAGGCATTGAGTCACTGCGTCTGGCCAAACTTCTTACTATGTGTCTTACATTGTGTTCAACACTTGTTATTGCTCAAAATGGCCTTATCCTTCATACATACCTGCCAAGAGAAATTTTTATTAGAGACAAGGCCTCCCTGTGTTGCTCAGGCTGGAGTGCAGTGGTGCGATCACAGCTCACTGCAGCCTTAGCCTCCTGGGCTCAAGTGATCCTCCCATCTCAGCCTCCAGAGTAGCTGGGACTACAGGCACACACCACCACACCTGGTTAATTTTTAAAATTCTTTTCATGTAGATGGGGGTCTATGTTTCTCAGGCTGGTCTTGAACTCCTGAGCTCAAGTGATCCTCCTGCCTCAGCCTCCCAAAGTGCTAGGATTACAGGGATGAGCCACCACACCCATCCCCAAATTTACAATTAAAAAACTCTTAAACCTAAAAACAAAAATGTGGTAAAGCCAGTTATTTTATAGGTAAGATGATACTCATATGTGTAAAGAATCTAGCTGGGTGTGGTGGGTCATGCCTGTAATCCTAGCACATTGGGAGGCTGATTCTGGAGGATCACTTGAGGCTAGGAGTTTGAGAGCAGCCAGGGCAACAAATTGACCCCCGTCTCTACAAAGTAAAAATTAAAAAATTATCTGGGGGTGGTTGGGCATGGTGGTTCATGCCTGTAATCCTAGCATTTTGGGAGGCTGAGCTGGGCAGACCACGAGGTCAGGAGTTCAAGACCAGCCCGGAAGGTCCAGGCTGCAGGGAGCCATGATTTCATCACTGTACTCCAGCCTGGGGGACAGAGTGAGACTGTCTCCAAAAAACCAAACCAAACCAAAACAAACAAACAACAACAACAAAGAAAAAACCTGCAAACTTTTCTTTGAGATCAGCCAAGCCAAGCTAGACACTTTACAGATGAGAAACTCAGTGAGGGCTGCAGGAGCGAAGAGGGTTGCCCACCTGGACCATAAAACTGAACTAGGGCTAATTTAATGCTATTTCCATTATTCTAGATCAAGGAGTCAGATCCTTATTCAAGCCCCAGCATTCTGATTTGCCAGATCTGTGAAATTTGGCAAGATTCTTTACATCTATTTAATTAATTTATGTATTTAGAAACAGAGTTTCACTCTTTTGCCCAGGTTAGAGTGCAGTGGCACCATTACAGCTCACTATAATCTTAAAATCCTGGGCTCAAGCGATTCCTTCCCCCTCAGTCTCTCAAGTAGCTAGAACTACAGGTGCACCACCACCCGCAGATATATGTGTGTGTGTGTGTGTGTGTGTGTGTGTATATACATACACACACACACACACACACAAATATGTACGTATGTATTTTTTGAGACGGAGTCTCACTCTGTCACCCAGGCTGGAGTGCAGCGGCCACAATCTCAGCTCACCGCAACCTCCGCCTCCTGGGTTCAAGCAATTCTCCTGCCTCAGCCTCCTGAGTAGCTGGGATTACAGACGCACGCCACTACGCCCAGATAATTTTTTGTATGTTTAGTAGAGACGGGGTTTCACCGTGTTGGCCAGGCTGGTCCCGAACTCCTGACCTCATAATTTGCCTTCCTCGGCCTCCCAAAGTGCTGGGATTACAGGCATGAGCCACCCCGCCCGGCCGCCGGCTAATTTAAAAAAAAAAAATTTTAGAGATGGATTTTGGTCGTTGCCCAGGCTGTCCCCAACCTTCTGGGCTGAGGCGATCTACCTGCCTCAGCCTCCCAAAGCACTGGGATTACAGGCATGAGCCACCACACCCAGCCTACAATTAGTTTCACCTGTTTCTTTTCACCTTTTAAAATGCAGCTACTAGAAAAATTAAAAGCACCTATGGGTCTCACTGTGTTAACGTAAGACCCCACCTGCCGGGTGGGGTGACTCACACCTGTAATCCCAGCACTTTGGGAGGCCGAGGCAGGCGAATCACAAGGTCGGGAGTTCGGGACCAGCCTGGCCAACATGCTGAAACCCCTACTAAAAATGCAAAAATTACGCCGGGCGTGGTGGCGTGCGTGCCTGTAATCGCAGCTACTCGGGAGGCTGAGGCAGGGAAAACTGCTTGAACCCAGGAGGCGGAGGCTGCAGTGAGCCGAGATAGCACCACTGCACTACAGCCAGGGTGACAAGAGTGAAACTCTGTCTCAATAAATAAATAAATAAAATGGCTATCCTTACTGGGTAGCTAGGGGTTTGCTGATATCCTGTTCTGGGAATACTGCCAGCAGTTTGGATTTCAGGAGATACCAGAGTAGTGCCCCTTTTCTTTCTTTCTTTCTTTCTTTTTTTTTTTTTTTTTGAGACGGAGTCTCGCTCTGTCGCCCAGCCTGGAGTGCAGTGGCGCGATCTCGGCTCACTGCAAGCTCCAACTCCCGGGTTCACGCCATTCTCCTGCCTCAGCCTCCCTAGTAGCTGGGACTACAGGCCCCCGCCACCATGCCCGGCTAATTTTTTGTATTTTAGTAGAGACGGGGTTTCACCGTGTTAGCCAGGATGGTCTCCATCTCCTGACCTCATGATCCGCCCGCCTCAGCCTCCCAAAGTGCTGGGATTACAGGCGTGAGCCACCTCGCCTGGCCCAAGCACATGCCATTTCAATGGCCTTGTGCTACACAACTCCCACCCTCCTATTCTGCTCTCTGTTCCAGGTTCTGGCCATATTGGGCTCTTTTTTTTTTTTTTTTTTGGAGACAGAGTCCTGCTCTGTTGGCCAGGATGGAGTGTGGTGGCGTGATCTCAGCCCACTGCAACCTCCACCTCCTGGGTTCAAGTGATTTTAATGCCTCAGCCTCCTGAGTAGCTGGGATTACAGGTGCCAGTCATCATGCATGGCTAATGTTTTGTTTTCAATTAGCAATAATTGCGCCTCGGATAAACCTCATTGGCTATGATACTGCCACTGCGCAAAGCTAATGTTTTGTAGTTTTAGTAGAGACAGGGTTTTACCATGTTGGTCAGACTGGTCTCGAACTCTTGACCTCAGGTGATCCGCCCGCCTCAGCCTCCCAAAGTGCTGGGATTACAGGCGTGAGCCACCGGGCCTGGCCCATACTGGCTCTTGACTCTTCCTTGAACCAGATTTGCTTCTGCCCCAGCACTCTTTGACTTGTACTTTCTGGCCGGCATGATCTTCCCTCAGAGGATGGCTTAGTTCCCTTGATTACTCCAAGTCCTCATCACCATCTAACACGCTTATGTTTTACTTATTTCTTGCCTGTTTCTCCCCACCATAAGATCCAAGAAGGTTGGGATTTCTGTCATTTTTTTTTGTTCACTGCTATATTCTTGGTGGTGTCCACATGGTAGGTGCTATTTGTTGACTGAACACGTAGGCAAATATTTCCCTGAGTTTGTCACATGTCTATGTTTTTGATGTTGTCTGCCATGCAACAATCTTATTTACATACTCAAATCTGTTTAAAAAAATTTTTGAGACGGAATCTCACTGTCGCCCATGCTGGAGTGCAGTGGCGTGATCTTGGCTCACTGCAACCTCCGCCTTCCGGGTTCAAGTGATTCTCCTGCCTCAGCCTCCCAAGTAGCTGGGATTACAGGCGCGCACCACCACACCCGGCTAATTTTGTATTTTTAGTAGAGACGGGGTTTCACCATTTTGGCCAGGCTGGTCCTGAACTCCTGACCTCCGGTGATCTGCTTGCCTTGGTCTCCCAAAGTGCTGGAATTACAGGCGTGAGCCACCGCTCCCGGACTAAAATTTTTTTTAAGGCTCAACTTTTGCTTCCTGCAGAATTAATTTTCTCGTTTATTAAACTGTTTATTATGAAAACCTTCAACATACAATAACGTCATTCCATTATTTCTTGACTGGGAATTCCATCAGGGCAGAGGCCTTTGATTTTTCACCGGCTGCCAGGACCTCAGCAACCCCAGGGAATGTTTCCAAAGAATCAATTAATGGCACGAGGGCTTCTCCGGGGCCTGCCTCAGGTCCCCTCGCGGTGCTCAGCACAGTCCTGGGAGCCGTTTGCCGACTCAAGGCGCCTGTCCTGGTTTCTCCCGCCAGGCCCGGCCTTCCCCCGTACACTCACGCGGCAACCCCCAGGCGCGGGTTTGGACAGGGCTTCCAGAATGGGAGGAGCCCTGACTTCCAATTGTACAAAGTTTTCCTGGGAGCCCGCCGGTCCCAGCCCCACCCGGGCCAGAGACCGCCTTACAGACTAGGCCTCTCTGCCGCCGGCGCCGCTCGCGCGCGTTCTCCTCTCTTCAGCCCTCCCTCTTCTTCCCAACCCCCTCTCCCGCCACGGGCTGTGGCGGTTGGTCGTCCCTTTCCCACCCCCTCAGCTAACGAGCGGGCTCTAGGCCCTCTGGGATTGGCTGTGCCTGAGCACATCTTCCCTCAGCGTTTCTGATTGGTCGCTGGACGCGCGGGATGCGAGTCCCCATTGGCTAGGCCAGGGCGCCTGCGCGGCGGGGTTCTCGGTCGCCAGCCATTCCTGAGGAGGACTGCCGGTCGTTCGGACGTCTTGCCTGTCGCTGGAGGAGAGGTCCGGGCTCTCCAGGAAGGTGGCTGCGGCGACAAAATGAAGATATTCGTGGGCAACGTCGACGGGGCGGATACGACTCCGGAGGAGCTGGCAGCCCTCTTTGCGCCCTACGGCACGGTCATGAGCTGCGCCGTCATGAAACAGTTCGCCTTCGTGCACATGCGCGAGAACGCGGGCGCGCTGCGCGCCATCGAAGCCCTGCACGGCCACGAGCTGCGGCCGGGGCGCGCGCTCGTGGTGGAGATGTCGCGCCCAAGGCCTCTTAATACTTGGAAGATTTTCGTGGGCAATGTGTCGGCTGCATGCACGAGCCAGGAACTGCGCAGCCTCTTCGAGCGCCGCGGACGCGTCATCGAGTGTGACGTGGTGAAAGGTAACGCGGAGGCGCGCTCGGGGGCGGGGGCGCGCTCGGGGCACTCTGCCTGTTAGCCACGCCCCTTACCCGGGGGTCGGTCACTGCGCGGTTGGGAGGGGTGGGGAAGTGCGCGGGAGCAGGTCGGAGGTGTTGGGGGCGCGTTGGGTAGAGCCACCCTCCTCCCCTGCGGTCCAGGAACCGTCCACCAAGTAGGAGGAAGCGGCTCTGGGTGGGTGCGGCGGCCACTGCGAGCCAAGCTACGGGGCCGGGGACGCGCCTGAGAGCCTTGCGAGTGTTCCGGGGGCGCGCCTTCTCCTGGTCTCCTGGGCCTGGCACCCAGCGGAAATTGGGAAGTGACGGGCACAAGCCGGATCATGAAGCGGGGAAGATTTCTCCACTTCCCCACTTCCTCTCCAGACGTCGGTCAGAGCAAGGGAAGAGGGAAAAGGTGGGGGCTGACGCCCCAAGGCCGCCCTCCTGTTCCCTCCCGATGAATGTGCTCAAGCGGAAGGTAACGGGGCCCTTGGACGTTTCTCGGGCTGGGGTCTTTTAGTCTTGTCTGGCATGGGTCTACTCATGGGCACAGTTACACGTGGGTACGAGAGGGGCCCCTTCCGAATCACTTTGGCCTTTCAATATTAGGTAGGTTAGGCGTGGCAGCTCTGTGCTTTTCTCCTCCCTCAAACTTGGGGTTTTTCTTTGGGCTCGATTTTACATCTGTCAACTGGAAACCCCAGCCTTTTGCATGTGCAAGAAAGCTTGTTTTATGAAGTCCCCTTCTGCGTAGTCTTTACATGCCAAGCCAGTGCCCTAGGGCAGTGTCATTCTTTTATAAGCTTGGTGACTTTGCAGGGGGGCATACTCTGGCTGAGGGGGTCCTGGGGAGGGGTCTGTGAGAGCTCTTCATTAAACAGTGGCTAAACACGGTTTACTGAATCAGTAGTAGTCATTGCTTGAGTAGTCTGATTCTCAGGGCAGATCCCGGTGCCTTTTCTTCGAGAAAAATGTGTCACCATAATTTAAGCCTGACTAGGGACCCAGTTGACTTTTTCATAGCTTGAGTTTTTATCCCTTAAGCTCTTTATCTTTTACATTGGCAAGATTTGGTGGGACAGCCGTTGTGTATGTGGCCAGTCTCTGCTCCACTTGGGAACAGATCAGAGTTAACTTTGCCCTGTCATTTTGGAAGATGCAGCCTGGGAGTATCTGATGCCCTACTCCTGGTGGGTTCATACCTGCTCATACCCTGTGTGAGAAGTTTCAGGGATAGGAAATAAATGTGGGTGCAAGTGCTTATTTATCCCACCAAGATATTTCATTTGCTGTCCTGGAAAGGCACATGTTTGGGGCCATTCCTAGTCCTTTAAGTGGGGGAAATATAAAGGGTCATAGTGTCCACTACTAGGAACAAGTCCTTGTTCTGCATTAATACTGCATTCTATTTTCCTCAACTCAGGTTATACAAGTCCACGACTATCCGGAATCGGGCTTTCCTGCTGGGTGCTCTGAGGCAGGCTGTATGGTGCATGGATTTTTGCTTTTGTTTAGAGTAAAAGAGTGGTGGGGGAGGGTCTCAGATTGGGTACTTGTCCAGCAAAAGGGTGGGGTATATGAGTCTCATTTGTGAGAGTTTTGTGTTTAATTGACTTACCAAGTTTCTTTTGTGGTTGTTAGGTAGAGTGGCTACTAGGTTGAGAGTCTAGAGTCAAACATCTGAAGGGACAGTCTCCCTGGAACTCAGGCTTCTTGCTGGCTTTCAGGTGGTAGAGAAAGTCAAAAATTTGCCTGAAATTTGCTTGGGACCCAACACCAAGTGACGATGCGGGTGAAGTGCATAACTGCACATGAATTTTTAGAACTCCTGGCTGACTCCTTGTGAGAGTTAGACGGAGTTTTGTGCATCTTGTTCCTTTGTAAACATTTGATTAGCAAAAATGCATTGACTTACTCCGGGAGTGGTGGTCAACTATTTGCAGTTACATTGTTGTGTAACAGAGCTCCTGACATACTTCGATGTAAGAGACTGGGAAAGATTTGAACATCATATCCTCCACTGATGTCTTTTTATCTGTTTGTGATGACGGAAAGTGAGGGTTGAAAGTTGGGAGTGTAGTAGAAGCGACTGGCTCTCTAAAGAGCGTACTCATTTCTTATGCTGGGAATGGTCATTTGATTGAGTCTCCTTGTGTTGGCTGACAGGGCTTTGAAAAGCACAGAAGCTTGGTGTTGCACCAGACAACCAGCTCTGTTTTATTTCACAGGAAAAAAAAACAACATAGTTGCTTGGTTACTCCAGGAGCTTAGATAGGATTTGTAGAACAGAAATCTCAATAGCAACAGTGGATTGTAACCACTCCACAGCTTCCTCCTATTGGGTGTTCAAAGATGAACAGCTTCCGGAAACATGTACAGACTTGTGGGGAGATCTGAAAGACAAAAGAGGAAAATATCTTCTCTTCATTTTTGTGAGTGACTGTTTCTTCTTCCTATACAGAGCTCTGTAGTTTCAAGTTTAAGATTTTTTCTTTTTCTTTTTTTTTTTTTTTAGACGGAGTCTGGCTCTGTCGCCCAGGCTGGAGTGCACTGGCGCCATCTCGGCTCACTGCAAGCTCCGCCTCCTGGGTTCACGCCATTCTCCTGCCTCAGCCTCCCGAGTAGCTGGGACTACAGGCGCCCGCCACCACACCCAGCTAATTTTTTGTATTTTTAGTAGAGACGGGGTTTCACTGTGTTAGCCAGGATGGTCTCGATCTCCTGACCTTGTGATCCGCCTGCCTCAGCCTCCCAAAGTGCTGGGATTACAGGCGCAAGCCACCGCGCCTAGCCCTCAAGTTTAAGATTTTTAGTCTTAAGATAGGAGAACTTGTTTTTCTGGATTCACTTAACTTTGTTACTGGAGGACTTGTGATGCCACCAGACCATTTGGAGATCTCTGTAAAACATTACTTGATAGTCCCAATGCAGTGATTTCCTTCAGAGTTTCCTTGAATTAGATCTGTGGGCAAGAAGGTTCCTGGAATTTTTCAGATCTCTGGTTTTAATGGTCTTAGGAGTACTTGGGTGTTAGGGCATCTTTAATCTAGCTAGGTCTGTGCTTTGCACTTACTGTGATGGGGCTTATCACTACAGGATGCAGTTGAGTTAGCTGGGCAACCTATTCACACTTTTCCCCTCCAGTGTCAGGCTTAGAAACTTCCTGATACAATTTGGTTATAATTGTATCAGATGGATTTTTAAATTTTGTATTTATTTTTATGTTATTTATATATTTATTATTTTTTTTTATGAGACAGAGTCTCATTCTGTTGCCCAGGCTGGAGTGCAGTGGTGAGATCTTGGCTCACTGCAACCTCCGTCTCCTGGGTTCAAGCAATTCTCCTGCCTCAGCCTCTCAAGTAGCTGGGTCTACAGGCCACCACACCTGGCTAATTTTTGAATTTTTAGTAGAGACAGGGTTTCACTATGTTGGCCAGGCTGGTCTTGAACTCCTGACCTCAGGTGATCTTCCTGCCTCGGCCTCCCAAAGTGTTGGGATTACAGGTGTGAGCCACCATGCCCGGCTTGGATTTTTAAATTTTTTGATCAGTTATAAAACTCATTTGGGTAGTCATTTGAATCATACATGTGAAATCTCAATTTTCAGATTTCACCACTTGGTCTGAATAAAACTCACTAAGGAGGGAAACAGACAGTGGGATGTCCAAATGCTCTTGTAAGCCCATGGAAGTTTTTGTCTCATTCTAGTGTCAGGAAGTTGTGGATAGAATAATCAGGACTGTTAGAATTGTTCCTTAATATTCCCTCAGAATGTCTGGAGGCCCCTCCCTGCAACAAGTGCCTATGAGCTCCAGCAACTCTGCTTCCCCTTCACTTTGGGCCTTTCTGCTTGCCATCTCCAGGTGGTTTTGCTATTCCCGAGGATTACCTCAGCCTCTGGTTTTATTTTTATTTTTTATTTAAAGATTTTTTAAAATATTTATTCATTCTTTAGGGTCTCGCTTTGTTGCTCAGGCCAGAGTGCAGTGGCGTGATTGTGGCTCACTGTAGTCTTGACCTCCTGAGCTCAAGCCATCCTTCCACCTCAGTCTCCCAAAGTATTAGGATTACAGGAGGGAGCCACCATTCCTGGCCCAGCCTCTGCTTTTAAAGGGCTCTTAGGCCACATGCTGGTTTTTTGTGTTTTTTTTTTAAGCTTACTCTATTCAAAGTGGAGATGAAGGATCACAGGACAACTTTAGTGCCTTATGCCTAGGCCAAAGGAAACACGTAGCTTTTCACAGGTGGTAGATAAGGCTCTGGCCATGGGAGTGTTGAGGACAGAGTTGTGATAATTCATTTTGTTCTTTTTTTTTTTTGAGAGGGAGTTTCATCCTTTTTGCCCAGGCTGGAGTACAGTGGCACGATCTTGGCTCACTGCAACCTCCGCCTCCCGGGTTAAAGTGATTCTCCTGCCTCGGCTTCTTGAGTAGCTGGGATTACAGGCACATGCCACCACAGCCGGCTAATTTAATATTTTTAGTAAAGACGGCGTTTCACCTTGTTGGTCAGGCTGGTCTTGAACTCCTGACCTCAGGTGGTCCGCCTGCCTCGGCCTCCCCAAAGTGCTGGGATTATGGTGTGAGTCATTGCGCCTGGTCTCATTGTGTTCTTTTATCGTCTGTGCCAGCTTCTAAGTTTGCATGGCATTGTGTTTTGCTTGAGATGAAAGATAATATTCTATAGGGAAATAAATCTCTGGTTATTTCTAGGTTTGAATAATCATAATTCCTTATTCTGTAGCTGTTCATATCTTACAAGGCACTTTTGTCTTTTCTCTTGAACCTCTTAACTTTGAGGTAGGTAGGATAGATGTGTCGGAGGAAATACATGGTAAGTTTCTTTTTATTTTTTTTGAGACGGAGTTTTGCGCTTGTCACCCAGGCTGGAGTGCAGTGATCTTGGCTCACTGCAGCCTCCTTCTTTTTCTTCCGGGTTCAAGTGATTCTCCTCCCTCAGCCTCTGGAGTAGCTGGGATTACAGGTGCCAGCCACCACGCCCTGGTAATTTTTGTATTTTTAGTAGAGACGTGGTTTCACCATGTTGGCCAGGCTGGTCTGGAATTCCTGACCTCAGGTGATCCACCCACCTGGGCTTCCTAAAGTGTTGGGATTACATGCGTGAGCCACCGTGCTTGGCTAGTTTCTTTTCTTTTTTTCTTTTTTTTTTTTTTTGAAATGGAGTCTTGCTGTGTCACCCAGACTGGAGTACGGTGGTGCCATTTCGGCTCACTGCAACTTCCACCTCCCAGGTTCAAGTGATTCTCCTGCCCCAGAGCCTCCTGAGTAGCTGGAATTATAGGTGTGCACCACCACACCTAGCTAATTTTTGTATTTTTAGTAGAGACAGGGTTTCACCATGTTGGTCAGGCTGATCTTGAACTCCTGATCTCAGGTGATCTGCCTGCCTTGGCCTCCCAAAGCCCTGGCATGAGCCCCTGTACCTGCCTAAATGGTAAGTTTCCTAAGATCTTATAACAAGTCAGTGATACCTGGGTCTGGAACTGAGACCATTGAATTTCTAATTAAGGATCCCTTTTGTGCTATGCCACACTTCTGACTTCTACTTATTGATTGCATTTTTTCCCCATTATCCTTAGTCTTGTGTCATTGTCTTCAAATCCAGGGAAATGACTTGTTCTGTAGGAGCAGCTAGATAAGGCATCCCAGTACGAAAGTTTCTAAAAATGAGGACCCTTGTTTGGAGGTTATTAAGAATGTTTCTTATCTTAGTATTGTCATCTGGGTAGCTCTTTGTTTCTTAAGCTGATGTGACAGATAGCATCCTGGTACTTGGATGCTATCTAAGAGTAGCCACAGGTCGAGAATGGAGCTAAGCTTAGAGCCTTATTTCCTAGGGGCAGGATTCTCTCCTTCAGATTCTGCCTGTGCTTTGTGAGTGTGGACATGAGAATTTCTTTCCATTCCTTCATTCCCTGAAGTTTTCTCCTTCTGTGTAGTAGATAAGTATAGCTTTGAGACCGGCATCCTGTCTTCTCCTACCACAGCTTATTCAGGTCATAATGAGAGCTGCAGGGGTAACCTGGTTAGCAGAGCCTGTTAGCTGCAGTAATTGCAGCTTCATACCTTATAGGTGAGAAACCAGATCTTTCTGGTAAGCAGTCTGCTCTGTGAACAGAAGCCCAAGGTGTAAGGTATACCTCTGTCCCTTAAAGAGGAAACAGTGGAGGATGCAGTGTGGTCTGGGACAGGGGGATTGGGCATGAACTCAGCCAGTGGGCTTAGTTTCTATTCCCATACCTCATTGGCTTACACAGGGTCCATCTTCTCTGCTTCTAAGCCTAAATTTTTAGTCATATTACACAGTCCTGCCTTATACCTTGACTTCTCAGGGATAGATTATGTAGCAAAGGGGCATTGGAAGAGCTGTGATTCTGGTCCTGACTCTAACACACTTTGAGTGGGGCAAGCCATATAAAAACTCTTGAGCATGTATGTCCACCTGTTAAATGGAGGTAATGATTCTTTGCCCTGCCTACCTCACAGGATTGTGAGGCCCAAATGAGGTCCTCCTGTACCTAAGAGTGCTTTGAAAACTTGGGAAGTACTGTGAAAAAGCGGAGAGATCATATTGGAATGTTGTGAACTGCTTGCTTGTTGCAGTCTATCTCTCTTGCCTTAATTGGACATGGGCTGAGAGATGGGTCATACCAAAACGTGAGTGGTCATTTCCAGTGTTTGAGAGTTAGGCCTCAAAAGTGAGCTAGGCCTCAAAGGTGTTTGGTGAGTTTGGGTTGAGAACACTGAAGAACTGAGTGATCTAGGAACGCTTTCTGCATTTTGTTCTGCTGGTTTGTACTTACAGGAGATGTGAAGATTTTTATCCTGTGTTGCAGTTCATCTTTGCTCCTTCTTCTCTCACCAGGAAGTTGGGTGAGATGGCAGGGTTTGTAAAGGGGAGAATGGGAAGAAGGCTGTAGGCAAAGATGACTGCTTGGGACAGTCAGAAGCTTTGTTATATGGGAGCTACATTTTATGACATACTCCTGGAGAGGAGGGTTTGGAGGCCTTGGAGGTAGCTGGCAACAGCTGGGTGCTGTTGTGTGTCCAATTTGGGACCCATCAGGTAGCATGCCCTGCCCCCCTAATTGCTAACCCTCTGTCTGCTGCTTTATCAGACTACGCGTTTGTTCACATGGAGAAGGAAGCAGATGCCAAAGCCGCAATCGCGCAGCTCAACGGCAAAGAAGTGAAGGGCAAGCGCATCAACGTGGAACTCTCCACCAAGGGTCAGAAGAAGGGGCCTGGCCTGGCTGTCCAGTCTGGGGACAAGACCAAGAAACCAGGGGCTGGGGATACGGCCTTCCCTGGAACTGGTGGCTTCTCTGCCACCTTCGACTACCAGCAGGCTTTTGGCAACAGCACTGGTGGCTTTGATGGGCAAGCCCGTCAGCCCACACCACCCTTCTTTGGTCGCGACCGCAGCCCTCTGCGCCGTTCACCTCCCCGAGCCTCTTATGTGGCTCCTCTGACGGCCCAGCCAGCTACCTACCGGGCCCAGCCGTCCGTGTCACTGGGAGCTGCCTACAGGGCCCAGCCTTCTGCCTCTTTGGGTGTTGGCTATCGGACTCAGCCCATGACAGCCCAGGCAGCCTCTTACCGCGCTCAGCCCTCTGTCTCCCTTGGGGCACCATACAGGGGCCAGCTGGCTAGTCCTAGCTCCCAGTCTGCTGCAGCTTCTTCACTCGGCCCATATGGTGGAGCCCAGCCCTCAGCCTCGGCCCTTTCCTCCTATGGGGGTCAGGCAGCTGCAGCTTCTTCGCTCAACTCCTATGGGGCTCAGGGTTCCTCCCTTGCCTCCTATGGTAACCAGCCATCCTCTTACGGCGCCCAGGCTGCCTCTTCCTATGGGGTTCGTGCAGCTGCTTCTTCCTACAACACCCAGGGAGCAGCTTCCTCCTTAGGCTCCTACGGGGCTCAGGCAGCCTCCTATGGGGCCCAGTCTGCAGCCTCCTCACTAGCTTATGGAGCCCAGGCAGCTTCATATAATGCCCAGCCCTCGGCCTCTTACAATGCCCAGTCTGCCCCATATGCTGCACAGCAGGCTGCTTCCTACTCTTCCCAACCTGCTGCCTATGTGGCACAGCCAGCCACAGCTGCTGCCTATGCCAGCCAGCCAGCAGCCTACGCCGCACAAGCCACTACCCCAATGGCTGGCTCCTATGGGGCCCAGCCGGTTGTGCAGACCCAGCTGAATAGTTACGGGGCCCAAGCATCAATGGGCCTTTCAGGCTCCTATGGGGCTCAGTCGGCTGCTGCGGCCACTGGCTCCTATGGTGCCGCAGCAGCCTACGGGGCCCAACCTTCTGCCACCCTGGCAGCTCCTTACCGCACTCAGTCATCAGCCTCATTGGCTGCTTCCTATGCTGCCCAGCAGCATCCCCAGGCTGCTGCCTCCTACCGCGGCCAGCCAGGCAATGCCTACGATGGGGCAGGTCAGCCGTCTGCAGCCTACCTGTCCATGTCCCAGGGGGCCGTTGCCAACGCCAACAGCACCCCGCCGCCCTATGAGCGTACCCGCCTCTCCCCACCCCGGGCCAGCTACGACGATCCCTACAAAAAGGCTGTCGCCATGTCGAAAAGGTACTGTATGCCCCCCCGCCTCTGCCCCCAGCTGGGGCTTAGGGCAAGGGGCTGAGGTTGGCATGGGAGGGAAACTGGAGGCATCGGCCCCTCCCTCGGTCTTCTCTTCTCTATTTTTGTGGGATGTCCAGAGGCCGAGGGGAGCAGTGTCTATGAACTTTCCTGGTCACCAGGGTTCAGGTGGAGCATAGTGCTCAGCCTGGGGTGGTACCTGCTAGTCAGGCCAGGCACAGTGTCACCTGTCTAGGCTAGCCCAAGTGTCATTGGAGCTACTGCCTGCAGGACTGTGGCCCATATCCTTTCCCACTGTCTCAAGGATCCTTAAGCCTATTACGTGGTTGTCCTGGCTTTGGCAGGGATGTGGGTTAAAGAGTAGTCCCTTTGGCATTCACTGGCTAAAGGCAAGTTTACGAGGTGCGTCCACTCTGGGAAGTTGGGGACCTCGCTTTCATCCGCCGTTCTGTTGATAAACAACCAAGGTCTTTCTCTGCAGGGCCCAGGGGCGGAGATAGTTTGCTGTGGTGTGGGAATGTAGACCAAAATCCACCTTGGCTAGTTCAGAGGGGAGGACTTCAGTGGAGGGTTTGATTTCCCACTGAGTTGAAGCCAGGCTTGATTTTTTTGGCCTGGATAGGGTGATGAGCCTTCTGACAAAAGGAGACCAATCTCTTGGAGACCACTGTGATCACACCCTCCCTGTCCCCATTGGCATCTCCCCAATGCCCACCTGGAGTCCTCCCCTCAATTGTCTCATTCACCAACTGTCTTCTTCTCTCGACTAGGTATGGTTCCGACCGGCGTTTAGCCGAGCTCTCTGATTACCGCCGTTTATCAGAGTCGCAGCTTTCGTTCCGCCGCTCGCCGACAAAGTCCTCGCTGGATTACCGTCGCCTGCCCGATGCCCATTCCGATTACGCACGCTATTCGGGCTCCTATAATGATTACCTGCGGGCGGCTCAGATGCACTCTGGCTACCAGCGCCGCATGTAGGGCCATCCTGGGATGGGGCACCACAGGGAGGGAGGGAGAAAAGAGGTGGGTAGGGTTACAGATCCAGGTTATAACTACTCTGGCCCATACCTTTCCTGGTTGTGGTTTTTCATGCCCTCTACCATGTGGGCCTTCCCCAGGAGATGATCCTGTTAAGTGTTCGGCAGTAACCTACTTTGTTCCTTCGCCTCAGCAGCAAATCTTGCTACTGGCTCTAGATCTGCGGTTTCCCCTCTACCCTGCCTCCCGTCTCCCCAGAATGGGAATTTCTTTTATGTTTTTATTTTTTTCCTGGCTCCCTTTTATTTTTGTGCGCGATATTTAAGGTCGTCTGGATGGGGAAGCAACCTGCAGCTGAGGTCGCCGGCGCCTTTTTCTTTTTAGATGGGAAGGAGGCCAGGAAAGGGTCAGCTTAACCATTTCCTATGTGCCAAGCTGTGCCAGCAGTCCAGGGTACCCTGACTGTCCCTCTGTAGACTGTTGAGACTGAGTTCCTGTTGGGACAGTCAGTTGGTATGTATCCAAGTCCCTGCTGACCACTAATGTTCTAGCTGATGGTGAGCGGCACAGTCCCACTTCCCCATCTCCCCAAGTAGGTGGTGTTAGAAAACCTTAATTTTTTTTCCCTTTTGTATGGACTACAAATAAAACTTGGGGCAATTTGCAGTTTGGAAACCTGGTTGTCATTGTCTTGATTGCATTCAGTGTCAAAGGAGCCAATTTGACATCCAGGAAGACATGATAGCTAAAGGGAAGGCAGTCAGAGAACCCAGGACTGGTGAGGAAAGGGGTTTGAATGTCGGAATTAGAAGGATTGCCCTGTGGCCCAGAAGGATTTAGCTCATCGTCGTCCTGCTAGCCTGCCATCTTTCAGACTTTCCAGGGCAGGTGGCCTGGTCCTCAGCCCTCAACTTGAGTTAGTCACACCAAAATGCAGTAAATGATGCCCATTTTCCTCTGCCTGTGCTTGACCATTTTCACTGACTTTTCTCCAGTTCAGGAATAACCTGTGTTCCAATGGGATGGTTCTGGGGTTTGGCCTCTTAGGAAGTGGGGAATGGGCTGCTGTGGTATTTACAGGCTAGTAGATCCTTTAGGCAGTAGGCTGGAATGAGTGCTGGGGCTGGGACCCAGAAAGGAACCAGTAGTGGAGTGGGGGTAATGGCGTTGCCTGATACTGCCCTATGGTTGGAATAAGGAAGGGCAGAGAAAACTTGAAGCAGGTATGGGGCATTCTGGCCATAGAGCTCGTATTTTGCCTGTTGAGCTGTACCATGGAGCATCCTCCTGTGTCCTGCCAACCCCTGCCATTATAGTCACCGGAGACTCCTTTACCTATCCCTATCTGTTAGGGTTTTCAGATGTCCTCTCGCTGGGTTTATATTTGAAGGTATAGAATCTGGGAAAGGGTGGGGTGCAAGCTAACCAAATAGGGATGCTAGGGTTGGGTGGGGAATTGAGGACTCTTCTGTGCTTTTATTGTAGGGCTGGGGATCGAGGATCTGGGCAAAAAATATGACATTTCCAACCAGGGACAAAATGGAGGCTTGGGCTTAGTGATGGGTAAATGGAAGACTGGTTGAGTGGGATGATAATGGGAGAACTTACTGATGCTCTTTTGGGAAAAGGTGCTTTAAAGACTCGATTTGGGAGCCTACTGGGGCAAGGCGACTGGGGAGGTGTACGTGTTAGTCAAGTGGAGGTCAGGTGGGTTATCTTCTGCCTCCTTCACTGGCTTCATGTGAACTTGCCTGTGACAGAATATCTTGCCCTAGATGTCCTCTTCCCTCTTGCCATCGTGCAAAAGCATTCGATCTTATGACCGTGAGTTCTTATTTGTGGATGCTAACTGGGGTAATCTCAGGGAGTACTGGGGCCATGGCTCTTTCCCTTGCTTCTCTTTCTGCTCACTGCTTTGCTTTCAGGTGCTTAGCTGCTCCTTTTTATTTCTTTGCAGGACTGGGAAAGCATGGGAGGAGGATTTTGATAAGTTTCTTGTTCTCTGCGTGGTGATGGGGTGGTCTGAGGGCCAAGTTAATAAGCCTACCTTTGGTTATTACCCTGGAAAATTGAGGGTTGATGGTAGGGTTATGATTGTGGCCTGTGTATTTGCAATTTTTCTTTGTCAGTGTGGCTTTCTGTCATCTTCCTTTTTCTCCAGTGAGGGTTCTGCCACTGTCTCAATCCCTTGGTTCCTGCAAAAAACAGCTAAATGTGCTCTCAGGGCCAGTGGTGATGTTCTGTGTTGCAGCCCCAGCTCTTGAAAGTGACCTGGCCCAGATGAGCTCTGCCTGCTTGTCATCTTTAGGTCCTGCTGCCCCTGCTGCCTCAGCCCTCAGGCTCCTAACTGCTCAAGCCAGAAGGAGCTACAAAGCCAAATCATTTGTCATTTTTCTCTGGCAGATTGTTTTAAAATCTCCCTCCCCTCTTTTATTTTAATTATGCCACCTGTGTTAATCCTATAGCCTGCTTCTTTGCTTTGTGGATTACTGATTTCAAGTTCTATAACTTGGGGAAAGTTAGGTTGAGTGAATGGGAGGACAGACACTGAATGTGTGTTTTGGAAAAATGGACTCTCTATCTTCAGATTATTCAGCTTCTCCACCTATCACCTCTACAACTTGGCCTTCATTGGAGAAGTTTTAGTTGGCTTATTCCTGGAACAAGACCACCTAGAGGCTTTTAGCCTTGTCAGCCTGCCCTCTTCTGAGGTTTGGACCTTGTTTTAAATTGTGTGCATGGTGGGCTTGAGACTCTCTTGTAATGGAGGTAATGGGACTATCACTGAGGGGTTCAGCCTATCCAGGTAGGCTACCGTTCTAGTCATACCCATCACTTAAATTCTGCCACAGTCTGCACAGACGGTTGGTCCTCCAGGCATATTGTCCTATTAAGCCAAATAGGTGGACATCATGGGATGGATGAGGTCATCATGAAAACAGATTTACTGGATTTATGGACCTAGTATATACTATGTAACAGATGGAAAACTGAATTTTACAATCTATAGGTACCTTTGAAAGGTCATAAAGGGTAAAAGTCTATAGTTTTCCAGAAAATAATTCTTAAAACTGGGTTTTATGTCTAGATTTAAATCATGTATCTGTCTGTAGTGCTTCAAATGTGGCCAGGTGTGGTAGCTCACACCTGTAATTCCCAGCGCTTTGGGAATTTGAGGCAAGAGGATTGCTAGAGGCCAGGATTTTGAGACCAGCTTCGGCAATACGGTGAGACCTTGTCTCTACCAAAAGAAAAGAAAAAAAAAAGCCAGCTGTGGTGGCATGCACCTGTAGTTCTAGCCACTTGGGAGGCTGAAGCAAGAGGATTGCTTGAACTCAGGAGTTGGAGGTTATAGTGAACTATGATCATGCGACTGCACTTCAGCCTGTATGACACAGCAAGACCCTGTCTCAAATAAACAAACAAACAAATGCCTTGCTCAGCTAGCTGAGGCAGGCTTTGGGCTGACCTTGAGGGATTTATTGTCTGGGAGGCAGGACCTACCTCAGTGAGCGAGTTTATATGAATAAGTATTGATAGGCAAATGGTAGGTAAGGAGGGAGAGGATGTGGCAGTAATCCCAGGTAGTTAAATTTTTTGGAGAAATGATTTGATTTAAAAACCGACTTGGGGCAGGTGTCATGGCTCACGTTTGTAATCCTAGCACTTTGGGAGGCCGGGGTGGTTGGATCCTTTTGAGTCCAGGAGTTCAAGACCAGCCTGGGCTACATGGGTAAACTTCATCTGTACAAAAAATAAAAAACTAGCCAGCCGTGGTGGTACGTACCAGTAGTGCCTGTAGTCCAGCTGAGGCTGGAGGATCTCTTGAGCCTGGGAGGTGGAGTTTGCAGTGAGCTAAGATCATGCCACTGCACTCCAGCCTGGGCAACAGAGTAAAACCCCGTCTGAGGAAAACATAAAAACAACAACAAAAAAGTAAACCGACTTGGTATAGACAAGAGTGACTGTTGTCTCTTTAATCAGTTTAAGTTTTTTTTTTTTTTTTAAGAGGGTCTCACTGTGTTGCCTAGGCTACACTTGAACACGTGGCTCAAGTGATCTTCCTACCTCAGGCTCCCAAGTAGCTGGGACTACAGGAGGTTTCCTGAATTTGAATCCTGGCTCTCCCTCTTCTTGGCTGTGTGATCTTGGACATATTAGGAACGCTGCCTCTATTTTGTTACCTATAAAATGAGGATAATAGCTAACTACAGTAAATTAAATATATTAATACAACAAACTAAATTTATATTAGTGTAGCCAACACAATTATATTAATCTTCATAGCAATTCACGTGTTAGCTATTTCTTTTTTTTTTTTTTTTAAGATGGAGTCTTGCTCTTGTCACCCAGGCAGGAGTACAGTGGCGCAATTTCAGCTCACTGCAACCTCTGCCTCCTGGGTTCAAGTGATTCTCCTGCCTCAGCCTCCCTAGTAGATGGGATTACAGGCGCCCGCTATCACGCCCAGCTAATTTTTGTATTTTTAGTAGAGACAGGATTTCACCATGTTGGCCAGGCTGGTCTTGAACTCCTGACCTCAGGTGATCCACTTGCCTCGGCCTCCCAAAGTGCTGGGATTGCAGGTGTGAGCCACCATGCCCTGCCAACATTAGCTATTTCTTTTTTTTTTTGAGTCGGAGTCTTGCTCTGTCGCCCAGGCTGGAGTGCAGTGGTGCGATCTTGGCTCACTACAAGCTCCGCCTCCCGGGTTTACGCCATTCTTCTGCCTCAGCCTCCCGAGTAGCTGGGACTACAGGTGCCTGCCACCACCTCGCCTGGCTAATTTTTGTATTTTTGGTAGAGATGGGGTTTCACCGTGTTAGCCAGGATGGTCTCGATCTCCTGACCTCGTGATCTGCCCGCCTTGGCCTCCCAAAGTGCTTGGATTACAGGCGTGAGCCACTACGCCTGGCCAACATTAGCTATTTCTAAACCTATTTTGGAAATATGGGAGTTGAGGCTGTTGGTTAAGTGACTATTCTTTTTTTTTTTTTTGATGGAGTCTCGTGTCACCCAGGGAGGAGTGCAGTGGTGCGATCTTGGCTCACTGCAACCTCCTGGGTTCAAGCAATTCTGCCTCAGCCTCCTGAGTAGCTGGGACTACAGGGATGCACCACTACACCCAGCTAATTTTTCTATTTTTAGTAGAGATGGGGTTTTACCATATTGGCCAGGCTGGTCTCGAACTCCTGACCTCAAATGATCCTCCCACTCGGCCTCTCAGAGTGCTGGGATTACGGGTGTGAGCCACCATGCCTGGCCATTCTTAAGATCAAATGGCTACAAAGTTGGTGGCTCAAGGAACTGAACCAGACATTGGAACCATCTAGGGCTTTGTTTATAATCGTTATGCTATACGGCTGTTGGGAGAGTCAAATGAGGACATGTGACACGTGTATGTAGTCACTTCTCATGAAATGTTAGCCATCTCATATAAATGAGTTAGAACATTCTGGGGACACTGGGATGGCCTAGTAGAGCAGCACACAGCTGATCCAAAGATTTTGGATATAGGTGTGAGTGCAGCACATACTTCTAGTAGTGAAGGCAGTGAATATTTGTAATTAGCGATACCTAGAAGTGATTTGGCTACTGTACCACATCAATTTTGGCCACCTCCAGTCTCTGGCAATACTATTTTGTGTCCTGGGAGCAATTCTTGTGGATATGGAGAATAAAGGTTATTGATAGTGTAGGGGATTTTCAAAGACATTAAGGAAGGCTAAGAGGTTGCATTGGCTGTAGGATTGGAGGCCTAGGAAGCCTTCTGCCTGATGCCCATTGAACATCCCTGGAGAATGCTGGATTTTTAGTTTGCACCCTTAGCAGAACTGTAACTCATTTCTGGACCAGGAGCCAGAGTTATTTATTAGATGTATAAGTTATATTAAGATGTTTAAGTTACATATTTGTCCTTGAGCCTGTAAAACTCAGATTGGACTGGGCATGGTGGCTTACGCCTGTAATCCCAGCACTTTGGGAGGCTGAGGCAGGCAGATCACCTGAGGTCAGGAGTTCAAGACCAGCCTGGCCAACATGGTGAAACCCCGTCTGTACTAAAAATACAAAAAATCAGCCAGGCGTGGTGGCGTGTGCCTGTAATCCCAGCTACTCGGGAGGCTGAGGCATAAGAATCGCTTGAACCTGGGAGGCAGAGGTTGCAGTGAGCCAAGACTGAGCCACTGTACGGCTGCCTGGGCGGCAGAGTGAGACTCCGTCTCAAAAAAAGAAAAAAAAAAACTCATATAGTTTGCATTTTTATGTCTAAGTAGTTTTCACTGTCACCAGTGTTTAACCCTAAGTTTGTATCTGTCCCTCATTTCCGAGAGTCTCATCTCTTATTTCTCAGTTATATTTCTGTATACACTGCCCTTTTTATTGAAGATTGGCAGCCAGATTACATATTTATTCTTGGCTCTGAAAAAATGTCAGCTTTCTAGATGACTGGACAAGTCACTTTACCTCTGAGGAGCTTGGTAGCCTAGTCAGCAAATTAAGAATCACCAAAATAGCATCTACCGTGTTCCAGACAAGGTGCTTTTATTTACTTATTTTAATTTTTTCAGATGGTCTCTCTGGTTCCTGAGGCTGGATGGAGTGCAGTGGCATGATCTTGGCTCACTGCAGCCTCTGCCTCCTGAGCTCAGGTGATTCTCCCACCTCAGCCTCCCAAGTGGCTGGAACTACAGGTGTGCACCACCACACCCAGCTAATTTTTTTGTATTTTTAGTAGAGACAGGGTTTCTCCATGTTGCCCAGGCTGGCCTCGAACTCCACCTGCCTTGACCTCCCAAAGTGCCGGGATTGAAGGCATGAGACACTGTGCCCGACCAACAAGGTGGTTTTAAAACATCCCTTTTGCCAGGTATGGTGGCTCACGCCTGTAATTCCAGCACTTTGGGAGGCTGAGGCGGGTGGATCACCAGAGGTCTGGAGTTTGACACCAGCCTGGCCAACGTGGCAAAACCCCTCTTCTACTAAATGTACAAAATTAGCCAGGCGTGGTGGCGCATGCCTGTAATTTCAGCTACTTAGGAGGCTGAGGCAGGAGAATCCCTTGAATCCCGGAGGTGGAGGTTTTCTGTGAGCCGAGATAGTGCCATTGCACTCCAGCCTGGGCAACAAGTGCAAAACTCCTTCTCAGATAAATAAATAAATAAAACATCTCTTTTGATGTCATTCTCTGTAGTTGAGCTGGTAAGGCAGAGGATTTGGATCAGATCTCTTTAATTGGCCTTTATTTATTTATTTATTTTTTGAGACAGAGTTTTGCTCTTGTTGCCCAGGCTGGAGTGTAGTGGTGCGATCTCGGCTCACTGCAACTTACGCCTCCTGAGTTCAAGTGATTCTCCTGCCTCAGACTCCCTAGTAGCTGGGATTACAGGCATGCGCCACCACGCCCGGCTAATTTTGTATTTTTTTTTTTTTTTTTTTAGTAGAGATGAGGTTCCTCCATGTTGGTCAGGCTGGTCTCGAACTCCCGACCTCAGGTGATCTGCCCATCTCAGCCTCCCAAAGTGATGGGATTACAGGCATGAGCCACTGCGCCCGGATTAATTGGCCTTTTAGTTAAAAATATTTTTTTTAAGGGGCAAGCATTAAGTTCTTTTAGTACTCAGTAAAATACAGGTAGGTGTATATCAGTATGAAGACACTTGAACTACAAACTTCTCTACCCAAAGCTTCATTTTGTTCCAGTTGTCAAAGTGGTGATCAAAATCTGTTAGCTTGGGTTACCTCTGGCTGTTGGGTACCTGCTTTTCTGTTTGAGGAAGACTGGAACATGTACTAGGTGATGAGTAAAGGTGCGTGTTTTCAGTACTGATAAGTGTCCAGGTTTTTAACCTGATAGTGACTGAAGATCCGAAGTCATTTCCCTCCTTTCGGCTATCAAGAAGTTAACTCATACATTCATTCATTCATTTACTTGTTAACTTAGTCAACAAATATTTGAGGGTCTTACCATGTGCCAAGTACAGTTCTAACACTGAGGATATAATATAGAATTAATAACAGGCTTTTTTAGAATAAGTATAGGATTTCAAGTGGTAGTAAGTATTCAGAAAGACAACATGGAGTCATAGGATAGAGTTCCAAGGTAGGGTTGGGGTGGGTGATGTTTTTAGATCGGTGGCTGGTGTAAGAACCTGAATAAAGAATATTCTAGTCTAAATGAGCTTGGGATAAGGCCAGTATGTCTGAAGGGAGCACAGCTGGTGGTCAAGGGCGGTGGTTGTTAGAAACATATTGGGAAATTCCGGCAAGAACCAGATTGGGGTAAGGTCTTAACGGTGCAAGGAGAGGAGTTTGAATTTATTTATTTATTTATTTTTTGAGATGGAGTTTCACTCTTGTAGCCCAGGCTGGAGTGCAATGGCGCGATCTCGGCTCACAGCAATCTCCGCCTCCCGGTTCAAGCCATTCTCCTGCCTCAGCCTCTGGAGTAGCTGGGATTACAGGCATGCGCCACCACGTCCACCTAATTTTGTATTTTTAGTAGAGACGGGGTTTCTCCATGTTGGTCAGGCTGGTCTCGAACTCTGGACCTCAGGTGATCTGCCCGCCTCAGCCTCCCAAAGTGCTGGGATTACAGGCGTGAGCCACCGCGCCTGGCCGCTTGAATTTATTTCAATTGCCTTAAAAAAAAAAAAACTAGGCCAGACGCGATGGCTCACGCCTGTAATCTCAACGCTTTGGGAGGCCAAGGTGGGCAGATCATGAGGTCAGGAGACCAGCCTGATCAACACGGTGAAACTCCGTCTCTACTAAAAATACCAAAATTAGCCAGCCGTGGAAGTGTGCGCCTGTAATCCCAGCTACTTAGGAGGCCGAGGCAGGAGAATTGCTTGAACCTGGGAGGCCGAGATTGCACCACTGCACTCCAGTCTTGGCGACAGAGGAGACTCTGTCTCAAAAAAAAAAAAAAAAAAAAAAAAAAAATCCAAGTCTGGGCATGTAATCTCAGGCCTGTAATCTCAACACTTTTGAGAGGCTGAGGTGGGAGGATTATTTTTGGGCCCAGGAGTTCAAGACCAGCCTGAGCAACATAGAGACCTCATCTCCCAAAAATTAAAAAAAAGTTAGCCATGTGTGGTGGCACACACCTGTAATCCCAGCTACTTGGGAGGCAGAGACAGGAGGAACACTTGAGCCCAGGAGATCAAGGCTTTAGTGACCTGTGATTGTGACACCGCACTCCAGTCTGGGTGACAGCATGACCTGGTCTCTTAAAAAGGCAGGAAATTTATTGGCTATTATCCAGCCTTTTTTCTAAATTAAACCACCCCAAGTACTATTCTCATAATCCTTGCTTATTATATGTTAACAATTGCCATAGTTTTGTGGGTTTTGTTTTTGAGACGGAGTCTCACTCTGTTGCCCAGGCTGGAGTGCAGTGGCGTGATCTCAGTTCACTGCAACCTCCGCCCCCACGGTTCAAGCAATTCTCCTGCCTCAGCCTCCCTGGTAGCTGGGATTACAGGCGCGTGCCACCATGCCTGGCTAATTTTTTTTGTATTTTTAGTAGAGACAGGGTTTCACCATGTTGGACATGCTGGTTTTGAACTCCTAACCTCAGGTGATCTGCCCACCTCGGCCTCCCAAAGTGCTGGGATTACAGGCGTGAGCCACCGTGCCCGGCCGAGAGGATTGCTTCTGAGCGCAGGCATTTCAGACCGGTCTGGGCAACAAAGAGTTCGTCTCTATAATAAATTAAAAAAATAGAGAGGCCTGGTGGCACACACGTGTAGTCACAGCTACTTGGGAGGCTGAGGAGTTCCAGGCTGCAGTGAGCTATGGATAGTGCCACTGTACTCCACTCTGGGTGACACTGCAAGAACTGTCTCAAAAAAAGGCAGGGAGATTATTTAATGCGGTTCATTCAGGATGAGCTTGTAAAGTGTTACATAGCTAACTAGACCTAGTTGGGTTTCAGAGGTCAAATCAAGTAATTAGGTTTTGGGCTGCATGCAGAGGTGGTTAGTAGTTTTGATGTCCGCACACTGGGCTTGAACTGTGATCCTGAGATTTATGTTCCCAGTCTCCTTCAATCTGGAGAGATTATTACTTACAATGAGTTGATCCTTGTTATACTTTGGTATTTTGGAAGAAAGTTTTATCCCCAGACATGTTGAGACAAGAGATCTAACTGAAGGAGATGAGAGGATTTCTATACCATATGCGTTACCTTCTAATGCTGGCCACCTCTGAAGGGCACGTGGCAGCTGAGACGAAATTGATTTTCTTCATCACTGATCCCGTGGCCTTTACACAGGCTCAGAGGTGCATCAGAATCCACAATGAAGTGGACAAGATTAGTGACCAACACATCTGTAAATGTTATATTTTCTTTTTTTAGTTCCTTAGCTTTTTCTACCCTAGGATAAATTATTGACCAGTTTTCTGCAGTCAGATTCCTGAATCATGTTGGGTTTTTTTTTTTTTTAGTTTCACTCTTGTCGTCCAGGCCACTCTTGTCTTGCCTCACTGCAACCTCTGCCTCCCGGGTTCAAGCGATTCTCCTGCCTCAGCCTCCTGAGTAGCTGGGATTACAGGGGCCTGCCACCACATTGGGCTAATTTTTGTATTTTTAGTGGAGATGGCGTTCACCATGTTGGCTAGGCTGGTCTTGAACTCCTGACCTCAGGTGATCCGCCCGCCTCGGCCTCCCAAAGTGCTGGGATTACAGGCGTGGGCCACCGCACCTGGCCCTCGTGTTGGGTTTTAAAACCCACTCTTTTTTTTCCCCCCCAAACTCTGACTTCACCTTTCTCTTTATGAAACCGTTCTCTTTTTGGGGCGGGGGTGGTGGTGAAGAAGCTGCTTTGGATGGTGGTGTGTGGTACTTGTGTCATCTTCACTCCTGATGATCCCTTTCCTCATAAACTCTGCACTGCTTTTAGCCTGTTTTGTTCGTGTTATAAGTTCTTCCATCCAGTCCCTGCACTCCACCTTTTAACCCTTTTCAAAAGCTGCTTCGCAAAGGGTCTTGACTAAAGTTGCTTGCTTAATGAATATGAAGCAGCCTAAGGATGAGAGAAAACGAGGCAGCAGCTGGACCCTCTGGAGAATGTTACTTTGTATTTTGTTTACAGCTGGTTGTGACTAAGCTCTGTCCTCTAAAGTCGGTTCTAGGGGATTAAAACAGCTCTGGCTGATGGCGCCCAATAAAATAAAACAAAAAAACCTTTGCTGCTCCAGTTTTTTCTCAGGGTGGGGTCGGGGTATACTTTAAATCTCCATGGTCTCAGAAAGGTTTCTTCATCGCGGACCCTGGGAGGCTGGTTCCCAGAGGGAACTTGTCCTCAGCGTCTCCTGGACAGTGCAGCCTCCTGCCGGGCCTACTTCTGGAAGGCCATTACAGAGGTCCTTTCACCACCTGTGAGAGGTTTGATTTTGGGGGAGCTCCGGGACTCTCAAGGCTACAGTGTGGACTGCTGGCCCAAGGAGAAGGTTGGTTTCCTGAAGTGGTGGGTGGTGGGTTGGGGGGGGTCTTCGTTGTTTTTCTTCCCTGGCATGTGCCTGCATAAGCTATTTCCACAGCGTCCTGGCCGCGAGGGGGGGTGGTGCTTGGGAGGTTAGAGGGAGACACCTAGAGTGAACGGCAAAATGGAGCGCGGAATACTGTCTGGCTGTGCACGTGGAGGTGGCGAAATGTGGAAGCTTAACGAAGTTGGCGCCATGAAGCTAAAGACTGCTACCCCGGGGCTCTAGCTCGCTCCGCCTAATGGCGGGCCGCACCCCGCCGGCGAAGCCCACGTTTGTAGGTCCGCCCTCACGCTGATCTCTTGCCCAATCAGCGAGTTCGGCTTCGCGAGGTTGGTGCCCATTGGCTTTCGCATAAAAGCTCCGAGGTTACAGACGTTTCCACCTCTTGCCGGCCTCTTAGGTAATTGGCGTCCGTGGTAACCAATCAGGAAGAGGATCTGAGGGAACGCCGGCCTTTTACTTTCTTGAGTGGCCAATCCGGTTGTAGGCTCACCTCCCCCTTCTACTCAGAGCACTGCTGCGGCCGCCGCCATTTTAGCGTTTTGTCAGAAGCGTCCGCGCCGCGAGGAGGAGGCCCTGCTGGTTTCTGTGCGGGTGAGACTCCGAGCCTTTCCACTGCCTTTCTTGTACTGTGTTAAATCTTCTCTCACTCCCTTGGGCTTCGGGGGTGTCCTGGTAGGTCCGCAGTCTCCACACCCGTCACTGAGAGCCGACCTCGGTCCTCGGCATTGCGCGGTAAGCCGGGAGCAGCCCTTCCCCCACCGCCCCCTGAGAATACCTTGCTTTTTTTCGCCCACCCTGTCCCGCGCCCGACATGGCTGCTCTTGGAGCCTCGAGATTTCCACTGGGATAACCCCCTTTCCCTTATATCTGACAGTTACATTCTCGTTTCGGGAATTTCTCGGGCCGTGAGACATCGTCTGGTTAATGAATCTGAAGCTCTTTTCCGCGGCCGCGCATTTCAGTGTTCGGCAGGAGCTAGGACGGTGCCCCGAGAGAGGCGTTCACCACTCCAGTATTTCCTTTATCTCCCACTCCTCGCTGTCTGATCCGAGTCGCGCGTTCATTACTTCCAAAGGAAACTCAAATGTAGCTATTACAAGGCCCATTTTCCCGGAAATGATGGCTGCTTTGGTTCCTACGTGAGGAAAAGCCTGTTGATAATTTCAGGCAGGCAGTCAGCAAGCCTAGTAGACTTTTGTTTTCTGTTGTCCTCCTAGTGGATAGAAAAGCCTAGTACCCCCATTTCTTCATATGCTGTCTTTCATGCCCATTTCTGTTGGAAGGTATCGGTTCTTACCAAACCCTTTGTCTACTAAGGACCTCCCTATTGCAGACGTCTTCTTATTCTTACAGGTTCATGGCGGCTACTATAGCAGGCCTTAGTTCACTCCCACTTCCATTTGATTATTGTGTGGAGGTGTGTGTGCAGGCGTGTGAGAGAGAAAACTGGAAATATACATTAGAGTGAAAGTCGTTGTCTTTTGTGAACGGATGTGGGCCTGAGGTCTTTTGTCAGATGTCTTGTTTTTCTCTCCCAGGCTCTTGTCAGGATGGTGAAGCTGTTCATCGGAAACCTGCCCCGGGAGGCTACAGAGCAGGAGATTCGCTCACTCTTCGAGCAGTATGGGAAGGTGCTGGAATGTGACATCATTAAGAATTACGGCTTTGTGCACATAGAAGACAAGACGGCAGCTGAGGATGCCATACGCAACCTGCACCATTACAAGCTTCATGGGGTGAACATCAACGTGGAAGCCAGCAAGAATAAGAGCAAAACCTCAACAAAGTTGCATGTGGGCAACATCAGTCCCACCTGCACCAATAAGGAGCTTCGAGCCAAGTTTGAGGAGTATGGTCCGGTCATCGAATGTGACATCGTGAAAGATTATGCCTTCGTACACATGGAGCGGGCAGAGGATGCAGTGGAGGCCATCAGGGGCCTTGATAACACAGAGTTTCAAGGTGAACCACCCTCTTTGGGTAGAGGGCTGAACACAAGGCTGTGTGCAGAAAATGGTTGGATAAGTAAAAGGAGAGGTTTGGTAAAGATAACAGCTGTTGGCTGGCTGGTGATGAAGAAATAAGTGTGGGTGATGGACTTCTTATGATGTAGAATGCATGGGACTTAGGGGCTTTACCTTAGGCAAATGTCTCCTGGAGAAAAGCCACTCACCTTTTATTTGGAGCCCCTACGGCTTTTGTGCTTATCAGTGCAGAAACCCTTTTCTTTGAAGGCTTTCTGAGTTACTGGGCCTTTTTTATTTTTTATTTTTTTGTAGTAGAGCACAGTTCAGAGTTCCTCACTCTGAATTTATTGCCCTCAGCACAGGATCAGAATTCTGCATTTTACGTGAAGAACCTCTCAAAAACATGTCAAGCGACACTTATAGGACCAGAATCCTTGTTAAGCTGTCCTACCTTACACAAACTCTTTAAAGGGTTACAGCTCTTGTTGCTTTTATATTATACCTGTACCAAGGGATTGTATTTTGAGTTTAAGGCCACTCTAGAATTACAAGGCTGATTTTAGGACTTCCTGGGGAGGAGGCACTGGGGTTTTAGGGGCGGTAATGACTGTCTTTTCATTGGTTTGGGGGGCTGGACTTTATAAGATTTTGGTGAATAGAGCACTTAGATTTGTGTTATCTTGGAGTCTTAACCAAATGAATCTTTTGTGCCTGGAGGGCAGCATGGGTGATATGTGGATTGTCACTTCATTTGGAAGCATCTCAAATCCCCAGCATTTTGAATGCCTACATGTTGCTCAAAGGAAATGCTTGTTAGAGCATTTTGGATTTTGAATTTTCAGATTTGGGATGCTAAAATGGTACGTAGAACGCAAATATTCCAAAATCTGAGGTCTGAAGCAACAGTGGCAGTTCAGGGGTGGTGATCATGGTGAGTTGCTATCTGAACTCTTCTTTCACCTCCTTTGGGTTCCCAGTGTCAAAAAGAGTGGTGTCCTTTTTTAGCTTAATTAAGCAGGACTGAACAAAAATAATAAAAAATAAAAAAAGCCTTATTCAAATTATGGAGTATTTCCGTGACTCCTTGCTATATTTCAAACCTGTGTTCTGACAGTGTAGTTTGCCGATTCTTTTTCTGGGTACTACCTTTGTTAAGAGTCATTGCTGCCTTTGGCGTCCATTTCCCTTAAATTGGGCTTTTTTAGAGCTGAGAGTCTGATCATTATTTCCCCTAGTAATGGGTGCCCTGTGTCATGGGCATTGCTGTGCGTTAGTAAAGAAAAGTGACACAGGTCTCTCAGGTCTAGTTTGCTTTCTTTTTTTTAATTGGCAAGTTGAGAATTATTTTGTCAACAACTTAATTGAGAGCAAAGGTTGCTCTTGTGGAGGGTTTATGGTGTGATACCTAATTTTTGGACTGTTTCCCACACTTCAGCCCAGTCAGAAGAGGTGGTGTCTGCTTGTAGCAGTTAGGTTTAAGGAGAGGACAGTGTGGTCTTGATTCAGGACAAATTATCCTTATATAAAACTCTGGGTGTCTGAACCCTAGGTCCCCTGACACTAACCTATGCTTAGTTATTTTTACCTTATTTTATGTAATATTGGCGTTTCTCATTTCTTAATACTGTTCTGGTAGAATTATAGATGTATATTGATGAGCAGTAGTTATTAGGGTGGTCTTTTTTCCTTTCCGTTTCTCAGTGTTGGGTATCTTCTCTATTGCTTGCCCACTTAAAATCTCTTTTAGATATTTTTTAAAATTTAACTTCTTTTTCTGGCGTTAGAACCAACAGATCCTTAGATTAAGGCGTTTATTAATGATCTTTATGTCTGGAATGTGCATAGTTGCTTGCTTAGTTGCACTTGTTTTCTCTGGTTTTGTTAGGTGCCAAAGTGGCCCCCTGGGCAAATGCCAGAGACAAGCTAGCACTTTAAGGCACTTAAGTGCATAATTGCATATCTACTCTCTTTTAATAACCTGCAACCTAAACTTCCAGCTGTGTAGACCTCCTTGATATTTTGTTCCTTCCACCCCCGTTTCCCTATTGTGTTTTCTGGTCTCCCAGAATCTAACATTAATTTTGCAAGGAAAATTGTGTGTTTACCACTTTCTCTAATGTTAGAGGATCCATTTGTTGACTCTCCCTTGCTTTTGACCATTTACTCCTTTGACAGGTGTATGTTTAGGTGCATCATAACCAATTGCATTGGGAAGTTTTTGCAGGATTTGGATCTCTTCTGAATTTTGCTTACCAGTAAGCTGGTAGATCATGTTAGGTAGAAATTGCTTCTGTAGAGACTTACTAAAACTTAGTTTTAACTTTTCTAGAAAAGTTTCTGCTTTTATTACATTTTCAGAAGTAATACTTTTCATTTCCAGAATGCAAATTTTAATTTTCAGGAAAAATATTAGGTGTATGTTCTTAGTTACGCTCTCAGATATGTAGTTGCAGGAGAAGTACTTTAATTCTGCTTAAACTGAGCAGTTTGGTCCACTGACTAGTATAACTAGTTATTCTCCACTTTCCTCAGGCACGTTTTCTTCCATGTTTTTTACAGTATTCTAAAATTTCAGGCATTTGAGAACAATCTGTCCTGTTTTTGCCCTGTTTGCCTTTGACCCTAGTAGAGGGTCACTAAAATTAACTGTCAGATTGTAAAGAATCCTCGTTAAAGCAATGATCAGAACCAGCAGTTTAAAGGGCCCAGTTAAGGGAGAAGTCTGTCCTTCAACTTGTTGTGCCCCTCTGTCTCCCCAGTTCATGAGGGTTTTTCCAGAGATGTACCTTGAGATTTGCTTGCCACATTCAGCTGTGGATTGAGTCTAGATCATTCTTTAATAGTGGTAATCATTGGAGTCTTTTATTCGGTTCTTTTAAATTTTTTGAGGAGGGTGGAGAACTGGCCTTTACTTATATTCCTTTGCTTAATGAAAATCCATCTTGCTAGTAAGGATTGGAGGTGTCAGAAAAGACTTGGGCACTGTTTCTTACTTTGACTTCTTTTGACTTTGAGCCGCTGTTTGGAGATGATTTTTACCTGTTTGGAGATGATTGGAGCAAGAGTAGTTTATTTCTTAAGCATTTAAACTGTTGTTATAGCTGAAATATTTCTTCATCTAAGTGGTCTTTTCCTGAAATCAGGTCATTATACTGAATCTATATGTTGAGTCTTTTTTTTTTTTCCTTTTTATCTTTTCCTAAAGATGAGTCCTGCATTAGAATTGTCTAGATAAAGCCATTGCTATGACCAGTGTCTGGGGTAGGGGCTGGGGCTATGACTAAGAGTGATAGCAACCCTTCTTGCGTCTGTTTCTTCAAGGCAAACGAATGCACGTGCAGTTGTCCACCAGCCGGCTTAGGACTGCGCCCGGGATGGGAGACCAGAGCGGCTGCTATCGGTGCGGGAAAGAGGGGCACTGGTCCAAAGAGTGTCCGATAGATCGTTCAGGCCGCGTGGCAGACTTGACCGAGCAATATAATGAGCAATACGGAGCAGTGCGTACGCCTTACACCATGAGCTATGGGGATTCATTGTATTACAACAACGCGTACGGAGCGCTCGATGCCTACTACAAGCGCTGCCGTGCTGCCCGGTCCTATGAGGCAGTGGCAGCTGCAGCTGCCTCCGTGTATAATTACGCAGAGCAGACCCTGTCCCAGCTGCCACAAGTCCAGAATACAGCCATGGCCAGTCACCTCACCTCCACCTCTCTCGATCCCTACGATAGACACCTGTTGCCGACCTCAGGAGCTGCTGCCACAGCTGCTGCTGCAGCAGCAGCCGCTGCTGCTGTTACTGCAGCTTCCACTTCATATTACGGGCGGGATCGGAGCCCCCTGCGTCGCGCTACAGCCCCAGTCCCCACTGTTGGAGAGGGCTACGGTTACGGGCATGAGAGTGAGTTGTCCCAAGCTTCAGCAGCCGCGCGGAATTCTCTGTACGACATGGCCCGGTATGAGCGGGAGCAGTATGCCGATCGGGCGCGGTACTCAGCCTTTTAAAGCTTGAGGTGAGAGGGGTGGGGTGTTCCCTCTTCTGGTTTTGCCATCCCTCCTGCAGCCTAAAGGGCTCCAATTAGGCTGCCCTGCTTGCTTGCTTGCTTTTGCAGGGTTAGGGGAAGGTTACTAGGATGGCTCACAGGCTAGAGAGAAGTCCTAACTGCTTAACTTTAAAATACATAGAGTTCCTTGGCCCTCATGGCTATTTTTCAGGGCTTCTGGTAGTGGGAGTCAATTTGATTCTATTTGTGCCTAGAAAAATAAAGAATGATGTGCTGGTGAATCTTGGGTCACCTATGTACTATACTATAATTGAACCTTACCTGGGGACCCACACGTTCAGGCTCAGGTGTTTTGTTTCTTAGAGCCTTTGTTAAGTTTCCTACGTGTGCGACATTCCTAAGGTCTTCAAGTTTCCTATTCTGTTTTGTGCTGTGTGAAAGTTCTGATATGACCCCTGATGATAAAGTCCATAACTGTAGTTAACTGGTCATCACTGCTCAGGTCCCAGTTACTAAGAAGACTACCAAAATGGCATCATCTTAATCTTGAAGCGTATTTCTGACATTCCTGAACCGTTCAACCCTTATGAGTTTTATAGAACTTATTTGATGGTAAGTTGGGGTAGAGAGAAATACAAAACTTATCTTTTATAAAGTTCCACAAGGAAGTCTGGGCATAGATGCTAACACTCACCTTCTCTGCCCAGCTCAGATTTATTCCCTGAATAGAGTGCCCACTCCATTGCTATATCTTTCAGTCTGTCCTATAACAGCCCAGCCTGTCACTTACTTAGGGTTTTTTTTTTTTTTAAGTAACTATTCCCACAGTTCTAGTTTTGACATCATCTACTTTCTCAGGGTATATGTTTTAAGAATGCAGGCACACCTGTTAATTTTACTCCTTTGGTAATGTTGAAATCCAGGGTTGGGAGCTTTGCCATAAGCAAATCACTCCCTTCTTCATCTTCTCACTAGCTGTTTTGGGCATTTAATACTCTTGAGCCAGCAGCTCTACCCTGAGTCCGCTGGCTTTTTCCACTGTCATACATTTTGAGCCCCATGATCCATTTGGCTCTCCTTGAATATATTCTCTTCTGATACTTGCCAGCTTTGGGCTCTAGGTGTTTGAGATTATTGTTGTACTTAAGGGTAAATCTCAATGCCCTTAGTTTTGAATAGCTCCCAGTATGTCCCACACATTACCATTGATCCTTAATTATAGTAACTGTGTGAGTGATAGATAACTGTCATCTTTGCAGTTAGGGCAGAAGGTATGTGGCTTTCCCAGGGTCATTGGGTAGGCAGTCACTGATTGGGCTGGAAAAGAGACTTGATGTGTAGCTTATACATGCCCTTCTGCACCTTCTTTCCAAAGTTAGTTTCTTCCCTAGTTGGAATTGGATGTCCTCAGGTCTTAAAACTTGTGCAGTTGATGCTACTTCTATCTAGACTTTGAATGATTTTTAACTCGGACCTTGGCAGTAACTCCTAGATAGAAAATACTGTTAATTTTTTTTTTTTAAACCTCAGGGAGCTAATTGGAACCTTTCCATTTTTCCTATCCTCTGCTGACAGCTTGTGATGTGGAATTACCTTCTCTGAGGAATGCTAATGTTAACATCATCAAGAGCAAGGAATGTCTCTTTGCCTACTTTTATGAAACAAGATTTGCTATTAATTTAAGACCTTAGTCTGAGGTTGTTTAGCCTCCCCAGTTACTCTCTGGCCTTCAAGCTCTTTTCATTGTTAGAGATTACTGTGATACTGGGGGAGAAGGGTACAAGTAAACTTAAAAGGAGTGTCAAGTTATCAGACTTTGTAAAGATGTTGAAGTTTTAAATGGGAAAGCCCTTTTGAGCTTTGCTGTAAAGCCGCTGTATTGTGCTCTCTTTCAGGTGGGATGTGTGTGGGCTGAAATTCCGAGCTGCGGTTGTGCATGAGAATACACCCTTCGTGGTACCCCATCTCCGGGACGTTCTCGGCTCTGTGCGTTCAGTCCCTCAGGAACCGTGGACCTTAATTTACCTTGCTAAGTTCAGACCTTCTCTTCCTTTCCTTTCCTTTCCTCTCCTGCCCATTTTCCTGTTCTTCTGTCCTTCAATACTTCTGTAGCTTCCCATTCATGTTCTCTTCTCCCAGCAGGCCTCATTGTGTGCAGAAACTGTGGTGGGGGCTGTGCTGTCTCCTCCCTGCCTCCTGCCTCCTGCGGCTGTTGGATTTGGGAATGACCTTGGTGAGAGTCTCACTGCTCCAGGGTCTCTTTTTGGTCCAAAGGCTAGACCTATAGAGTTGGATCACTTTTTTTCTTTCCGGTGAAATAAATGGTTTTTCAACTTAGGGTATGTGTGCTTTGCGAGACTTCTTGCTTGGGCTTGTTTGGGGGTTCATTTGTACCTTGAAGGGGAGGGTATAAAGTTTTAAGACACTCAGCTTTGGGTGAACGTCACTGTAGTTATTTTGTTTATTGTAAGTAGGACTTGTAGGTGCCAGAGGAAGGAGGTTATACAGAAGCCCAGGCAGGCAGCCTTATTCCAATGAAGACTTTTCCCACTGGTCCACCTTTGTTATAAAACCAACTACTTTTAGTTTACAGATGTAGGTCTTCTCTTCTAGAGAAACAGTCACCACCTTCCCTTAAGACTACCATTCCAATCACCCAGTCAGTGTATCTAGCTTAACTTAATTTCCAGGGAAAAGGAGGGGTTTAGGGGAAGAGGAAGTCAGTTTTCGCTCTTCGTGCCATGTGAAAAAATGAAGCTGTGGCTCCAAGAGTACTTTGCTAACTAGGCCAGTGACATGTGTTGATGCCTTTCACCATCTATTTGTTTAGCTCTGCCAAAATCCAAAGAATGCCTGAATGGTCCCACTAGCACCTCATTACTTGGGTTTACAGCCTTTAAATCATAGGCATGGAGAAATGACCCAACATATGAGGCTTTAGATACCTTGTTGAATGATGGGGCTGAGTGCAAGAACTGCCGCCTCAGCCTCACGTTTTTCTTGAAACAGTTATTTGTCTTCCATATGTTTGGTCTGTACCTTCTTGCTCCAGTTTCTACAGATACAGGACTGTGTCAGAGCATTTCTCAGAATCATTCAACAAATACTGAGCACCTACTGTATGCCAGGCATTACCCTTTCAGGGAAGTTGGGTTATGATGATGGGGAGATAAAGAAGCTGGTCTTTACTTCGATAGTTTCTCAGATTTTTTTTTTAAATTAATTGTTTCCTCCTGTTAGATTCTTTCTAATCATAGATGACCAAGATTTGAACAGCTCTATACAACATGTAATTTATTGAATATTTTTGTACGTGAAGCCTGTGCTGGGTGTTTCGTGTTCTCATTTAATCTTCCCAGCAAATGTTTTTCCTTTAGTTTTTCCTTCCTGGCTGGGTTGGTTCTCTGCCATTTCTCTTGGAGGGTCGTACATACCTAACTTTGGTTTCTTTTTCTCTAAAGGACAGACCCACCACTGAACGCCATTTTTACTCTTGTCAGTATACCCTTTGATCTGATGGGTAGGGTTGGCAAATTTCAAACATTGGAGACTAACAGTATTCATTGATTCAACAAATATTTTATTGAGTGATACTCTGGAAGGTGGTGTTTTAAGTGTTGGCGATACATACGGTTCTGGAGCTTCTATTCTGAGGGAGCAGAAAATGCAGAAATGTCAAGTAGAGAATTCTGTTTAGATGGGGATGGTCAGTGAAGGATTTTCAGAAGTGACATGATAAACATGGATATGATATATTTTTGCATTACAAAACTAGTTAAAATTTTAACTCCGGCCAGTCATGGTGGCTCACGCCTGTAATCTCAGCGCTTTGGGAGGCCACGGTGGGTGGATCACGAGGTCAGGAGTTCGTGACCATCCTGACCAACATGGTGAAAAACCCTGTCTCTACTAAAAATACAAAAAATTAGCTGGGTGTGGTGGCACGCACCTGTAATCCCGGCTACTCAGGAGGCTGAGGCAGGAGAATCGCTTGAACCCAGGAGGCAGAGGTTGCAGTGAGCCAAGATTGCGCCACTGCACTCCAGCCTGGGCAATGAGCAAAACTCCTCAAAAAATTATTTTATAAAATAAAATTTTAAGTCCTTGGCCAGGTGCAGTGACTCAACGCCAGTAATCCCAGCACTTTTGGAGGCTGAGGCAAGCAGGTTGTTTGAGCTCAGGAGTTCAAGACCAGCCTGGGCAACATGGTGAAACCCTGTCTCTGCAAAAAATTAAAAAATTAGCTGGGCATAGTGGTGCGCATTTGTGGTCCCAGCTACTCCAGAGGGCTGAGGTGGGAGGATCACTTGAACCCAGAAAGTCAAGGCTGCAGTGAGCTAAGATCAGGCCACTGCACTACAGCCTGGGTGTCTCAAAAAAGAATTTGTCTCAAAAACTTTTTGCCAGGCGCGGTGGCTCACACCTGTAATCCCAGCACTTTGGGAGGCTGAGGCAGGTGGAGCATCTGAGATCAGGAGTTCGAGACCAGCCTGGCCAACTTGGTGAAACCCCATCTCTACTGAAAAATATAAGTTAGCCGGGCATGGTGGCAGGCGCCTTAATTGTGGCTATTTGGGAGGCAGAGGCAGGAGAATCCTTGGAACCCGGGAGGTGGAGGTTGCAGTAAGCTGAGATGGAGCCATTGCACTCAAGCCTGGGGGACAAGGGCAAGACTTCTCTCAAAAAAAAAATTTTTTTTTTAATTTCTTGATTCTATTAGAGCAAGTCATTTTTGCTTTCTGCTTTGAGATCCTGATCTCCCTGTAACAGACAATGTAAGAGTAGTTTTTTCATGACTCAGAATCTGGCCTGGTTTAATGCTATATTCATACTAGATGCTTTTGCATTTTCTCTTTTTTAAACCATTTATTGCTTTTGTTTTTGTTTTTGTTTTTTGAGACAGAGTCTCTCTGTTGCCCAGACTGGAGTGCAGTGGCATGATCTGGCTCACCGCAGCCTCTGCCTCCCGTGTTCAAGTGATTCTCCTGCCTCAGCCTCCTGCGTAGCTGGGATTACAGGCGCCTGCCACCACACCTGGCTAATTTTTGTATTTTTAGTAGAGATGGAGTTTCACCATGGCCAAGCTGGTCTCAAACTCCTGGACTCAAGTGATCCGCCTGCCTCCTAAATTGCTGGAATTACAGGCATGAGCCATCACACCCAGCCTTAAGCTATTTATTGACTTGTTGAGAGGAAAAACTCTATCAAGAACAATGGCAGCCTAGGCAACATAGTAGGATCCCATTTCTAAGACAATTTTAAAGTTAGCTCTTTGTGGTGATACGCAGCTGAAGTTCCAGCTACTAAGAGGCTGAAGCGGGAGGATAGTTTGAGCCCAAGAGTTTCAAGCTGTGGTGAGCTGATTGTGTCACTGTACTCCAGCCTAGGTGACAGAGCAAGACGAATTATTTTTAAGAGGTGATTTGAAAAGATTGACTATAACTCACTGATTTTCAACATCAATGTATTATGAAGTTGTTTTTATGCTTCCAATCAAGTGTATCTTTGAGTGGAAGCCACATAGTTGGCTCTGTGTAATTGACAAGGTTATGCTGCCACTCCTTAGGAATAATAAAGTACTTTTTCTTGCTTTTTGTTTTTTAGACATCCAGCTCTGTCACCCAAGCTGCAGTGTGGTGGCATGATTGTAGCTCACTGTAACTTTGAACTCCTGAGCTCAAGGGATCCTCCCGCCTTGGCCTCCCAGAGTTTTTGCAGGGACTATATGTGAGCCACTGCGTCTGGTCAAAATGTAGTTTTTCAAGAGTAATGCTTTAATAAACTGATTTTTTTCCCCCATAGCATTTCACTGTTCATTCTGTCTAGTAAATGTCTAGCTGGCTTTGTATTTCGCTAGGTACTCCCTGATTACCTGCAATTAGGTTACCATGTGGCGAATACAAAGATGAATAGGGCATTGTGCCTGTCCTCACTGTGCCTCCACAAGCTGCTGCTTGTCTGGGCCTTGGGTGTACAAATAACTGGTATGTCCTTGGAAGTCAGTTCGGGGTGGGAATGGTCATACTATTTTGTATTGATGACATGTGCCTCGGCCTGATTCTGCATGGGTCAAAGGACCTGTGAGGGCAGTTTTCAGGGTGATCTTGGAATTTAACTTGATGTTAACCCTGTTAACTTTGCCTTTAAAGTTTTCCAGCCAGGCGTGGTGGCTCAACGCCTGTAATCCCAGCACTTTGGGAGGCCAAGGCAGGCAGATCACCTGAGGTCGGGAGTTCAAGACCAGCCTGTCAAACATGGGGAAACCCCATCTCTACTAAAAACACAAAAAATTAGCCGGGCATGGTGGTGGGCACCTGTAATCCCATCTGCTTGGGAGGCTGAGGCAGAAGAATTGCTTGAAGCTGGGAGGAGGAGGTTGCAGTGAGCTGAGATTGCGCCATTGAACTCCAGCCTGGGCAACGAGAGTGAAAGTCTGTCTTAATAATAATAGGCCAGGCGCGGTGGCCCACGCCTGTATTCCCAGCGCTTTGGGAGGCCGAGGTGGGCGGATCACGAGGTCAGGAGATCAAGACCATCCTGGCTAACAAGGTGAAACTCCATCTCTACTAAAAATATAAAAAGTTAGCCGGGCGTGGTGGTGGGCACCTGTAGTCCCAGCTACTTGGGAGGCTGAGGCAGGAGAATGGCATGAACCCGGGAGGTGGAGCTTGCAGTGAGCTGAGATTGCGCCACTGCACTCCAGCCGGGGCAACAGAGCTAGACTCCGTCTCAAAATAAGTAAAATAATAATAATAAATTTAAAAATGAGCCGGTCATGCTACTCAGGAGGCTGAGATGGGAGGATTGCTTGATGCCAGGGGCGGATGTTGCAGTGAGCAGAGATGGCATCACTGGACTCCATCCTGGGTGACAGTGGGATCCTGTCTCAAAAGTTTCCCAGGCATCCTCAAAATTGGGGTTGTTTTGGGTGAATGCTAAATTAAACCAGGCTCCTTACCCTAGAGCTACACATCAGTACTAAAGTAGACTCGGGGGGGGATGGAGTAGTGAGAGTGAGATCATTGATCATTGGCACTAGTATTAAGTGCTGTTTCAAATTACCCAGGTCAGTTTGCTCTCAGTACTTGTGTGTTCTTACACATGATCTCATTCTGAGGTAAAGGAAATTCCCAGGATGATGGTGATGGGAAGTCCCAGGACTCCCTTTCTGCAGTGGATTTGGAGAACAGTAGTCCAGGTTGTAGCAAGAGAAAGTACTTTTTTTTTTTTTTTTGAGGCGGAGTCTTGCTCTGTCACCCAGGTTGGAGTGCAGTGGCACTATCTCGGCTCACTGCATGCTCCACCTCCCGGGTTCACGCCATTCTCCTGCCTCACCATCCAGAGTAACTGGGACTACAGGCGCCCGCCACCACACCTGGCTAATTTTTTTGTATTTTTAGTAGAGACAGGGTTTCACCGTGTTAGCCAGGATGGTCTCGATCTCCTGACCTCTTGATCCGCCTGCCTCGGCCTCCCAAAGTGCTGGGATTACAGGCGTGAGCCACCATGCCCCGCCAACAGGAGGATTTTTTTAGTCCGTTTGAGGTGCTGTAACAAAAGACCGTAAGACTGGATGGCTTATACACAACAGAATTTTATTTCTCACAGTTTCGGAGGCTGGGAAAGCTGAGATCAAGGCCGTGGCAGACGTGGTGTCTGGATTCTGTCTTGAGTTTGCAAGGCAGGAAGGGTGAGGGATTTCTCTGGAGTTTCTTTTATATAAGGGCACAAATCCCATTGATGAGGGCTCTGTTCTATGGCATAATCACCTCTCAAAAGTGTACCTAATACTTTCACTATGGGGATTCAGATTTTAACATGAATTTTGGGGGGACATAAACACTCAAAACTATAGCAAGATTCAACTGTGTGTGATATTTACCTAGTTATGATCGTAGCAGCTCTGAATATTAAAATAATAATCTGATGAAGTGGCGATGGGTGGGTAATACGTATAAGAGCAAAACTCATAGAAATGAAAAAATTTTTTTTTTTTGGTCACCCAGGCTGGAGCGCAGTGGTGCAGTCTCGGCTCACTGCAACCTCTGCCTCCCGGGTTCACACCATTCTCCTGCCTCAGCCTCCCAAGTAGCTGGGACTACAGGCACCCTCCACCACGCCCGGCTAATTTTTTTGTATTTTTAGTAGAGACGGGGTTTCACCGTGTTAACCAGGATGGTCTCGATCTCCTGACCTCTTGATCCGCCTGCCTTGGCCTCCCAAAGCGCTGGGATTACAGGCGTGAGCCACCACACCTGGCTGAAATGAGGAAATTTTTAAAAGTGGCAAATGGATTATGAACATCTTATTCAGAAATAAAGGTAAAAAACAGCTAAAATGGCAAAAGCAGTTGGGTTCTGGGGAAGGTGGGGCCAGGGGACTTTTTGAAGCCTTAATATTTGCTTTGTTAAACCATGTTCTTGCATTATTAAGTTGTGTCATGCTAAGAACTCTATTTTGTCAAGCCAGATTATGATGGCTTAACATGAGTGAACCTTCCAGCTTCTCATGAGATGCAAATCTGACAGGAATAGGGACTCGTGTTACTTTATGGCAGGTAAATAGCACCCTTCAGATACAAAATTGGGTTGGTTTCGGGCGTGGTGGCGCATGTCGTAGTCTCAGCTACTACAGAGGCTGAGGTGCAAAGATTGAGCACAGGAGTTCCAAGGCCAGCCTGGCCAACCTAGTGAGACCTGACCTGTCTGAAACATACAACCCCACCCGCACCCCCACCAAAACAGGGATGGTGCTTCCTGTCCCTTAAGGAGACAAGACACCAAAGGAGAAAGTACGTAGCTAGTGATGAGTGAATTGAGCATTGTATTACTGCTCTCATTTTTGTCTTAAGTTGTCACAACTAACAGGGAGGCTGAGTACTCTGTCCACTGGGAGCTGGTGGTTCCATTGAGGGTTGTGTGTGCCTGCTGGTTTGAGTTCCTCTGTCCAACATCAGAATTGTTTGTATTCAGATATGCAACAAGATGGGACTTCTCAGTTTCACAACGTAAGGAAGATTGACACCAAACTGAGTTTGGGGCTTCCTTTGTACAGTTGACCATTGAACAACAAGGGTTTGAACTGTGCAGGTTCACTAATACATGGATTTTCTTCTGCCTCTGCCGCCCCTGAGACAGCCAGACCAACCCCTCCTCCTACTTTTCCTCAGCCTACTCAACATGAATACTATCAGGATGAACACCTTTATGATGATTCACTTCTACTTAATGATTTTTTTTTTTTTTTTTGAGAGGGAGTCTTGCTTTGTCACCCAGGCTGGAGTGCAGTGATGCGATCTCGGCTCACTGCAACCTCTGCTTCTTGGGTCCAAGCAAATCTCCTGTCTCAGCCTTCCGAGTAGCTGGGACTATAGGCACATGCCACCACGCCCAGCTTACTTTTGTATTTTTAGTAGAGACAGGGTTTCACCATATTGGTGAGGCTGTTCTCGAACTCTTGACCTCAGGTGATCCACCTGCCTTGGCCTCCCAAAGTGTTGGGATTACAGGTGTGACCCACCGCGCCCAACCTTTTCTTTAGCTTTTATTGTAAGAATACAGTATACATATAACACACAAAATATGTTAATTGACATATGACCTGTAAGGCTTCCAGTCAACAGCAGGCTACTAAGTTTTGGGAAGTCAAAAATTATACATGGGTTTTCTTTTTTCTCTTTTTTTTTTTCTTTTTTTTTTCTGAGACAGAGTCCTGCTCTGTCGCCCAGGATAGGGACTCACACTTTGAATATATGCCTCAATTAAAAAGGCAAAAAATAAGCAGGGCACAATGGCATGCACCTGTAGTCTCAGGTACTTGGAAGGCCGAGGTGCAAGGATCGCTTGAGCAGCCCAGGAGTTCAAGTCCAGCATGGACAACAGCAAGACCCTCTCTAAAAATATTACTTATTTTAGAGACAAGGTCTTGCTCTGTCATCCAGGCTAGAGTGCCATGGTGTTATCTATCTCACTGCAGCCGTAGCTCGCAGGCCCAAATGATCCTCCCGTCTCAGCCTCCCAAGTACTTAGGACTACAGGCATATGCCACCAAATCCTACTATTAGAAGAATTTTATTTTTGGCCGGGCGTGGTGGCTCACACCTGTAATCCCAGCACTTTGGGAGGCTGAGGCGGGCGGATCATGAGGTCAGGAAATCGAGACCATCCTGGCTAACATGGTGAAACCCTGTCTCTACTAAAAATACAAAAAAAAAAATTAGCTGGGCGTGGTGGCGGGCGCCTGTAGTCCCAGCTATTCGGGAGGCTGAGACAGGAGAATGGCGTGAACCCGGGAGGCAGAGCTTGCAGCGAGTCGAGATAGTGCCACTGCAGTCCGGCCTGGGTGACAGAGTGAGACTCCATCTCAAAAAAAAAATTTTTTTTATTTTTGAGACAAGGTCTCACTTTGTCCTCTAGGCTGGAGTGCTGTGGTGCAAACATGTCTGACTGCAATCTTGATCTCCCAGGCTGAAGCTATCCTCTCGCCTCAGCCTCCTGGGTAGCTGGGACTACAGGCACGCACCACCACGCCCAGCTCAGTTTTGATTAATTTTGTTTTTTTTTTTTTTTTAGAGGCAAGGTTTTCCCATTTTGCCCAGCCTAGTCTTGAACTCCTGCGCTTAAGTGATCATCCTGCCTCAGCCTACCAAAGTGGTGGGATTACAGGTGTGAGCCACTGTGCCCAGCCTACAGATAATTTCTTTTTATTTTTTGAGATGGAGTCTCCCTACGTCGCCCAGGCTGGAGTCCAGTGGCGCCATTTCGGCTCACTACAACGTCCGCCTCCCAGGTTCAAGTGATTCTTCTCCCTCAGCCTCCTGAGTAGCTAGGATTACAGGCGCATACCACCACGCCCAGCTAAATTTTTTTTTTGAGATGGAGTTTTGCTCTTGTTGCCCAGGCTGGAGTGCAGTGGCATGATCTCGGCTCACTGCAACCTCTGCCTCCTAGGTTCAAGCGATTCTCCTGCCTCAGCATCCTCAGTAGCTGGGATTACAGGCATGCACCACCACGCCTGGCTAATTTTTGTATTTTTAGTAGGGATGGTGTTTCACCATGTTGGCCCTGCTGGTTTCGAACTCCTGACTTCAGGTGATCCACCCGCTTTGGCCTCCCAAAGTGTTGAGATTACAGGCATGAGCCACTGCACTCGGCACTTCTTTTCTTTTTTTTTTTTTGAGACAGGGTCTCACTCTGTCACCCAGACTGCAGTGCAGTGGGGTGATCTTGGCTCACTGCAACCTCCACCTCCCAGTCTCAGTTGGTCCTCCTACCCCAGCCTCCCGAGTAGCTGAGACTACAGGCATGCCACTACATCCCACTCGTATTTCTTGTAGATACAGGGTTTCGCTATGTTGCCTACGGTGCTCTTGAACTCCTGGGCTCAAGCGATTCTCACCTCGGCCTCCCAAAGTGCTGGGATTATAGGAATGAGCCATTGCACCCGGCCTGGGCCTCTTTTAAAAAAGTGAGATTTGAGCAATGAGTTGAATTAGATGTAAGTTAGCAACAGGTATCTGGGGGAAAAGTACGCCAGGTAGAGAGAATATCTTGAGCAAGGGTCTTAAGGTGGGAGTGTTCTAACAGTAAGGAGGCCAGTGGCAAAAGAGTGAGTGGGAGGAGAGAGGAGCAGAAGAGGTCAGGTAGTTAGCAGATCTAGTAGTTAATCTTCTAGGGCCTTTCTGGCCTTCACTCTGAGTCAACTAGTCTTGTAGGTTTTTAAGCAGTGTCATAATGTGATTACTTTTTTAAAAAATCAGCTTTTCTGAGTTTTTTTTTTAAACACCCTTTCAACCCAGTTTTTCCTGACTCTGGGAAGAACCAGGAAGAGACGGCCCTGAAGTATTCTTTTTTTTTTTAGATGGAGTTTTGCTTTTGTTGCCCAGGCTGGAGTGCAATGGTGCAATCTCAGCTCACCACAACCTCCGCCTCGCGGGTTCGAGTGATTCTCCTTCCTCAGCCTCCTGAGTAGCTGGGATTACAGGTGCCCGCCACCATGCCCGGCTAATTTTGTATTTTTTTTTTTAGGCGGAGTCTCGCTCTGTCACCCAGGCTGGAGTGCAGTGGCACAATCTCAGCTCACTGCAAGCTCTACCTCCTGGGTTCACGCCATTCTCCCACCTCAGCCTCTGAAGTAGCTGGGACTACAGGCACCTGCCACCACGCCTGGCTAATTTTGTTTTTGTATTTTTAGTAGAGACAGGGTTTCACTGTGTTGGCCAGGATGGTCTCGATCTCATGACCTTGTGATCCACCCGCCTCGGCCTCCCAAAGTGCTGGGATTACAGGTGTGAGCCACCGTGCCTGGCCTAATTTTCTATTTTTTTAGTAGAGACGGGGATTCTCCATGTCAGTCAGACTGGTCTCGAACTCCCAGCCTCAGTTGATCTGCTCACCTTGGCCTCCCAAAATGCTGAGGTTACAGGCATGAGCCACTATGCCCGGCCTGAAGTATTATTTTCAAACAATAAAATATACCAATTTTGAAAACAATTTGACACATTGTGACAATGTACTTTTTTGGGGGGCCTTTTGTTTTGTTTTTTAAAAAGATGGTGTCTCACTCTATTGCCCAGGCTGGAGTGCAGTGACATGATCTCGGTTCACTGCAATCTCCACCTCCCGGGTTCAAGCGATTTTTGTGCCTCAGCCTTTTGAGTAACTGGGATTATAGATGCATGCCACCATGTCCAGCTAATTTTTATATTTTTAGCAGAGACGGAGTTTCACCATGTTGGCCAGGCTGGTCTTGAACTCCTGACCTTAGGTGATCCACCACCTTGGCCGCCCAAAGTGCTGGGATTATAGGCACAGTCGTGAGCCACCATGCCCAGTTTGACAATGTACTGGTAATTTTGGTAACTGATGGTTACAATCTTGTTCCCATTGTTGCAATCAAAATACAGAACATTTTTGTCAGCCAAAAAGCCCTTGTGCCCCTTTGTAGTTAATCCTCAGCCCCTGATCAATTTTTTAGTCTTTTTTTTTTTTTTTTTTTTTTTTTAGGTGCGGTCTTGCTCTGTTGCCTAGGCTGGAGTACAGTGGTATGAGTATGGCTCAATGCAGCCTCAACCTTCTGAGCTGAAGCGGTCTTCCCATCTCAACCTTCCAAGTAGCTGGAACTACAGAGGTATGCACCATTGCACCTGGCTAATTTATTTTTTATTTTTATCTTTTGGTAGAGATGGGGTCTCCCTATGTTGCCCAGGCTGGTTAGGAACTCCTGGCTCAAGCTATACTCTTGTCTCAGCCTTCCAGACTACTAAGATTAGGCCGGGCGCGGTGGCTCACACCTGTAATCCCGGCACTTTGGGAGGCCGAGGGGGTGGATCACTTGAGGTCAGGAGCTCGAGAGCAGCCTGGCCGACATGATGAAACCCCGTCTCTACTAAAAATGTAAAATATTAGCCAGTTGTCGTGGTGCGCACCTGTAGTCCCAGCTACTTGGGAGGCTGAGGCAGAAGAATCACTTGAACCCGGGAGGTGGAGGGTGCAGTGAGATGAGATAGCGCCACTGCACTCTAGCCTGGGCGACAGAGCAAGATTCCATCTCAAAAAAAAAAAAAAAAAAAAAAAAAATTATAGGCATGAGCCACCTCGCCTGCCCCCTCCCCCACCTTTTTTTTGAGACAGGGTCTTCCTATGTCACCCAGGCTGGAGTGCCGTGTTCAACCTCCACCTCCTCCCGGGCTCAAGCAATTCTCTCACCTCAGCCTCCCGAGTAGCTGGGACCACTGGCGCATGCCAGCATGCCCAACTAATTTCTGTATTTTGTAGTTGTGGTTTTGCCATGTTGCCCAGGCTGGTCTTGAACTCCTGAGCTCTAGCCATTTGCCTGCCTCAGCCTCCCAAAGTGCTGGGATTACAGGCGTGAGCCACCTAGTCTGACCCTTTTTTAAAATTTTTTTTTTTTGAGATGGAGTTTTGCTCTTGTTGCCCAGGCTGCTGGAGTGCAACGGCACGATCTCGGCTCAGTGCAACCTCTGCCTCCTGGATTCAAGCGATTCTGCTGCCTCAGCCTCCCTAGTAGCTGGGATTACAGGCATGCACCACCACGCCCGTCTAATTTTGTATTTTTAGTAGAGATGGGGTTTCTCCGTGGTGGTCAGGTTGGTTTTGAACTCCCGACCTCAGGTAATCCGCCTGCCTCGGCCTCCCAAAATGCTGGGATTACAGGCGTGAGCCACTGTGCCTGGCCTAGTCTGACCTTTTTTTTTTTTTTTTTTTTTTTTTCGTTTTGTTTTAAATGGGCAACTAGAATAGGCTCAGAGATTCCCTGAAATCATTGTTAATTGTCACAATTTAGGGGGTTTCTCCCGCCAGGGATGTGGCTAAACATCCTCCAATGCACAGGAGGGGCACCTTTCCCAGTTATCACTAGTGCCAAGTTTGAAATCCTCTTCAAGACTTCATTCATTGCTTTGGCTTTGTATACCATATGGAGTTGTGCTGTTCAGTGTGGTAGCCAGAGACATATACAGTGCTGCGAGTACCAAATACCTATGGGATTTAAAAAATTAATATAAGCCAGGCGCAGTGGCTCACGCCTGTAATCCCAGCACTTTGGGAGGCCAAGGTGGGCAGATCACTTGATGTCAGGAGTTTGAGACCAGCCTGGCCAAGGTGGTGAAACCCCATCTCTACTAAAAATACAAAACTTAGCCAGGCGTGGTGGCACGTGCCTGTAGTCCCAGCTTCTTGGGAGGCTGAGACAGGAGAATTGCTTGTACCTGGGAGGCGGAGGTTCTATTGAGCCAAGATTGGGCCACGGCACTCTAGCCTGGGCAACAGAGCAAGAGTGTCTCTCAAAAAAAAAAAATATATATATATATATATTCAGTTTTTAATGCTCATTATATGTTGAAATGGTCATTTTTTTGCACATATTGGGTAAAAATACATTAAAATTTTTTTTTTTCCTAACCACCAGACTATCTGGGGAAAATAAAATTAATACAATTTAATTTCACCTGTTTCAGTTCCCTATGTGGTTTGCATTTGTGGCTCACATTGTATTTCTGTTATGTAACACTGATCCAGGTGCTAAAGACTCTTGATATCTCCAGTTTGAAACCTCTCTTCTGTGCTCAAGATTCAGGGATCTGGACACCTAGCTGACATTTCTTCTTGGTTCTTTTTTTTTTTTTTTTTTTTTTTTTGAGATGGAGTCTCACTCTGTTGCCCAGGCTGTAGTGCAGTGGCGCGATCTCGGCTCACTGCAAGCTCCGCCCCCCGGATTCAAGTGATTCTTCTGCCTCAGTCTCCTGAGTAGCTAGGACTACAGGCACGTGCCACTACACCTGGCTAATTTTTGTATCTTTAGATACAAAATTTAGAGACGGGATTTCACCATATTGGCCAGGCTGGTCTCGAACTACCGACCTCGGGTTCTGCCCGCCTTGGCCTCCCAACTTGCTGGGATTACAGGCATGAGCTACTGCACCTGGCTGGTTGTCTTAATACACCTCAAACTTGGTATATCTGAGATAGAGCTCCTGAGACTCCCCACTCTAAAATCATTTCTCCTTCAGTCTTCCTTATCCCATTCTCTCTTTCAGCCAGATTGCTGGTAGTCATTCTTACGCCCTCCCCAACCATTAGCAGCTCTTGATCATGTTTATATCACATGTTGCCTCTTTTCTCCATGTCTTTGCCACAGCCATAGTCTAGACCATGCTATCCTCTCCCACCAAGATGACTACAGTGACCTCCAGGTCCATCTTTTTCTTACCCTTGGGTCTTCAAAGTATTCTCCATTTAATAGCCAGAATGTTCTTGTGAAATGTATGTAAATCAGATGTTTCTTTCGTTACTTAGAACCTTTCAGCAACTTCCCCTTTTATCTAAAGTAAAATGCCCAATCCCTTAGTTTGAACGTGCCTTTCCTCTGTCACACTTTATTATCTCAGGCCCTTTTCCCTGCTTATCTATCCTTTTCTGACCATACTGACTCTCCTTTCAGATCCTTGTATACACTGAGCTCTTTCCTGCCTCAGGGCCTTTTTTTTTTTTTTTTTTTTAAATCTGAAGGGACCTTTCTCTTTACTGCTTTAGAGCTAACTTAACTTCAGGTCTTAGCTTCAGGATCAAGTATTGGAATGCCCTCCCAAACCACCTGTAGCTTAGTAGATATGTCCTCCCATTATTCCCTGCCATTGGACCCATTTTGTGTAATTTGTGGTACTTATCACAATTTCTTTTTTTTTGAGATGGGAGTCTCTCTTTTTTTTTTTTTTTTTTTGAGACAGAGTCTTGCTCTGCAACCAGGCTGGAGTGCAGTGGCACGATCTTGGCTCACTACAACCTTTGCCTCCTGGGTTCAAGTGATTCTCCTACTTCAGCCTACTGAATAGCTGGAATTACAGGCTTCTGCCTAATTTTTTTGTAGTTTTAGTAGAGACAGGGTTTCGCCATGTTGTCCTGGCTGGTCTCAAACTCCAGACCTCAGGTGATCCTTCTACCTCGGCTCCCAAAGTGCTGGGATTACAGGTGTAGGTAGGCCACTGCACCCGACCTAAACTTTTTTTTTTTTTTTTTAATTTGAGATGGAGTCTTGCTCTGTCGCCCAGGCTGGAGTGCAGTGGTGCGATCTCAGCTCACTGCAAGCTCTGCCTCCCGGGTTCACGCCATTCTTCTGCCTCAGCCTCCCGAGTAGCTGGGACTACAGGCATGTGCCACCATACCTGGCTAATTTTTTTTGTATTTTTAGTAGAGGCAGGGTTTCACCATGTTAGCCAGGATGGTCTCGATCTCCTGACCTCGTGATCCACCCGACTCGGCCTCCCAAAGTGCTGGGATTACAGGCGTGAGCCACTGCGCTCAGCCGTGCCCGGCCTAAACTTTCTAAATCTCAGTAGCCTTAATTGCTGGGAGAGCCAGTGATGCTACCTCATTGGGTTCTTGTGGATTTGCAGGGGTGACAGATACACGGTTTGAATTTGGCCTGGATTCTCAAAGGCCCTGCAAACCTAAGGCACTTCAGATTGAATTCATCTCGTCAGATTTTTCATTCTTCTCCTGCAAGTTCCTGGAGCTGATTCTATCATTTCTTGCATTTCATTTCTCCTCAGCGGCAGAGCCTAGCTCTGGTCTGAAGAAAGCCGAGATTGATCTTCCAACAAACTGACAGCTCTTCCCAGGAATATTTATTTCTCCCCTCCTTCCTTTTCCCAAATCTCCTAGGCCAGGTGACTTCCTGAGGACCAGGTTTGTAAGCAAAATCCTGACAAGCTATGAAACCAATCTGGGGCAAGTTGCTTCCCTTTTCTGGTCCATCTTGCAGGCAGCCAACCTTTTTCTGCCCTTAGGACAAGTTTCTAACAGCACCTTGAGTGCCCTGAGGGCCTAGTGTCTTTCTGTGCCATGCTGGAAACCTGAGGAAGGGGGTAGATCTGAGGCTACAGAAACCACATATGCCTCATTCATCACCATGTTCCCACATCCTAGCTCATAGTAGGAATTCAAACAGTTGATAAATGAATTCAGGAGCTTTTAGCGTTGAGAGGCCTCATGGGACTCTGAAATGGTCTATAGTGAGAAACTTGGTGAACTAAAGGAATTTTGTATTCACAATATGCAATTTATCATATAAGAAGTAAGGTTTAGGAATAAAAACATTGGCCAGGTGTGGTGGCTCACGCCTGTAATCCCGGCACTTTGGGAAGCCGAGGTGGGTGGATCACCTGAGGTCAGGTGTTCAAGACCAGCCTGACCAATATGGTGAAACCCCATCTCCACTAAAAATACGAAAATTCACCAGGCGTGGTGGCGCGCGACTGTGATCCCAGCTACTGGGGAGGTTGAGACAGGAGAATTGCTTGAACCTGGGAGGCAGAGGTTGCAGTGAGCCGAGATCATGCCAGTGCACTCCAGCCTCAGTGACAGAGCGAGACTCCATCTCAAAACAAAAAAATACATTTGTCCTACTCAACAGTACTCTTTTGGTGTGAAAGGTTTTCTAAAATAAAAATTATGCAATTCTGCAGGGCTTTTTCTCCACCTATGAGCAGCTTATTTTACTATCTAAACTGCTGTCCAATAGAGTAGCCACTAGCTACATGTAGCTAATTATAATTAAATAAAAAACTCAGTTTCTCAGTGGAATAAACCACATTTCAGGTACTCAGTAACCACAGTAGCCACAAATTGGACAGCACAGATATGGAACACTTCCATCACTGCCAGGAGTGTTATTGGGCAGTGATGATATAGAACTCTTTTGCAGAAAATTTTTTTTCTTGTGCCAATGACATAGAAATCAAGATACTTTTATTTATTTATTTATTTTTTTGAGACAGAGTCTCACTCTGTTGCCCAGGCTGGAGTGCATTGGCGTGATCTTGGCTCACTGTAACCTCTGCCTCCTGGGTTCAAGCGATTCTTGTGCCTCAGCCTCCCTAGTAGCTGGGATTACAGGTGCACACCACCATGCCCGGCTAATTTTTTGTATTTTTAGTAGAGATGGGGTTTCACCATGTTGCCCAGGCTGGTCTCAAACTCTTGAGCTCGGGCAATCCACCTGCCTCAGCCTCCCAAAATGCTAGGATTACAGGCGTGAGTCACGCACCTGGTATATGTTAAACTTCCTATGTTAAATTGGTTGAAACCTAGCACAGAACCACCAGAGATTTTGCTGAGGCCAGCAAAACCTGCAAATTTTTTTTCTTGGCTCTGCATAGTGCCTTGCAGATCATAAGAAAATCCCAGCATCTTTGCCTTATTTTCCCTTTTGTAAAACAGAGACAGTCTTGCTTCCTTGGGGAATACTGACGCTAACATGAGCCTTATGTACATCACCACTGGTTGGAATGTGTGCATGGATGGACAGGTTAACTTCTGTAGATTGTCAGACCATTCCCCTAAGAAATAAGGGAAAATTTTTGCTTCACCTGTCAAGATTAAGTATAAAATATGTGAGGTAAATGCTTTATTATTGTAGGTAAAATTTCACATGTAGTCAGAATTTACACATCAACATTTCCATATAAAGTACAATAAAGCTTAAGTAGAGTTGAGTCCATCATTAAATGTGTTCTATGGGGATCTAAACAAAGATAAATAAGATGTCCATAATCTAGAAGACATACTTTACTGCAAAATGTCACTGCTAATCATTAATATGTGATTTGCTTTTCTGCTCAAAGTACTATGTATGAATATTTTAGCCAAAGCCTAATCCTAGCAGAATATTAGCACCTTGGGAAGACAGACCTCTTTTAATAGCTCATAAGTGAATTTAATTTTTTATTTTTTTGAGATGGAGTCTCGCTCTGTCACCCAGGCTGGAGTGCAGTGGCGTGATCTCGGCTCAGTGCAACCTCTGCCTCCTTGGTTCACGCCATTCTCCTGCCTCAGCCTCCCGAGTAGCTGGGACTACAGGCGCCCGCCACCACATCCAGCTAATTTTTTGTATTTTAGTCTTGATCTCCTGACCTCGTGATTCGTGTGCCTTGGCCTCCCAAAGTGCTGGGATTACAGGCATGAGCCACTGTGCCTGGCCTAATTGTTTTTTAAAAATTAAAAAAGGAGAAACACTGGAGAGGGGTGGTAACTAGGCAAAAATGTGTGTGTATATGTGTGTGTGTGTGTGTGTGTGTGTGTATATATGTTTTCTTTTTGTTTTGTAAATATGAGCCAGAAAACTATGAAGTCAAATTTAGTTAATGTGATAGGTCCTTGGAGAGAATCTGGCTCAGCCTTTTTCTGATGCAGGGCTTACTCCTAGCACTACTAATCTGAGTCTGTTAGCCTTTAAACTGGTTTAAGAGCAGCTCTGGTTAGAGAAAAGTAGCCTCACCACCAGCTGTAGCAAATTTAGCAGTGTCTCAAGAATCTGGCTAACTTCCTACCACCTATTACTGAAGCCACAGCACTAACCTAAATCCTTTTTTGTTGTTTTGGAGACAGGGCCTCCTGTTGCCCAGAATGGAGTGCAGTGGCATGATCACAGCTCACTGCAGCCTCAACCTCCTGGGCTCAAGAGTCTCCCACTTCAGCCTCTTGAGTAGCTGAGATTACAGGCATGCACCACCATGCCCAGCTGTTTTTTTTTTTTTTTTTTTTTGAGATGGGAGTACAGTGGTGCCATCTCGGCTCCCTGCAACCTCTGCCTCCTGGGATCAAGCAATTCTCCTGCCTCAGCCTCCCAAGTGCTGGGACTACAGGCACTCGCCACCACGCCTGGCTAATTTTTGTATTTTTAGTAGGGACAGGGTTTCGCCATGTTGGCCAGGCTAGTCTCAAACTCCTGACCTCAGGTGATCTGCCTGCCTCGGTCTCCCAAAGTGCTGAGATTACAGGCGTGAGCTATCGCGCCTGGCCAACTAATTTTGTTGTTTTTGTTTCTTTTGAGATGGAGTTTCGCTCTTGTTGTCCAGGCTGGAGTGCAATGGTGCAATCTTGGCTAACTGCAACCTCTGCCTCCTGGGTTCAAGTGATTCTCCTGCCTCAGCCTCCTGAGTAGCTGGGATTACAGGCGCCTGCCACCACGCCCAGCTAATTTTTGTATTTTAGTAGAGATGGGGTTTCACGATATTGGTCAGGCTGGTCTACCTGACCTCAGGTGATCTACCCACCTTGGCCTCCCAAAGTGCTGGGATTACAGGCGTGAGCCATCACGCCCAGCTGGCCAACTGATTTTTTATTTTTGGTAGAGACAGGGTTTCAACATGTTGCTCAGGCTGGTCTTGAACTTCAGTGGGCTTAAGTGACCTGCCCACCTCAACCTCCCAAAGTGCTAAGATTACAGGTGTAAGCCACCATGCCTGGGCTTAAATCCTTCCTTCTATATCTAAATTTCTGACATCTATTAGTTTGAACTTTGTAGCTTAAGAACTGGGAGAGAATAAAAAGACAAACATAAAAAGATATTTAAGTGTTAGAAACATTTATTTGTCAAAAAATTTTTTTAAAAAAGGGAGGAGTGGAGTAAAACAAGGGTAAATTTCAGCTAATGCTGTACCACGATCACAGGTCGGACATAAAAAACAAACAAAACAACAAAACCCCCAATGGTCCTAGCAATTTCAGAAGAGTAACTTAAGTGTTAAGAGTCCAGAGCTAACAGAAGAGTAAAAGGCTGCTTGCCACTACATGGTCATTTTAAAGGGAAAGGAGATGCTGCAGGTAGGCAGGGAGAAGGATTCAACTCCTAGGGAAAGCAAGATAAGAGGGGTTCCACTGCACAGGAAAAAGGGGATGCCAGCATAATCCTTACCTAGGGCTGCTCAGAGGCTGAGAATATAAGGAACAGAGTGAAAGGCTACAGAGACTAGTTTCAGGAGGAAAGAAAAGTCAACTTAGAAGAATTAAGAAAGAAAACATAGTTGGTCACAAACTCCTTTTGTTTACTGAAACATGAAGCAATGGAAACATCCCGGCAAAGGGGACCGCGCGGAGCAAGTTCTCATATATGACCGCAGCCCGAGGGTTCAGTCCGCAATTATCCTACCTGAAAGAGAGCACAACACAAGAGGCTTACACAATGCCTGGAGAGCAGCCTGGCTCCGCGTACAAGCGCCCTGGGTCCTGTCCTGTATTCCGGGGGGAAAAAAAAGAACAAAACAAAACCAAGTCAGACTGGATCTAACTCATATCCCATGTAATTACCTAGGAGTCTATCAATAGCTATATATAGGAATCCACTTATGGCTATATATATAGGACAAGATGCAATCTAGCTGAAGAATGTGTTGGTGATAAATACATCTTTCTTATCCATCTTTTAGGCAAGATAACCCCTGTGACAGAAGGCTACTGTTGCTGTAACAAAGGGCATACATACATTTTCAAGAACTGCAATTTAATTTTGGAGTCCAGGAAAAGCAGAAGATGCTGAGATGTCATATATGGCGAATTGCACTATTCTAAATGTGTTTTGTTTTAATCTTTCACAGTAAACAAGCTTTCAGAAATGATGGTCACAAGGGGTAGGATATCAAGGAGCAGCCAGTCATTCACCCAATTCCAACACACCTACATGTCACACTGTCACAGAGTGAGAGCCACAGTTCCAGTAGTTCCCCTAATTGACCAAATCTCCCTTGCCAAATCAAAAGAAATCATTCCTAGAATTCTCTAATCCTTCTATTGATGATGGGAACTCCAGACACCAATGGCTGGGGGAAAAAAAAAGTTAACTCACACCAAGTTCCTCTACTTATTACAGACAAAGGGCCAAATCTTGGTCTTGATCTGTGCCAATCGACTTCAAAAGTTGTGACGTTCTTGGATCAGTTCTGCTAGGGTGAGACCCGAATTTGGATCCCCAACAGTTCTGGAGTATTTCATCCTGGCAGCCTCATTAACATCAGGCTCCTGGGACTGCAACCAACTCAGGGTTATTCAGTCCATTTGAGGTTCACACCTGGAAGGTAAGTTTCTTTAAAAGTCATCGCTAAAAAGAGGTTAGTTGAACAACCACTGCTTGCAGTCAAAATTCATTTTAAAATGTCCTAGCAATACCTTTTGAAGACCACAATATATGAATTTAATATTTAACTTTGAAACATAAGAGACAGGTTATCTGATAGATTTATACCAGCTTACTTCGGAAGCATGTCCCACCCCATGCTAGATCCAGCTGCATTAAAAGTAAAAATTAATGGCAAACTATAAATTTTAAGATCATTTGCTTCACACATAAACACAGACTAGCTGCATGGTGGTCTCAAGAGATCTCAAGTCTTGCTGACATGCATATAGGGTACAACTTATTACAGGTTCATAACATTTGCTTCTCAATTCACATAAAAGAGCAAATTGCTGTGGCTTTGCTTTTTAATTTTTTTTTTTTTTTTTAAGAGAGAGAGGAGCCACTCTTGCCCAGGCTGGAGTGCAGTGGCTAACTGCAGTCTCTCACTCCTGGGCTCAAGGGATCCTCCAGCCTCAGCTTCCTGAATAGTTGGGACTACAGGCACAAGCCACTGTACACAGCTGCTTTGTTATCTTCTACATATATACCAAAGGGATAAGTTAGGAACACCAGAAACTCAGTAGTAACTCACTTTAACCTTGCTTCTGGGGCTCCAATTCAAGTGATGCTCAATTTCAAGGTACAAGGAAAACCATGAGAATATAAAGTCATAATGCCATTTCCACTCAGATGAAAAGATTTATCTATCTTTAGATACTCAAAATTATTCTTGGCATTTTAGCACTTTTGGTACACATTTCCTGATGTAGGAAATAGTAAAATTTCAGAGCCTATGGCATTGGCTTTCACCACCTATGCAATTTTCTACACATCTGAAAATTACCAGTTTATCTAACTCCTTAAATGTTCCTCTCTTCAACAACAAAAAACACAAACAAAAATTGCTGGAAGAAACAGGAAGCATCCAGGTCCAAATGACAGCATAACAGACTATGAAGAAACAGGGCTTAAGTGCCCATCTAGAACAAGATGGTCTAGATTACAATAAGGACCCCATGGGACAGAACATCAAAACATTCAACTTTCAAGTAAATGTCTTGGAAGTAAACATTTAAAATTTATAGGACTTCCTCTGGCATGTAGGTATGATATTAGAAGAGTTTCCTTTGACAAAGGACAATGACCCAAGAAGTAGGTTTTTTTTTTTTTTTAAATAAAGGAGAGACAGTCTCACTCTGTTGCCCAGGCTGGAATACAGTGGTGTGATCATAGCTCACTGCAGCCTCTTTTAACTCCTGGGCTCAAGCAATCCTTCCAACCTCAGCATTCTGAGTAGCTGGGATCACAGGTGCTCCCCATCACACCCTGCTAATTTAATTTTCTTTGTAGAGACAGGGTCTTGCTATGTTGCCTAGGCTGGTCTTGAACTCCTGGGCTCAAGTGATCCTCCCGCCTCAGCCTCCCAGTGTTAGGATTACAGGAGTGAGCCACTGCCTCTGCCTTCAGGTAGCAATTTTATTAGCAAACTATAAGCCTAAAGTAATAGTTAAAATTCTCACTGTGATATTCATTACTAACCCCTGAACCTGTACCCTTCAGCTTACCACTACAGTACTTCTGTAGTAGAGCGAGTATGGGTTTTGGTATCAGACAGGTCCAAATTTGAATTCTGGTTCTACCTTTCATTTATCAAATGACTTTGGGCAAAGTACTTAACCTCTCTGAGCTTTAGTTCCCTTCTCTGTAAAAGAATAAAATATTTCAGTCTTATCGTGTAGATGATATACAGAGGGCACATAACAAATGTTAGATCTCTCAAATGTTTTTCTGTAACCCAAATATGCTTACAACTGATTAAAGAATGTTCTCACTAACAAACTGAATTTGTTGTTCTCTCAGAAGGAACAAGTTGGTTGGAGTCATACACTAACACCTTGACAGGCCAAATGGAACTTGTGGCCTAAGCTAGAGAAATATTGAAGACTAACATGTAATTTGCACCTTTTGGATACTGTCCGGAGAGCACAGGTGGCTCTAGCCACTTTTATGAAGCATGGGTCTCTTTCAAGGGAACTAAATGGAATCTTTTAACCATTCCCACCCATCTCTCACCTCCAGTTTTTAAAAGGCTGAGTACCGGGCTCGGTCCACATACTGCTCCCGTTCATACCGGGCCATGTCATACAGAGAATTCCGTGTAGCTGCGGAAGCCTGAGATAATTCACTCTCTGGCCCATAACCGTAGCCCTCTCCAACTGTGGGGAGCATGGCTGCAGCACGACGCAGTGGGCTCCTGTCCCTTCCATAGTAGGAGGAAGTGGTGGCTGCAGCAGCAGCCATAGCAGCTGAAGTGGCAGCAGCGCCAGAGTTTGGCAATAGGTGTCTGTCATAGGGATCAACAGAAGTAGAGTTGAGGTGGCTGGTCACAGTTGTGCTTTGGACTTGAGGCAGATGGGACATGGTCTGCTCTGCGTAGTTGTATGCAGAAGCCGCTGCCGCCGCTGCTACTGCCTCATAAGAGCGGACCCGGTATCGCTTATAGTAGTCGAGTGCTCCATATGCATCGTTGTAATACATGGATTCCCCGTAGCCCATGGTGTAAGGTGTTCGAACTGCTCCATATTGTTCATTATACTGCTCAGTAAAGTCTGCCACACGACCCGTACGATCTACTGGGCACTCTTTGGACCAGTGCCCTTCTTTCCCACACCGATAGCAGCCACTCTGGTCTCCCATACCAGGGGCAGTCCGAAGCCGGCTTGTGGACAACTGCACATGCATTCTTTTGCCTTGAGGGAACAGATGTAAGAAGATTTATTTTAACTCACTTGACATTCTTTTTCCTCTCCTCCCCAAATGAAAGTAAATTAGTTGTCATAAGACACATAGACGCACACACCTGTGACCCTATTTCAGCAACCTCCTTTAAAAAGTAGTTGAAGTTTTTTTGTTTTTTTTTTTGAGACGGAGTTTCCCTCCTGTTGCCCAGGCTGGAGTGCAGTGGCACAATCTCAGCTCACCGCAACCTCCACCTCCCGGATTCAAGCAATTCTCCTGCCTCAGCCTCCCGAGTAGCTGGGATTACAGGCATGCGCTGCCATGCCTGGCTAATTTTGTATTTTTAGTAGAGACAGGGTTTCTCCATGTTGGTCAGGCTGGTCTCAAACTCCCGACCTTGGGTGATCCGCCCGCCTTGGCCTCCCAAAGTGTTGGGATTACAGGCATGCGCCATTGCGCCCTGCCAGTAGTTGAAGTTTAATACAGATGAGAGCTAGAAAATTTGATTCCTCAGAGACCAGTCAATACTTTCTACTTAGGCCAGGAATAGACCAGACTCCCTCCTGTTTCTGTCTCCACAACTTTCCTTTTTCCCCTTATACACAACAATTGGAAAAGTTTCCACTTCTCACTAAGATTGTTATTACTTGTAATGATTCAAATTCTGCCAATACTTCCAAAATCAACCAACAAAACCTCAGTTAAGCCAGATTTGGACGGCATCTTGCCCATCTCTCACTGACTGACTAAGGATTAAGGCCTGAGTATTTACTACTGCTTAAAAACCACATCAATAGTCCGTCCATCTTGTTTCCTCTAGCTATTTTTGCAGATGTCACCAGAAGGCTCCAATGATGGGTACACAAACCATACCTGGCTTGTCATCTGCTTCATCTCTAGTATCTCTGGGAGTTATAAGACCTTTCAGATTTCAGTTTAGCCCACCACCCACCCCCGACCCCCCCAAGGCTACTGTGGAAAGCTACCTGACCAAGGTCTCTCAACAAGAAGAATTAGATCTTGAAACAGTACTGCTTTCTTAGGGACAGTGTCTTGACATGTAATGAAATGACTGTCATTTCATCCTGCCATGTAACTTACAATTTTTATAGGGATTAACTACTAGTTAGAAAAATGCAGCATTTGCCTAGAGACCTCTAGGAACCCACACAAATGGGCCACATCCATTTTGGCTTCCAGGAAATGACCAGCACTGAGGAACAGCTAAGAGAAGAAAACAATCTTTGCCCAGGGATTGTGAACCACCAAACCCATGGACCCTTACTGATGAAAGCATCTGAAGTCTTTAAAAGCAGTTAAAGAAAAGGAGTATTCCTGGCATTATTTAGTCCCAGGTTGCACAAGACTCTCCTGGAGATCAAGTCAGTGCTTTCCAAATTGTAGCCAAAAGAAAATGCACGGGAGGCTGAGGCAGAAGAATCGCTTGAACCTGGGAGGTGGAGGTTGCAGTGAGTGGAGATCATACCACTGCAATCCTGCCTGGGCAACAGTGTGAGACTCCATCTCAAAAAAAAAAAAAAAATGGAAAACGCAGTCAGTACAGATAAAAAGAACAGGGCTTCTCATTACTCTTAAGGACTGCTGAGAACAAATCCCCCCTCTGCAATCAGCAAGTTGCTCTCTCTTTAACAGACCTTCTTCTGGATGCAGCTATGCGAGAGGAAGCCTTGTGCTCCACCATCCTGTTGGAAATAGCCCTATTGAGGACGGCAGCCAGAACAGTGCCATGCACTGACCCTGAGAGGGGAGCGGGTTAGTGTGGCAATATCACTTTAGTCAAATTCCTTCTGCCCAATGTCAAAGAGTCCTATCACTCCAGTTTCTAGCAGAAACAAAAGTGCTCAGGCTTTATACCTCCAACTGCTAGGAGACAGGCCGCATCCACTATCACCAATAGAGTCAGCAGATACCCAAAATGGCACTAAATCTCTAAAAGCATTTTGCCATCCCATTGTTTTCAGAGATTTAAATGCTCCTAATTGTTAGATGTTAGGGGCCACAATGCTAACTGTGCTTTGAACAGAAACACAGATTTCTGCCACAATTTATATCTCAAATGCATAGTTCCCTATAATTTAGACTAAAAGATTATAAATGACTTGGCTTTCAAATATACATGGTGACATTAAGCTATGTGACAGACACAAAGTATACTCCAATTGTGAAGTCAGAGTGACCATGACAGTCTAAAAAGGAGCCAATCCAGAGACCTAAAAGTAACATTTTTAACAAAAAAATTCAATTAAATTTGCACTTTACTTTTATAGATTCTGGGTCCATTTTTTGGAGAAACAAAACCCAGCAATTTTACCTTGATGTTTTTTAACTAAATCCAATCTTCATTCCTGCTTTTATTTAGAGGGTGGGAAATCAAGTTTATCTGTGGTAAAATCTACCTCTGTGTAGTTGTGAAAAGGATGCAGGTATCAATTTTTTTGTTGCGTTTGTTTGATTTTTGAGACGTAGTTTTGCTCTGTCGCCCAGGCTGGAGTGCAGTGGCGAAATCTCGGCTCACTGCAACCTCCACCTCGCGGGTTCAAGCAATTCCCTGCCTCAGCCTCCCGAGTAGCTGAGATTACAGGCACCTGCCACCATTGGTGTGGTTTTAAAGCAATTTTTGTATTTTTAGCAGAGATGGGGTTTCACCATCTTGGCCAGGCTAGTCTTGAACTCCTGACTTCGTGATCCACCCGCCTCAGCCCCCTCAAAGTGCTGGGATTACAGGCGTGACCACTGCACCCGGCCCAATTTTTTAACCTAGAACTAAAAAAATCTATAATAGGGGTGACGAGTTTAAAAAAATTTTTTCAAACAGTTTCTCCAAGCTGGGTGTGGTAGCTCATATCTGTAATCCCAGCACTTTGGGAGGCTGAGGTGAGCCAATCACCTGAGGCCAGAAGTTCGAGACCAGCCTGGCCAACATGGTGAAACCCCCTCTCTACTAAAAAAATACAAAACATTAGCTGGGCATGGTGGCACATGCCTGCAGTCCCAGCTACTTGGGAAGCTGAGGCACAAGAATCACTTGAACCCGGGAGGCGGAGGCTGCAGTGAGCTGAGATTGTGCCACTGCACTACAGCCTAGGCAATAGAGCAAGACTGTCTAAAAAAAAAAAAAAAAAAAAAAACCCACAAAAAAACCAAAACAACCAGTCCTTCCAACGGTTATAATTAGCCTTTTAATTTATTTTTATTAATTTTTTTGGGGGGGGGGGACAGATTCTTGCTCTGTCGCCCAGGCTGGAGTGCAGTGGCGCAGTCTCGGCTCACTGCAACTTCTGCCTCCTGGGCTCAAGCAATTCTCCTGCCTCAGCCTCCCGAGTAGCTGGGACTGCAGGCGCACGCTACCACACCTGGCTAATTTCTTCTATTTTTAGTGGAGACGAGGTTTCACCATGTTGGCCAGGCTGGTCTCGAACTCCTGACCTCAGGTGATCCGCCTGTCTCGGCCTCCCAAAGGGCTGGGATTACAGGCATGAGCCACCACATCCAGCCTAGCCTTTAAATTTAAATACCCTAAAGTTTTTATAGTAATTGAAAAAGACTATGCCTCTCTATTATTATACCTTAAGGAACCAGGGCAAAGAAAAATGAAAGATTAATTCTTCTACTCTACTACACTTGGACAAAGTAGGCCAAAAGCTTAAAATTTCCTGGGACTTCCAAAAGTTACTGAAGTTTGTTGCCAACATTTTCCAGAAAACCAGCCCTATAAGTGTTTTATTTTGAAAGCTGTAACAGAAAAGAGCATTAAAATGCTGAGAAGTGGGAAACTTGGGGTCTTAATTTCTGAGCGCCTATCAAGTGCCATGATCCAGAAAAGACTGGGGATGTAGCTAATACAGAGTAGTATTCTGACTTAATGCTTGTTTACATATAGGGAAAAAAAAAAAAGACACCTGAACTCTCACACATTCTTCCCAATTAAGCTGCCTGATTGTTATTTGGGAATAGCTTCTTTAGGTCTTCCAATACAAACTATGTGTCTAAGGAAATAAGTTGAGTTCACTGCTGGCTGTAAAAAGGAAACAGATCCTGAAAGAGTAAAGTAAACTCAGATTCCGCTACTTCCTTTTAGAAGTCATACAATGCAAAAAGCCTCAATGGCAGCCATTAACATATAGAAATAAAGGTTCAAAAGATGTTCAAGTGGCACTTTTTTGTTGGTTCATTTTTGAGACTAAGTCTTGCTCTGCTGCCCAGGCTAGAGTGCGGTGGCACGGTCTTGACTCACTGCAACCTCCGCCTCTGGGTTCAAGTGATTCTCCTGCCTCAGCCTCCTGAGTAGCCGGGATTACAGGTGTGTGCCACCATACCTAGCTAATTTTTGTATTTTTAGTAGAGACAGGGTTTCACCATGTTGACCAGGCTAGTCTTGAACTCCTGACCTTAGGTGATCCACCCCCGCCTCGGCCTTCCAGAGTGCTGGGATTACAGGAGTGAGCCACCTCACCCGGGCTCAAGTGGCCCTTTTAAGAGGCCACCTTCATTAGTAGACAACTGAAAATAACTTAAATTGAAACGTGTCAAACTGGTATCCAGACTGTATTTTCTGTAAAACTACAACTTACTATCCAGTGCTAAGCTTGCTCTTGTCATCTGGGAGAAAAAAAACCAGAGCTAGTTATAAAAACGTCTCTATAACTAGGAGGAGAGTGCTATCTCCAGAGGAGCCAAGTTAAGAACATGAAAACCAAATACAGGATTTTTCTTTTCCAATTCATTTTAGTGTTTGCACTTTCTAAGGAAGTGATGTTTTTAAAAATCTTATGGATCCACTGCATTATTCAGATACATCCTAAAGTAATTATACCTGCCTTATTAAAACACATATTCATCCTAAGCCAACTCCCCCCAATTAACTGATTTTTTTTTCTTTTTTTTTTTTTTTTATTAACTTCAGGTAGCTTTTCTTTTTCTTTTCTTTCTTTTTTTTTTTTGAGATGGAGTCTTGCTCTGTCCCCCAGGCTGGAGTACAGTGGCATGATCTCGGCTCACTGCAAGCTCTGCCTCCTGGGTTCACGCTATTCTCCTGCCTCAGCTTCCCGAGTAGTGGGGACTACAAGGCGCCTGCCACCATGGCCGGCTAATTTTTTTTTTGTATTTTTAGTAGAGACGGGGTTTCACCATGTTGAGCAGGATGGACTCAATCTCTGACCTCGTGATCCCCCCGCCTTGGCCTCCCAAAGTGCTGGGATTACAGGCGTGAGCCACAGCACCCGGCCTGTCCTTTTCCTTTTATTCAGTTGTATTAAATATATATATGGTTTTTTTTTTTTCTTTTTTGAGAAGGAGTCTCGCTGTTGCCCAGACTGGAATACAGTGGCACAATCTCGGTTTACTGCAACCTCTACCTCCCAGGTTCAAGCGATTCTCCTGTCTCAGCCTCCCGAGTAGCTGGGATTACAGGCACACACTACCACGCCTTGCTAGTTTTCTTGTATTTTTAGTAGAGATGGGATTTCACCATGTTGGCCAGGCTGGTCTCGAACTCCTGACCTCAGGTGATCCACCCGCCTTGGCCTCCCAAAGTGGTGGGATTACAGGTGTGAGGCACCGCACCCTGCCTGTATTAAATATATTTAAAAGGTAAGGGCATTCTGTATGACATTACTAGAATACCTCTGCAGTTTGTACCCAACTTTACATTCTTTTACATTTTGCTCATTACCTGTCAGGAGAAAACCCTCCTTCCCCAGTCTCCACTGTCCATCATGATGATTTCCCCCATCAAATGAAAATAATTAAGATACTTTTAAAAGCTGAAAATGCAACAACATTCCAAAATAAGAAAAAGAAAAACAAATGTAAGAAAAGCAAACCAATAAGGAAAGCTTCGCTATCACACTTTCAATAATTTTCTAACCAGAATAGAAACACTCATGGTTGCAAAGAGCAATCACCTGTCATCATAAAGAGCTTTTACTATCAAAACACTTTCACATCGATTTCTTCATTCTAGCCCCACTACAATCCTGTGAGGGAGGTACAGTAGGGATCATTAACTCCATAAGTGGGGACAATCTTAGTGAGGAAAATGAAGCAGAGAAATGTTAAAACACTTGTCCAAGGTCACACACTAGTTAATGGTAGGAAGTATCTGCAACCTTTGCCCTATGCTTTAAAGAGCAGCTAAAGGCCAAGGCATCACTGGCTGAAGCTGGAGATACTTGATGGTGCTCCTCTACCCATCTCCACTATGCAAACTTTCTTACCCTTCTCTGGTCAACTTTTCCTCTTCTCCCATTATTTTTCTCATTTTGTTTTTTAGTTTTAATAGAAGACCCAAAAGTACTTCTTAACAACCCCTTTAATGACACTCAGGGCAAAAAAGGTGTTGACTTAGGAACCACAAAAGTGGCTATGAACATGAGGTCCAAGACGATACTGTTAACAAAACACTTGTAGAACAGTGCTATCCAAAAGAATGTTCTATGATGATGGAAATGTTCTGTGTCTCTATTAATACGGTAGCCACAGGCCTCATGACTACTGAGTGCTTGAAACGTGTCTGGTATACACTTGAAAAACTGAATTTTAAATTTTATCTAATCTGTTAATTTCAATTTACTAAGCCGCATGTGGTTACCATATTAGCACAGTTCTAGAGTCTTCTGACAACCTCTTGTGGTATTAATGACAACATATGTACCTTTATTATCGGTATAAATAGTATGATATGCTCTACGATGCTTGTACTGAAATTTCTTCAGAAGCGGGACCATCATTCCCATTGAGTCTGATATATTTAGAAATTTCCTTTTCTGAGGGTGAAATGAACAGGTGGAGCAGAACACTCCATGGCATGTTTTTTTGACTCTGCTTGAAGAGACTGCACAACTTTGATCAACAAAAAGATACTCCCGCAGATCCAGACTTGCCACCCAGATTTATAATATAGGGCTTCCTCTAGATGTCTTTTTTCTTCTTTCCCACCAGTATCCACCCAAAGCAGTAAAGAATATAAATCTTAAGCACTTAAACCCTCAAATATAAGGCTTCCTGATCATCACCAAAGAAGCAGGTAAGCCACGGACCTTTATCCTCCCTTCTCTCATGAGGTACTCGTTTCCCCAAGCAGATTACACTTCCAACAGCACTCGAATCAATGCAAGAATCCCGCAGGGTAAAGTAACCCACAGTTTGTGATTCTATGCAGTCGGTGAGCAACATCTTAGCAAACCTGAAAAGGGGAAGTGTTTGCTTCCCCAGGGGTAAATTATGCTTAAGAGCGGTAAACATAATCTATTATTTCCAGCTAAAACAGAATGGAAGAGACCACCCAGCAAGTTCTATAGTCTTGTGTTCTTGCCTGTTTTGAGCTAGACCCCACTCGGCGCTACTACCCAGGCCCAGAGCAGTTCACCTTGAAACTCTGTGTTGTCAAGGCCCCTGATGGCCTCCACTGCATCCTCTGCCCGCTCCATGTGTACGAAGGCATAATCTTTCACGATGTCACATTCGATGACCGGACCATACTCCTCAAACTTGGCTCGAAGCTCTTGGTTGGTACAAGTGGGGCTGATGTTACCCACGTGTAACTTGGTTGAAGCTTTGCTCTTATTCTTGCTGGCTTCCACGTTGATGTTCACCCCATGAAGCTTGTAATGGTGCAGGTTGCGTATGGCATCCTCAGCTGCCGTCTTGTCTTCTATGTGCACAAAGCCGTAATTCTTAATGATGTCACATTCCAGCACCTTCCCATACTGCTCGAAGAGTGAGCGAATCTCCTGCTCTGTAGCCTCCCGGGGAAGGTTTCCGATGAACAGCTTCACCATCCTGACAAGAGCCTGGGAGAGAAACACAAGACTTCAAAAGTCAGGGGTGTGGTGGGAAATTTCGGTGCACTGCAGCATTTTCGTCTAATCCTCCAAAGTTCTTGCACCTTCAAGACCCTCGTACAGACATTCATTATTCTTCCTCAATAGAAGAAGGGCGGTTTGTTCTCGAGAAGTGCGAGCTATGCGTGACATGCAAACAGGAGGTCGAGGGTCAGCATGCATAGCCCAGTCTATCATCTCCGTGAAGTGGAGCGCAATGAAATACCAGAATTAGCTGCTTCATGTCTTAAAATGAGGGAAGAGAAAAGCCCAAGCAAAGGCAAGGGGCATCAATCGCAGTGCGCCTGGTAACAAGGTTTTGGAGGGAAATCTGTGTACCTCTCCTGCGCGCACTAGCGCCTTTCAAGATACTCTAAAAAGAAAAAAGTCCCCTTTCCCCCAAACCGGGGACCAACCACCTCGCCCCCAGCGGCCCACCCTCCAGCTTCTTCGCCCCAACAAAGACTCGACCCGACCCCTGCCCCGCCTCCTTCCGGAGACCCGGCCCCGCCTCCTCCCGTTGTCTTCCCAGACCTCCCGCTGCAAAATGAGAAACCCAAATCCGGGCCGTGCAGTCTGCCGGAGGCCCGGCCCGACCCGCCCCCGAGCTCCCCACATCACACACACACGACCCCCTCGCACCTCCGGGTGGCGGCAGCGACGGCGGCTCCCACGTCAGAGAGAACCTTACAAAATGGCGACGGCCGCTCGAGCCTGGACGCGACCGGGCCCTTTCTCGCGCGCCAGCTCACGCACGCGCGAGTGCGCGCTGCTTCCCTCCCCTTCCCCTCGCGGGAGCCGAGTGACCAATCCCGAGGCTGCATACAAATGACCACGCAGCACGGGGGCGGGGCCTGTTGGTGGTGGCGCGGCGCCGCGGAGGTCAGCCCACCCCCAGCCCCAGCCAGCCAGTCACCACCCTGGAAAGGGTCGCCACTGCTGCGTCAGAGGGGCTCTGAACGCAACCACTGCCTAGAAAAGCGGAGGCCTTGGGGAGTCGCTCACCACAATGGGTCCTGCTCTTGGGCCCTTTGAGGGGGGCGGGGAGCTAATGACAGAGGAATCTCCCCGAGGGCCCTAAAAAGGGGCTTTTGTAGCGGGCTGGCCGGCTTCTGTGGCAGCTTGGGGCAACATTTCAAAAATACAGGTGCGCCACATTTTAAGCAAAACTAGTCATTGTTTTGTAGCGCTTTAAACATTATTTTAAAGTTTGTCATTGCAGAGGTGTTATTTATTGCTACGGAAACTGAGAACCAAGGGGCAGAAAGATAACCTGGCAGAACTGGGACAGGCCTAAGAGGCATTGCTACCCAGGCTACGCTTAGTCATGTTTTGTTTGCTCGTGAGTATCCGTGGTCTGATTCTCTCTCACTCATTGTGTGTCCATCACAGTCCTGGTCTGTGGTGAGCACGCCAGAGGAATACTTGGTGGAGAGGCCCAGCGAGGTCCCTAGTTCTGGGTGGGACAGGGTCTCCTCGTACACACCAAGCTGGAAGTCTAGGCAACTGAGTTTCCCGACTGTCTAGCATTCAAAATTCAGCTGTGGTCCAAGGGCACCTCCTGGCGGTAAAAACAAGCTTAGGCGTGCCAGGTGCGGCGGCTCACGCCTATAATCCCAGCACTTTGGGAGGCCAAGGCGGGCGGATCACGAGTTCAGGAGTTCGACACCAGCTTGGCCAACATGGTGAAACCCCGTGTCTACTAAAAATACAAAAAATAGCCCGGCGTGGTGGCGGGCGCCTGTAATCCCAACTACTCGGGAGGCTGAGGCAGGAGAATCGTTGGAACCCGGGAGGCGGAGGTTGCAGTGAGCCGAGATGGCGTCACTGCACTCCAGCCTGGGTGACAGAGCAAGACTCGGTCTCAAAAAAAAAAAAAAAAGAAGTTTAGGCTGATTCCCCACTGTCACCTTCCAGCAAAGAGTAGCCTTTTATGGAGATTGATGGATTGGGTTTATCTCCTAGTAGAGCCCGCCAGGGAGGTTGTCAGCCACCATTCCTCATTTTAGTGGCTCCATAATGGCTTCTCTGATACCATCTGGGACACATTCCCCAGGCTGCCCTCTTCCACCCCAGCTACTTGGATATGTTCTTTACCTGAGTTCTTTTTGTTTCTCAGCCATTTCAGAAGAGGCACTGTCCTTCCAATTTTATTTTATTTTTATTTTTTGTTTAATTTTTTAAAGACAGAGTCTCACTGTGTCGCCCAGGCTGGAGGGCAGTGGTGCGATCTCGGCTTACTGCAACCTCCACCTCCTGCGTTCAAGCCATTTTCCTGCCTCAGCCTCCCGAGTAGCTGGGACTACAGGCGTGCGCTACCCCCCAGCTAATTTTTGTATTTTTAGTAGAGACAGGGTTTCACCGTGTTGGCCAGGCTGGTGTCGAACTCCCGACCTCAAGCGATCCGCTGGCCTTGGCATCCCAAAGTGTTGGGATTACAGGCGTGAGCCACCTCGCCCGGCCCTTAACTATTATTACTATTATTTTTGAGTCAGGGTGTCACTTTGTTGTCCAGGCTAGAGTGCAGTGGCACCATTATGGCTCACTGTAGCCTCGACCTCGCAGGCGCAAGTGATCTTCCTATCTTAGCCTCTGGAGCAGCTGGGACCACAGGTGTGGGCCACCCCATCCAGCTAATTTAAATTTTTTTTTTTTGTAGAGATGGGGGTCTCACTGTGTTGCCCAGGCTGGTCTCAAACTTCTGGGCTCAAGATGTTTCCACCACAGTCTCACAAAATGCTGGGATTCAGGTGTGAGCCACTGCACCCGGCTTATATGTGCTGCTAATTTAAAATAGCACTATCCTATGTTAATATTATCTAATGTTTATGCCCAAATTTCTCCTGGATTGTTACAAATGTCTTTTTACAGTTGATTTCTTCTAATCTGGACTTAAACATTGTACATTTGTATGCATTATGTAAATGGTGTGTTTTGAGTTGTATAGCTGTGTCTTACTATTTTTCCACTAAGGGCTATGTCGCCGCATGATGTCTAACTAGCGAGTAACGCAGTCCTCTGTGGTGTACAGTCACATATTGTACCTGTTCATCTCTGGGCATAGGGCACTCAGCTTCCAGCTCTCTGTCATTATAAACAAGGCTGCAGTGAACATGCTTAAGTATGTGCCCTAATTCTGTGTGAGAATTTGGGGGGATATAAAACCAGAGGTGGAATTGCTGGGTCATAGAGTATACGTAGAACTCACCTGTCTAAGTAGCACTGAATTCTCTGGAAAAGCTGCACCAGCATACTCTTCCACCTGTAGCATATGAGGGGCCTTGTATCTCTACATCCCTGCCAGTGATAGACATTATCCGCTTTTCTAATTTTTGTCAGTCTAATAGATATAAAGTGATATTTCATTGTTGCTTTAATTTGTATTTCTCTGGTTACTAATGATTTTAAGCATCCCTTCTTGTTGTCTTTTTTTTGTGTGTGATGGAGTCTCACTCTGTCGCTCAAGCTGGAGTGCAGTGGTACTATCTCGGCTCACTGCAGCCTCTGCCTCCTGGGTTCAAGCGATTCTTCTGCCTCAGCCTCCTGAGTAGCTGGGATTACAGGCGTGTGCCACCACCACGCCCGGCTAATTTTTGTATTTTTAGTAGAGACGAGGTTTCACCATATTGGTCAGGCTGGTCTTGAATTCCTGACCTTGTGATTCGCCCACCTCGGCCTCCCAAAGTGCTGGGATTACAGGTGTAAGCCACCACGCACAACCTTTTTTTTTTTTTATTAGACGGAGTCTTGCTCTGTCGCCCAAGCTGGAGTGCAGTGGTGCGATCTCAGCTCACTGCAACCTCCGCCTCCCAGGTTCAAGCAATTCTCCTGTCTCAGCCTCCTGAGTAGCTGGGACTACAGGCACGTGTCACCACACTTGGCTGATTTTTGTATTTTTAGTAGAGACGGGGTTTCACATTGGTCAGGCTGGTCTCGAACTCCTGACCTTAGGTGATCCACCCACCTTAGCCTCCCAAATTGCTGGGGTTAAAGGCGTGAGCCACTGTGCCCAGACTTGTTTTTTGAGAAAGGGTCTTGCTTTGTCATGCAGGCTGGAGTGCAGTGGCACGATCATAGCTTGCTGTAGCCTCTAGCTCCTGGGCTCAAATAATCCTCCTGCTTCAGGAGGCTGAAGCCCTCAGCCCTCAGCCTCCCAAGTAGCTAGGACTATATGCCCAGCTAATTTTTTTGTTTTTGGTAGAGACGAGTTCTCACTATGTTGCTAGTCAAACTCCTAGCCTCAAGTGATCCTCCCACTTCAGCCTCCCAAAACACTAGGATTACAGGTGTGAGGCAAATACACCTGGCCTCTTGAATTTTCGAGTTTATGCTTCTGTAAATTTCCTGTTCATATCTTTTGCCCATCTTTCTTTTCAGGTTGTAGGCTCCTTTTTTGTTGTTGATTTGTAAGGCTTTTTCATATATTCTAATCTCTTATTGGTCTCAAATACCATCTCTCATTCCACTAATTATTAACTCTGTCCATGGTGTCCTTCATTGAACAGAAATCCTTATTTCTTGTGCAATGAAATTAATTTTTATCTTAAAGCTGTGCTTTTGAATTTTTTTTTTTTTTTTGAGACAGCCTGTTGCCCAGGCTAGAGTGCAGTGGTGTGATCATGGCTCACTGCAGCCTCAACCCCCCAAGCTCAAGCAATCCTTCCATCTCAGCCTCCCAAGTAGGTGGGACTACAGGTGCATGCCACCATGCCTGGCTAATTTAAGAAATTTTTTTTGTAGAGATAGAGTTTCACTGTGTTGCCCAGGCTGGTCTTGAACTTCTGAGCTCCAGTGATCCTCCCATCTCGCCTCCCAAAGTGCTGGGATTACAGGTGAGCCACTGCACCTGGCCTGCTTTTGAACTTTTGTATAAGATGTTCTTTTGTAGCCTCCTTAGTCACAAGATATTCTCCTACATTTTATTCTATTAACGTTAGGTTTTTGTTTTTGTTTTTTGGGGGGATGGAGTTTCACTCTTGTCCAGGCTGGAGTGCAGTGGTGTGATCTGGTCTCACTGCAACCTCCGCCTCCCCCTCCCAGGTTCAGGCCATTCTCCTGCCTCAGCCTCCCGAGTAGCTGGGACTACAGGTGCGTGCCACCACGCCCGGCTAATTTTTGTATTTTTAGTAGAGATGGGGTTTCACTATATTGGCCAGGCTGGTCTCGAACTCCTGACCTCAGGTGATCTGCCCGCCTTGGCCTCCCAAAGTGCTGGGATCACAGGCGTGAGCCACTGTACCCGGCCTATTAACATATTTTTTGCCTTTTGCATTTAGGTCTGGAGCCCATTTATAGCAGTGCTATCCAATAAAAATATGTTAGCTACATATGCAATTTTAAAATTTCCAGCAAACACATTTAAAAAGTCATCAAAATAGTTGAAATTCACTTTAATGATACTTTTGAAACCCAATATATCTAAAATATTATTTCAACACATAATCAATATAAAAATTAAGGTATTTAAAGTTGTTGTCCTCTTCCATGCTTCATACCTGGTGTTTCAGAGTCATGACACACTTGGTTTGGCTACATCTCAGTAGCCACACATGGCTGGGTGGCTGCTGCTGTGGACAGCATGGACCTAAAGTCCACTCTTGTAGGTGATGTTAAGAATGCAAATATATTTTTCTCTACATAATCCTATTTTTTTTTTTTTGAGACAGGGTCTCACTTTATTGCCTAGACTGGAGTGCAGTGGCATGATCTCGGCTCACTGTAACCTCTGCTTCCCAGGTTCAAGCAATGCTCCTGCCTCAGCCTCCCAAGTAGCTGAGACTACAGGCACATGCCACTACACCTGGCTAATTTTTGTAGAGATGGGGTTTCACCATGTTGCCCAGGCTGGTCTTGAACTCCTGAGCTCAAGTGACCCACTCACCTCGGCTTCCCAAAGTGCTGGGATTATAAGCGTGAACCACCATGCCTGGCCAAGTAATCCATTTTTTTTTTTTTTTTTTTTTTGAGATGGAGTCTCGCTCTGTCACCCAGGCTGGAGCGCAGTGGCGGCATCTCGGCTCACTGCAAGCTCCGCCTCCCGGGTTCACGCCATTCTCCTGCCTCAGCCTCCCAAGTAGCTGGGACTACAGGCGCCCGCCACTACGCCCGGCTAATTTTTGTATTTTTAGTAGAGACGGGGTTTCACCGTTTTAGCCGGGATGGTCTCGATCTCCTGACCTCGTGATCCGCCCGCCTCGGCCTCCCAAAGTGCTGGGATTACAGGCGTGAGCCACCGCGCCCGGCCCAAGTAATCCATTTTTATCTGCCATCTCTCTCCATTGATTTGTGCTGCCTGCATTTATTGTATTTTTGTGTCTAACTTGTCTCATAGCCCTCACCGCCCCATTCCATCCTGTTGTCTTTCCTGGAATTTTTTCTTTCTTCCACTCACAGCTGAAGGTGTTTTCTGACTTAATTCCTGACACTATGCTTCCCCTCTTCTATGTCCTGTTCTTAAGGAATCATGCCCTGAAGTCCTGCTGCCGCATATGCAGATGCTGCTCGGGGTCTTCAGTCTCACCTCTCCGTTGACAATGCCTGCCCCTACTGCAGGACTGCTTCAATTGGCTGTCCTATTTACACTTACGTGTCGTGTTAAAATAATCATTTCTCTATTAATTTCTCCATATACATTTCCTTCTGACATTTCCAATTATTGTTTCCCTTCAGTGCCCCCAGGCTTGCCAGCTTGGAGTGCAAATACCTAGATTCCCTGAGCACCCCCAAGGTATGACTGTCTCTTCAGTGGAGATTTTACAGTTGTATTTGAAGAAAAGATGCTGTGTAGTGCTGATGGATTCTTCCACTTAGTCCCATGACAGATTGTTCTAGTTACGCGTATCCACCTGTTGGCTGTGGAACAGTAAATCTACCCATCTTAAGGGGGAAATTATCCTGCAGGCTCTCTGGTCTACCGGTTTGGAGCCCACTCTGGGGCTGTGATGTGCTAGTTCTGGGCCTGCACACACCTAACTCGGTCTTCGTCATGACTGATGATAGGCCCGCAGTCAATGACTAAAGATGGGGCTGCCTTCCTGGAAAAACGGTTGTCTGTGTGTATAGGAAACAATGAAAGAACACGCTTTTCCTGTTGGAGGCCACCAAGGAGTGCCCACTTCCATCAACATCTGGAGACAAACACTGTGCCCTGAAAGCTCCGATTGCCAAACCAGAGACAAAGGAGAAGCCACCCGCTCCTTTCTAATACTTCATCAGATCCAGAAGGTAGTCTCAGCTGGGCATGGTGGCTCACGCCTGTAATCCCAACAGTTTGAGGCCAAGGTGAGAGAATCACTTGGGCCCAGGAATTCGAGACCGACCTGGGCAACATAGTGAGACCCCGTCTCTACAAAAAACAAACAGACTTAGTCGGGTATGATGGCATGTGCCTGTGGTTCAGGCTACTCGGGAGGCTGAGGTGGGAGGATTGCTTGAACCCAGGAGGTGGAGGTTGCAATGGGCTGTGATTGCGCCACTGCAGTCCAGCTTGGCTGACAGAGTGAGACTCTGTCTCAAAAAAAAAAAAAAAAAAGAATATATATTATCCTCTGTGTGTATATTTACATGCTTGGGCTGTAAAGTCACCTCATGGCTTCCCAGAGTGACTTCATTCTGTTGATCAGTTTATTGGAACCTGCCACTTCTCAGATCCCTGTCTGAGGTCCCTTGATCTACTGGAGAGCAGACGGCAAGTGGGGGCAGTAAGCACCCGCTGTGTGCTCAGCTTTCCACCACTGGGCTGAGCAGTGGCTGAGACTGGCTGGGGCTGTAGCAATGCTTCCCAGTCTTCCAATTTGAAAACAGTTTAGAGATCACAAGTGAAGAAAATTGTGCACCAGGGAAGGAGTCCCTCATTGCTTTTTAACATGAATACTGCTTGTTGACATCATCCCAACCCATGGTGAACTACTTTGGTTTAAAAAGAGGCTTGGCATTGGTCAACCCAGCACACTGGAGGTCACTGTCAGAGGGAAATGAGACCAGGTCAGGGAAGCTCTCAGTGTGACACGGCTCTTCAAGAGCTTGGAGGCTGGGGAAACGTGAGATGAAGGAGACCAGAACGGAAGGAGAGGACACAGGCTTGGGCAGAGAGGCTGTGGTCAGGAAAGCAAAGACACCCAGAGGCGGTGAGAGAAGCTGAGCTGTTTAATCACCTCCTTGGCCAGACTCAAGGCGGTGGCTGTCCCCGAACAACACACCTGGAAGCCATTGAGAGCAGCTGGAGATGGAGTGGCAGCTGGAGTTACAGGGTGGGGGTGGGGAGGGAGGGCTCCTGCGCCTCTGACTGTCATCTGGCACTTCTGCCCCCAGGGCCTGCTTCAGCTCTGAGAGGTTCCTGGCTGGTCTGAGGGGTGAGGAACCAGAAGGCAGAAGGCGAGTGCCCTCGCATGGCAGGAGAATGACCCTGAGGCAGGGGCAGCCACTCCCCACATGGCCTATGTTGAGGGTGCGGCACTGTCCACACCGTGGTGAGGGACAGAGGCACGAGGCTGGGGAAAGGGGAGAAGTCGGCGGGGGTGGGAGAGGGGGTTACCTGGGTCCCACCACCAGTCTGGAATTAAACAGCAGAAGAGAAGGGCTGCCCTTGGGAACATGGACTCGTCCCCAGTGACAGTTCCTGGTGATGGGTTGACCTTGGCAACAGACCCTAGCAGCAGGCAGTTGTCCTGACAAGAGGGCGGTCCCTGTCGACTGTCCCTGGCAGTTTCCTGAACGGAGGGAGGGAGTTGGCCTGGGACCTTGCCCCCAACTACTTGTTCTTCTTAAAGAAGCTGAAGCGTTTTTCTCGCTCTCGTTCTCTGCCGTCTTTGCTGCGGAGCACAACAGGCCCCTCAGCCCCGACGGGTGACACTGGGGGCATGGTCATGGCCCGGGTCATGCCCCGGGTGGTGCTGGGCACCACCGGCTCTTCAGGCTCTCCAGAGGCAGAAGACGCTGTGGCAATGGCTGCATTCACCACCCGTAGCCACGAGCTCATCTCTGCCTGTGGATGGAAAGACCCTCAATCAGCTTCAAGGACACTGTGCTGAGTTGGCCGCAGTGGACAGCAGGGAAGTGTAAGAGGAGGAGGCAGAAAGTGAGCTGACTGTTTCATGCTATTAGGAGAATGTGGCCGGCTTAGACAGGGAGTGCGGCCTGGTGCGGCCGTCGCACACATCCAGTCTTACCACAAAGGACAAGACCAGGAAAAAGAGGGAGGACAGGGAAAGAAGGGGAGTCTGCAGCTGGAAGCTTCTGGAATGGCACGGACAGAGAGGAACACGAAGGACAGCTCACCTCATCCTTGGCCTGGAATAAATATTCTTTTCCATCCTGTAAGCTGTTGGGAGAGAGAGGCCACAGGGCAGAGCTGAGAATCCGGATCTGCCAGGTAGCTGCTGGTGAGAGCGTAATCATGACCCAACACCAGGCTGGGACATCTGGCTGCAGCCCTCAGAGCCGGACCAGACACGCTCTGCACATTCTTCAGCTTCCCCAGACTGTGCAGAAGCACATCCTTTCTGACTGGCCCCAGAGGCAGGGGGAGCTCACTTCCACCCCAGCCCGGGCCTCCTGCTCCGGCTGCTTGCTGGCAGGCAGGGACAGGCCCCTGGAGGTCTTCCCAGATCCCTACCTTTGGATTTCCCACCCTGGGTAATTTTTCACCTTGACATTGGCAGCCGTCAGGCCTGGGTCTTGGTTCTCCTGCTCCCCTTGGTGTGGAGACAACCAGAATCTCCGCCTCCCTCATCTACACTATCCCCAAGTGGCTGGCCTGGTTACTCCACTCAGGCTCCTTACAGGAACTCCCCTCCCTCTGGACCTGACTCATGGCTCACCTGTGTCACTCCCAACTCTCCTCCCATCCCGAGAGCACTGTTCCCTGTTCCTACCCCAGCTTGAAGACATGTTTGCGCTTTCGGTAATCAAAGGCGACGCTGCCCTGGGCCCTGGCCAGGCTGACAGGCACTTCTCCGTGGTATGGCACTCCCGCGCTGGCTGCCTTGGCATCCTTGTAAAAGCCGAGGCTCCCACGCCGCAGGACACAGTACACGTTCTGCCAGGACCTGCGAGGGACGCGGTGCTGACTGGCCGGCCTCAGTGGCGCCCGCAACCTGGAGCCCTCTTGGGTGTCCTAGGACTTCCAGTTCTGCTCCCATCTTTAGGCCACGGTCTTCACACCCTCTGGTCCTCCCCTGAGGCCCCGCTCTGGTCCCAAGTCCTACCCTTTGCCCAGAAGATGTACTCTAAAGGGCATCCCTCCCTCTATCTGGGCAGAGGCTCTGGGGAAGTGCCCTCTGAGAGCAGGCTCCAGAGAGGCTGTACCTGTTGGCAGCCTTCTTCCCGAAGGCCTCCATCTCCTGCTTGCGGCACAGCATCCCCTCCATCTGCTCCTGGGCAGATGGCTCTGGGCCTCGAGGCGGCAGGGTGGCAGCATGGGCTGACTCGGTAGACCTGCTCTGGGGCATTGCAGATGGGGCCGGGCCCCGAGTCCGGGTCTGCCTCTCTCCCCGGGGCCCATTGGCTTCGTCCCCTGAGCCAGGTCCCTGGGGGGGAATCAGTGTCAGTGTCAAAGGTTGAGACGGGAGATCCCTAACCTGGGTGCCAGGAAGCTCCGTGTCCAGGAGTTGGTCTTCCTGCCCCCAAGCTGCCTGTGAGCCTCTGCCCTCTCCCATCCCATCCCCAGTACTCCCCCACCCGCACTCACCACCCCCTCTGGACCCTTCGCCTCACAGTTATCAACACCACACTTGCAGGGGAACTCACCGGCCCTTCGGGGAAGCTGCTGTGCTCAAGTCTCTGTTGTCCCAGCAGGGGCTGCAAGGACAAGAATCTGTAAAAGGATGTGCGGGGGTGGAGGGGCTACGACTCCGATGGGGGCACAGAGGGACAGTGGGGTCACCTGTGAGGGCTCTCCATCTGTGCAGACTCCATTAACACTGGGTGCTTGTGTGGATGGTGGTGGCCGTGGCTGGGTTCTGGGATGACCAAAGGCAACACAGAATCATTAGTCCCTGGGTGGCCTGGGCTCAGCCGCCTCCTCCTACCCAGGCATCCTGGCTCTCACCCGTCCCAGGTGGTGTCAGAAGCTGTCTGGCCGCCCACCAGGTCCCCTGGAGGCACACTGGCTGTGGGTTCGGGAGCAGGCGGCTGTTTCCGCCGCTCCTCCTCCTCCCTCTTTCTCTTTCGCTCCTTCTCCCGCTCCTCTAGCTGTCAAAAAATGCTGCATTCAGCGTGTAGAAGGTTGCGTGTAAGAGGGCCAGGGAAACAGGGAGAGCTGAAATGTCTCAACTCTAATTTGATGAAATATGATAAGAGGAGAACAGAATTTGAGAAGATGGTGGGGACAAGAAACAAAGCGGGAGAAGGTGTCTCGGCATCACCCAGGGGAACTGACACCTCCTAAAGGTGTGGTGACAATGGCACTCTCAGCTCACATCTGGGGGCCACTGGTGCAGTGGGAAGAGAGAAGACATGTCTTCTCCAAGCAGAAGCCAGCACAGGTCAGGGGAGCAGGTTGGAGTGGGCATCCGGGGTCCTGTGTCCCTCACCGCAGTAAGCTTCTCCAGCGCACAGAATCGCTCCTCCCAGGCCACTGCTGACTTCTGGAAGGCCTCGTGCCGCTTGATGAGGCTCTCAACTTCGTCGACCGTGCAACCCAGCTCAGCGCTGCGCACCAGTGGCTCCTGGCTGCAGAGCCAGGCCTCTGCCATCCCTGCATCTCTTCCAAACACAAGCACCTCCAAAACTGGCAGGATCGGGGGTTGCAGGAAGATGGTGGGTCAGAGTGGCCACTGGCAGGGCACAGTGGCCATGGCAACCTCAAGAACAGGGACACAGAGAAAGCCACTGCCCCAGAGCTGTGCCAGGCAGCACGAAGATTGGGCATCGTGAGTTTCACACCCAGGGTTCCTAGTCTCACCTACTCTGGAACCCACAGGGTGCAGGATGCCCCCCACTCCCCACAGGGCCTGGGGCCCCCTTGGCAGCTCACCCAGCTGAAGCCAGTCCATCTTCTCCTGCCACTTCTCAGCTGTCTCCTGGCGCCGTGCCTGCAGCTGAGACAGCTTCTCTGAGATCTGGGGGCGGGGGGCAGAGATATGAGTTAGCACCAGGATGTGAGATCTTTCCACGGCCCCTGGGGAGTCATCCAGGGGGACAGGTGATTTCTTTCTTTCTTTCTTTTTTTTGAGACGGAGTTTCGCTCTTATCACCAAGGCTGGAATGCAGTGGCGCAATCTCAGCTCACTGCAACCTCCACCTCCCAGGTTCAAGCAATTCTCCTGCCTCAGCCTCCGAGTAGCTGGGATTACAGGTGCCCGCCACCACGCCCGGCTAATTTTTGTGTTTTTAGTGGAAACGGGGTTTCACCATGTTTCATCACAGCCCAGCCACACAACCCATGGAGGCCAGGCTGGTCTCGAACTCGTGACCTCAGGTGATCTGCCCGCCTGGGCCTCCCAAAGTGCTGGGATTACAGGCGTGAGCCACCATGCCTGGCCCAGGACCAGTGATTTCTGATGTCAAGAGGCAGACGGTTCTGGGGAGAGATTTCCAGAATGCGAGAAACCCGTGAATGGCACTGAGGGGAGAGAATGAAAGGTTTCTTGCAAAGAGAGAATGAGAGGAAGCAGAAAGCCACCAAGAAGTCAGCGTTCAGCACTGCACAGTGAGAATGGCCCGGCCACCCAGGCCTCACCCACCTCCTCGGCCGCATAGTGGCTCCTGGCCAGCAGCTCCTTCCCCATGTCGATGCAGGAGGAGAAGCGGTCTGCCCGGGCCTCTATCTCTGCCTTGATGCCTTGCTGGTTCTTGATGACTAGATCCGCGGAGGACACATCCCTGGGGGGAGGCAGAAACAGCATCACCTGCTGCCCACAGCCCCATCACAGCCCAGCCACACAACCCGTGGAGGCCCTGAGCCCTGGGATTCTCACCGGGGACGCTCCTGGGCATCCATCTGCAGGTTGACCTCATCCATCCAGAGCATCAGTTCCCGGACAGCCTTGAAGAAGCGGAACTTGTCTGTGGTGTCCAGCAGCAGCTGCCGGCGGGCGGCAGAGCTTCCCTGAAGCTGGGCCCAGGCCTCGGCCACGGCCTGCATGTGGCGGCCGATCTCCTCAGCCTTGTCTCCAGCGTAGGCCTTCTGGAGCCGGTGGCCGTCGTCCTGCACCTGCTGGACCTGCGGAGCCCCGGGTCAGAGTCAGGCAGAGCGGGGGACTCCAAGGAGCCGCAGCCTGCCTCAGTCCTGGCTGCCACTCTCACCTCCTGCCTGTCTCACAGCCAAAGAAGCAGGGGGAGGAGCCAGGGAGTGGGGGTGCTGGGAAAGATGAAGGCAGGGGCTGGCCACACTCTGCCCTGTTGGGTCTCATCTAGACACCTGGGCTTAACTGGGGGAGGATCTGGAAAAGAGCCATTGGCCAGTTGAACTTTCAGAGGCCTGTCTAGGATGTGATAGACCTTGGAGATTGCTAGAACGTGCTACTTAGCCTGAAAAGGGGATTCAGGCAGGGGCTGATGGGTTCTAGTGGTTGAAGGAAGGATCCATGCTTACTGAGTGTGAGCCTAGAGCTCAAGCCTGGGAAGCACTAACAGGCTGATTTAGCGCAGCATGAAGAGTCTCCTGGCCACTGGGAACCCCTGAAGACATCATGGGCTCTCAAGGGGGCTTGTCATCAAAAGTGTGAATGCAGTGGCTAGATGTCCCCTGCCAGAGATGTTTTCTTTCTTTTTGAGACGGAGTTTCGCTCTTGTTGCCCAGGCTGGAGTGCAGTGGAGGGATCTCAGCTCACTGCAACCTCCGCCTCCTGGGTTCAAGTGATTCTCCTGCCTCAGCCTCCTGAGTAGCTAGGATTACAGGCATGCGCCACCATGCCTGGCTAATTTTGTATTTTTAGTAGAGAAGGGGTTTCTCCATGTTGGTCAGGCTGGTCTCGAACTCCCAATCTCAGATGATCCGCCCTCCTCGGCCTCCCAAAGTGCTGGGATTACAGGCGAGAGCCACCGCGCCTGGCCAAACAGAGATGTTTTCTTGGAGCAATTTCCTCATCTCGAAATGGCCCTCGAAAGAGTGCCGTCCTCCCAGCATTTCTGAGCTCTACCCTAGCTCCTGGGAACTCTCCCCGGCATTTCCCCCATGGCCTCCTCTAAGCCTCCCCCACCTCCTCATGCTTGGGTCAGACCTGGGGGCTGAGGGCCTGAATGTCATGCTCGTAGGCACAGTGTCGGCGCTGCAGGGCCTCGGCAGCGTTGAGGTCGCGGCCAGTCCCGTCCGGAAGCTGCTGCTGCTTGTGCTGCACCCGCGCCAGGGCTTGGCGTGCCCCGTGCAGGAAGCGCTGCAGCTCGTACGCCGCGGCCAGCACCTGACCCCGTGTGTCCAGCAGCTCAAGCAGGTCAGCCCAGGCCTCGTTGAGACTGTCCTTCCACTCGGCCACGGTGGCCCGTGCAGCATGGCCCCCAGCAATGAGCCCATTGGCCAGCGCATTGGCGCTATCTACGCGCTCCTGACCGATGGTGCTTGTGTCCCGGGAGAACTCTCGGAATTTGTCTCGGAGCATCTGGTAGAGGAAGCAGATGGACAGACCATGCCGTGATGTTAGGGGATGTGGTCCCTGCCTGATGGAGCGAGTCCTCCACTCCAAACTCAGAACCCACCTCTCCCCGCTGCATGGGGGCCGGGACAGGTTTCTTCCCTGTGGTTAAGGAGTAGGTGCAGCTGCTTCCCACTGACCCTGTATTTGACAGACTCCCTCCACCCCCAGCAAAGGCGTTTCAAGGTGCTTGGGACCCTTAGGCTTCAGACAAGGATACCCTAACTATGGTCCATATTTCTGTACGACTGAGGGTCCAAGCCCCCAAACTGTCGGGGGGGTGGATCATACTCCGTTTTGTTGAATTCTGTTGAAAAGTGTGAGTGATAATTTCCTGTTTGCCCTTGTCTCAGCTCAGCTTCATGTCCCCTTTCTGTACAATTCTTCAAATTGTGTGTGTGTGTATGTATTTAGAGATGATAGGGTCTTGCTCTGGAGTGCACTAGCGCAATCACTGCAGTGTCGACCTCCCAGGCTCAAGAGATCCTCCCACCTCAGCCTCCTAAGTAGTTGGGCCTACAGGCATGCACGGCTGTGCCTGGCTAATAAAAAAAAATTTTTTTTGTAGAGATGGGGGGTCTCACTATGTTGCCCAGGCTGGTCTTGAACTCCTGGACTCAAGCAATCCTCCCATCTCAGCCTCCCAAGGTGCTAGGATTACAGGTGTGAGCCTATGCCCGGCCTCTTCAAATCATATACCTCAAAACCAGGAGGACAGTGCCTGCTCAGCCTGGTCTTGCCCCTTAGCCCCTCAGTGCTCTGCCTGGGACTAGGTCCTAGTCTCCCTGTGGGTCCTCCACTCTTCCCACGGTTGATCTGAGCTGGGTGCCCTCCCTACACTCACAGTCACATGCTCGTAGTCCTGGCCCAGCTCGTGGGAGGCCGCCACCACCTCGCGCTCCTGGATCCACTGTTCCAGGTCATCCAGCTCGCGGCGGAGCTGGCACAGCCGGAGGTGCTCCTGCAGGCGCTCCCGCCGCTCTCCAGCCAGCTCCTTCAGGCCGGCATACAGCTTGTCCACCTGGGCTTGGCGGATGGATATCCGAGTGCTGCAAGAAGAGTGAGGGAGGCACTGTGGGACTTAGGGGTGTAGCTCTGACCTCCGGTCTGTTCTGTGGAGCCCTGTCCCTCTGAGTCTCCCAACAGCTCGCCCACCCTGTGTTCCAGCTTTCTAGAAGGCTCCGTGCACACAGCACTGAAGGCTCCACATTCCCTGCACCTTCCTGTTCCTGCAGCCGGCTCCACCCCCAGGCTGGGCCGGGCTGCCGCTGCACCCACCTCTCTGGGTGCTCGTGGTCAATCATGTCCTGGCTGCTGGCCGCCAGCTGGTGGATGGTCTGCGCGTAGTCGGCCAGGGCTTGCTCCAGCACCTGGTGCTTCTTCACCTCTGCCTGGGCACTCAGCTCATCCTGGGGGAAGGGACAGTGGCATCCAGCATCAGGTCAGGGGAGGGCAGAACTGGTCACATACACTGGGCTCTGTCCTGGCCCTCACCTTGGCCTTCTCCTGGCCCATCATGTGTAATTCCTGCTCGCCCATCCAGGCCTCCGCCTCGGCGGCATCGCGGTAGAACTGCTGGGCTCGCAGGGCATCCTCCAGTCGCTTCCCTCGAAGTTCCAGCTCGTGGCCCAGGCGTTTCCACATTTCCTGCAGCTCAGCCAGCTCTGGACCTGCTGCTGCTGCACCTAGAGCACGCTGCCGCTCCCTCAGGTCCGCGATCCGGGGCTCATGGCCCTGAATCTCTTTCTGCAGGGTCTGCCCATGGCCACAGAAGAGAAAATGCTGAAAGTCCTGCCCCAGCCCCACGTGCTCCCGGAGACCACCCTTCACCCCTGTGCCTCTCTCCTTCCTGGGTCCTCTGCTCCCTCTCCTAGCCTGGGGGTGCGATGGTAACACCCGTCAGCCGCCCAGCCCCCACTATCTCCTACTGAGAGGACCCACCCTCCCAAGGTGAGGAAAGACAGCCACTGAAGTCCAGGGTTACACTCAGCATCGAGGGGGGCCTGGTCTTAAGAAAAAACACGTCCAAGTCTGGGCAGGCTCCTGGGAACTTCTCTTTTGCCTTCAGCCTCTGCCTCACCTGGTTTTTCTTCATGAGAAGCTGGACGCTGGGCAGGTCCTTGCCATGCTCCATGGAGCTGGCCATGGGCAGCCGCTCTGTCACCCACAACTGGAAGAGGAAGAGGGGGTCAGTGGAGGCCCAGAGGGCAAGGCAAGCAGCAGGGACTGATTAGTGGGAGTGGGGACACCTGGGGCTACCGCCCTGTGTGTGGGGAACAGTCATCTCTGGTTCTGGGAGGCATCTCCAAGTCTCCCTATAGGGGAGATGGTCAATGCCAAAGAGAAGAGGGAATAGAGCCCTGCTGGCATCTCCCTGGCATCCAGGAGGGAGGCTGGAGAACCACATGGCTGGGGGCAGCTTGCCGTCCTTGGCCCCAGTGACTCACAATCTCATCTTCCACATCGCGGTGGAACTGGTGCTGCTCGCGAGAAGCCTGCAGGCGCCGGCAGCGTTCCCGCATGGGCTGGCACAAGGCCCTGAACTTCTCCTCCACGGCCCTCGAGGTTCTCTCCACCTCCCCTGCACCCTGGTCCTCCTGGGCCAGTGCTTTGGCCTGGGCCTGGATTGCCTCCACCTCCTTCTCTCTCACAGCCATCTCCCATTCCAGCATCTGCAAACCGCCAGGAGGAAGGACATGTTAGCTCTGCATTTCCGCCTTCATGCCCAGCAGAGACACCAACCAGTCTCTATCCAGCCCACTGTGGCTGCTCATCACTGCAGCTCACCCAGGGAGAGCATCCCCTCATGGGCTGGATCAGTGGATCTCGAACTTTATATGCACAAGAATCCAAGGGCAGGGGTTGAAAAAATCCCTATTGGGTACTGTGCTCACTACATGGGTGATGGGTTCAATTACACCCCAAACTTCAGCATCACACAATATAACTTATAACAAACCTGCACCCACACCCGCGAATCTAAAAGATTGAAATTAAAAAATCCAGGGTAGTGTGATAACTGTGCCCATTATCAATTCATTGTCTCTCCATCCCCAATCCATCGTGGCCCTGCTTTGAGACACTGGAACTGGCCCCTGGAAACATTCCTCCTTTGCCAGCAGGCACAATCTAGGCCTTGTCAGCAGAGGGCGCTGGAGGGACACCACAATGCCTAGCAGATGTGGGGCATTCCACGGTTCCAAGGTGCTTTTCTTCCTCCTACAGCAAAACTGTCCACAGTGCGCAAGAGATCCGGTGGCTCTTACTCTCTGGCAAGTTTTGCTGCACTCTAGTGGCCACTTCCTGCTGGCCAGCCTTGGCTTGCTGGCTTCAGACATGCTCTGGCCTGTGATACCCCAGCAAATTTCCAGGCCATTCAGTGGGCCTCCGCCCTCTCCAAGGAGGTCTGAGACTCAGCCATCTTGCTCCTTCCTGGGGGACTCCTCAACCCCAGAGGTGTCAGCTGCTCCCTACACTTCCCATTCTGCATTCTTCAGAGCAGGGACCAGCAAGTCCAGCCCACTGCCTAGCCTTATAAAGTTTTTATTGGACCACAGCTGCACCCCTTTTTAAAAAATTTTTTGAGACAAGTCTCGCTCTGCCACCCAGGCTGCAGTGCAGTGGCACGATCACAGCCCACTGCAGCCTCGACTCTCCAGGCTCAAACAATCTTCTCACCTCAGCCTCCTGAGTAGCTGGGACTACAGGCACACACCACCACCACGCCCAGCTAATTTTTGTAGTTTTTGTAGAGATGGGGTTTTGCCATGTTGCCCAGGCTAGTCTCAAAACTCCTGGACTCAAGTGATCCGGCCACCTCGGCCTCCCAAAGTGTTGGGATTACATGTGTGAGCCACCACACCTGGCCATACCCCTTATTTTACATATAATCCGCAGCTGCTTTTCCTTACAAGGGCAGAGTTGAAGGGCTGTGACATAGACCTTACGACCCATGAAGCCCCAAAAATTTACTATCTGGTGCTTTACTGAAAAAAGTTTTCTGACCCCTGCTATAGAGTTCTCTTTACCACCTTTTACTAATTTATACTTCTGTTTTTTTTTTTGAGACAGAGGCTTGCCCAGGCTGGAGTGCGATGGCATGATCACGGCTCACTGCAACCTCTGTCTCCTGGGTTCAAGCTATCCTCCTCCCTCAGCCCTCAGCCTCCCAAGTAGCTGGGATAACAGGCGTGCGCCACCACGCCTGGCTAATTTTTGTATTTTTAGTAGAGACGGGGTTTCACCATGTTGGCCAGGCTGGTCTTGAACTCCTGACCTCAAGCGACCTGCCTGCCTTGGCCTCCCAAAGTGCTGAGATTACAGGCATGAGCCACTGTGCCTGGCCTAATTAATATTTCTTTTTACTGAAGTTCTCATCGTCAAATTATTAGGGGGTCTGTCTCCTAACTCTAACCCTGACTGCGACATATCCCTAGAGATTCTGATACTGGCTGCCCAAAGAAATGACTCTGGGAAATGCTAGTGAAGGTGTTATCTGCCAGGCCTCAGCTGGCCTCCCAAATCTTGAAAGCTGCAGCCCCTTTCTTCTGCTGTTCACCATCCCCATCAAAGGCCCACAGCACACCTGCTGCTTCTTGAGCAGGATGTTGACGCTGGTGAGGTCCTTGCCGTAGTCATCCGAGTGCAGCTGGGCCTGCAGGCTCTCCAGCCAGCTCTCCAGGGCACAGCAGCTCTGGGCAAACAGCTCAGCTCGGTTGGCATCAAAGAGGCTGCGGGCCTTGGCTTGGGTGGTGGTCTCCAGCTCGTCCCAGCGCCTGTGCAGGTCTCTCAGCTTCTCCGACACCAGGGCTTTCAGCTCTGGCTTCTCAAGGGTGAGCTCTCGCCCTTCCTGGAAGGCAGGACAGAAAATGTCAAAGTGCCCAAATTAGCCTGAACTTTAGAGGCTGAGAGCAGACCAGGGGCCTTACGGGCAGTAGAGACCTGAAGTGTGGGCAATAATTCCAAGTCCTTGTGTGTTCTTATCGACACACTCTTCACGGAGGTTTAAAATCCCTTCTAAACTGCTGTTCCCTCACTGCTGATGAACCCCACTCCTCCTTCAAGACCCAGCTCAAACAGCATTTCAACGAGGAAGCCCTTGCACTCTCTTTAGTTTGGGTTCCTTGGTGCCTGTGGTTTCTGGCACCACACTGCACATTGACTTGAGTTATTTGCCATCATTTTGTATTTCTCAACTCATTACTCTTCACTTCAGTGATAGCAAGTTGAGTCCCACCTGGTTTCCCCACTTCCAGCTTTTCTGCTTGAGGATTTCTGTGTCTGGGGTGGTGAGGGAAGTGTGCTCTCTTGAACTGTGTGGAAGGCAAATTGGAAGAGCCACAGAGTTAACAAGCCCAGAAGCAGCCCTCAACCAGTGACAGACAGGGAGCTGATGGATAAACACACAGCATCCTTGTGCCGTGGCTGTGAGAGTGCTGTGTTCTGTGTTCCATCTACACCCCCGCAGAATGCCCCATGAGGGTTGGGCTCCTGATGCCCATGGGGGTAACTGGCATGACTTCTGTCCCTTCTCATGGCTCCACCCCCCTACTGATCATTCCCGGGGACACCTCCCTAGAATCACTGTTTCAGGGTCTGCTTCTAGGGGAACACAAACCCAGACACTGCCTTCAGGCCATTTTGCAGGTGGCTGTGGCTGTCAGGATGGAGAGCATCAAAGGCTAGCACTGCCTGGGTAGCTTCACAACCCTGAGCACAATCAACACTTGGAAGCACACGCATGTGGTGGTCAGGACTTCCCGGGGCTTCTCTCCCACCTCTTCTTCCATGGGGCCCTGCACACATTCTGTGCTGCTGCTGGACTCACTCACCCCCTTGCTCCCAAACAGGCACTGCCTACCACTGGTTTTCTGTTTGGTTTTCTCTACCTGGAAACATCTTTTCCTCCATATCTCCACTTGTCCAAATTCTACTCATCCTCCATGGACTGCCCTGGATGTTGCTGCTTCTAGAATTTCCATATCTCCTCTCTCCTTATTCCCCAGGCTTCAACGGGGCCACTCTCACAGCACTCATCAGATTCTGCTCTGGATTCGATTTAGCTACCTGCATATATGCCTCATATCCTGGCTACAGTGTTGTTCCTTCAGGGTGGAGCCTACCATGGGATCCCTTTCGGACCCCACGCAGGGCCTAATACAATGCTTTGGATATAGTAGCACCAAGTAAATATTTGCTGAACGAATGGAAACACTTGAAAGCACACTGGTCTCCTTTTGTCCCAACCATCATGCCCTTGAGAAAAGGAAAGTGTCTTTTCGTAGACCCTGCAGTGCCTCGCAGACTGTTGAGCACGTACCATGTTCTGTAGGGATACTTGCTGAGCAGATATAAAGCTTTATCTGTCCTTGACTCTTGAGGAACAGCTGGGTGGGAGACCAAGAACCAGGGACGGCAAGACTCGAAAATAAGGATTGGCAGACTACATACAGCCCACGGGGTAATCTGGCCCACTGCCTGTTTTTACAAATAAAGTTTTATTGGGAAACAGCCATGTTCATTCATTCACTTATTCTCTGAGGCTGCTTTTGCACTACAACGACAGAGATGAGTAGTTGTAGTAGAAACTGTTTGGACTGCAAAGCCTCAGATATTGACCATCCAGCCCAAGCCCTTTCCAGACAAGGTTTGCAGAGCCTGCTGAAGAGCACCATCCTGCTTTGAACTCAGGAACAGTTATGGCGTTAAATCCAGGCTGCAGTTTCGCTACCTGCTAATTTGTACTTTATCAAGGTTCTGGACTCACTGTCCCACTCTTTGTCTCCAACAAAGACGTTTGTTTCCCAGAGGCCATAACTTTCCACCATGGAGCTGTGGCACCAGAACCCCACAATCTCTAACCATGACAAAAACCACGTCCTGGAGCCAGGCCCTCCCCCGTACCATGGGGGACTCTGCCCAGAGGCAGCCCCCACAGCACTGCTCACCTTGTCCACCTTGTCCAGCCAGTCTTTGTTGGCAGCCAGCTCGGCCATGAATGCCTGGTGCTTCTGCCACTTAGTATGCAGGTTGCGGGCCTCGTCATAGGACACGTCCTGGGCTGTCAGCATCTTCTCGTCGATCCAGAGCTTCAGCTGGACCAAACATAAAACAGGGACATTTCCAAGGGAGGGGAGAGGGGGGCATAAAAGCAGGGCCACAGTGAGCCAGGAGAAGTGGGCGCCTTGGGAAGAAGCCATGAAGGGGCTCACAGTCTCCGGTACCTTGTGCTGGACTTATTCTAGGCTCAAGGTGAGAAAGGGATGGCTAGGGAATATCCCGGGGCCCCAGGGAGCCTCACCTCGTGACAATCTTGCAGGAAATGCTGCTGCTCCCGGTTGTCCCGAAGACGGCCCAGAAATTGCTGCGCTGCGTCTTGATTCTTCTTGTGCCTGGAACGACACCCTCTTGTGAAACTCTGGAATTTGCTGTGAAAGGATTGTGACCCTTTGGCTAACCTAGGGGCCTCCATTTCTTCTAGGGGAATAACGCCTTCCGGGAGCACAATGAGGCTACCCAGGAATCCTGACTTCCTTTTAGCCCTGGTTGGGGGTGGAATCTCCCAGCCCTCTCCAACCACTTAGTTCTTCCCCTCTACTTCTCTGTCAGCTCCTGCCCCATCTGTGGGTTTCCTGTGCCACGTTTATCTTTGAGGTCACCCTGTTTCTCCGATTCCCCCCTGGGAACCCTAATTCATGGACTGTCCTCATCAGACCTCCTCTCAATGGAGTCTGCCTTTTCCCGAATCTTGTCGGCGTGGATGTTGCCTTCAGATACCAGCTGGCGGCCAGCCTCCAGGAGCCCGTGGATCCGTTCCCCATTGGCGTCCATGGTGCTCATGAAGTCCTCCAGTTTTTTAATGGCAGCATCAGCAGCCTGGAGTGTCCCTGGCATCTCCGTGTGAGACAGAACATATTCCTGTGTGGGAGGGATGACATTCAGCTCATTTTCCCCAGCACAATTCACCCCCCTAGGAGGGACCCACCCAGGGGCAAATCTGAGAGGTAGGGACCAACAAGCAGACAGGGAGGGTAGCCCAGAGAGCTCTGAAGACAGGGAGGCTGCCAGCCAGCATGGGAGCCTCAGAAAGTCACAGGGAAGCTGGGTGGGAAGGACCTTCCATTCCCCAGCCCAAATCCTGTTCTATCTCACTTCTAGCTCCTGATTCCATTTAACAGTTACATGACAAACTGGGCTTTCTATTTCTTCTAAAGTCAGTTTTAGTAAATTATATTCACGTCTTTTTCATTCTCATTTTTCCTTCTTTTTTCTTTTTCTTTTTTTTGAGAGAGGGTTTCATTCTGTGGCCCAGGTTGGAGTGCAGTGGCATATCATAGCTCACTGCAGCCTCAAACTCCTGGCTCCAGTGATCCACCAGCCTCAGCCTCCCCAGTAGCTGGAGCTACAGGCATGCACCACCATGTCCAGTTAATTTTTTTTTTTCATAGAGATGGGGGTCTCACTATGTTGCCCAGGCTGGTCTCAAACTCCTGAGCTCAAGTTATTCTCCTGCCTCGGCCTCCCAAAATACTGGGAGTACAAGTGTGAGCCATCCTGTCTGGCTCCCATTTTTCTTTTTAAAAAATTCTTCTATTTTCTTAAAAAAATTTTTTTGTAGAGACAAGGTCTTGCCATGTTGCCCAGGTTGGTCTGGATATTCTCAGCCTCAAGTGATCCTCCTACTTTGGCCTCCCAAAGTGCTGGAATTTCAGGTGTGAACCACTGCGCTGCCCCATTTTGCTAGCATGTCCTTCCTGCCCATCCTGCTCCTTCACATTTCCCCGGGTCCCTACTTTGCTCTTCCTCCTGCTTGGGACTTTGCCCTGGACTTTCACCTGGCTGCTGAGCACGCCCTCAGCCTGACGAGCATCCCGCAGGAATCCCTGGAAGCCGTGGGCCTGGGCCAGGCGACCTTGCCGGCTCTCCCACATTCGGCCCAGCTCCTCCCAGCCAGTTCCCAGGGCCTCCAGTCGCTGTCGTAGGAAGAGGCACTGGGGGTCAGCCTGGTCCCGGGTCACCTCCTCGCCCAGGGCTCGCAGCCGGCTATACTCGCTCTGGGCCCGCTCCACCTCTCCCCGCAGGGCTGCATGTTGGGCCAGGAGGGCCTCTGCCTCAGGCAGGGTGGCCGGCCCTTCTTCAGAGGCCACAGCAGTCTGAGTGCGGCCTAGCCAGGCCTGGAAGTCATCCAAGCTGCGCAAGAAGTCCTGCAGCCGCCGCGCCTCCCCCAGCGACTCTTCTCGACGCCGCATGGTGGCCCTGAGGTCCTCCCAGCCGGTCTGCACCTCTCTCAGCCGGGCGTTGATGGCCACTGCCTGAGCGGGATGGCCGGCAGCCAGGGCATTTGCCTCTCGAGTCAGTTCGCCCACCCGGGCGGCGATGGCCTCCAGGTCCCGCTCCGTGCCGGCCAGCTTGCGCTGCAGGGCCAGCACCCCAGCCAGATCGTTGCCTAGGCCCTGGGTGGACTCGATGACTTTGGTCTTCTCTCTCATCCAGGCCTGGGTCTCCGTGCACTCTAAGTGGTAGTTCTGGATGCTCAGGGCTGAGGTGAGAGCTGCCTTCTTGCCGTCTGCCAGACGCCGAAACTGCTGCCACCTGAGAGCAGGGGGAAGGTTCAGCTTCCTGCCCTGGCCAGGCCTGTTTGGAAGCTTCTTCCCTGCTTCTCTCTCTCTTGGTAGCTCCCCTTCACTCCTCCCTTTCTGGCCAGCAGCCGCTTCAGACCACCTTGACCCCCTCTCTCATCTCTTTCATCCTTTTTCCTTCCCCAACATATTCCAGACTGGTTTGCTTCCTCCTTTGTAGCCACCCTTCCAGGCCCTACAAAACCTGCCTCTCACTGCCATCCCCATTGCTTCATTTTTCTGTCAGTTTCCTGGTCCTGCCCTCCCAAACCCACCTGTGGTTGAGCTGCTCCTGGGTGTTGACAATGCGGTCTTTGCCTGGGGGGTTGGCCTTCAGTAACTGCTCGGCAATGTCATTCACCGCGGTGATTTGTGCTGCAAGGGTGTTCATTTCAGGCTCCAGGGTCTCGAACCTGAGAGGGTGGAAGAGCCAGGCGTGAATTGTGGGAGGCAGCGATGTGCCCAGTCCACCTAAGTCCACCTCTCTTAAACACCCAGGAGGGTGTCTCCTTCACCAGGAGGCTTATCTGCAGGAGTCTCTCTGCCTCTCAGCCTATGAGGTTCATAGTATCTGTGCATCAAGGAAGGAACCCACAACTCCCCCAAAACAAGCAGAATAACTGTCATCGCTAGAAATGCTCAAAAGATGGTGAAAGGTAAAGGTCAGGAACAGACACACAAGTCAAACTAGACCCTGGCATGGGGCCAACCCTTTATCAGAGCTGCTCAGCCTCCTGGGACTTCCCCCTTAGCTGCCTATCTGGGTCTCATCCCACTAATATGTGTTAGAAAATGAAGTAATAACCAAAAATATTTGTCTGAGTGATGAAAATGTGAAGGATAACTTCTTCCAGGGACATTTTATGTTTTGTTTTTGAGATGGAGTCTCGCTCTGTCACCCAGGCTGGAGTGTAGTGGTGCAATCTCGACTCACTGCAACCTCCGCCTCCCGGGTTCAAGCAATTTTCTGCCTCCGCTTCCCGAATAGCTGGGATTACAGGTGCCCGCCACCAAGCCTAGCTAATTTTTGTATTTTTGGTGGAGACGGGTGTTTCACTATCTTGGCCAGGCTGGTCTTGAACTCCTGACCTCATGCTCCACCCGCCTTGGCCTCCCAAAGTGCTGGGATTACAGGCGTGAGCCACCTCGCCTGGCCGACATTTGATGTTCTAATAGGGCAGGGTCTGCAAATGTTTTCTGTGAAGGGCTTGATGGTAAATATTATAGGCTTCGTGAGCCATGCAGCTGCTGCGGCAACTATTCAGCCCTGCTGCTGTAGCCTGAAAGCAGCCACGGGCAATACGCAAAAGGGCGAGTGTAGCTCTGTTCCAGTAAAACTTTATTTACAGACCGGGCATGGTGGCTCACGCCTGTAATCCCAGCACTTTGGGAGGCTGAGATGGGTGGATCACAAGGTCAGGAGATCGAGACCATCCTGGCTAACACGGTGAAACCTCGTCTCTACTAAAAATACAAAAAATTAGCCAGGTGTGGTGGCGGGTGCCTGTAGTCCCAGCTACTTGGGAGGCTGAGGCAGGAGAATGGCGTGAACCCGGGCGGCGGAGCTTGCAGTGAGCCAAGATTGTGCCACTGCACTCCAGCCTGGGGGACAGAGCAAGACTCCGTCTCAAAAAAAAAAAAAAAAAAAAAAACCAAAAAAAACTTTATTTACAGAAACAGGCAGCAGGCTGGATTTGGCCCAAGGGTTGCAGTTTGTTAACCTCTACATTAGGATACCTTGAAAACTAAAAAAAATCTTTAATTACATTTTTATTTTTATTTATTTTTTTGAGACAGGGTCTTACTCTGTCACCCAGGTTGGAGTGCAGTGGCACGATCTCAGCTCACTGCAGCCTCGACCTCTGGGCTCAAGCAATCCTCCTGCCTCAGCCTCCCCAGTAGCTGGGACTACAGGCGCCTGCCACCATGCCTGGCTAATTAAAAAAAAAATTTTGTAGAGGTGGAGTCTCACTATGTTGCCCAGGCTGGTTATGAACTCTTGGAATCAAGTGATACTCCTGCCTTGGCCTCCCAAAGTGCTGGGATTACAGGTGTGAGCCACCAGGCCTGACCTAATTATATTTTTTTAAACACCAGGAAATTTGATTACACATTGATCATAGATCATATCAAGAAATTCCTGACCCGGCGCAGTGGCTCATGCCTGTAATCCCAGTACTTTGGGAGGCCAAGCCGGGTGGATCACGAGGTCAGGAGATCGAGACCATCCTCGCTAACATGGTGAAACCCTGTCTCTACTAATAAAAAAATACAAAAAATTAGCTGGGCATGGTGGTGGGTGCCTGTAGTCCCAGCTACTTGGGAGGCTGAGGCAGGAGAATCGCTGGAACCCGGGAGGCAGAGCATGCAGTGAGCCGAGATCGCACCACTGCGCTCCAGCCTGGGTGACAGAGTGAGACTCCATCTCAAAAAAAAAAGAAATTCCTAATTTTGTTCTATGTGATAATGGTATTGTGGTTCTATAAAAAAATTTTTAAGATTTATTATTGAATAAATGATTTGAAGATTTATTCTGTAAATAAAACTATTTTAGTGTCTCTGTCTAAAAGGTTTATAACTTCAAAGCCTCAGCTATTTTAAGTCCACACAGACAATTTGAAAATAATATATTGTAGGTAAGAATGCTTCCTCGTATTTCTTTTCTTTTTTTTTTTTTTTTTTTTGAGACAGTCTCGCTCTGTCGCCAAGGCTGGAGAGCAGTGGCACGATCTCGGCTCACTGCAAGCTCCGCCTCCCAGGTTCATGCCAGTCTCCTGCCTCAGCCTCCCGAGTAGCTGGGACTACAGGCGCCCCCCACTGTGCCCGGCTAATTTTTTGTATTTTTAGTTGAGACAGCGTTTCACCATGTTAGCCAGGATGGTCTCGACCTCCTGACCTCGTGATCCGCCTGCCTCGGCCTCCCAAAGTGCTGGGATTACAGGTGTGAGCCACCGTGCCCGGCCGCTTCCTTGTATTTCTTAAAGGGCACACCCTGAAGAAGGTAGGAGGGATGTGCTAATCTTGGGGATTTGCTTTTTAAAAGGGCAGAGAACCAAATAGAGCAAGATGTTGGCAATGACTGAATCTGGGTGACGGGTGTAGAGGGGTTTGTGGTGAAATGTCTCTACTTGTGAGTATGGTTAACATTTTTTGTTAAAACTAGAAATGGACAACCATTAAGACTCAAAGGGGTGAGGCAGGAAGTTTATGGAGGGACTCACCACCCACATCCTGGCCCCCCCACCCCCACCTCCCAAGGCTGGTCCCACTAGGAGCCTGAGGGGCCTACCTCTGCTGCACGACCTCCAGGTCCTCCAGGCGTTCAGGCAGGGCCAGCCCGTTGAGCCACTGCTCCTTCTCCTCCACCCAGAGTCCACAGGCCCCGGCCTCGCTGAGCATGGTGTAGAGCGCCAGGGCTGCCTCCAAGGCCCGCGCTCGCTCGCCTGCCCGGGCCTGCAGCTCCTCGTAGTGCCGCTCCAGGGTGGGCACCCGGCTCTGCACCTCGGGCGTGCGGCTCAGTGTGGGGGGCAGGGCTGCTGCCTGTTCCCTCAAGGCGTCCAGGGTTGGCCGGTGGCTTCGAATCTCCTCCTCCAGGGCCCGATGCTGCCTGGCTAGAGCCTGCGTGGAGAACTCGTCGTGCCCCAGCTCGGGGCTGGACACCAGGCGCAGTGCGTCAACCAACCAGGCCTCCATGTCGTTTGCATCGGCCTGGAACTGGTAGAGGCTGGCGGCTTGGGCCAGCCGCTGGGCACGCTCCTCGGCCAGGGCCTCTAGCCGCTCCCACTGGGCTTGGAGTTCAGCTGCACGGGCAGAGGCCTGGCTTGCCCCAGGGTGACCCTCGGCCACCAACTGCTGGCCCTGCTCCAGGGTGAGCTTCAGGGGCCCCAGCCGGCCGCTCATCTCGCCCCGCAGGGCTGTGTGCTTGTTGAGCAGGCGGAGGGCACCGGTCAGGTCTCGGCCCGTGTCGGCTGAGGCCAGGAGGTGCTGCTGCTCCCGCACCCAGGCCTCAGCTTCACCCACCTCCCAGAGGAAACGCCAGAGCCGCCGTGATTCCTCCAGCCGGGCCCGCCGCGCCGCTGCCAACTCGCACAGTGCCTCATAGCTCTGCTCTAGCTTGGCCACCCGCTCCGACACCAGCTGCGGGTCGCAAGGTCTATACTCTGAGAAAGTCACAGGAGAGGGTCAGAGCCTTAACCCAGCCCTCCGGCTGCTCCCTGCCACCACACTCTCTTGGACTTCCCTCCCTGGCTTTAGCTCAGTCACCATCGTTTGGCCACCATCTTTCCCGTCCCCAGGTTTCCCAACCCTTCCACCTCGGCTCTTGATGTGCTCCTTCCCAGCCCCTCCCTCTCCAGTGCCTTCGCTGACTTCTCACCTTTCCCTGGGTTGCAGAAGCGCAGGGCAGAGGCGCTGACGGCCCGCACCCTCTCGGCCTGCACGGCGATGTCTGCCTCCACCAGCTCGTGCAGCTGCAGCAGGTCCTCCACTCCTGCTAGGTGCCTGCCCAGGTCCTGAGACTGCAGCCGGCCCTGCCAGGCACACATGAAGTGCACATGCCCGCCTGAGCACAGACGCGCTAACCTGGCTGCGTTTTTCTTCCAACTTCTCCACGGCCCCAGGTGTTGCACCCAGGTGAGAAACCTGCTTGCTCACACATACTTGAGATACCCCAGTTCTGCCCTGGCACCCCGACCTCCTTATCCTGAACTCCCCTGCTGTGGAACAATGTTCTAACTAACTCCTGCTCTTGGAAGCTTTGCTGTGACTAATCTTCTCAGCCTCAGAATCATCGACACCCTCCTGCCGCCACCGCTCCGCCCCAGCACCCAGCAGCCTTCCTTCCACATCTCTCCCCAATCCACCCTCCTAGCCGCTGCCCGCCTGGAAGATGGCAGCAACCTCTAACGGTCTCGCTGTCATGCTGCCTGCCCACAGGCCTTCTTCAGAGTAGCCAAAGTGACTTTTTTACAAACATAAGGTACAATCAAATCTCTCCCCCTCTCAAAACCTTCTAATCACTTTATTTATTTATTTATTTTGAGATGGAGTCTCGCTCCTGTAGTGCAGGCTGGAGTGCAGTAGCACAATCTCAGTTCACTGCAACCTCCACCTCCCAGGTCCAAGCAATTCTCCTTCCTCAGCCTCCTGACTAGCTGGGATTACAGGCGTGTGCCACCACACTCAGCTAATTTTTGTATTTTTAGCAGAGATGGGGTTTCACCATGTTGGCCAGGCTGGTCTTGGACTCCTGACCTCAGGTGATCCGCCCGCCTCGGCCTCCCAAAGTCTTAGGATTATAGGCGTGAGCCACCTTGCCTAGCTGCTTTTTTTTTTTTTTTTTGACTGAGTCTTGCTCTATCACCTAGGCTGGAGTGCAGTGGTGCAATCTTGGCTCACTGCAACCTCCGCCTCCTGGGTTCAAGCGATTCTGCTGTCTCAGCCTCCTGAGTAGCTGGGACTACAGGCATGCGCTACCACCGCACCTGGTTAATTTCTGTATTTTTATAGACACGGGGTTTCACCATGTTGGCCAGGCTGGTCTTGAACTCCTGACCTCAAGTGATCTGCCTGCCTTGGCCTCCCAAAGAGCTGGGATTACAGGCATGAGCCACTGCGCCTGGCCCCTTCAAATCACTTTAAAGGATCCATGTTACTTTGAATAAAATCCAAACTCCCTGACCAGGCCTGTAAGGCCCTAGTGGGCTGGCCGTGCCCTCCCAAATCTCAGTCCATGGCCCCCACTCCTCATGCTCACAGCCCACCGGCCTTCCTTCTGATCCTGAACACACCATGCTGATCCAGGCCGAGGGCCTGTGCCGGCTGTTCCTTCTGCCCGGAACATTCTCTCCTGAGAGCTCTCTGTGCTGGCTCCTGGCACTATTCTGGTCTCGGCTTAAATGGTATTTTCTCAGAGGCCTTGTCTGACCAGCCCCTCACACCACCCTGTTCCAGTTTCATCAGTGGTTTTATGGCCCCTGCTCTTTTGTTTACGGAAAGGTCCGTGGGTTTTGTCATCAGCCTCCTCCATGTGGACACGAACCCCATGTGGACAGGGCCCTGTTTACTTTGTTCCCTGCAACTGGGGACAGGGCCCTGTGCTGGTTCACACTCCACAGAGATCGGCCGAGCAGACGGGCGGACGCACCCACTGTGGGGCCCCCTCGACTCTTGATCACTCTTACCCCACCCAGCACGCCTCACTGGTACCTTCATCTCTTCCATCCAGTCCATGAGGTAGAGCAGGTCCTGGAACACCTTCTGCAGCTCCAGGTTGAGGAGGAGCCGCTCCCGCCGGGCGGCCACCATCTGCCGCAAGAAGTCCCAGAGCCGTGCCACGTTGTGCTGCCGAGCGGCGATGCGCTTGATGTCGTGGTAGCGCTCGGCGGCCAGCTCTGCAGCCACGGCGTCCACTGCCTGCACCCGGCCGCTGTAGGCCACGATGTCCGTCTCAATGGCTTCGTGCTTCCGTACTGCTGCCTCGACAGCTGCCAGCTCCAGCCCAAAGTTGTCCTGTGTCGGGGGCAGGGAGAGGAGGTGTGGGGACCAAGGGACAGTGCCTCTGCCTGCTCCTCTGTCCTGCAGGGCACTTGGCCTGCAAGATCCCAGCTCCATGCGGTGGCTCTAAGTTCCCTCTCTATCCCACCCCCATCCTGTCTCACCAACCCTCTCTCCTGTCCCACCCTCTGGCCCCTGGCTCCCGGACCTCTAGGCCTTTTTACCCAGGTGACGGATTTTGTGTTTCATTGTCTCTCCACCCCGCGGGGCTTCTTATCCACCCTGTCTCTCTCCCAGTTCTGACCAGCCTAAGCATCCTAGGAGCCTCAAGTCCTACCTGGGACACGAGGCGCTGGTTCTCGCTGAGCCAGGTCTCCCGCATGGCAGCCTTGCGGTCGAAGCGGGCGGCCAGCTGCTCCAGCTTCTCCTGGCGGATGAGCTCGGTGCGCAGGGCCAGCTCACGCTCGTGCTCCGCCTTCTCCAGCCGCTCCCAAGCCTATGGGGTGGGGACAGGGTTAGTGGAAGGGACAGGGTGGGGAGGGCTCAGTGGGGCTGGAGGCACATGGTAAGTCCCATGGAAGCTCGGTCTGGTGGATCCGTGGAATGCAGTGGGTGAGACGCCTGGGCGTGGAAACAGGAAACAGGGCAGCGCTGGGAGTCTGTGAAGCCATGTAGAAGCTTCTGGAAAAGGACTGGAGGGAGCACGAACAGTGGAAACCATCTGATTCCTTTGTGTTGGCAGGACTGTGTGCGAACCTTATTTTTACTTTTAGTAATCTTACAATATTGTGAAAAAAATAAAAGAAGGGATAGTGAGTTGGGGACAGGTTTAACAAGCTGAGGAACTTGGGGCATAATTTCCTTATGTGACCTCGTATGGAGAGTCAGACAAAGGGACAGGGAGCCGTGTGCCTGAGAGGATGGGAGAATCACATCTGGCACAGTGTGGGCAGCTGGGCAGAGTGCTCGAGTTTCAAGTTGGGGCAGCAGATAGTAGAACTTGGTGAAGGTCGACATGGCCCCGGGTTTGGGGATGTGTGCAAGGCATCTGGGCCAGGGCCTGCCCTGAGGGTGGGTGGCCTGTGGGCAGCCACGGACCTTGTTGATGTCCGAGATGAGCCGGCCCTCGCGGGGCGTGTAGACCTTCTGGTTGTTGGCCCGAAGCTTGCTCTGGATGGTGAAGAGCAGCACTTCCAAGTTCCCTTTCTCGGTAAACCTGAGGCAGGAGGCCGGGTTGGGGTCAGAATTAAAGCCCACGAGGGTCACAAGGACTCTTTACTCTTCCAAATGGGTGTCCTGTGTTGCTTTTCTTCTTACAAAAGCAATATAAACTTTTTATGTGGAAGCCAGAAAATATGGGCTAACCAAAAGAACATCATTTTATTTTATTTTGAGACAGAGTCTTGCTTTGTCACCCAGGCTGGAGTGCAGTGGTGCGATCTGGGTTCGCTGCAACCTCTGCCTCCCGGGTTCAAGCCAATCTCTTGCCTCAGCCTCCCGAGTAGCTGGGATTACAGGCATGCACCACCACACCTGGCTAATTTATGTATTTTTAGTAGAGATGGGGTTTCACCATGCTGGCCAGGCTGGTCTCAAACTCCTGACCTCAAGTGATCCACCCGCCTCAGTCTCCCAAAGTGCTGGGATTACAGGCATGAGCCACGGTGCCCAGCCAAAATAATTCTTTTATAACCTATTTCCCCCACTTATTTTTCATGAACACCTTTCCATGTCAATAAATGCATTTCTTTAATATTATTTTCAGTGGCTGCCCATGACTTATTTTTCTTTTCTAGTGGTTGTGTTGATAAACATCCTTGAAGCTACATCTTTGTTTAATGTCCAGAAGACAACTTCCTAGGTTAAAGGGTACACCTTAAATCATTCCCTGGAATGTATAGAAACAATTGTTTTCTGGACTAATATTAGTTTCAGAGCTGATATATATTAACTCCAAAAGAACTCCATGACAGCATAAACACAGACGTTTTGGCAGGTACTGAACAGAATTGCCTAACAGCAATCACATACTTGGAACAGTTAATTGCTAAAATACTGAAATGATAAGAACCTCTGCAATTCTCACGTTACCAGCCACACCCATGTTGCCGGTTGTGACCTGCCTGTCAGGTCCAGTCCCCTCTATCCTATGCTAGGATTGGGTTGCCATGACACCTGATCAGTAATCTTATCTGATGGATCGCACTGACTCAACACATCATAGCAATCATTTCCACAGCATGTTTGTTTGTTTTTTGAGACGGAGTCTTGCTCTGTCACCCAGGTTGGAGTGCAGTGGCGTGATCTTGGCTCACTGCAACCTCTGTCTCCCGGGTTCAGGTGGTTCTCCTGCCTCAGCCTCCCGAGTAGCTGGGATGACAGGCGTGTGCCACCATGCCCAGCTAATTTTTTTGTAATTTTAGTGGAGACGGGGTTTCACCATGTTGGCCAGGCTGGTCTCAAACTCCCGACCTCAGTAGAGATGGGGTTTCACCATGTTGGCCAGACTGGTCTCGGTGATGCGCCCGCCTTGGCCTCCCAAAGTGCTGGGATTACAGGCGTGAGCCACCATGCCCGGCCCACAGCATGATTTTTAAAAACGACTAATCATTAAAAAATTTTATTTTGTATCAACTATGTTGTTTGGATGCTTCTGGTGTGGGAAATCTCCACTGCATTTATGTACTGCCAAATTTCCCTCCCTGAAGGCTGTGCTAATTTAGGCTTCCTCTCGTGGGAGCACAGCTCAGGGAAGGGTGGGGCCCCAGGGACACCTACTTGGGCGGCTTCTCCACGGTGCGGTAGGAGTTGAAGGACTGCAGCTGGTTCTGGACCCCGCTAAGGGAGTTGGCCAACTGCCGGTCATTGAGGGTCACGATCGTTTGCTCGATCCACTGCAGCAGCTCCGAGGCCAGGGACTCGTATTTCTCCACCAGGCGCTCTGCCTCCATGGCATGGTCCAGCACCTGGGAGGCAGAAGACAGGGACGTGACAGTCCCAGCCACAGGGTCCCTGGCCCAGTCCTGCAGCTCCACCCTGCCCTTGCACTAGGGCAGTAAGACCCCTCAGCCGGGCCTCCTCTGGCCTTTATGCCTACTGCCCATGGACAGTACCTTGCCAATTCTCTTGCCTTCCACGGCCAGGGCCTTCATCTTGGAGAAGTAATGGTAGTAAGTAGCCACATAGGTAATGATTGACTTCTCATCTGGCTGGTCCACATTCACGTCTGCAAGAGAGGACCATTTGGGTCAGGCCTCCCAGAAGTTCATCCATAACTTGCATCACTTACCCCAAACCCTGGGCCTGCCCAGTCCTCCAAGGCTGACATCTCTCCATCTCCTTTTAGAGCAAAATGACAACTTACCCATTCAAATGAAAAGGGCACCAAAAAGCTCATCTTTTTTTCCCCTTCTCCTGGAAACAAGAAGGGCCCTCCAAGCAGAGCACAAACCCCAGAAGCACAAGGAAGCTTTTACCCAGAGTTCCCCGTGGAGACCAAAATCAGTTGTTTGGGGAAGAAAAGCAAGAAAAGAAACAGCATTGCTATGTGGGGATGGATCATGGACTTTTAGGCTAGAATAATGTTTAAGAAGTCAATGGATTGAGGGGCAGTGGGACGGAAGGTATGAACTAAGCCTCCTGAACCTAGGATGCTCAGATCGATGGGCCCTGTGATCCCTGCAGCTCAGTGGGGACAGAGGCCAGCTCTCAGCACCATCTCCAGGTGTGATCACGCCGTTTCTAACCTCAATCCTAAAGCTCAGCTGTGGGCCCAAGGAGGGGAGTGTCTTTCAAGCCGAATTGGCTTCCAGCGCACAACTGAGGCTGACCATAACTTGAAATCTGTGGGTTCTTTTAAATAGGCCAGATTTTATCCTAAAGGTAAGACTATGAGACCAGAAGCCTCTTGCCTATTTCTGGAAATACATGGGCAGGCAGGAGCCACTGAAGTCATCTCGGAAAGTTACAGAATGCTTAGCTTTATTTCCAGGTTCTGAATTACAGCCATGCTACCCAGAGGCTCTCCAAGGAGCACTGCATGAAGCCTATGTCTGTTGCTAGCTCGCTGACACTTGTCATTCTGCAGTAAAAAGGCCCAGGTGATAGGGCTACAGGTAGAATGGAAAACAGGGAGAAAATGGCCAAGACCAGTGAACATCCACCCAGTGAACTTAAGGAGCACCTCCAGCAGGCGAGCCTTTCTCTCCTCCCTGTTCTGGTTGCACCAAGATTGGTCTCCACTTTCCCAGAGGCAGCGGAGGAAACAGGCTCTGGAGCCAGGCTGCCTGAACGCCAATCTCAGCTCCATCTGCCGGAGGACCTGGGCAAGTTGCTTACCCATTATAGGCCCCCATCTTCTCTTCCATAAACTGAGGATAACAACAGTACTGATTTCAAAGGGGTGTTGTGAAGATTAAAACACATCAAGTGCAGAACCAGGTATCAAATAAGAGCCTAATCGCAGTCAGGCGCGGGGGCTCACACCTGTTATCACAGCGCATTGGGAGGCCGAGGTGGGCGGACCACGAGGTCAGGAGTTAGAGACCAGCCTGACCAACATGGTGAAACCCTGTCTCTACTAAAAATACAAAAATTAGCCGGGCGTGGTGGGATGCGCCTGTAATCTCAGCTACTCAAGAGGCTGAGGCAGGAGAATTGCTTGAACCCAGGAGGCGGAGGTTGCAGTGAGCCGAGATCGCGCCATTGCACTCCAGTCTGGGCAACAGAGTGAGACTCCGTCTCAAAAAAAAAAAAAAGAGCCCAGTGGCTGTTACTGATCTCATCGATCTCATCGGCATTATGACCAGAACCACAGGAACCAATCAGCAAGGTCAGCTGACTACAGGCCAGTTCTGGGTGAGAGTGGAAGGTCATGCAGCTTAATTTTTTTTCTTAAAAATTTGTTTTAAAAAAATAGAGATGGGTCTCGCTGTTGCCCAAGCTGGAGTACTGTGGCTATTGACAGGTGTGATCCCACTACTGATCAGTGTGGGAGTTTTGACCTGCTCCATTCTGACCTGGACTGGTTCAGTCCTCCTTAGGTAACCTGCTGGTCCCCTGCTCCCAGGAGGTCACCAGTGCTGAATTTAGTGTAGATATCCAATCAGCATAACCCACTGCAGCCTAGAACTCCTGGGCTCAAGTGATCCTCTCGCCTCAGCCTCACTAGCAGCTAGGACTATAGGCAGGTACCACCGTGGCCAGCAACATGTAGCTTAATTTAGAATCCTAGAATTTCAGAAGAGCCCTTAGAGACCAATTCTCTCTTTTAAGACATGAGGAAACTGAGCCACAGAGAGGCTAGCCACTGGCTGTATGTCACAGAGCTCCTCTGTGCTCTGCCTGGGACACAACCCACAGTCCAGGGCTCTTTCTGTCACTGGGCTGCCTTTCTTCCTACCTACAGTCTTTTGTTAAAAAAAAAAAAAACCTGAGAAATGATTGTCACACCATAAAATTCAACCTTTCAATGTATATAATTCAGTGGTTTTCAGTGTAAAGATATATATTTTTTTTGGGGGGGAGGGGTAGTCATGGGGTCTCACTATGTTGCCCAGGCTGGTACCAAACTCCTAGGCTCAAGTGATCCTCCTGCCTTGGCCTCCCAAAGTGCTGGGTGTGAGCAACCACGTGTTTTTCAGTATATTTACAAGGTTGTGTAACCATCACCACTTTCTAATTCCAGAACATTCTCTTCCCCCACCAAAGAAGCCCCTGTATCAGTTGGTGGTTACTCCATGTCTTCCCCCTCCGCAGCCCCTGGCAACCACTGGTCCACCTCCTGTCTCTACCCTACCACCTCTTTTTCACATAGCTCTGGCCCCACCTTCGGGATCCAGCAGCTTGGTAAGTCCCAGTTCCTTTTCAGCCAGATTGAATGCATTCTGCAGATTATAGTGTGCATTACACTTCTTCAGAGACTCAAAATCCAGCAGGTCTGGCCTGGGTGGGGAGGCAAGACAGAAGGGATCAGAAACATGTGAGATCTCGAAGAGGAAGAGGAAACCCACACCAATCTTTATCCCTAAGTCACCGACCCAATTTTGTCCAGAAGTAGGCATCCCAAACCCACACTGCTGCTCACAGCCCCTCCCCACACCACCTCCCCTGCTTCCCATCACAAGTGCTCTGCGCAGCCCTGCACCCCCATGTTCTGGTTCTGCTCCGAGTGCTATTCCTTCCGTCTGACTGCTGTGCAGCTCATCTCATCTCTGTCTCCACATGTGCACCCCAGGTCATTAGCCGACCCAGCAGCTCTGCTGCGTTTGCTAACCCCATCTTCTCACCGGTGTTTATGCACGATGGCGTTGAAAGCTAGTCCATCTCTCCAGCTGGTGGTGAAGTTGTGTACATTGACGTTGGGATAACTATAAACAGAGATTCAGAAAATGGTGAGTAGGGCTGAGCTCTGTTCTATGACTCCAGGGCAGTCACCAGCTCATGGTTCCTGGAGCCCAGCACAGCCTGGGGGTCACTGACCCTCCAGTGCCACACGCCCAGGGTGTCCTCACCCTGCAGTCTTCATCTGGCACCACAGAAGCAGGGCATCCTTGGCTGACTTCTTCTCCTTGTTGTCTTCTGTCTCCACACTGATGTCTTGGATCTAGGAAGGAAGCAAGCAGGGCCCTCAGTCCCTGGACAGGAACTCCTGGTGTTATCAGAGATGCTCAGATAAATGGCAGGAAACTGCTCTTTAGACTGTGGTAATGGGGTGGACAGGCATAGCCTGAGGTCCTTTCAACCTAGGCCAGGGACCACAAAACACTGGGTGCAAGGGATTTGAGGCAGCAGATTAGGGTAGGATGCTGAAGAATGGGTGTGTCTGAGTGGAGGGTGCTGGTCCCTCCAGGTGGGGAACTGCAGGCAGAAGAGTGAACATTTTCTGAGAGCTGGCTCTCCAAGGTCTCTAAAAGCTGGCTCTCCAAGGTGAAGCCGACAGAACCCGGGAAGGAAGGGGGTGATCAGGAACGCTGTGATGGCATGAGGACACTGGGGCATGAGGAGGAGGAGGGTGACTGTTCCATTGGGGGAGGCAGGCAGAGTTTATGGCAGGGAATTGGTGCCAGTGACCAGACCCTCTAGAAGTTCCCAAATCCCTGTGGTGAAGGACCAGTTGGTAAAACTTCCAGTCTCCTGTGGACCAACCTGTGGTCCTGGTCCCATTGCACACGACCAACACACAGACCAGAACACAGGGAATTTGCCACAGGGGTGTGACATTCACCCAAGCTGGTTTCTACCCTGCTGAAAGAGGGGAGTCCACTGATCTGGTGCTTGGATAGCGCCGCCATGGCAGCTGCTACATAAGGTTCTAGATCCTCCATCTTTGTGTTTGTTGTGTCATGGGCCAGCAGGAACGGCTTGCGGTGCAGAGCCAGGGCAGGAACCACACCCTGTGTGACAGTGTGCTGGGGTACCTGGAATCGAAGGATGATGGTCCAGACCAGCCCAAGGGTCAGTCGGTGGTTTCCGTCCACAATGTCATGGGAGCCCATGTTTTCCAAGTGCACTTTCTGCTCCTTGAGGAACTGCAGTGCCTTGTCCACGTTCTCCAGGCAGTGGATCCGCATGCGGCCCTTTGTAGGCTTTGGCTGTGGAGGGACGGGGGCAAAATGGCACGGGACTGTGGGCTTCCACCTTCTTCCCCAGCCTTCACAGGGCCCAGCTTTGCACACCTTCCCCATGACCTACCTCAGGAACACAGACAGGCACAGCCCCAGGGCTGGAGCCAAAGCTGAGCTTACAGATGAGGCTTGGGCAGATTAAGATTCCCAAGGGAATTAATTGCACCCAGAGTAGGTGGGAAAAGAAATGTTTTCAATGGGGCCACTGTTCCTGTCTCCATGAAGCAATGCTCCTATGTAATCTAAGTGGCAAAGGCACTTGAAATGAACCCATCCTCTGAGCAGAGGGAGCCACTGCTTCCCGCCCTGTGCCGTCACTCTCTCTGAGGGCTGTTCTTCCAGCTGGTCCCCTTGGACACTTTTCTAAGGCCCCCCCACTTCCCTTCATGACCACAGCTCACCAGTATCTCTCCCGAGAGCACCTCGAGGAGCCTCAGCAGGTTGCGTCCGTCCCGGAGGTCGCTGTACAGGTCCCCCACCCGGCACGTGACCCGGGCCAGGTGCGAGTTTACCCACTTGGTGAAGGTTTTCTTCTGCACAGCTTCTCGTTCATCTGTGGTGGCAACATGGGTTTATTTCTGTCCCTCGAGTTCAGTATGCCTGCTTCTAAACACCAGTTGGCAGGGGTGGGGGATGGAGAAGCCTGAGAGATGGGAAGCGGGGTCCTCTAAGGAGGAGGAAGGGAAGGAAGATGACCGGGAGGAAAGCCCGTAACTTGCAATGAGCTCATAAGCAAGGTAAAGAAGAAAGATGAAAGACAGAAAATAGGCGAAGGTTGGGTGTGGTGGCTCATGCCTGTAATCCCAGCACTTTGGGAAGCCAAGGCGGGCGGATCACAAGGTCAGGAGATCGAGACCATCCTGGCTAACACGGTGAAACCCCGTCTCTACTAAAATTACAAAAAATTAGCCGGGCATAGTGGCGGGCGCCTGTAGTCCCAGCTACTCGGGAGGCTGAGGCAGACTGACGTGAACCTGGGAGGGGGAGCTTGCAGGGAGCCGAGATTGTGCCACTGCACTCCAGCCTGGGCGACAGAGCAAGACTCCGTCTCAAAAAAAAAAAAGAAAAGAAAAGAAAAGAAAATAGGCTTTGAGAAGAAAGGATGAAGACCTTTCATCCTCAGAAACCATGGGACATGCAGGGAGGGGCTGGGATGGGGCAGTCGTGGAAGCAGTGGAATGCTGGTCAAGTGACTTCATTCATCAGAGCCCCAATGTCTCATCTGTAAAATGGGAACATCACTTTCTACTTCAACAGGTCATTGTGTTGATTAAATGAGATAAGGTATATAAAACAACTAGTTGGTGCCTGGCACAAAATGGCTCCTTGGTGAGCTGCTGTTATAAAGTGGTGTGATCTGGCCCGAAGGAGAGCAAGAGCTGCCCAGGCCGGTGGGAGGTATGGCTGTTCTCTTTTGGTTGCAGACAAAGGAGAAGGTGTGGGCTAAAATTATTGCAGCGGCTCTTCCAAGCGGTCATTAGGACTTGATGGTATAGAGGCTGCAGGCCTCCTGAGTCAGCTTACTGTCCTTGGATAACTTAAAGAAAAGGCAGGCTCCTCTGCTTCTGGGGGTTGGGGACAGTACATTCAGCTGGCTGCAAGGGGATCCAGTTCCAGGACATAAACACCCCATTGCTTAGAAGAACAAGATGTTGAGAGTTGGGAACTGGGAAAACAGTGAGGCCAGGAAACATGGGGGAAAAAAAGCCAGGCAGAGTTAGGTACCAATCTCAAAAAAAAGTTAGGCAATGCCCTGCTGCCCAGCCCACAGGGGAGGGGAGCTACTGAAGAGGGGAAGTAAATACTAGGTTCCGTAGGAAAATAAAAATTAAGAACGTTCTAAGTGACAAAGTGAAAGCATCAGAAACTGCTCTGGTGATGAGGATTTCTGCCACTTTCCCACAGAGAGCCCTGTGCAAGGACCCAACCCAAGTGGCTGGGGTCTGAAGAGTCACTTTTGCTTCCGTCTCAGCACCAGCATCTCAGAAACCGGAAAGACTCATCCCTTAATCTCACATTCCTAAGCACCTCACCCATAAGACACAGCAACACACCCACGTCGCTCCGTGTCTTTCACCTCCAGCCACTATACTGGCACCAAACCTGGGGTCCTAATAACATGGGACGGCCCCATGCTCCCCAGCACCCATGAAACCAAGGTGCCTTGGGGCCTCCCGGCAGGTCTACAGGCCCCATCTGAGCCAGGAGGAGCGTGGGTCACAGGCCATTGCTGGATCCAGGGGCACTGCCCTACTGCTGGGCACCCTGGGGTGAGGCCATTTTGGCACACAGTCAGAAGACACAGAATTAGTGGCAACTAGGAGGAAAATGGGCAAAGCCAAGCACCAGAAACCAAGTGTCACGTCACAAGACGCCCACAGCATCCCTAGATCCTTACACACACACACACAACAGTGATTCCCAAAAACACACCTAAGCACTTGTGCCAGAGTGAACACACACCTGCGCAGACATCTACCTGGGCCTGTTTGCACAGATCCTCTCCTTCGAGACACTCCCTTTGCTTCCACACACACTGCCCCCGTGTACACATTCAGACACACGCTCAGAGGCCTGGAAAACACAATCTCCAGGTCCCTGGGCCTGGCTCACCCCTCCGCCTCCCCTAACTGTCCTGGCCAGCGCTCCACCGCCAGATCCGGATCCACCTCAGAGGCACTGCTGGCGCCTCCCCAGGTGCTGGCACCCCCACGCCCTCCATGGCTAGTTGCCTTTGCTCCATGCAGCACCCCAAGGCCCGGCAGTCACACCCACCCATGCCATCATACACGGTCCCTGCCAGCAGGTCCAAGCCTTTCCCCATTCCGTTGACATCTGTGTATTTTCCGGCCTCTTGTAATTATCCCCTCTAAGCTGCATCACGTTGTCTCCCAACACAAACACTGGAGTCACACTGTGTCCTGTGCCAGGTCCTCAGCTCCGGCCACTCTCCCCACACCCAGGTCCCTCTCGCCCAGGCACAGTCGTCCCCACAGGGGGCCCCCGGGCCTCACCTTGCAGCTGTTTGAAGCGTCCTTCCAGCACGCTGGCATACTGAGCAGGGTTGATGAAAGCAGCTGGTGAAAGCAGGAGGCCCCCGGGGTTGTGGGCCCCTTCCACAGCCTCATAGTAAAACTCGCTGGCCTCATGCAGGCCGTTCCCGTGCACCCTGCTCACTCCGTTCCCATTCATGCTGCCAGCTGCTAGTTACAGAGCCCAGGGCCCAGAGTCCATGCTCCCCGCTGGCAGGGGGCCAGTTTCTGTTCCCCAGTGGAACCTCAGGCTGGAGTCCAGCGTCAGGGGATTCAAGAATGGTGGGAATTTCAAGGAGTGGCAAAAAGAGTTACGGGGTGTCCCGAACTCCTGAGACAGAGAGTGGGGGCACGCCTGGCTGCGGTGAGAGGAGACAGGCGGCTCCAGACAAACAGGTTGGACAGTGTTGGGGAGGGGAGAGAGGCGGAGTGTGGCCGGCGGGGGCAGGGCCAGGCCCTGCGGGGCGGCGGAGGAGGGCACTGCCAGCGCCTTCAAGACCCGCCCATCAGGCCCCAAGTTACCTAACAATGCACAGGACCCACGAGAGGGGCCCCCAATGCAAACTCCTGTTTCCCAGAGGTTTGCAGGAACAGCGAGGGCGACCCCTCTCTGGGTGACTCTGGGAGGTCCTTCTCCAGGATGTGTGGGCTTTGAGCCCCAGCTCAGAAACAGACAAAGAGAAATCTGGAAACGAGGAAATCCTCAAAGAGGAAAAGCCAGGCACTGTGCGAGGCATTTTCCTTCACTCCCTCATCTGTGAAACGAGGGCTGTTACCATCCTTTCCACTTGCTTATCACCACCTCCAGTGCCAGCCCCTTCCCTGCCCTCTGGCCCACCAGGGCCATCCTCCACCAGGCCATCCCTGCCCCCAGACGCCCCGCTGCTGGGCACATATACCAGGCGCCCTTCCTCTGGGCTTCAGCGTTTGTCATGTGCAGCCTACACTTGCCCTTCCTCATCTTCATTCATTCAGTGTTTATTTGACACCTACTGGCTGGAGACACAGTGCTAGGCAAATCCCATGCAGAGCTGCCTCTTCAGGAGAGCCCAGTTCAGTGGTGGAGATAAACACCCAATGAGAGCACGAGGTCACACAGATGTGTGCACAGACATGGTGACAGTGCTGGGTGGCCCAAGTTATGTGCAGCCAGACATGGTGACAGTCCTGGGTGGCATGTGTCCTATGTACACAGGCATGGTGAGAGTCCTGGGAGGCATGTGTCCTATGTACACAGGCATGGTGACAGTCCTGGATGGCATTTGTCATGTGTGCAAACATGGTGGGTGGCACATGTTGTACACACATAGACATCATGACAGTTCTAGAGGCTACATGAATCCAAAACCAGAGTGCCAGGAACATTTTCCCCAAACATGACATTCTCCATAACCCACACCTTCTGTCTTCTCTGATGTATAGACACACTGGTAGGAGTGTTTCACAGCCGGCCTGAAGACCCAACCAGAAGGACAGAGAGGCCCAGGAGAAAATGAGAAGGGGTCCTGGGAAGCTATGGCTGCCACAAGGGGGTCCTCAGACTGGTGCTGAGCTGGCTCAAAAGAATCACTTGGGGAGCTTTTGAAAAATCCTGAGTTCTGGACCAAGATTCTAACTTATTGTGTCTAGGGAGGGGCTTGGAAACCTGTATTTGTAAAAAACATCCCTGGGTGATCCTGTAAAACATGTGGCCAGGTTTGGGAACCTCCCCCTTGGAGTCTCTCTTCTTCTAGTGGCCAACCCCCACCCCCACTCGGAGCACCACCTCTCGGTGAGAGTAGCTGGGACCCCTCAGACTGGGTTGGGTTGGGCTGGGCTGGGCAGCCAGCAGGTCAATGGCAATGACAAGAGTGGGATGGAGGAGGAAGCCAGACGGGGTAGGTGGCCTTGGGGTGTGTGGGTGAGTCAGCCCCATGCCAGCCACTGGTGGTGTCAGGTGGCAGCCGCACTCTTGTTGCCATGACAACTCCTCCCCCGGAAGACAGGGAGGCCGTTGGACGAGTTTCCGCTCAGAGCGGAGAGCCCAGGCCCTGGGCTGCAGGGAAGAGTAGGAGCCAAGGCAGGCAGAGAGCACACCAGGGAGAATGGGCGGCTGCAGAAACCAGCAGCAGCGGGTGGAGGGAACCTGCTTCAGGGAACAGGCAGATGAGATAATGGGAGTAACAGGTGGCAGGTGGAAGGAACAGGTGGAGAGGGAGCAGAGGGGAATAATAGACTGGGAACAGGTGTGGGAAATGACAGTGGAAATCAAAGAAGACACAACAAGGGCATGACAGGTAAGGGAGAGGTAGGCGGAGAAAGGAGTGGCAAGAGCGAGAGTGCCGAAGGATGAAGGGACATGACCCGGGGGCTGAGGCCAGAGAGGGAAGCTGTTTTAGTCAGCTCAGCCAGTCCAGGGGCCAGTGAAGCGTCTCTATGCTTGGGGGGAAGAGCTGGGGAAAGTTCTGAATGGCCTGGAGCCTATTCTTGAGGCTGGATGTGGGGACCAGGGAATTGATAGAGTGCTCTGGGTCTCCCACTTAGAAAGAAAAGTCAGTCTTCCCATAAAGTTAAAGGGCTCTTCATGACGAGCTGACAAAGCCTCCTCCAGCATCCCCCCACCTCGACCCTCCTCTGACCTCACCTGCCAGAGCCTTAATGCGAGACCTCTCAAAGAGGCGGGCCGAGCTGCTGTCATTGTCCCAGTCCGAGTCAGGAAGGTCCCAGCGGTTGTTGATGTCACTGTACTGGCCCTGGATTTCCAAGCTGTCAAAGTCTGTGGGTGACAGCGTGCTGCTCATGGTGGTAGGCGGCTTCCTGCTCCTGCAAGGAGAATGTGGCCAGTGAGGGGTGTCCAGGGACCACCAAGCCCTCCACTCACCACCGGGGCCTTCTGTCTTCTTGCCCTACCTGTGCTCCGCTCTCCTTGTGGCCAGAGGCTGCGGTTGGCTGCTCAGTGGAAATCAGCCCCCAGGGGAAGAGGGGAAGCCACCTGGGAAGCCTGGGGACGGGAATACATCAGAAGCACAGAAAGTGAAGCAGGAAGGCAGCAGCAGCTCAGAGCAATGCGGTGGTCAGGAAAGGCTCCAACGACTTCGGGCCAGAGAGGGACGGGTTTGCGGGGTGAAGAAAGGGGTGATGGGCTTCAGTGCTTCAGACAGCAGTGTGCAGCCCAGGGTAATGCAGGCAGCACATATGGGGCCCCACAGGCAATAATGACTAGAAAGTGGCATTCTTTCCTTCTACAAACTGTTTTGAGCCCATGATCAACCCAAGATGGCCTACTATACCCTGTAGGCAAGTTGAGAGAAAAAGACCCAGATTTGTTGGGCGCGGTGGCTCACGCCTGTAATCACAGCACTTTGGGAGGCCGAGGTGGGTGGATCACCTGAGGTCAGAAGTTCAAGACCAGCCTGACCAACATGGTGAAACCCTATCTCTACTAAAAATACAAAAAATTAGCTGGGCGTAGTGGCAGGCGCCTGTAATCCCAGCTACTCAGGAGGCTGAAGCAGGATTATTGCTTGAACCTGGGCGCACCTTAGAGCGAGACTAGTAGAAAAAAAAAAAGACCTAGATTCTGCTCTTGAGTTAAGAAAAAGTTATGATACGCCAGGAAGACTGACACACTGTTTAGCAAGTGCCCAGGAGTTCAAAGGAGGACACAGTATGCTTCTCTCCGCTTTGTTTCCTTTGGTTTGCCACAGAGAATGTTAGTAAGTACTCAATAAATGTCGGCTGTGACATATCCCTGCCATTGACATGCATCACGTCACCATAACTCCCTGTGGGGTGAGGGCCCACTGTTGTCCCCATTTCATAGATGAGGAAGCTGCACAAAAGATATTAAGTTGGCTGGGCGCGGTGTCTCACGCCTGTAATCCCAGCACTTTGGGAGGCCAAGGCGGGCGGATCACAAGGTCAGGAGATCGAGACCATCCCTGGCTAACACGGTGAAACCCCGTCTCTACTAAAAAATACAAAAAATTAGCTGGGTGTGGTGGTGGGTGCCTGTAGTCCCAGCTACTCGGGAGGCTGAGGCAGGAGAATGGCGTGAACCCAGGAGGCGGAGCTTGCAGTGAGCCGAGATCTCGCCATTGCACTCCAGCCTGGGCGGCAGAATGAGACTCTGTCTCAAAAAAAAAAAAAAAAAAAAAAAAGACATTAAGTTGGCTGGGGGCATTGGCTCACACCTGTAATCCCAGCACTTTTAGGAGGCCAAGGCGGGTGGCTCACCTGAGGTCAGGAGTTTGAGACCAGCCTGGCCAACATGGTAAAACTCCATCTCTACTAAAAATACAAAATTAGCTGGGCGTGGTAGCACACGACTGTAGTCCTAGCTACCGGGGAGGCTGAGACAGGAGAATCACTTGAAACCAGGAGGTGGAGGCTGCAGTGAGCTGAGATTGCACCACTGCACTCCAGCCTGCGAGAGAGAGTGAGATTCTGCCTCAAAAAAAAAAAAAAAAAAAAAAGACATTAAGTTACTGGTTCAAGGTCACGCAGCCGGAAGAAACAGTGCCGGGTTTTGAAAAGTTCTTTCTGACTCTGGGGGACACGCTCTTAATCGCAGCCTCTTGAACATAGAACATACACAGGTTCCTCAACCGTCTTAGAGGCTCATCCCAGACGGATGAGCAGCCGTGGCTCCTGCCTAGGGCCCAGGCTGGGGAAATGTGGACCAGCACTACTTACGGCTCTAACTTACGCAAACACACTCTGTCCTCAAAACTAAAAAATGAGGTTCAGAATATCTGCTGGGGATAAAAAAAAAAAAACCTCTACTGTCCAAAGTTCTTGTGTAATTTAGCATTCAGCAGCATTCAAGAGAGGAGGAGGGGACTGGGTCTGTAACTTTAACAAAACCCCCAATTTTGCATTTCTCCTAGCCCTACTTCCTAGGACCAGGGCTGTAGTCTCGGTAGTCTCGGGTTCTGGAAGGAAGGAGGTCTGGAGAATAGAGAAGTGCTGGGTGGTGAGACTCAGGTAGGTGGTGAGACTCATGGGCACACAAAGGCAGAACCTGGCTTCCATCATTAACTGATTCCATGAAGCTGAACCTGACCTACTTGAAGGTCAGGGTTGTCTGCCCCTCCCCTTTCTCCTAAAGAGAAAATGTGCACAAAGATTTTTCTTGGGAGGAGCATTAATGAGATGCAAGAGAGCTAAGGTCTAAGGCTTGTAGATTTGGGCTTTAATTCCCTGTAGAAGGAAAGGGAGCTTAATTTCTACGAGGCCTAGGACTCTTCTCATTCAAAATCCACCATTTCTCCCCACAGATTCTCTGGATTTGTTCTGTAAATATTTATATAAAAATATATTCTAGGGCAGAGTTGAATCACCCTGAGTAAAGAGTGCTGTGGGCAAGGCATGACCTGAACTAGCGTCACCTAATACTCTCAGCTTCTAGACGGGAAAGTAGTCCACACCTCAGGACCAAGTGTAATTCCATTTCTCTCGGCCTCTCAGATTAGTGCTTCCTAACCAGCAGCCACACTTAAGCTCAGCTCTGGGATGGACATCTCCAGCACTCAAACTCTCTCTGCACAGACCTGCCCACAAAAATGCCTACACCCAAGTTCCACCCTGCCCCCGCTTCGGTTTCCATGACCCCTTACTAGGAGTCACAAACTTACCAAGGCTAGCCCCCAGGAGTGTTTTGCTGGGCCAATAAGCTATTTTTAAATGACTGATTTTTTGGCCGGGTGCGGAGGCTCACGCCTGTAATCCCAGCACTTTGGGAGGCCAAGGTGGGCAGATCACCTGAGGTCAGGAGTTCGACAGCAGCCTGGCCAACAAGGCGAAACCCCCGTCTCTACTAAAAATACAAAAAATCAGCTGGGCATGGTGGCAGGTGCCTGTAGTTCCAGCTACTCGGGAGGCTGAGGCTGTCAAATTGCTTGAACCCAGGAGGTGGAGGTTGCAGTGAGCCAAGATTGCGCCATTGCACTCCAGCCTGGATGACAGAGTGAAATTTGTCTCAGAAAAAAAAAAAGACTGATTTGGATTCCTTTAGATGGGTCTACAGACTCAGCCACTTCACATATCTATGTTACCTGCCTGGCCCCAACTGTTGAGGTTTGCAAACCCTGCCTCATATTTTTGTACTCCACAAAGAGCAGAAACTCAAAGAAGCTAACCATCTGACCCTGTCTCCAAACCACAGTAGCTCTGAGGCCCCTGTAAGCTGCACAGAACCTAAACATGGACTGCTTAGGCTTATCTTTGGGGATCCAACTTGGTCCTCCCAAGGGGAGGGGCAGACAACCCTGGCCTTCAAGCAGGTCAGGTTCAGCTTCATGGAACCAGTTAATGATGGAAGCCAGAAAGGTTCTGCCTTTGTGTGTCCATGGGCACACACCTCCCTACCTACCCGAGTCTCACCACCCATCACTTCTCTCTTCTCCATACCTCCTTCCTTTCCAGAACCAGAGACTGCCAAGACCACAGCCCTGGTGGTAGGAAGTAGGGCTCAGGAGAAATGCAGAATTGGGGGTTTTGTTAAAGTTACAAAGGGGCCCAACTGGGAGCCAGACCCTCCAGGGAAGTCCAACTGTTAGAATGTCTCTGCGGATTCCTACCATTACCAGGAGAAAGTATGGAGCTAGAACCTCCTCTTCCCCCAAATAAAACCTCAGCCACTTAAATGCTCCTCTCTCCAAATTGAATTTGAAGCATGCATGCTGTGTGTTCTGAGTTTCCAGAAATGCTGTGATATGGATCAGGAACCAAGCTGGCACTGGTGTCCTTAGATCACAGACCCCCACAGGGCCACCATGTTGCAACTCCACAGCCTTCCATGTGAATGGTGCTCTCTGGCATTGTTCAGCATGTGGCTCTGAGGCTCTGCTACCTTTGTGTCTCTAGGTCTTGGTTTCCAAGCATTCTGGCTCTGTAGCTCCCTGGCCTTTTGGACAATATGCTGTGTTCTCAGCTTGTGTCCCCTGCTGCCATCTCTAGATTCCCACTGATTTCTATTTGCTTTTCTCCTACACATATCCAGCGCTGGTTTCTTGCCACTGAGTAGATCATTCCTCACCTATGACCAGGGTCTCCATGCTCACATTTCCTCAGTCGGCCAGCAGCCCCCCAGCTTCATGACCCCCTGTCATGAGGAAGCTGGAGAATCCTCAATCGTCCTCTCTTCCACAGATTCCTGAAGTCTGGCAATAGGGTGGTGCAGTAGCTAATCCAGATTACAGTCTCATCATACCTTATTCTTAGCAATTGACCTCAAGGCCAGGCCCAAGTAGCTTACACTGTTAGTGCTAGAAGAATGCCAACCCCCGCCGGCTGCAGGCTTGGGGTCCTGCTGGAATGTACTCCAGGCGCTGCTGGAGGCAGACTAGGCTCACCGTGCCGATCCTCCAGGGCAGTTTTCCTCTCTTTCAGCTGACATGTTAAGCTAGAAATCCTATACCCTGGGCTACAGGCTGCCTTGTATCCTAATTCTTCCTCTCACCACATCCTGCTCCTGATGAATTATTTCCCTCCCTCAGAGTTGATCATTCCCTCCTCTGTGCTTCCAGGGCACTTCGGCATGCAGCTAGTATTGTACTTATCACATCGCATTACGGTTAGTTGTTTACGTGTCTCTCTGCCCGCTCCACATTTAACTCATTGAGGACAAGGGCTGTCTTACTCGTTTTGGTGTTTTTCCAGACTCAGTACAACAGATATTCAATAAAGAGATATTGAATGACTTGACTATAATTCATTTTTTTTGGCCATGGAATTAATGTCTTTCTTAGGACTAGAGAGAAGCTCAAGGAAAGAATGAACACGGGATTGGAGAAGACCTGCTCCTGGGCTGGAATACTTTCAGGGTTGAGCTCAACAGCTCAGGTCTGGGGATTCTCAAACTTCCATGAATCACAACAACCTGGAGGACTGTTAAATCACAGGTCACCCCCCCATCCCCCAGTTTACGATTCAGTACTTCTGGGGTGGTACCTGGGAATGTGCATTTCTAACCTGTTCCCGGGTGACACTGAAGCTAATGGTCTGGGGACCACACTTTGAGGGCCACCCTTGTCCAAAGATGAGAAGCAGCTGGAATTGGTTAGAGGAGCCATGAGTGTTGAGAAGACACAAAGTTTCAGGGGTGAGTGTGACCCAGGGTTAGCTTCTAGGTCTGCTCAGGCCCTACCCCACACTAAACTCAAATATCACTTCCCCTCAGGAGCTCAGGCGATGGGAGAGGAAGATGAAGATGGAGTAGGTACCACAGGTAATGAAAGAAACAGCACAGCGAACCGCAGATATGCGGGAGGAGAACGGCAGAGCTAGAGAAGTCACGGGAAGGCAGAGTTGAACAAATGACAGTGAGATGAATAATAGATTAGAAGAAATGGGGACTTTGGCAAAGTTCAAATCTTATTTGCTTCTAAGTATAAATGGGTGGACTGGCAGAGAGATAAAACGAAAAAGAAGTCACAAATCAGCTCAGGGCCTCCAGGAAGGCAAGAGAAAGATGGGCCCAGGGCAGAAGGAAGGAACAGCAAAACCCCGACCCACCTCTCAGACTGTGTTCCTGATCAATTCCCTCGGAGGAAGTTAGGAACTGGGCTGAAGAGGGGGACTGAAATTTTATTTTCTCTTCTAGAATCCTCCAGTTATGGCAGATTTATTCAAATATTCAGATTCTTCACTCCCTTGCTATCTCCCTTCCCCAACCCGGGGTCACATCAATTTCTCTAAGGGAAGAATGTAAACTCCATCCTATCTTCTCCTCGGCCAATCCTTTGCCTTTCTGAATAAGCCAAGAGGTTGCCCCACACCTCAAGCTAAGACACATATTTGGAACTCACTCTGCCCCTCTTCACCTTCAAGGAAAACTGGTTTGTTGCTACCTCTGCCCATACCTGAAACCCCCGGGCTCTCCAGCGTTGGAACTGTGGCTGCTCCGAGAGGGGGAGGGCAGACGACATGTAGCAGGTTAAGACCGGGGCAAACCTGCACCTCACACAAGCATGCAATGTCCTGGGGTCAATGGGGTAAAGTTCCAAGCGAGTGGAAGGTAAATCACGACTGTGGCACCGGAGCCGGAACACCCCCGCGAGCAGGCCTTGCTGGGTAGTTCCGTGCGGGGCGGACCGCACAGCCCTATCAGCTTCCTGGCCACAGAAACGCCGCACGCGGCCGCTTCCCCGCCGCCCGAAGCGTCTGCTTTCTCCCCGGGCCAGTTCCGGCCACCACAGCCAACCGCGTGCCCCTCTCCCACACACTGTGGGGGAACAGAAGGGAGCGCGTGGAGCCAGCTGCCAAAGAGGCGAGGAGGAGCCCACGCGGCTCCGGGGAGGAGGGAGCCCGGCTCCCGCAGTCCGCCGGGCAGAGGCGGCCGAGCGCGCCCCCAGCACCTGGCCCGGCGCCGGCCCGTCCGCCCCGCAGCCCCGGCGACGCGAGGGGCCGGCGCTGTCAGACCCGCTCCCAGCCTCGCCGCGAACGTGTCCGTCAGCCCTAACTGTTCCAGACTCTTCTCCCGGCTCCAGAGAGGCCCGAGTCCCCCCCCCTCGGCCTTGGCCCCCACCGCCCTCATCCCGGTACCTGTGTGGCTGGCACGGGACCCTCTCCGTCCCGTCCCCGCCTGCTCCCGCCCCGGCTCACCCCGGCCGCCGGGACCCGACCCCGACCCCGACCCCGACCCCGCCGACCGCACGCGGCCGGACAAAGCGCGCCGCCCCGCGGGCCGGGACAAAGCGGGCGGGGCGCCGGCACCTACCTCGGCGCGGAGCCGCGGCCGGGCGGGCGGGGGCGCGGCGGGCGGGGGCGCACCGGTAGTTGCCGCGCCTGCAGCCCGGCCGCGACGGGCGGTTGCAGGCAGCGGCCGGGCGCACGGCGGGCGGCGGGCGGGCGCTGTCACGGGGCGCAGGCGGCGCGGGGGGCGCGCGGGGCGGGCGGCGGCGGGGCGCGTGGCGGCGGCGCGCGGGCGCGAGCGGCGGGACTGCGGCGCCGCGGAAGGAGGACAATAGCCTCCCCCTGCCGCAGGCCGCCGGCTCCCGCGGGAGGCCCGGGACCATCTGGAGCCGGCGGCCCCGCGGGGCTCTGGGCGGGGCCCGAGTCGCCCCTTCCCCGCCCAGCGCCATGGCAACCGAGGCCCCTCTCGGTGCTCCCCGCCGCTCCCCGCCCGGGGTAGTTGACCTGCCTCGGGGCGAACGCGGCAGCAGCTCCGAGGCCGGCTGCCGACCCCCAGCCACCTTCCGTGCGGGGTCCCCCCAAAACCCCGCCTTCCCGTCCTCGCTGGTCCCTGGGTCCCCCACCACAGCTTACAGGTCTTGATCTCCCCGGTTCGGACACCTCACCTTTGTCCCTATTCTGCTTTTCCTCCAAAATCCGTATCCCCGAGACACGCGATCCTTCCTCTAATGACACTGCCGACGAGGTTTCCCGAGATCCAGCCTCCGTTCCCCTTTCCTCTCCGGGCACCTCCAGTCCGTCTCCGCTAAGCATTCCTCTCACCCGTCCCCTCGCTCTCGCGTCCTCCTTCAGGCAGCTGGGCCGGCTCTCCCTCCCAGAACATCTCCATGGCACAGTGAAGATTCGTCTTCTACAGATCAGATGCTCCAAACAGGCATCTCAGCGCTTCTCAGCTCCTCTCATTTATCAACCAGGAGAATTCCGGCCTAGTCACCGTCTTGAGGGGGGTGGGGGTGGGGGCAGACATTTCTAGGCCTGACACGGCTGGGTTTCTCCTTGGTTTGTTAGCGTCTGAGTGGTCTAAGGTCCAAGGTCCTTAACCAAGGTGAACTGCTGCCTGCTTAGGAGAGGAAGGAATTATGCCCAAATCATGACAAACTCACAGAGTGCCAGGTGGGTGCTAAAAGCGCATCATCTCATGTGACACTCCCACCCCCACTCCAGCTCTGAGAAGTAGGTGCTGTTCTTCCAGATTAGAGAACTCAGCTCAGAGATGAGCCAGTGGTAACAGGGTGAGCTTTGTACAGAGCCGTTAGGTTATGTACTGCCCCTGAAGATGAGGGCCCGTTTCTATCCAGGGAATGCCTGAAATGGTCAAGTAAGGGCACTCAAAGAATGGGCTTTGAGTGAATTATTGGATTTAAGGTTTTATAATAGATTTATGGGTAATTTAGGATTTTGCTCCTTTCTGAAAAGGTATGCATACTGAAACAAATATGTGCAATTGAAGTACTTTCCAGATATGGTTTTGACAACCCTAACTAGTGGTGTCATCTACCTCGCCTTGGTTTTCCTAGTCTATAAAATGGGTTGGGAGGAGGGTTGGGGAGTTCCATTGAAAGATTACTTTGAAGTTCTCTCCTAGCTCTGATATCTGTGCTTCTACCACGAAACTGGAACTGGCTCTCTGGTGTGTACCTCACAGTTAGCTGCATTTGAGGCTATTTATTATTATTATTATTTTGAGACGGAGTCGTGCTCTGTCACCCAGGCTGGAGTACAGTGGCTTGATCTCGGCTCACTGCAACCTCCTCTTCCCGGGTTCAAGCAATTTTCCTGCCTCAGCCTCCCGAGTAGCTGGGATTACAGGTGCATGCCACCATGCCCGACTAATTTTTGTATCTTTAGTAGAGTCAGAGTTTTGCCATGTTGGCCAGGCTGTTCTTGAACTCCTGACCTCAGGTGATCTGCCTGCCTCAGCCTCCCAAAGTGCTGGGATTACAGACGTGAGCTGCCGTGCCAGGCCTGAGGCTATTTATTATTTTTAATAGCCACTCTTTCAGGCAATGGCATTAAAGAAACAAGGGCATAAACTGCAACTCTTCCCAGAGGTAGGATTATGTGTTGGTTGGTTCGGGGGAAGGAGGCACCAACCTGTGCATGACGGTCATCAGGGACACTTGGTCAGGGACATTAAAGCTGATGGGATGAGAATCAGCTGCCCATGGCCAGGCGCAGTGGCTCACCCTTGTAATCCCAGCACTTTGGGAGGCCGAGGCAGGTGGATCGCGAGGTCAGGAGTTCAAGACCAGCCTGGCCAACATGGTGAAACCCCTTCTCTACTAAAAATACACAAATTAGCCAGGCGTGGTGGTGGGCATGAAATCCCAGCTACTCAGGAGGCTGAGGCAGGAGAATCGCTTGAACCCGGGAGGCAGAGGTTGCAGTGAGCTGAGATTGTGCCACTGCACTTCAGCCTGGGCAACAAGAACGAGACTCCATCTCCAAAAAAAAAAAAAAAAATTAGAGAATCAGCTGCCCTGCCAAAGGAACTGGAACCACCAAGCTGCTGCTGCTGTACTGGTTACGGGAACTAAGGGTCTCAATGACAGCCTATAATATCGTGACCCAATTAGAAGTCAAGGGTATTAAGTCTTATGATTAGCAAAATAATATCTTTTATAATTTCCTATTTTCAGCATTTCATAATCCTTCAAGAAGCCTTGTAAGATAAACATTCTCATTCTTATTCTATTGATGAACAGACTGATGTTCAGACACCTAAGTGAATGTACAAGTTCACAGAATTAGTTCATGGTAGAAACTCCAGGTCTTCTGAATCCTAATATGTTCTTTCCTCTCTGCTAGACAGGGAGTATAGCAGAATGGTTAAAAGCATTGATTTTGGAGTCAGACTCCTTGGGTTTAAAACATAGTTCTGCCACCCACTGACTATGTGACCTTGGGCAAGTTACCTCCCTAGGATTCAGTTTCCTTACATGTAAAATGGCACCATAATGTGGGGAACATCAAATGAATTATTGCAGGTAAATGAATTATATGCAGCACATAGTAAGCACTTAATCAGTATCAGCCGTTATGATTTTACCGTATTATTTCCCATACTGTTTCCCGATTTGGAGAGGAAGCACATTGAATAAAGAGAACACTGAGATCACCTATCTCAGCTCTGTGACTGGGTTGCTTTGGAAACTTGTTATTTTGCTCTGTAGTGAACCAGTACAGTCAATGATGAAGAAAATATCTGGTTCCTTCTTATTTGAGTTGCAAAAGCGAATGGAATGATATCCACCAAGTTTGTTGAGCTTCTCAGTGAATCCACATTTGCTGCTTACATTACCAAGATTCATGGAAAGGTTTTGGCTCTGCCCACCAAACATACATACATAGCCGAATTCTCAGTTCTTGTTTCAATACCAGGGAAGAGGTGTCCCTCTTTTCACCTAAGATGGATTCTTCTGGCTCCTATGCTAAGTCTCATCCCCTTCTGCAGCCTCACGGCCCTCACTGCTGTCTCTCAGCTGGTTCCTTCCCATCAGCATTTAAACATGCTCAAGCATTTGCCAGCTTAAAAAATAATCAAGAAGCCCCGACTTCCCTCCATGCATTCCCCTTGCTCTTTATGTTCACAGTCTTCCTGAGTCATTTGCACTCATTGGCTTCACTTCCTCGCCCCTGCTCAATCAAATATTTATGCAAAAACTATATGGCTAATTATATACCAGGCACTGTGCTGGGATCTGGGGATATAATGATGAGTAAAATGGATACTGTCTGTTTTCTCTTGGAAGAGCCTGTGGTGGGATTGACAGACATTAATAAAATAACCCATCAGATATATAACCACAAAGTATAATGAGTGTTATGAATGAAAAGTTCAGGATGTTAAGAGAGAACTGAACAGAGTCATAACCTCAGATCACCTGAGCTGAGATCTGAAATATGAGAAGCATTAACCAGACAGAGTGGGGAATAATAATAGCTGTTACTAACATTAACGTGGAACTGTATTTCTAATACTTTACACATAACATTTCATTTAATCCTTTATAACAACTCCAAGAGGTAAGTATTAACCCCATTTCACAGATGAGGAAATGGAGACATTGAGAGATTAAGTACCTTACTCAGGGTCATCAAACCAGGCAAGGGTAGAGCTGGGATTTTAACCCAATCTGACCCTTGAACCCATGTTCTTAGCCACAGAGCATATGGCTAACAGGCCTGATGTTGCAGGACACATGGTGTACATAGGAAATGGAGAAAAGAGGCCGGGTGCAGTGGCTCACGACTTTGTAATCCCAGCACTTTGGGAGGCCAAAGTAAGCGGATCACAAGGTCAGGAGATTGAGACCATCCTGGCTAACACAGTGAAACCCCTTTTCTACTAAAAATACAAAAAAATTAGCTGGGCGTGGTGGCATGCGCCTGTAATCCCAGCTACTCGGGAGGCTGAGGCAGGAGAATTGCTTGAACCCGGGAGGCAGAGGTTGCAGTGAGCTGAGATCATTCCACTACACTCCAGCCTGGGCAACAGAGCAAGACTCTGTCTCTCAAAAAAAAAAAAAAAAAAAAATGGAGAAAAGAGGCTGCGCGCGGTGGCTCACGCCTGTAATCCCAGCACTTTGGGAGGCTGAGGCAGGTGGATCACCTGAGGTCAGGAGTTCGAGACTAGCCTGGCCAACATGGTGAAACCTCATCTCTACTAAAAATACAAGAATTAGCCGGGCGTGGTGGCAAGTGCCTGTAATCCCAGCTACTCGGGAGGCTGAGGCAGGACAATCTCTTGAGCCCAGGAGACGGAGGCTACAGTGAGCTGAGATTGTGCCACTGCACTCCAGCCTGGGGGACAGAGTGAGACTCTTTTTCAAAAAACCAACCAACCAAAAAAAAAAAAAAAAACAATACAAAAGAAATGGAGAAAAGACCAGGGTGCAGGGAAAACAGAGGGGAAGAGGGAATGTGTAGAGAATTGCGACTGGGGAGATAGGCAAGGGCTAGATCATGCAGAGCTTTTTATGTCATTATTTAAAGAATTTTGATTTTCACCTTTAGAGCCCTGAGAGACTATTGAAAGGTTGAAATAAGGAAGTGATAGGATCAACTTTGTATTTTAAAAAGGTCACTGTAGCTGCTATGGGGGGAATAGGTTACTCCAGTTGCTATGGAGGGGTGCAAAGATGTGTGAGAAACCAGTTAGGAGGCTACCACTGTGGGTAGGGTGACAGAGAAGATGGTAGCTTGAACTCAGTTGCTGGCAGTGGAGATGGAGTGCACAGGTTGAAAGAATTAACCAGATGTGGTGATGGGATAGATACAGGGGTGGTGGTGAGGAAAAAGGGTTAGTCAAGGATGAGTTGTGCAACTGGAATAATGGAGCTACTATTTGCTGAGATGAGGAATACTCCAGGAAAACCAGGTTTGGGTGGAGAGATTGTTGGTTTTGGAACCTAGGTTTGAGGTATCTTTGAACCAATCAAGTGGAGATATTGAGTAGTCAATTGTATATGGGCGTGGACTTTAAAGGGGAGGTCTGGACTTAAGATACCCATTTGGAATACATCAGTGTAGAAATAGATGGTAATTGAAGGGGATAGATGAGCATTGATACAATTGACTTAATCCAATGCAACAGAACTTCCACTCTAAAGCTGCTTTCAACAAGGTTGTCAATAATCCTATTGCACCTGGCTAACAAGGTGAAACCCCGTCTCTACTAAAAATACAAAAAATTAGCCGGGCGCGGTGGCAGGCGCCTGTAGTCCCAGCTACTCGGGAGGCTGAGGCAGGAGAATGGCGTGAACCCGGGAAGCAGAGCTTGCAGTGAGCCGAGATTGCGCCACTGCAGTCCGCAGTCTGGCCTGGGCGACAGAGAGAGACTCCGTCTCAAAAAAAAAAAAAAAAAAAAAAATTATCCTATTGCAAAATCCAGCTGTTAGTTTCCAATTGCTGTCTTACTTCTCCTCTTGGCAGCAATTGACTCTAATTATGCCCTGCTTCTTGAAATTTTCTTCTTTTGTTATGGGGTTGCCATTCTCTTGGTTTTCCTTCAACCCTTGTGGTCCTTCTCTGTTTCTTTTGTGAGTTCCTTTTCTGCTTGTCGCTTAATTTTGTTATTGATGGTGGTGTTTTGTCTAGGCCTTTTCTTATTCTCTGCGCTCTTCCTGGGCCATCTTATCTACTGTGCGGCTAGAGTAGTCTCTTTAATACATCAGACAGATCATTCCTCTTCTGGAAACCCTTCAGTGGCTCCCCACTGCCCTTGGGACAAAGTCCAAAGTTCTTAACCAAGTTTGCACACCCTGCTTACCTCTCCAGCCTGGTCTCTCACCACTTGCACTTGGCACTCTGTGTCCTCACCATAAGGAACCTCTTAGAGTTTCCCCAGTGTTTATGGGATTTTGAGCATGCTCTTCCTTCTGGTTGGAATCGCTCTTCCTCTTCCATTCACCCAATGTTTACTCATCCTTCAGGTATCAATTTAGATGTTACTTCCTCTGGAAAGCCCTCCTTGAGCTCCAAGTCTGGGACAGGGGCATTCTGAGAGCACTCCATACTGGATTGTCACTGCCCATTGGTTGTGTTCTCTTTTACAGCATGAGCGCCATGAGGGAAGAGAACACAATTATTTCACAGTTGTATCCCCAGCAGAGCAAACATATAGATATCTGTGCAATAAACTAATGAATGGAAGAAAAGACCTTGGGAGAGAAGAGGAGTCCTTATTGTCAGTAGATGAAACAAAATGTTTTCATATCAAATGATGTATTTCCCATTTCTTTTATCCCTAATCTATCTCCATCACTTAAGCAGCAGCAGCAGCAGCAGCAACGGCAACAGCAAGTAAGTGCTTTGTAGATGCACTGCCCTCTGCATAGGGATGATACAGAGAGATCAAAGTTAAATTCTTCACTTTGGAACCCTTTATTAGACCCTTTAAAATCTACAGCAGAGAGCTGGGCACAGTGGCTCCTGCCTGTAATCCCAGTATTTTGGGAGGCTGAAGCAGGTGCATCACCTGAGGTCAGGAGTGGGAGACCAGCCTGGCCAACATGGTGAAACCCTGTCTCTACTAAAAATACAAAAATTAGCCAGGCGTGGTGGCGCATGTCTGTAGTTCCAGCTACTTGGGAGGCTGAGGCAGGAGAATTGCTTGAACCCAGGAGGCAGAAGTTGCAGTGAGTCGAGATTGTGCCACTACACTCCATCCTGGGTGACAGAGCAAGACACCGTCTCAAAAAAAAAAAGAAAAAAAAAAATTAAGGAGAAGGGGGCTGGGAGGAGAATCCTAAGAGACTGAGAGACTGAGTTTAAAACTTGCAACGATTGACGGCTGGGCATGGTGGCTCACGCCTGTAGCCCTAGCACTTTGGGAGGCTGAGGCAAGAGGATTACTTAAGGCCAGGAGTTCAAGACCAGCTTGTGCAATAATAGTGAGACCTCCATCTTTACAAAAACTTTAAAAATTATCTGGGCATGGTGGTGTATGCCTATGGTCCCAGATACTTGGGTGGTAGAGGTGGGAGAATTGCTTGAGCCTGGGAGGTCGAGGCTGCAGTAAGCCATGACCATGCCACTGCACTCCAGTCTGAGCAACAGAGTGGGACCCTGTCTCAAACAAACAAAAACAAAAAACCAAACTTGCAACGATTGCATTATTTATTTTTTTTAATCATCCAGCTCAAAATGTCAGATTGCGTTATCTTGATTGGTGAAGTTAATTCTTTTTTAGCTATCAGTAGAAATGAGAGCTGACGAACTAAGTTGAGAAATAAAGAAAATGACATATTTCCTCACTTGAGTCTATGACTTGAAATTGTAAACAAGCATGCTGCACAAGTAAAGGTCGGAAAGGTGGCTTGCTAGGGGAGCCTGATAGCTTCCGAGGACTGACCTGATTTCCTGTGATTACTTAGACCATGAAGTCAGCTTGGTCTTGGCCAGCTTGGGGCATGGTTTGCAAAGGATAATCAAGTATTCGAAAGCAAAAGTCTGCAAATGAGCCAAGATAAAGTGCCACATCAGATAGGGAATTCTAACAGGTGGGGGTAGGTGGAGGTGGGGTACAGAGGACTGAAGACAGTCATGCCTTGAGCTCCCTTACACAGTGTAGAAAAGTGTGGGTTCTCAGAGCCCCAAGGGATGTTCTAAGCTGAGCGATGCTGTGAGTGCATGCTGCTATTGATGAAATCGGAGAAAGTAGAACCGATTTGAGAACATGGAAATATTACATCCATTTATCTTTCTCCAGGTGGGACTCAAACCAGCACTTATTTATGGACGATCCCTCTCAAACGATTTTTAACTTGCAAACCTAAATGCCATTAAAAACTGGGCCCATATGAATGATTCAGACTCATCTGGGAGCAGTCTGGGACCAACCATGATTCTCAATACCTTTGAGTTTATCAGTCAATAACGAACCACTTTTTCTTCCAAGAAGCTCATGCCACTAACCCCTGTGAATACACAGACCTTTGAGAAAGTGTCTTAATTTGTTCAGCAGCAATAAGAAAAACAAGAAAAGAAAAAGTGTCTGATTACACTCATCTGCTTAAAATAAATTTTGATGGCATCTGTTTAATACTAATAACTGAGGGGGAAGGCTTCGGGGTTCCTCAGTTGAATTGCACTAGAAACTGAGTTGTACTAGAAAACCCAGGGCACTCAGAGAAGAATAGGTTTTGTGTACATCTTTGAAGCTATAGACATTTGAGGTCAGTTTTCTGTATCTCAGCCTAATTTACTTGTGCTGTGGCGCACAGCTAGTAGCTAGTCATGTCAACTACTATGGCTTCTGAAACTTCCAGGGTGTGAAGATATCAGACCGTGTTTGAATTCTGGTTCATCTTTTTCTAATTGTGTGAACTTGGACAAGGTATTTAACTTCTCTAAGCATGAGCTTCCTCATCTGTAAATCAGGGATAATTTTACAGAAGGAAGTTGTGATGAGAAATTAAATAGTGCTTGTCAGATGCATGACACCTGGTACCAGATAAGGGCCCAATAAGTGTTAGCTATTACTGTTATCATTATTTTACTTGTTTTGTATGTAGGCAAACCTTGCCTTAGGTAAAGTATAATGTATGAAAATCTAGATTTGCATAAAATGTTAAAGGGGGAGATTATTTGCATTACACAAGGATTCTTCAGTTTATGAAAGAACTGATAACAGGGTTTCTTTTAAACAGTCAACTTCTCAGTATGTCTAAAATGATTTGATTCATACAAAACTTGGCTTATACAATGTTTTAGGAACACAGCTAGCATACAAAGCACAGGATATCTATAATACAATCATTCAGGCCAGGTCTGAGCCACTGTGACAAGTTAACAATTACACTCCTGGGTATTCTCCACGCCCCTTTATAAAGGGATTAGATGGATTCTCTGTGGGTTCAACAGGCAGATCTGGGACCAATGGGTGGAAGACATGGGGCAGAGAAAGGGAGTAGACTTTAGCTTGATATAATGAAAAACTCTCTACAAAACCACTGCTGCCCAAAGCTGGAATGGGTTGCCTCTGAGGCGGCAAATTTCCCAACACGAGATATTCAAGTAAAAGCTAGATACCAACTTGTTATGACTGTTAGAATGATTACTGCATGAAATAGAGAGGTGAAGTACGTCAGTGTTTCCCAACCCTAAACACACTAAATACACTATGTAAACTGGACCAACACTCTACCTTGGATACCAGAAAGAGGTTGAGGAAGGAGGTAGAGAGAAGCTAATCAGGAGAAGAGGTGGGGATAAAGGAAATGAGTTGAAAAAAATATTGCTTCTCTGGCTGGGAAATACTAGATTAAATGACCTTTAAGATTTCTTCTAATTTAGGCCGGGTACGGTGGCTCACGCCTGTAATCCCAGCACTTTGGGAGGCCGAGGCAGGTGGATCACCTGAGGTCAGGAGTTTGAGACCAGCCCGGCCAACATGGTGAAACCCCATCTCTATGAAAAATACAAAAATTAGCTGGGTGTGGTGGCAAATGCCTATAATCCCAGCTACTCAGGAGGCTGAGGCAGGAGAATCACTTGAACCCGGGAGGCAGAGGTTGCAGTGAGCTGAGATCACACCACTGTACTCCAGCTTGGGCAATAAGAGCAAAACTCGGTCTCAAAAAAACAAACAAACAAAAAAAAGATTTCTTCTAATTTAAATATTCTAAAACTCTGATTGTTTCATAGACATTATTTTAACTATATTTCTGGGAGGATTTTCCTATTTTAGGTATGGAAAACTAAAACATAACACCTAAAGAAAGAGGTAAAATGGGAAAAGAATAGAGACATCCTGACCCTTTCAGACCTTTGATCCCATAGTCTCTTTCCAATTGGTGAGAATGAAAGTTGGGGAAACAGAAGTCAGAAGTGGCCTTAACGCCAGAACAGATGAAAATCAAATTGACTTTATTATTTTTAAATTATTATTATTTTTGAGACGAAGTCTCTCTCTGTTGCCAGGCTGGAGTGCAGTGGTGTGATCTCAGCTCACTATAACCTGCACCTCTCGGGTTCAAGCAATTCTCCTGCCTCAGTCTTCTGAGTAGCTGGGACTACAGGTGCTCGCCACCACGCCCGGCTAATTTTTGTATTTTTAGTAGAGATGTGGTTTCACCATGTTGGCCAAGATGGTCTCTATCTCCTGACCTCATTACCTGCCTGCCTCGGCCTCCCAAAGTGCTGGGATTACAGGCGTGAGCCACTGCGCTTGGCCATTATTATTATTTTTTGAGACAGTGTCTCACTCTGTTGCCCAGGCTGGAGTGCAGCAGCCCAATCTCAGCTCACTGCAACCTCTGCTTCCCAGATTCAAGCAATCCTCCCACCTCAGCCTCATGAGTAGCTGGGACTATAGGTGCTCACCACCATGCCTGCCTAATTTATTTTTTGTAAAGGCAGGGTTTGCCATGTTGGCCAGGCTGGTCTTGGGCTCCCGAGCTCAAGCGATCTGCCCACTTTAGCCTCCCCAAATGCTGGGATTACAGGCGTGAGCCAACGTGCCGGGCCTAAGTTTTAATTTTTTTAAAGATGAGGTCTCATTATGTTGTCCAGGCTGGTCTCCAACTCCTAGGCTCAAGCAATCCTCCTGCCTAGGCCTCCTCAAGTGCTGGGATTACAGGCGTGAGCCACTGTGCACAGCCAAGTCAACTTTTAGAGATCGGTGAAAAATCAGCTCAACTAAGGTTCCAGAAAACTAGCTTTAAAGACTGTACACCTGTATCCCTGGCAAAGTGCTTCGGAGTACTGTAATCACACACAGTCAGGATGTCTCAATTCTTTTCCCATTTTACCTCTCTTTAGGTGTTATATTTTAGTTTTCCATAGCTAAAATAGGAAAATTCTCCCAGGAATATAGTTAAAATAATGTCTATGAAACAATCTGAGAGTTTTAGAATATGTGGAGTCAATGTCCTCTTTAATGAGGCTGCTGGAAGAATTTTTGTCTCAATTAGCCTACCTGTCTTTCAAATACAGTTGATCATCTGGTCTTTGGATCAATAGGTTTACTTGACCATATGTGACCACATTACAGTGCTGTTTGCATTCCCAAGGTTTCTAAGTCACAAAGAATACTTCTCTTCCAGTGGACATCAGCTGGCAGGACAAATCCAGCCCTACTTAGAGATAAGGTAAAAAGCCAATTATAGCCTGGGCGCAGTGGCTCACGCCTGTAATCCCCCCAGCACTTTAGGAGGCTGAGACAGGCAGATCACATGAGGTCAGGTGTTCGAGACCAGCCTGGCCAACATGGTGAAAGCCTGTCTCTACTAAAAATACAAAAATTAGCCAGGTACGGTGATGCATGCCTGTAATCCCAGCTGCTCGTGAGGCTGAGGCAGGAGAATAGCTTGAACCCAGGAGATGGAGGTTGCAGTGAGCCGAGATCCTGCCACTGCACTCCAGCCCAGGCAACAAGAACAAAACTCCTTCAAAAAAAAGCCAGTTACACAGGGCAGAACCACTTTGTGATGTAGATTTTATTGGCTATCTAGGCAGAGGAAAAATTGGACAATAATAGGAAAGGAATGAAATCTCCTGGGCTGGCCCAGCACCTGCTACTGGTGGATGAGAAATCAGACTTTGTGCAAAGGGTGACTTGGCCAGGAAGAACAGGAAGTTAGTCAGTATCATAGTCAGTTATTCAAGGAGAGGAAGAAAACAGGGAATGGGGGTGAAGAACGAAATACTCGAGTTATATAAACTTTGGTACTGTCCCAGGAAAAGAATCTCTCTTTTCCCCTAAGTCTTAGAAAGGGGAAGAACAGATGCTGTAGTCCAAGAATTGCACAAAAGTCAGCACCATTATGGCCTCTAGTTGCCCCCATTAGCCCAATAATATTCCTCTGCTAGAACATCCCTGTCTGACCCCTGATAAGAAAGCAGAGGGAGGTGAGTGGTGAAGCTGCCCCAGATTCTGTGCTCCAGGTGGAGAAGGCCTCAAGAAGGTGAAGGGATGAGCTAATCTGAGCCTCATGGCCCCATTTCCAAGGATGTGATTAGTGGAGAGTCACCTGGGACCTGCTCCATTTCAGGAAACCCGGTTATGGGAACTGGTATGGGACAGACTTTGCTCAGGACCCGAGAGAAGCAGTTAACCCTTTCCTACTGTCTGGATGGGAAACAGCTTAATAGTTGCTTGGTTCTTTCCCAGGGGAGGGAGTCTTCAAATGGACTTCCTTTTGCATCAGCTTGGAAAGGCGGACCTCAAGGATATTTTCTACTTAAGTTCCTAGGGTCAGCCTCTTTAGGGCATTTGAAAGCTCTAGGGGAGCCTAAGAAACAAGGTGGGGCCTTAAGAAGTGTCTAGGAGACACAGAGAGGGCACATTCAAAAGGAAAGCTCAACAGTCCCTAAAATGTCATTGTTCATCTGGCAGCACTCCCTAGGATGTTCTGGTTCCACTCAAACCCTTGAGTTTGGGTCAGAATCAGTCTTGGGCTCTTCTTATAGGGGGGCAGGGAGTGTGTCTCAGACAGAGGGTTTCTTTTTGGAATAAACAAGATATCCAAAGTAGACATGTGATATGGTTTGGCTGTGTGACCATCCAAATCTCATCTTGAAGTGTAGTTCCCATAATCCCCATGTGTCATGGGAGGGACCAGGCGGAGATAATTCAATCATGGGGGCAGTTTCCCTCATCCTGTTCTTCTGATAGTGAATTAGTTCTCAAGAGATCTGATGGTTTTATAAGGGGCTTCCCCCTTCACTGGGCACTCATTCTTCCCCTTCCTGCTGCCATGTGAAGAAGTATCTGTTTACTTCCCCTTCTGCCATGATTCTAAGTTTCCTGAGGCCTCCCTAGCCATGATGAACAATGAGTCAATTAAAACTCTTTCCTTTATAAATTACCCAGTGTCGGGTATGTCTTCATGAGAATGAACTAATACAACATGAAACAGTAATATAAATTCTGAGGTGGGTGCAGAAATGGAAGCAGAATCAATATGTCACCCAGTCTAAGGACTGGAAATAACTGGCTCCCTACAGACACTGCCAATAAATGAGACCTGGAAGGCCAGGGCTGAAAATATCGAGAGCCATACTCAAAGCCTCCTTGGTTGGCCTAGTTAACTAAGGTGACCTTAACCAAGGGCAGGTCATTTAGTTTCTTTGGGCTTCAAATTTCTTCATCTTAATAGATAACTGATAATTTCCAAAGTCCCTTCTGGCTCTAACATTCTAGTGTTCTGAGGATGAGGTCTGAGCAAAAAACCGTTTTTAAAATTTTAATTTTTTTTTTGAGACAGGGTCTTGCTCTGTCACTAAGCTGGAGTGCAGTGGCATAATCATAGCTCACCGCAACCTCCAACTCGAGGGGCTCGAGATCCTCCCACCTCAACCTCCCAAGTAGTTAGGACTGTAGGCATGCATCACTGTACCTGGCTAATTTTTAAATTTTTTTGTAGAGACAGGCTGTCACTATAATGCCCAGGTTGGTCTCAAACTCCTGGCCTGAAACAATCCTCCTGCCTTGGCCTCCCAAAGTGCTGGAATTACAAGCATGAGCCACCATGCCTGATTTATTCATACAACTTCTTCTTGGATTCTCATTTTTATCATTTCTAAAACAAAGATAACATCTTTCTTACAAGATTACAAAATTGGGAGAACTGCTTAAGATGAATAAGAAAAAGTGAAGAGCACTTAGCACAGAGTGGATTCTCACCATATATCAAGCCTATATTGCATGCTGCCTGAATACGTGGGTTTACGCTACGGAAGTCCTGATGGCAAACCCTCATATCGAAGGCTTCCCTCCTTGCTTCTCCCTATGTCCAGTAGGGAGGACAGCTGTGTCCCTGGCTACCTTTGAGAGGCCTCCACTGCCTCTAGGGTGGTATTGGGTGCTCCATTACACCTTTATCCCTGAAGTTCATTCCAAGGACAAGGGCTGAAAGCTAGAGGCTCATTTCCAAGGACAAGGGCTGGAAGCTAGGAAACCAACTCATCTTCATTCTCAATGCCATTCTCAAGGTGGAGCATTTTCTGCTGGGCCAACACTCACAATGATAATTTTTTTTTTTTTTTAGACAGAGTCTCACTCTGTCAGCCGGGCTAGAGTGCAGTGGTGTGATGTCAGCTCACTGCAACCTCCACCTCCCGGGTTCAAGCAATTCTCCTGCCTCAGCCTCCCAGGTAGCTGGGACTACAGGCACATGCCAACACGCCTGGCTAATTTTTGTATTTTTAGTAGAGGTGGGGTTTCACCATGTTGGCTGGGCTGGTCTCGAACTCCTGACCTCAAATGATCCACCCACCTGGGCCTCCCAAAGTGTTGGGATTACAGGCGTGAGCCACTGCGCCCGGCCACGATGGGAAATATTTTAAAGAACCATCCTCAATACCTTGGTTTCTCACCCATAAAATAGTGACGATAACAATTTTCTTACAAGATAGTTGAGAGGATGACATCATTTATGTAAAGAGCTAGTGGGGTCCGACAACAAGCAGTCATTCAATGTTACTGGTCCCTTCCCCTTGGCAACTCCTCTTCTGAAAAAGGACAAGAGACTGGGGGTGGGGATGGGGAGCTCTGCGGGGGGTGTGGGGGGAATGAAAGGAAGACTCCAATGATTCCTCAAATGCCAGCTGTTTATCAAGTTTGATGGTTACGATGGATTTTCCAGAAATAAAAGCTACCTTGCTCCAATAGGTCTACCTGTGAGCAACTGAGATGGGGAGGAATGGGGAGGAGCGCTGAGCATAGACTCGAGAAGGGTATGATTCAGGTCTCGATAGACAATGTTCTTTGGAGTAGCACCAAGGTTGTGTACTGGGCAGGCACTCTGCCAGCTCGCCAGCCTGTTCTGTCCAATCCTGGCGTCTTGGAGCTGGGGTGGAAGAATTTTTCCTGAAGGAAAGCAGCCAACACCCTGTCCCACCCTTCTCCTTGGGCAACTCTTTGCCAGGCAGGAATCTCTCATCAGGGTTTTCTTTTGGCTGTCAGATCACCAGCAGTTATAGGCTTAAGCCCCTGTCACCATGCCCCTCCCGGAACCTGGCAGAGAGCAGCAGCTGGGACTCTGCAGGACCTCCTTATTCCAGCCAGGAATGCACTTGGAAAACCCCAGAGCTTCTCCTGTCAGCCAGAGCCCAGAAAAGCCAGCTCCTGGTCTTGGCACATTCAGTGCAGTCAAACGTGGAAAGGGGCCTGGATAGGGAGGGGTCGACTCCCAGGTCCCACCTTTGCGGGGGAAGCTGGTCCCCCTGGATTAGGCTGGGAGATGCTTGGGGCTGGTTGTAAGGTAAAAGACGGGGGGTCGTTTTTTCTTTTTTTGAGACAGAGTTTCGCTCTTTTTGCCCAGGTTGGAGTGCAATGACGCGATCTCGGCTCACTGCAACCTCCGCCTCCCAGGTTCAAGCAATTATCCTGCCTCAGCCTCCCGAGTAGCTGGGATTACAGGCGCCCGCCACCACGCCCGGCTAATTTTTGTATTTTCAGTAGAGACGGGGTTTCACCATGTTGGCCAGGCTGGTCTCGAACTCCTGACCTCAGGTGATCCACTCGCTTCGGCCTCCAAAAGTGCTGGGATGACGGGCGTGAGCCACTGCGCCCGGCCCAGGGCGTCGTTTTTAATTTCAGATTAGTAATTTTTTAGTATATGTCCCAAAAATTGCCGAGATATGTGTATGGTTATAAAAAAAATTCGCTGTCTATATGAAATTCAATTTTAATTGGCCGTCTTTTTCTTTGCTAAGTCTGGGACCCAGGGCTTGGCCTGGGGCAGCCCCCGCCGCAGACAAGGCTGTTGGAGGGGTCACGAACCCGCTTGGTAGCCCCGCGCCGTTACCGTCGCCCCTCCCGGCCGAGGGAAGGGTCCTGGAAAGCGCGAAGGGCGGCCAAAGCCCGGATTAGGGCCAAGGGCCGCATCTCGCCGCCACCGTGGGAAACTATCTTTGAGAGGAGGGAGGAGTCGTGGCCTGGCCTCATTCCCGCTCACCTCCAGCCTTGGCCGCCTCTCGCGGGCTCTTCCCCGCCCCGAACCTCCCACCTGCGGGCCCACTGGCACCCGCGGCGCTCAGAGGCTCTAGGTGGCTCCCGGCGGCGGTTCGCGGTCTCGGGGCCCTGCAGCGTCGAGTGCGCAGGCGCGGCGGGCAGGTGGGCGGGGCGTGCGCGGGCGCAGGCGCGCGCGCGGGAAGGGATGGGCTCGCGCTGCCGGGCGTGGGCGTGGACTCGGGCGTGGGCACTGGCGGAGTTCCAAGCCCGGGCTGAGGAGGGGGCGGCGGCGGCGGCGGCGGCGGCGGGCGGGTACCCTTCGACTGGGCGTTGCCGCTGTTCCCTGCGCGGCATGGAGGGGACGGCCGTGGCCGTGTTCGAGGTGATGCTGGGAAGGGAGAGAAAGCGGAGGACACTTTCTGAGGAGACGGGCTTTGTGAGGAGACCGCGAAGTTTGGGCAGAGGGGTCGGGCGTCGCCTAAGGTGAAGGAGGAAGGTTCGGGAATCGAGGCCCGTCTCCCACGGGGAAGCGAGGAAGTAGGAGCAGATGAGGGCTCTCGCTCGCGGGGTACTCTGTGGGGGAACGACGCCCTCTCTCCAGCCTACGGCTCAGAAAGCTGCGGCGTTTGCCGAGCACCGGCGGACACCCAGGGGCAGAGCCTGACGCAGCCTCGGAGGTGCCTGCCGGAGCCCAGCGCCTTCCATGCACCGGGTGCTGGGAGGGGGCGCGGAAAGAAGGAAAGGAATGGGGCAAGCCCTGGCGTTGCGGGGCGGGGTGGGGGGAGTCGGGGCGCCAGGACAGAGGCAAGGAGGGACCCAGTGCAGACTGGGAGCGAGGGAGAGTTTTTTTAGGCCCCGGTGCAGGTGCAGGTTTCTGGGTTCGAAGCAGCTGGACGTGGAAGGGCGAGGTTCAGAGGCCACACCTGTGCTCGGGGAGCTGCTCTGGAAGACGGCACTGAGCGCCTGGCGCCGGCCACGCCCCGTGTGCTCATTTCATTACCCACTTTCACGGCCGGTGCCCAATGGGACGTTGAGCTGCTGTTTGTGAGGGGTACTGGGCAGGTGACAGAAGCACAGGCTCTGAGGGCACCTGAGAGAGTACCCCCGGGCGTCCTGCCTGTTTGTTGTCATCAAAGAAGGCGGCGGGATTCCATTTTACAAATAACCGAACCTAGGCTAGAACCCAGGGCGCTGACTCATAGGCCAGTGTTCTTTTCCCAACTGCGCTGTCATACCGACATGAGAATATCTTTAGGGTTTGTTTGTTTGTTTGTTTGTTTGTTTGTTTTTTGAGACGGAGTCTCGCTCTTTCGCCCAGGCTGGAGTGCAGTGGCGTGATCCCGGCTCACCGCAGTCTCCGCCTCTCGGGTTCAAGGGATTCTCCTGTCTCAGCCTCCCGAGTAGCTGGGATTACAGGCGCACGCCGCTACACCTGGCTCATTTTTGTATTTGTAGTAGAGACAGGTTTTCACCATGTTGGCCAGGCTGGTCTTGAACTTCTGACCTCAAGTGATCTGCCCGCCTCCGCCTCCCAAAGTGCTGGGACCGGCGTGAGCCACCGTGCCCGGCCCGATATGGGAATATCGTAACAGAGGACGTGTGAAGGAATAGTTAGACTCTACACGTACCTGGAAACCATTCTTGTTAACTGGTACAAATGAGGATCTTAGTTCCCAGATCTCCCTGCCTTTAAAAAGGGGGTAATAATTTTCCTTGTGTTGCCTCCCTGTAAAAGTGAGAATCTGTTTGCATGAATAATAATGGGAGTTGGCCGGGCGCGGTGGGTAGCCTGTATTCTCAGCACTTTGGGAGACCGAGGCGGGCAGATCACTTGAGATCAGGAGTTCAAGACCAGCCTGGCTAACATGAGGAAACTCCGTCTCTGAAAAAAATACAAAAATTAGCGGTGGCTCACGCCTGTAATCCCAGCACTTTGGGAGGCCGAGGCAGGCGGATCACCTGAGGTCGGGAGTTCAAGACCAGCCTGATCAAAATGGAGAAACTCCGTCACTACTAAAAATACAAAATTAGCCAGGTGTGGTGGCACATGCCTGTAATCCTAGCTACTTGTGGGGCTGAGGCAGGAGAATCGCTTGAACCCAGGGGGCGGAGGTTGCAGTGAGCTGAGGTCGCACCATTGCACTCCAGCCTGGGCTACAAGAGCAAAACTCCATCTCAAAAAAAAAAAATTAGCAGGGTGTGGTGGCAGGCGGCTGCACTTCCAGCTACCTGGGAGGCTGAGGTGGGAGGATCACCTGAGCCCGGGAGGTTGAGGCTGCAGTGAACCATGATGATGCCATCACTGCACTCCAGCCTGGGAGTCAGAGTGAGACTCTGTCCCCTCTCTCCCCCCAAAAATAAATGAAATATATTTTATTTTCAATTTGTCTCGAATAAATGTGTTTTTTTTTTTCTTTTTGAAACGGAGTGTTGCTGTTGCCCAGGCTGGAGCGCAGTGACCCAATCTTGGCTCACTGTGGCCTCCACCTCCCGAGTTCAAGCAATTCTCCTGCCTCAGCCTCCTAAGTAGCTGGGGCTACAGGCACACACCACCACACCCGGCTAATTTTTGTATTTTTAGTAGAGATGGGGTTTCACCATATTGGCCAGGCTGATCTTGAACTCCTGACCTCAGGTGATCCACCGCCTCAACCTCCCGAAGTGCTGGGATTACAGGTGTGAGCTACCACACCCGGTCGATTAAATGTTTTACCCAGACATCTTGGAGTCCTGTTCAACTTAAAATATTGTGTGTAGTCTTTACTGCATTAGAACTTAGAAATAATAGCTAATATCTGTTAAGCATTTGCTATTTGCCAAGTACTGTGTTAAGCATTTTGCACATATTTTTATTTAATTTTTTTTTTTTTTTAGTAGAGATGGGGCCTCACTATGTTTCCAGGGCTCAAGCGATTCTCCCACCTTGGCCTCCCAAAGTGCTGGGATTACAGGCATGAGCCACTGCGCTCAGCGTTGCACGTACCTTATTTGTTTACTTTCAGCAGCAGCCCTATGTGGTAGTTTTATCCCCATTTTAATAGATGAGGAGTCTGTGGTTTGGAGAGATTAAGTAATTTGCCCAAGGTCACATGCTAGAATTTGGCACATCAGGGATTCAAATCCAGGTGTGGAGTGCAGTGGCCTGATCAGGGCTCACTTCAGCCTCAATCTTATGGGCTCAAGAGATCATCCTGCCTCAGCCTCCCCAGTGGCTGAGACTACAGGCACACGCCACCACGCTGGGCTAATTTTTGTTGTTGTTAGTAGAGATAAGGTCTGCGTATGTTGTCCAGGCTGATCTCAAACTGTTGAGCTCAAGTGATCCTCTCACCTCGGCCTCCCAAAGTGCTGGGATTGCAGGCATAAGCTACCGCGCAGGGCAGCATTAGCACTCTTAAATAGTATTCTGACCCTCAAAAGTGTTGATTTAATGAAAGATCAAGATGATTCATAACCAGATGCCACTCTTATTCATAGTCTTCATGTTGGCTTTTATTTGGGGCAGGAAAAAAGAAACAAGAAAAACAAACTCCCACTTAATTTTTCCCTAATTATTATTTCCAGATGAATTTATCTTCTGAATAAAGGAATTTATTGTCTCAATTTCCTGTCTTACTGGGCATTATGTTGAATTTCACTGACTCTTTTCTTATGTCACTCTCCTAGCTATTTATTTTGTTTAGACACAATACTCTGAACAAACCTAAATCTGACATTTTAGAAGCAAGAATACAATTTTTGGGGGGAAATTAGAGTTACTAATTTAACTGGGTCATAGAGATGTATTATTACTGTGATTTCTAAAGAAGATTATGTTTTCTTTGAATTGTGCTCTTTTCAGATTTTGAGATTTTTAATAATTCACTGGAAGTGTGACATAGATGTATCAAAGGGAGCATTGCTAGAAGGGCAGCTAGTGATTTCCATAGAAGGATTAAATTCTAAGCACCAGGCAAATGCTCTTCATTGTGTAACAACTAGTAAGTAGAGAAAGAAAAAATATTTTCTATCTCTTTTGTCATGGTTTATGTCGTAGCTTATTTAAAAATTTCAATTAGAATCTTTTATCATGTTATTCCAGGATTGTTCCATAATTATAAAATGAAATGATTATGTAATAAGTGTCTGGTGGTAGATTTACAAATGTATCATACAGGAAAGGTGAGTAGTTGAATGACTCTTACCATAGATTATTTATTTTACTGGTTTAAGTTAAAATTGCTCAGAAACAATCTTATTTTTCTCTTGATTTTAATCTACTTTGTCACAGCTAAATTATATTACATTGAGCTTTACCTACTTTTTTTTTCCCAAGTCTAAATTTTGGCAGTAGCAAAAAAAAAAAAAAAAAAGGAAAAATGATGAATGGTGCATACTGTGATTAGTTTGAAAATATCTCTTCCATTTGGCTTTCATGCTTTTATCATTTTTGCCTGTTGTCTTTGAGGGAAACCTGATGCAGTGAGTGGCTCTGAAGCATGAATTTTCTTAAACTTGAAGTGTTAGCTTTTTGTGTGTGTGTGTGTGGTGTGTGTGTGTGTAGGTTTATTGAAGGGTACTTTGGATTGAAGTTGCCCCTTCAGGCTTAGAGAAGTCACTTGGGCACCAAGTTGAGATTGGATAGTGAACTAGGCTTTACAAGACATTTGCTTACCTGAACAGGAATGACCTGTCTTGTCTTTGTGTATTAATATTAAACATCTTCAAGAGCAGTATGACAGGTTGGTTTGCTCTTACTCTGCATGAACTGCACTCTGACTGGCAGGGTTCCCACCACTCTTGAGAGAAATGCTTGGCTACGTGTCTAGGGTGATGGTTGGTCTGTGTGTGGTTGTAATAGTCTAATCCAATAAACTCTGGCCAGGGTAGCAAGGTTGATTTAATTCAAAGCAAAGGACTTTAGCCACAGTAGTTTTTGGCAAGAAACTCGATTCTGCATTTTGAGCCTGATGAACTTCTTTAGCCCACCTAGAATAGGGGGCATTTCTCTTCTCTTTATTGTCTCTGAGCTTTAAGTAATTATGGTTATAATTATTTATTTATTTATTTAGAGATGGAGTCTCACTCTGTCGCCCAGGCTGGAGTGGCGCAATCTGGGCTCACTGCAACCTCTGCCTCCTGGGTTCAAGCAATTCTGCCTCAGCCTCCTGAGTAGCTGAGATTACAGGCAGCTGCCACCATGCCTGGCTAATTTTGTGTGTGTGTGTATTTTTAATAGAGATGGAGGTTTCACCATATTGGCCAGGCTGGTCTCAAACTCCTGACCTCAAGTGATAGTGATCCACCTGCCTCTGCCTCCCAAAGGGCTGGGATTACAAACGTGAGCTACCGCACCCAGCCTATGTTTATATATTTTTTTTGGGTAGGAAACGTGGTGATACATGCTTGATAAAAAACATTACAGAAACATATATTGTGGAGAGTGAGACTTTCTACACATCTCACGCCTTTGAGATGATTATTAACATTGAGTATATATTCTAGATTTTCCTTTTTCCCCCTACTTGCCAAGGATAATCTGTCTTCTAGATTTTTCTATGCCTACGTTCTTAGTTATCAATATCCATTTTTTAGAACTAGAACTATACTATACATATGACTGTGCTATGTACCAGTACTTTGTGGGCAGCATTTCATGTTAGCATAAGGGATCTATTTCATTTTTTTTGTAAAAAAATGTACACTTATTTAGTTTTAGTTTTTGTCAGTTACACACACATATGGTTTTGGCTGGGTGTAGTGGCTCATGCCTGTAACACCAGCACTTTGGGAGTCTGAGGTGGGCAGATCACATGAGGTCAGGGGTTCGAGATCAGCTGTCCAAAATGGAGAAACCCTGTCTCTACTAAAAATATAAAAATTAGCGGGTTGTGGTGGCACACACCTGTAATCCCAGCTACTCGGGAGGCTGAGGCATGAGAATCACTTGAACCTGGGAGGACAGAGGTTGCAGTGAGCCAAGATCGCACCACTGCACTCCAGCCTGGGTGACAGAGTGAGACTCCATCTCAAAACAAACAAACAAAAAACCCGACAGTACCCTGCGTGCTTCCCCCATCTCTCCCTTCCCATCTTTCTCCCTCCTAGAGGCTAATACTTTTAACTCTGTTAATTGATTATTTAATATTTATCTTTGATCTAAGTAACATGTTTGTGTTGTTGTATCTTTTTTTTTTCCCCCAAATATGGTCTCACTCTGTCACCCAGGCTGGAGTGCAGTGGCACAATCATAGCTCACTGTAACCTTAAATGCCTGGGCTCAAATGATCCTCCTAACTCAGCCTCCTGAGTAGCTAGGACTACAGGCATGTGCTACCATGCCTGGTTGTTTTATTTTTGTATTTTTCTAGAGACAGGGTCTCTTGCTATGTTGCCCAGGCTGGTCTGAAACCCCTGGGCTCAAGCAGTCCTCTCACTTTGGCCTCCCAAAGTGCTGGGATTGCAGGTGTTAGCCACCACGCCTGGCCAAGATGTTATTTATTTATTTATTAATTTAGAGACAGGGTCTTACTCTGTCACCCAGGCTGGACTGCAGTGGTGCAATCACTGCTCACTGCAGCCTTGACCCCCTGAGCTCAGGTGATCCTCCCACCTCAGCCTCCTGAGTAGCTGGGACTACAGGCATGTGCTACCATGCCTGACTAATTTTTGTTTTGTTTTGTTTTTGTTTTTTGAGGCAGAGTCTCACTCTGTCACCAGGTTGGAGTGCAGTGGCGCCAGGATCTCGGCTGGCTGCAACCTCTGCCTCCCAGATTCAAGCGATTCTCCTTTCTCAGCCTCCCAAGTAGCTAGGACCACAGGTGTGCACCACCACGCCCAGCTAATTTTTGTATTTTTAGTAGAGACCAGGTTTCACTACGTTGGCCAGGATGGTCTCGATCTCTTGACCTCGTGATCCACCCACCTCAGCCTCCCAAAGTGTTGGGATTATAGGCGTGAGCCACCGTGCCTGGCTGACTAATTTTTTTTTTTTTTTTTTTATAGAGATGAGGTCTCCCTATGTTGCCCAGGCTGGTCTTGAAGTCCTGGACTCAAGCGATCCACCTGCCTCAGCCTCCCAAACTGCTCGAATTATAAGCATGAGCCATTGTGCTCAGCCCTAAATTGTTATATCTTAATTTTCCTTTTTATAGGCATTTATTGATTTTCCACCATAGAGGATGATGGCTCTCTTTAATATCTTCACCTCTACCATGTGTCTTTCTTTTAATATAGTTATAATTTTCCAACCACGTAGATCAATATTTACTCATCATGACCATAAAATGCAGTTTAGCCATATAGAAAACTATGATTACTTTTCTTTATAATTTCCCTTCAGTTAATACTTATTTTATTTTCTGTTTTTATCATCTAGTCAACTCGCAAACTTCCAGCATTTGTCTAAATCTACTCAATATATTCCAGTACATCAGATAATATATCAGTTTCATCCTCCTGAAAAACTCTTTTCCAGTGTATCCTGACCTGCTCTAATTTTGACTTGATGCTTTCTGTATCTGGTGCACAGCTGTTACCTTGGAATCTTCCCTTCATCATTATTCAGAGTGTTTCTGTAGTTTTTCTCTTGCATTGGATTTTGTGCTTCCTGAATCCCTCTCTCTCTTTTTTTTTTTTTTTTTACTTGGCTTACTCCTTGCTTTGATGGATCTCAGGCTCCAGTAGCTTCCTTGGAAAGAGTGTTTGGAAGGTAAATTTCTTGAGACCTTACATCTCTGAAAACATCTCCACGTATACCTAATTGATAGTTTGGCCATATAGGATTCTAAGCCAGAATTCATTTTTCCTTCAGAATTTTGATGACATTGCAGCATTATTTTCTAACTTAAGGTGTTGCTATTGAAAAATCTAAAAATCTTTCTGATTACTCTGTATGTGACCTGTTTTTTCTTTTTTCTTCCCCTCTGTGTAAGCTTTCATTTTTATTTTTTTGAGATGGAGTTTCACTCTGTCACCCAGGGTGGAGTGTAGTGGCATGATCTCGACTTACTGCAACCTCCGCCTCCCGGGTTCAAGTGATTCTCCTGCCTCAGCCTCCTGAGTAGCTGGGATTACAGGCGTTACACCACCATGCCTGGCTAATTTTTGTATTTTTCATAGAGATAGGGTTTCATCATGTTGGCTCGGCTGGTCTCGAACTCCTGACCTCAAGCGATCCACCCACCTCAGCCTCCCAAAGTGCTGCGATTACAAGCATGAGCCACCGTTCCCGGCCTCTCTGTAAGCTTTTAGAATCTTCTCTTTATCCTTGTATTAATTACAGTAAATAAGGGTAGGTGCTATAACAAACCCTAAAATCTCAGTGGCTTGGCCAGGCGCGGTGGCTCACGCCTATAATGCTAGCACTTTGGGAGGGTGAGGCCAGCGGATTGCCTGAGCTCAGGAGTTTGAGACCAGCCTGGGCGACACGGTGAAACCCCATCTCTACTAAAATACAAAAAATTAGCCAGGTGTGGCAGTATGCGGCTGTAGTCCTAGCTACTCCAGAGGCTGAGGCAGGAGAATTGCTTGAACCTGGGAGGCGGAGGTTGCAGTGAGCCAAGATCACACCACTGCATTCCAGCCTGGGTGACAGAGTGAGACTCCGTCTCCAAAAAAAAATATATATATATCAGTGGCTTAACACATAAAATGTTTAGTTTTCTTGTATTTCACAGTCAGATGAATGTGTGTGTATGCAGGCAAGCAGGCAAGTATTTTGTTTTATGCTATCTCTGTCTTGCGGGTGTATCCTTCTCTAAGTCCTCTAAGTTCTCTCCAGCTAAGGATGGGGAAAGAGAGCAGAGCTTATAAATGGAAGACTTTTATGGGGTAGGCTCGGGAATTGGTATGTTACTGCTGCTCACGTTCTATTGGCCAGGACTTAGTCTTTTTTTTTTTTTTTTTTGAGACAGAGTCTCACTCTGTCACCCAGGCTGGAGTGCAGTGGCATGATCTCTGCTCACTGCAAGCTCCACCCCCTGGGTTCACGCCATTCTCCTGCCTCAGCCTCCCGAGTAGCTGGGACTATAGGTGCCTGCCACCACGCCCGGCTAATTTTTTGTATTTTTAGTAGAGACGGGTTTTCACCGTGTTAGCCAGGATGGTCTCTATCTCCTGACCTCGTGATCCACCTGCCTTGGCCTCCCAAAGTGCTGGCATTACAGGCGTGAGCCACCGCGCCCGGCCATGTTTTTATGTTTTTTAAGACAGAGTCTCATTCTGTTGCCCAGGCTGGAATGCAGTGGCATGATCTCGGCTCACTGCAACCTCCACCTCCCAGGTTCAAGTGATTCTCCTGCCTCAGCCTCCTCAGTAGCTGGGATTACAGGTGTCTGCCACCACACCCAGCTAATTTTTATATTTTTAGTAGAGACAGAGTTTCACCATGTTGGCTAGGCTGGTCTCGAACTCCTGACATCAGGTGATACGCCCAGCTCAGCCTCCCAAAGTGCTGGGATTACAGGCATGAGCCACCACGCCTGGCCAACCAGGACTTAGTCTTATTGCCACAGCCCTGCAGTTGCAAGGAAGACTGAAAAACGTAGTCAGATTATGTGTTCAGGAAGAAGGAGAATGGGGTATTTGTTTGCGAGCACCAGCAGTCTCTGCTGTGGTCTCCATTGTCACAATGATGCACCTGGGTGTGGGTGTGTTTTCAAACATTGTGCTCAGCACTCAGCAAGACTTTTAAACCTGGAAACCCTTGTTCTTTGGTTCTGGGAGATTTTCCCTTGCATTCTCTCTTTTCTTTCCCCCCTTTCTGCAACTTCTATTATTTAGATATTAGACTTCCTAGACTGGTTCTTTTTCCTTTTTAAAATCGTTTCTCTCATAATTTTTATCTCTTCTACTTTCTAGGCATTATCTTTTTGAGTATATAAAGATTTTTTTAAAGTTTTCTTTTCTCCACCTCGTTCTTGTTTCCCTTGTATTGCTTTTCTTAGTCTGGTGTCTGTTTTCATGTTAGAAGCTTTCTTCAAATATCTTAAAATTACTGGTTGCTCATTTTTAAGAGTTAGAGACTATAAAGCTGATTTGAAATTTTAGCATCACTAAAAGGTGATCTAATTGGGCTTTTAACTGGGGAACTTTCTCTTCTCTTCAATATCAATATCTTTAGGTCTTTGCTCTTGGAATGACCAGATCTTTCAGTCTCTTACCAAGTGGGTAAAAGCCAGACTTGATTCTGGGAATGAGAGAGAAAAGGGGGTATTGGGTATCTCAGCATTCAGGGGTTCTGTTCACTAACTCCACTTGTTTTTAGTACAATTTTGATTCTCGTCCCAAAGATTGACACCTTGACCATTTTCAAGTATCTTCTCCCCAATCCACACCAAAGTTAGGGAGGAGCCAGTCCCTTGAATGCTGAGTGGAGGAGGGAATCTAAAGATTTATTTAAATTCATTTTTCAACAGACTCTCCTTAATTTATCTTCTACCTCACCCATACATTCAGAGGTTCCTGATACTGCCATGCCTGAGTGTTTTGCAATTTTATTATATAAATCAGGTTGTTTCTTGGCCTTCCCTGTCCCCTTATACTTAGATTACTCAGGTCTCCTAAATCCTTTCCTACTAGTCGTTCTGCTTTGTAGTTTCTAGATTTTTTTTTTTTTTTTGATATAGAGTCTCACTCTGTTGCCCAGGCTGGAGGTGCAGTGGTGTGATATCAGCTCACTTCAACCTCCGCCTCCTGGGTTCAAGAGGTTCTCCTGCCTCAGCCTCCTGAGTAGCTGGGCCTACAGGTGTGTGCCACCATGCCTGGCTAATTTTTGTATTTTTAGTAGAAACGGGGTTTCACTATGTTGGCCAGGCTGGTGTCGAACTCCTAACCTCAGGTGATCCACCTGCCTTGGTCTCCCAAAGTGCTGGGATTACAGGCATGAGCCACTGTGCCTAGCCTGTAGTGTCTAGATTTTTATTACAATCATGTTTGTCTCTTGTTTTCCATCCTTGTGGGTTTGTGCCCTTATAAATCTCTTTTCTATTATTTTATTGAGGTTTCAGGAGGGAATGAAAATAAACGTGTGTGTTCAATCGGCTGTCTTTACCTGGAAGTGTGCAGTGGTATCTTTTAAATTTGGTTTGAAATCTCTGCTCTCTAGGGCTGCTGTAACAAAGTACCACAAACTGGATGGCTTGAAACAAAATATATTTATTTTCTCACAGTTCTGGAGGCTAGAAGTCCAAAATCAAGGTCTTGGTATGGTTGGTTTGCTCTGGAGACTCAGAAATCTGTTCCATGCCTCTCTCCTAGCTTCTGGTGATTGCTGACAATCCTTGGTATTTCTTAGATTGTAGGTGTATCACTCCCTGCCTTCACATGGCATTCTCCTCTGTATTTCTCTCTTTCTTCACATGGCCTTCTTATAAGTACACCAGTCAATGGACTCAGGAACACCCTAATCCAGTATGACCTTGTCTTAACTTGCTGGCATCTATTTCCAAATAAGGTCATATACACTGGGGCTAGTACTTAAAACTATCTTTTGGGGGACATAGTTCAACCCACAACAGACTAGCAAATTTGATATCTGAGATGATTCATCTATCAGAAGCCAAGAGATAATTAGTTTTTTCCATCAGTAATTATTGAAGGCTTTAACAAATATGATTTTCATGATGTTTCCCAAAATGTATGCCACAGAATATTTATATGAGTTATAAGAAAGGAGTTATGTAGTCATTTAAATTTGGGAAATGTTAGTTAAAATAAGTTTTTAAACTATAGGTCTGTTCAGGACCTCTCATGTGCCAGTGTGGACTATGAAACATACTGTTTGGGAAATGCTACATACAGTTAACCCCCTTTTCCCCCCTTTTTTTTTTCTCAGGATGGAGTCTCACTCTGTTACCCAGGCCGGAGTGCAGTGGCGCAGTCTCGGCTCACTGCAACCTCCACCTCCCAGGTTCAAGTGATTCTCATGCCTCAGTCCCCCGAGTAGCTGGGATTACAGATGCCCACCACCATGCCTGGCTAATTATGGGTGAGGAGTGCTTCCACCTGCTCCACATCCTATCCAGCCCTCAATTTTCAGTTATATTTCCAATGCTTTTATATAAAAACGATAAAATTCTATCCTCCAGATGCAAAGATGACAGTAGAGACTTATCTGTAAAATACATATTTTAAAGCAAGCATTCCCCCAAATCCCCTCTATAGAACAGAAGATTATCTTTTTAAAACAATGTAAACAAAATTTTTTTCTGAGATGGGGTCTTGCTCTGTGTTGCCAAGGGTGGAGTGCAGTGGTGCCATCACGGCTCACTACAACCTCTGTTTCCTGGGCTCAGCTGATCTTCCCACCTCAGCCTCCTGAATAGCTGGACTACAGGTGTGTGCCATCATGACCTGCTAATTTTTGTATTTTTTGTGGAGATGGGGTTTTGTGATATTACCCAGGCTGGTCTTGAATTCCTGAGCTCAAAATATCTACCCACCTCAGCCTCCCAAAGTGCTGGGATTACAGGTGTGAACCACCATGCCTGGCCATAAGATGGTCTTTATAAAGGGCGGAGGCGGCGGTGGGGGGTGGGGGCGGGTGCAGGCACTGTGGCTCATACCTGTAATCCCAGCACTTTGGGAGGCTGAGGCGGGTGGATTGCTTGAGGTCAGGAGTTCGAGACCAGCCCGCCCAACATAGTGAAACTTCGTCTCTACTAAAAATACAAAAATTAGTCGGGCGCGGTGGCGTATGTCTATAATCCCAGCTACCCAGGAGGCTGAGGCAGGAGAATTGCATGAACCTGGGATGTGGAGGTTGCAGTGAGCTGAGATTGTGCCACTTCACTCCAGCCTGGGCGACAGACTCTGTCTCAGTGAAAAATAAAATAAAATAATAATGAAAAAGACTATCTGTTGTTAAATGTTCTGTGCTGCTTGGGCTTAGGCCTTTGGAAGTGTGTATCATTTATCCAGAATCACTTAAAATCTGGAAATCTAGAGTATTACTATCCAATAAAACTTCTTTGTGATGATGGAAATGTTCTCTGTCTCCTGTTTAGCAGACTAGTCATTCGCCACATGTGACTATGGAGTGCTTGAAATGTGGCTAATGTGACTGAGGAACTAAAATTTTTTTTTTGAGACAGAGTTTCGCTCTTGTTGCCCAGGCTAGAGTGCAATGGTGCAATCTCGGCTTACTGCAACCTCTGCCTCCTGGGTTCAGGTGATTCTCCTGCCTCAGTCTCCCAAGTAGCTGGGATTACAGGCGCCTGCCACCACGCTCAGCTAATTTTTGTTATTTTTAGTAGAGATGGGATTTCACCATGTTGGCCAGGCTGGTCTCGAACTCCTGACCTCAGGTGATCCACCCACCTCAGCTTCTCAAAGTGCTGGGATTACAGGCGTGAGCCACCATACCCGGCTGGAACTAAATTTCTAATTTAATTTAGCTAAATGTAAATAGCCACATGTAGTTTCTGGCTGCTGTACTGAACAGCAGTTTACAGAATGATGTTGCCTCTCACTCTAGTTCCGTGATTCTCAACCTTATTTCCCTGTCTGAAAGATGCACATTTTCTGAGGGATAGATATATTTCTATTGGTTCCTATGGCAATGATTCTTAGATTCTGAACTATGAGGTCATGTTTCTCTGGGGAAGGGCATATTCAATTTGAAAATAAAAAGCCTCTAGGTAGTTCTGATCTTTTTGTCCCCTCGTTGGTGCCTGCTTCCTTATTCACTGTCTACCCTGAATAATTATTGCTCTAAAATTTCTAATATTTATAGTTAGAACTCTAGGTAAGAGAATTCTTACCTGATACTGGTATTTTCTTTTTCTTTTTTTTTTTTTTTTTTTTTTTTTTTGAGACGGAGTCTCGCTCTGTCGCCCAGGCTGGAGTGCAGTGGCGCAATCTCAGCTCACTGCAAGCTCCGCCTCCTGGGTTCACGCCATTCCCCTGCCTCAGCCTCCTGAGTAGCTGGGACTGCAGGCACCCGCCACCACGCCTGGATAATTTTTTGTATTTTTTTTAGTAGAGACGGGGTTTCACCGTGTTAGCCAGGATGGTCTCGAGCTCCTGACCTTGTGATCCGCCCACCTCGGCTTCCCAAAGTGCTGGGATTGCAGGCGTGAGCCACCGCACCCGGCCGGTATTTTCTATTTAAGGGTAAAATTGGTTAGAAGAAGAGCCAAAGTTTGAATTGACTCGTATATTAGGATATGAGTTATTGACACGATATATTCTGATTACTAGCTGCAATTTGCAGTCTTCACATAATCTTTTTCTGTCAAGTAGAGTATCATCCAAAGAGGCAGTCCTGGTGTTGATTGTGGGTGGATGTTGAATATAGGTGAAAATACTTGCTATTCGGTTATCTCTAAGAAGTTATTTTTCCTCAAAACAGTCATTGTACCATTATAGTATTTCTTTGATGTTTCCATTTTTACCAAACTCATTAGTAGTGGTCACTTTTTAAATGTTCTGTGTCTGTAAGCAGTTTTTTAGACTCTCATTTGATTCTTTCAATAGAATGCATTTACTTATTTGTGATATTTCTTTGTATTCTGTTTCTTACAGTTGCTTCTGCAGGAAGCCTTTTTGGTGGCATGGTCCTCAAGAAGTTCCTAAAAGGTAAAGAATTACCTAACTTCCATGAGACTGAATATCTTCCCGACAATTAATTTGATATTTTCTGAAACAAATTTATAATGAAAGAAAGAGCTGACAGATTTATAAATAAAAATACAGGATGCCCACTTAAATTTGAATTTCAGATAAATAATAATTTTTTTAACATAAGTATGTCTCATGCAGTACTTTATCCTACATTTTATCTGGCTTCTGATTAAAAGATGATCTATTAATATAAAACTGTATAGAATTGACAAGATACCTAGATCACTGTAGCTTTTCTGTATACTCTGTATACAACTTTAGGCAAAATTTTCCCAGATGTAAAATAAAAATTTTAGTAGGTATTTGTTTCTATCTACTTCAAAGAAATAATGTGTGGAGAATGCTTTTACTGTAAATGATTGGCTAGCAGTAATAATGTTTTCCACATTATATGCCAGAGTTGGTACGGTTTAGGAGTTTTTGCTGACCTTAGTTTTAAGAATTTATTTATTTATTTATTGAGACGGAGTCTCACTCTGTCACCCAGGCTGGAGTGCAGTGGTGCGATCTTGGCTCACTGCAACCTCTGCCTCCTGGGTTCAAGCAATTCTCCTGCCTCAGCCTTCCGAGTAGCTGGGACTACAGTTGCATGCTGCCACACCCAGCTAATTTTTTGTATCTTAGTAGAGATGGGGTTTCACCGTGTTGCCATGCTGGTCTCGAACTTCTGAGCTCAGGCAATCTGCCTGCCTCGGCCTCCCAAAATGCTGGATTACAGGTGTGAGCCACCATGCCTGGCAGAATTTCTTTTTATTTTTTTGGACTTAAGAATACTCTACAAGCCAAAGGCCATAACATTTATTTTAAGGAAGCCAAAATGACCTTAGAACTCTTACGCTTTCATTTTTATTTCTTATGGTTGTTTGCTACATAAGTATTATCCATTGGCCTATTTTTTCCTAATGAATTGTTAATTTACAAATTTTACAAAATAACTTTTAAAAATAAACTTTCCCAGACTAAATCTGGAATATTAATAGATTTTTAAAAGCTTATATCTGTCCTTGCTTTAAGAAAATATACTGTAGCCAGGCCCAGTGGCTCATGCCTGTAATCCCAGCACTTTGGGAGGCCAAGGCAGGCAGATTACCTAGGTCAGGAGTTCAAGACTGGTCAACATGGTGAATCCCCATCTCTACTAAAAATACAAAAATTAGCCAGGCATGGTGGTGCATACCTATCTATAGTCCTAGCTACTTGGTGGGGCTGAGGCAGGAGAATCCCTTGAACCCAGGAGGCAGAGGCTGCAGTGAGCCAAGATCATACCATTGCACTCCAGCCTGGGTGACAGAGTGAGAGACTCTGTCTCAAAAAAAAAAAAAGAAAACATACTGTGTATTAAAATGGCAACAACTGGCCAGGCACAGTGGCTCATGCCTGTAATCCCAGCACTTTAGGAGGCCAAGGCAGGCGGATTGCTTGATCCAGTAGAACTTTTTGGAGTTCAAGACCAGCCTAGCACCATCACGAGACCCCATCTTTACAAAAAAAAAAAAAAAAAAAAAAAAAAAAATTAGCCAGGGAAGGTGGTGCACACCTGTACTCCCAGCTACTTAGGAGACTGAGGTGGGAAGATTGCTTGAGCCTGGGAGGTAAAGGCTGTAGTAAGCCGTGATCACACACCACTGCACTCCAGCCTGGGTGACAGCAAGACTTGGTCACAAACAAACAAACAAAAAAAGGGAACAACCAAAAAGCTACATTGGAAAGGTATAATGTTATAAAATAAATGTTTATGAAATGTATTACCATTTTTTAATGACAAATTTTCTTCGTGCTTTGTAAAATGCAAATCAATTAAAATTTGAATTTATACCCAAATTTATAGCAACTCAATTATTACTTAAAGCACCTTTTTTTTTTTTTTTGGAGGAGATAAACCCATTTTATTGTCTATCATGTTATACAAAAATCTAGAAATAATAGATTTGTATAGAAAACAACGATAGGCCGGGCGCGGTGGCTCACGCCTGTAATCCCAGCACTTTGGGAGGCTGAAGTGGGCGGATCACGAGGTCAGGAGATCGAGACCATCCTGGCTAACACGGTGAAACCCCGTCTCTACTAAAAATACTAAAAATTAGCCGGGCGTGGTGGCGGGCGCCTGTAGTCCCAGCTACTCCAGAGGCTGAGGCAGGAGAATGGGGTGAACCCGGGAGGCGGAGCTTGCAGTGAGCCGAGATTGCGCCACTGCACAACAGCCTGGGCGACAGAGCGAGAGACTCCGTCTCAAAAAAAAAGAAAAAAAGATAAAAAGGAAAAAAGAAAAAAATGATAATAAATGAGGGTGCAAAACATAGAATTTAAATTTGGTATTTTTTCCCCATGATATTAGGATGATAATCATTTCAAAGCACATGTCTAGCTTCATAGTAGGATTTGTTCACTGGCCAAAGCCTGCCATAAAACTATGGCTTTCAGTGTCTGTCTGCTCTACTGGCTCTTGACAAAACTTTTGAGGTCTTCAAGAAAAGTAATGTACGCCTGGTGCTCCGGGGCTGTGCGAAGCTCCACCAACTCATCTGCAAAAATGTTGTCCACCCCTTGGTCCGCAAGGAAATCCATTAGGTGGTCATATAAGGCCCAGTCCAGGGAATCTGTGTTGAGTGTATAGTTAGTATCCTTCCATTCAAACTCGCTGGTGGACCAAAAGCTAACTTCCCTGATAGAGAAGATGTCACTCAGCCTCCTCTTCTTGTCCAGCTTCATCCTCTGGATAATGACAGTCCAGCACAAGGGCCTTCTTGCCATCATTCTTTATAGCTTCAACCACGAAATGGGGAGTTGATATCAATTCAGGGTCTTCAACCTTCTGCCCTTGCGAGGGTTCCTCCTCACCATCAAATGTTGGTGGGATGCTGTTGTTAATATTGAAAGTGACAGTGATTTTTTCCCCCCAGCAACTTTCCGCACTAATTTAGCTTCTGTCCCATTCAGTTCCAGCTCCCAAACTCCAGACATCTTAGGAAGGGTTTTATGCTTCTGGATTTTCCTTTCCTCCTGAATTTCATCACTCAGGAAATCAATCAAAGCTTTGTCTCCTTCGCACGCCACACCCACAGCCGGAGGTGCAGGGCCCGCGAGGCCGCAGGGGGCCCGGCCGCAGAACACGCGCGCAAACTGAGCAGCCTGAAGGGCGGGCGCACAGCCGGGGCGCCGGCCAGGAGCTGCCGGAAAGGCGGGGCGGGCCCCGGGGGTGTGGAAGCCGGCGACGCAGAAGCCCAGCATATGGGGCACTCAGCGCAGCAGTGGCAGCATGGCGGAGAGGACTGCGAACATGTGCGGATGCAAAGGACAACCCAGGCCTAGGTACCCAGAGTACCCTTTTTTGTTTGTTTGTTTCTTTGAGACGGAGTCTCGCTCTGTCGCCCAGGCTAGAGAGCAGGGGCGAGATCTTGGTTCACTGCAACCTTCCGCCTCCTGGGTTCAAGCGATTCTCCGGCCTCAACCTCCTGAGTAGCTGGTATTACAGGTGCGCACCACCACGCCCAGCTATTTTTTGCATTTTTAGTAGAGACGGGGTTTCACCATGTTGGTCAGGCTGGCCTCGAACTCCTGATCTCGTGATCCGCCTGCCTCGGCCTGCCAAAGTGCTGGGATTACAGGCGTGAGCCACCGCGCCCGGCCAATACCTTTCTTTATCTTGGTCATATCAAAGAAAACAAACTATTTTTACAACTCAGTTACAAGATGAATACTCTAAAGACACAAATATATAGGAAACAATTCTACCTTTTGAAACTTCTTTTCTGAAGTAATTTTTAGTTGAAGAATGGAGACAGGCCAGCTGAAGTGTCTCACACCTATAATACCAGCACTTCGGGAGGACAAGATGGAAGAATCGCTTGAGCCCAGTAGTTAGAGACTAGCCTGGGCAATATATTGAGACCCCCATCTCTACAAATAAAGAAAATTAGCCAGGCATGGTGGGGCATACCTGTAGTCCCAGCTACTCAGGAGGCTGAGGCAGAATTGCCTGTGCCCAGGCATTTGAGGCTGCAGTGAGCTATGATCATGCCACTGTGCTCCAGCCTGGGTGACAGAGTAAGACTGTTTTTAAAATAAAAAAGAATGAGGACTTAAAAATGCTTGTTGCTAAATGAAGTGATCAGATGTATTCCCCTTTTCCTTTGTAAATTGTCTTGGCCCTCTGAATCTACCTTCCAACTGTCTGTATCCTTGGATATTTTACAGACTTCGGCTTTTGCTCTGTGACCCTAATTTTGTTTAGGTTCTACTTGGTGTGAGCACATTAATGTTTTTTGTTTTATTTTGAGCACATTTAAAAACTAATTGTGGAGGAAAAGTAATAAAAAATGAGATTTTAAACATTATTATTATTATTATTATTAGAGATGAGGTCTCACTATGTTGCCCAGGCTGGTCCTGAACTCCTGGGCTCAAGCAGTCCTCCCACCTCGGCCTCCCAAAATGCTGGGATTACAGGCATGAGTCACTGCACCTGTCCTATTATTATTTTTGAGACAGGGCCTTGCTCTGTCACCCAGACTGGGGTGCAATGGTGTGATCATGGCTCACTGCAGCCCCAAGCTCCTGGACTTGAGCCATCCTCCAGCCTCAGCCTCTTGAGTAGCTAGGGTCACATGTGCACACCTCCATGCCCAGTTACTTTTTAAATTTTTTCTAAAGATGGGATCTCACTTTGTTGCCCTGGCTGGTCTCAAACTTCTGGTTGGTCTCAAGCTCTCATGCAACAGCCTCCCAAAACGTAGGGATTACAAGTGTGAGCCACCCTGCCCAGCCAAGATTTTTATTTTAGCTCCAGAACATTCTGTGAGCATTTGGTAAGAATGTTCTCCCTTTAGTATTAATCACAATGATAATTTATTGAGCATTTACTATGCATTAGGCCTTGTGCTCCACTTAAAGGTAGTTATAGTAGTGAACAAGACAGATTTGGTTTCTCCCTTTATACCCCTAGTGAAGATACCTTAATTATTCTATTGCCTCTTTAAGCCTATGCCTAGAAAAAAGGGAATATCAGCTATTGTCCTGAAGAGTTTGCTCTGATTCTGAGACTTTTGGGAGATCTGAATCCAAGTTCAAGAATCATGGGCTGACTGCTTCAAAAACATCTAATTATTTATAAGTTTTTCCTTGTTCATTTTTGAATTATTGTCTTTGGGTTGATGCAGAGAAGGGAAAGATCATTCCTAGTGGCCCTGCTCCTGTTAATGTCTGTGAAATTGCTTTGAAAGAAGTGAAAATCGGCCGGGCGCGGTGGCTCACACCTGTAATCCCAGCACTTTGGGAGGCCTAGGCGGGCGGATCACAAGGTCAGGAGTTTAAACCAGCCTGGTCAACATAGTGAAACCCTGTCTCTACTAAAAATACAAAAAAAAAAAAAAAAAAATTAGCTGGGGGTGGTAGTGGGCACCTGTAACCCCAGCTACTTGGGAGGCTGAGGCAGGAGAATCGCTTGAACCTGGGAGGCGGAGGTTGCAGTAAGCTGAGATCATGCCACTGCACTCCAGCTCGGGCGACAATGCGAGACTCCATCTCCAAAAAAAAAAAAAATAAAGAAGTGAAAATCTGGCCAAGCATGGTGGCTCTGACTAAAATCCCAGCACTGTGGGAGACTGAGGTAGGCAGATTGCTCGAGCCTTGGGCAGCATGATGAAACCCCATCTCTACAAAAAATACAAAAATCAGCCAGGCATGTGAAAATCAGCTAGGTGTGCCTGGGGTCCCAGCTACTAGGGGGCTGAGGCAGGAGATCCATTTGAGCCCAGGAGGTCAAGTCTGCAGTGAGCTGTGATTGCGCCACTGCACTACAGCCTTGGTGACAGAGTGAGATCTTGTCTCCAAAAAAAAAAAGCTATATAAATGGAGTATATTATTAGCACTAGGGAGGAGATAGGAGCATTCCTTGCAAAATAAACCCACACTTAATGTGCTTGTACAAGGAGTGGTCAGATCATATATAAGGCTACTTGTTTGACTAATATTTGTGAAAGTGCTTTGAAAAAAGTGAAAAGCCGTGTAACTACAAGAGAATAGTTTTATTATCATTGTTACTCTTAGGGAGTATCATTTATGGGTTATCATTTATGGAATAACCACATACTCATGCCAATACAAACTCTAGACAATTTTTGTCATGGTGACTTAGTTTTAATTTAACTGTTACTTTAAAAACTCAAAGCAATTTCATTTAATCCTTATTGTGATAAAGTGTGAGTGGCTAACTCTTCGTACAAAGAGGAAGTACTGCACATCAAGTACATAATTAAAATTGAATCATTTGCTCATGCTCAATCACATTTAGTAGCCAACTGTAGCCTAAGTCTTCTCTCCAGTTGTTAGGGCTCTTAATATTAACCTCCACTCAATAATGCTAGTTATTCTTTTTGTTTGTTTGTTTGTTTTTGAGATGGAGTCTCACTCTTGTCACCCAGGCTGGAGTGCAGTGGCGTGATCTTGGCTCACTGCAACCTCTGCCTCCTAGGTTCAAGAAATTCTCCTGCCTCAGCCTCCCAAGTAGCTGGGATTACAAGCGCCTGCCACCACGGCCAGCTAATTTTTATATTTTTAGTAGAGATGGGATTTCACCATGTTGGCCAGGCCTGTCTCGAACTCCTAACCTCAGGTGATCCACCCGCCTCGGCCTCCCAAAGTGCTGGGATTACAGGCGTAAGCCACTGTGCCTGGCCTAGTTATTCTTACTAATTAGTAACAAAAATTACTCAGTGAACCTCACAAAGGAAATTGGTGAAGAATAAGACAGGAATCCCTTAGCTCCCTGGTTTATGCACCATTAATTATGCCTTTTTTACTATTATTATTTAGAATTTCTGACACTATTAAGCTAATAGCAAACTGCTTTAAATTGGTCCATTTACTGATCTTTACACTGTTTAGTTAGCTTCATCAGGGAGTCTCTGGCAGCTGGATTCATTACTCATCAGTTTTCTAGATGCTAAAAAATTGTGTATCTATACAAAGTTAATATGTCTGTAAATTCAGTTTAACTCTGTTGTTTTCTTCATTATTTGGCTGATTTCTCTCAGTGTCTAAAACAAGTGGTCTGACCCTTCTTTAGGGGAGCTGAACTGTTGAAGAACTATCAGCTTTAGTTTCCTTTACTCTTCAATCTGTTCTACCAGGGTTGTATCAAGGTACTTTTTTCTCTGGATCTGGAATACTTTAGATCAATTCCTGTACCAAATAGGCTCATATTTCTGTGTATTTTATTTATGCTGGATTAATAAGCAATGACCATTGTAATCTCCCTACTCACCTACTTCTCTACTGGTTTATTTTCTCTTTTTTCCCCTTTCTTCTCTGGTCCCTAACTATTTATACTTTTATTCAGTAAACTTTTATTGTAACATCTACCTTGCCACAAAGAAGTCACAGGAAGTAGAGGCAGCTCTGCAAATAAAATGCAGTGTGATTAGTACTGTAATGGAGGTGTAAGTTGAAAGAGCTTCTCTCATAACCCAGAGGATATTCCCCAAAGTTCAGTCACCAATGTGCTTTTCTTCCCTTCATTATTCTGCATCATTATTCTACATTCAATTCAGACAGCTTTTCTACTTTCAAGACTTTAACTAACATTAACTATGCTGATGAGACTTATTTTTCCCCCTCTTGATCACTGACATGTCTCCTAAACTCCAATGGAATAGCTTTGAATGTCAATTAGACTATTCCATTTGAGAGTTCCTCTGAAATATCCTGTGTAACATGTCTAACATGGGGTTCAGTTTCTTGAAATGAACTTATTGTGTAATGTCTGCATTCCTTTCAGTGATATTGACATACTCATAATTCTCCAGCGTTAAAAATCTTGGTTTTTATGGTGGGGTTTCTCCTTTTTTGTTTCCTCATTATGTAATTGATTTTTCGTTAATTCTGCCTTTATAATATAAAATTCTTATTAATTTAAACATAGCTTACATTCTTCCCTTAATGATTCCTTATTTATTATTATATTAGGTCTAAGTACTTCAGACCAGAGTTAAGGCCTTCTCTCAAGAGGATAATCCCCTCTACTTTGCAGAATAATGCCCATTAAGATAGATAAGTTCTTATGTGTTTAAAAAATTGTCACTACATGTTAAATGTGTGCTACTGTCTGCATTGAATACTTATCTACTTAGGTATAATTCCATTTATATATTCATTTATGTGTATACTTATCCATTTATATAGAACTATTTCTATCATAAATGTCTTTTAGTGAAACATGATTGTTTCAGTTTGTCCTATTTGCTCAGCTCTGCTTCCTATTATGTCCTTATTCAAGTGAGGAAAGGAAAGTGGATGGAGGAATATGAAAAAAATCCATGTTTATAGATCTTTATTTTGCTGCTTTTTCCTCTTTCTTCTATTCATATTATTTTTATTTTTGTCTTTTTAAAATAGCTTCTCATTTCCATGTTTATTGACATAACTTAGCTCTTTATACAGTATGGCCAGTTATTTTAAAAAGATGTGCAAGTGTTTTTCCCAAATAAAATTTACAGCCTTCTTTTTTCTTCATAAGACTAGATAAGAATACCAGTCCTTGTAAACAGGGAGGACTGCTTTGCTGTTGATATATGGTTACATGGCTATGATAGTTCAGTTTTTGCCTCTTCCCTATATGCTACCCTTTTGGTGTCAGGGAGACTTTTTTGTTGTTCATTGTTTTGTTTTTTGGAGGCAGGGTCTTGCTCTGTTTCCCAGGCTGAAGTGCAGTGGCATGACCACAGCTCATTGCAGCCTTGACCTCTTGGGCTCAAGGGATCCTCCCATTTATAGCCTTCTGAGTAACTGGGACCACAGGTGTGTACCACCATGCCCAGCTAGTTATTTTATTTTTTGTAGAGATGAGATCTCACCATGTTGCCCAAGCTGGTTTTAAACTCCTGGGCTCAAGCGATCCTCCCACCTTGGCCTCTCAAAGTGTAAGGATTACAAGTGTGAGCCTTCATGCCCAGCCTGTTTATTTTCAAGTTTACTTTTGTCCTCTTTGTTAATTTGTTGGGAAAGAAAGTGAGGAGTGGTGCTTTTCATGGGTTAGAGAGATTGACAGGTCCAGACTTGCTCAACATTGAGTAAGAAACTCACAATGGTGAACTCTTGAATGTCTGACGTAATCAAGTTTTTTTTTTTTAAGTCTGAGATTCTTGTATTCAAGAATAAAAATCTATTATAATTTTATATCTTACAAAATCAACAACTCTAAGGCTCAGAATTTATCTAACGCTTTTTCCCCCGGGAGCTCATTTTGTAGACATGATCTCATTCATTCTTGAGGAGCAGTCAGACATAAGTGTTATCATCATCTCTGTTTCAGAGATGAGAAAACTGAGACTTAGCCTCATATACTAAGAAGGGAAACATTTGTAGACTCATAGGTTGCTGGTTATCCATTAAACTGTGAGAGACTACACTTAATTTTAAGCTTTTGATACATTCTAAACAGGCTGTTGTTGCCAAATTTACCTAACGCTTGGTAAGATTTTATAAAGGTTGGCTGAAGATCAAGACACGCTAAAACAGATTTTTGTTTTTTGTTTTTTTTTTTTTTTGCTTCCTTAATATTTCTTTACTCTTTTCCTTGTTACATTTATCTAATTGCACTTCACTATTGAGAACATGTTCAAGATTTGATGTGACAGAAGGGGATGGAAAGGACAGAAGTGGTTTTTACCAACCCTGACATATTCCTTTTCCTTTTGAACTTGGATAGATAAAACAGGAGGAAAAGGATAGCTCTTATTATTAGAGATCCTGGGAGCTGGCTCATTCTCTGGCTGAGTGGTACATAACTGCTTTTATTCAGCAGCCCATGAGAGCTAACCTGCCTTGTACCTGGCTGGCTTAAAATGCTTGAACTGTTACAATTCCTCATTGAGTAATCAGCTGGGCACTTACTGTTCCAACTCTGTCCTTCTGGGTTACCACACATCTTTCATCTTCTCAGCTGGGAACACAAGGAGAGTTGTCTCCCTATAGTGGTATAGTGGAATTTGGCTGGAATGGGAAGAGGGGATACTGTATTTTTTCTTGAGTAGACTTTATGGCTAGCCATTTAATACATTCTGAAAAATGGTCAGATGACATCACATAGAAAAATTACCTCAAAATGGATCAAAGAACTAAAGCTATAAAACTCTTAGAAAAGAAAGAAAGGTTTAAATCTTCATGACCTTGGATTAGGCAATGTTTTCTTGGATATGACATTTAAAGCACAAGCAACGAAAGGAAAAGTAGAGAAATTGGATTTAATCAATATTAAAAACTCTTATGCTTCAAAAGATGATACTAAGAAAGTGAAAAGATCAATTATACCTAAAAAAAAAAAAGCTGGAAAATGAAGGTCTCTAGTTCCAAAACTCAGAAAAAAAAGGTGAATAAATAATCCACAGATAAGAAAAGTCTAGTATCCAGTGTACATATAGAACTTATACAACAACAATTAAAGGACAAATAGCAAAATTCATATGGTAAAGCCCCAACCCCCAGTGTGATAGTATTTGGAGATGGGGCCTTTGGGAGGTAAGTGGGGTTAGATTAGATCATGAGGGTTGGGCCTTCATGAGATTAGCAGTTTTATTTATTTATTTATTTATTTATTTACTTATTTTTTAATTTTTATTTTTTGAGACAGAGTCTCACTCTGTCGCCCAGGCTGGAGTGCAGTGGTGCAATCTTGGCTCACTGCAAGCTCCACCTCCCGGGTTCATGCCATTCTCCTGCCTCAGCCTCCCGAGTAGCTGGGACTACAGGCGCCCACCACCACGCCCGGCTAATTTTTTTTTTTGTATTTTTAGTAGAAATGGGGTTTCACTGTGTTAGCCAGGATGGTCTCAAACTCCTGACCTTGTGATCCGCCTGCCTCGGCCTCCCAAAGTGCTGGGATTACAGGCGTGAGCCACCACGGCTGGCCTGAGATTAGCAGTTTTATAAGAAGAGGAAGGGAGAGAGAGATTATTCTCTTTTTCCCTCTCCCTCCCTTGTATCCACCAAGGAAAGGCCATGTGAGGGCACAATGAGAAGGCAGCTATCTGAAAGCCAGGAAGAGAGCCCTCATCAGGAACCAAATCAACTGGCACCTTGATCTTGGCCTTCCCAGCCTTCAGAATTGTGAGAAATAAATTTCTCTTGTTTAAGCTACCTAGTTTATGGTCTCTTGTTATGGCGGCTTGAGTGGACTAAGACAACATTTATCCTAAAAAGATACACACATGGCCAGTAAACCCATGAAAAGATAGATGCTCAGCATCATTAGTCATTAGGGAAAAATGCAAGTCAAAAACATAATGAGGCCAGGCACGGTGGCTCATGCCTGTAATACCAGCGCTTTGGGAGGCTGAGGTGGGAGGATCACCTGAGGTCAGGAGTTGGAGACAAGCCTGGCCAACATAGTGAACCCTCATCTCTACTAAAAATACAAAAATTAGCTAGGCGTGGTGGCCGGTGCCTGTAATCCCAGCTACTTGGGAGGCTGACCCAGGAGAATGGCTTGAACTCAGAAGGTGGAGGTTACAGTGAGCTGAGATCACACCACTGCACTCCAGCCTGGGTGACAGAGCCAGACTCTATCTCAAAACAAATGCTCCACACACCAGTGGTAATATGAAATTGAAGTTTTTTAAACTCCATCTTCCCCTTTACTTCCCTCTTCTCTTTCCTGACACCCCTTCTGGCCTCCTTACCCATCGTTGGCCACTTAGCATAGTATAATCCCCTGCTGCCTTGACTTTCTACTTTTTCTTTCTTATCAGTCTCCAGGCTTGGGTAATCACCATTATTATTATTTTTTCATTCTTATTTCCAAGCTGCCAAGTGTTACTTGTGTAAATCATAAAACTGAATGTTGGGTACGCTATAAATTTAAGGAGAATTTCTAACTTCTTGGGGTTGTTCAGTACTCTTATCTTGTTTATTCTTTTATATAATTCTCATAGTGTATATTTCAAATTACCTGACACTCAATAAATGTCTTTACCTTCTATTTTTCTGAAAAGGTTGAGGTTATCCAAATGGCACTTCTTCTGGATTTCTTTTTTTCTTTTTTTTTTTTTAGAGATGAGGTCTTGCTATGTTGCCCAAGCTGGTCTTGAACTCTTAGGCTCAAGCAATCCTCCCACCTCGGCCTCCCAAAGTGCTGGGATTACAGGCATGAGCCACCATCCTCAGCCATTCCAATTTCTTTTTAAGAAATTTAAATTTGAGGCTGGGCGTGGTGGCTCACGCCTGTAATCCCAGCACTTTGGAAGGCCAAGGTGGGCGGATCATGAGGTCAGGAGATTGAGACCATCCTGGCTAACATGGTGAAACCCCGTCTCTACTGCAATAGAATGTGGCTGCCATGCTGGCTTTGCAACTTCAAGAGATCCTCTGCACCCTTACACTTCTCAGCCAATTTGTGGAAGAAGTGGCCAGTGCCTTCCAGTGCCACATCATTGTGGTCAAAATAGAAGCCCAGAATGAGAGAGATGTAGGAGGCCTACAGATACAAATTGACCAGGCGATTGACAGCTGCCTCCAACTCGATGAAATAATTCTGATGAGTCTAGTTGGCAAGAAGGAGCTAACCACAAAAACAGTGTTGGCTGGTCTCAGAAGCAGGAGATGGCCGAGAAGATGGTCCTGGAGGTTGCAAGTGGAGAGGACAGTGGAGGGCAGTTGGAGGCTGGAAGAGAGGGAGTCCCTGGGTTTGTTCCATCCAAATACTATTGAAGCAAGAGACAGATGGGTGGGACTGTCAAATGCACTGCCAGAACATCCATGAACAGCTCATGGTTCAAGAAGTAATTTCAACTTTTAAGGCTTATTATTTAGGAAATACATTTTATAAGACTATAGCTGCCATAGATAGTGAGTAGAGTCAATTAAAAACCTTCTGGAAAGGAGTCACCATTCTAGATGCCATTAAGAGCATTCGTCATTCATAGGAGGAGGTCAAAACATCAACGTTAACAGGAGTTTGGAAGAAATTGATTCCAACCCTTATGGATGACTTTGAGGGGTTCAGTACTTAAGTGGAAGAGTTAACTGTAAATGTGGCCCGGCCAGTAAGTGGTATTTTTTTAAGAATTTCATTTTCCAACTGTTTCTTGCTAGTATTTGAAATACAATTGATGTTTATATATTTTTCAAGCTTGCTAAACTAGCCTGGGAAACATAGCAAGGCCCCATATCTACAAAACATTTCTAAAAGTTAATTGGGCATGGTGCTGCATGCCTATAGTCCTAGCTACTCAGGAGGCTGAAGCAGAAGGAGTGATTGAAACCAGGAGTTGTAGGGTGCAGTGAGCTATAATTTTGCCACTGCACTCCAGCCTCGGAGACAGAGCAAGACCCTATCTCAAAAAATAAAAATCTTGGCCGGGCACCGTGGCTCATGCCTGTAATCTCAGCACTTTGGGAGGCTGAGGCGGGCAGATCATCTGAAGTCAGGAATTCGAGACCAGCCTCGCCAACATGGCGAAACCCCGTCTCTACTAAAAAATACAAAAATTAGCTGGGTGTGGTGGTGCGTGCCTTTCTTCCCAGCTACTCCAAAGGCTAAGGCAGCAGAATCAGCTGAACCTGGAAGGTGGAGGTTGCAGTGAGCTGAGATCATGCCACTGCACTCCAGCCTGTATTGTTAGATTTGATTTGCCATAATTTTATTAAGAATTTTTGCATCTATGTTCACAAAGGATATGTGTAATTTTCTTTTCTTGTAATGTCTTTGTCTTTTTTTGGTACAAGTAATACTGGCCTCATAGAATGACTTTGGACATATTCTCTGTTCTTCAATTGCCTAGAAGAGTTTGTAGAAGATATTATTTCTTCCTTAAATATTTGGTACAATTTCTTCCTTAAATATTTGGTGCAAATCATCAAGGAAGCCATCTGGGCCTGATTTTTTCCTTCCTAGGAAATATTTTAACTACAAATTCAATTTCTTTAATAATTATACAGTCTCTCTCTCTCTCTCTCTTTGAGACATGGTCTCTGTCGCCCAGGCTGGAGTATGGTGGGGCGATCTCAGCTCATTGCAGCTTTGACCTCCCTGGCTCAAGCGATCCTCTTGCCTCAGATTCAGGACTATAGGCCTGCACCACCACACCTGGTTTGTATTTTTTGTAGAGACAGGGTCTCACTGTGTTGCCCAGGCTGGTCTGGAACTCCTGGGCTCAAGCGATCCTCTTGCCTCAGCCTCCTAAAGTGCTGGGATTATAGGCACGTACCACTGCACCTGGCCTTTTTTTTTTTTCCTGAGTGAGCATGGGTAATTTGTGTCAAGGAATTTGTCCATTTTATCTAAGTTATTGGGTTATTGACATAAAATTGTTCATAATTTTCCTTATTATCTTTCTAATGTTTGTAGAATCTCTAGCAATATCCTCTTTCTTACTCCCTGGTGTTGGTTATTTATATCTTCTCTTTTATTTTCCTTGATCAGTCTGGCTAGAACCAGGTTCTTCCTGTTGTTCTATTTCATTCATTTACACTCTGATCTTTTATTCTTTCTTTTGCTCGTTTGGGGTCTTACTTGCTCTTCTGTTTCTAGTTTTATAAAGTGAAAGCTGCAATCATTGATTAGAGACAGTTCTACGCTAAAGTCATAATGACATTTTATGTAATTTCTTTTTTCTTTTTTTTGAGACAGAGTCTCGCTCTGTTGCTCAGGCTGGAGTGCAGTGGAGTGATCTCAGCTCACTGCAACCTCTGCCTCCCAGGTTCAAGCGATTCTCCTGCCTCAGCCTCCCGAGTAGCTGGGATTACAGGCCCCCACCACCAAGCCCAGCTAATTTTTGTATTTTTAGTAGAGACACCATGTTGGCCAGGCTGGTCTCAAACTCCTGACCTCAGGTGATCCACCAGCCTTGGCCTCCTAAAGTGCTGGGATTCTAGGTGTGAGCCACCATGCCCAGCCTATATAATTTCTTTAATAGTGCTAAAGTTTTAAATTTATATTTATTATTACATCTAGTGAATCTGGAGTTTATTTTTGTTTTGCTTTGCTAACCAGCTGACTTTAATGGAGTTTATTTTTATTTTATTTATGATGTAAGTTAGGAATCTAATTTAAATCCTTTTCCAAACAGATTGCTACTTGTCCCAACTCAGTTTATTATTGAATAGTACTTTACCCAGTAATTTATATTATTATTCTGTCATATACTAAGATTCTATATATGCTTGGGTCTGTTTCTGGGTAATCTAGTCTTTATCTCTGTGCCTGGGCCAGTATTGTAGAGTTTTATTTCCTAAAGCTTTAGAATAAATCTTGCTATATGATAGGGCAAATCTCTCCTCCTTGTTTTTCTTTTTCAGAATCGTCTTTGGTGTTTCTTTGTTTTGTTTTGTTTTGTGCTTTTGACAAAGTCTCGCTGTGTCACCCAGGCTGGAGTGCAGTGGCACAATCTCGGCTCACTGCAAGCTCCGCCTCCTGGGTTCACGCCATTCTCCTATCTCAGCCTCCCGAGTAACTGGGACTACAGGCGCCCGCCACCACGCCTGGCTAATTTTTTTGTTTTTTTGTTTCTTTTGTATTTTTAGTAGAGACAGGGTTTCACTGTGTTAGCCAGGATGGTCTCGATCTCCTGACCTCGTGATCCGCCCGCCTTTGCCTCCCAAAGTGCTGGGATTACAGGCGTGAGTCACCGCGCCTGACCTTGTCTTTGGTTTTTAAAACCTTTACTCTTGGCTATGAGTTTTATAATTAGTTAAGTTCCAGGCTGGACATGGTGGCTCACGCCTGTAATCCCAGCACTTTGGGAGGCCAAGGCTGGCAGATTACCGGAGGTGGGAGTTAGTGACCAGCCTGGCCAACATGGTGAAACCCTGTCTCTACTCAAAATGCAAAAATTAGCCAGGCATGGTGGCGGGCGCCTGTAGTCCCAGCTACTCCGGAAGCTGAAGTGAGAGACCCACTTGAACCCAGGAGGCAGAGGTTGCAGTGAGCTGAGATCGCACCACTGCACTCCTGCCTGGGTGACAGAGTGAGACTCTGTCTCAAAAAAAAAAAAAAAAAAAAAAAGCTCCACAAAAAAATCTTGTTGTGATTTTCATTGCTATTAAATGGAATTATAGATTAAGTTGGTGGCAATGAACATTTTTAGCATTGTTTTTGTGAGATGATATATCTTGTCATTTATTTAGATTTTTCTTTTAAAAATGTTATTTAATTTTAGTTGTCACACTTTTAAGAGATAGGCACTATAAGGGAGAATAAGGGGCTCGACCAAGAGCAAATGGCTATAAGCCAAAGTCTGCCTGACTTTAGAGACCATTTTGCCAGGTGTTATTATTTGTTCAAAATATTGCCTGCTCTTCTCCTGGGAGATTTATATTTTTTGCCCTATGAGTATAAGGCTGGGTCATGTAACTTGCCAGGGCCAATGAAATGTGAGTGGAAGTGACATGTGTCGCCTTCCAGGAGAAGCTTTAAGAGTCTATGTGTATTTTGCTGGTAGCTTCTTTTCCTTTGCCATGAGGCTAGGATGTCTCAGATGAGGGGGTACTCCTTTAGCCCAGGTCTTGCTTAGATGTGGCTCTTGTTGGCTTTGAGTTCACTTATGGTTCTGCAACCTCTTAACTGGCTTCTGGAGTTCTCACAAAAGATAATTTGATATTGCTGTTGAGTTGGTTTTTCTGTGGGGGAAACGAGGACCTGGGGCTTCCTATCCCGCCATCTTGCTGATGGCATTCCTATTTAGATCTTTTATGTTAACACTTTAAAATTCTTTTCATAATGGTCTTAGATATCTTTTGCTATATTTATTTCTATAGTCTTATAGTTTTTGTTGCTATTATGAATGATATTCATTTTTTTCAACCCTACTGAATTCATCCCTTATTAATTTGGATAATTTATCTGTGGATTCTTTTGGATCCTCTATATGGGCACTCAAAGCATCTCTAAATTATGACAACTCCATCTTTTCCTTTTCAATCCTTATATGGCTTCTTTTTTTTTTTGAGACAGAGTCTCACTCTGTCACCCAGGCTGGAGTGCAGTGGCGTGATCTCGGCTCACTGCAACCTCCACCTCCCGGGTTCAAGTGATTCTCTTACCTCAGCCTCCTGAGTAGCTGAGACTACAGGCATGCACCACCATGCCTGGGTAACTTGTGTATTTTTAGTAGAGATGGGATTCTACCATGTTGGCCAGCCTGGTCTTGAACTCCTGACCTCAAGTGATCTGCCTGCCTCGGCCTCCCAAAGTGCTGGAACTACAGGCATGAGCCATCACGCCTGGCATATGGCTTACTTCTTTTCCTTGTCATATTGTATTGAATAGAATAGTACTAGTATTAAATAGAATAGCAGGGGTAATATTAGGCATCTGTCTTGCTTTCCTTAAACAAGGAAATTAAACAAGGAAGGATTATTTAAAAGTCTACCACTGGCCGGGAGCAGTGGCTCATGCCTGTAATCCCAGCACTTTGGGAGGTCAAGATTGGAGGATCATTTGAGGCCAAGAGTTCGAGACCAGCCTGGTCAACATAGCAAGTCCCCATCTCTTAGAAGAAAAAAAAGTCCATTATTAAGTATATTTGCAATAGTTTTTATACCTGCTCCTGTTAAGTTTAGGAAATTATTTTCTATTCCTAATTTGCCAGCGTGTTTGTTATGAATGAGTGCTGTATTTCCTGAAATGCTTTTTCTAGGCCAGGCACAGTGGCTTATGCTAGTAATCCCAGCACTTTGGGAGGCCAAGACGGGAGGACCACTTGACTCTGGTAGTAGAAGACCAGCCTGGGCAGCATGGCAAGACCCAGTCTCTACAAAAAAATACAAAAATTAGCTGGGCATGGTGGTGTGCAGCTGTAGTGTCCCAGCTTCTTGGGAGCCTGGGACAGAAGGATAGTTTGGCCCCAAGAGGTGGAGGCTACACTAAGCCAGAATCATGCCCATCATGTTTTTTTAATACTGTTGTAATCACTATATCTATATATCTATATCTATATATCTATATCTATATATATCTATATATCTATATCTATATATCTATATCTATATCTATAATGTTGTCCTATGTCTTTTTTTACTTAACATAAGCATTTTTCATGTTATGACATAGTCTTCTAGTCATTATTTTAATGGCTAAATTATCCATCAAGATGTATCATAAATTAGCCATTTTTCTATTAATAGACATTTAGGTTTATTCTTTTTTTTCCCCCATTATTATGAATAGCAGGATAGTTTAGTGTCTAGGAGATTATACTGTGTGTTCTTGAACAAGTTTTTGATCTTTTGAAAGCACCTACCTCATAAAATTGTTTTGAGGATTAAGTGAAGTAATACGTATAATGCATGTAGCACAGTGGTTATTCTGAATACACAGTTCTCAATAAGTGCTAATTAATATCACTGGAATGAATATCTTAATGCATATAGCTCTTTACTATATTGAAAATTTTAGGATTAATTTTATGAGATAGAATTAACTTGATCAAAGTCTGTGTACATTTTTATGGCTCTGAAATTGCTTTGTAAAAAGTGTTGGCCAGGCGTGGTGGCTCATACCTGTGATCCCAGCACTTTGGGAGGCTGACATGGGTGGATCACTTGAGGTCAGGAGTTCAAGACCAGCCTGCTAACATGGTGAAACCCCGTCTCTACTAAAAATACAAAAAAATAGCCTGTAGTCCCAGCTACTCGGGAGGCTGAGGCAAGGGAATCACTTGAATCCGGGAGGTGGAGGTTGCAGTGAGCCAAGATCACACCACTGCACTCCAACCTGGGCATCAAAGCAAGACTCCATCCCCCCAAAAAAAGTTGTGTCTTGTAATGCTAACATTTGTAGCAAAGTTACCAACTTCACCGTACTTTGCCAGCATTGGGAATTTCAATTACTTAAAATATTTAAGCTAATTTACAAGTTAATGAGATGGTTAAAAGTTTTAATTATATTTCTCTGAACCTTTTAATAAGTGTTTACCACCTCTATTTTCTGTTTTCTGAACTTTGTGTCTTTTTCTTTTCTTTCTTTTTTTTTTTTTTTAAGAGACAGTCTCAAACTCCTGGGCTCAAGTGATTCTCCTGCCTCAGCCTCCCAAATTGCTGGGATTACAGACTTGAGCCACTGCACCCAGCCTTCTCCATGTCTTTAGGGACAAACTTCTAGGATGAAATTTAGGATGAATTAAGTCATTAGCTTGACACCATGATGTACAAATCCCTGAATTTCAGTTTCATTGTTAAAATGCCATTGTTTCAAGATGCTCAGTTGGCTATGGAAAGATAGGTCATCTATCCCAGCTACTCAGGGGGATCTTTTGAGCCCAAGAGGTCAAGGCTACAGTGAGCTGCGATCACAGCACTGCACTCTAGCCCGGGCAACAAAGTGAGACTGTCTCCAAAAATAAAATATAAAATTTATATGGAAAGAAAAACCCAGAATAGCCAACGCCATATTGAAGAGTAAAGTCAGGGGACTGGCACTACCTGACTTCAAGACTTATAAAGCTACAGTAGTTAGCCCAAGGTAATTAATAGATTCAATGCCATCCCCATCAAGCTACCAATGACTTTCTTCACAGAATTGGAAAAAACTACTTTAAAGTTCATATGGAACCAAAAAAGAACCCGCATTGCCAAGTCAATCTTAAGCCAAAAGAACAAAGCTGGAGGCATCACGCTACCTGACTTCAAACTATTCTACAAGGCTACAGTAACCAAAACAGCATGATACTGGTACCAAAACAGAGATATAGACCAATGGAACAGAAAAGAGCCCTTAGAAATAATGACGCATATCTACAACTATCTGATCTTTGACAGACCTGACAAAAACAAGCAATGGGGAAAGGATTCCCTATTTAATAAATGGTGCTGGGAAAACTAGCTAGCCATTTGTAGAAAGCTGAAACTGGATCCCTTCCTTACACCTTATACAAAAATTAATTCAAGATGGATTAAAGATTTACATGTTAGACCTAAAACCATAAAAACTCTAGAAGAAAACCTAGGCAATACCATTCAGGACATAGGCATGGGCAAGGACTTCATGTCTAAAACACCAAAAGCAATGGCGACAAAAGCCAAAATTGACAAATGGGATCTAATTAAACTAAAGAGCTTCTGCACAGCAAAAGAAACAACCATCAGAGTGAACAGGCAACCTACAGAATGGGAGAAAATTTTTGCAACCTACTCATCTGACAAAGGGCTAATACCCAGAATCTACAGTGAACTCCAACAAATTTACAAGAAAAAAACAACCCCATCAAAAAGTGGGTGAAGGATATGAACAGACACTTCTCAAAAGAAGACATTTATGCAGCCAAAAAAAACACGTGAAAAAATGCTCATCATCACTGGCCATCAGAGAAATGCAAATCAAAACCACAATGAGATACCATCTCACACCAGTTAGAATGGCGATCATTAAAAAGTCAAGAAACAACAGGTGCTGGAGAGGATGTGGAGAAATAGGAACACTTTTACACTGTTGGTGGGACTGTAAACTAGTTCAACCATTGTGGAAGTCAGTGTGGTGATTCCTCGGAGATCTAGAACTAGAAATACCATTTGACCCCGCCATCCCATTACTGGGTATATACCCAAAGGATTATAAATCATGCTGCTATAAAGACACACGCACATGTATGTTTACTGCGGCACTATTCACAATAGCAAAGACTTGGAACCAACCCAAATGTCCAACAATGATAGACTGGATTAAGAAAATGTGGCACATATACCATGGAATACTATGCAGCCATAAAAAATGATGAGTTCATGTCGTTTGTAGGGACATGGATGAAGCTGGAAACCATCATTCTCAGCATACTTTTACAAGGACAAAAAACCAAACACCGCATGTTCTCACTCATAGGTGGGAATTGAACAATGAGAACACATGGACACAGGAAGGGGAACATCACACACCAGGGCCTGTTGTGGGGTGGGGGGAGGGGGAGGGATAGCATTAGGAGATATACCTAATGTTAAATGGCGAGTTACTGGGTGCAACACACCAACATGGCACATGTATACATATGTAACAAACCTGCACGTTGTGCACATGTACCCTAAAACTTTCATAAAAAAAAAAGAAACTGTGGTATTGGCAAAAGAATAGGTAAATAGTGTTTTTTTGCTCAATTTTGAGTATTTTTAAATACTCAAATACTTATAATTCCCTGCCTTATGAGATTATTTTTGCTCTGAAAAGCTAGCTGTCAAGAAAAATTCAAGGAAAAAAATAGTCTTTTATATTCACTTATTTATGATTTCTGGTGCTCTTCATTTCTTCCTTTATAGCTGGGTTTCCATCTTCAGCCTGAAGAAAATCCTTTAGCAAATCTTCTAGCAGCAGATTATTTCATCTTCTATCTTAAAATGCCTTTACCTTAACCTCATTTTTAAAGGATATTGCACTGGAATATCTGGCTTGATAGTTTTCTCCTTTTCAACATTTTGAAAGATGTTGTCAATTGTCTTCTGCGCTTTATTGTTTTTATTTATTTATTTTATTTTATTTTTTTGGAGACAGAGTCTCACTCTCTCACCCAGGCCGGAGTGCAGTGGCGTGATCTTGGCTCACTGCAACCTCTGCCTCCTGGGTTCAAGTGATTCTTGTGCTTCAGCCTCCTGAGTAGCACTGGGATTACAGACATGTGCCACCACACCTGGCTAATTTTTTGATTTTTAGTAGAGACAGGGTTTTTCCATGTTGACCAGGCTGGTCATGAACTCCTGGCCTCAAGCGATCCACCTACTTTGGCCTCCCAAAGTGCTGGGATTATAGGCATGAGCCACCGCGCGTGGACCTGGCCTTTATTGTTTATGGTAAGAAGTCAGCTGTGATTCATTTTATACCTCCTGTGTATATGATGTGTGCTTTTCCTCTGGCTTCTTTCAATATTTTATCTTTATCTTTGGTTTTTATCATTTTGACTATTATATACCTAGGTGTGATTTTCTTTGCATTTATCCTCCTTGGGGTTTGCTGAGCTTTTCACACCTTAATATTTTTCATGAAATTTTAGGGAATTTTGTTCATGGTTTTTTGATGTTTTTCTTGTCCTATTCTCATTTTATTCTCCTATCCTCCTTCTGGGACTCCCATTGCACATATTTTAGACTGGTTGATATTTTCCTACAGGTTTCTAAGACTATTCATTTTTCTTCAGTCTTTTTTTTCTTTATTCTCCAGATTGGATAGTTTTTGTTATTTGTCTTCAGTGATTTTACTGACTCTTCTGTCACCTCTAATCTGCTATTAAACCTATCAAGTGAATTCTTCATTTCAATTATTTAACTTTTCAGTTATAGAATTTCTTTTTGGTTCTTTTTGTATAGTGTTATCTGCTGACATTTCCTATCAGTTCACTCATTAAGGCCGCCTTTTAAGCCTTTGAACATATTTATAATAGATTCTTTAAAGTCTTTCCTAAATGTAATATCTGTACCATATCAGGTTCTGTTTCTTTTCTTTTTTCAGAGACAGGGTCTCACTCTGTCACCAGGCTGAAAAGTGCAGTGGCACAGTCATAGCTCCTGCAGCCTCCAACTCCTGGGCTCAAGTGATCCTCCCACCTCAGCCTCTTGAGTAGCTAGGACCCACAGGCATGTACCACCACGCCCGGCTAATTTTTAAATTTTTTTGTAGAGATGAGTCTTTCCATGTTGCCTAGGCTAGTCTCAAACTCCTGGCCTCAAGCGATCTCCCTGCCTTGGCCCCTCAAAGTGCTGGGATTATAGGCATGAGCCTGGCCCTCAGGTTCTGTTTCTATTAGTTGCTTTTTTTCCCCCTTGACTGTGGGTTATCATTTCCTATTTCTTTGCATATTTAGTACATTTTTGTTTTATACTGGGCAATATGATCATATTCTATATTGTGTTATCTATCTCTGGAGAGTATTAATTTTTGCTCTAGTAGGCTATGCACCTTGACCTTGTACAGGCTTGTTTTTATGCATTTTAAAGGGTAGGTCTGTAGAAAGCCAATGCATTTTTCAAACTCTTCTAATTTGATACCATTTAGCCTCCAAACTCTATCTCCTCTGTGGGTTTTGTCAAGGAATGGCTTTAGACTTTTTTGGGGTGGGTCTAGAGCACACCTTCATCGACAGTATGGTTTTTATTACTAAAGCATTATCTGTGGGGCATCTCAGCTAGACACCAGCAGTTTTAACAAGGTCTCCCCATTTCTAGCTAGGCCTGAAGGCCAACATTTTTCAGCACTGGAAAATCTTGCTAGTGTCTTGTTACATTCTCAACTCCATAGCACCTGCTCTGTGGGAAATCATATGTAGTCTCACTCTCTGCATGGATAGTCCAGACCTTGGCCAAGGACTCATGGGGAGCTCCTACACAGACTTTAGTACCCTGCTCTTTGTATCTCCCTCTTCTCCAGTGCCCTGCCCTGCAGATTCCAGGTACTTTCACAACTCCAAAATCTATTCTCTGCCTCCTCAGCTTAGTGGGACCACTGTCCTCTGCTTGGGTTCCATGTCCCTGTTCTGTAGATGGGAAAATTTCCCCAGGCAGACACCCAGGGAAATAACAGGACTAACCTGGTGAGTTTCCCTTCTCTCAAGGGATTGTAACCTTGTGCTATCTATTGTCCAGTGCCTGAAAACAACTGTCTCATATATTTTATCCAGTTTTACAGTAGTTTTTGGTTTGAGGGCTCATTTGGTTATTTCATTAATGCTGGGAGGAGAAGCCCCAGTACATAGTTTTGCTATGTGTTCGTAATGTCATCTGATTGAAAATTTTCTATCTACTTCATCTTTAACAGTTGAAGACCTATGTGAAGAGGTAACTTGATACTGATAATGATCTCTTTCTTCCTCCTTATCCCCACATGATCTCAGCAAAAATGTAAACTCATGTTTAAATGGACATGGTGGTTTGTTTAGTGGTTATTTGAGGACTTGTAGATGGTAAACATTTTAAGTCTCTCATTTTGTAATGGTAGTTTGGCTCTCTTAAAAGTTCAGATTTGGCTGGGTGAGGTGGCTCATGCCTGTAATCCCAGCACTCTGGGAGGTTGAGGCAGGAAGATCTCTCGAGACCAGCCTGGGCAACATAGTGAGACCCTGTATCTACAAAAAATTACAACAATTTCCCTAAACAGTTTAATATAAAGAAAAAAGATTAGCTGGGCATCGTGTACACCTGTAGTTCTAGTGAGTTGGGAGGCTGAGGTAGGAGGATCCTTTGATCCCAGAAGTTGAAGGCTGCAGTGAGCTATGATCACCCCACTGCACATAGCCTGGGCCACAGAACATGATCCTGTCTCAGACAGACAGACAGACAGATAGATAGATGATAGGTAGATAGATAAGTAAGTAAAAGAGTCCAGATTCAAAATTACTTCAGATCTTTGAAGATAGTACTGGATCATCTTCTGACATTTAGCATTGCTAACTCATGGGTTTTTTTTGCTAATTTAATTTTTTTGGTAGCTCGTAGGGTTTTCTGCTTATCCTTGTTATTTTGGGTTTCACTGTGATGTGTTAACTATGTGGCTTTTTTAATTTTTGCTTTTGCCTTGTTTTTTCGAAATTTAGCCTGCTTGACGTTTGGTAAAACTGTTCAGATAGCACTTACATCTGTCTTTGTTTTATATTTCTCAGTCATTATTTCTTCTGGATCTATTTTTAATGTCTCTTGCCTTTTCTTTTAATTGATATAAAATTCATATATCATAAACACAACCATTTTAAAGTATACAATTTGGTGGTTTTTAGTATATTTTCGGGATTGTATAACTAATATTTTTTGGCAGGGTCTCACTCTGTCACCCAGGCAGGAGTGCAGTGGCGTGATCATGGTTCACTGCAGCCTCTACCTCCTGGCCTGAGGTAATCCTCCCACTTCAGCCCTCTGAATAGTTGGGACTAGAGCTGTGCACCACCACACCTAGTTAATTTTTTTGTTTTTGTTTTTTTTGGTTTTTGTTTTGTTTTGTTTTGTTTTTGTTTCTGAGATGGAGTCTTGCTCTGTTGCCCAGGCTGGAGTGTAGTGGCGCGATCTCGGCTCACTGCAAGCTCCACCTCCTGGGTTCATGCCATTCTCCTGCCTCAGCCTCCCGAGTAGCTGGGACTACAGGCGCCTGCCACCAAGCCTGGCTAATTTTTTTTTGTATTTTTAGTAGAGACAGAGTTTCACTGTGTTAGCCAGGATGGTCTCGATCTCCTGACCTCGTGATTCGCCCACCTTGGCCTCCCAAAGTGCTGGGATTACAGGCGTGAGCCACTGCACCCTGCCATTTTTTTGTATTTTTTATAGAGATGGGGTTTTGCCAAGGGGTGGTCTCAAACTTCTGGGCTCAAGTGGTCCTCCCGCCTTGGCCTCCCAAAGTGCTGGGACTATAGGCATGAGCCACTGCTTCCTGCCTGTATAACTGTTATCACTATCCAATTCCAGTACATTTTCATCCAGAAAAAGAAACCGTGTACTCATTAGCAGTCACTCTGCTTACTTTCATTCTCTATGCCTTGGCAAACACTAATCTACTTTCTGTCTCTGTCGATTTGCTTATTTTGGACATCTCATATAAATGGAATCATACAATATGTAGCATTTAGTGTGTGGGTTCTTTAAGCATTATATTTTCAAGGCCTATCCATGTTGTTTCATGTAACAGTACTTCATTTCTTTTTATGGCTGAATACTCCCCATTTGGTTAAGCCATTCATCATTTGATGGACATTTGGGTTGTTTCCACTTTTAGCTGTTCTGAGTAATCCTGCTATGAGCATTCATGTACTAAGTTTTCTTTTACATTTGCTCTTTTACTGTGTCCAATCTAACCATCCATAGAGTTTTAATTTCAAACACTGTATCTTTAATTTCTTTTCTTTTTTTTGTATCTTTAATTTCTAAGATTTCTTTTTTTTTTTTTTTTTTTTTGAGAGTCTCGCTCTATCGCCCAGGCTGGAGTGCAATGGCGTGATCTCAGCTCACTGCAACCTCCACCTCCCTGGTTCTAGCAGTCCTCCTGCCTCAGCCTCCCAAGTAGCTGGGATTACAGGCATTCACCACCATGCCCGGCTAATTTTTTAAATATTTTTAGTAGAGACGGGGTTTCACCATGTTGTCCAGGCTGGTCTTGAACTCCTGACCTCAGGTGATCCACCCGTCTTAACCTCCCAAAGTGCTGGGATTACAGGCATGAGCCACCGTGCCGAGCCAGTTTCCAAGATTTCTAATACCCCATTACTTTCTGTTTAATTTACGACAGTGTTTCCTTGTTTCATGGCTTCTTTTTCTTTTTAAAGGTATAAAATATAGATACTTATTTAAAAATCTCTCCCAGATTGTTCTATTAACTTTATTTCCTTAGGTATAAGTGCATTGGTTGATGTGTATTATCGTTTTCATGGTATTAATCTTCTTTGCCTGGTAATTTTTAATTAAGAGCTAATTGTTCATGATATGTTTAATCTGAACACATTTTGTGTTGACAACTGTCCCGTAGGAGGCTCTCTGAGTTGCTGAGCCTTAGCCTTGTATGATGTATACCTAGGATTAATCTTTGTATGGGTGGTAAGATGCAAAGCTCTTGCATCTTAATAGATTATATAGTTCTGAGTCCTTTCACCACTTACATGAAATGGCTCTATGGCCCTCATCTCATATCAGTGAGGCTGCTGCCAGAATCCCCTTGGCTGTAACCAACATTCAGGTAGACAGGCAGTGCACCTCTAGTCCTTGTTCATGTGTTGCTCCCTTGCTTAGACCTCCTGTGTGTGGCTCTTGCTCTTAAACCTATGAGTGTTACAGTATTAGCTCTATGTTTTTTCCTAGTCTAGGCCCAAATACTATGCATCTTTTTAGTTCTTGTCTACTATTGTGGAATCTCTCTTTTGTTCCCTTTTTGTTGTTCTTTTCAAAGGAGGAGAAAGAAGAACACCTTTCCATTTCTGGTCTATAAAGATTTCTCTCTTCTGGCCAGATATGGTGGCTTACACCTGTAATCCCAGCACTTTGGGAGGCCAAGGCGGGCAGATCACTTGAGGCCAAGAGTTCAAGACCAGCCTGGCCAACATGGCAAAACCTGTCTCTACTAAAAATACAAAAATTAGCCAGGCATGGTGGCACAACCCTGTGATCCTACTTACTCAGGAGGCTGAGGCAGGAGACCCTGTTGAACCTGGGAGGCAGAGGTTGCAGTGAGCCAAGATCATGCTACTGCACTGCAGCCTGGGTGACAGAGCAAAACTCTGTCTTAAAAAAAAAAAAAAATTTCTGTTTTCTTTTTTTCTCACCATGACTATGTATTTATTAAGATTTAAAAATATTTGTATTATTTTATATGTTTGAACAGGAAGATGAGATTTCAGCATATGCTTAATTCATCTTGAAATCAAAGGCTTTTACTTAGTTTTTGTTTCACCTTTTTACATTTAACTGTAGTCAACCTATCTGGATTTGTATGTTTGTGTGTGTGGAGTGAGACTACTGAAATTGATTTCCCCCCAAATATCTACACAATTTATTTTAAATTAGTAAGATTTCTGAAGAATTCAGTTATTTACAAACCTTTTCTCATATATCCACATTTACCCCATTTCTGTACTGTCTTACTAATCAAACTGAAATAGGATTCAGGTACAATTTTTTCTTATTTCACAGAATGGTAATTGAATCACAGAAAAGGGGGGTTGCCTTAGGTCAGAAAGTTGATCAGTGGTGAAACTGAAGATTGACGTAAGACATCCTGGTTTAGTGCTAAGTTCATTAAACTTCAGTGTAGCATACCCTTGCTGTCCTATTATCAAGGGCTTTGTAACTGAATTAGGTTTGAAAAACAAACTAATGGCAAGAACAATATTACCCATTAAGATTGATAGCTACAATTTTTGTTTTGTTTTTTTTTTTTTGAGATGGAGTTTTGCTCTTGTTGCCCAGGCTGGAGTGCAATGGCACGATCTTGGCTCACTGCAACCTCCACCTCCCAGGTTCAAGCAAGTCTCCTGCCTCAGCCTCCTGAGTAGCTGGGACTACAGGAGCATGCCACCACACCTGGCTAATTTTTGTATTATTAGTAGAGACGGGGTTTCACCATGTTGATCAGGCTGGTCTCGAACTCCTGACCTCAGGTGATCCACCCACCTTGGCCTCCCAAAGTGCTGGAATTACAGACGTGAGCCACCGTGCCCAGCCGATAGCTAGGATTTGATCTTGGGAATGTGCACACTTTTTTGAGGTGGTTAAAACATTATGAGATATGTAGCATGAATGCCTTAGGAGAAACTTGTGCTGTTATTTTAGGGCATATTTTTTTAATCATCGTTAGGTTTTTAAAGTTTAATTTTTGTGTAATATCAACATTGTCAACCTCAATAACAAAGCAGGCCAGGCGCGGTGGCTCATGTCTGTAATCCCAGCACTTTGGGAGGCTGAGGCAGGCGGATCACCTAAGATCGGGAGTTCGAGACCAGCCTGGCCAACGTGATGAAACCCCATCTCTATTAAAAATACAAAAAAAAAAAAAAAAAGCCTAGCGGGGCATGGTGGTGCATGCCTCTAATCCCAGCTACTTGGGTGGCTGAGGCATAAGCATCACTTGAACCCAGGAGGCGGATGTTGCAGCGAGCCGAGATAGCGCCATTGCACTCCAGCCTGGGTGACAGAGTAAGACTCCGACTCAAAAAAAAAAAAAAAGGTACATGCCTGAGAGTCATTCTTGAATTTTTCAGCCTTCAGCTCTAAATTAGTTCATGTACTAGACTTGTGTTTATTACATAATGAGTTGATTTATTAAAAAATACAAGAATATCAGAACTATCAGTTCTGAAGCTATCTGGCATTAAACATGACCTTGTGGAAATTAACAGAAAATAAAAATTGATTTAGCAAATGTAAAAAATTGAAAAGATGAGGTTAAATGTCCTAATCCCATAAAGTAATTCTAAATGTTCAAGCAATTTGCTGATGCATAGCCATTTCCAGTCATATTTTAAATCTTGTAGATAATCTTTTCATCAGGGAAAAGCCTTCTTGGCTCACCAGTTTAATAAACAAATCCAGAAATCCTGGTTCTTATCCAAACTGCTTGTTTGACTTTGTTGCCATTTCTTCTCACACAGAAATACAGTCCATACTGCCCGGAATCTCTGCAAAGCTGACTTGGACTTCAGAGGAAGGCAGCTATTCTCAGGATATGACAGGGGTAACACCCTTCCAGATGATTTTTGAGGCAGGTTTTGTTGTGGTCTTATAAATTACTAATGATTTTATTCTTATTTTTCTGCAATCTAATAACAAGAAAGAAAAGCCTAGGTCCATCAAAGTTCCAAGCTGGAATGAAATAAGGCAATGGTTCCCAAACTTGCCTGTGCAGACATTAGATCACCTAGGAGCTCCCAAAATACTGTCGTCTGTGTCCCACTCTGAGTGATTGTGATTTAATTGGTCTGGGTGTTGTAATTATTAGTCTTCTTGGGCTGCCATAACAAAATACCACAGACTAGATGGCTTAAGCAATAGAGATTTATTTTCTCACAGTTCTGGAGGCTAGACGTCCAAGATCAAGGTGCTGTCAGGGCTGGCTTTGGTGAGGCCTCTCTTCCTGGCTTGTAGACTACTGCCTTGTCACTGTGTCCTTACATGGCTTTTTTTCTGCATGTGGATGAAAAGAAAGAGATCTCTAATGTCTCTTTATTTTTATTGAAAATTTTTTTGGTAGAGATGTGGTCTTGCTATGTCGCACAGTCTGGAGTGCAGTGGCTATTCACAGGTGCAGTCATAGCACACTACAGACTTGAACTCCTGAGCTTAAGTGATCTTCCTGCCTCAGCCTGCCGAGTAGCTGGTAGCTGGGACTACAGGTGGGAACTACTGGCACCTGGCTCTGGTGTATCTTTTTATAAGGACACCAGTCCTATTAAGACCTGGGGTCAGTGCCCTACCCTTGTGACCTCATTTAATCTTAATAACCTCCTGAGGGCCCTGCCTCCAAACACAGTCACTTTGGGGCTTAGAACTTCAGCATATGGATTTTGAGGGACACACTCAGTCCGTAATAGGTATGGCATAGGCTTTGGAACATTTTTTAGATCCCAGGTGATTCCTAATATGCAGATGAATTTGAGAACCACTGAAACAAGCCCTTATTTGAATTTGGATCTCCTAATAAAGAAAATTAAAAGTGACTCCCAGTGCAGATCCTACCTGGATACATTTTTATTAGTTTGGTTTAGAGATCTCTTTATCGACTTATTTGTAGTCCAGATTTATGAGGGTGATAATTCATTCTCCATTCCCTTTAACAGGTCTCTCATCTCCTATTTTCCTTCCTTAGAGTTGGTGGAGACATAACGAATTAGAGTGCTTTAAACATTCTCCCAGGAAGCCCTTGGGCAGCCTTTCTCCATGTTTGAATAATTATATGCTCATTCTGAAAGGAATGGGTATGGTATCAGGACAACAGATATCCCTGGCTGTGCCTTATCTTCTTTAGGAGAATGGAGGGTAAACAATCTGGAGCAATTAATGGTTAGTCAGCTCTGAAACTATTCATGTCAAGTAGCAATAAAAAGGTGATTCCAGTGAACCAAGAAGGGCAATTCTAGGAAATGAGGTTCTGTGTTTCAGTCAGCCTGAACAAGCAGTAAGTTGTATACATAACATTTATATATATTATGTAAGCATCCTGACAAGTCTATGAAGTGGGTAGGATGAGGATTATCACCCCATTTTACAGACCAGAAAGTTGAGATTCAGAGAACTTGACTGACTCTCCCAGTGTCATACAACAGTTAAATGGCAGAATTAGAACTTGAACCAAAGTCTGACTCATATAGATCAGGGCTATTTCAATATTTACTTATTCATCCAGACGTGTGTTTGTTCAAGTCAGTGTCAGTGAGCTAGATACTATCTGTAGGTACAGTGTCTTAAGATATGTTACTTGATCCTGGCTGGGCGCCGTGGCTCACACCTGTAATCCCAGCACTTTGGGAGGCTGAGGCGGGTGGATCATGAGGTCCGGAGATTGAGACCATCCTGGCTAACACGGTGAAATCCCGTCTCTACAAAAAATACAAAAAATTAGCCGGGTGTGGTGGCAGCCTGTAGTCCCAGCTACTCTGGAGGCTGAGGCAGGAGAATGGTGTGAACCCGGGAGGCGGAGCTTGAAGTGAGCCGAGATGGCGCCATTGCACTCCAGCATGGGTGATAGAGTGAGACTCTGCCTCAAAAAAAAAAAAGATATGTTACTTGATCCCAAGGAACCTGGAATATAAATAGAAAGATCAAGAAGTAAACACGTAATTACAATACGGTGTGATTCCCAGGATGGATGATAGAAGTGAGCCCTGAATGCTATGTTAGCATGGAGGAAGGGCATCTAATCCATGGGAAGAGGTTGAAGTCTGGAGGTCTTGATGAGACTGAAAAACAGATTTGCTGGGTGTAGGAGATTCTGACACTTGAAAGAATAGGAAGTTGTTATCAGAGTGATAAAGTTTCTCTTATTTCTTTATTGCAAAAGTAGTGTTTCCCTCAGAAAAATCAAAGTATGATCAAAACAAACATTTAGAATACACATAATTTGGCCTTTCAAGGCAGCCGTTATTAACACCTTGGTGTACATCTTTTCACAATAGAGTGGGACATTTCAATTTAAGATTTTCAGAATGGAACAGTTCCAAGCCGTGGCCATGGAAATAGGTGGCTGGGAATGAGTGGAGGTCAAGGTCATTATTGTTGAAGAGGTCAGGGAACTGTGAGACTAAGTTATTGCTTAGGCTAGTTATCTGCTTGGATATGGATGTCAGTCAAGATGATGACAGCATTTGGCATACAGAGGAAAACTGTGAGCTTAGTGACCAGCAGTCAGCTGGTGATGGAGATGAGAAGTAAAATAATAGTATAGTCAAACGGCATTAGCCTCAAGGGAACAAGGATTTCCTCATGCATTTCTTCCATTATATCTCATTGTTTTTGGTACTGTGCAGCTATGTAGACAATATTTGAATGAAGAGAATGAGAAGAGATAAAAGGGAGATTGTAAAAGATTTCATCATGGATGCCTCAATTGAGGAGAAAGGTTAAGTAGCAAGGTTCACAGCAAAGGCTAATAGAGACTCCATGGAAAAGCTATAATAAATGATCCATTAATTTGGGCCTGCGAGGAAAGTCAATTGCAAGGAAGACTGAGGAAAGTTTCATTTAGGAGAGATATTGGGTTTTGTGTTTATGCCCACAGCTAGTCTTACATCTTGGTGTTCATTAGGCTGGGTAACATGTCCCTTCAAAAGCAATCTGATTTTATAAGATCTTCTTGACAGCTTTATCCAGTTTAATATTTATTTTTGTAATAATACTAAGTGATCAAGTGAATGGAGTTATACATATATACATACAAACATATATATGCACAAACATATCTATATATTTATACATCTGTACTTCTGTGTGTATGTATCTAAGGTGAGGGGGCAAGAGAGAGAGACAGACTTTCTTCTAGAAAGTGATATAAGGGCTCATGACTGTATAAGTTCATATTTGAAAACATACTTCTATATTCTGTCATATAATTAGACATATTTAAAGGTGAAGGCTAAAACCATATGATTCAATAGTAGTTTCTGCTGTGCACGGCTGGCAGCATCTATTTTTTTCATAACAGTAAATAAGTAAATTCACTGCTTCTGTAGGTATGTCAGGCTGGGGTACTGGGTCTCTAACACCCAACACCCAACTGTAAAAGGCTTTGTCATCTCTCTCTTCCTCTTTCTAATAATTTTTTTTTTTTTTTTTGGGAGGGAGTCTTGCTCTGTGGCCCAGGCTGGAGTGTAGTGGCGCGATCTCAGCTCACTGCAAGCTCCGCCTCCCAGGTTCATGCCATTCTCCTGCCTCAGCCTCCTGAGTAGCTGGGACTACAGGCACTCGCCACCATGCCTGGCTAATTTTTTATATTTTTAGTAGAGATGGGCTGTGTTAGCCAGATGGTCTCGATCTTCTGACCTCATGATCCGCCTGCCTCGGCTTCCTAAAGTGCTGGGATTACAGGCGTGAGCCGCCGCACCCAGCTTCCTCTCTCTAATAATTCTATGAGTAGATCTTAAAAGGGTCCTCTAACCCCTTTTAAGGGGTTAGTTGTGTTGTATTAATTATCCTCTCTGACCTGACATTAGTCACTTTATCCTAACTCTGGGATAGGTGTCGGTCCTTCTGCTGTATTCCTTTAGCACCTCATTTATCTAAATTTCACATTGTCATATAAATTAGTCTGTCTCATCTACTGAACTGTGAACTCTTCTAATTCTGAGATTGTCTTATTTATTTTTATAAGCCCAGGTACATAATAAGCCACATTAATATTTTATGAGTGAGTAAATGCATATATTGAGTAGCCATACATAAGCATTGCTTGTCAGGCTCCATAAAAAATAATGATGGATTATATATTACCCCATTCAGATAGCTACCTGTATACACAGAAAATGAACATTTTTGGAGAGGCAGCATTGGATAGTAGAATGTGGACTTTGGAGTTAGTCAGCTCTAGGTTTGAATCCCAGTGCTGCCACTTAACTAGCTGTGTATGACCTTGGACAAATTAATTAGCTTATTGAGTCTCATTATCCTCTTCTATAAAATGGAGTTATTTCTTACTTGCATAGAAACTGCTTGACATGTAGCAAGTAGTCAGTAAATATCATCATTATTCATTGTAGTCTCTCTCCAGTAGTTGCTCAAGGAACTTTCACTTCGGTTGTCTTACTGTTAGATATAATTAGCCCTCTCTATGATACGCCCTATAATCACCAAGGTTACAAAGCTTTGAAAGTGTTCCAAGAAGTTGTTTTGGAAGTGGTAAGCACAGAAAATGCTTTAAAGACTATTGCTTTTTGGTTTAAACATTTTATACTAAAATTTTAAAAATGAAGGATGTGACTATGATATGTATACCAATTGCAGTTATTATTTAATTACCACTGTTAACATGCATGAATAATCCTAGACATATTTACAGAATTTTCTAATAATCCCCCATCCATTTTGGTAATAATGTTTTTTTTTTTTTGAGATGGAGTCTCACTCTGTCACCCAGGCTGGAGTGCAGTGGCACGATCTCAGCTCACTGCAACCTCCATTCCAGGTTCAAGTGATTCTGGTGTCTTAGCCTCCCAAGTAGCTGGGATTACAGGTGCACGCCATCTGTAATCGGCTAATTTTTTTTTGTATTTTTTCAGTAGAGATGGGGTTTCACCATGTTGGCCAGGCTGGTCTTGAACTCCTGACCTCAAGTGATCTGCCCGCCTCAGCATCCGAAAGTGCTGGGATTACAGGCATGAGCCACTGTGCCCAGCCCATTTTTGTTAATTTTTTCAAATACTTTTTCAAATAATTTTTTCTTTTTTTGTTTTTTTTTTTTTTTTTTTTAGACAGAGTCTTTCTCTGTCACCTAGCCTGGAGTACAGTGGTGTGATCTTGGCTCACTGCAACCTCCGCCTTCCAGGTTCAAGCAGTTCTCTGCCTCAGCCTCCCGAGTAGCTGGGATCACAGGTGCCCGTCACCACTCCAGGCTAATTTTTGTATTTTTAGTAGAGACGGGGTTTCATCATCTTGGCCAGCCCTGGTCTTGAACTCCTGACCTCAGGTGATCCACCCGCCTTGGCCTCCCAAAGTGCTGGGATTACAGGTGTGAGCCACTGCACCTGGCCCAATTTTTTCTATCTTTAATCCCAACCTATTGCCACAGTTTTTGACTTCTTTTTCAGTGTACTTATAAAAAACATTAAAAGGCCAGGTGCAGTGGCTTATGTGTAATTCTAGTGCTTTGGGAGGCCAAGGTGGGAGGACTGCTTGAGGCCAAGAGTTTGAGACCAGCCTGGGCAACATAATGAGACCCTGTCTCTACAGAAAATTAAAAAATAAAAATTATCCAGGTGTGGTGATACACACTTGTAGTCCTGGCTATTTGGGAAGCTGAGGTGGGAGGGTTGCTGGAGCCCAGAAGTTCGAGGTTACAGTTAGCTATGATCATGCCACTGCATTCCAGCCTGAGTGACAAAGCGAGACCCTGTTTCTAAAAAAAAAAAAAAAAAAAAGTAATAAAATAAAAATATTGTAATAGTTTATCCTTCTATATTTGCATGTTTCTTCTTTTTGTATTATCATATTTTGACATCTGGGACCATTTTTTTTGTTTTTTGTTTTTAACATATACCTAGTACATGGCTGTGTATTCTCTGAGCCAACAATAAAAACCTACTGATTTCTGATTGTATTTCTTCTTTCATTTTTTTGGAGTTCTGCATTTTCTAGGAGACTGTTTCTAACTTTGGTTTTAGGAACACTATAATAGTGAGTCAGTATAGGTAAGTGGTTAATGCTAAAGATTTATAGCCAAGTTGACCTGGCTAACCTTGGACAAGCTGTTTAACCTTTTTGAGACTCTTTTGTAAAATATTTATTTTTATTTTCCTTCATTTTTAAAAATCCAGATCCTGCACAATCTTTTATTTATAAAATTTGGGTACCTAATAGAGTTTTTGTGAAGGTTAAATGAGATAATATAAATAAGATACCTTAGCACCATCCCTGCTGTAAAATCATCACCTAGTGGTAAATCTTATATTTGTAGGGAAGTGTTTGTAGTATATTGGCAAGAACATGGGCAATTAGTATTAGAAAGACTTAAGGTCACTCACAAAACAAAAAAGAAAGACTTACAGTCAAGTTCTGGCTATACTACTGAACAGCTAAGTGACCTTAGGCATGTTGCTTAACTTCTCTGAGCCTTTTTAAAAAAATCTACAAAGAAGGGGCCAGGCGCAGTGGCTCACTTCTGTAATCCCAGCACTTTGGGAGGCCGAGGTGGGCAGATCACCTGAGGTGAGGAGTTCGAGACCAGCCTGGCCAACATGGCGAAACCCCGTCTCTACAGAAAATACAAAAAATCAGCCAGGCATGATGGCACGCACCTGTAGTCCCAGCTACTCAGGAGGCTGAGGCAGGAGAATCGCTTGAACCCGGGAGGCAGAGGTTGCAGTGAGCCGAGATCACACCACTGTACTCCAGCCTGGGCAACAAGAGCAAAACTCCATCTCAAAAAAAAATATATATATATATACAAAGAAGAGATTGTAATACCTACCTTACAGGATTATTGTGAGGTAGTATATATATAGCAACTGCACAACACTTGTCACATAGTAGGTATTCAATGAGTGATATCTATTATTGTTACCATGTATAATATACACTTTCTTTCCTTCTTTTTTTTTTTTTTTTCGAGACAGAGTCTAGCTCTGTCACCCAGGCTGGAGTGCAGGGGCACCATCTTGGTTCACTGCAACCTCCACCTCCCAGGTTCAAGTGATTCTCCTGCCTTAGCCTCCTGAGTAGCTGGGATTGCAGGCGCATGCCACCACACCTGGCTAATTTTTGTGTTTTTAGTAGAGATGGGGTTTCACCATTTTGGCCAGGTTGGTCTCGAACTCCTGACCTCAGGTAATTAGCCCACCTCGGCCTCCCAAAGTGCCGGGATTACAGGCATAAGCTAACACGCCCAGCCTACAATTTCAAATATATGGATCCTTAAAACAGTTCTGTGAGGTCAAAGCGGTAGGTTTTATCCCTATTTTGCAGATTAGGAAATGAGGTCCAGAGCAGTGATTTTTTTTTTTTCAAGAGTATTTAAGTAATTTTTTTTTTTTACAGAACCAGTACTAGAACACAGGTCTTCTGACTTTTGAGCTTTTTGCTCTTCAGCTTTTCCTTATAAATAAATGTTTGGATTAATGGATTGATGTCAAAAATAGGTTCCTTTTAGTGTTTGCTCCTTCCGACTCCACTCAGATTCTTTTTTTAAAATTTCTTTCTAAAAAAGCATAACTCAGATTCTTAATACAGATTGTTCCAAAGCACATTAGGATGGTGGAGTTATTCTTACCAACTTCAGTCTGAATTACTTTTAAATTTGTCCCCAAAGGTGGTTTTGACATTATGGGTTTTACTCTGATCTTTATTCTCGTGTCTTCTGAAGTTCCGTGTAATAGATACTCTAACCCAAGAAGTGATGGCTATTTAGATTTTCTTTTGCATACAATTCTCATTCCCAAAGATGTCTCCCTTTGGTTGTCCAAAAAGCTTTCTGAGGTATAGTTACTTTTAGAAGAGGAAATACCGTTTTAATTCATTTGTGCTCTTGAGATTGTGTATGTGTGGTAGGTGTTTTTGTTGTATTATTACAGGTTGATGAAAAGCCCAGAACCTTGATGACAGATTGTCTGGTTATAAAGCATTTTTTACGTAAAATCATCATGGTGCACCCTAAGGTAAGCTGTTCCTTTGTACAATAATGATTCTCTTATTTAAGTCATTGTTTTCCAGAGACCTTTACTGTGTAGGACATGGACAGATGTGATTGGTTCTTTTTCTTTCAATGAAGATGATTAAAACGTTTAATATTTGAGGTCATGGTGGCTCATACCTGTAATCCCAACATTTTGGGAGGCCGAGGCGGGAGGATCGCTTGAGTCCAGGAGTTTAAGACCAGCCAAGGCAACATGGTGAGACTCTGTCTCTACAAAAAAAATTTTAAAAATTAGCCAGGTGTGGTAGTGAGCTCCTGTAATCCCAGTTCCTCAGGAGGGTGAGGTGAGAGGATTGCTTGAGCCCAGGAGGTTGAGGCTGCAGTGAGCCATGATTGTGCCACTGCCCTCCAGCCTAGGTGACAGAGCGAGACCCTGTCTTTGGAAAAAAAAAAAAAAAAAGACAACTTTCAACTTTCAATATTGAATTGATTTGGTTTCTATGTCCTTAAGACAGTTGTTTTTTTTTTTTTAGAGAGACAAGGTCTCACTATATTGCCTAGGCTAGTCTCTAACTCCCAGGCTTTAACAATCCTTCTGCTTTGGCCTCCCAGTGTGCTGGGATTACAGGTGTGAGGCACTGCACCTGGCCCAAGGCAATCTTTTTTTTTTTTTTTGAGACAGAGTCTTACTCTGTTGCTTAGGCTGGAGTGCAGTGGCATGATCTCGGCTCACTGCAACCTCTGCCTCCCAGATTCAAGCCATTCTCCTGCCTCCGCCTTCCTAGTAGCTGGGATTACAGGTGTGCACCACCATGCCCGGCTAATTTTTGTATTTTCAGTAGAGACAGGGTTTCACTGTGTTGGCCAGGCTGGTCTCAAACTCCTGACCTCAGGTGATCCACACACCTCAGCCTCCCAAAGTGCTGGGATTACAGGCCTGAGTCACCACACCCAGCCAAGGCAATCTTAATGTTGGTTATGTGTTATAGCGAGAAACCTCTGGATAGAGAGAGCTTTGTTTTGGGTTATTTTCACTTTTTTTTATTGCTTTATTGTATCACTTTAGATACCTCTTCCCTCCTCTGTGCTTTGTTTTTTGTTAAAGCTAGATAATAAACCTTGCTGTTTATCTCCTTTTCTAAAGTGACTATAAGAACAAATAAGGACTTTTTTTTTTCCTGAGACAGGGTTTTGCTCTGTCACCCACGCTGGAGTGCAGTGACTTGATCTCGGCTCACTGCAGCCTCTACCTCCAAGGTTCAAGTCATTCTCCTGCCTCAGCTCCCTGAGTAGCTGGGATTACAGGTGTGCACCACCACACCTCGCTAATTTTTGTATTTTTAGTAGAGATGGGATTTCGCCATGTTGGCCAAGCTGATCTTGAACTCCTAGCCTCAAGTGATCCACCTGTCTCAGACTCTCAAAATGCTGGGATTACAGGCGTGAGCCATCATCATGCCTGGCCAAGAAATTTTGATAGAATATTTTGAATATTAGAGAGCTAAATTTTTTATTATCTGTAGTTAGATATGTTTATAAAGATAAACACTTAAGCATATCTATGACATCCCCCTTCTGCCATCTTCCTACTTTTTGCCTATTGTTTCAGTCACTATTCTAAGTGCTCTTTGTGCACTCGCTCACTTAACTCTTACAACACCCCTTGTGAAGTAAGTTTTATCATCATCATCCGCATTTTGTAGCTGAGAAAACTATGGTACAGAGAGTAAATAACTTGAAGAGTCAGGATTTGAACTCAGGCAGTCTGGTTCTAGAGTCACTTCTTACCTTATGTTACACAGAAAGAAAAATATAGGTGAATGGAGAGAATAATTAGAACAGTGAGGTACACTGGAGAGGATATAAAAGTCAGATGGAGAAGAGGAAGAAAAAGCAAAGAAAAAAGCATGGAATGTTCCACATATGAAAATAATAGAAATAAAAATGGATAGTTCCTTTAAAAAGGAGGTGAAGGGGCTGGGTGTGGTGGCTCACACCTGTAATCCCAGCACTTTGGGAGGCCGACTTGGGCGGATTGCTTGAGCTCAGGAGTTCCAGACCAGCCTGGGCAAGATGGTGAAACTCTGTCTCTACTAAAAATACAAAAATTAGTCGGGTGTGGTTCCATGCACCTGTGGTCCCATCTACTTGAGGGGCTGAGGCAGGAGAATCGCTTGAACCCAGGAGGTTGAGGCTGCAGTGAACCGTGTTTACACCATTGCACTCCAGCTTAGGTGACAAAGTGACTCTGTCTCAAAAAAAAAAAAAAAAAAAAAAAAGTTAAGGGATAGGGGTTGAGAGAATGGCAAAGAGGCAGGGATGATTTCTGATAATTTGTGACAACCTGGAGCTGTGATATAGGGCTCAATATATTTAAGATTTAGAATTTAAACACAGGCAAGCATTAAGTATGTTTAGGGAAAATACAAGTGATAAAGAATGTATTTTTTGGCCGGGCGTGGTGGCTCACGCTTGTATCCTAGCACTTTGGGAGGCCGAGGTGGGTGGATCACAAGGTCAGGAGATTGAGACCATCCTGGCCAACATAGTGAAACCTTGTCTCTACTAAAAATACAAATATTGGCTGGGCACAGTGGCTCACGCCTGTAATCCCGGCACTTTGGGAGGCCGAGGTGGGCAGATCACCTGAGGTCAGGAGTTCGAGACCAGCCTGGCCAACATGGCGAAACCCCGTCTCTACTAAAAATACAAAAATTAGCCGGGCATGGTGGCGCACGCCTGTAATCCCAGCTACTCAGGAGGCTGAGGCAGGAGAATCACCTGAACCTGGGAAGTGGAGGTTGCAGTGAGCCGAGATTGTGTCATTGCACTCCAGCATGGGTGACAGAGCAAGACTCTGTCTCCAAAAAAAAAAAAAAAAAAAAATACAAATATTAGCTGGGCATGGTGGCGCGTGCCTGTAGTCCCAGCTACTCAGGAGGCTGAGGCAGGAGAACTGATTGAACCTGGGAGGTGGAGGTTGCGGTGAGCTGAGATTTTGCCACTGCACTCCAGGCTGGGAGACAGAGTGAGACTCCATTTCAAAAAAAAAAAAAAGAATGTCTTTTTCCTGGCTGAGCACGGTGGCTCATGCCTGTAATCCCAGCAGAAGTAAAACTTTGGGAAGCCGAGGTGGGTGGATCACTCACTTGGGTGGTCAGGAGTTCAAGACCAGCCTGGCCAACATGGCGAAACCCCATCTCTACTAAAAATACAAATATTAGCTGGGCACAGTGGCGCGTGCCTGTAGTCCCAGCTACTCGGGAGGCTGAGGCAGGAGAATTGCTTGAACCCAGGAGGCGGAGGTTGCAGTGAGCCGAGATTGCGCCATTGCACTCTGCACTCCAGCCTGGGCGACAGACTGAAACTCCGTCTCAAAAAAAAAAAAAGTCTTGTTTCTCTAGGTTCATCCGTGTCACAAATGACAGGATTTCCTTCTTTTTAAAGGCTGACTAGGCTGGGTATGATGGCTCATTCCTATAATCCTAGCACTTTGGGAGGCTGAGGCAGGAGGATCACTTGACCTTGGGAGTTCAAGACCAGCCTGGGCAATATGGTGAAACCCTGTCTCTACAAAAAAATGCAAAAAGTAGCTGGGTGTAGTGGCACATGCCTGTGGTCCCAACTACTCAGGAGGCTGGGGTGGGAGGATCACTTGAGCCTGGGAGACCAAGATCACACCACTGCACTCCAGGCTGGGCAACAGAGCAAGACCCTGTCTCAAAAAAAAAAAAAAACCACAAAAAACTAACTGTATTCCATTGTGTATATACCACATTTTCTTAATCAACAGAAAGACAAATACTGTATGATTTCACTTATATGTGGAATCTGAAAAAGTCAAACTCATAGTAGAGAATAGAATGGTGGTTACCAGAGGCTGGGAGTGGGTTAAGGAAGGAAATAGGGAGTTGTTAGTTAAAGTGTACAAAGTTTCAGTTAGACAGGAGGAATAAGTCTTTAGAATCTTATTTCACAGGGGGGTGACTATAGTCAATAATAATGTATTATATATTTCAAAATAGCTGAGAGTAAATTTCAAATGTCTTACCACAAAAAATGCTAGTAAGTTATGTGATAGATGTTAATCTACTTGATTTAATCATTCCACATTATATACATATATCAAAACACCACATTGTACCCTATGAATGTATACAGTTATAGTTTATCAATTAAAAGTAATGTTAATTTAAAATTTTTTAAGCTTATTCTTTTCCTTTAGGGATTAGATATGGAAGTTTTTAATCTGTATCTTGGCTCATGTTAAATCTCACACTTAACTTATTGTTTTGCAGGTCAGATTTCATTTCAGTGTAAAGGTAAATGGAATCCTCTCCACAGAGATCTTTGGGTAAGTTCTTAGGTCTATGGCTTAAGATGATGCTATGGCTCTGCAATTTTTCTCAGCTATTATTGTCCTATTTCCAAAAGGTTCACAGTTTGATATCTTGACCCAAAGTCACCTTGAAACTAATTTTCTGACACCCCCACATTTTATTATTTTAGTAGATTCATCCCTGTCTCTAGAGGGGGTAAACTTAAAGATTGCCATTTTCCCCTTGGTTAATTAGTTACTGAATTCTAGTAATCGCTGGGGTGGTAGTAGTCATGGGCCAAAATTTATGTCAAACAGAGATTGATTTTAGAATCTTTGAGAGATGGCTTAGCTTTGCTTTGCTTTGCAGGGTGGAGAATGAACCCACTTTGAACCTTGGGAATGGAATTGCTCTTTTGGTCGACTCCCAGCATTATGTGAGGTGAAGGCGTAAAGCCTTGTTGTCCCTCTGCATGTTTTACTCTCCTCTCGAGTACGAATGTGGGTAGAAATTGGAAATTGTCTCACTTGTCATTTGTAAGTGCCAGGTGTCAGCTTCTCTATAAGAAAAGCAGAAGTAAAACTTTTTTTTATGTTGAAAACTGCTATTTTAAGTTATTTATGTATTTGAATCTATTCTAAATGACCTGAAGACATGTGCCTTCTTCTCTTCAGGCCTTATTTTACACAGACCCTGCTAGTTCCAATCCCATTTAGGCATGAGAAGAGAAGACTATGAATTTAAAACTTTACTTGAATTCTTGGCTAGAGAGATAGTATGAATACAAAGGAATTCAGTGTACATTATTTTCTGTGCATCAGCATTTTGCATAGGTTTGGAAATCATCTCTCTGCCCATCTCCATCTTCTTCAGACTCCAAGAAAGTAAATCTGGCCAGGCGCAGTGGCTCATGCCTATAATCCCAGCACTTTGGGAGGCTGAAGTTGATGGATCACTTGAGGTTAAGAGTTTGAGACCAGCCTGGCCAACATGGCAAAACCCTGTCTCTGCTAAAAATACAAAAATTAGCTGGGCATGGTAGCACATGCCTGTAATCCCAGCTACTTGGGAGGCCAAAGCATGAGAATCACTTGAACCCAGGAGGTGGAGGTTGCAGTGAGCCGAGATCACGCCACTGCACTCCAGCGACAGAGCAAGACTCTGTCTCAAAAAAAATAAATAAATAAAAAATGTAAAAAATCCATGGAGGAGGTGGTAAACAATATGGAACACACAGAGCCCTTCTGTCTTGCCTTCCTGTGCCATTTAACTACCACAGAATCCAAAGTGAAAATGAATTATGTCAAGAAAAGACCTAACATATGCTTAAGTCCAATTAATTTATTTTTTCTTTTTTTGAGACAGGGTCTCAGTCTGTTCAACCCAGATGCCATCATAGCTCACTGCAGCCTTGGTCTCCTGGGCTCAAGTCATTTTCCCACCTCAGCCTCTCGAGTAGCTAGTAGCTAGGACCACAGAAATATGCTACCATACGCTGCTAATTTTTTTTTTTTTTGAGACGGAGTCTCGCTCTTTCGCCCAGGCTGGAGTGCAGATCTCACCTCACTGCAACCTCCACCTCCCTGGTTCAAGCGATTCTCCTGCCTCAATCTCCTGAGTAGCTGGGACTATAGGTGCATGCCACCACGCCCAGCTAATTTTTTTGTATTTTTAGTAGAAATGGGGTTTCACCATGTTGGCCAGGATGGTCTCAATCTCCTGACCTCGTGATCCTCCTGCCTCGGTCTCCCAAAGTGCTGAGATTACAGGCATGAGCCACTGCGCCCAGCCCATATACTGCTAATTTAAAAAAAATTTTTTTTTGTAGAGATGAGGTTGTTGCCTAGGCTGGTGTCAAACTCCTGGACTCAAGCAATCCTCCTGCCTCGGCCTTTCAAAGAGCTGGGATTACAGATGTGAGCCAATGTGTCCAGCCCTAATTTAGTCTTTATTCATTAGTTTCTGCCTCTATTTATGTGCCCAGAGGCAACACTAGTAGTCAAAGTCTCTTAAGGCTTAAAGAGACTGCCTGTGGTTCTTAGTCTGTTTTCTTATTCTCACCCAAAATTACACCTCAGATGAGAATATTTTTGTCATTTAATATGCAGGTAATAATTTCCCCACCCCATATCTTTCTTTAGTGATCCTCTAATAATAAACAATCCTTACAGGTAGCAGCTCATCATCATAGTTGTACTGACACAAGTTTAAGCCTTTGAGCCAATTTTTGTAGATGTGTTTCCTTGGATGACCTGATTAGAGACAAAGGGAAAGGTTCATTAATATTTCCTCTCTATTAATTAATTCATTCATTCTTAATCAGCTTTCTCAGGTTGACTGTTTTCTCTCTGTTTAGAAAAGAGCTATTGGAAAGTAACAAAATTTTACTAGATTCTTTCTAGGAGAGAAAGATGGCCTGGTTTTTTCTCATTGTTACTATCAAACAGCAACCTCAGACCTCTTCAGCGGAAGGTGTAGCATGCGTGAGAGCAGACTTATAAGTATCATGGGGCCAGTTTTAGGCCATTTGTGATTCATGGGCCCCCTCACACAATGCTGACCTTTGAATGAATTTGGAAATTTGCTCAGAACCAAAGATTAATTTTAGTGGAGGAAGTATACTTGAGAATAAGAAACAGGCTGGTCATGATATCTCACACCTGTAGTCCCAGCACTTTGGGAGGCCAAGGCAGAAAGATTGCTTGAGGCCAGGAGTTTGAGACCAGCCTAATAAACATAGTGAGACCCCATCTCTAATAAAATAAAATAATAGTAATTATTTTTCGAGACAAAGTCTCGCTCTGTTGCTCAGGCTGGAGTGCAGTGGCGCAATATCAGCTCACTGCAACCTCCGCTTCCCAGGTTCAAGCGATTCTCCTGCCTCAGCCTCCTGAATAGCTGGGATTACAGGTGTGCACCATCATGCACAGCTATTGTATCTTTAGTAGAGATGGAGTTTCACCATGTTGGCCAGGTTGGTCTTGAACTCCTGACCTCAAGTGATCCACCCACCTCAGCCTCCCAAAGTGCTGGGATTACAGGCATGAGCCACAATGCCTGGTCTAAAATGTTTTTTTAAAAAGAGAAACTAAGAAGCATCCGTTAGTGGCAGCAAAAGCAGGAGCAATGATATCTCTGAAATGCCAGTTTTTCTACTACTTCCATTGCTGTGATTCCCTGAGTGAGACATAAGTTATTTATTCCAACAAAACTGATATGGCAGGTTGTGTGGTTGTACATATGCTAGAGGTTACAAAAATAATTTTGAATGCTCTTTTAAATAATTTCTTAAGAGGAAAAAATGTTAAATTTGACTTGTCTGTTTTCTGACAGTAGACCAAATTTTGGTACAATTGAATCACACTGCAGCAGAATTCACCCTGTGCTAGGACATCCAGTAATGCTTTTCATCCCTGAAGACGTGGCTGGCATGGACTTGTTGGGAGAACTGATACTGACTCCAGCAGCTGCACTGTGCCCCAGCCCAAAGGTTTCTTCCAACCAGCTTAACAGGATTTCTTCAGTTTCCATATCCTTTTGATGAAAAGTTCCATCCAATTATCTTTGAAATGGGTTTTTATATCCCAGTTTTAGGAAAGCCTTTAGTATGTGAATTCTGCATCTACAAATATATATGATTTGTATAAAAACATATAATCTAATGTGAAAGCCAAGCTTGAAAATTTTGCCAGGGAACTGAAAACTGTAAAATGTGACACATGCCATGCGTTTTTCATACAATCCAATATGACTGAAGCATGAAATGAATGGTGCACGAGGAAGAGATGGGACTAGAAAAGTAGTCTGGAGTTGAATATGGTAGATCTTGAGTGCCATACTAAGGATTGTGAATTTTATTCTCTGTATAGTAAGAAACCATTGAATGTTTTGGGAGAAGTCTTTAGCAGCATTATAGAGTACGGATGGGAGACAGAAGTTAGTAATACTAAGTAAATAAGTAAGTGAACTGGATTAAAAATAATGAGTGCTTGACGGCTGGGTGCAGTGGCTTACACCTGTAATCCCAGCACTTTGGCAGGCCGAGGTGGGCGGATCACTTGAGGTCAGGGGTTTGAGACCAGCCTGGCCAATATGGTGAAACCCTGTCTACTAAAAATACAAAAATTAGGCCGGGCGTGGTGGCTCACACCTGTAATCCCAGCACTTTGGGAGGCTGAGGCGGATGGATCACAAGGTCAGGACTTGGAGACCAGCCTGGCCAACATGGTGAAACCCCATCTTAGTAAATACAAAAATTAGCTGGGCATGGTGGCAGGCGCCTGTAATCCCAGCTACTCAGGAGGCTGAGGCAGGATAATCACTTGAACCTGGGAGGCAAAGGTTGCAGTGAGCCGAGATCGCAGCCACTGCACTCCAGCGTGGGCAACAGAGTGAGATTCCGTCTCAAAAAAATAAATTAATTAAAGCCAGGCGTGGTGGTGTACGCCTATAGTCCCATCTACTTGGGAGGCTGAGGCAGGAGAATCACTTGAACCTGGGAGGTGGAGGCTGCAGTGAGCCAAGAACACGACACTGCACTCTAGCCTCGGTGACAGAGCAAGACTCTGCCTCAGAAAAAATAAAAATAAAATAACAATAATAATGAGTGCTTGAATCTAAAGTGTGGTAGGCACGGAAAGGCCAGACTTATCACCTGAATTAATCAACAAAATGTGGTAACCAGTTCATTATTAAGGTAGGGAGAGATTAGGGGCAGGGAATGTCTAAGGTTGATGTCAGATTTCTATTCTATGTCTGTCTAGAATAGGCAAATACAGAGAGAAAGTTGATGGAGGGGCTTTTTTGTTTTTTTTTTTGGAGACAAGGTCTGGCTCTGTTGCACAGGCCAGAGTGCGGTGACACAATCTCAGCTCACTGCAACCTCTGCTTCCCGGACTCAAACCATCCTCCCACCTCAGCCTCCTAGAGACCACAGGTGCATGCCACCATGCCCAGTTAATTTTTGCATTTTTGGTAGAGACAGAGTTTCACCATGTTGCCCAGGCTGGTCTCAAACTCCTGGACTCAAGCGATCCACCAGGCTCGGCCTCCCAAAGTTTTGGGATTACAGGCATAAGCCACTGTGCTCGGCCTGGAGGGGCTTCTTTTCAGAGTAATGAAAGTGTTCTAAAATTGATGGTGGTAGTGACTGCACAACTCTTTGAATATTCTAAAATCCATTTTATTACACATTTAAAATGAGTGAATTGTATGGTATGTGAATTGTATCTCAATAAAGCTATTTAAAAATATTTCCATGAATAACTGACAGAATAATGATACTTTCAGCAAGATAAAAAAACATTAATAGCAGATTTAGGAGATAAAGAAGATGAGTTTGACATTAAACATGTTGAGTTTATGGTGTCTCAAGACATCCTTTGAACATAGTAAGGAGCTATATAGGAATTTGGTCTGGAACTTGGAAATGGTCAGATTTAGAGATACAGAATTTTAGAGTCTCAGTTTCCTCCATAGGTAAGAGTCGTGTAGTGCTGTGTTTAGAGCATGGCACAGGAGTGTAAATGTTGGATTCACTACTAATTAGCTGTGTGACTGTAGGCAACTCACTTAACCAGCCTAAGCCTTTACTTCCTCTGCTTTAAAATGAGGATGATACTTATCTCATAGGTTTAGTTTCCCTTGCAAAAATTGGTTTTCTGTTCTTTTGGGGTTTGTTTGCTCGTTTTAGAATTAAGTATAATAATCCATGTGAAGCTCCTAGCATATAATGAGTACTCAATAATATTAATAATTGTTATTGTCATATGATTGAAGCTATAGGAGTAAATGAAGTTATAGAAAATTATAAACAATGAGAACAGGCCGGACACGGTGGCTCATGCCTGTAATCCCAGCACTTTGGGAGGCCGAAGCTGGCGGAGCACTTGAGGTCAGGAGTTTGAGACCAGCATGGCCAACATGGCAAAACCCTGTCTCTATTAAAAATACAAAAATTAGCTGGACATGGTGGCACATGACTGTAGTCCCAGCTACTCGGGAGACTGAGACAGGAGAATTACTTGAACCCAGGAGGCAGAGGTTGCAGTGAGCACTGCATTCCAGCCTGGGCGACAGAGCAAGACTCTGTCTCAAAATAAAAAAAAAGAGAGAACAGAAGAGGCGTGGTATGATAGATGTCAGCTATCTGATGTTGCATATCAGATATCAAAAGATACCATAGTATCTTTTAGGGAGGTGGAGGGAGCAGGATAGTGATGAAGACTATGCTTGGACATTTTCTATTTTAAAACATGCTTTTTCTTTATATCTAGATAGTACAGAACAGTATAGAATAAATAAGTTTCTTCTTCTTCCTCATTCCATCATCTAGAAGGGATAAGACAGACAAATTTTTTGTCCTCTTGGGGAAAATTTAACAGATAGATATTAGGTAGTGATAAGTGCAGTGGAGATAAATAGAACAAAGTAGTAGAGAATGATGGAGATGTTATTTTAAATATGGGCAGTGAAGCCTCTAAGGAGGTGATGTTTTAAAAAAGAGAGAGAGCTAGCTATGAAAATTCTGTTGAGATTTTACTTTCTGAAAGTGGCAAACTTGATAATTTAGACCAACCTTCTCAATGAAGGCAAAGGCTAGATGAAATATTAAAACATCATAAAAGCAGGCCGGGTGTGGTGGCTCACGCCTGTAATCCCAGCACTTTGGGAGGCCAAGGTGGATGGATCACCTGAGGTCAGGAGTTCGAGACCAGCCTGACCAACATGGAGAAACCCTGTCTCTATTAAAAATACAAAATTAACCAGGCATGGTTGTGCATGCCTGTAATCCCAGCTACTCAGGAGGCTGAGGCAGGAGAATCTCTTGAACCTGGGAGGCGGTGGTTGCGGTGAGCCGAGATCGCGCCATTGCACTCCAGCCTGGGCAACAAGAGTGAGACTCCATCTCAAAAAACAAACAAACAAACAAAAAAATCATAAAAGCATCAAAGAGCTAGTGAAGAGGAAGAGTTTCTGTGCCATGATTTAGGAGAGGTTTGAATTACAGAGAGCTGAGCCTAGCATTGGGGGATGCTTTTGCCCTGGAGCAGTTTGCCAATTAGAGCAAGCAGTTGAGAGGCTAAGATGTATTAATACTTCCAAATCAGTGCAGGACAAGAAGGCCAAAGAATCCAGGACCTGCTGAGCTTGGGAGTGCTGCTAAAAACACCTCTTGCCTTGGGCAAGGGATAACTAGAAGGCTATATTTTAAGGAGTAAGGTGAACCTGAAATAAATTACTCTTCACATGGACTGTATATGCTTTTTGGTCATCTAGGCAGGCCAGAAAATCTTGAACTTTGAAATTGGATTAGGATGATTTTAGATTTGTTAGTTCTAGATGTTTTATAGAAGCAAACAAAAATTTCTAGAGGAAAATAACTGCATCCTGTGCTCCCAATTATTTAACACTTTTTCAAATACAGTGTCCCATGGTGCATATGCACACACACATGCACAGTCACAAATAACCAGGTGTAAGAAAGGACAAGATAATATGAACAAGAGCTAGCAAAAACAAAATCACAGAAACACCCACTGGGACTCCAGATACTGGTGATATCAGATATTGACTTTAAAAAGTTATGCTTAGCTGGGTGTGGTGGTTCACACCTATAATCTCAGCACTTTGGGAGGCTGAGGCAGGAGGATTGCTTGAGCCTGCAAGTTCGAGATCAGCCTGGGAAACACAGTGAGACCCCCATCTCTATACAAGTTACCTGTGCATGTGTGGTGCATGCCTGTGGTGCCACCTACTCAGGAGGCTGAAGTGGGAAGATTGCTTGAGCACAGGAGGTCAGGACTGCAGTGAGCCATGATCGTGCCATTGCCCTTCAGCCTGGGTGACGTGAGACCAGTTTCAAAAAAAAAAAAATGAAAAATTATGCTTACTATGTTGATGAAAATGAAAGCAAAGTTTGAAAATTTTACTAGAAAACTGAAACTGTAAAATATGAAATACCTTTTAACAAGAACAAAACAGAAATTGTAGAATCAAGAAATATAATAACCAATGTTGAATAAAATTCAGTACACTGGTTTAACAGCAGATTAAGTACAACTTAAGTGAATTTGTAAACTAAAAGCTAAAGATAGCAAGAACTTAGCAAAAATAAAACAAAGAGACAAGTTATGGAAAATACAGAAGAGAGGGGTTAACAGAGTAAAGAGTAAAACTGTCTAATGTATATTTAATTGATGTCCAAAAAGAGAAGAGAGAAGAGAAAATAGGGCAGAAACAATATTTAAAGAGTTAATGGCTGAAACAACTGAGACAGATTTGTGTGTGTGTGTGCGTGTGTGTGACGGAGTCTCGCTCCGTCGCCCAGGCTGGAGTGCAGTGGCTCGATCTGGCTCACTGCAAGCTCCGCCTCCCGGGTTCATGCCATTCTCCTGCCTCAGCCTCCCAAGTAGCTGGGACTACAGGCACCCGCCACCACGCCAGGCTAATTTTTTGTATTTTTAGTAGAGACGGGGTTTCACCGTGTTAGCCAGGATGGCTGAGACAGATTTAAGAACAGAATAATCAAGCAGTATAAATAAAAAAGATTTCTACACCTAAAGAGATGAAAAACAGAGAAGAATCTTAAAATCAGTCAGGAGGACAAATCATCTTTAAAAGATAAATTAACAGTTGACTTCCCCATACCAACAGAAGGTGTTAGACTAATAGTGTTAATGTCTTGAAATAAAATCATTACCAACCTAGAATTTCATATCCAATCCAAATATTCCTCAACATAAAAGGTAATAAACTTACCTGTATATTATGTTAAAATTATAATCCACGTAACAAGAAGAATTAATTCAACAGACTTTAGAACATGGTGTTTTGACTATACGTTCTTAGCAGGATATACTCTAAGGATGAAATGGAAGTCCAAAGACCTCTTAAAATTTATTCAGTGGCATGATTGTTAGTAATAATATTGGTATTTTATATTGGAATTATTGTATGCATACTTATGATAAATAATTATGTTAACAATGTTAGGAACCAAAGTTTTTAGCATCAGATAGAAGATATGTGAGTGTAAATTCAGAGAAATAACTATTTTTTTTAAAGGGATCTCACTCTGTTGCCCAGGCTAAAGTGCAGTTGTGCGATCATAGCTCACTGCAACCTCGAACTTCTGGGGTTAAGCAGTCCTCCTACCTCAGCCTCTCCTGAGTAGCTGGGACTACAAGCATGCACCATCATGCCTGGCTAATTTTTTTATTTTTATTTTTTGTAGAGACAGGGTCTCACCCCCGAGTTTCCAAATTTAATGAAAACTATAAACCTGCAGATTCATGATCAATGAACCCTAAGTGTAAGAAATATGAAGAAAATTATACCAAGTCACATCATAATCAAAGTATTTGAAGCCAGTAATAAAAAAATCTTAAAAGCAGCTGGAGATAAGACACATTATGTATAGAGGAACAAAATAATTATGGCAGATTTCTCACTGGAAACAGTGTTAGCTAGAAGAAAGTGGGGTAACATCTTTATAAAGTACTGAGAGAAAAAAGGCAAAATGAAGAATTTTTCAGACATAGAAAAGGTGAAAGAATTTATCACCAGAAGACCTGTATTATAAGAAATGTTAACAGAAATCTTTTAGGTAGAAGAAAAATGTTGCCAGACGGAATTCTGAATCTACCCAAAAAAGGAAGAGCACTGGAAGTGGTGGCTATGCGGGTAGATACAAAATACTTTTGTCCTTTTAAAAACACAAAATATCCTTCTTGAGTATATAAACCAAAAAGCATCCAAGACAGGTTTCAATCAGTTTAGAAGTTTATTTTGCCAAGGTTAAGGATGTTCCTGGGAGACAGGTCTGTGCCTTTCTCTAAAGATGGTTTTGAGGTCTTCAGTATTTAAAGGGGAAACGCAGGCTGGAGAGGAAAGATGGAGGGGATGATCACATTATTGAATCCATATGTTACAAGAGAAAAGGAGCAAGTAGGGGAACAGTCAATTATGTATTTGTCTTGTGCTCAGTAAAGTGGCCCTTTATATAATAGAAGGTGAACATTACAGTAGCTACCTGTAGAGGTATTTAACCCTTTATCTGTAGCTATCTGCTTAGGAACAAAAGGAGAGACAGCTTCTTGCATGACTCAGCTTTCAGCTAAATTATTTCCTTTTGGCATAGTGATTTGGGGTCTTGAGTTTTAATTTTCCTTTCACAAGTACCTTACCAGAAAAAAAAAAATCTTTAAAAAACAAGTCTTGAAGTCTCTCCCTTCAGGCTCCAATTACACATTCCTGAATTAGGCCACCTAAAGTTATCCTGCAGTTCACTGAGGCTTTATTCATTTATGTAGAGACAGGGTCTTGCTGTTTCCCAGGCTGGAGTGCAGTGGCTTGATCTTAGCTCACTGCAGCCTTGAACTCCTAAGCTCGTGTGACCTTCCCACTTCAGCCTCCTGAGTGGCTAGGACTACAGGTGTACACCACCATACCTGGCTAATTTTGCATGTGTGTGTGTGACATATCTTGCTATCATTTTCTATGTTCTTCATATTTCTTTTTTTTGAGATGGAGTCTCACTCTGTTGCCCAGGCTGGAGTGCAGTGGTGTGATCTCAGCTTACTGCAACCTCTGCCTCCTGAGTTCAATCAATCAGGCCCCTGAAATGATTTCTATCTCTGCCATTTCAGCCTCCCGAGTAGCTGGGACTACATGTGCCCACCACCATGGCCAGCTAATTTTCGTATTTTTAATAGAGACAGGGTTTCGCCATGTTGGCCAGGCTGGTCTCGAACTCCTGACCTCAAGTGATCCGCCTGCCTTGGCCTCCCAAAGTGCTGGGACTACAGGCATGAGCTACTGTGCCCAGCCTATACTCTTCATATTTCTTATGCTTAGGGTTCATTGATCATGGATCTGCAAAAATATAATGTATAAGGTTTATAACATCTATGGAAATAAAACCTGTGACAATAGCACAAAGGCCAAGAGGAGAGAAGTGGAAGTATATTGTTGGATTCTTAAACTTTATATGAATTGTTATAATATCATTTGAAGGTAGACTGTGATAAGTTAAAGTTGTATACTAATAAAGCCTGGCAATCCCTGGTTTAATGCAACAGTTATAACTAATAACTTAAAAAGGAGATAAAATGGAGTTATAAAAAATTCCTGGCAGGCATGGTGGCTCTCACCTGTAGTCCCAACTACCTTGGAGGCTGATGCAGAGAGAGGCTCGCTTGAGCACAGGAATTTGAGGCTGCAGTGAGCTATGATCACATCATTGCACTCCAGTCTGAGCAACAGAATGAGACCTTGTGTCTTATAAAAGGGTGGGGAGAGAGAGAAAACACTTTTTAAAATGTAAAAAACAATTTCTAATCCAAAAATAGAAAAGAGGAAAAAGGAAACAAAGAATACAAGCAAGAAATGGAAAAAAGATGATGGATTTAAACTCCACTATAGCTATCTTCATATTACAAGTAAATGATTTAAACAACCCAATTATAAGACAACTGCACATCTTGGCTCCTCAAACACTCCCCTCTTATTCTGAGTTTGCATCTTTTTTTTTGAGACGGAGTCTGGCTCTGTCGCCCAGGCTGGAGTGCAGTGGCGCAATCTCGGCTCACTGTAAGCTCTGCCTCCCGGGTTCACGCCATTCTTCTGGCTCAGCCTCCCTAGTAGCTGGGACTACAGGCGCCCGCCACTACGCCCGGCTAATTTTTTGTATTTTTAGTAGAGACGGGGTTTCACCGTGTTAGCCAGGATGGTCTCAATCTCCTGACCTCATGATCCGCCCACCTCAGCCTCCCAAAGTGCTGGGATTATAGGTGTGAGCCACCGCGCCTGGCCCTGAGTTTGCATCTTAAAAATCCCCTTGCCCTAAACAGTGAGTCAGCCTTAGTTCATGTGTTAATGCCTTCTGAGATTTGTGAGGGAGACTTCATTTATGGGTATAAAGCCTTTCCATAATGCCTCAGTGCCCACTGGGTAGGAATTTTAATCTTCACAATACCTTGTGTTTACCCCATAAGAAAGAGGATGAAAACGAATGAAAGATAAAGGAAAGCACACATTCTGGTCTCTGGCCTTGGTTCAGGGGACAAGAAAGGTTAAGCAGTGGTTCTTAATGGGGTAATTTTGTCCTTAAAGGACATTTGACAATGTCTGGAGACGTTTTTTATTGTCATGGAGGGGGTAACGTAAGAAGGGTGCTACTGGCATTTGGTGGCTAGAGGCCAGGGATTCTGCTAAACATCCTATAGTGCACAGGACTGCCCACCGCAGTGAAGAATTATCTGGCCCAAAGTGTCACTAGTGCAGAGGTTAAGAAACCCTGGGTTACAGGTAGGGTGAGAGTGGGAATGGGAAGTTCAGAGATAGAAACCATTTCAGGGGCATGCCTTCCTTTGTTTTAGATAATAGGTTTGGAGACAATCCGAGGAAGTTTCCTTCTCAATCTAAGTATACTCAAATACTTCCTAGAAGATATTCTCTTGTATATACTTCTAGCATGTATCACATTGTATTACAGCTTACCGGCTTTTATGTCTGTCTCCCATGTTGTAAATATGATAAACTTGAGGACAGGTATTATCTGGATATTTGTCTTTGTACCCCAAGAACTTAGAACTTAAAACAATGTTAACCTGTGGTGCCTTTCAAATCTATGACCATGTGAACCGGATGAATAAATAAACTGTCTTAATATTATATCTGTAGCTCACACTTATTAAACCCAGAATAAATTTCTGGGGATCCTAGTGGATCTATCTCTGGTGCCTCACATCTGTCTTCAGTGTGGAAAAGGCTTAATATGTAACTGCATAGGCTGGGCATGATGGCTCACGCCTGTAATCCCAGCACTTTGGGAGGCCGAGGTGGGCAGATCACGAGGTCAAGAGATCGAGACCATCCTGGCCAACATGGTGAAACCCCGTCTCTACTAAAAATACAAAAATTAGTCAGGCATAGTGGCATGCACCTGTAATCCCAGCTACTTGGGAGGCTGAGGCAAGAGAATCACTTGAACCTGGGAGGTGGAGGTTGCAGTGAGCTGAGATGGCGCCATTGCACTCCAGCCTGGGCGACAGAGCGAGACTCCATCTCAAAAAAAAAAAAAAAGTAACTGCATAGCACACTTATGGGAGTGTAAACCAGGTCAGTGTTGTTTGTTTGTTATACAAGTGAATACATAGTCATAAGATACTAAAATTTGGCAGTTTTCTTTAGCAACTACACATATTTCTATATGGACCTTTGGGTCTGCCTCTGATATTGTCAACTTGGGAGCAGCCGATGACTACTTTCTTCAAAGATACCTCTTCTTTAGTTGACTGGAAAAAATACCATTTGTGTATGATACCCAATTTGGATCTCAATTTGGATAGAGGTATATCCTCCCTCTTTCTGCACAGGAATTAAGACATTTGAAGAATATTAGATAAATGAAAGGAAATATGAATAGAACGTGTGTATAAAAATATGACCAGAGATCTGATGGCCCAGGTTGGGGTTTGGGGGTCAGGGTCTGGCCAAATGTGAGAGACCACTTGAAGTGAGGCAAACAGGTGTCAAACAGGCAAGCTCTTTCAGAGCTTGTTTTGGCATTGCATGTTTTTTTTTGTTGCTTGTTTTTGTTTTTGTTTTGTTTGAGACAGAGTCTTGCTCTGTTGCCCAGGCTGGAGTGCAGTGGTATGATCTTGGCTGGCTGCAACCTCCGCCTCCCGGGTTCAAGTGATCCTCCTGCCTCACCCTTCCGAGTAGCTGGGATTACAGGTGCCTACCACCATGCCTGGCTAATAGTTTTTTGTATTTTTGGTAGAGACAGAGTTTCCCCATGTTGGCCAGGCTGGTCTTGAACTCCTGACCTCAAGTGGCCCACCTGTCTCAGCCTCTCAAAGTGCTGGTATTACAGGTGTGAGCCACCGCACCCGGCCTGGCATTGCATGTTGATACTGGTTCTCCTCTTACTTCCTCTGCTGCCTCCTCTATTCCTGGTCCTTCTGTTAGATACTTGTTCAGAGGATTTCTAATGTACCTAATCTGTCAACTCTGGGCCTTTACAAAGGTGAGTAAGGGAGCAATGATACCTCTGAACTACTGTGGAAGAGAAATGCTTCATAATGAACTGAGAAAATCCACATAAAATTCCTTAGAAAAAGTTAAAACGCATACAAATGCAAGATGTAATAGTATTAGGCCTAGGAAGCTGGCTGTAATATTCCCATAAGCTCTAACCACACCAGCTTTGGGTGAATCATGCTAAAAGCTGGAGGTTAATAACTGAGCTAATAAAACTGGGAAATTGGAGTATGCGACCATGGGCTGATATCTAGGAGGGGTTGCAGTTTTGAGATTGACTGTTCTAACTAGAATCCTTTGAAATTTAGAAGGTAGTCTGGTCGTCTGGCTCCTGAAGAAGACGACCAGTAGGGAAGAGGTATTCTGCGGCTATGACTGGTATGAGAACATTGAAGCCTACTGGGATGGGGCAGTATCTTAGAGGGAATGATAGACTCCACCGATTTCGAATAGAGATATGACTGGTGAATTTCTAGGGATCGCCATACCTCCTTTTCTCTTTCATTTTTGTTTTTGGGCTTTGCTGGTTTAGTTTTTTGCCAATTCATGGTCCTGAACTTTCTCAGTTAACTTTGGAAATGAATAACGTAGGAAATGTCCTCTCATCTCCCTCCCTTATTACTCTAAAGGACAGAACCAGGATCCACATGGAGGTACTTCTCTACATGGATCTGAAATATGGGACTATCCTGATTGTATTCTAAAGGATCAAGGTGCTAGAAAGTGACCACTGGGCAATGGATTACATTTGGGGATACAAATATATAGTATTGGGGCTAAGAGAACAGGTTTTTTAGTCAGTCTAGCAAAGTCTAGAACTCAGTTCCACCACCTACTGGCTCCCGTTGGACGAGGTATTTAACCTATCTGTGCCTCTTTTCTTATCTGTAAAAGGGCATAAGAATAGGTTCTATCCGATACTGTTGTTGTGAAGTCTAAATGTTGAAATAGTACATAAGCATTTGATGCAGTACCTGGCACATAACACAAATTAGCTGTTGTCATTACACTCAGGTGAATCTAACCTCTTACCAGCCATACCTGCCTTAGAAAGTTGTACAAGGAATCAATGAATTTATTGTGTAGAGCTTCTCAGTAATGTAAAGGAGTGCTGTTTGGCTTGCATTTTACACACATAGTTACTATTTTAATGTTCTTCCTGTGAGTCATTATGATTTGCTTCCATCATGTGGATAGAGAAACAGGTTCAGGAGGGTAAATGGGTGTTCAGATTTAGATCTCCTATTCTCAGATCCTTCTTTGTTCAGAATACAGGTTCTGTAGTCACTTTGTATTTCAAGAGCTTTACTTATCTTAGAAATTCGTGTAATATCTTGTCCTCTAGATTTGGTGCTTCCAGATGTGAGTTATCAGGTGGAATCCAGTGAGGAGGATCAGTCTCAGACTATGGATCCTCAAGGACAAACTCTGCTGCTTTTTCTCTTTGTGGATTTCCACAGTGCATTTCCAGTCCAGCAAATGGAAATCTGGGGTAAGTATAAGAGAATGGGGTTGCCAGCTGGGGTGTGCCAAATGCTAAGAGAGAGGGAAACTTTGTGTAATGCACACATCTAAATTAGATATATTTCTGTAGAATAAATAAGTTCAGTGAAAAACCTTGCTTAATAAAATGAACATATCCTATAGAAAAGATTCATATATTGATGCATCGCTTAAATGATGACATTTCTAGTCTGGTTGGCCAGAAATCAGCAGATACTTCATATATTGCTCCCTAGGGATCAGCGGTTTTCAACGTTAGCCGCACAATATATTACCTGGAGAGCATCTAAAATGCTTACTCCCCAGAGATTCTGATTTCCAGATGGACTGAGGTGGGGCTTAGGGTTCAGTATGTTTTTAAATTTTTTTTATTTTTAGAGATGCTCTGTCGTCCAGGCTGGAGTACAGTTGCGCGAGCATAGCTCAATGCAACATCAAACTCCTGGGCTCATGTGGTCCTCCCGCTTCAGCCTCCCAAGTAGCTGGGCCTACAGATGCATGCCAGTGCACCTGGATAACTTTTTCAATTATATTTTGTATTATTATTTTTTGTATGGAGGTCTTGCTTTGTTGCCCAGGCTGTTCTCGAACTCCTGGCTTCAAGTAATCTTCCTTCCTCGGCATCCCCAAGTGCTTGTCAGTATGTTTTTAAAGTTTCTCAGGCTGGGTGCGGTGGCTCATGCCTGTAATCTCAGCACTTTGGGAGGTTGAAGTGGGTGGATCACTTGCAGCCAGGAGTTCAAGGCCAGCCTAGCTAACACGGCGAAACCCCATCTCTACTAAAAATACAAAAATTAGCTGGCATGGTGGCAGCTTCTTGTAATCCCAGCTATTCAGGAGGCTGAGGCAGGAGAATCTCTTGAACCCAGGAGGCAGAGGTTGCAGTGAGCCAAGATTGTACCACTGCACTTCAGCCTGGACAAGAGATTGAGACTCTGTCTCAAGAAATAAAATAAAATAAAATAAAATAAAATCACTTCTCAGGTGATTCTGATGTACAGCAAGGCTTGGGAACTTTTCATCATCATGCTGCCTTTCCAGGTGGATTTAAAAAATGCACACCTGTTCTTATTCAGGTATGCAACAGGGAACCTTTGGTGTTTATCTATTAGATGGGTGACAATTTGTTATCAATCAGAAAGGTTATCTATGATAGAGATAAAACAGTGGTTTCATTTTCTGGTCCATGAAACACATGCATCAGAATCACTGGATGATGATGATGATGATGATGATGATGATTTTTGAGACAGAGTCTCCCTCTGTCGCCCAGGCTGGAGTGCAATAGCGTGATCTTGACTCACTGCAGCCTCCACCTCCCGGGTTCAAGCAATTTTCCTGCCTCAGCCTCCTGAGTAGCTGGAATTACAGGCACACGCCACCACACCTGGCTAATTTTTGTATTTTTAGTAGAGATGGGGTTTCACCATGTTGGTCAGGCTGGTCTCGAACTCCTGACCTCGTGATCCACCCGCCTCAGCCCCCCAAAGTACTGGGATTACAGGTGTGAGCCACCACACCAGGCCATTATTATTATTATTGTAGAGGCAAGGTCTGAACTCCTGGGCTCAAGTGATCCTCCCACCTCGGCCTCCCAAAGTGCTGGGATTACAGGCATGAGCAATCGCACTGGCCTCAAGTGATTCTTAAATAGAGTAAAATTTGAAAACCACTGAGCATGAGCAGGAGTTGACTTCTGCATTTTAATCCAATAAACCCTGGGACATAAATTTAAGTGTTTCTCAATGCCCTCCTAATCTTTGAGGAAAGTTACAAGGAGAAGTGGAGCTTATACAAATTTGGGGAAAGGTTCGTAAGCCTCCCTTTTGGTGCTTCTGATATGTCTCTGTTCTCCTTTCTCTATGGGCCAATGTGTTTTCGTGGGACTCTATTCTCCAGGCACTCTAGTGCTATTTGGTGTGGCCCTGCTCCTACTGAGTCATAAGAAAAAAGAGACTGCTTACACCAGATCAAAAGAGCTCATGTTGACTGGTGTCAATTATTTATTGAACAAACCATTGTTGGCTGTGGTATTCTTCCTTCTACCTTCCTTCTGAGCCTCTCAGAAGTAAGATAAGGCAAACTTTTCCCTGCCTTTTCCCAACACATGCTGTACACACTAGGAGAGAAGCACTGTTTCCTGGGGCTCTGGCTTGTAGCTCTTTATTTGAGGAGCTAATGGTCTTTGGTGTACCGCCGTTCTGATGATTAACACCAGGGGAATGGAAAATAGAAGATACCTAAACTAATGTGAGGATTCCTGGGGCTGTTCCCTGTGGCTTATGCTCACATAGACAGAGGTTGGTAAGAGCAGCAGCTGATTATTGTGGAAAAGACATCAGGGTGGAATCAAGAGACCTGGGTTTAATTTTAGCACTGATACCAACTTCCTCAATGATTTTTGGGAAGTATGTCACGTAAATCTGAGCCTCCCTTTTCATATCTTTAACATGAGATTGTTAGGCTAGGCCCCATCAAAGGCCCTTCCAGGTCTAAAACCCTCTTAAGACTTAAGATCTGCTACCTTCTGGCAGGCTTTTTTTAAGGTCTGTCAGAAGGTAATCCTTGGATAATGCAAGCCTGATAACATGTTCTGAGCCCTAAAGAACATTCCTTAAGAACTCAGATTCCTCAGAAACACAGTATTATCATTCCTGAACTACTGTGATAATTTGTACACTTCTGTTTAGCTTGACCCTGAAGGCCTGCAGTATCTCAGTTGTTGTACTCAGTATTGGATTTAAAAGAAATTCATCAATGTATTAGTAAACACAGTAAGGCTCTCCCATCTTACACATCTGGTAATTTAAGACTAGCCTCTGAAGAAGATGCACAGTGAGGGAAGGTAGATATAGACATAGTGATAATTTTACCTTCTCTTCCCCCTTTTCTTTCTCATATCCTTAAAAGCTTTCTCTAGAGCCTCTTTTTTAGGAAACAGATGGTGCAAAGTTAGTCTGTTTCCATGTGTCTTTAAGAAAATTACTTAATTGGCCTTATGCCCACCTACCTTGTCATGGTAACTTTTCTGTGATTAACTCATTTTTTTTTTCTTGTGACTAACTCATTATTTTCCCCAATGTCAAAAGCATTTGGTGGTCAAAAGTTTTAGGAATGAACTTTGACTTTTAAATTAAATGTCTGCTTTCAAAAGAGATCTGATTTCTTGAAGCTGTTCTTAAAACCAAACTATGGAAAATACCAATCTAGATGATACATTAACATAGCAATAGCAATATTTTGAAACTGTACAGTGTACATTTCAAAACACTTCATGGGCTAGGCACTGTGGCTTGGCTCCTGTAATCCCAATACTTTGAGGGGCCAAAGCAGGAGGACCGCTTGAGCCCAAGAGTTCAAGACCAGCTCGGGCAACACAGCGAGACCTCGTCTCTACATATACAAATTTGCCCGGGCATGGTCCCTCACACCTGTAATCCCAGCACTTTGGGAGGCCGAGGCGGGCGGATCACACTGAGGTCAGGAGTTTGAGACCAGTCTGGCCAACATGGCGAAACCCCGTCTCTACTAAAAATACAAAAATTAGCTGGGTGTGGTGGCAGGCGCCTGTAATCCCAGCTACTCGGGAGGCTGAGGCAAGATAATCACTTGAATCCAGGAGGCGGAGGTTGCAGTGAGCCGAGATCACGCCATTGCACTCCAGCTCGGGCAACAAGAGCAAAACTCTTGTCTTAAAAAAAAAAAAAAAAAAAAAATTGGCCAGGCATGGTGGTGGTGTACACCTGTGGTCCCAGCTATTCGGGAGGCTGAGGTGGGAGGATCACTTGAGCCCCGGTGGTCGAGGCTGCAGTGAGCCAAGATCGTGTCACTGCACTCCAGGCTGGGCAACAAAACCCACAAAACACTTTGTGTACATTATCGCAGTTTATCTACACAACATACCTGTGAGAGCAGGTGGTATAAAGCCATTTTCTATACTGAAGAAAAGATTTCATCACCACTAGTTGATGGCAGAATTGGCCCTAGAATCTATGTTCTCCCTGACTCCAGCTCCAGAATCCTTTTGAGCTTACCATATATTACGTTCCCTACCAGGAAAGGATCATGGTGCCTTGTGGTAGAAAATGTTCTTCTGGTTTGCATTTTTAATACAGTCCTGGAAAAAGCCAGCCAGTTTTAGGCTGCTTCCCATAGAATTCTGAACACTGAAAACAAAGAATAATCAAGAAGGATTTTCTCCAGGTGACCTGTAAATTTGGCTTCCTGTGCCTGCTGCATCGGGATCATTAAATGGTGGCCTATTGTTTGATGGCATAGTTTTTTTGCCTGTTGCTCTCACATATTAGCTTTTCTGAATGAGACTGAGCAGTGGTGCCTGTGGTTACTTTAACAGAGATAATCTCCCATTTAAAAGGACCTCATACCAACAGTTCTGTGTCATCTCTGTGAATTTTAACCTTTTCTTTACCACAGTACGTCTGAAAGCACTGCCACAACAGTGATGTTCACATAGACGTAGAGTAGGGTTAGACACACTCTATAGGACCTTTGCTTCTCCCTTTCTCCTCTCCTTTGGGAGTCACTGGGATTGTTGTTTATAGTACATGGTATATATTTCTGCTATGAATTAAACAGGATCCCTTATTTGTTTCTTTAAAAAATAATGTCATTCTCCACCTTAATTTTCCTGAGCTTTCTTAGATTTATGAGTGGGAATTAGGTAGGTGTGTAAGTTGCTGGGAGATTTTGTCTAAAAAAAGGTAATTATTTGTGGATATGTAGGGGTCTCTTCTTCCAAGAGGCATCTTTCCCACTCCCAGTCCTGACTCAAAGCACATGAACAGCAATCTTGAAGTAGTTATCCTCGCTCATGGTTAATCCTTGGATAATGCAAGCCTGATACCATGTTCTGAGCCCTACTGAACATTTCTAAAGAACTCGGATTCCTCAGAAACCAGTGTTATCATTCCTGAACTACTGTGATAATTTGTACACCTCTGTTTAGCTTGATTCTGAGGGCCTGCAGTATCTCAGTCGTTGTACTCAGTATTGGATTTAAAAGAAATTCATCAGTGTATTAGTAAACAAGTGTCTTAAATCTTACACATCTGGTAATTTTTTTTTTTTTTTTTTTGAGACGGAGTCTCACTCTGTCACCCAGGCTGGAGCGCAGTGGCACAATCTTGGCTCACTGCAAGCTCCGCCTCCCGGGTTCACGCCATTCTCCTGCCTCAGCCTCCCGAGTAGCTGGGACTACAGGTGCCCGCCACCGTGCTTGGCTAATTTTTTGTATTTTTAGTGGAGACGGGGTTTCACCGTGGTCTCGATCTCCTGACCTCGTGATCCGCCCGCCTCGGCCTCCCAAAGTGCTGGGATTACAGGCCACATCTGGTAATTTAAGACTAGCTTTTGCAGATGCACAGTGAGGGGAGGTAGATATAGTGATAATTTTACCTTCTCCCTCCCCTTAGGAGTCTATACTTTGCTCACAACTCATCTCAATGCCATCCTTGTGGAGAGCCACAGTGTAGTGCAAGGTTCCATCCAATTCACTGTGGACAAGGTCTTGGAGCAACATCACCAGGCTGCCAAGGTAATAAGGAATTCACAGCCTCTTTTCTCCTATTCTCTAAGAAAAAGATAGCAAGCATATATGGCAGGCAGGGCCCAGGAGCCCTTCCTCCCTTAATGCCCCTTCCTCTCCTCTTCTGTCACCTGGGTGATCTTGTAACACTGCATCTAGCCTACAACTCAAACTTTAGCTTAGATGGATCACTGTAACCAGCTTGCTTAGTCTTACCTCCTAGTAGGTGTGTTTGGGTAAATAGGGAAATAGTTAATAGGGAAAAATGGCTGATAACACACCTCTTCCTTATGCATATAATTCCCCTTCCCACACAGACTTCTGGAGCTGCTGTTTCGCTGTGTCTTACATTCTTCCCCCATTTTCCTAATTCTTTACACCACCACTTTCTCTCCTTACCTGATTTTCTACATCCATCCATCCTGTGTACTTTTGGTAACACATTTCTTACCTCATATGGCCCCCTTTTCAGGGAAAAAACAACCACACTAAGAGAGCAGAACTAAAAGCTTTTTTTTTTTTTCCCAAATAGTGTGTCTGTTTTCTTGATCATTGTCCTATTGCTTGTCTTCTCTGATGTGTCTGTGTCAGTAAGTCACCTCTGTGAAATGCAAGAACATTTTAAAATTTTATTTTAATTCCCTAAGTGTTATGATGTAAAAATATGTGAGGATCTCAGTAACTTTTGTTGATGGATAGGAAGAATTGTTGAAATCCTGCTCTGATGGAAATGTGTGGGCCCTCTGGGATTCTCTAAACCACATCTTGGGATTCATGCAGTCTCCCCCTTACTTGTTATGTTCCCCAGGCTCAGCAGAAACTACAGGCCTCACTCTCAGTGGCTGTGAACTCCATCATGAGTATTCTGACTGGAAGCACTAGGAGCAGCTTCCGAAAGATGTGTCTCCAGACCCTTCAAGTTAGTAGGAGATTGGGATTGGGGATGCTTAAAAGTGCCAGGGTTTTGGCTGGGTACGGTGGCTCATGCCTATAATCGCAGCACTTTGGGAGGCCAAGGTAGGAGGATTGCTTGAGCCCAGGAATTTGACACCAGCCTGGGCAACACAGGGAGACCCTGTCTCTACAAGTAATTAAAAAATCACCCAGGTGGAGTGGTGCACACCTGTGGTTCCAGCTCCTCAGGAGGCTGAGGTAGGAGGATCAACTGAGCCCGGGATGTTGAGGCTGAGCCGTGATCATGCCACTGTACTCCAGCCTGGGCAACAGACTGAGACCTGTCTTAAAAAAAAAAAAAAATGCCCAGGGCAGTGGCTCATGCCTGTAATCCCAGCACTTTGGGAGGCCAAGGCGGGTGGATGACCTGAGGTCGGGAGTTTGAGACCAGCCTGACCAACATGGTGAAATCCTGTCTCTACTAAAAATACAAAATTAGCCAGTCGTGGTGGCAGTTGCATGTAATCTCAGCTACTCAGAAGGCTGAGGCAGGAGAATTGCTGGAACCCAGGTTGGGGAGGTTGCAGTGAGCCGAGATCGCCCCATTGTACTCCAGCCCAGGTGACAACAGCGAGACTCCACCTCAAAAAAAAAAAAAAAAAAAAAGCCAGGATTTTAATGACATTCTACTGCTTATCTTTGTAAAATGTACAGTATTTTTAGAAACATTACTTTATTTGCTCCACTGTGATGCTACATAGTACCAGGCTTAAGTTTTAAGAAATATTTGTTGGAATAGTAGTATGTATACCATTTTACAAATGAGAAAACAAATTATTTAAGATTTCTGCTTTCTTTAGGTCACACAGCTAGTTAAGAACAGAGCTAGGGCTGGGTGTGGTGGCTCATGCCTGTAATCCCAGCACTTTGGGAGGCTGAGGCGGTGGATTGCTTGAGGTCAGGAGTTCATGACCAGCCTGACCAACATGGTGAAACCCCGTCTCTACTAAAAATACAAAAATCAGCCAGGCGTGGTGGTGCACGCCTGTAGTCCCAGCTACTCAGGAGGCTGAGGCAGAATTGCTGAAACCCGGGAGGTGGAGGTTGCAGTGAGCCAAGATCACCCCACTGCACTCCAGCCTGGGTGACAAAGTGAGATTCCGTCTCAAAAAAGAATAAGAAAAAAAGAACAGAGCTAGGACTAGATCAGTGATTCCTAATCTAATTCCTTGTTGAAAAATGCTATCTCATGGTGACAGAATACACTGGAAATAACTGAGCAACCTTACCTATTACGTGTATGTGGCAGTACGGAATCAGAGGCTCAGGTTCAAATCCTGACTCATTTACTTATTAGTTATGTTTAGGCCTATAGTTCTGAGACTTGTCTACAAATTGGAAAAAGTAATAGTACCTCACAGAGTTATTATGAAGGTGAGAGCTAAATGTGTGCTATGGTCTGAATGTTTATATATCCCCAAAATTCATATGTTGAAATCCTAACCCCCGAACTGATAATATTAGGAGGTATGAGGCCTTTGAGAGGTGATTTAGGTCATTAGGCCTTCATGAATGGGATTAGTGCCTTTATTTTTATTTTATTATTATTTTTTGAGTCGGAGTTTCGCTCTTGTTGCCCAGGCTGGAGTGCAATGGCATGATCTTGGCTCACCGCAACCTCCGCCTCCTGGGTTCAAGCAATTCTCCTGCCTCAGCCTCCCAAGTAGCTGGGATTACAGGCATGCACCACCATGCCTGGCTAATTTTGTATTTATTATTATTATTATTATTATTATTATTATTATTATTATTATACTTTAAGTTTTAGGGTACATGTACACAACATGCAGGTTAGTTACATATGTATACATGTGCCATGTTGGTGTGCTGCACCCAGTAACTCGTCATTTAACATTAGGTATACCTCCTAATGCTATCCTTCCCCCCTCCCCCCACCCCACAACAGGCCCTGGTGTGTGATGTTCCCCTTCCTGTGTCCATGTGTTCTCATTGTTCAATTCGCACTTATGAGTGAGAACATGTGGTGTTTGGTTTTTTGTCCTTGCGATAGTTTGCTAAGAATGATGGTTTCCAGTTTCATGCATGTCCCTACAAAGGACATGAACTCATCATTTTTTATGGCTGCATAGTATTCCATGGTGTATATGTGCCACATTTTCTTAATCCAGTCTATCATTGTTGGATATTTGGGTTGGTTCCAAGTCTTTGCTATTGTGAATAGTGCCGCAATAAACATATGTGTGCATGTGTCTTTATAGCAGCATGATTTATAATCCTTTGGGTATATACCCAGTAACGGGATTGCTGGGTCAAATGGTATTTGTAGTTCTAGATCCCTGAGGAATCGCCACACTGACTTAATTTCGTATTTTCAGTAGAGACGGGGTTTCTCCATGTTGGTCAGGCTGGTCTCAAACTCCCGACCTCAGGTGATCCACCCGCCTTGGCCTCCCAAAGTGCTGGGATTACAGGCCCGAGCTACTGTGCCCAGCCGGATTAGTGCCTTTATAAAAAAGGCCCCAGGCCGGGCGTGGTGGCTCATGCCTGTAAGTAATGTCAACACTTTGGGAGGCCAAGGTGGGTGGATCACCTGAGGTCAGGAGTTCCAGATCAGCCTGACCAACATGGTGAAACTCTGTCACTACTAAAAAAAAAAAAAATACAAAAAAAATTAGCCAGGCGTGGTGGCAGGCGCCTGTAATCCCAGCTACTTGAGAGGCTGAGGCAGGAGAATCACTTGAACCTGGGAGGTGAAGGTTGTAGTGAGCTGAGTTCGCACCATTACCCTCTAGCCTGGGTGACAAGTGCGAAACTCTGTCCCAACCAAAAAAAAAAAGGCCCCAGAGAGACCCTTGCCCCTTCTGCCATGTGAGGACACAGGGAGGAAGTGGGCAGCCTACAGCCCAGAGGAGGGCCCTCACCAGAACCTGACCATGCTGGCACTTTAATTTCAGATTCCCTGCCTCCAGCACTGTGAGAAATCAGTTTCTATTGTTTATAAGCCACCCAGTCTATAGGAATTTGGTATAGCAGCCCGAATGGACTAAGACAGTGTCAAAGTGCATAGCATACGGTAGATTCTCAATAAATGTTAGTGTTTCCCTTCCTTTAGGAATGTGTGCTGACCAACTGGTATTATCAATGGGCAACTTATCATTCCATATTTGTTGCTTTTTTTTTTTTTTCTCTGAGACAGTGTCTCGCTCTGTCGCCCAGGCTGGAGTGCAGTGGCGCGATCTCAGCTCACTGCAAGCTCCGCCTCTCAGGTTCACGCCATTCTCCTGCCTCAGCCTCCCAAGTAGCTGGGACTACAGGCGCCCGCCACCACGCCCAGCTAATTTTTTTTGTATTTTTAGTAGAGACGGGGTTTCATCGTGTTAGCTAGGATGGTCTCAATCTCCTGACCTCGGGATCCGCCCGCCTTGGCCTCCCAAAGTACTGGGATTACAGGCATGAGCCACCACGCCCTGGCCTGCTTCATTTTTTTGGTATAGTTTTCTTGAAAAGCTAGTATAACACAAAAAAATTTTAAAATAATAACTAATAAAATTTATCACTATAATTTTTACTCATTATCTCATATATATTTGTAACCAAAGCATTCTATTTTCATATATAATTTGCCATTTTCCCCATTTCAACAGTCTTAGAATTTTTAGTTAATATCCCACTGTATTGTTTAAATCTAATTTAATAAACCATTCCTCTGTTAGACATTTGTTTACATTCTTGCTTATATAGTGGTTCAGTTAATACCTTTATGTAATATCTTGCTTCTTTTGAATTATTTTCTAGAACAAATTTCTATAAATGGAGTTATGAGTCAAAGTGTATAACACATTTATAAGCTAGTGCATTTTATCATAGCTTCAACTTTCTGGGTCATGTGGATAGCACAGGGTAGTGAAAAGAACACTATATTGGGAATTCTAAGGTATCCATTAAAGCCCTAACTTTTGTACTAACTAGCTGTGAGATCTTGGGTGGGTCACTTCTTTTTTTTTTATTTTTTATTTATTTATTTTTTTTGAGACAGAGTTTCGCTCTTGTTGCCCAGGCTGGAGTGCAGTGGTGCAATCTCGGCTCACTGCAACCTCCGCCTCCCAGGTTCAAGCAATTCTCCTGCCTCAGCCTCCCCAGTAGCTGGGATTACAGGCATGTGCCACCACCCCTGGCTAATTTTGTATTTTTTAGTAGAGACAGGGTTTCTCCATGTTGGTCAGGCTGGTCTCAAACTCCCGACCTCAGGTGATCCGCCTGCCTCGGCCTCCCAAAGTGCTGGGATTACAGGCATGAGCCACCACACCTGGCTTTTTTTTTTTTTTTTTGAGACGGAGTTTCGCTCTTGTTGCCCAGGCTGGAGTGCAATGGCGCGATCTCGGCTCACCACAACCTCTGCCTCCCAGGTTCAAGCGATTCTCCTGCCTCAGCCTCCCGAGTATCTAGGATTACAGGCATGTGCCACCACGCCTGACTAATTTTTGACTCTCCTGCCTCACCCTCCCAAGTAGCTGGGATTACAGGCATGCGCCACCACGCCCAGCTAATTTTGTATTTTCAGTAGAGACAGGGTTTCTCCATGTTGGTCAGGCTGGTGTCAAACTCCCGACCTCAGGTGATCCACCTGCCTTGGCCTCCCAAAGTGCTGGGATTACAGGCGTGAGCCACCGCGCCCAGCCCACTTCTCCTTTTTGAATTTCAATTTTCTCATCCATAAAATTAGTGTGATGTATTAGGTTATTACCCTGGTCCCCTTTAATTCTAACATCCTATAATTATATATTTAAAAGTAGAAAGCTGTTACCTATTTCCTGTGGGTGCAAACTGTATTATTTTGTTCCTCTCCTCCCTAAAAGACTCGTCAGAAAAAAAAAAAGTCTCATATCAGCCTCAGTTATGCAGTAGAACCTGTGCTGTCTTGGAAACTCTTCTTATAGAAGAGCAGTTTATATAACCCCTTCATGAACAGATGGATCTTCTGGATATTTATCTCCTACAGAGATGGGAGAACAGGCCAGGCGCAGTGGCTTACACCTGTAATCCTAGCACTTTGGGAGGCTGAGGCGGGTGGATCACCTGAGGTCAGGAGTTCGAAACCAGCCTTGCCAACATAGTGAAACCCTGTCTCTACGAAAAATACAAAAATGAGCCGGGTGTGGTGGTGCATGCCTGTAGTCCCAGCTACTCGGGAGGCTGAAGCAGGAGAATCACTTGAATCTAGGGGGCGGAGGGTGCAGTGAGCCAAGATTGTGCCACTGCACTCCAGCCTGGGTGACAGAGCAAGACTCTGTCTCAGAAAAAAAAAAAAAAAAAAAAAAAAAAAGAGAGATGGGAAAACAAAGACCTTCTTTGAAGGATCTTGCTTAGATGACAGAAGTGGGAAGACATATAGGAGCCACAACTGCCTGTCTTACACCAAGTATCTCAGGCCTTCTTTTTTTCTCTACTGCCTTCATGAAAACTAAGAAAACTCTTAACTTTAATGGCTTGCCTACTGTCTGCCTCCTCATCTCCCTGTATAAACTTTCTGTGAGAACTTTCCCCCTTGGTTTCCAGTACTGGAACTCAGCATGTTCTATTTCTGGCCCATTTTAGGCAGCTGACACACAAGAGTTCAGGACCAAACTGCACAAAGTATTTCGTGAGATCACCCAACACCAATTTCTTCACCACTGCTCATGTGAGGTGAAGCAGGTAAGTGTAAATAATCAGTACTTTGGTGGGAATCTTCCATTTTGATATATGGGAATCCTGAATTGAGGGTGGGTAGGTACAAGTGTTTCAGACTGCATAATCTGAGGTCAGCCTTTCAGCAAGGAAGTCTGTGAAACAAAATCATCTGTTTTCTATCTCTCAGGAATGACTATCCCACTGGTTGCCTGGTGTCCAATGTCTTGAAAACCGTTGTTTCATGTGTTGTATCCAGGATTTTTGTTATTTCAGGCAGGAGGGTAGATTCAGTCCCCGTTACTCCATCTTGTCCAGAAGACACTGTAGGATAATTTCATCTTTAATTTCTCTTATTTATTCATCCTACATTTTTAGTTCCAGATAAGTCAATCGTACTGACTGGAGCCAAGAAAGCCAGAAAAGTGGGCTTCAGTTAGACAACTACTACCAGCTACACCTGGAATCTGGAGAAACAGAATTTCCTGCTAGGATCTCCGTTCACTCATTAGAGGAGACCATCACAAAACCAGTTAAAAGCTATTTGACCTCCTTGAGGGTAAAGACCCCAACTAAGGAAATTCTAGATCTCCAGCATCCAAAAAGGTGAAAAGATAAAAGTGTGTGTGTGTTTTTTGTTTTTTTTTTTTTTGAGATGGAGTCTCGCTCTGTTGCCCAGGCTGGAGTGCAGTGGCATGACCTCGGCTCACTGCAACCTCTGCCTCTGTCTCAAAAAAAAAAAAAAAAAAAAAAAAAAATTAGCTGAGGCCGGGCATAGTGGCTCACACCTGCAATCCTAGCACTTTGGGAGGCCAAAGCAGGTGGATCACTTGAAGCCAGGAGTATGAGACCAGCCTGGCCAACATGGTGAAATTCTGTCTCTACTAAAAATACAAAAATTAGCTGCATGTGGTGGCACATGCCTGTTGTCCCAGCTACTGGGGAGGTTGAGATACAGGCCGCGTGTGGTGGCTACGCCTGTAATCCCAGCACTTTGGGAGGCCAAGGTAGGTGGACCGCCTGAGGTCAGGAGTTCGAGACCAGCCTGGCCAACATGGTGAAACCCTGTCTCTACTAAAAATACAAACATTAGCCGGTGTGGCGACATGCACCTGTAATCCCAGCTACTTAGGAGGCTGAGGCAGGAGAATTGCTTGAACCCAGGAGACAGAGGTTGCAGTGAACCAAGATCACACCACTGTACTCCAGCCTGGGCGACAGTGAGACTCTGTCCCAGAAAAAAAAAAAACAAAACCATGATACAGAGGGGCTGGGAACGATGGCTCATGCCTGTAATCCCAACACTTTGGGAGGCCGAGGCAGGTGGATTACTTGACCCCAGGAGTTCAAGACCAGCCTGGGTAACATGGCAAAACCCCATCTCTACAAAAAAATAGAAAAATTAGCCAGGCATGGTGGCACATGCCTGTAGTCCCAGCTACTCGGGAGGCTGAGGTGGAAGAACTGCATGAGCCCAGGAGGCAGAGGTTGCCGTGAGCTAAAATCATATCACTACACTCCAATCTAGGTGGCAGTGGGACCCTGCCTCAAAAATAAATAAATAAATAAATAATAAATAAACAAACATAAAACTAATAGAACTATAAGGAGAAATAGACAAATCCAAAATTATATTTTGAGATTTCAACATAATTCTCTCAATAATTAATAGTTATGATAAGCAGAGACAGTCAGAACAATGCTTTCAATCACTTTGACCTAACTGGCATTTATAAAAACACTCTGTTCAACCACAGAAGAATATGCATTCTTTTCAAGTGCACAAGGCACTTTTAGCAAGATAGAACATATTCTAAGGCATTAAATATGTCTCAATACATTTTAAAAGATCTAAGTCATAAAAGTATGTTTCTGACTATAATAGAATTATTACAGCAAAATCAATAAAAGAAAGCTATCTAGAAAATCCCCAAATATTTGGAAACTAAATGACACATTTATAAATAACCTATGAGTTAAACACAGAAATCAAAGGGATATTAGAAATATTTTAATTTAATTAAATGGAAAAGCAAATTATCAAAATTTGTGAGATGTAGCTGATGTAGTATTTAGAGGGGAAAATGCCTGTGTTAGAAAAGAAAAAAGGCTCAAATCCATGAGATCACTTTCCAACTGAAACTAGAATAAGAAGAGCAAATTAAACACAAATTAAACAGAAGAAATGAAATAATAAAGATCAGAATGGAAATCAGTAACATAGAAACCAGAAAAACAATGGAGAAAAATCAATGAAACTAAAAGGTGGCTCATTTAGAAGATTAATAAAATTGATAAACATTTAGCCAGACTAATCAGAATAAAAAGAATGAACACAAATTATCACTATCAGAAATCAGAAAGGTAGCATCAGATATTAAAAGGATTATCAGAATATTTTGAACAAGTTTACAGTATATTTTACAACTTAGATGAAATGGACAAATTCCTTGAAAGATACGAAGCCCACTCAAGAAGAAGTACCCCTATATACCTGATAGCACTGTATCTGTTTTTAAAATTGAATGTTTAAAAACCTTACCATAATATCCTCAATATATAAAGAACTCTTAAAACTCATTAATAAGAACACAACTCGGTTTTTTTAAATGGACAAAATATTTGAACACACTTCACGAAAGAAGCTACAGATACACAAATGGCAGATAAAGACATAAGATGCCCAACATCATCAGTCACAACAAAGGTTCAAAAAAGAACCACAATGAGATAATCATTTCATACCACTGGAATAAAAGGACTGACTATACCACATGTTAACAAGCATGTGGAAGAAAGAACTCACATACACTGTTTGTGGAAATGGAAAATGGTACAAGCACTTCGGAGAACAGTTAGCAGTTTCTTAAAAAGTTAAATATATACCTATCATATGACCTAGCTCTTTCACTCCTAGGTATTTACCCAAGAGAAATGAGAACATATCTCCACACAAAGAATCATACACAAATCTTCATGGCACTTTTGTTATAGCCCCAAAAATGAGAAACAACCCAGTATCAACAGGTAAATGGATAAAAAAATTGTAGTAGATTCATATAAAGGAACACTATGTGGCAATAAAAGGAAAGAACTATTGATACACACAGTGACATGGATGAATCTCTGAATAGCATGGCAAGTGAAAAAATCAAAAACTAAAGGAGTACATACTGTTTGATTGCACTTACATATAATTCTATAAAATGCCAACTAATCTACACAGGTCAGTGGTTACTAGAGGATGGGAGGTGGGAGAGTTGGAATGATTATAAAGGGCAGCAGGATGCTTGCAGGGAGATGAATATGTTCATTATGTTGATTGTGTGATGGTTTCACAGGTATGCACATGTGTACTTAAAAATTGTACATTTTCGGCCGGGTGCGGTGGCTCACGCCTGTAATCCCAGCACTTTGGGAGGCTGAGGCGAGTGGATCACGAGGTCAAGAGTTCAAGGCCAGCCTGGCTAAGATGGTGAAACCCCATCTCTACTAAAAATATAAAAAAAATTAGCTGGGCATGGTGGCAGGCAACTATAATCCCAACTACTTGGGTGGCTGAGGCAGGAGAATTGCTTGAACCCGGGCGGCAGAAGTTGCAGCGAGCTGAGATCATGCCACTGTACTCCAGCCTGGGCAACAGAGTGAGACTCTGTCTCAAAAAAAAAAAAAAAAAAAACAAAAAATTGTACATTTTCTATGTATGCAGTTTACTCTGTCAGTTTATATCTCAACAGTTATAACAAGTATGGACACTTTCTTTTTTTTTTCTTTTTTTGAGACGGAGTCTCACTCTGTCGCCCAGGCTGGAGTGCAGTGGCGTGATCTCGGCTCACTGCAAGCTCCACCCCCCGGGTTCACACCATTCTCCTGCCTCAGCCTCCTGAGTAGCTGGGACTACAGGCACCTGCCACCATGCCCGACTAATTGTTTTTTCTATTTTTAGTAAAGACGGAGTTTCACTGTGTTGGCCAGGATGGTCTTGATCTCCTGACCTCGTGATCCTCCGGCCTCGGCCTCCCAAAGTGCTGGGATTACAGGCATGAGCCACCGCGCTATGGACACTGTTTCTGAGAAAATGAGTAACAGGGCCTTTGGTACCTCCTCTGCATCTGCTCTGCCCCTTGTACTTCTGCTTTCCTGATTGGGTGGGGAAGTTTAGGTGCCCAGGCACCCAAGGATCAAAGCATCTTATGGACTTTACCATCCTCCTCTTCAGTGTGATTAGAGAGGCACAGAGCAGCAGTAAAGCCGTTAGTGCTCCCTTCACCACCCCTTCCATGGCTGGCTGTGCCTTCTACGATGCACTTCCCAGGAACGTGTCCACTGTTCCTTTCAGCTGCTTCACCGCAAATACTCTTGCCAGTTTCCCTCGGACTTGGAAAGCCGCTGTCCACGCCTTGCGCAAATAAAGCTAAAATCCATTGTATCAGTTTCCTGGGATGCTGTCAGAAATTAACATCAACTTGAAGGTTTAAGAACAATCCAAATTTATTGTGTCACAGTTCTGGAGGCCAGAAGTCCAAAATCAAGGTGTTGGCAGGGCCACACTCCTTCCAAAGTTTCTAGAGGAGAGTGCTTCCTTGTCTTGCCTCTTCTAGCTTCTGATAAAAACTGTACCTTGGTTTCTTGTAGTTTGCATAACTCCAAACTGTAACTCCATCTTCACATTGCTTTCTCCCTGTCTCTCAAATCTTTCTGCCTTTTTTTTTTTTTTTTTTTTTTTTTGACACCGAGTCTTGCTCTGTCGCCCAGACTGGAGTGCAGTGGCAACGATCTTGGCTCACTGCAACCTCCGCCTCCTGGGTTCAAGTGATTCTCCTGCCTCAGCCTCCCGAGTAGCTGGGATTACAGGCGCCTACCACCATGCCCAACTAATTTTTGTATTTTTAGTAGAGACGGGGTTTTGCCATGTTGGCCAGGCTGGTCTCGAACTCCTAGCCTTAGGTGATCTGGCTGCTTTGGCCTCCCAAAGTGCTGGGATTACAGGCAGGTAATTAGGGATTTAGGGCCCACCCTAAATCCAGGCTAATCCTGTCTTGCGATCTGGAATTACATGTGCAAAGACTTTTCTCAAATAAGCTCACATTCACAAATTCTGGGGGTTAGGATTTGGACATATTTGGGGTGGGGGAGAATGCAGTTCACTACAGCCATCCACATCTTCAGCTTTCTAGGGACAGGTTCAGGGTAAGGCATGTGCTGTTATCATAGGACCCAGGATATAAGCGCAGAGGGACTCCTCAGGATCTAGGAGTGCTTCAGCCTCTGAAGTACTTTTACTTGGGCCTCTGTGGTATCCCAGTAAGACCTAAAAAAGATAATCTGGGCCAGGTGCGGTGGCTCACTCCTGTAATCTCAGCACTTTGGGAGGGCAAGGCAGGTGGATCACTTGAGGTCAGGAGTTTGAAACCTGCCTGGCAAACATGGCAAAATTCCGTCTCTACTAAAAATAAAAAAATTAGCCAGGCCTGTTGGCACACCCTTGTAGTCCCAGCTACTCAGGAGGGTGAGACATGAGAATCGCTTGAATCTAGGGGGCGGAGGTTGCAGTGAGCCAAGATCATGCCACTGCACTCCAGCCTGGGTGACACAGCAAGACTCTGTCTCAAAAAAAAAAAAAGATCTGACCTCTTTTACCCTGTTCTTTTGCTATAGTCATGGCTCATAGCCTCAGGGCCATTCATAGCCCAATTAATTTGGCATATGGCTAGTGAACTCAAGGTCTTACCAGTAGTCATAGGTCTTGGAAAGAAGGAACACTTACTGAATCCCTAATCTGTGCCGAGATTTTCACTTTAATCTCTGCAAAGATGTTATAAATTAGGTCATAGTTTTCCCATTTTACAGATGAGGAAACTGATTACAGAACTTTCATAATTTGCCCAGAATCACAGTCAGTAAATAGCAAGGCTAGAATTTGTACCGAGAGCTCCCGGCTCTGAAACCTGGTAATATTGTTAACACAGAGGACTAGGTTGCAAGCCCAGGGCAGATGAGTGATCCAGGTCATTGAGTAGAACCCATGATTCTCCACTCAACATCCTCTGGTAATGGCCATTTAGTGATAAATAACTTGTTAGTGGTACAAGAGTGGCACCCAGTGGCTTCAGCTAGAACTACAAGACTAAGGATGATAGGTCAAATTCTTTGACCTCTGGGCCATTCTGTTTCCATTTCTAAACAGGAAAGGTAGAATAGCTGACCTCTTGAGTAACAGGGAAGAAAACCATCTATTATATGCTTTATTGAGAAACTGAAAAAATGAGGGAGTGTGTATTCAGAGTGAACATATTCAGGGAAAGGTCATGCAGGAATGGAGAAGGTATTATTTTTGTTTTTATTTTTTTAGAAACAGGTTCCCGCTATGTTGCCCGGGCTGGAGTGCAGTGACTATTCATAGGTGTGATCATGGTGCACTACAGCCTCGAACTCCTGGGCTTAAGTGATCCTCCTGTGTCAGCCTCCTGAGTAACTGGAACTACAGGCGTGCATCACTGCACCTGGCGAGGAGTGGATATTTTAAGCCTGAATGTTTGAACAGAGACAGTGGGCCAGGAAGGAGTGAACAAGATAGTACTCCAGGGTTTAGTGTCATAGATATATGTAGGGACTGAGAACTTAAACCCAGAATGAGCAGGAGTAGTATCAAGGAGGCAATTTTCTAAGGAAAGGCATTGTTTCCGGCGGGTCGGGGGAGGGGGTAGACTAGAAATAAATGTCCCATAGAATGTTAAATCCAAGGTGTATTCTGAGGTCAGGGCTGTCTTATCTGGGGGACCAGGTGATGAATGAAGGGTGTGCAAGGCTACCAGAGAGGCCCAGAGCTTCATATCTCAATGCGGGTAGTTCCTTGATAAGACCAATTTCAAGATAGGAGAAAGATTTATCTATGACACGAGATTTTCCAAGCTAAAGCCAAAAAAAAAACCAAGTTCTGTCTCAAGATAAAAATATTTAGAAAATATCCTGTTTCTTTCTTTATGTCTTTAGAATTATTTTTGCCCCTCCTATGTTCCTTGGAATATAATTACTTGGGAACTAAAACTTGTTTTAGTAAACAATATATGATAGATCTCTCATGGAGATAATTCATATACCATAAAATTTACCACTTTAAAGAATAAAACTCATTGATTTTAAGTATATTCACTGTGCTGTGCAGCCATCGCCACTAAAATTACAGAACATCTCCATCATGCCATTAGCAGTACCTATTCGCAGTGAGTCCCAGTTCCCCTCTCCCTTCAACCCCTGGCAACCACTAGTATGCTTCCCATCTCTGTGGATTTGCCTATTCTGGACACTTCATATAGATGGGACCATACAACATGGGCCTTTATGTGCCTTCTTTCATTTAGCATGTTTCTAAGGCTCATCTATGTTGTACCATATAACAATTTCATCCATTCTTTATGGCTGAATAATAATCCATTGTATTGATATACCACATTTTATCCATTAATTAGTTGATGAACACAAGTTTTTTCCACTTTTCGGCTATTATGAATATGCTGTTACGAACAGCATATTTGTGTGGACATGCTTGTAACTGTCTTGGGTATATATCTAGGAGTAGAATTGCTGAGTCATATGATAACACTATGTTCTAACTTTTTAAAGAACTTTCGAGCTGATTTCCACAGTCTGCATCATTTTACATTCCTGCCAGCACTGTGTGATGGTTCCAATTTCTCTATACCCTCATTAACTGTTGTCATTGTTTTTCTTACTGCCATTCTAGTGCATGTGAAGTAATTTCGTGGTTTTGATTTGCATTTCTCTAGTGAATACTGATGCTGAGTATCTTTTCCATGTGCTTATTGGCCATTTGTATATCTTCTTTGAAGAAAGGTCTATTCAAATCTTTTGCCCATTTGCTGTTGTTGTTGTTGTTGAGACGGAGTCTCACTCTGTTGCCCAGGCTGGAGTGCAGTGGCGCTATCTCGGCTCACTGCAAGCTCCACCTCCCGGATTCACACCATTCTCCTGCCTCAAGTAGCTGGGACTTACAGGCGCCCACTACCACGCCCGGCTAATTTTTTGTATTTTTAGTGGAGACGGGGTTTCACAATGTTAGCCAGGATGGTCTCAATCTCCTGATTTTGTGATCCGCCCACCTCGGCCTCCCAAAGTGTAGGGATTACAGACGTGAGCCACCGTGCCTGGCCCTCTTTTGCCCATTTTTAAATTGGTTTGTTAAATTATTGAGTTATGAGAGTTCTTTACCTTGGGCCAGGCAAGGTGGCTCACACTTGTAATCCCAGCACTTTGGGAGGCGGAGGTGGGAGGATCGCTTGAGCCCAGGAGTTTGAGACCAGCCTGGGCAACATAGTGAGACCTCGTCACTACAGAAAATATGATTTTTTTTTTTTTTTTTTGAGATGGAGTCTTGCCCTGCCACCCAGGCTGGAGTGAAGTGGAGCATTCTCAGCTCACTGCAACCTCTACCTCCCGGGTTCAAGTGATTCTCCTGCCTCAGCCTCCTGAGTAGCTGGGATTACAGGTGTGCGCCACCACGCCTGGCTAATTTTTGTATTTTCAGTAGAGACGGGGTTTCACCATGTCGGTCAGGCTGGTCTCAAACTCCTGACCTCATTATCTGCCTGGCTCAGTCTCCCAAAGTGCTGGGATTATAGGCGTGAGCTACCGTGCGTGGCCTATAAATAAATTTTAAAAAGAGTTCTTTAATTTGGGTAACAGTACCTTAGCAGGTATGATTTGTAAATGTCTTCTCCCATTCTTGTGGATTGACTTTTCACTTTTGTTCATAGGAAGCACAAATTTTATTTTATTTTTATTTTCTTGAGACAGAGTCTCACTCTGTCGCCCAGGCTGGAGTGCAGTGGTGTGATCTTGGCTCACTGCAAGCTCTGCCTTCTGGGTTCACGCCATTCTTCTGCCTCAGCCTACCGCATAGCTGGGACTACAGGCGCCTGCCACCACGCCTGGCTAATTTTTTTGTATTTGTAATAGAGACGGGGTTTCACTGTGTTAGCCAGGATGGTTTCAATCTCCTGACGTCATGATCCGCCTGCCTCGGCCTCCCAAAGTGCTGGGATTACAGGCTTGAGCCACTGCACCTGGCCGAGAAGCACAAATTTTTAATTTTTTTTTTTTTTTTTTGAGATGGAGTCTCACTCATCACCCAGACTGGAGTGCAATGGCGTGATCTCAGCTCACTGCAACATCCACCTCCCAGGTTCAAGCAATTTTCCTGCCTCAGCCTCCTGAGTAGCTGGGATTACAGGAGCCCACCACCACAGCCAGCTAATTTTTGTATTTTTAGTACAGGCGGAGTTTCACCATGTTGGCCAGGCTAGTCTCGAACTCCTTACCTCAGGTGATCTGCCTGCCTCGGCCTCCCAAAGTGCTGGGATTACAGGCATGAGCCACCGCGCCTGGCTATGAATTTTTAATTTTGAGGAAGAAGATACCTATTTTTATACATCTGTATTCTTGAAAAGGAGCTGGGAGGATTGGGTTCTGGTCTCAGTAAGAACCTCTTTTTCTCTGTCCAAATTATTGAACTAACCAGTGTGGCAGGGCTCTAGGAGGCTACCGATGACTACAGAATATACCCTGTGGCTTCCCAGGTTTGACTTTCTCAGTCAAACTTACCTGGTGTAAGGCACTCTGCTAGCTGTAAAGTGATAAAGGCATGATGGCCCTTGCCTTTGAAGGGATTTAGGGTGTAGAAAATGGACATTTGCACATTACTTGATGAATGGGCACACAGGATACTTGCAGAGTATGCAGAGCCCGAGGAATGGGCAGGCAGTAGCCAAGAGACTGGAGCTCAGAGAAGAAAGGATGTGCCGTGAATGGCCAGAGTGGAGAAGGATCCACAGAGGGAAACCTTGAAGACTGGAGGGTGGGTAGGGGGATTCATGAGCCAGGAGGAAGAGGGAGTTCCAGGTGAGGGCAGATAACCTTGTGAGGTCAGTGAAGCCACCAGGCACACTCCTGTTTCACTAGGGCTCGTTCATGTTTCTACAAAACTCACTTAGGACTTCTAATTTTTTTAAGCAGCTAACCCTAGAAAAAAAGGACTCAGCCCAGGGCACTGAGGACGCACCTGATAACAGCAGCCTGGAGCTCCTAGCAGGTAAGGTTTTAGCTTTTCAAGTGAGCCCTGGACTGCAGCAGAGGAAGTAAAAAACGTGAGTTCAAACTTTCAAACTATTCCACTGTACCTTCTACTACAGCGGCGTCCTTCTGCAATTTAGTGGGCTGTTGCTGCCACTGTGGGTCTTCAAGGCAGCAGCAGGTCTTCCCTCCCCAAGATGTTAGGACAGGACTAGAAATTTGTATTAAAGTCTGTGCAGTTACAGATAGCTGCACATGATGGGGTGGGGGTAGGTAATACGCAGATTCAGGGCCCTGAATTTTATTTTATTTTTATTTTTTTGAGACAGAGTCTCACCTCTGTCGCCCAGGCTGGAGTGCAGTGGCGCCATCTCGGCTCACTGCAAGCTCCGCCTCCCGGGTTCACACCATTCTCCTGCCTCAGCCTCCCGAGTAGCTGGGACCACAGGCGCCCGCCATCACGCCCGGCTAAATTTTTGTATTTTTAGTAGAGACGGGGTTTCACCGTGTTAGCCAGGATGGTCTCGATCTCCTGACCTTGTGATCCGCCTGCCTTGGCCTCCCAAAGTGCTGGGATTACAGGCGTGAGCCACCGCGCCCGGCCTGGCACCATGTCACTCTTAATGTGTGTTATGGGAAAGTGTCAGTGCGTGGGTTGTGATTGCAATTATACTGAAGTCTTTTCTCCATACATGTCTCCTGCAGTGCTTAAACAGCCTTCCCAGCCCACAGCAGCAGGGGTACAGCAGCTCTCACATTCAGTCACTAGCAGAGATGCCAGGTACTATTCTGAGCTTTTAAAATGTACTAATGCTCTTAGTTCTCAAAACTATCCTAGGAGCTATAGGTACTGTTATTAACTCTCATTTTGCATATGAGGAAATTGAGGCCCACAGATATCAATAAACTTACCCAAGGCTACACAGCCAGTAAATGACAGAGCAAGAATTCAAACCCAGGCAGCCTAGCTCTGCTGTCTCTGGAAGAGCCGAATTAGCAGGGATGCCCTCCTACAGATCCTGAGTCCTTCAGATAAAACAGTATCTGGGTCAAGGGAAGCTGGGGATCGTGACGTCAGCACCTATGCTTGGTTGGTAAATCCCTCTTTCTAGGGTCACAACCACAACACATACGCGTTTATGCTTAGGCCTAAGATGTGTCCCTGAAATCACTGTCAACTGAACCATGTTTTAAATGTTGTGGGGGCTGTTGCTACTGAAAAGAACCCTGCTGTGAACGCTTGTACAAAGCAAAGAATCTATTTTTATAAATTTAGATCTGGAGATTTTAAAAAATGCAAATATGATACATACAATTCAGTATTTATGCAGTCAGAAGAGACAAAGGAATAAGTATCTTCCCATACAAGGAAAAAAATTAACATTTAATTCAGTACCTTCTGTGGACCCTGGGGAGATGCTGGGGTCTTCCACAGCCTTATCTCATTTAGTCTTTACAGTGCCCTTCTGGGGGCAGGGGGAGGCATGGATCCTAACAAACTAGAGGACCCAGGCTCAGGTGAGGCAGAACGCTTAGCAGGAGGTAATGACTTTCAGTTTGCCGCCTCCAAAGCCCATGTTTTCTCCAGTGTGCAACATGAGCTTTAAAATCTAGGTGTTTATAATCTGGTGGAACCCCTGGAGGATGGCTTGGGCTGTTCTGTCCTACAGACCTGTGGCTCTCAGCATCCATTCTACGCCTCACATGGGCAGCCCTGCTGAAGAAAATCACCAAACTGTGTGTTGATGCCACCATCCATTGGTGGTCCACTCACTCAGGAGCCTTTGGTTTGTCAGTCCTTCCCCCTGCCTTTCTGGCCTTTGTCCCTCAGTGGCTACTCCATTCTTTAAAAAATCTACCCAGTCTCTGCCTCCTGCTTCATACTTACGGATCTCTTTTCTCAGTAAACTCACCCAACTTGCACCCTCCCACTGCAGAACCTCATCAGTGTGGGGACCCATTTCCTCCAGGCTCACAGTGGGATCGTCCCTTCTGCTTTCTTGGGACCTGCTTGCATCAGTTATCACTGCTGCACCTTCAGCCTTCCCCTGAGTTCCTTTCCCTCAGCAGGTCAAGCTCTCATTTCATCAGAAGAAAATCTCCCGTGACCTTGAACTTCCTCCACTTATCCTCAACCTCTCTCCCTCACATCTCAGCCAAGGATCTCAAAACCACAAGCTGCATGCACCCTGTCTCCCTTTCTTCCTCTCATTCTCTCCCTCACTTAGGGTACTTGCTTTTTCTGTGGCCTCTGAAACTTCTCTCCTCAGGGAAGGCCTCTTAATTACCAAATTTTGCATTTACCTTCATTGTATCTGAACTATGTGCAAAATTTGGCACTGTAAGGCTATGACTCGCCTGGTTTTTCCCTCCCTGGGCTTTTCTCTTCATCTACTTTCCTCTGGTCATGCCTAAATAGTGCTCATCCTGCTCTCCCACCCAGCTATCTTCCATCCCAACTGTTGACCACTGCCTCTGGGCTCAAGACTCTCAAATTGGTATGACCAGCCAAGGCCTCTGCTGAGTGCCAGCTGGGAGATTCATTTGCTCACTAGGCAGCTCCTCGTGGAGGTCCCATTGGTACCTCAGTTTCCTCTCTCCTGACTAAAGAGACTTTTAGTCTGTTTCATGATTAATCCAATTTATCACATCTGAAATCTTGGATTCATTCAAGAGGCCTCTCATTTTTTTTTTTTTTTTTTTTTTTTGAGACAGAGTCTCCCTCTGTTGCCCAGACTGGAGTGCAGTGGCGTGATCTCGGCTCACTGCAACCTCCCTGCCTCCCAAGTTCAAGTGATTCTCTTGCCTCAGCCTCTGAGTAGTTGGGATTACAGGCGCCCACCACCATGCCCAGCTAATTTTTGTATTTTTAGTAGAGACGGGGTTTCACCATGTTGGCCAAGCTGGTCTCAATCTCCTGACCTCGTGATCTGCCCGCCTCGGCCCCCCAAAGTGCTGGGATTACAGGCATGAGCCACCGCGCCCGGCCAAGAGGCCTCTCCCACATCCAGGCGCTCACAAAGGCCTATCACTTAGGCCTGATGAACACTTCTGATTCCTGGTGACGCCTCTATCTCCACTGTCTTTACTTGTTATTGGGCTCTTAAGGTCTTCCTGTCTCTAGTTTGATCTAAGCCACACCTTTGAAAGAACGATCTTTCTGAAGTACAAAATTACCAATATATTTCACCAGTGCTTAAAACTCTTTATTGGCTTCCTGTCTTCTACAGATGAAAATCTGTTTCTAGCCAGGCAAGGTGGTGTGTGCCTTTAGTCCCAGTTACTCGAGAGGATGAGGCCGGGAGTTCAAAGCTGCAGTGAGCTACAATCACGCCACTGCACTCCAGCCTAGGTGACAGGCGAGACCTCATCTTTAAAAAGTAAAAATTTACATAGGAAGTTGTTTTATGCCTTTGCATAAGGTTTGTGTTAACTTTCAGCAAGAAATTCCCTTTCTCTCCCTTGTCTGGCATATCACTCTTCATCCTTCAAAACCCAGCTCTGGGGCAGGAGTGGTGACTTATGCCTGTAATACCGTCACTTTGGGGAGCTGGGGCGGGAGGACAGCTTGAGACTAGCCTGGGCAACACGGTGAGACCCCTGTCTCTACAAGTAAAAAAAATTAGCCGGTGTGGTGGCATGCGCCTGTGGTTCCTGGTACTCTGGAAGCTGAAGCTGAGGCAGTAGGATCGCTTGAGCCCAGGAGGTCGAGGCTGCAGTGAGCCAGGACTGAGCCACTGCACTCCAGCCTGGGCAACAGAGCAAGACCTTGTCTCAAAAAAACAAAAGGTCAGCTCAGGTATCTCCTCATGGAAACCCTTCTTCACATCCAGAGGTGGTCGGCTTCCTTCTCTATTCTAACCCTGGGCTTTGTACACAGGTCTGCATCCCCTCCTAGCATCTGTGAGCTTCTCTCAGGGAAAAGCTCATTGATCTGCATCCCCAAGACCTGCTGGGGAAGAATCTATCCATCTAAACTCGCTTTAATTTGACAAATGAATCAGTTAAGAGTAGGAAAGCTGCCTATGGGCACTGCTCAATGCAACGTGAGCAACAAAGGGAGACAGAACTGAGGCCAGAAAGGTGAGGGGGGACAGAGGCTGGCAGGGAGGGGAGCTTGTCAGTGCAGACTCCAGGAAGAATCTATACAGAAAGTTACTGAGCGGCCTGAGTCCCCCAAGTGAGGGCTCGGGACAATCTCCCGCCTGGGTGAGAGAATAGGGAGACCCTGAAACGTCTCTGCAGCCTCGGGCTGCTCCAGAAGCGCCCACAGCTGCAGGGTTTTGGTGTGGATGGGACCTGCTGACAGGGATGCGGTGGGAAGAGCCCCTCGGCGCCCGTTCTCCCAGGCTTCCCCTTGGCCAAGGGTGCTCCTAGCACAGGGCCATGAAAGTAAGATGAAGAGGCTTGTTTTTCTCCTAGATACCAGCGGGCAAGCAGAAAACAAGAGGCTCAAGAGGGGCAGCCCCCGCATAGAGGAGATGCGAGCTCTGCGCTCTGCCAGGGCCCCGAGCCCGTCAGAGGCCGCCCCGCGCCGCCCGGAAGCCACCGCGGCCCCCCTCACTCCTAGAGGAAGGGAGCACCGCGAGGCTCACGGCAGGGCCCTGGCGCCGGGCAGGGCGAGCCTCGGAAGCCGCCTGGAGGTAACTGGGCGAGGGCCGCGCAGGGAAGGGCTCAGCAGGAGGTGCAGGCCACGGGCCGCTGCTGAGAGGTCCTCACCCCGGGCCCCCTTGTTCCCGCAGGACGTGCTGTGGCTGCAGGAGGTCTCCAACCTGTCAGAGTGGCTGAGTCCCAGCCCTGGGCCCTGAGCCGGGTCCCCTTCCGCAAGCGCCCACCGATCCGGAGGCTGCGGGCAGCCGTTATCCCGTGGTTTAATAAAGCTGCCGCGCGCTCACCAAGTCCTCTTCCGCGTCTGCTTCCGCGTCGGGCCCGGGCGGGGCGGGGCGGGGCGTGGAGCCGCGCCGCGGCCTGACGTCACCCACACCTCCCTGGGACTGCGTCACTGGTGCGCGCCGCGGGTCAGGGCGCAATGGCGGCGCTGGGCGGGGATGGGCTGCGACTGCTGTCGGTGTCGCGGCCGGAGCGGCCGCCCGAGTCGGCGGCGCTGGGCGGCCTGGGCCCCGGGCTGTGCTGCTGGGTGTCAGTGTTCTCCTGCCTCAGCCTCGCCTGCTCCTACGTGGGCAGCCTCTACGTCTGGAAGAGCGAACTGCCCAGGTGCGGGGGCTGCGCGCGACCGGAATCCGCGCCCTGCGGGCGGAGCTTGGGCGAGCCGGGGGCGGGTCCGTGCTCATGGGCAGCCGCGGGCCCCCTGAACTTACTGTCCCCTCCGTAGGGACCATCCCGCGGTCATCAAGCGACGCTTCACCAGCGTCCTGGTGGTGTCCAGTCTCTCACCCCTGTGCGTGCTGCTCTGGAGGGAACTCACAGGCATCCAGGTGCGAAGGAGGCGGGGCAAAGGGCAACGGCGGTGAGAGCTCAGGGGTCTTTAGGGGAGGAAGCAAAACTGATGCCCCCTTTCCTGTGGCTCAGCCAGGCACATCCCTGCTCACCCTGATGGGCTTCAGGCTGGAGGGCATTTTCCCAGCGGCGCTGCTGCCCCTGTTGCTGACCATGGTGAGTGCTCCTGCTGTATTTTTTCTTCTGGTCTTTGTTATCAGCCTGATGGGCAGTGCCGTGGACTCTTGTTTTTGGTTTTTGGTTGATGGGAGACAGGACTTTTGAGATGGCCCCAGGGTCCTCCGGTATGCATGGTCTGGAAATCGTGGCTGGAGAGGATTTCAAGCTTGGAGTCTCAGGGAGCATGGGCAAAGGTCTGGGCAAAAGCGGTGGGTTATGGTGAAAGTGTTTTCTTGCCCTCAGATTCTTTTCCTGGGCCCACTGATGCAGCTCTCTATGGATTGCCCTTGTGACCTGGCAGATGGGCTGAAGGTTGTCCTGGGTGAGTCTTAAAGGCTGAAGGGAAAAGTAGGCACAGGCAGTCCAGGACATTGGGGCAGGGAGTCAGCGGGCTCAGGGTGTGATCTGGACACGTGAAATGTCATCTCTCTGGGTGTGTTTTCTCATCAGTAAAATGGAAACATAGAGCTAGGTGGCCTCTAAGGGTTGATTGCCAACGTCCAAGGAGTTCCCTGGGAACCCCCAGCAGTATTTGGTGTGGATCAGAGAGCACTGTCCCCTGCTTCCCCAACCAGAGCTAGTCTTGCTTAAATTTTGGTGTCTCCAGAGTTTACTTCCAGGATGCCCTTGCCTCAGCTAATGCCTTCCATTCAGGTCATCTCAAGACATTGGGTTTATGTTGGGTCCACACCCCCGTCCTCAGCAGTATTGATGCCTAACCTGAGTTTGGCCAGGGTAAAGTTGTGGGAGAGGAGCCCTTGGAGCCTCTGGGGTCTCACTGTCTGACAGCCCGTCACTCACAGCTTGTCCTGAATTCCCTCTGCAGCCCCCCGCTCCTGGGCCCGCTGCCTCACAGACATGCGTTGGCTGCGGAACCAAGTGATCGCCCCGCTGACAGAGGAGCTGGTGTTCCGGGCCTGTATGCTGCCCATGTTAGCACCGTGCATGGGCCTGGGCCCTGCTGTGTTCACCTGCCCGCTCTTTTTTGGAGTTGGTGAGTCTGGCCAGATTAGTCCTGGTGTGTTTTCAGCATGAGAGCTCAGAAGGGGGCTTGAGGTGAGGGGCAGTCCTAGAAGGGAGGCTGGGAGGAATGACTGTGATGTGATTGTCACCTTTTTCCCAGCCCATTTTCACCATATTATTGAGCAGCTGCGTTTCCGCCAGAGCAGCGTGGGGAACATCTTCTTGTCTGCTGGTGAGTCCTGGCTAGCTGGCCTGGGTTAGGGTGTATGATGATGTCGCTAATGGCCACTCTGGAGAAGGAATTGGGAACTGAGGGCCACAGTATTGGAGAGGCCACTGACCGTGGGAAGTTGGGGTGCAGGACAGCTGTAGGTGGTGGGGCAGGCAGCTACTGCCCCGGGGGGAGGGGATGGTCGGTCTTTGGCTGATGGGTATGTAGTGTGGGGGCAGGAAGGGCGTGCAGGTGTGGTCACTCGTGGCCTCCCCGTCTCCAGCGTTCCAGTTCTCCTACACAGCTGTCTTCGGTGCCTACACTGCTTTCCTCTTCATCCGCACAGGTTGGTCCTCAGTCCCTCATGGGTCCCTGGGGGCCCACAGGAGCGGGTGGGAGAATGGGAATACTGTTTGTTCTAGGAACAAAAGTTCTTCTACTCCAGTCCTTGAGACAGGCTGAGCCAGAGCCCTCAGCCTGGTGAGGTCTGAGAGGTGGAAAGGAGCAGAGGCCGTGGTGTGTGGGTGGATGGCTGGGGTAGTGGGATCTTGATCTCCTGTTTCAGGGGATGAGGGTCACTAGCCCTGGAAGGGCCAGAGGAGGTGGTAGGGCTGCTCCCTGAGCTGCTGTCTCTTTTCCCCAGGACACCTGATTGGGCCGGTTCTCTGCCATTCCTTCTGCAATTACATGGGTTTCCCAGCTGTTTGCGCGGCCTTGGAGCACCCACAGAGGCGGCCCCTGCTGGCAGGCTATGCCCTGGGTGTGGGACTCTTCCTGCTTCTGCTCCAGCCCCTCACGGACCCCAAGCTCTACGGCAGCCTTCCCCTTTGTGTGCTTTTGGAGCGGGCAGGGGACTCAGAGGCTCCCCTGTGCTCCTGACCTATGCTCCTGGATACGCTATGAACTCTCACCGGCTCCCCAGCCCTCCCCACCAAGGGGTACTGCAGGGGAAGGGCTGGCTGGGGTCCCCGAGATCTCAGGAATTTTTGTAGGGGATTGAAGCCAGAGCTAGTTGCGTCCCAGGGACCAAGAGAAAGAAGCAGATATCCAAAGGGTGCAGCCCCTTTTGAAAGGGGTGTTTACGAGCAGCTGTGAGTGAGGGGACAAGGGGCAGGTCCCAGGAGCCACACACTCCCTTCCTCACTTTGGACTGCTGCTTCTCTTAGCTCCTCTGCCTCTGAAAAGCTGCTCGGGGTTTTTTATTTATAAAACCTCTCCCCACCCCCCACCCCCCAACTTCCTGGGTTTTCTCATTGTCTTTTTGCATCAGTACTTTGTATTGGGATATTAAAGAGATTTAACTTGGGTAACATGGCCTTGGGCCTTTGGGAATCGGTCTATTTGGGATCTTGTGTGAAGACTCTAGGCAGCTCTTGGGAGTGTGCCCACCACCTGTCCCAGCTACCTTGAACACTGACATCTGGGCGGTGCATCCAGGCGGGTAGTTCCCTGGAGTACAGGATGGGCTGGGAGCTCTGGTTGCTGGGAGCCTGTGGCTTCCTCCTTCCTGAACCATGCCCCAAAGTCCTAGTGTGGTTGGCTCTGAGACTGCAGGTACCAGGTGTGAGCCCAGCTCATCCTGGGGCCTGTGCCTTGGCTGACGGGTCAGGGAGTGGGAACCATGGCCCTGGCCCTGACCTCAGCGATGGAGCCTCCGACGTATCTCCTCTGAGGGGAAGATGACTGGCCTGAAGCCTCTGCCAGGACCTCCACAGTCTGCCAGTCTTGTTTTTCACAAGAGGAAATAGGTCCCTGAGTCACCATAAGTAGAGGCTTTTCTGGTTCTCTCCACCTCTGACCTCTGCCCCAGAGGAACCCAGAACACAGGCTGCAGCCCTGAGGGCAGCAGGGACTTTGCCAAGCAACACAGTGACTCCAGGGTCCTTCTCGGCACCTGCAAGTGTTCTGCCTGCTCTCCATCATTTTTGGAAGGGCTCTCGTTTCCCTGCCTGTGCTCTTTTAAAATTAGATTCCTGAAAGAGTATTAGCCCTGGATTACTTGAGGTCAGGAGTCCGAGACCAGCCTGACCAACATGGTGAAACCCGTCTCTACTAAAAATACAAAAAATTAGCCGGGCATAGGCGGGGCGTGGTGGCAGGAGGCTAAGGCAGGACAATCACTTGAACCTGGGAGGCACAGATTCCAGTGAGCCAAAATCACACTACTGTACTCCAGCCTGGGTGACAGAGCGAGACTCCATCTCCGGGGTGGGGGGCAGGGGGGGCGGGGGAGGGAAGAAAGCCCTTTAGGTCCCATTCCCCAATCAAGGAGGTTGTCCCAAGGTCCCTTCTCTGAGGCTGGCCACTGAGGGAAAAAGGATGTGCGGTCACTCCCCCACGATGCCTGCAGGCTGGCCATGACAACGACATCCACCCGGATGGAAGGGGCAGCATCGCAGTCATCTGCCTCCTGGGGTACATCTAGGACATGGCGGTCCAGAAAGGAAGAGGCTCAAGCCCACTGTGAGTTGCCCATCCCAGAGGTTGGACTGGCTCTGGGAGCACTGGGCAGAGGCCTGCTGGGTGCTTCCCATCCAGAGGCTGATTTCCTGCATCGGCCTCCCCACACCCACCCCTCCATCTCAGGAACTGCCCAGCCTCCTGCTCCCTTCACCATCCTCTCCCTACCTGTGGGCAGGTGGGCAGGAGGGCAGTGGTGCAGGCAGGGTTACTGTCCCCACTGCAGGAAAGGGAACTGAGCAGGAGTCTGGAGGGGTGGTCATGGGGAGTGGCAGGGTTAGAACCTGAGACCCTGGACCCGGTGCTCCCCCTCACCTCCCACCAACATTCTCACATCCAGAGCACACACAAGACTCCCGGATCACCATTCCCGAGGGTCTTACCCACTGCCCACAAGGTGGTACCTGCTTGCATTTACCTGCTAACTGAGGTGGGACGCTGGCCTTGGGTTTTAGAAAATAAAGCAGCGGGGTTGGGAGGCGAGTCTGCCAACGGCCTGGGTTTCATCTCTCTCTCTTACTACTTGTGAAGTCCTGGACAAATTATTTAATCTTCCTGTGACTTGATTTCTGTGTCCATAAGAGGATGAAGGTTAATTCCCTGTGTTAATAGGTGTTAAATACTTAGAACAGGCCCCACCCCTCAAGCAAGTTCAGTACTACTAGTCCTGTTTGGGGAGTATACACAGTAGGCACCCAATAGTGACTTAAAACAGGGCCACGATGGTCATTCTCACTACCCTCTGAGGAGAACGACACAACTGACCTGCCCACCCATGGGGAGCTTGAAAGGCAGCCCCCCACTGCTGAGTGGTGCAGGCTGGGGGCTGCACAGGATCCAGCATGGAGGGCAGGGGAAAGCCAGCTTTATTGAGTAAACTTCCCAGGACCTGGGACATCTTAGATCTCCCCTTCCCCCAGGAGATAGGACCCCTAAACCTCCCCTGGGTCCTAGGACCACCTGACCCACCACTTGTAGTCTCCAGTGAGGAGGGGACCCTTATTTGGCAAGAGATGAACATGTAAGCAGCTGTCCGCCGGAGGAAAGGACGATGGCTGAAAGGAATGAACCACCGCAGGCGGTGTCTCTCCTGTCCAGCTGTGGACAGGACCTCCACGGCCCGGCCTTCCTGGCCTCGGGCACTGGCTGGCCTGGGCCTGCCGTGGCAGCACAGCTTCTGTTGAAGGCTTGGGGATGGCCAGGCTGCCGGTCTGGGGCAAGATCACTCGATCTCCAGGATGAGGTCGTCACCTTCCAGTGTCATGTCCTTGGTCACATGAACCTTGCGGACAGTACCCTCCATGGGTGAGGTCACCACAGTCTCCATCTTCATGGCACTGAGCACACACAGGGGCTGGCCCTTGGCCACCTTGGCCCCTGCCACCACTTTGATGTCTATCACCTTCCCAGGCATGGGCGCCCCGATCTGGCCCTTCACGTCCTTTAGGGCCTTGGGGTGGAAGTGCATCTCCTGAAGACACAGGGCAGAGGGGACATGACATCCTGGGCCCAGCCAAGCCCCACCGCCTGGCTGGCCCTGGGGGAGACAATACCTTCATGGCCTGGGTGTCCTTGACCAAGATGGACCGCAGCTGCCCATTGAGCTCAAAGAAGACCTGCCTCTGGCCGGCCCGGTTCAGGTCGCTCACGGCCAGGGCTTTGATGTGCAGCGTCTTGCCCCGCTCCAGCTCCACCTGCAGGGAGGGTGTGCAGACTCAGAGCTGGACGCCAAGGTGGGAGAGCAGTCCCCCGGCCCTGGCCATAGGAAGTCCCCACACTGGGCCTTGGCTCCTCGTTCCTAAAGGCCTAGCTCCCGGTCTCAAGGGTCCTTTCTGCTCCCAAAGCTTGCGAGGCTGGGTGACAGCCAAGCTAAACTCCAGAGCTCTGGGGCAGGGGGCCAGGGTGGAGTGTGGAGAAGCGCCAGAGCCACTGACCTCAAACTCCTCTGCGATCTTGGGTCCCTGCAGGAAGAGGCGAGTATTCAGGCTATCCAGGGGGCCAAAGGTGGCAGTGAAGTCCTTGAAGTGGGCAAACACATCGGGGTACATAGCTGCTGAGAGCACATCTTCCGGCGTCACCTCCTCCCCATGCCGGTCTACCAGCTCCTTCTCCAGTGCCTGCAGATCCAGGGGAGGGAGGGAGGCTCCAGGCCGCCCCTCCACCCTTGGCAGGTCCTTCAGTACCTGGGGAGCAAAGCAGAGGATCAGTCCCAAGTCCTGCATCCAGCCCCCACCCTCACACCATGCTGGGCCTTCCCTACCTTAGAGCGAAAGGGTTCGGGGAACCCCCCATGGGGGACACCGATGTAGCCCTGCAGGAACTCCACCACGGAGCGGGGAAAGGACAGCTCTTCCGCCTGAGCTTCGGCCTCTGCCCGGCTCAATCCATTCTGCACCATAAACTGGGCCAGGTCCCCCACGATCTTGGAGGAGGGCGTCACCTGAGGAGAAGGCCCTGGAGGTTAGGGTGCCAGGCACCTCAAGGAGGCCAGTGGCAGGTGCATGCAGGGCTGGGTCAGGTAAGGAGCACCGGGCCGGGCTCACCTTGATGAGATCGCCCAGCATCTGGTTGGCCTCCACATAGGCCTTCTTGACCTCCTTGAACTTGGAGCCAAGCCCCATGCTGTGGGCCTGGAAGTGCAGGTTGGTGTACTGGCCCCCTGGGATCTCATTTTCATACACGTCCGAGTTGCCAGACTTCATGGTGGCCGTGCAGTCGAAGGCCGCGTACAGTCCCCGAGCCCCCTCCCAGTACTCACTGTAGTCAAACACGCGCTCCATGGGCACCTCTGCAGGGAGGCCAGAGTCAGAGGAGGCCTTAGAAATGTGTGACTCTTCCAGGACCCAGGGCTAGCTCAGGTCCCATGTCTGACTCAGGTGACAGAAGGCGGCAAGGCCAGAGCAGGGCATCTGGATCCTAGGCAGGTCCAACACTACTGGGACTGGTGGTGGCTGCGGCTTTGAGAGGGGTGTGGCCACGGGCTGCTGTTCTTCCTACCTGTGTCCAGGGGAGTCCCTCTGGTACAGGCCACCAGGGCCCCCATGCTGGGCTGTGAAGTCATCCCAGACATGGAATCAGCTGCCACATCCACCACATCAGCTCCAGCCTGGGCACAGGCCAGCATGGCTGCCACGCCTGCCCCTGACGTGTCGTGGGTGTGGATGTGCAGTGGGAGGTCGGGGAAGCGGTCCCGGAGGGAGCTGACCAGCATGGTGCAGGCCGTGGGCTTCAGCAGCCCGGCCATGTCCTGGGGGAAGTGGGAGAGAGAGAGAGAGAGATGGTAGAGAGGGCAGGATGTGTGCCTGTGGGTGGCGGGGACATGGCCGGGGCAGAGAGGGAGGGACGGACAAGTGGCCCAGGCACCTTGATGCACAGGATGTGGGTGCCAGCTCGCACCAGCTCTTCGGCCAAGCCCATGTAGTACTGCAGTGAGTACTTGGTGCGGCTGGGGTCGGCCACGTCGCCCGTGTATGAGATGGCAGCCTCCACCACGCCTCCGGCACTTCCTGCCGCCTCCATGCCCAGCAGCATGTTGGGCAAGTAGTTGAGGGAGTCAAACACACGGAAGACATCCATGCCATTCTCTTTGGCCACTTCACAGAACCTGCAAGGGTGAGAGAGCCCAGGGCTGAGCCCCACCCCACCTCCCTCTGAACAGTCTTCCCTGGCTCCTTCCTGACCCACTCTATGGCCCCTGGGGAATGAGATCTGAGGGTCTCGCCTGGCAGGGGGTGTGGCATCCACAGGCGGGGGGTGGCCACACAAGTGTGGACCAGGCCCTGGAGGATCAGCTAGGCCAGTGGCAGGCTGTGGAAGAGGGTACTGAGCAAGGAGTCTTGAGGCCTGGGTTCCAATCCCAGCCCTGCACCGAGTGACCCAGGCAAGTCTCAGACCTTCCACTGCCCCAGGAGTGAGGGAGTGATTTAGAAGCCTGTCTGGTTCTGCAACTCCAATTTTACACTTCTCGATATTTCCAAACAGCAGCCCCTGCTGCGTGTGGCCACAGAGAGACTTGGTGTCAGGCTGACCGTGGAGAACAGAGGCCATCACGACATGGCTCGGTACCCTCTGGGCCACACCAGGTAGCGTCTGCCCACCCCACCCCAGGCTCACTTGAAGACCACGTTGTCTGGGTAGTTGGTGTAGCCCACAGCATTGGCCCCCCGCAGCAGCATCTGGAAAGGGATGTTGGGGATGAGCTCCCGGAGCTCCTGCAGCCGCCGCCAGGGGCACTCATACAGGAAGCGCATGGCGACGTCAAACGTGGCTCCTGCACAGGAACCGAGAGGCCCAGATCAGCTCTGCATGCCTGGGGAACTCCACCAGGCCTTGGAGCTAGCTCTGCAGCACAAGCCTCTGGCCCCAATACCAGGTCCTGCTCATCTTCGCCATACCTGTGTTCCCTGCTCCAACCCCCACAGATTTTTCCCTTGTCTGATCTCTAAGGGGGAGACCAGGCTCATTTGTGTCCCTTCTATGCCCCCTTTATAATCCCATCTTCTCCTCTACCTCTCTGTGCTATAATTAACAGGCAGGTGTCTCCTCCTGACCCTGGACCTCCCAGGATGCACCTGGTCTCAGCTCTGCAACCTCGTGCCGGCACCAGGCCTGGCCGGAGAGGGCGCTGTGCCTTCTTCGGTCCTTCCTCTTTGGTGTTCTTCGTGTCAGCGTCTCTAGCTTGTCCCCAGTGGCCTAAGCCTGTGGGACTGGCCACAGAGCGGGCGCCCATTCCTACCAGGCGCTGCGCAGCATGCCAGCCTACCTCCCCAGTTCTCCATGCTGAAGAGCTTGCTGAAGTTGTGGGCAACATAGGGGGCGATCTTTTTGAGATCGTGGGTGCGCACACGAGTGGCCAGCAGTGACTGGTGGGCGTCCCTGAAGGTCGTGTCCATCAGCAGCAGCCCCGGGTGGTTCCGCACAGCTCGAGCAAAGCCCTCAGGCCCCTCTCGCAGCAGGATGTCTCTGAAACCAGCCGGGGGCGGGCCTAGGGTAGACAGGGGCATTGGTGCCCATCCTGCAGGTGGCAACCTCCTGTCTCCCCCATGAGTTGACAGAATGGATCTCACCTACCTATGGGCACTGCAGGGACAACGGGGTCCGTGGGGCTGGGGCTGGCCTTGACGGGAATCGGGGTGGTTGGACCGTTTACCATGACATGGCCTGGGGAGAAAGCGGGCAGTGGGTCAGGGTGGGCTGGGCAGAGGCTGAGTCGAGGGCAGCAGTGAGAGTGGCTGGGCTCAGGGACAGGGACACATCCCTCCAGGATCCCCGGGCTTCCAGCTGGCCCCTGTCCTCTCCAAAGCCAGGGCCTCCTGGGTACAGGCAGTGGGGACGTCTTGAGGACCACGTGGATGGAAAGGTGGGGTCTCTCAGATCAGAAGCAAGGAGAGCAGTGAATGGCAGGGTGCAGGACAAGAGGACGCAGGGCCAGAATGAGGGCAGGGGTGAGGGGCAGGGGGCACTAAGGAGTTCTTTGGTCATGGGGAGTGGCAAGGAGGTAGGAGCAAGAGATTGGAGAGCGGAGGGGAGGGGAGGGCAGGGCAGGGCAGTCTCGGGCCAGACCGAGGTAGTGCAACAGCTTTTGGGCCCGGTTCTGTGCAGGCCGCAGCTGGAACAGCTCTGGGTTCTCGTCGATGAACTGGGTGTCCACAGTGCCTGCCAGGAACTGCTGGTTGTTGAGCACATTCTGCAGGAAGGCGATGTTGGTCTGCAGGACAGAGGCGGGTGGGAGGGGGTCACCATGCAGCACAGACAGGGAAGGCAGAGGAGAAAAGGCTGAAAGAGAAAAGGCTGAAGATGCTGCCCTGGGCCAGCACAGCTTCTGGGCCTCCCTGCAGAGGGGCACTTCCCCGTCCCTCAGCCCTCTCCTCACTCCAGCAGAGCCCCCTAAGCTGTCACGGGCTGGGCCTGCTCCCTCCATACTTGTTTACACCAAAGCATGTGCTGAAGGCCACCCTTCCTGCCTCCCCGCAGCCTAGAACAGGGCTCAGCCTTTTTCTCCAGCAGCGTGGCCCACAGCAGTCACCCTTGCCCCTCGTCCACGCTTCTCGAAAGAGGGCCTTGACCGCAACAGACCACACTCTGGCACTCTAAGTCACTCCTCCCAGCTGAGTCCAGCGGGCATGCTCCCGCCTTGCTGCTCGTTCCCTGGGCTTCCAAGCCATCTTGCTCTCCTGTCCTCTTCCTCCCCAGCTCCTCACACACCACATGCTCCCCAGGAGGCCCCGTCCCGGGGCTGTGGCGCCAGTGACAGGCTCTGCCTCCAGGGCAAGACCCAGAGGTGCAACTGCCTCCCGGGCCTTTCCTTGTTCACCCCTCGCATAAGTTCAGCAAGTCCACGGCCAGCTTCCTGCCTATGCACCCAGTCCTCCTGTGCCCAGTGGGTGCCCCACTGTCCCCCCAGTTACCAAAACCTGCATCCCATCACCCTCATCACCCACTCCTCCCATGCCACTGGTCAAGCCAGAGGATTCGACCACGGCCATTTTGGGACCTTGTGACCTCTTCTCCATCTCCAGGCCACACCCTCCACCGCCTTCCTCATTGTGGCCACCTCCAGCCACATCAAACTTGCCTTGCGCTCCACACCTTTGCACCTGCCTGGGAAGCTCTCCCTGAACTTCTCAAGGGCCTTCGCCCTGTCCTCACACCCTCGGCAGAGCTGACACTCACCTTTCCAGCAGTCCCCTGAGGAACCCGCTGTGGGCAAGCACACCCATCGGCTTCATCCTCTGCTTGTCTGCCTGGGAACCCTTGGGGGCAGGGTGCTGCCTGAGGCATGTGTCAGTGCACTTTGTGCACAGGGGCCCTCGGTTCCACTCATTAAATGCCTGGGTGACAACATGAGGCTGGGCCAGGGTGAGTATGACTTAAACGGGGACATGCGAGCCAGCACTGTGACAGGTGCTCCAAGACCTGTGAAAGCATGGCCTGTGGCTGTGTAGCGACAGCCCTGGCTTCCACCGCGAAGAAAACACCTCCACGCGTCACTTATTCATGATCCCTGTCGGCACCTTCAACAGGGACTCAAGGCCACCCAGACTCCTCTGAGCTCTCCGTCTCTTAGGCTCCTATTACCTGGAGGCCTGGACAGGAAGGGTGCCTCCCCCACCAGCCTGTCAGGTGCTCACCACAGAGTGGGACCCCGCCAGCAGTGCTGTGCCTGTCTGCCCCTGAGCCTCGCCCCTGCCTCTCCTGAAGAGATGCTGACATTTCAGCTGGGCCAAGGCATGGCACTGGAGAAGGGAGGCAGCTAATGAAACCATCCAAAGAGCCCCGAGCGCGCAGAGTGAGAAGGACCCTTGGAGGCCTTCGCCCTGTCCTCACACCCTCGGCAGAGCTGATGCTCACCTTTCCAGCAGGCCGCTGAGGAACCTGCACGGGCAGGGCTGAGCGCAGACCCACACTGTTGCTGGGACCCTTGTGTTCACAGACACACGCTGAAGGTCATAACCGTTCTGCATCACCGAGTCATGTGGAGGGTCCCCACTGAGTCTCCCCTTTGTGACTGTCGGGTTGCCCATCCTCTCCTCCATACTGTAAGCTCTATGGGGGCAGGAACCAGGCCCATCTGGTTCCTGATGAACCCGGCTCCCAGCACTGGGTGGCCATGGTGGATGCTGGTAAACATCTATATTTAGAGTGAATGAAAACTTTTTTTTTGAGACAAAGTGTGTCGCCCAGGCTGGAATTCAGTGGCACAATCTCAGCTCACTGCAACCTGTGGCTCCCTGGTTAATGCGATTCTCGTGCCTCATCCCAACAGACATGCGGTACCACGCCCGGCTAATTTTTGTATTTTTAATAGAGATGGGGTTTCGCCATGTTTGCCAGGCTGGTCTGGAACTCCTGGCCTCAAGTGATCCACCCGCCTCGGCCTCCCAAACTGCTGGGATTACAGGCATGAACCACTGCACCCGGTGGAAAACATTTTTGATGGGGAGAAGAGGAACAAAGACATAGCTGGTGCCACTGCACATCAGAGTTGACCTGCACCAGGACTGAATCCCCCTCATTTTACAAACGCCACAGCTGAGGCCCAGTGAGTGGTGACAGAATGGCTTCTGGCTGCCTGTAAGCCCCTCACAAGCTGCAGCTGTCCTCCCCTCTCGCCCCTAGGAAATGCTTATGTATGTACCATCCAACTCTCCTGGCCTACAGGAGGAACTTGTTTTCAGTGGTCAGGTAACGTGCCCAGGACTACACTGCTGTGCTGACAGGATCAGAATTCCAATCTTGGGTTTCCCCGAGTTTCCTGCCACCTGGCCCATGGGGATCAGGGCTGGAGGGAGAACGAGGATGGCTGAGGTTTAGGTGGCTTAAGGACCAGGAGACACGGGGAGGTGGTGACTTCCTGTTTCCCAACTGGGCAGACCACTGGTGGTGGCGGGCACAGCTGGAAGGAAACCAGGCTCGCCGAGCCACCGAAGCCCCAGCTTTCTCAACCAGGAAGCAAAGAACCTCCCCCACCTCACGCCGGGAGCCCTTTCTCTGAGAGGAGCTGGTTCCGAGCCGCTCTTCCAGGGAAATGGCCCGGCGGCGACAGAGCGGGAGGGAGGGGCCGCAGGCGCTGCGAGGACGCACAGCTTCCCAATGCGTGCCCCCGGCGGTTGGGAAGCCGCGCCGCGCAGACCAATCCGGCCCGAGGCGGAGGCCGGTTGGCTCCGGAACGCCTGGCCCGCGGGGCGGGCGGGGCAGCTGGGGAGGGAGGGAGAGGCGAGAGGCAGCTGGGGACAGGGCGGGGCGGCGGGGGCGGGGCGCCTGCCCGGAGGCCAAGCCCTCTCGGCCCCACCCCGCAGCAGCCCTGCCAGGGGCGCCGCCCCAGCCCCCCCCACGGCCGAACCCCGTGCCGGTTGGGGACCCTCCACGTGACTCGGTGATGCAGAACGGTTATGACCTTCAGCGTGTGTCTGTGAACGCAAGGGTCCCAGCAACAGTGCGGGTTTGCGCTCGGCCCTGCCCGTGGGTGCAGGGACGTGTGGGTGTGTGGGCATGTGTGGGTGTGTTGGGGAGGGTGCCCAGCGACATGTGACAAAGACGCCCGTCTCCGGGAGATGGTGAAGGGGCCCGCGAGCAGGCGCTTTGTCTGGCTGTCTGCAGAGTGAGGTTCGCGCCGCGGCGGCGGGCGCCCGTGCGGTGCAGGATGCCGGGGCGCCAGGATGGCCGGGGGCGCGCGCGCCTGTGCCAGGGTGAGTGCGCTGCGGCAGCGCCGGGGGACAGCGCGGAGGGCCCGCGCCGGCCCGGGCCTCGGGCGTGACTGGGCGCCACCCGTGGGCGCTGCAGCGGCCGCGTGTCCCCGTGACCTCAGGAGCCGGCCCGGGCCCGGGTGGATCCCCGCGCGCCCCTCCCCGTCCGCCCTCCACGTGCGTGTCCGCGGCGCGCGCGCCCGCCGGCGCGCACCCGCTCGCCTGTCGCCGCCGCCACCGCTAACCGCGCCGGGAAAAGGTGCCGGGAACCGAGCGAGCCGGGGCCGCGGGCCCGAGCGCCATGGGCCCGAGGGTGGGCGGCGGGCGGCCGGTCATCCCCGGGCCTCGTCCCCGCGGGAGAGCGGCCAGGAGTCGGCGGGGGCCGGCCGGGCTCGCAGGGAGGCCGGCCCGCGCCCCCTGAGCGACGGACACCAGGTGAGGGGGCCGCCGGGCGCAGCGCGGGGGCCGGCCAGGGAGGGGCCACGGACTCCACGGGAGGTTCGGGGGGCGCCTTCTCTGGCGGGGGAGGGTATGGCGGGGAGTGGGGAGGCGGCTGGCGATTCCTGGGGACGCCTGGGAAAGGAAGTTCCGGGACCCTCCCTGCTCTCGGTCCTCCTCCGCTTCCTGCCTCATGCCTCACCTTGTCCCCAGCGCCTGGACTCCCCCTTAACTGCTTGGGAAATGTGACCTTTGCTCTGGGGGGCCTGGCCCTGCAGGCCCCAACCTTCCCTCATCTCTGGCGGCCCTCTTGGGCCTCTGACCCAGCCCCTCCCCGGGCCAGGCTCACAGAAGCTGGCTTCTGGGACTGTCCTGGGCCCAAGTGGGCACCTGCGCCAGCCCCACCTGTGCCTGGGCTGTGGCCCCTTCCTACAGGGCGCTCACCATGGCCCCGCCGCTCCTGCTGCTGCTGCTGGCCAGTGGAGCGGCCGCCTGCCCGCTGCCCTGCGTCTGCCAGAACCTGTCCGAGTCGCTCAGCACCCTCTGTGCCCACCGAGGCCTGCTGTTTGTGCCGCCCAACGTGGACCGGCGCACAGTGGAGCTGCGGCTGGCTGACAACTTCATCCAGGCCCTGGGGCCCCCTGACTTCCGCAACATGACGGGACTGGTGGACCTGACACTGTCTCGCAATGCCATCACCCGCATTGGGGCCCGCGCCTTTGGGGACCTCGAGAGCCTGCGTTCCCTCCACCTTGACGGCAACAGGCTGGTGGAGCTGGGCACCGGGAGCCTCCGGGGCCCCGTCAATCTGCAGCACCTCATCCTCAGCGGCAACCAGCTGGGCCGCATCGCGCCGGGAGCCTTCGACGACTTCCTAGAGAGCCTGGAGGACCTGGACCTGTCCTACAACAACCTCCGGCAGGTGCCCTGGGCCGGCATCGGCGCCATGCCTGCCCTGCACACCCTCAACCTGGACCATAACCTTATTGACGCACTGCCCCCAGGCGCCTTCGCCCAGCTCGGTCAGCTCTCCCGCCTGGACCTCACCTCCAACCGCCTGGCCACGCTGGCTCCGGACCCGCTTTTCTCTCGTGGGCGTGATGCAGAGGCCTCTCCCGCCCCCCTGGTGCTGAGCTTTAGCGGGAACCCCCTGCACTGCAACTGTGAGCTGCTGTGGCTGCGGCGGCTGGCGCGGCCGGACGACCTGGAAACGTGCGCCTCCCCGCCCGGCCTGGCCGGCCGCTACTTCTGGGCAGTGCCCGAGGGCGAGTTCTCCTGTGAGCCGCCCCTCATTGCCCGCCACACGCAGCGCCTCTGGGTGCTGGAAGGCCAGCGGGCCACGCTGCGGTGCCGGGCCCTGGGTGACCCCGCGCCTACCATGCACTGGGTCGGTCCTGACGACCGGTTGGTTGGCAACTCCTCCCGAGCCCGGGCTTTCCCCAACGGGACCTTAGAGATTGGGGTGACCGGCGCTGGGGACGCTGGGGGCTACACCTGCATCGCCACCAACCCTGCTGGTGAGGCCACAGCCCGAGTAGAACTGCGGGTGCTGGCCTTGCCCCATGGTGGGAACAGCAGTGCCGAGGGGGGCCGCCCCGGGCCCTCGGACATCGCCGCCTCCGCTCGCACTGCTGCCGAGGGTGAGGGGACGCTGGAGTCTGAGCCAGCCGTGCAGGTGACGGAGGTGACCGCCACCTCAGGGCTGGTGAGCTGGGGTCCCGGGCGGCCAGCCGACCCAGTGTGGATGTTCCAAATCCAGTACAACAGCAGCGAAGATGAGACCCTCATCTACCGGTGAGGATGCGTGCCCCACACCCGGCTGCACTCCCGGCGCCCTTCCTCCGCCCTCTGCTCCCCACAAGGCTTTGCTTCCACCCCTCCTCTCTCTGGGGCTGACACCCCCTCCCCGACCATGGCTGCTGGACTCTTGGAGGAGCAGTGGCCTGGCCTGGCCTGGCTGCCTGAGGGGGCTGGAGCTCAAGGGGCGGCAGAAGGACCCCACCCCGAGATGTCCCAGGTGTCACTGAGCTGTGCAGGCCTCCCCGGCAGCAGGTGGCGGTTGGGTCTGTCTGAAGCACATGGCCCGCGCCCGCGTGTTATTTCTGCCTCTGCTGGTGCCATCCCCCCACCCCATTCCCCTCGCTTGCCTGCGTCCTGTGCCAGTGCACACACCCATCTCCTGGCCACACTCTCCAGCCTGTTCACCTTCCTGAGTGAACCCAAGAGCCCGAGTGGCCCCAGGGGGAGGGGTGTTTGGAGCTGGGAGCACGGGAGTGGGGAGGTGAGGATGGGGCTAGACCCCAGCCCCGGGCTCTGACCACCTGCCCTTGCCTGCAGGATTGTCCCAGCCTCCAGCCACCACTTCCTGCTGAAGCACCTCGTCCCCGGCGCTGACTATGACCTCTGCCTGCTGGCCTTGTCACCGGCCGCTGGGCCCTCTGACCTCACGGCCACCAGGCTGCTGGGCTGTGCCCATTTCTCCACGCTGCCGGCCTCGCCCCTGTGCCACGCCCTGCAGGCCCACGTGCTGGGCGGGACCCTGACCGTGGCCGTGGGGGGTGTGCTGGTGGCTGCCTTACTGGTCTTCACTGTGGCCTTGCTGGTTCGGGGCCGGGGGGCCGGAAATGGCCGCCTCCCCCTCAAGCTCAGCCACGTCCAGTCCCAGACCAATGGAGGCCCCAGCCCCACACCCAAGGCCCACCCGCCGCGGAGCCCCCCGCCCCGGCCGCAGCGCAGCTGCTCTCTGGACCTGGGAGATGCCGGGTGCTACGGTTATGCCAGGCGCCTGGGAGGAGCTTGGGCCCGACGGAGCCACTCTGTGCATGGGGGGCTGCTCGGGGCAGGGTGCCGGGGGGTAGGAGGCAGCGCCGAGCGGCTGGAAGAGAGTGTGGTGTGATGGACGGGCAGCTTCCTGTGTGCTCCAAGGGATGAGCCTCGTGGGGCAGAGGGCCCGGGGCCGCCGCCTGGCCTGGGAGTCCCTCCCTGGTTTTTATTCTCAGTACCTCAGGCTCCCCTGTGTACTTGGAGGGGCAGGGAGCCCTTTCCTCGGTTCTGGCCTCCAGACCAGGGTAAGGGCAGGCCCCTCCAACAGGTGCTCACAGCCACCGAGGCAGGGGCTGCAGCCACCCACTGGGAGTCTTGTTTTTATTTATAATAAAATTGTTGGGGACACCTCAGTGCTAGTCTCTGGTGTTGTCTGGCTAGGTCCCCCGAGACGGGAGGACAGGACACGGGCCGCTGGTGGCACACGGACAAGGGTGGGGCTACCAGGGCCGGTGGGGGCAGTCACAGCAGCCTGGGGCCTCCTGGCTTCCTGTCCACAGGGGCGGCCCAGGGCTGCGGCCAAGGGCTGTGCCTGGTGTCTTCTGACCTGCAAGAGCATGGGCTTGGGCAGGCGGCCTACCCTCGCCTGTAAGTGCAAAGAACGCCCCTTCCTGCCAGGTGGCGACAGGACGCCGTATCCAGTGTAAAGCCTGGGGAGCACGTGTGAGCGCCTTCCCCATGGCACTTCAGGGTCTGCGGGGCGGACACAGGACTGGACTAAGCAACAGGAGGAGGTGGGGGACGGTACAGCCCTCTGGGAGAACGGACCTGGGCTGAGCGTACAGTGAAAAGTCCTCATGGCTCCAGGTGCTGACAGCTGTGTCTGCCACCTCCCAGGGCATCTTGTGGACTGGTAAAACGCCATCCCAAAGGGACTGGAAGGGCAGGGAACCCCACTGCTCTGCCATCAGCCCGTGATCCTCTGGAAGGTTCCTGTCAGAACTGTGGGTCCGAGCAGGACCGCAGCTGCCAGCTCAGATGTGCTCTGGGCCTTCCTGGGAAGGCGGCCTTCGCCCTCCCTCGCTGCAGGGAGGCAGCCGGATGGGCACGAGCCCTGCTTTCTCTGCTAGGACCCCTGGCCAGGCCCGGGCAGCCTCCGACCTGGCCCAGCCCCTGCAGCCTCCTGAACTATCTGCTTCTAGGCACTGGCTGGGGGGCATGGGCAGACGTGGCCCTCAGCCCTGCAGAGGGTCAAGCTCCCCCAGGTGCTGTATGAAAACTCAGAAGGCGGCCCTGGCACCCCAGGCCACGGCAAACACGCTGCACAGACTCCCTGGTGTTTTCTGTGTGAGGGCCAAGGCGCTGCCACCGGGCAGCCGAGGTGAGGCAGGTGCTCTAAGGCATACGTGTGTTCACGTGTGCATGGACCTGGCTCACACGCGTGTGCCTGCCCTCCCAGCCCCAGAACATGCAGCTAGAGGTGGGCTTCGAGAGCCTGGTTTAGATGAATGGGAGCAAGGTCCTCGACAGAGAAGGGTGTGGGGAGCGAACGCCATGGAGGAGTGGGCGGGGGCGCGGGACAGGGTGGGTGGGCACAGACGGCAAAGGGACAGGAGGGCCAGGGCTGCCACGCTGGGCGCTAGCATGAGGCTCAGGAGGCGGCTAGAGCCAGCGGCCTGGTCTTGGTGCACATTTGGGGAGGACTTGGCACCCCCAGACACCAGAGACACTTATCCTGCTGCTGGCCCCGTGGTCACGGTCTCTAGTGCCCCTTTCTCCACCTGGGGGGCGGGGGACGGTCTAAAGAGGAAGATCTTTCCGGGCCCTCCAGGGTGCAGAAGCCCACCTCTAGCTGCACCCCTAGCAGGCGCAAGGTTCTAGGGCCCAGGGACCAGCTTGGCACGTGGGGAGCTGCTGAGGGTGAGGAGGGAGCAGAGGAACCGGGCACAACCCCAGGAGCCAGCCAGGACCACAGAGCAACGGGCAGGGGCAGGCGAGGGGGATGGCCTGGGTCACCCCTGTGCATGGCCACGCATCCCCTCAACACCGAAGCAGCCGCAGGACATCCCCGCCAGGACACCAGGAGCCGCAGCAAGGTGCAGGGGGAGCGCGTGATGTCGACAGCTGATGTCGCGACACACCTCTGCCTATGTGCACGACAGGGACCCCCAACAGGGAGGCTGAGAGGCTCCCCACGGAAGAGTAACACCCCCTGGCCTCTAGGAAGTGCGCTGTTCCCTCTTAAGGTGGGAGACAGGCTGGCCACACACACAGGCATAGGCCCAGAAGCCTCCAGGGGCTCTTGCGACCAAGCAGCCATGTGGACATGTGAGAAGTGATTGCAGGACCCTGAGGGGACAGCACGGCCCACATGCCCCCCCATCCCCCAAGCAACTGCGCCTCGATGACAGGCAGGGCTGGAAGAAGCTGCAAGGAGGACACGAGGCCAAGGCAGAGGGGCCGGTGCCAGTGCCCAGCACAGCCCGCCCTGTGGGGACCCCCAAGAAGAAGATGGGGTGGTAACTCCCACAGGGGCTGAGGGCCAAAGCCCCTGTCCTCCGGCTCTTCTTGCCATTCTGAGGGTGGCTCCCACGGGACACGTGCTGGCTTCAAAGGCCGAGGCGGCATTTCCTGGCTGTGGATTCCTCTCTAGCTACAGACGCCAGTAACAGAGCCCAGCAAAGGGCTCTTTAGATCCTAAATACCCATTTAGAGTCCTCATGCCAGGCAGGGCACCCACCAAGGCCACCCAAAGACAAGCCGAGCTGCCAGCCCACCAAGGGCAGGTTGCCTCCCAAGCCTCCTGCTCATGTCTCTGCTGCGCCCCCACCCTCGGCTGCTCCTGAAGCACCTGACACTGTGTGCACCAGGCCAGGTGAGGAGAGCAGGGGGCTGGCGGGGGCCTGACACTGTGCAAAGTGACCGCATCTACATGACTTGGGCTCTTGCCTGGTGGGGGGGGATCCACATTTTCCAGAAATTAAGAATTATCTGGGAGGCCAGGCACGGTGGCTCACACCTGTAATCTCAGCATTTTGGGAGGTCAAGGCGGGTGGAACACCTGAGGTCAGGAGTTTGAGACCAGCCTGGCCAATGTGATAAAACCCCGTCTACTAAAAATACAAAAATTAGCCGGGCGTGGTGGGGGGCACCTGTAGTCCCAGCTACTCGGGAGGCTGAGGCAGGAGAATCGCTTGAACCCAGGAGGCAGAGCTTGCAGTGAGCCGAGATCGCGCCACTGCACTCCAGCCTGGGCGACAGCAAGATTCCACTTCAAAAATAAAAAAGAATTATCTGGAGAACTTGTTCAAAACACAGGTTCTGGCGCCTCTACCCAAACCTGTGGGATCAGGATTTCCAGAAGGGAAGCCTGATGATATTTAACACACATTCCAGGTGATTCTCACCCCAGAGGGGCGGGACACAGCGTGGGTCTCCCCGGAACAAGACTAGACAGGAGGCATGTGAGGACGAGCTCCGGCCAGGCCACTGCCAGGGACTCTGGCAGCGGGTTGCCCAGGCGCCTGCAGACTCTGAAAACAGCTGGAGTCTGGCGTGCAGCTGCAGCCAAGGAGAGCCACTGACCTCGACCCATCAGTCAGGGGCAAGGCTGAGGTGAAGCCATGTGCAAGGCCCTTGGTGGGGAAGTGAACGGTCAGGGGGCCCTCCAAGGGCCGGGAGCAAAGGCAGGCGGGGGCTGCAGCCTCTCACCTTCACACCTCGGACGCGGAACTCCGCAAGGGCCCTGCTCATCTTGGTGGCGGCCGTGGGGTGGTCTTTGCCGTGGGCAATGACTTTGACCAGCAGGGAGTCGTAGTGGGGCGAGATGACGGCTCCTTGGAAGGCGGAAGCATTATCCAGGCGGATGCCCATGCCCTCTCCGCTCCGGAACACCTGTGGGAAGGGTGAGGCGTGAGGACCTGCGCCAGAAACTGCGGTCAAAAGTGCCCCACCCACCCCGAGGCTGGCCAGGTGTGCACCCAGCAGCTGCTGAGAGCAGAGCGTGGGGTGTCTGCAGGTGAATCCCAGCTCTGGCTGGTCAGGTTTTGCTGTTTCTGCCACCAAACCCAGGAGTGCGTCCCTTCTCTACGTGCCACGCAGTCACTGCTACTGGCTCCCTGTGAGGAGCTGGGAGGGGGCAGAGGAGGAAGGGAATGCCTGCCGCAGAGCGGGAGAGGGGCCCGGGCAGGCAGGGGCCAGCCCTGCCTCTATTCCCACGGACCTGCTGCACCTGCCTGAGCAACCCTCTAGCCTTTCAGACTCATCCACGTTCGTTCCACAGCACGGATTGAGGTCTGCTGACCCGGCCGCTAAAGGGCCTCGCCGTGGGCTCCCAGACAGCGAGGGGACGGCAGGCCGGCGACAGGGCCTCCAAAGGACCATGTGCGAGGCAAGAGGCAAGGCTGACCGGGGGTTTGTTTTTGTTTTTAACAGGGTGGTGGGGAAGGCCTCAACATCCACCCATGCTCCCTTCCTTTCCTTTCCTTTCCTTCCAGAAGGGAGGATGGGAGGGAGAGGAGGCAACGAGGAGGAAGTGGGAGAGGAAATGAAGGGAAAGTGCCAGAGGCAGGGTCCACACCCATCAGGGAAGCAAACCAAGGGCGAGGAGAGGGCAGCGGGGCAGCGGGACAGGGCCAGGGCCAGACGGCAATGGGAGGGGCAGCGGAGAGGAGGAGACAGAGGCGCCGACACTCACACACACAGGTGGCTCGTGCCGCCTGCACCTGTTCGTGCCGCCCGAGTGAGCCCCGCAGAGAAGGGCTCCCCGGAGGTGGGGGACCCGTCAGGCCCAGGTAAGGAAGAAGGGGAGTGGGGGGACCGCCCAGAGGGGCTCGGGACACCCACTGCCCATTTCCGCTTCTCGGGGGCAGAGGCCTGTGTTCAATAAAAAGGAACTTCATAAAATATTTAAGGGTGAACACTCAGCTGAGAGCAGAAACTGTCGGCTAAAAATACTCTGTGATGAGGCAGGCTCTGAAGAGCCAGGGCTTGGAAGTGGGGATGGAGGGAGGCAGAGAAGTCAGGGGCCGCCGGGCAGCACTCAGCCTGGGGCTGCCGCCACCTACAGACTCTTCCAGAAACAGAAGGCAGGTGGCCAGCTCCCTGCTGAAGCCACAGGCTCTGCTGCTTCCAGAATCCAGAGAGCTCTGGTCCCTACCCCCAGCCTCCCCAGCCTCCCTTGTCTCAGAAGCCCAGAGCCTGGCCCAAACTCATGTTTGCTCCCCTCACCGCCCCACACAAGCCCGGGGGCCTCTGCCTTGGACTCTGGAGCAAAGCTGGAGCTCCATCAATGTCTTGCCTCCTTTGGGGCTCAGGCCCCTGGATAGGGAGCAAGTCCCTAGCACAGCTGGCACGGTGCTGGCAGCACGTGCAGGGCTGGGAACAGGCACCGAGCAGGCCGCAGGGCTCCTGCCCACAGCTGGGACCAGAGGCGGGGGAGATGGGTTTCGGAGGCCAATGACTGGGTCCCGGTGCTGAGAGGAAGAAAGGTACAGGGAGCCCTCCTGGAGAAGGCGCGAGTCTTGCTGTGCTGAGGAGCCTGCCGTGGACCGCCTCAGCGCCCCCTACACCACTCTCTCCCCCACCAAGGCTGCCATCTCGCGGCCCCGAATCTACCTCTCGGTCTCCCTCCTGTGCCGCCATCTCCGACTCCCTCCCCCATCCTTGATGGGCCCCTGAGCTTGGCTCAGACTCCATTGGGACCTCTGGGCCCAGTCCTTTGCCACCCCCACCCCCAGGTCCTGCCATGTCAGCCCATCCCTCAGATGGGAGGTGGTGCTTGGGCTCCGTCGGCAGCCAGGCGTGGGGCTCCTGTGGGAGCTGGAGGGTCAGGGGCTGGCTTTGTGTCTGGGTCCCTGCGTTTTGCTCCACCAAGCCAGCCTGCTCCCCGCTCCCACCCTCACGGCTTCCTCCTGACCTGGGCGCCCAGCAGTCTCTTCCCCTGGGAGGCGCCGCCCCTCCTCTGGGCACTGCCTGCCTCCGTGTACTCTATGTCCACTTCAGAGCCCACATGCGGGTCCTCCCTAACTGCCGGGCTGTGGCAACTTGGCACTGCAGCCCCAGGCACCAGGCAGAACCTGTGCACAGGTGAGCTGGCATCTCCCTCTGCTCGAGCTCCGCCCACCTCAATGCGGCCGGTGTCCGGCTGGAAGCTGCGCGCGGGGTCCTCGGTGGTGACCCGGCACTGGATGGCACACCCGTTGATGCGGATGTTCTCCTGCCGCAGGCCCAGGTCGGGTAGGCTCCTGCCCTCAGCCACGTGGATCTGAGCATGGACCAGGTCTACGCTGTAGGGCATTGGGGGGAGGGGGGAAAGGACGGGAGAAAGGGGGAAACATGAGGCGGGGGATAGACGAGGGGCACCGCAGCCAGTGGGGCGTCCACACACAGTGCGACTCCTGCCCATAGGCTCTGGGCCAGCCTGAACAGCCGGTTCCTCCCAACCAGTGGCTCCACCAGCCCCTGCCCTGCTCCCGCCGGGAGCCGACTAAACTACACAGTGCCTGGCAGCTGGAGATGGCCCGCTGAAATACCAGGACCACCTGCTCCTGCATTCCTGACTCACGGTGCCGTCCACACAGCCCTAAGCTGCTCCTCCCTGTACTCTGCCTCCTCCTTCCTTGAGGTCTGTTTTCCCCACTCCCCTAAACTCCCCCTTGGTAAAGCCTAGATTTGAAGCCTCAGCAGATCTCTAGGTCAGAGGGCCAGGATAGCACATTCTTGGGGCCATATGTGCTATGCTGTGTGGGTGGTTGTGAGGGGGGCAGTGTGCAAGGGAACAGGTGCTGTGAAGGCTGGGCTCCTCGAAATGGTAACCACAGCTGTGAGAGGGTTGCACAGTGGGTGCTGGGTCAGGACCTGTCCTTCTGAGGCCTGTTTTCCTGCTGGACTTGTGCCCAAAACCCCCTAGAGATGCTTGGAGAGTGCAAGCTTCCCCACCTCTGCAGGGTTTTCCAAGCTCAGCCTTACTGCTCCTAAGGGCAGTCACAAGTCCAAGTGGAACAGCTGTTTAAAAAACAAAACAAACAAACAAAAAAACCAGGCTGGGCACAGCAGGTCATGCCTGTAATCCCAGCACTTTGGGAGGCCAAAGTGGGTGAATCCCACGAGGCCAGGAGTTCGAGACTAGCCTGGCCAACATGGTGAAACCCTGTCTCTACTAAAAATACAAAAATTAGCCAGGCCTGGTAGTGTGTGCCTGTAATCCCAGCTACTCAGGAGGCTGAGGCAGGAGAATCACTTGAACCCGGGAGGCAGAAGTTGCAGTGAGCAAAGATTGCACCACTGCACTCCAGCCTGGGTGACAGAGCAAGACTATGTCTTAAAAAAAACCACTCAAGGTTTTACATGTATTGCCACTGAGGCTTGTGGTGAAGGCAGCCTGGAACCTACACTGGCAGGATTTCCCCGTGTTCTTGCTGCCTGCTGGCCCACTTCGCAGCAGAGATGACAGCTTCCACTCAGTGCCACAGGCCAGGCTGCACTCCTCCCATGCTTCATCTCCACGACGGTGTGCTGAGAGCCCTGTCATTCCCACCAGAGGAGGAGCTCGAGGGTCAGAGAGGTTGGAGCTCACCCAGGCTCCACGTGGCTTGGGACCTGAGAGCACCTGAGCCCCAATCTGTCTGACACAAAACCCGTGCTCCACAGCAGACAGACTCCCATCCCTAACAGGACGCTCTAAGCAGACCCAAGACCGAGGAGTTCACAGCAGCTTGAGGGGAAGAGTCTCACTCGGCCAAAGTGTTGGCCTTGTCTCTAAGCTTCTCCTAAGGGGAGGGAGGGGCCTCCATGCCCCCGGCGAGCCACAGCAGCCACCCCGACAGCATCCTCAGTCTCAGGTGGGGTTGGGGCTGGGGGCAGAACTGGGGTCAGGGATGCTCCACAGTGAGATGGGCTGGCCCAAAGCAGCGTCAAGAAATTACATGGCTCATAGTAGAGACCTTGAAGGGTGAGGGCCATCATGACTGTCATTTAGAAACCAGGCGGATTTTGAAAATGTCATCCTCAGTGCCTGCAGGGAGCACGCTAGTGCCACCTCTCTAGAGGGCTGTTCCGAGGGATGCTACTTATCCTTCAATCAGATAATCCTGTTGAAGGGTTTACCCTCAGAACTCTTCAGAGCTGAAGCCAAACATTCAGGCACACAGATGATAAGTGACACGCTTAATAACCACCAAAGCCAGACACACAAACTAATTGCCTAACAATCGAGGACTATGTAAGTTAAGAAATACACACAAGACGGAATAGTACGCAGCCACTAAAAGTATTCAGACAGAATTATGGCCTGGGGAAATGCCTTCAACAAATATTAAATAATTTGAAAAGTAGAATAAAAATTCTATATAAAACATCTCTATTGCATCAAACTATGTCTCTAGTAAAACAGGTAAACCGGGAAAGGAGCAAACCAAAGACAGCCGGAGATGCCTGGGTTCCAGCGCCAGCTGTGTGACCCCGAGCAACTCTCCAAATGTCTCTGAGCCTTGCTTTACTCCTCTGACAGATGGGAGCACCTGGGCCTGAGCAATCGGCAGCGTCCTGACAGAGAGGAGGGCTGTCAGTCATTTTTATTTGCTCCTTTGTGCTGATTTTTATAATAACCACGTAATGCTTTTAGAATAATGACTTTTAAAACACTAAGTACCTGGATCCCCATTGCTCTCCACCAATGTGGGGAGTGAGCAAGCCCCCTGGCTGGCCCCAGGAGCCACTTCGCCTGTACTTTATGCAAATCCTAGAAGCCGCGCCTCCCGCCCCGCCTGCCCGCCCACACTCACTCGGTGATCTCCTCTGTGACCGTGTGCTCCACCTGCAGGCGGGAGTTGACCTCGATGAAGTAGTGCTTGCCGTGCCTGTCCACCAGGAACTCCACGGTGCCTGCGTTCTCGTAGCCCACCTGTGGGGGCGGCCACGTGAGCAGGGGAGGGCACAGGCAGGGCCTGGGCAAACTCACTGGACTCAGGACAGGGATTCCGTCCCACCCATTGGGTTGGTTCCGTAAAAGAATGGCCTGTGGCAAACCCTGCCCCCACAGATGGCAGACAGACCCCAGGGCCCAGGTCATGCTCCTGCCTGGACACGTCCCCCAAGTAGTCCACTAGGCTCCAGGGTTCCCGGAGCCACAGATGGCTGCACCCAGCTTATCTGGGACGAGACATGGGCAGAAGCCCCCACCCATCCCAGGCTCGGCACCTTGCCCTGCTGCCTCCTGGGCTTGCCCGCCAAGGCTGTGTCATCCACCCAGACACGGAGACCCAGGCCTCTCCCAGCCGCTGCTTCTGCTTGGAGGTGTTTTCAGAAAGTCCCCTTCTAGTCTACTGCGCAGTCACCTCTGGCCACCACCACCCAAAGAAATTCATTTGAGAGGTACCAACAGATAATGACTCTAACTCAAATTTCAGCCCTAATTCCAGTTTCACTTTTGGTCTCACCAAAACGATAAACCAGACTGAATCACCTCCCTTAAACCTGTTCTGGAATGTGAAATAGTATAAGCCAGTAAATAAGACCTGACTTAAACGCGACCCTGGTCGATGCCTCGCATTAGCTGTGGCTGAGGCCTTGCTGCAGAGTGCACACCCCGGCCTTCGGCATGGGGAGGTGACGCATCCTCTGCTGCCTATAGGCCAGGGAAGAAGAGGGGGCAGGACCCCGCTGCACACCTGGCCACAGCAGGTGCTCTCCAGGCCAGTCCTGGGGCAGGTCACTGTGGGGAGATAGCTTGCCACCTCAGCCTCCTCCACAGCCCAGGACCCCCCGACCAGAGGTCCCAGAAAAGCAGAGATGGGCAGAGGGTGCAGAGCAAGGAAACAGATCATAATAAACATGATGTAGGAGACAGAAGCACATGAGGGAGGACTGCCTTCATAATGGTCCTCAATCTTGACAGAATCCACGGAATCTCATTCTCCTGATGACAGGGATGAGCTGATGCCACAGAGAAGCCAGGTCTGTGTAGCAGCAGGGCTGAGGAGGCGGCTGGGGCTCCTTCCCTCCCTCTTCTCAGCCATCCTGGACTCTAAGCTTGGCCTCTGGGCCAGGTGCCTCAACTGCACATGGGAAGGATGCCACAAACCCACTTCTGGCCCCCAGGAGAGTCCTTCACCCTCTTCTCCCCATCCCCAGTCCCCAGAAGGGGACTCAGGGTCCCCTTCCCCAACCAGCGCCCCACTGTGAGGCCTGCCGGCCTGTGAGCACAGGCTCCTGTCCCAACACGGGAAGCCCACCCTTCACCTGTTTAGCGAGTTTCACAGAGTCGCTGGTGAGCCGAGTCCGAAGCTGCGGGTCCAGGTGGGCGGCGGGGGCAATCTCGACCACCTTCTGGTGCCGCCGCTGGATGGAGCAGTCTCGCTCGTACAGGTGCAGGATGTTCCCATACTGGTCCCCTGGGGAGGGAGGTAAACTGGGCTTAGCTTTTACTGGAATCTACACGCCTCCTAAATGCCCCATCACCCCCACATAACCACTGTCGCCAGTCAGTGCCGGCTGCCAGCGGTACAGAGGCTGCCAGGAGAGACACCAGCATCACCAAGGCTGTGAGGACCAACTGCCAGCTCGGCCCCTAGAGCCCACTTTCCAGAGTCCTCTGGAAAAGCGCCCGACAGGCCCCAGGGCTGTCCCCAAGGCCAGCCACTGTGACGGCACCAGGACTGGGCCTCTCAGCTCCCGCCTCCAGCTGCCCCAGGCGGGGCGTCAGGACCACTCACCCAAGATCTGCACCTCGATGTGCCGTGGCTTCTCGATGAACTTCTCCACAAACAGCGCCCCATTCCCAAAGGCGGCCAGAGCCTCTGAGTAGGCCCGGGTGTAATTCTCCTCCAGCTCCTGCGAGGGCGGGCAGGGGCCAGCCAGACCTCAGACCCCACAGCGCTACCTCTCCCCTGCCATGAACCCCACCCACTTTCCAGATCCCTTGAGTGGTCCGCCCCTGCCCCCACGGCAGGCTGCCCTGCCCTGCTCCCAGCCCTGGGCATCTTCACTCACCTCGTAGCTGTGCACCACCCTCATGCCACGCCCTCCACCCCCATAGGCCGCCTTGAAGATGATGGGGAAGCCGTAGGTGTTGGAGAACTCGTGGGCCTCATGCAGGGACGTGATGGGGGCATCTGTGCCAGGGACAACGGGAACACCTGTTGGGAGAAAGGTGTGGGGGAGTCTCTGTAACAGGCGGGAATCCCTGCCACCCCTCCCTGCTGGACCCTCTCCAGGAGCTGCGGGGCCACCCCTTGCTTGCCCGTTATATTCACCCGCAGCAATGGCGATGGCCCGGGCCTCCACCTTGTCTCCCATCTTGCGGACCACTTCTGGGCTTGGCCCAATAAACCGGACCCCTGCATCCTGGCAGGCCTGGGCGAAGTCCGCTCGCTCAGAGAGGAACCCGTAGCCAGGGTGCACTGCATCTACGTTGTTCTCCTGCAGGTGGGGGTCAGGGAGAGGACGGTACCTTGCAGTCCCTTCCAAGGCCTCGGCCAGCCTCTTCCCCTGCCTAACCTGCTGAGCTGCATCCGTTTACCCACCCACGCACAGAGGCGCTGAGCACGCCAGCCTCAAGAGACCCCCGCGGCAACTAAGACTCCCTGGTCCCTGCTGTCCAGGCCCAGCCAGGCCACTGGGCTCACCTTGGCCACCTTGATGATGTCTGGGATGTGCAGGTAGGCCTGCACGGGGGCCAGGCCGCGGCCGATGAGATAGGCTTCATCTGCTTTCTGCCGGTGCATCTGGCCCGTGTCCTGCTCAGAGTAGATGGCTACGGTGCGGATGCCCAGCTCCGTGCAGGCCCGGAACACACGGATGGCAATCTCACCTAGAGGGCAAAGAAACAAGAAGTTAGATTCCTAGGTCCTAGGAGAAGCAGAAAGGGGAGTGGGAAGCCAGGGCCTGGGGCAGTGAGTGGGAGAAGAATGCCAAGGCTGGGGCGGCCATGAGGCTCCTCTCACCGGCCCCACTGGTGCTCACCTCTGTTGGCCACCATGACTTTCTTGATGGGCTTATACTCCAGGCGCCGGACATTTGGGGAGGCAGCGGGGGCGGTGGAGGTTCGGCGGATTCCCAGGAGCCTCAGGCCCCCATGGACTGTTCGGAACTTCAGCATCTAGGGAGGGAAGTTAGAGCCCAGGTTAGCGCAGCCTCAGCACTGAGGCTCCTCAGAATGAGTGAGGGCCCTTCCCAACCCCACAGTGGCCCCACAGAAAGGCTAGCACCATCTACCTCCTGATGCCTGGCCAAGCCCAACATTTCCTGGCTCTAGAGAAGGGAGCAAATCCAACCCCAAATGGAACCCCCAGCTCAGCCTGATATCCTAACTGTGACTTTATTGTTGTAGAGACAGGGTCTCCCTATGTTGCCTAGGCTGGTCGCAAATGATCCTCCCACCTCAGCCTCCTGAGTAGTTAAGACTACAGGTGTGAGCTGCCGTACCCAGCATAATATGCACTATAACTTTTAAAAGTATCAGGTTGGCCCACCCTGGCTAACACGGTGAAACCCCGTCTCTACTAAAAATACAAAAAAAAAAAAATTAGCCGGGCGTGGTGGCGGGCATCTGTAGTCCCAGCTACTTGGGAGGCTGAGGCAGGAGAATGGCATGAACCCAGGAGGCAGAGCTTGCAGCGAGCCGAGATCGTGCCACTGTACTCCAGCCTGGGCGACAGGGCAAGACTCCGTCTCAAAAAAAATAAAAGTATCAGGTTGGGCGCGGTGGCTCATGCCTGTAATCCCAGCACTTTGGGAGGCTGAAGTGGGAGGAGCACCTTACATCAGGAGTTCGAGACCAGCCTGGCCAACATGGTGAAACCCCGCCTCTTACTAAAAATATAAAAATTAGCCGGGCATGGTGGCACACGCCTGTAATTCTAGCTACTCAGGAGGCTGAGGCACGAGAATCGCTTGAACCTAGAAGACAGAGGTTGCAGTGAGCTGAGATTGCGCCACTGCCCTCAGCCTGGGTGACATCAAGACTCTGTCCCAGGAAAAAAAAAAAGTATAATACTTCAGGTTGGGCACGGTGGCTCACACCTGTAAACCCAGCACTTTGGGAGGCCAAGGCACATTTGTGTGAGCTCAAGAGTTTGAAACCCACCTGGGCAACATGGTGAAACCCTGTCTCTACAGAAAATATAAAACTTAGCCAGGCATGGTGGCACATGCCTGTAATCCCAGCTACTTGGGAGGGTGAGGCATGAGAATCACTTGAGCCTGGGAGGTGGAGGTTGCAGTGAGCTGAGATGGCACCACTGTACCAGTCTGGGTGACACAGCAAGACTCCATCTTTAAAAAATATATATATATTATATATAATATATTATATATAAAATATAAAATATTATATATAATATAATATAAATATATATAATATATTATATATATTATATATTATATTATATATAAAATATATATTATATATAATATAATATATAATATTATATATATTATATAATATTATATATTATATTATATATTATAATATATATTATATATAATATTATAATATTATATAATATTATATATATATTTAAATCAACTGACGACAACTTATATCCCTGAATGCAAAGAGGCTTCAGAGGTTGGCCAGCCCTTCATTTGTAAAATGAAGGAAACCAAGGTACAGTGGAGACTAAAAAGACAGCTGCCCAGCACAGAGCCCAAGCCAAACCAGACACACTCTTTTCACCCCTGCATCTGGGCCTCATCTAACCATCTGATTCATTTCTTTCTTTTGAGACGGAGTCTCGCTCTTGTTGCCCAGGCTGGAGTGCAATGGCATGATCTCTGCTCACTGTAACCTCTGCCTCCCAGGTTCAGGCAATTCTCCTGCCTCAGCCTCCCAAGTAGCTGGGATTATAGGCATGCACCACCATGCCTGGCTAATTTTGTTTTTGTTTTGTTTCTTTTCTTTTTTCTTTTTTTTTTTGAGACAGAGTCTTGCTCTGTCACCCAGGCTGGAGCGCAATGGTGCGATCTCGGCTCACTGCAACCTCCGCCTCCTGGGTTCGAGTGATTCTCCTGCCTCAGCCTCCCGAGTAGCTGGAATTACAGGCACCCGCCACCACGCCCAGCTAATTTTTGTATTTTTAGTAGAGACAGGGTTTCACCATCTTGGCCAGGCTGGCCTCGACCTCCTGACCTCAGGCGATCCACCTGCCTTGGCCTCCCAAAGTGCTGGGATTACAGGTGTGAACCACCACGCCTGGCTGTATTTTAAATAAAGATGGGGTTTCACCATGTTGGCCAGGCTGGTCTTGAACTCCTGACCTCAAGTGGTCTACCCGCCTCGGCCTCACAAAGTGCTAGCATTACAGGTGTGAGCCACCACACCCGGCCGATCTGATTCATTTCTTAGAAAACGTTTAAAACACTTGACTCAGCCATTTTGTTTTAAGTAAGGAACATAAAAACATACTCAAGAAATGAAACAAATATTGCAAAAACCTTAGTGCCATATTACAGCCAACAACCTAGAAAAGGGGAAATAAAGACAGAAGAAAAAGAAAAGAGAAGAAACAAGGAAATAAGTAGAAGAAAGAGAAGAGGAGGAGGAGGAAAGACCCACAGCCAGGGGAGAAAAACAGAAAACCCCACTAGGGGCAGACCTTATGCCAGGCACAGTTCTAAGCCTTAGGAGTCGAGAACACAACAGTGAAGGGTTCTGCTCATGGAAGATGAATGGCAGTGAAAGGAGCAAAGAAAAGAAAAACAAGACACAAATCAGAACATTTCAGATCACAAGTGCCTGGAAGATAAGAAACAGGTGACATTTTGCGAATGATCTGGGGCGGGTGCAGGGGTTTGGGGGCTGGATATTAGAAAAGGCCTCTCTGAGGAGGGGACACAGAAGCTGGGACCTGGATGGGGAGAAGTCGGCCACGCACAGATCCGCAGAGAAAGCTCCAGGAAGAAGGGATAGCAATTGTGAAGTTCTCAGGAAGAACAGGCTTGGTGCTGTCCTGAGAGAGGGAAGTGTGAGCCCACGGCCTGAGGTGGGGCTGCAGCCACAGACAGGGCCCAGTGGTTGAGGCCTCCCTTCAGCCATGGACAGGACAGGAGGGACATGATCGATGCACAGTGGAAAGGATCTCTCTGGACTGGCGAGCAGCAGGGGCTGACAGACGACGCATGTCTGGGGCAATTCAGAGGCTGAGCTGAGAGACGCGGAGCCTCTGACAGGGGGAAGCTATGGGGGTCGGGGTGGGGCTTAGGAAACATCTGGGCTATGACAGACAAGATTCGTCGAGAGACCCCCCATAGAAAGCAAGGTAGAGGAAGAAATCCTGTATGGGTGGGTGGAGATGACTTTTCCTGCTATAAGAAGGGCAAGACAGAAAAGGCAGGGCTGGGAGTGAGGCAAGCTCACAGAGGGGGAAGAGCAGGGACAAGAACCTGGGCAGCATCACAGGGGCGGTGGTGTCTGAAGCCAGGGAGAGAACAGCCTGGGAGAAGTGGGTCAGGCCTGCGTCTTCAGGCCCACTGGAGTTGAGTCTGGCCGAGGAGGAAGAGCCAAGAAGGAGCCCAGGGGGGATGCCTGGAGGAGGGAGGGACGCACGGGTCGCTGGGCAGAAGCGAGCGGCTCTCAGGAGGATGGGGCGCGAGTTGGGCAGAGCATGACTCCCAGAGGCAGGGTAAGATGGGGGCTGGGAAGGGGCCACTGCGGTGACCAGGAGGCACCCAGGTCACACCCGGCTATGGTGAACGTGGGTAGAGTAACCTTGCTGGACTCTGGGCTCCTCCTCTTTCTAAAATATACCTTGTCCTTATTCATTGCACAGTGGAGAAACCTGGCGGACACCACGCTGACCGAGAGATGAAGGTTAATATCACTAGCACCGAAGGGATACCACACACCTCCTGATGGGGTTCCCGCTGCCGTGCACGGCCTGAATTTAATCAGGAGAAAGCAAGGGGCAAACTCAAATTCAGGGAAATTCCACAGAATAACTGGCTTGGACTCTTCAAACATGTCAAAGGTCGTGAGAGACAAAGACGCAAGAACGGTTTCAGATGAAAGGAGACCAAAGCAACAATGGTGAGAGCCACACACGATCCTGGATTGGATCCGGGTTTCTATTGCTAAGAGGACATCAGGGGACAACGATACAATTTAAATAAGGTCTGCAGGTTTGAAAGAGGATTGCGTTGATATCAATTTCCTGATCTTGATCAGTGGACTGTGGTTATGTTAGAGAACAGCCTCATTCTTAGGGAAAAACACTGAGGAACTCAAGGGTCCACGAGCACCACATCTGCAATTTACACCCACTCACATGGTTCAGGGAAAAACGGGAACAATGAAGCAAATGCTAGTATTGGGGGAACTGGGGTCAGGGGTACGAGAATTCTTTGTCTTACTCTTGCAACTTTACTGAAAGTCTGAAATCATTTCAAATTGACAAGTGAAAAGAACCATACCCACCGCTAATGCCGCTGGAGGAGATAACCTTAGGGAGTGCATGCCCCAGCACCTGCTGCTCAAGAGGTGCCGGGAGCACCAGCGAGGAGCTCAGGTGTGGAGACACCCTGCTCAGAGCAGGATGAACGTCAGACGTTATCACCCTGCTATCTCCCACATGCAGATCTACAATCCTCTAAGCCCTGCTCCAGGCGAGTTATCGGATGCTGCCCACTAGGAGGACAGGTCTTTCCCAGCTGGGAGCAGGCGGCACTGGCATCAGAGAGCAGGTGTGGGGTGTAAATCTCACCCTCCTCCTGGGCACCAAATGTCTACTCTGCTGAGCGCTGGGAAAGGCCATGTCAAAAGAGCTCAAGTTACCACATAGGGCAAAGTCAGGAAGAGGCGAGGGGAGCCTTCGGGACAAGCACAGCAACAAGACAGCAAACACAAGTGGCTCTTGAACCCACGAGAAAGCAAGAGATTCAAAATACAACCATGAGGTGCCACTCCTGCCTGGGAGCTTTGTAAATGCAGTGCTGAGCGCCAGGAAGGCCTTCAGGAGGCGGCCCGCAGGCACTGCTGAGCATCACGGCAGCTTCTCCGGGAAGCTGTTTGCAAAACTTATCAAGAGCCTTTAAGGTATTTATGCCCGGCCAGGCGCGGTGGCTCACGCCTGTAATCCCAGCACTTTGGGACGCTGAGACAGGCGGATCATTTGAGGTCACGAATTCAAAACCACCCTGGCCAACATGGTGAATCCCCGTCTCTACTAAAAGTACAAAAATTAGCCCAGCATGATAGTGGGCGCCTATAGTCCCAGCTACTCGGGAGGCTGAGGCAGGAGAGTTGCTTGAGCCTGTGAGGCGGAAGTTGCAGTGAGCCGAGATCGCGCCATTGCATTCCAGCCTGGGTGATAGAGCGAGACTCCATCTCAAAAACAAAACAAAACAAAAAAAGCCGGGCACAGTGGCTGACGCCTGTAATCCCAACACTTTGGGAGGCCAGGGCGGGTGCATCACGAGGTCAGGAGATGGAGACCATCCTGGCTAACACGGTGAAACCCCATCTCTACTAAAAAATACAAAAAAATTAGCTAGGCATGGTGGCGGGTTATGCCCCTGAGCCCAGTCATTACTATTCCAGAAATCCAACCCCAGGAAATATTCCAAAATGGGAACCAAGATGTACGCAGAAAGATGTTCAAAGCAGCATTATTTACAACAGAAAATCATGAGAAGCAATTTAAAGATTCCACACCCTGGCTCCCACAGACATTATGTAACCATTAACAATAATGTGTTTGCACAGGTTTTGATGACATGGGAAATGCTTGTGATGTAATGTGAAGCCAAGAAAATTTAATGGTAAACAACATGATCTCATGAAGTTTTTTTAAAGGAATGGCAACAACTGTAGGACTGCTTGCATGCCACCCTCCTCACTCCCACGTGCTATGGAATTGCTGTAGAGTTGTGTTTTCCTCCTTCTTTATGCTTTTCTATATTTCCATATGGAAAATTTCCATATTTTCTCCATTGGGGATGCGTTATTTATAATTAGAAAAAAAAGAAGAAATATACAGAAGGGACAGGAAGAGCTCCGCAGGAAAAGGCGAAGGGAGCTCCTGCTACACCGACTCCTTGGGTGGGAGGACTTGGCTATGTGTCTCCCAGGAGCCTAGCACCCTCCCCCTCCTCACCTGCTGGCCTGCCTATAGGTGAGCAGCCTCACAGCTGGCAGCAGCCCACTGGCACCGAGATTCTCAAACCTCCAGGGCAGTTTCAAGCTTTTTCCAGGGAGCCCCAGTCCTTTCCTCCCACCTGGGTGGGTTTACCCTGCGACCACAGGGGCACTTACCCGTGGTTTGTGGGTAAACAGGTCATTTTTGTTGCTCTCCTCCCCTGTCCACACCACACTCACTCCCCACTGCCTTTTCCATGCAAAGAAAGAGATTTCCTCAGAAGATATGCCAAAGGCCGGTCACCTCCAGAGCCTCTGGAAGGCTGCACCCTGCCCCACAGCGTGGCCACCAAGTGTCTGCTTAGCTCAGGCAGGAAAATGATGGAGTGCTGACATGTTGCCGCCCCCTCGGCGGCCCCTCTCACATACATTCTTGCATTGGATCCTCATTTTTTCTTGGTGGGTAAAGGATTCCTTAGCAGTCCCACTCCACCAAGAGCCGGAGGCTGTGGGCAGCGGGGGGCACAGGAATGCCTCCGTGAGTCCTTGTGTCCCTCAGAGGGAAGCGAAAGCAGGCCTAGACTTGAGGCCAAGAGGACTGTCCCCGGGGCACGGGAGCTCTTTGGGTGGCAGCATGCCAGGCAGATGTTTATGGAAGGGAAAAGATCAGGGCTCTTCGGCTGAAGTCAGAGCAGGGAAAAGTGGAACAGAGAGTAGCCTCCTCTGGGGCACAGCCCAGCGCAGGCCCACAGTCCACTGGCCGGGGGCTGCCCCAGCTCCATGGTTTGGGCACCTCTGAGGCCCCAGCTTTCACATCTGTAAAACGGGGTTCCACCAGCCCACCCTAAGCAGGTCATCCTGGGGGTCGACTGAGACAGTACAGCTAAAGCGCCATGCCTGGGTGACAAACATCAGCTGCTGTCACTATCTTCCCAACTCCCTCCCCTCCCAGATGAACAGAGGGCCAGGGAGGAAGCCCCCGGCCCCACACAGCTGGAAGGCCCACACACTTGCGCCCTCCCACTCGCACCATGATGCAGCTCCATGCTGACCTCCCCACAGGCCAGGCCGTCCTGGGGTGAAGGCAGCACAGGCAGCCCACCCACCAAGCCAGGCTGACCATGCACCCAATGCTTAGCAGAGTTCACTGCATAGGGGAGCCAGCAGGTGTGATGCCCACATACACTTGGAGCAAACACACAGGCCCGAGGACACCACGTGCTTTTGCCAATGCAGAAACCTGTCCCCAACATTCCTCTGCAAAGGAAGACCCACCCCAAACAAAAGTAGTTGGGAGTGTCAGGTGTTGCAGAGAGGGGGGCACCTGTCCCAGAGCACTCACCCTGTACCGGCCTTCAGTGCACAGAGGAGGGTGTCTGAGGAGCCACAGACAGCTGCTCTTCTGCCTGAGGTTACTGGCCCAGAATACAAAGTTCCCCAACACAAGGCTGCTGGAGGCCTGGGCTGCAATCAGGGGAAGGGGCAGCAGTGAGCCTAGAGGCTGTGAACCTGAGGCCTAGAAGCTGGCATGGGCCGCTGGCTGCAGGGAGGCGGGAGGTTGGGTCACGCAGAGAGTAGCTGATCCACAGCCCACAGCCTGCTCCCTCGGCCCCCTAGGGACCTGGCAAGATGATGAGGGAGGTGGTCTGAGACAGGAGGCAGTCAGAGACGGGAGGGCAGGTTTCTGTGATGGATTTGGGATGTGCTGCCGAGTGAGGCGGAAGACACGGAAATGTTGGCCAGCAGGCAGTGTGGGGCTGGGGAAGGCTGTCAGGAGCTGCTGTGAATGACGGAGGGTGAGGGCTGCACTGCTCCTTAGAACCTAGTTATGGCCCTGAAACTAAGCTCACCGCTGTGGTCACACAAGACCCCCACCACCAACCTGTCTCTCCCTGACCCGCACACAATGCCAGGCACGGATGGGGCCCAACAGACATAAAGATGAACTGAAACACCACTGCATTCCCAGGGCGCCTGCACCCTTCCTAGAACTTGGTTAACCCAGTTTTTCCTTATCGAATGGCACTGCCTTCCCAGATCTGAAACCCAGGCCTTTCCAGAATCAACATCGGCTGGGAGAAACCGCACTGTAAGATGGGCGTGGCCCCCTCACACCACCCTCTCTCCAGGAAGCAGGGTCTTCAAGGTTATGGTGGAATAAGCCGACTCTGGGTATGCTGAGCTTGAGGGGTCTGGGATGGTTCAAAGGGAGGAGCTGGGTGGGCAGACTCCCCCTGCTCCCCAATACTAGACCATTCCCCAAAGCCGAAGGGAGCAGGGGCCTCTGCACAGCACTTGGGGTATAGAAGAAGGAACCCCTGCAGCTGGAGGCACCTATGGTGACCCTCGGAAGTGGCAGCAGAGGGTGGGAGACGGCCTTCCTGAGACCCCCAGAAGCCTTGCCTCTGGTATTAATGACACTCCCGGTCCTCAGGCTGTACGAAACCAAGCCCAGACACTGGAGTATGCCAGCCTTTCAACTCACAATGGCACATTCCCAGCAAGTGCCACCAGTCTGCAGCCCTTCTGGCTGGCACCATTCCAGGCACTTCCTGCCATCTTCACAGCACGGCACAGAATAGGCGATGGCCAGGCACAGGAAGCAGGGGGCAGCAATGGCTGGGGCCAGGCTCCCTCTGCGGTCCCATGCTGCAGTCCCATGCTGCAGTCCCATGCTGCACCCTGCTTTTGGGTATTTGGTTGGTGGATGGCAATCAAGAAGTTCTCAAGGTTGTCAAGTTTGGCTGAGAAGCTTCCCTGGAAATGCAGAGGGCTTTACTAACAGAACCCACAGAGCCGTTTCCTGCTCCCTCGAGCTGAGCCGCAACTCTTCAAGGGAGGCTGCTAGAGCCCCAGGTGTGAAGGGCATTCTGGGATGCTGCCAGGGCCAGCAACCAGCTCAGGTTACAGTTACACGCCTCGGGGGATGCCACTGTCTTGCTTGCTCCTGGTGATACACACAAGCAAAGCTCTCCCTTTCTGACCTCAGAAATGGGGAAACAGTAGTGAGTGAGTGAGAGAAAAGCAACCACCATCACCCAAAGATCCTTCACCCTGTTTTCCTCTCCAGAGAGCTGACAGCCCAGAGACCCACTTGCTATTTTCTGCAAATGCCAGCTGACAGATCCCTTTTCTTGGCCTCGGGTTGTGCATAAGAGACCAAGAAATAAGACAGCTTTGACTGTCACTTGGGACGTGTAAATAACTCCTTGCAAGCAAGAATGAGCCACAGTGAAGCCAGTAGTGTGTGGGGCACCTGCTTCCTCCCCTGCTGCCTCTCGGGTGACTCCACAGCTTCCATTTCCCTCCCAGCTTCAGCTTCAGATCAATAACTCAGCATTCCCCTTCCAGAAGGGAGTCAGGAAGGCACCTACGACGACCTGCAGGCTGAGGCAGGGCGAGGGCCTGGCCGTCACCTGCCCCGCTCCTGACAGAGCTGCCGCTTCCATAGCACACAACACATACTCACTGAGCTCCACCTGGTGCCCGGCCAGTGCCAGTGGAGGAGGGCACAATGGTGGGCAGTGACCCCAGCAGAGCCTTGCTCCTTGCCAGGCAGGGGCCACTGTGGCTCTTCACGCAGACTCACTCAGTAACCCTCACAGCCCCTCATCACCTCCCTGTACAGGTAAGGGACCAGGTGCAGTGGGATTAAGTGACACACCCAGGCCACCAGCAGAGCCGGCCTGGAGCCCGCTTCATATGGCCCCCTCCAGAGCAGGAGCTCGGACCCATCAGAGTTGGCCTATGGACTCTTCACTCAACTAAAGGAGTAAGTCACGGCTTTCATCAGGAGCACAGTGTGACAGGCACTTGGAAACCAAAATACCAAAACCAAAAACCCCACTTCTGATAAAACTGTCACTGGCCTGGCCTCCAGCAGGGCCACCAGTGGCACTCAGAGCTTCCCAACGAGAGCTGACGAACAATGTCAGCAGTCACATGTCCCAGATAAGCCAAGGCAGTTTCAATTTGTCTAATAAATCATCAAAATGTCCCTGAAATCCCACTACTTCAGACCTGAACTACATCTCCCAGGATGCCTCTTGCAACCAGAAGGAGCACAGAATCCTGCTGTCAGGCCATCATCCCCCAAGTTTTGTTCCAGACAACAACGTGGCCCCAGTGCTCAGCAGCCTTTCTGGGGACCAGGGCAGGGCGCCACCTAAGAGCTGCTGCAGCTGAGGCCCCACATCGCTTCGTCCTACATATTCCTGTCCTCACAGAGCGTCTCCTGCAGCCTCAGAGGGCAGCAGTGGGCAAGAGGCCGCAGAGGAAGGGAAAGACCAGGCCCTGCTTCAGGGGCGGGTGGCCAGCAAGTTGGTTCTGAAAGCCCAGCAGAGCACCTGGGTCCCTCAGCAAATCCTCAGAGGTGTGCTGGAGAGCAGCAGAGGGCAGAGAAGAAAGAAGTGTGGTTCAGAAACAGGCCCCAGGAACCTCCGAACCAACAAAGCTCCACACACCTACTTCCTATGGGCCCAGCTGCCCCCAGCACCAGCACCCGCACCAGGCTGTGCCCCTAGCCCCAGCTGGGCTCCACAGCTGCCAGTGAAAGCAGGTCAGAACCAGAAAGAAAGAGCTCTTGGCAGAGCACTCGGGGCTGCGGCGGTGGCAGCTCTGACGGATGGGGCCGCTCTCCCCAGGCGGCTCTGCTCTAAACATGTCCGACGGGCCCCAGGGCTGGCAGCCAAGAGGGACAGATGAAAGAACGACTCCACCTGGCTCTCAGGGCTGCCACGGCTGATATCAAAGCACCCAAGAGAGGACAGACTGAGGCTGAGATTTCTGGGCAGGGGGGGCAGAAGGGAGGACGCTGGAAACAATGCAGGTGACAGACACAGAAGACAGGAGAGAGACAATACCAAAGACGGAAACAGACACAGCACGGGTGCTCGCCGAGGCTCAGCTGTCCGGGCTCTGGGCCCCCAGGAGCGCCGGCTGCTCCAAGTGGCACTGCGGCGACGAACAGCAGTGAACAGTGCCAGCAGGGCTCCTCATCGCCCTGGCAACCCTCTATTCAAAGGAGCAGCCGAGGGGGAAAGGGTGGCACCGAGGCGACTGGCGCCATGGTCTCGGGACTTGTGGACTGGGGGACAAAGGGGGTCTCAGAGAAAGCAGAGTGAGGGGTCCCGAGGGCCTGCAGTGAGGTGGCTGCTCCATCCCAGCCTCACTGGAAAGCAGTGAGAATTTCAGGGCCAACACTGCCCCCTGGCGCACGAGGAGCCAGCTTCCTGCCGACCCTGCAGCACGGGGTGTGGGCAGGGCTCACATGGGAAGGTCACTTGTCCCCATTCCTCCACATCCTATAGGAGTAGGCTCAGGAATGCCTTCCCTATATTCCCCGGGCAGCCACCTCCCTCAGCTCTGTCCTTGTCTGTGCCCCACCCATCGTCCTGCTCAGGGGGCTCTCCATGAGGTCTCCGTGGCGTCTGTGTCCTCAGCAAAGAGCATTTAATGTTATAAAGATTTGTTGACCCGTCTTGTCTCCTTTAATAGACACTGTTAGGGCCCTGGGCACAGGATCCCTGGTCTCTTTTGTCCCCACATCTCCCTGGCACTCTGTACAGTGCGTAAGACCAGAACTAAATAAATGTCTGAGGGAATGAATCAGTGAAGAAATACTTCAGGTCACAATGAGGTTGCAGAGTGGCATGAGGCTGTTAAGATTCACCGTGAGGCGTGGTGGCTCATGCTTGTAATCTCAGCACTTTAAGAGGCCGAGGCAGGGGTATCACTTGAGTCTAGGAGTTTGAGATCAGCTTGGGCAACATATTGAGATCCTGTCTCTGCCAAAAAATTAAAAAAAAAACTTTTTAAAATTAGCTGGGTGTGGCCTGGCACGTGGCTCACACTTGTAATCCCAGCACTTTGGGAGGCTGAAGCGGGTGGATCACCTAAGGTTGGGAGTTCAAGACCAGCCTGACCAACATGCAGAAACCCCATCTCTACTAAAAATACAAAATTAGCCGGGCATGGTGGCACACGCCTGTAATCCCAGCTACTTGGGAGGCTGAGGCAGGAAAATCGCTTGAACGTGGGAGGCAGAGGTTGCGGTGGGCTGAGATCGTGCTATTGCACTCCAGCCTGGGCAACAAGAGCAAAACTCCATCTCAAAAAAAAAAAAAAAAAATTAGCTGGGCATGGTGGTGCCCATAGATAGTCTCAGCTGCTTGGAAGCCTGAGGCAGAAGGATTGCTTGAACCTAGAAGGTTGAAGCTGCAGTGAGCCATGATGGTCCCAGTGCACTCCAGCCTGGGCAACAGAGCAAGACTCTGTCTCAAAAAATAATTAATCAATTAGTTAAAAAAAAAGATTTACCTAGAAATATTATGGAGCATTCAGATAAAGATTAGTAAGGCTTGGCCCCTCCTGGGAACAGCACACACACACTAGTGGGACACACAAATGTCCCATACATATTGATTAGAGCCCAAAGTGATGTTGACAGGACAGAGAGAGGGTCTGAAGGACAAGGTCAGCAAAAAGCACCTCCCAGACTAATGCAGAGCGTGCCTGTGCCCCCCACACCCATATGTTGAAACCTTGATCTTGGACTTCCAGCCTCCATAACTGTGAGAAATAAATGTCTGTTGTTTAAAAGCCACCCAGCCTGTGGTATTTTGTCACTAAAGCCCAAAAGGACTCAGACGCAGCCTGGCAATGGGAACCAGGGAAGCTGAGTTTCAGGGCTGCGAGGGGCGACAGAGGCTAGGGGCACCAAAGACTCAATTCTAAACAGAACTGGACAATCTTTGCAGGGAGGAAGATGCCAGGACCCAGCAGACACTTGCAGGTGGCCCAGGACATTTCCCGACCCTCTTCAGGCCACCCCACCCCTGCTGGAGAGCTTCACAGGACCTGCTCCCCACTCAATTCCCCTCGTTCCAAGATGACAGGACATGAATGCTGGCTGGATTAGAGAGGGCCTCCCAGAGGCCTTGGGGACTTCGGGACCTGTCAAGCTCAGGACAAGCGGGTGTCACCCGGTGTTAGAGGTTGAATTGTGTCCCCCACCAAAAAAGATACACTGAAGTCCTAACCCCTAGCACCTAGGTCAGAATGTGACCTTATTTGGGCCAGGCGCGATGGCTCACGCCTGTAATCCCAGCACTTTCGGAGGCTGAAGTGGGCTGATCACCTGAGGTCAGGAGTTCAAGACTAGCCTGGCCAACAAGGCGAAACCCATCTCTACCAAAAAATACAAAAAATTAGCCAGGTGTGGTGGTGGCTGCCTATAATCCCAGCTACTCGGGAAGCTGAGACAGGAGAATTTGCTTGAACCCGGGAGGCAGAGGTTGCAGTGAGCCGAGATGGCGCCATTGCACTCCAGCCTGGGCAACAGTGAGACTCTGTCTAAAAAAAAAAAAAAAAAAAAGTGACCTTATTTGGAAATAGGGTAATCAAGTAAAAATAAAGTCATTAGGGTGGCCCTAATCCAATATGCTTAGTGTCCTTATAAAAAGGGGGAAATCTGGACACAGACACACACAGAATGAAGATGTGAAGACACAGGAGATGACGGCCACATGACTGGAGTGAGGCAGCTACAAGTCAGGCAAGGCCAAGGACTGCTGGCAAACACCAGAAGCTGGCAGTGGCCAGGCAGGACCCTCCCAGAGCCATCCGAGAGAGCACGGCCCTGCTCACACCTTGAATTGGGGTTTCTGGCCTCCAGATGTGAGGCAAGAAGTCACCGTTGTTTTCACCCAGCTTTTGGCACCCTGTGATGGCAGCTGTAGGAATCTAATACACCCAGGTTGCCTACAAATAACCAGATCCTATACAGATCCTAACACCAGGGGCTGGAGAAGCACAATGATGGTAAAAATACCCCCCTCTCATCCGCACATCCTGATGCAGGCCACAGCGGTGGCTTTCAGAGCATGTCGCTATTTGGGACTGTGATCAGCTGGCTGGGGCAGGCTGAGTGAGAGGCAGCAGAGATGAGAAGTGAAGGATGATGAGGCGGGCCACGCCTGCGTGGAGAGCAGGGCAGAGTTAGCAAGATGGCCTGAAGGAAAGACTCCAGGGTGGGAGGAGGAAGGGACGTCCAGAGGGAGAAGAGGGGAGGGAGGGGGGCAGGCAGAGGAGGGGAGGAGGTCCAGGTGCTGGGGCGGCTGGAGCAAAGGCAGATAAGGCAGGAAGCAAACAGCCTGGCGTGGCCCGCTGAGGCAGGGAGTGCAGGCAGGGAGAGGAGCCTAAGGGCTGAGCCTGAGACTCAGTCCAGAGCTAGTGGGCCCCACCAGCAGCTTGGGCAGTGTCCTCTATGTCGGGATGCTATGGAAATACCAGGCAGCAGGGAGACAGATTTGCAACTGAGAGCTCAGGACCACTGTGGCAGCTCTGGGGAAGCTGGATTTGAGAAGGAAAGATGAGAAGTAGAAGGTCAGCTAGGAAGATGTTCTAATGTGGGCAAGAGACAATGAGGACCTGAACCACGGTGGTGGGAATAGGAATGAAGAGGGACTGTGCCAAGAAATACTTAGGAGGTGGCATCAACAGCACCCATTAGATGGGAGGCAGAGAGGCAGCAGGGAAGGGTGGCCCTGGGTTTTAAGGTGAACGATGGCAACACCAAATTAAAGAACGCGAAGCCAATGTGGGTAGAAACAGTGACTCAGCTTTGAACCTGAAGAGTATCCGGCTGGAAAGAACAGACAGCTAGACAGTGAGTCTCCTGTGTAAAGAGTTCTGAGCTGCAGAGACCTGGGAGTCATCCCAGCCCGCTCCAGAGACGAAGGCAGGAAGGCACGCTGCTAGGATGTGTCAGTGCCACGGTGCACGCCCCTGGCTTCAGAACCTAGGGTCCTGCCTTTGACCACTGTGCCACAGCGTCTTTCCCAAGATACAAGGCTCCAGCCCCGGCCATCAGGGCTGGCCCAGGAGGTGAGGCATCACATGGCTGTTGGGGAATGTGTGGAAGGTCCTCTCGGCTCCACAGAGTGCTTACTGGGCTCTTTTCCAGGCAGCGAACTGGAAGCTTCCGTTCCAGGAACCAGGAGTCCTGCAGCTACTGGTATGCAGTGGGCTCCCCAGGGAGCCCAGTCTCATCTCCCAGCGAGAGGACCAGGGGCCACCAAGCTCCACCCCAACCCAGACTTGCCAATGGGTGTTGGTGTCTCATTTTTCAGTGTGAACGGTCAGCGAACCACCACCAGATATTTGAGGAAATGACCAAAAAATTCACCAAAACAAATTGGGATTTTTAAAAAACAGGAACATTGAGGAGAAAAGTAATATAGAGAACAGATACTCAGAAAAACTATAATTTATCTCCTCAGAGAAACAAGAAAAGCTATTGCATCCATTAAGTAAGAGGCGGCAGCTATTTTAAAAAGGCAACAAGAAAGAGCTCTAGGAAATTAAAAATAGAGTTGCAAAATTTTTAAACATAATAAATAGAGAATTAGAAGATAGTTTGGGACATTACCCAGAAAGACTAACATATGGAAAATAGGAGAAAAGATAAGAAAATAAGAGACTCAGTCCAGCAAGTCCAGCATCCAGCTGCCTGGGACTCCCGGAAGGGGAGACGAGAGAGCCAGGGGCAGGGGAATCCTGCTGGAAAGTCTCCCGGGACTGAAGGACGCGTATCCATGTGGAAAGGTCTTGGAGCGCCTGGAGTGATGCCAAAAGTCCCACTCAGAAGAAAGATCAGTTTGGGATGCCAAAAGAGACCTCCCACTCTCTTTCAGTTTGGGAGGTCAAAAATCCAACATCACTTTCACAGGCCGAAACCAAGTGAGGGCAGGGCTGCGCCCCTCCGAGGGCCTGCAACGAATCCCTCCCGAGTCTTTTCCAGCCTCTATGGCTGCCGGGCTCCTTTGCTCGTGGCCACATCACTCCCACCTCTGGCTCTGTCTCCACATCGCCTTCTCCTCAGCATAGGTCTCTGTCCTCTAAGGACACTTGTGATGGCATTCGGGGCCCACCTGGATGATCCGGGATCACCTTTCCAGGTCAGAATCCTTCATCACATCTGAAAAAGCCCTTCTTCCTTCTAAGGTAACAACTAGGATTAGGACCTGGGTACCTTTGGAGGCCATCTCCAGCCTACCACACTTCTGAAGACCAAGGGTCACACACAACTGTCTTCAGCAGTGACATGGAGTCAGAAGCTTCTGGAGTAATGTCCTCCAATTTTGGAGGGAAAACGCTTCCCAAGCTGGAGTCCTCTATCCAGTTAGACTACTAATCCAGTGGGGGTAAAATACCAATCTTTTGAGACACGCCAGGCCTTGGGAGGTGTGCCACCTGTGAGCCTGTCTGCCCAAGAAGCCCAGGGATGGGCACGAACAAAACAAAGGACTAAATAAACCAAGAATAAGGAAGACAAGGGATCCAGGCACCTGGGCAGCCAGCACAGAGGAGGCAAAGGGAACTCCCACGGCGATGGGGAGGGAGGCCCAGGTCGCTCGCTGTCCACAGGCCTGGAGACCCGCCAGGCACCTGGACAGCAGCTCCTGGGGATGTGGCCTTAAATAAACAAACAAAAAGGCAGATTACCTGGTGTCTCCGAAAGAATGAAGAGGAGATGGCAACGCACAACTTGTCTGGGGATGAACATCAACTCCAGGAAAATGAAAAGTTAATGCCACCATAGTAGACACTCTGTATTTTCAGATGTGAATATTAACTTAATGTTAACAATGTAAAATCTTGGCTGGGTGCAGTGGCTCACACCTGTAATCCCAGCACTCTGGGAGGCCCAGGCGGGCAAATCACAAGGTCAGGAGTTCGAGACCACCCTGACCAACATGGTGAAACCCCGTCTCTACTAAAAATACAAAAATTAGCCGGGCGTGGTGGTGCATGCCTGTAATCCCAGCTACTCAGGACGCTGAGGCAGGAGAATCGCTTGAACCCAGGAGGCGGAGGTTGCTGTGAGCCGAGATCGCGACACCGCACCCCAGCCTGGGTGACAGAGTGAGACTCCATCTCAAAAAACAAAACAAAACAAAAATGTAAATTCTGAAAATGTACTTAAAAGTGTTTCTATATAACCATGCAGGGTGAAGGGAGGGAAAGTGGGTACATGTGTGGGGCAGGGTTTGAGATGGGGAGGGCAGTAAAAGTGAGCTCAATCTTCCATCAAAGGAGACCACTAAACAGAGCAATGCCGTGGGGAACAGGAGTTGCAGGGCAGCCTCTGGGAGGCACTCATGGGGAGGGCAGTGGGACAGGGGTGGCGGGGGCAAATGAGCCTCAGGGTACAATCTGACTTTCAGAAGTGTCCACATGTATTATTATTATTATTTGAGAGCGTCTCACTCTGTCACCCAGGCTGGAGTGTAGTGGCATGATCTCGGCTCACTGCAATCTCCGCCTCCCAGGTTCAGGCAATTCTCCCACCTCAGCCTCCCGAGTAGCTGGGATTACAGGCACCCGCCACCACGCCCAGCTAATATTTTTGTATTTTTAGTAGAGATGGGGGTTTCACTATGTTGGCCAGGCTGGTCTCCAACTCCTGACCTCAAGTGATCCGCCTGCCTTGGCCTCCCAAAGTGCTAGGATTACAAGCATGAGCTAATGTGCCCAGTCTCACATGTATTATTTTGATAAAATAAAAGTTAAACTTACCAAAAGGGAAAAAAAACCACACTCTGCAAACAGGTGCAGTTCCTTTGTGATTCTTCCTAATACCATTCCGGGTCCTTTTCTCCTTTTCTCCCAGGGGGCCCACAATGCAGAGTTACTACTTCCCCTTTGTTGATTTCACCTGGATATTTGTGTGCCCATAACCATATGTTCTAATTTTTTTCATAAATGATATAATCATTTTAACTTGTTTTACCCAATATATATTTGAAATCTCTCCATGTTAATACAGTAGACCTACTTCACGAATGACTGCACAATGTTCTATTAGACATATCGCAATCTGTACATGCCGAATGAGGGACTGCTATTGCCTGAATGTTTGTGTCCACACCAAATTCCTATGCTGAAACCCTAACCAATGTGGCAGTGTCAGAAGGTGGGGCCTCGGGGAGAAGATTAGCGGCTGGTAGCAGAGCCTTCCTGAATGGGATTAGAAGCCTCACAGAAGAGATCAGACAACTCTGTTTCCCCTTTGTCCGTGAGAACACAGTGATCTATGAACCGGGCAGTGGGCCCTCACCAGACGCTGAATCTGCTGACACTTGATCTTGCACTTTCTGGTCTTTAGGACTGTGAGAAATGCATTTCTGCTGTTTAATGAACCTATGGTATTGTGTTATAGCAGCCCAGACTAAGGCAGTGACAAATAGATTGTTTCCCATTTTTTTTTTTTTTTTTGAGATGGAGTTTCACTCTTGTTGCCTGGGCTGGAGTGACAGAGCGAGACTCCATCTCAAAAAATAAATAAATAAATAAGGCAGTTTCATCTTTTTTTTTTTTTTTTTGAGATGGAGTCTCACTCTATCACCCAGGCTGGAGTGCAATGGCGTGATCTTGGCTCAGTGCAACCTCTGCCTCCCAGGTTCAAGCGATTCTCCTGCCTCAGCCTCCCGAGTAGCTGGGACTACAGGCATGTGCCACCATGCCCGGCTAATTTTGTATTTTTAGGAGAGATGGGTTTTCTCCATGTTGGTCAGGCTGATCTCGAACTCCACTCCCAACCTCAGGCGATCCACCCACCTCAGCCTCCCAAAGCGCTGGGATTACAGGCATGAGCCACCTCCCCCGCCGCGGTTGTTTCCAATTTTTAGCAATTAAGAACTGTGTTGTATAGGCTGACAAAATGATCATTGTTGAAGCTGGGCGACAGGTACATAGAGTTCATTATACTATTTGCTCTATTTTTGTGTCTATATAAAAGTAGTCGATTAAAAGTGTTAAAAAATGAATAACTTTGACCCCATATAGAAAATGTGCAAAAATTTCTCTAGGACATATACCTAGAATTGGAATTGCTGCGTCAGACAATAGGCATGGGGTTTTTTTTTGTTTTTGTTTTTGTTTTCAGAGTCTCGCTCTGTCGCCCAAGCTTGAGTGCAGTGGCGCGATCTCGGCTCACTGCAACTTCCGCCTCCCAGGTTCAAGTGATTCTCCTGGCTCAGCCTCCTGAGTAGCTGGGATTACAGATGTGCGCCAACATGCCCAACTAATTTTTTTTGTATTTTTAGTAGAGACAGGGTTTCACCATGTTGGCCAGGCTGGTCTTTACCTCCTGACCTCAGGTGATCTGCCCACCTTGGCCTCCCAAAGTGCTGGGATTACAGGCATGAGCCACTGTGCCCACCTAATAGGCAAGTTTTTTTGTTTTTTGTTTGTTTTGTTTTGTTTTGTTTTTTTGAGACAGAGTTTTGCTCTTGTTGCCCAGGCTGGAGTACAATGGCGCGATCTCAGCTCACCACAACCTCCGCCTCCCGGGTTCGAGCGATTCTCCAGCCTCAGCCTCCCGAGTAGCTGGGATTACAGGAATGCACCACCATGCCCGACTAATTTTGTATTTTTAGTAGAGACGGGTTTCACCACGTTGGTCAGGCTGGTCGTGAACTCCTGACCTCAGGTGATCCACCCACCTCAGCCTCCCAAAGTGCTGGGATTACAGGCGTGAGCCACCGCACCCAGCCAATAGGCAAGTTTTTAATATCAATATTGCCAAATAAGTCTCAAGGTAGTTATCCTAATAATTTACACAGCCACTAGAAATACAACAGAATGTCTATCTCCCCACATCTTTACCAACTGTTATATTGTTAGACTTTGATTTCTGTCAACCTTGTAGTATAAAATGGTATCATTTTAATTTTCAGTCCCCTGATTATTACTGAAGTTGGCTATTTTCTTATGATTGTGGATATATTTTTAGGTTTTTCCTTTTGTGAACTGCCTGTTCACATCATTTGCCCACTTTTCTGCTGGGCTGGTTGTCTTTTTCTTACTGAGCTGTAATAAATCTTTATGTATTCTAGGCATGAATCCATTCTCTGTTATACCCATGGCAGACGCTTGGGAGGATGTTTAGCAAGTTATAGGAAGAGGAAGGGGAAGGAGTTGAGAGGGAATGACAAGTTGAAGAAGGAAGGATGAGAATAAAAGGTGGGGCGAGTCCGGGAACAAGGCTGCGAGGCTCGGGTGAAAGACTGGCCTTGAACTAGATGAAGAACACTTCCCCTGAGACCAGAGTGCCTAAGAGTTCTGGGACAGTCTCAGTTGTAAAACAGCCAGTGCTTGGCCACAGGTGTCACCCAATACACTGACTCAGCCAGGGCCTGGGATGACTAAGAGCTTTTTCAATGTGACTCATCAAGGCTGACAAGCACAGGCATCACGTTCCAGAACGCACAACCAAAAGGGCAAAGCAACAGTCCAGGCAGGTCAGCCTGTAGAGACAAGACTTCCTACTGACATCCAAGCTACTCGTTTGCCACAGCTGCTCCAAGGATGGCAATAATGAGTGCGAGCTGCATCAGAGATGAGAGATTGAACTTTAAGAAAAATGTCGCCGGGCGCGGTGGCTCACGCCTGTAGTCCCAGCACTTTGGGAGGCCAAGGTGGGTGGATCATGAGGTCAGGAGTTCAAGACCAGCCTGGCCAAGATGGTGAAACCCCGTCTCTACTAAAAATACAAAAAAATTAGCCAGGCACGGTGGCGGGCGCCTATAATCCCAGCTTCCCAGCTACTCGGGAGGCTGAGGCAGGAGAATCGCTTGAACCCAGGACGTGGAGGTTGCAGTGAGCCAAGATGGCGCCACTGCATTCTAGCCTGGGTGACAGAGCAAGACTCCATCTCAAAAAAAAAAAAATTGTTGGCTTTTAGTATTAACTGTGAGTGTTTGGTATTCATGTTGGATCTGCTGCTGATGATGTGGGGGTGGGTGGAGGGGAGGCAGAGAAGGAAGAATTAGAAGGCCACAGAAGCCCAGGTTGAAGGGCTGGGGCTGCTGCAGTGGAAATATCTTTTAAGATGCTACTTGGCAAGCATGATTCAACCCTGACAGACCCTTAGAACAAGTCAGACGACCTGAAAGATGAGATTCTGCTGTCCAGCTGCACCGTGTCAGTGAGGACCCCCACTGTGACCCCAGGGCACGACTCACTCCCACGGGCTTGCCTGACTCCAGCTCTGTGCTATGACATCACGTTGGTAGCCTGACACGGGCCACAGTGGGCATATTTATGCCACAGAAATTGGCAAACACTATAATCAAGGCCCTTTCCTCACTTCCCTAAGAGCCACTCCTGACAGAGCAGTGGGTGGCATGCAAATCCCAGAAGGGCCCAGAGACGGGGAGTGAGGGGAGCAGCGTAGACAGAGTCGCTTCTCCACTCTCCCTTTTGCCTACAGAACCCAAATAAAGAAGGCTCTTTTCTTTTTTACAGACCTGGTGTCCAAGTACTTAATTTGATCAAAACATGAGGATGAGCTAAGGAAGACAGCAGACAGGCACTCTATCAATGTCTTAAGGTAGTTCCAATGACATTCTGCAACATGAATTAATCTTTGAGGATATCAACATAAAAATTCTTTTGAGAATCTCATTTAACAACTGGAAAATTATTCTTTTGTCTTCTAAGGGACTGATTTCTTTACCCCTGCTCTCAACACCTTCTTTCTCTCTCTCCATCAACACAGGCACTTGGAGGTTGAAGCGTGGGGGTGTAAAATCACGCTTTTTGGTGGACATGGCAAATGCCTATTCTATAGCAGAACTTAGCCCCCGCCCCCTACCCCCTCACTCCCCCTCCCAAACTGCACACATACACCAAACCCAACCAGACACCTCCTCCTTCCTTCCTCACCACCCTCTCCCTGGTCACCAAGGGTTAAGCTTAGGGTCTTCTTTAGCTCTTCCCCTCCCTCACCTACCATCTGGTCAAGAAGTCTGGGCAGTTTTACCTCTTTAATCCCTCACATCCTTCCCTCTTTTCATTTCTAAGAAGAGGACCCTGAAATGTCCTCTTCTTACTACTTAACTATCGTAAAAACCTCCTACTCATTACCACAGCTCTAGCTACCAATCCACATTAGGTACTAGGGATAGCTAGCATCCCCAAATACAGGCATGACGGCACTCTTCCTGAAAAGTGGGGTAATTCTCTGACTCCCCACTGTCTGTAGGTGGGAAACTCAAGTCTCCTTGGGGACCTCCCCCAAAATTAGTGCACCCTGCCTGTCCAGCCTTGTCCCCCCATGCCCCAGCCTCCCGGATTCTCCAGCTGCAGCCCAGCTGCCTCCTCTTTGTTCTCAGAAATCCTAGCACCTGCCCCTCTCCCTCAGAGCACTCCCTCTACCATTAGAACACCCTTCCCGTCCCAGCTTTTGCCCATGCAAGTCCTGCTCCTGTCTCAGGTATGCATCTAATTTTTCTCCCTCCCTTATGAAATCCCACTAAGACTTCAGCAAATATATATATATTTTTAAAGCTATGAACCCCCAAGGGCAGAACAGGAGAGGAGACAACAGCAACATGACTGCAGAAGCTGGAGCGCAGCTCGCGTCAGCTGACCTCACAGCCTGGGTCTGGAGCAGGCTGAGAACACCCGGGTTCCCACCATCCACCAGGAATCCTCCAAAGGCCAGGGAACTGCAGCTCCAGGCCTCCCACCTCCACAATGGGCTGAACGGGCTGCCGTGTATAAAGAGGGCAGGCTGAAAGCTTTCAAAAAGCAATCAGGGCTGGGCACAGTGGCTCGCACCTGTAATGCCAACACTTTGGGAGGCCAAGGCGGGTGGATCACCTGAGGTCAGGAGTTCGAGACCAGCCTGGCCAACATGGTGAAACCCCGTATCTACTAAAAATACAAAAATCAGTTGGGCGTGGTGGCATGCACCTGTAGTCCCAGCTACTCAGGACGCTGAGGCAGGAGAATCACTTGAACCCAGGAGGCGGAAGCTGAAGTGAGCCGAGATTGTGCCATTGCACTCCAGCCTGGGTGACAAGAGTTAAAACTCCGTCTCAGGAAAAAAAAAAAAAAAAATAGCAGTTAGACCCCTACCTCCCCCATCTCATGCCAGAGACCTCCCCTCTCCAGCCCTGGAAGAACAGAGGTTTACTTTCTGGGGAGGGAAAAGTGTGGGGTCTCTGGACTGGGAAATTCGAGGCACAGTTGAGGGCCTGGGGACCTTGCCAAAAATGGGGGTGGCAGGTTACGTGACTCTTTGCATGCTACCCCCTTCCCCAACTGAGCTCCCAGGTGTTGACACTGAGGTTCCCCAACAAACAGCCTGCCCAGATCATGTACTGGTAAACTCAGAACTGGACCCCCACCTGCTCCAGCTCCCAGGCAGCATTTTAGACCCTCCTAATAATTATGAGTGGGCAACCAAAGGTCCCTGGGCAGATTCATTCAAAGAGGATGGAGACCAAAGGAAAGAGCAGAGAAAGCAATTTGGAGGAAACCAACTATGCAGGGAGAAGAAAACTTAGAGACAAACATGGCATTCACATTCTCACAGAAATAAGAAACGATTACATCAGTGAAAACATAGGATGCTACACACATTTTTAAAGAACCATTTGGGGAGCAAAAAAGCTCTTGGAAATTAAAAAATACAATAAGACAAAGCAATAGAAAGGTTGAAAGATAAAAGGAAATCTTCTAGAAACTGAAGAAAAGAGACAAAGAGATGGAAAATAGGTGAAAAAGGGAAAAAAATTAGAGGGTCAGTCCAAGAGATCCAAAAACTAAATAATAGGAGTTTCAGAAAGACAGAACAGTAAAAAACAGAGGGCAAGAAAAGGAATGTTTCAAGAAACTCCCAGGATAGGACATGAGTTTCCACACTGGAAGGACTTGCTGAGAGCCTCACGAAACAGATGAACACAGGCCTACACCAAGGCACTGTGTCCAATTTCAGATCCTGTAAGCTTTCCCAAAGGAGGGTAAAAAGAAAAAAAAGACAAAAGTATCAGAAATCAGAAAGGTTTTGGACTTCTTAGCAGTTTCAGAAGTTAGAAAAGTGCAAAGCAATCCTTCAAACTTGTCAAGGAAAAATTGTTTCCAACCTGAAATTCTCTTTTTTTTTTCTTTCCGGAGACAGTCTGGCTCTGTCATCCAGTCTGGAGTGCAGTGGCACAATCTCAGCTCACTGCAACCTCCACCTCTTGGGTTCAAGCAATCCTCTGCCTCAGCCTCTCGAGTAGCTGGGATTACAGACATGTGCCACCATGCCTAGCTAATTTTTGTATTTTCAGTAGGGATGGGGTTTCACCATGTTGGCCAAGATGGTCTTGAACTCCTGGCCTCAAGTGATCCACCTGCCTCGGCCTCCCAAAGTGCTGGGATTACAGGCATGAGCCATGGCTCCTGGCCCCAACCTGAAATTCTCTATCCAGCTAAACTATCAACCATGTATGAAAGTAAAATAACAAGAAAAGGCAAAGGTCTTTGTTAGGAAGCTGCTGTCAATATGCTGCACCCAAACAAGGGAGCAAGCAAACGAGAAAGAGGAGCGGGGAACAAAGGAGAAAGACAGAGGAAATCCCTGGGAGAGGGCACGCCAAGGGAGCAGAGGGGCAAGGAGGATGGACAGCGCCGCTGGCTCCCTTCAAGGGGAACTAAAGGAAAATGAAGCCTCACTCTTACTGATGAGAGGGCCTATGCCGAACCTGACCGCAAGACACGAAAGCAGCAAGAACATAACACCTGAAGCCTAACCCACACCTTAGCAGGAGGCCCCTGATCCCCACGGACCACAATGTGGATGCTGTGAAAATCTGCCTAGATGAGAAGCGTCCGCCTATATATACGCACATACACTCATAAACATAGAGTATTTCTAGAATGACACTTCAGGAGCTGGTAACAGTGGCTGCCTCTGGGAAAGGTTTCTCTTTCACTGCTGATCCTTTTGTTTTTTGTTTGTTTGTTTGTTTGTTTTTTGAGATGGAGTCTCACTCTTGTCGCCCAGGCTGGAGTGCAGTGGTGCAATCTCGGCTCACTGCAACCTCTGCCCCCGGGATTCAAGAGATTCTCATGCCTCAGCCTCCAGAGTAGCTGGGATTACAGGCGCGCACCACCATGCCTGGCTGATTTTTTTGTATTTTTAGTAGAGATGGGGTTTCACCATGTTGGCCAGGCTGGTCTCGAGCTCCTGACCTCAGGTGATCCACCTGCCTAGGCGTCCCAAAGTGCTGGAATTACAGGCATGAGCCACCGCGCCCAGCCTTGACCCTTTTGAATTGGCACCATGTACTTGATTATCTATTCAAAAAGTGACTAAGTCGGGGTGCAGTGGCTCACACCTATAATCCCAGCACTTTGGGAGGCCGAAGCAGGCAGATTACCTGAGGCCAAGAGTTCGTCACCAGTCTGGCCAACATGGCAAAACCCCGTTTCTACTAAAAATATAATAAATTATCTGGATGTGGTGGCACACACCTGTAGTCCCAGTTACTCGGGAGGCTGAAGCAGGAGAATTGCTTAAACCCGGGAGGCAGAGGTTGCAGTAAGCAGAGATTATGCCACTGCACTCCAGCCTGGGCGACAGAGAGAGACCTGCCTACAAAAAATAAATAAACAAAAAGCGAATAAAATACAACATGCGAAAAGCTATCCTCCTTCAAAGCCTCACTTCATTGCCCCCTCCCTGAGGAAGCCTTCCCCGGTTCCCAACCCAGGACCAGAGTAAGACAGGGACCCTCCTCCTGGCCTGCTTCTCCCCAGGCCCTGGTTAGCGAGTACAGGTCATGTATCCAGCCTTGAGCTCTACGGGGGCAGACATAACTAACTCATCTTTGTTATGTCCACTTGGTAGAGATAACTTGCTCCAGGAGCACTGGAAAGAAACTTTCATTTTCTGCCTACAATATTCCAGGCATCTTCCTTTTAGCCCACTGAATTGTCACCACAATCTCATGGGGTATTATCAACCCTCATTTTACTGAAAAGAAAATTGAGGCTGGGAAGGACCCACAGGAAGTAGCAAACTCAAGAATAATTAAGGCTGCCCAGCTCCAGGGCCCCTGTTTTTTCATGAGAGCAGCTAGCCTGGTGCCTAGCTCACAGTACAGTTCCAAAAATGTTTAACTCAACCAAATTAAATTGGAATTAAGATTAAACTGGAATTAAGATTTTCTTCTGGAGCTGGGGTCCTCCCATGTTCTGAGATCCTGAAAAAGCAGCTGAGGGCCCTCAGTGGCAGACAGCACCTCCACCCGGCCAAAGGGAGCCAGGGCCAGCGGTCACAGCCCGGTGGGAAAGTTTCCTCATTAAATCACAGTCTTTTAGCCGACTGCGCTGCCCTTCAGGGCCAGGGTTTTGTTTTTTAACAGCTTTACTGAGATACAATTCACATACCATATAGATGAGACACATAAAGTGCAATTCAATGGCCGGGTGTAGTGGCTCACACCTATAATCCCAGCACTTTGGAAGGCTGAGGTGGGCAGATCACTTGAAGTCAGGAGTTTAAGACCAGCCTGGCCAACATGGCAAAACCCCATCTCTACTAAAAATACAAAAATTCGCTGGGCGTGGTGGCAGGCACCTGTAATCCCAGATACTTAGGAGGCTGAGACAGGAGAATCGCTTGAACCCAGGAGGTGGAGGTCGCAGTAAGCCGAGATTGCGCCACTGCATTCCAGCCTGGGCGACAGAGCAAGACTCTGTCTCAAGAAACAAATAAAGTGCAATTCAATGGCTTTTTAAATATATTCACAGATATGTGCATCTACCGCCATAATCCGCTTTTAGAACATTTCCTATCCCCTAGCTGTCATGCTCCAACCCCCTTAGCTCCCTCAGCCCTTGGCAACCACTCATCTACTCTCAGTCTCTATGGATTTGCCTATTCTGGACATTTCTTTTCTTTTCTTTTTTAAGATGGAGTTTCGCTCTTGTTGCCCGGGCTGGAGTGCTATGGCAACGATCTTGGCTCACCACAACCTCTGCCTCCCGGGTTCAAGCGATTCTCCTGCCTCAGCCTCCTGAGTAGCTGGGATTACAGGCATGCGCCACCATGCCCGGCTAATTTTGTATTTTTAGTAGAGACGGGGTTTCTCCATATTGGTCAGGCTGGTCTTGAACTCCCGACCTCAAGTGATCCACCTGCCTTGGCCTCCCAAAGTGCTGGGATTACAGGGGTGAGCCACCGTGCCCAGCCAATTCTGGACATTTCATATCAACAGAATCATAAATTATGTGGGTTTTGGGTCTGGCTTCTTTCACTTAGCATATTGCTCTCAAGGTTCATCCGTGTTGTGGTGTGTGCCAGTACTTCACTTCTTTGTATGGCTAAATAATATCCCATCATATGACTACAGGTATGTGCCACACGATGTTGCAGTCAATGATGAAATGCATATACGATGGTGGTCCCATAATATTATTGATTTTACTTGACAGAGTCTCACTCTGTCGCCCAGGCTGGAGGGCAGTGGCACGACCATAGTTCACTGCAGCCTCAAACTCCTGGGCTCCTGAAGCCATCCTCCTGCTTCAGCCTCCCAAGTAGCTAGTTTTTTTTTCCTTTTTACTTTTTGCAGAGACAGGGTCTTATGACATTGCCCAGGCTGGTCTTGAACTCCCAACCTCAAGCCATCCTCCCATGTGAGCCACCGTACCCAGCCAAGAGTTCTTGAGGTAGTCTAGATACAAGTTCCTTGTTACATAGATGATTTCCAAAATGTTCTCCCACTTTGTGGGTTGTCTTTTCCCTTTCTTGATAGTGTTCTTTGATGTACAAAGGTTGATTCTGATGACGTACAGTTCATTTTCTTTTATTGCTTGTGCTTTGGCGTCGTATCTAAAAAATCATTGCCTAACCTAAGGTCACAAAGAATTACACTTATTTTTCTCCTTATAGCTCTTCTTACATTTAGGTCTTTGGTCCATTTTGAATTAATTTTTGTATATGGTATGAGGTGGGGTCCAGTTCATTCCTGTGCATGCAGATATACAGTTGTTTTAGCGCCACTTGTTGAAAAGACTATTCTTTCCCCCATTAAATTGTCTTGGCGCTCTTACTGAAAATCAATTAACTGTTAATGTGAGGGTTTATTCTGGGCTCTCAGTTCTATTCCATTGATCTATATATCTATATGTCTATCCTTACACCAGTACCACACTGCAGTTAAATTCTGAAATCAGGAAGTGTGAGTCCTCCAACGTTGTTTTTTTTTTTTTTTTTTTTGAGACGGAGTCTTGCTCTGTTGCCCAGGCTGGAGTGCAGTGGCACGATCTCGGCTCACTGCAAGCTCTGACTCCCGGGTTCACGTCATTCTCCAGCCTCCCAACTAGCTGGGACTACAGGCGCCCACCACCACGCCCGACTAATTTTTTTGTATTTTTAGTAGAGATGTTAGCCAGGATGGTCTTGATCTCCTGACCTCATGATCCGCCCGCCTTGGCCTCCCAAAGTGCTGGGATTACAGGTGCGAGCCACTGCACCCAGCCTGTTCTTCTTTCTTAAGATTCTTTTGGTTGTTCTGGTTCCCTTACATTTCTCTGTGAATTTTAGGATCATCTTGTCAATTTCCGCTAATGAAGGCATCTTGGATTGTGATAGGGATTGCAGATCAATTCAGGAAGTATTGCCATCTTAACAATATTAAGTCTCTGATCCATGATCATGGGGTATCTTTCCATTTATTTGGGTCTTCTTTAATTGTTTTCAACAATGTTTCATAGTTTTCAGAGTATAAGTCTTGCACTTTTATTAAATTTATTCCCAAATATTTTATTTTGATGCTATCTTAAATGGAATTGTTTTCTTCATTTTCAATTTGCCCACTGCTACTGAAATACAATTGATTTTGGCATACTGATCTTATGTCCTGCAACCTTGCTGAACTCATTTAATTCAAATAGATTTTTAATGAGTTCCCTAGGTTTTTCTATACAAGATCATGTCAACTGAAAATAAAAATACTTTTACCTCTTCCTTTCCAATCTGGATGTTCTTTATTTCCTTATCTTTCCTAATTGCCCTTTATGATCAAATTTTGAACTAGTAACTAGTTTTGATTTGGCAGCCCCTTCCCAAAAAGTAGCAGCAGCAGCCGCTCAGACCCTAGGATGCCAGAGCTCTCATCCCCCCTGCTTTCCACACCTGCTGAGTGGATGCCTCCTCCACAGCTTTGCCTTTTGGGGAAAGGCTACCTGGTTGGCGGCCTCCCTGTATGCCCTTCTCTGGACCCAGCGGGGCTGAGCCCTCTGGGTGGAGGCACCTGGGCTCCCTTCCTGGCTGGTTTCCTGTAGGTCCAGCCGATGAGACAGAGGCACAGGCGGGAGACAAGGGTAGGTAGGAGGCGGTGGAGAGAGAACGTGGGGTGTGCCTTCCTCACTCTCTACCAGCTTTGATGCCACCATCCTGACCCAGGCTGTGTCTTGTCGCTATGACAGTTCCTGCTGGCATCCCAGTGTCCACTATTCAGCCCTCACTGGTGTTTGCAGGAAAGGCTATTTATTTATTTTTTTTTGGAGACAGAGTCCCGCTCTGTCACCCAGGCTGCAGTACAATGGCGCGATCTTGGCTCACTGCAACCTCCACCTCCCTGGGTTTAACCAATTCTTCTGCTTCAGCCTCTGGAGTAGCTGGGATTACAGGCACCTGCCACCATGCCTGGCTAATTTTTTTGTATTTTTAGTAGAGATGGGGTTTTGCCATGTTGGCCAGGCTGGTCTTGAACTCTTGACTTCAGGTGATCCGCCCGCCTCAGCCTCCCAAAGTGCTAGGATTACAGGCGTGAGCCACCACGCCCAGCCAGGAAATGCTATTTCTTCTCCTGACCCCTTCAAGCCTAGTGGTAGTAATGACTTTCCACTGTCGCTTGGTGCCTCAACTTCCCTTGTTGGGTGTCTGACTTTTCTTGGCTATTTAATTCAATTTATTAAAAATAGTGTGCAACCCTCAACCATTCCTGGGTAGTCTTGACTGCTATTCTGCTAGATGACACACCCCGACATCCCGTGGAGGAAGTCACTGTGGAACCTAGGTCAATGTGAAAGCCTGGTTCTCTGGGCGAACTGATTACCAAAGTACCCAGTCCATGAGCCAAGGCGATAGTAAAGAAATCCAATGGGAAACAGCTTCAGTTCCTGGAAGAGGAAAGTAAACAGCAACCCAGGCAGGACATGGCCTTGACTGTGTTTGCTGCTGTTTTCTCTCCCTATTCGTGACTCCTAGGAGAACATATCTTCATAGCCCCATGATCTGACCTTTCATCCTATGCTTTGGAGTTTGAGCACAAACACTGACTGGCTCAGAGGCTTCCCGGAGATGCAGCTCTGGGCATCCACTATTGCTGATTTTACTGTGATGGCCACATAGCAAGTGTCGGAATTGCTGATCATTTGTGTGAGCTGCTACTGAGTGCCAGCCACTGCACTGAGTGATTTCTATGATCTCAATCATCAGAGGGCTTGTAAGGGGAATATTATTGTAAGCATGGAAAGACACCCAGATGAACAGCTTGCCTATGGTCTCAGAGCTCAAAGCCACGTAGACCCCTGTCTGCCCGTCATGCCGAGCTGTGCCTCAGGTCCTGCCCTGCCACCTGGGAGTCCCTTGTAGATAGATTGTCAAGACTGATCATGCTAGTGATTAGTAGTTACCAATCTCTCCTCCCTGCCTGCCAACCTCAGCCACTCTCCTCCACCATCACTCTTGCCCTGGCCACTCCCGGGCCTGTGATCACACCCTCCTCTTCCTCCTCCAGCTGTATCACATCACAGTCACACCTGTGTGTCCCCCAAACTCTGACCACAGCCCTTCCCCCAGGCTAACTGTGTAATCACAGTGGTGCTGCCCAGCCAACCCCCAGCTGAGTGGACATTTTGTTTTGTTGTTTTGGAGTTCTGCAAATAGCAAGAGCTTCCAGTTTGCCTTTACCCTAAAATGCACACCCCAGGGATGGGAGGGAAGCACAGCGGCTGCGGCAAGCCGGGCTGTCAGGCGCCTACCCGCTACACCACCGCAGCCCATCCACCTGCTGAGCAGCTGCTGACTCGCCAGGCCTTACTTTTCTGCTCCACATTAGCAGGGGGGTGTTCATCCGAATATAACAGTTCCTCCTCAGGGGTGAGAAATTAGCTTGCTGAAAACCCCCACTGGGAGGAAGGAGGTATTCAGAGTCGGGGACCTGCGGTGGTGAGTGGATCTACGAAAGCCCTAGGGCCAGACTGCCTTTCCCATCTTCTTAGTCCCAATCCAGAAGCGATGCATTCTCAGCACTGCCAACTCCTTTCCCCAATCTGAAGGAAGAGGGCATGTCTTATAATAATTATGAAAACAAGAATAATTCATAATAGCTGGAGTGCCAGGCCTTGGGTGAGGCACCATCCTGATTGTCTCCTCAATACTCACAAGGCCAGTATGATTCTATCCAACCATGTTGTTGAGCTCATCCCTACGGACTATAATTATTATTATTTTAAAAAATATATTTTTTGGCTGGGCGTGGTGGCTCACGCCTGTAATCCTTGCACTTTGGGAAGCCGAGGCAGGTGGATCACCTGAGGTCAGGAGTTCAAAACCAGCCTGGCCAACTTGGCGAAACCCTGTCTCTACTAAAAATACAAAAAAAAAAAAATTAGCCAGGCGTGGTGGCAGGCACCTGTAATCCCAGCTACTGGGGAGGCTGAGGCAGGAGAATCACTTCAACCTGGGAGGCGGAGGTTGCAGTGAGCCAAGATGGTGCCATTGCACTCCAGCCTGGGCAACAGAGTGAGAGACTCCATCTCAGGAAAAAAAAAAAAAAAAAAAAAATATATATATATATATATACACACACCCACACACACCCACACACATATATACATTTTTTTTTTTTTTATTTAGAGACAGAGTCTCACTTCGTCACCCAGGCTGGAGTACAACGGCACGATCTCAGCTCACTGCAACCTCCGCCTCCTAGGCCCAAGCAATACTCCTGCCTCAGCCTCCCGGGTAGCTGGGATTACAGACACCCAGCACCATGCCCAGCTACAGACTATAATTATATTTAACAACAATATTGCTAGTGCTCTGCAGTTTAGAAGGCGCTTTAGCAGACACTCTCACTTGCTACTAAGAGTAACCTCGCCTGGTAGGTAGGACAAGCACATCTTCATTTGACAGAAGCTTTTACACAGAGCATGGGGCTTTCTGGCCTATCTCCCACCCCTAATGTCCCACACCAGTTCCTGATCTCCTGCCCCACCCCTCCTGCACCCTGCCCCTTCTCAGGTGACTCACTGTGTCAACATCCTTGAAGGAATGATTTCTGGTTCATGGCCCCAGAGCTGGAGCTTTGGAAGGATAATGGGAAAAGCAGCCAGGGTCCCTGCCCTCAAGAGACAAGCATTCTAAGGCTGGGCGCGGTGGCTCATGTCTGTAATCTCAGCACTTTGGGAGGCCAAAGCAAGCAGATCACTTGAGCCCAGGAGTTTGACACCAGCCTGGGCAATACGGTGAAACTCTGCCTCTAAAAAAATACAAAAATTAGCCTTGCATGGTGGCATGCGCCTGTAGTCCCAGCTACTCAGGAGGCTGAGGTGGGAGAATCACCTGAGCCTGGGAGGTCAAGGCTGCAGTGAGCTGTGATTGTGCCACCACACTCCAGCATGGGTGACAGAGCGAGACCCTGTCTCAAAACACACACACACACAAAAAGACACGAGTTCTAATGAAAGAGAAAGGACAAATACAAATAAGGAACTGTATGACTAAGTGGGATGGAAGGCCTGGCAGGGGTCACCTGGCCAAGTCTGGACCACAGGCTGCTGTGATTCTGTGGGAAGGGAACGGCATTAAGAGGAACGGCATTAAGAGTTAAACCTTGGGTTCAAGTTCTGGCTTTGCTATCATCCATCATATGACCTTGGGGAATTCACTCTACCTCTGGACCTGTTAGTCCGTCTACAAAACAGATTTATCCCTCTCAGCACAGAGCGCTGACAATTAAGGGATCTGTTTTACAGGAAACTTCAAATTGGCTCTTCGGTTTCAGAAACTGTAAACCACAATACATATGCAAAGGACTGTGATTAGATTTCACCTCATCAGAGGTATCAAGTGTTTACTGAGCAACAAACTGCCTGTAACACACACTTGAGGGATGGAGGATCATATAAAACATGGCCTCTGCCTTTAAGAAAATCACTATCTGCTGACGAGGCAAGACTGGCACAGCCAACATATAACAAACACATAGTGTGTGCAAAGGCACTGCTGTTAGAGAAAAGGGAGAGGAGGCAGGCCGAGCAGCTTAGGAGAGCTAAGTGAAGGCTCACAGAGGAGACGCTTGGCCTGGCCCTTAGCAAGGGTGCCAACGCCTGCTGTGTGAGTGCACTGGGGTGAGAGGGAGAAACAGGACCGGCTGTCCTCGTCTCCAAGGGCGGACTCCAAGCTGACTCTGTTCAGGGTCAGGGGCCAGTGGAGCCAGTTCAAATCCTGATCACAACCCCCTAATGCTAATTAATCTGGTTACCTAGAGGAACTAAGTTGTCTGAGACTCTGTAAAATAAGAATAATTATTTGACTTTGTATGTTCATTGGGAGGATGAAATATGAGAATGCATGTGAACTGGTCCATATTAGGGATGTAATACATGCTACAAATTAATAATCCTTGACATCAAATAAGGTCTGACTGCCAGGGTGGGATCAGATTTTGGAAGGTCAGAAGCACCAATAGAGAAATATAGACACAATGATTTGGGGGTGATCAGCATAGAAGTGACAGCCAAAGCCATGAGAAAGAGCTTGGCCTCAGCAAGGTGGGGAGGGCTGCTGCCCACAAGCCCAGCTCCGGCCACCAGCATGCTCCCTCCCCACCCGAACCACGGGTGCCTGGGCTGCCCAGGCCCTGGCGAGCTTAGCCCAGGGCATCACCACTCACCTGCTTTCCTGAGAAGAGCACAGGAGCAGAGGTGGAACAGCAGAAATGTGAGGAGGAGAAACTGAGGCAGGAATGAAACTGAAGGGATGGTCTTAAGAGGGGCAAACAAATACTGCTAGTATGTCACAGCACAGGAGCCCAAAAGAGAAGTTTCAGGCAGAGGTGGGCGGGCGGGGAGCCTGCAGTAACATGAACTCTCAAAGTTGTGGGGAAGGGCAGCACCAAAGCAGACAATGACCCAGTGAGAAGCTGACACGGAAGCAACGGAAGATGAATCAGGAGGTTTAAGGGAACGATATGCAGCCCCGCCTAAAAAGTATGCATTCATTCATTCAGTCACTTCTGAACGAGCCTTTACAACATGCCAGGCACTGTCGGTCATCAGAGAGAAAGTTGTGCAGGAGAGAACAGGTCCCTGTCCTCATGAAACTGACATTTCATTCCAGCCAGGAAACCAAGCACACAAACAAGACCAAAGATCCATCCTGATCGGTAAGTACTGTCTCCTGGCCTCAGACTCCCTCCTGATGGCAGGTCTCCCTCGGTGTCACAGAGAAAGGCACCACCTGACAGAGAACAAAGCCACGGTGCTCAATCCCTCCACCCCTGGCCTAGAACTCCCGGGGTGGGGAGAAAGGCATGTTCTTAACAATTGCTAATCCCGAGCAGTTTGGGACTAAGCAGAGGGAAATAGAGCTGAAGCATACACAGATGTCCACGTCACCTCCATCCCCCCAGTCTTTCCCCCTACGAGCATGCCCATGTACACACACATGCACACTGCATTTCTCCCCTCTCCTTGGATTGTTATCCCATGACCTGGCAGGGAGCCTGGCCCGTTTGCAGTTAAAGAACAAGAGGCCATTTGGAACCTGATCAGTTTCTCCTCCTCCTAAACTGAGGAAAAGGTTTTCTTCAAAATGGGAGATGTTCTCTCCCCTTAGATCTGAGCAGTGAGTCCTACTCAAACGCCAGAGGTCTGGTCTCCCAAAATACGGGTAGTAACATGTTTTTCCTGCACTGCTGTCTGGGAGGTCTCACATGTTGAACAGAGCATGACCTCAGCCCTCCTATTTCCCAGATTCCTAAAGGAAAGCCGGGCCTTTCTGTTCTGTAACTCCAGGGCATTTTGTGAAGGACTGAGCCGGCTGGGGAGCTGGAGCACAGCACACGAAGGGCCGGCTGGTGCTGAACTATGAGCAGGGCCTCCCCATGACCACTGGCAGCCATGCCATTTACACAAGGAACCATGTGGCCTTTCCCTCAACTGTCACCATCATGCAAGGGTGTTCTGGCCCAGAGCTCTTGGATCCATGGCCAAGGTCTTCTGTCCAAGGTCTCAGGCAAAACCTGTTCTCGGCCAGGAACAGTGGTTCACGCCTGTAATCCCAGCACTTTGGGAGGCCGAGGCGGGCAGATCACCTGAGGTCAGGAGTTCAAGACCATCCTGGCCAGCATGGTGAAACCCCGTCTCTACGAAAAATACAAAATTAGCCGGGTGTGGTGGCACACACGTGTAATCCCAGCTACTCGGGAGGCTGAGGCAGAAGAATCGCTTGAACCCGGGAGGCAGGGGTTGCAGTGAGCCGAGATCATACCACCGCACTCCAGCCTGGATGACAAAGCGAGACTCAAAAACAAAAACAAAACAACAACAAATCTGTTCTCAGGTCAAGTAGGGTTTGCCTACCTCCTGCCCCTCAGCTTGCCCATGCCTGACCAGAACAGTCCCCACAGCTCTTGAGAAATGATCTAGTCCAACCCTCCCCTAGATTCCTGTTCTCTAAGGACTGTTCCCATCCTTCTACCCTCTGCTCTTCTAACTGCTAGAAAGCTGCCAAGTTCCAGAGGGAAGAGCAACAATGGCCAGGATGTGTGGGCACCCCTACCCAGGACAAAGTGCCTAGAGGCCTCTGAAAGTCGGTTCTCTTACCACGGCAGTTGGTCTGCAGAGTTCCAGAGAGGCCACACTGTTCCTGTAACACCCAAGTCTGGGCCTGAGGCCTGCTGCCTGTTTATAATTGATGTTCTAGGTTAATCCCCTGTCAATGACTTTCCAGAACTGTCCCCTCCTTTACCGCTCCCAGGAGAGAGAGGCTGCTTGGGAGCCAATCTCTGGCTTAGGGGTGGGCCTTGAGTAGACTGAGGGAAGGATAAAAAAACAAACACTAGGTCAGGGGTGAGCTGGAAGAGCGGCGGTCAAAAGCCACTGCTCACAAGTTCTGGTGGAAAGATGAAAGGGCAGTGGTGTTCGAGTTTCACAAAGAAGGGAGGGCCAGGGCCAGGGCTGGGAAAGCCAGCCAGGAGAGAGACAGGGCATCTGGCCTAAGGAAAGGAGCAGAAGATTCAATGGGGAGAAGAAAAAAGAAGGAGTCTAATGTCTTCCTCCTTCCTGCCGAGACCTCACTATGCCTTGGGTTGTCCACCTGGGAACTGGTGACATCATGGGCCTGTCTCCCCACAGGGCCAGAAGACTGGATCCCTCACCAGGGCACATGTTACCTGGTGATTAGTGTGAGCTGGTGACCCAGTACGATTTATCAGCAAGCAGATGTTCACATGCTTGAACATACTATGAAACCACCCAGCTCAGTTCATTTAACAAAGTGTTATCCTAAAGGGCACCCCAGTAAGAAGCCAGAACAGAGTTCCCACCTACTGGGTACCACCCCACCATCGCAAGGAAGCAAAACACCAGGCTGAGCTCTGACCAGCTCCTTGGAGGAGGCACAGTCAATAGCTCACTGTTAGATCTTTTGCTTGGCCTCCCGAACCCGAGGCTAATTGGTCGGAGGTCTTGCATGGTTCGGCGCGCTCACTGTGTGACAGAAGCTGGCATCTGAAGAGAGCGGGTAGGCTGAGCCTGCTACGGGAACGTAAGTGCGCCCTGATCCAAGCCAGGCAGAGGTCTGAACACCCCGATGTCCCCGAGAACACGCGTTAACTGAAAAGTCAGGGTGGAGGGATCCTGCACATTCCTTCAGGTCCAGGATCCTGACCAGCACTGGCACCTCTGTTTCCGCCTCTTCTCTATCTTTTCCCAAGATGACAATAAGCAGCTTTCTGCTTCCCTTCCAGCCCATGAAGGAAGGGGGCTACCCGGAAGGTGAGCTCAGAATGAGACTCAAACCAGGGGCCCTATCTGGGAATAAAGAGTAGAGGATCAGCTGGAATGCCAAAGTGGGAAATGGCAGAAAGTCCCTGTTCCCCGTGTCCAGTGCTACAGCTGCTGGTTGTGACAATTCTTGTCCTTATCCTAGCACCCAGACAGGCACCGGGTGCCTCTTCCACAGCTGGAGGCAGAGAGGTGCCACCAACTCCCGTACTCGCCTTGAGATTTGCCTTCTGGCTGGTGTGCTGCTGGTGTGGGGCCAGAGCTGGAGGAAGTATCTGCATGGAGCCTGCACTCAGCCTAAGCCTCACCCAGGAGTGCCATTCACAGTGACTTGCCCAAGGTCATACTCGTCATGGACCCCAGCCATCTCCACTCATGCTTCATTCCTCAGCACACAGAGATCATGCAGGACATGATCTTCGGAACAGGTGTCCCTGCCGCTCCCCCCCGAAGAGAAGCTGCCTGAGAGTGGGGTCACAGCTTACTCAGCTCTGCCTGCAATGAGCACTTCACAGGCTGCTACTGGATTGGACCAAAAATGTCATCACCACCACGTGTCCTATTTGGTCCAGCGCAGCCTGCCTGAGTCTCCATCAGCACTGGGGAGCCGGAGCGGACAAGAAGACACAGTCCCTGCCCTCCAGGAGCTCACGTCAGGGAAGGCACTAGACACGTAAACAAAGAGGAGAAACCAAGTGTGGTGGGAGCCAAAGGAAGCAAATGCCAGTGCTGAACTAGTGATGGGAGGAGGGGACTCAGGTATCAGGAAACCATGGGAGTTGAGACTCACAGACAAGGTGAGTGACAGAGGACCGGCGGGAAGGGAAAAGGGAAGAGAGTGGTGTGGCCAGGACACGGGCCATTGTATGGTCACAAACCATGCAGTTTGGTATGGCTGGAACACCGGGTATGAGCAGAAGGGGACGCAGGGGCCTGACCACTCACTGCGGCAGAGCAACACAGCATGATCCATGCTGTCTTCAATTTACACAGAAAGCCCGGTGTTGAAAAATTCAACAATTAACCTTCCATGCAATTGTAAAATACCCTGAAACCAACAATTATGACGACTTTATAGGTGTTTTCTTCATCTGAGAAAAACACAAGCGGGGGGAGTAAGTGTCTGGCTTAAACGGTAGCAAGGTTATGCGCTGCTGCCCTGGCGAACGAGTCGCTCACATGCTCAACAACACTGTTAGTCCTGGGTGACAAACAGAACCAGGCTTCCAGCTGGAGGTTCCAGGTGGAGAACGAGTCGCTCTGTGCTCAGCTCTGGGTAGTGCTTACATCTGTCTCGTCCTTGTCTTGGCTCATGGTCCATCCTGCAGAAAGCTCCTTGTGCCATCAGGGCAGCTGGATGGACCCTTCTAATGGCCTTGGTCCCCCATTCTCCTCTGCCACCCCAAATCTAGCCACACATACATTGATGTCGTATGACTTCTATGGAGCAAGACAAGCAAGTAGAGTTTCTTTCATTTATTCGGAAAGCTTGTGAGGACTGTCCACTATGTAACACAAAAGATACTAGGTGCTATAGGGAAGCAGAGAGAGCGTGATGGCCCCACACTTTAAGAACTCACCATACGGCCGGTGGAAGCAAGATCTGCATGTGGCAAATTAGCATCCACCCCCAGAGTTAATTGTCAAAGAATAAGGCTGCAGGGCAGGGGTCACAGGGGCTAAGGTTTCCAGGCCTCTACTGTCCATGACCCCTAGAAAGATGCAACAAACCAACCACTTTGTGATACCAGCTCCAGGCCAGAGAGCAAAGGCTCTGGATTGACCCAACCCAACGCTAGTGCTGACAGTCTCACAGTGTCCCAGAATGCCCCAGTGTCCTTCCTCCTCCACACAAGTCACATAAACCCACTGTTGTCCCCTCCCAGCACTGCAGTTTGAGCTCTGGGAACTGTGTTTAATTGCAACTCCAACACTTAAGTCGCTCTTCAACTTGGGAATTTACGTAACCTTCTGAACTTTAGTTTCCTGATCTATAAAATGCAGAATGATCTGAGCCATCTTGTGGAGTTGCTATGAGAACCCAATGAGGTAACGTATTTTTGAAATACCTACGAGAGTCTAGCACGGTAGAGATGTCCAAAAAAATGACCCCAATGGTCAGCCCTTGTAATAATAGCCTTAGTCCTTCTCTCTTCCATCATGCCCTAGGGCCTCAATACAAGAGAGGTAGAGACCTAGACACAAGCTCAGGGAGGCTAAGAACAGAATGTCAGTCCCTTGTAGGATGGCAACTGGAAGGAGCTGCGAGATGTGAATCAGACAGTCATGGCCCTATCTCTGCTACTGTTACCAGTGCTGTGCCAAGAGGCAAGTCACCCCGCCATCCTGGGCTTCAGTTTCTTCCCCCACTAGACCAGGGATAATAATTACCAGCCTTCTTTACAGGAGCAGCCTGGACAAAAAAAAAAAAAAAACACCATAACCCAGGTGCAATGGCAGATGCCTGTAGTCCCAGCTACTCTGGATACTGAGGCAGGAGTTCGAGGCTGCAGTGAGCTATGATCACACTTGTAAATAGCCACTGCACTACAGCCTGGGCAACACAGCCAGAGCTTGCCTCTTTAAAAAAGTAATAATAAATAAGACACATCCCTGTCTTTAGTCTAGTTAAGAAGGAAGGCGTAAAGAGGAAGAGATTAAACAATATAAAGTTAAATTAATAGAAAGACAAGCATTGAAAAGAATACAAACTCAGGAACAAATTTAGCAAAAGAAATCCAAACCTTAGGCTGGGCATGGCGGCTCACACCTGTAATCCCAGCACTTTGGGAGGCCGAGGCAGGCAGATCATAAGGTCAGGAGTTCGAGACCAGCCTGACCAATATAGTGAAACCCCCATCTCTACTAAAAATACAAAAATTAGCCGGGTGTGGTGGCACATGCCTGTAAATTCCAGCTACTCGGAAGGCTGAGGCAGGAGAATCCCTCGAACCCAGGAGGCAGAGGTTGTGGTGAGCCAAAATCGCGCCATTGCACTCCAGCCTGGGCAACAGAGCAAGACAAGAAAAAAGAAAGAAAAGAAAAGAAAAGCAAACCTTATACACTGAAAACTATAAAAGACCCTCAAAAGAAATTAAAAATCTAAAGGAAAGGAAAGATACCACATGTTCATGGGTCAGAGACTTCCTGTTGCTAAGATGGGAATACTCGCCACACTGACCTACAATCCCCATCGCAATCCTAGATGTCCCAACAGTTTTGCCCACCACTGCCTTTGCACCATGGGTGCAAATGTCAACACACTGGAAAAGTCAAAGAACCTCTTGGTATTGTTATGGAAATCCTTTTGACTCACAGACCCCCCTGGAACAGACTTGAGGAGGTGTAAGGGCCTGGGGACCCTAGTTTGAGAACCACCAGTCTAGGAAGACACTCCTTGCTGGCCTGGGAGAAAGTAATGCCAGTTTTGGAATAAAACAAACAAGCTTCTTCACCTTGGGACACAAGAAGAGGCAGCGAGGTGAGCGGCGTGATTCCTGCACTGAGTAGGTGGGATGGCTGACCTCAGCGCTGTGTGACTGACAGCCGTAAAGGGTGGAGTTCAGCTGAGCAGCCGCTTCCTGTGGGCACTTCCAAATCTAACAACCTGCTCTCCGCTGGTTTCCTCTCCACCCTTTCCATTCCTTTGACCTCAACACAAAATAGGCAGCTTTGATTCACAGGATCCTTTTCCTGCTTCCCCACTAGAGTGGGCCAAGAGGGAATGGGGATGGTTGGGGAAGGAGGGCAAGAAGCAGCAAGGGAAGAGGACGGCAAATACTATCAGCTCCTGCCTCTGCCCAGCTGCCCCCAGCCTCAGTTCACCCTGGGGTGGGGAGGGGTCTCCCAACAATTCCCACCACATTCCCTTCCTGCCATTTAGCCCCCTAGTTCAATGTTAACGAAGGGCTTCCTCCTGCCACAGCTGAGGTCACTGGGTAGGGAAGGCTCCTTCTCTCATTACCGCAGTGATAAGCCCCCACCCAGCAACCCACACGAGACCCCAAGCTGGCTCAAAGCCCATTCCTCACAGGATATTCAGTAAAACAACGTGAAACCCGGGTGGGAATGAATTTCTCATTGGAGACGAGACTGTTAGAACGGCAGCAGCAGTAGTAAAGCCGCTTGGCCTGTGGCGCCAAAGGCAGAAAACAAAGTACCATTCAGGCCCTGGGGACACACAATAGGCCCTTATGCTCTTTTCTGGTTCAGGCGCAGAGCTGCTAAGCAGAGCTAGAGGGCCCAATGGGTGGCCCCTGGGCAGATCTAGGATGCATGGGGCCCCAGACAAATACATTATGGGGACTCGTCTATATAAAAACTTGAGTCACTCAAAATTAGTGCATCAGCACCATTCTGGCAGCCCAATCTCACATGATTCCCACTAAAGAAATACTGCAGGCTGGGCGCAGTGGCTCACGCTTGTAATCCCAGCACTTTGGGAGGCTGAGGTGGGCGGAACACAAGGTCAGGAGTTTGAGACCAGCCTGACCAACATCTCTACTAAAAAAATACAAAAATTAGCCGGGCGTGCCTGTAATCCCAGATACTCAGGAGGCTGAGGCAGGAGAATCTCTTGAACCTGGGAGGCGGAGGTTGCAGTGAGTCAAGGTCACGCCACTGCACTTCAGCCTAGGCAACAAGAGAGAAACTCTGTCTCAAAAAAAAAAAAAAAAGAAAGAAAGAAAGAAATACTGCAGCCATCTCCCGGAACTGGGCCCCAGGACGACTCCACAGAACAGCTGTTGTCCCTGTGCAACGTAGAGGGATGGAGAGTACCCCAAAGGATCCCAGGGTGGGTTTGCAACACCCGTGGCCAGAATGGTACTGGGAGCCCCAGCCAGCCCCAGGCACTGGAGGAGGACCTGGAAAATTTGGAGGAAGGTACCCCTCAGGTGTAGAGTCTGAACAGGGGCCACATGTGCCCAGGCCTAAGGCTGCTACTGACCCTGAGGACACACAGCCACAAAGATGGGTTTGAAGGATTAAGAATGTTGCCCTCAAAAAAGAAATCTAGGAACTCAAAGCCCAGGTACGTCTCGTTTCCTCCTCTCTGGGGTTATCAAGCTACCTGGGCAATCCAAACACTTCGGTAAGTCAGCAGGTCTTTCTCTTTCTCCCTACTGGATAAAACAGGGTGGTCTGTTTTGATTTTTACAATGTATTCCTGCCCCTCTCTCTCCATAAGGTCAACAGGTAAGAAGCCAGGAAAAAAGAAAGGCTTTGCAGCTGGGTGCGGTGGCTAACGCCTGTAATCCCAGCACTTTGGGAGGCCGAGGTGGGCGGATCACCTGAGGTCAGGAGTTCGAGACCAGCCTGGCCAATATGGTGAAACCCCGTCTCTACTAAAAATACAAAAATTAGCTGGGCGTGGTGGCAGGCACCTGTAATGCCAGCTACTAGGGAGGCTGAGGCAGGAAATCGCTTGAACCTGGGAGGCAGAGTTTGCAGTGAGCCGAGATGGCGCCACTGCACTCCAGTCTGGGCAACAAGGGTGAAACTCTGTCTCAAAAAAAAAAAAGAAAGAAAGAAAGACTTTGCCAGGATCCCTTTGAGGGAAGGACTGAGTCTGGCCCATAGTAAATGCTCAAAAAAGGTAAGTAAAGAACAAACACAGATAATCTACAAACTGATAATTCACTGCCAGGCAAGGAGGCATTTAATTCAACTCCAAACAGGCCTTGTCCCCTCGAGGCATTTCTGCCGTCGCCTCCAATTACACTACCAGGGACTGTTTAGTAGTAGTGCCAGGCAGGTTGTGGTGGCTCATACCTGTAATCCTAGCACTCTGGGAGGCCAAAGTGGGAGGATGGCTTGAGTCCAGGAGTTCAAGACCAGCCTGGGCAACATAGCAAGACTCCACGTCTAGAAAAAAAAATTAGCTGGGTGTGGTGGTACGTGCCTATGATCCCAGCTACTCCAGAGGCTGAGGTGGGAAAGTCACTTGAGCCTGGGGGAGTTCAAGGCTGCAGTGAGCTATGATGGTGCCACTGCACTCCAGCCTGGGTGACAGAGCAAGACCCTGTCTCAAAAACAAAACAACAACAACAAAAAAACTAGTGTCAGCAGGGTCCTAGGGTGCGCCAATGGGGAGGGCTCACAAGGCAAACAGACAGCTCCAGCAACCAGACTCCAGCCAGGGAGGGAGGGAGGGAGGGTGCTGCTGCCATAAGCTCCTCCCGCCCTCCACTCCATTTCACAGAGAGCACGGTGGAGTCTCTGAAACCTGCCTAAGGTTCCCCATGTTCTGCCAAGCTCCACAGCAAGGCACTGCCTGCTGCGAGAGGCAGATAACCACAGTGGGAGGGAGGCTTCCCCTGATGGGCCAGCAGGGTTAGGGCACTCTCATTACCCGCTGCCTGTGCAGCAATGATCACAGCTATAATTGAACAGGGAATGGCCTTCTGCCAGTCCCCCCTGATGACAGGAGATGGCTGAGGCCTTCTCCCTGCTGTGTCTCCAGCATGAAGCATGCGGCCTAGAACACAGTCCTGCTCGGTAAACAGTTGTAGAGCAAAGGCAAGTCTCCCTAAGCCACACGGCAGCCCCTGGAGCTGAGGGCCAGCTGTGGACCACTCCGTGCCCTGTGATCCTGCAGGGAGCAAGGGCTCCAGGGGTGATTCTGCTCCATCCATGGAGGGGTGTACCAGGGCCCTGCCCGCAGGGGGAGCTACCAGGGGAGGGACCACAGGCCTCAGAGGTGGCATGCCAGGTTCCGAGACTTCCTCGATTTATCCTAAAGTCTCACGCTAACGTAACAGAGAGGGCAGTCAGGCAAAAAATCCTGGTGCTGACAAGCACATGGTGTTGGGGGAAGCCTGGTCCCAATCCTCTGAGGCCCCAGATTTGGTTCTGTCTCCCTTCTTTCTTCGTCCTTTACAGGCAATAGCCACTGCCTCTTTCGGCACTTTGAGCTCAGTACTAACTACCCCTCCCATAGTCTCAGTCTTTCCTACAACGCTCTTTACAGCCTCCACTCCCTCTGCTTTGGTCCTTCCTCCTCCTTACCCTCCAAAACAAACACACCAACTGTGTTTCTTTCAGCCACTGCTTCTGCTGGAACTCCCCTATTGCTGGAGGGGATCAGCAGGAACAAATGCGCTCTGTGCAGGGGCCACGTCTGTTCCCCAGCTCTCACTCACCACACTTGGCCCAGCCCCTGTGGTCTTTCCCTTAGCGTAGGTCAGGCCAGGCCCACAGCTGTAGACAGCAAGCCTGTCCTGCTCGTTGCCAAGCAGTTTTATTTTACTATTACTATTGTTTTGTAGAGATGAGTTCTTACTGTGTTGCCCAGGCTGGTCTTCACCTCCTGGGCGCAGGTGATCCTCCGACCTCGGCCTCCCACAGTGCTGGGATTACAGGCGTGAGCCACTGTGACCGACCTGCCAAGCAGTTTTGTATGTGCAGTCTGTGCTCTGAACAGGGTTAAGGAGGACTTCACCGTCTAAGCAGATCTGGCTTATAGGCAGCAAATTACTCACCTCAATTTCTGGGGGACCTGAGTTCCTAGGAGCTGCCAGTCCTGAGACCACAGTTTAGTCACCTTAGTCTCCCCAAAGGCTAACAGAGCAGTGATCCAAGAAGGCACTGGGTAAAGATAGGGAACCAATAAACGTGGAAGGGAGAAAAGCATGACACTACAGAAAGTACAAAAGATTTGGGAGCAGAAAGGCCGGGTGTGGTGGCTCATGCCTGTAATCCCAGCACTTCGGGAGGCCGAGGCGTGCGGATCACGAGGTCAGGAGATTGAGACCATCCTGGCTAACACGGTGAAACCCCGTCTCTACTAAAAATACAAAAAATTATCCGGGCGTGGTGGCAGGCACCTATAGTCTCAGCTACTCAGGAGGCTAAGGCAGGAGAATGGCGTGAACCCGGGAGGCAGAGTTTGTAGTGAGCCGAGACCGTGCCACTGCACTCCAGCCTGGGTGACAGAGTGAGACTCTGTCTCAAAAAAATAAAATAAAATAAAATATTTGGGAGCACAAAACCTAGATTCCAGCCCTAGTTCGTCATGACCCTGAGCAAATCATCTACAAACCAAGAGCCCTCACCCCATGCAGGAATGTTTTTGTTTTTGTTCCTTTGAGACAGAGTCTTACTCTGTTGCCCAGGCTGGAGTGCAGTGGCACCATCTCAGCTCACTGCAACCTCAGCCTCACAGGCTCAAGGGATTCTCCTGCCTCAGCTTCCTGAGTAGCTGGGATTACAGGGGCGCGCCATCACACCCGGCTAATTTTTGTATTTTTAGTAGAGACGGGGTTTCATCGTGTTGGTGAGACTGGTCTCAAACACCTGGCCTCAAGTGATCCACCCCGCCTTGGCCTCCCAAAGTGCTGGGGGCCCAAACTGTGAGCCACTGTACCTGGTCCCCACTTAGAAATGTATATTAAAGCACTCTACTTATCAGAAGGGTCTATGCAAATTGGCGTAGGTTTCCAGAGATCACCCTTCACTTTTTCCTACCTAGGATGGAGTTCAAGAGCATAGAGAATTGATAAGCTAAGAGGTCAAGTCTGAAATTCTAGAACTAAGCTCCAAGGAAAACTAGAACCAGGCCGGGAGGACTGATGCTATTCTGAAGGCTGCGTTTGTTGCTTTGGACGCTGTCCTCAATCTTGTCTTGTGTATGTGTGTTGCCTTAGCTAGACGTAAGCTTCAGAATGTCTAACACCTACATGATGCCTGTCCACTGCTCTGGTGGACATGAAATTACTGATAAGGGGAAAGGGTCTGGAAAACTCCTGGCATTCTGTATAATAACGGAGAAATTTATCTGGCCTGAACTTGGGTTACCTGGGGCAAGAGGCACCTGAGCCCAGCCTCAGCCTTCTAGGATTACGGCACTCATACCCTGGGGTGAGCTGCAGGGAAAGACCTCCATGGGCAGCCTAGAGCCTGGGATGGTCCAGGAGGACCTCCTGCTGCAGGAAGGGGACAAACTGGAAGCTGGTTAGCTTTCCCCTAAGTTAGCACATACCTGATAGAGCACCCACCATCAATTGCAAAATCTTTAGTCAAATGCCCAAGTCCTTTCCCCCACAGCAGCCTGTGAGCCCTCTAGGTGGTGATAGAAACAGCAAATAGAATCCTTTTTCCTCCTCTTAAAGAATTTTGCATTAAAGAAAAATTCACATGCAAGGCAATTAAAATTCCTCTTTCCATTCCCAAGTCCTGTAGAAGGGAGGTACACAAACTATAATGTTTTGAGTCCACTAGAACCAACTCTGCAATTAACATTATACTTCTAGGTAGGGCGTGGTGGCTCATGCCTATAATACCAGCACTTTGGGAGGCTGAGGCAGGAGGATTGCTTGAGCCCAGGAGTTCAAGACCAGCCTGGGCAACAGAGTGAGACCTTATTTCAAAAAACATATACAAAATCTACTTTTTTTTTTTTTTTTAAAACAGAGTCTCGCTCTATTGCCCAGGCTGGAGTGCAGTGGCGCAATCTTGGCTCACTGCAGCCTCCGCCTCCTGGGTTCAAGAGATCCTGAGCAGCTGGGATTACATGCACGCGCCACCAAGTCCAGCTAATTTTTTGTATTTTTGTAGAGATGGGGTTTCACCATGTTGGCCAGGATGGTCTCGAACTCCTGAGCTCAAGTAATCCGCCCACCTCAGCCTCCCAAAGTGCTGGGATTACAGACGTGAGCCACCATGCCCAGCCCAACAAAATCTACTTCTGCCATTCTCTTTTTAGGGGTGTGGGTATAGAGATAAGTAGGGAGATAAGAGGCAGAAGAATAAATAAAAGGCTTCCTCACCCCCTAAGCCACGCCAAACACGTGTGACCTCCAAATAGTCTTCCCACTCTGGCCTCAAAGCAGAGCCCCAGCCCAGTGAAGAAGGCCCAGGAGGAGGGAGCAGCAACATTCAGAACATTCAGAACTTCTCCCTGGAAGATTTCATCTATCCAGAAGTTCCTCTAATAGGGCAGCTCAGAGAGGAACTAAACCAAGCCCCGTCAAGTTTCCAGCACCCATATCAACAAGAGGGTTTCTGGAGAGTCCCTGAAGACTCACATAATCCTGGGACTGTGGGCCCAGGTGGATTACCTCAAGCTGTCTAGGTTAGCCTCAAAAGGTGAAATGAATGGAAAAAACTTTCTATTTTCAAATTCTCTCTTCAAGCCAGGTGCGGTGGCTCAGGCTTGTAATCCCGGCACTTCGGGAGGCCAAGGGAGGTGCATCACTTGAGGCCAGGAGTTCCAGACCAGCCTGGCCAACAGGATGAAACCCTGTCTCTACTAAAAATACAAAAATTAGCCAGGCGTGGTGGCACATGCCTGTAATCCCAGCTACTCGGGAGGCTGAGGCATGAGAATCACTTGAACCTGGGAGGCAGAAGTTGCCATGAGCCAAGATTGAGCCACCGTACTCCAGCCTGGGCAACAGAGTGAGACTCTGTCTCAAAAATAAAACAATTATCCCTTCGCCCACACCCTTAAAGAATATTTTTGCAGAGCCCTGGGTGGGGCCTGTGACTCTGAGATCTCCAGGAGCTTGACAAGCTGGGAAGAGATGAGAAGTCATTGGCTGGCGAGGAAGGGCAGGGGGACGAGGTAGTGACAACAGTCAAATGGGCTCCAGCCAGAGGCAGTGAATACACCAGTGCTGAGGATCTGTGCTAGGAACAGCAAACAGATACCAAGGTTGGGGAGAGGGATCTAAGTCACTGAGAAAAGAATGAGGCCTGGTAGTGAGGAGCTTGGTTCAGGCATCCTCTTTGCATGAAGTCAGAACTGAAACCTAGGCGTTAGTGTTACAGCACTTTTAGAATTTGTCTAGCAGGCTTTCAGGTCTTTGCCAGAAAGCCCCATTAAAAATAAAAACAAAAACCTAAGCCATAAGTCCTGGAGAAGAGGTACAGAGATGCTGTATCACTCAAGAGGAATGCCTGGGTTTAGAAAATGGGCATCAGGTCAAAGGCACATCAGTGACCCAAACTTCTGCAAATGGCTTGATAATAGCAGTTACAGCCTTGAAATGTAGGTTACCATGGTGCCTAGCACAAAACGGTTGTTGAATGAATAAATGAATGAACGGACTCAGAACAAGGCTGGCTCATTCTGGTAATCAAACACAGAGAGAAGGCTGTGTAAGTGATGAGGGAGGACCCAGAGTATACCACGCCTCTTGCTGTGGCACAGAGGAGGGGAGGAGGGGAAAGACGAGAGAGATGGTGTTCTCAGACTTCACAGGCCAACACGATGAATCCAGCTGGCTCAGAAGACACCCTGCAGAAAGGTGCCAGGCTACTCATTGGAGGGAACTTCCCTGTAACTGGTATTTACCCAGCACCCCGTCACCCTCCTATGGGCAACAGAAATTTCTGTCTTCTTTTTCCTGCCACAAGCCCCTGCCTAACAGCTGAAACTGTTAGGAAAACCTGAAACTTAAATTCACCTTTGGAAAGAAGCCCCATATCTCGGATGATAAAGCTGGGACAAGCGGAGGGGGACAGGAAAATGGATATGGACCTAACACTGGAGAAAGTGGCAGCCCCGGGAAGGCCTGTCCCCTGGGGACCTGTTTGGAGCATCAGAGAGGACAGAGAGCCAACCCTATAAGCAACAGCTTCCCAGCAATCCCAAGAATCGTAGAGCCATTTCTTTGTCTTCGCCGCACCCTCCTCCAAGCAGCCTCCCCGCCTTGACTCCTTCCTTCTGTGGGGTATCAGAACTCCAACCTCCTCAGGGAACAGAGCTGGGCCTGGATGCAAATGTAACATGTTCAGGACATGGAAATACAGGCATGAGGCTGGGCGTGGTGGCTCACGCCTGTAATCCCAACACTTTGGGAGGCCGAGGCAGGTGGATCACCTGAGGTTTGAGACCAGACTGACCAACAAGGTGAAACCCCGTCTCTATTAAAAATACAAAAATTAGCCAGGCATGGTGGTAGGTGCCTGTAGTCCCAGCCACTCAGGAGGCTGAGACAGGAGAATTGCTTAAACCCAGGAGGCAGAGGTTGCAGTGAGCCGAGATCTCCAGGCTGGGTGGCGGAGCGAGACTCCGTCTCAAAAAAAAAAAAAAAGAACAGAAATACAGGCATGAGGCAAGGGCAACGTGGCTGAGGACGAAATGCCTTACTTGGCCCTTGGCTCAACGGCCACCTGACTGCATCCATTTATGTGCCAGTTCCCTTGGAGTCGTGAGGAAGACAAACCACTTTCACTAGGGCAACACGGAGCGTGGAAACGACCCCGCTAAAAACCCAGCTGCTTGCTAAAAACACTTCTCCTTTACATTTCTTCAAACTCTTGGGTAGGATTATCTTTCTTTTCCCGATAGCCTTAAAGAACCAGTATTTCAGGGAGGAAATAAAAGGAAAAAGAGAACAGAGGCCAAGGATAATTTTGTAAAACAGATGAAAACCAAGATGTCTAAGCAAAGAACCCTGCTTCCTCCCAGACCCCAGGCATTGCGTCAGATGCTACTGGGGTAGGAAAAATAAAAGGAAGCCAAAGACTCTGCAAAGGACACAAGCACAGAAATGACAAAGCAAAAACCTGGAGCCATTCAGGGAAATAAAAGCACAAACACACGGCCCTCTGGGGGTGGTGGCTTTGTTCTGGTGCAGGGGAAGGCAGGGGCATGGGCGGTGGGGTGGGAGACAGGAGCCTAGATCTGAGCTCTGCCACTCCCGAGCTGGATGGCCCTGGACAAGCAGTTCACCCCTTGGAGCCTCAGTTTCTTCAAGGTAACGCCTTTTACCTCCAGAGCTGTTGCAGTAAGTAGAGATAATACATGAAGAGGCCCCAGGACAGCAGAACAAACTTAGTTGCCATGATTATTCTACTGTTGTATTCTTTTATATAAATTTAGTTCTAGATGAGGAAAAACCAAACAGCAGATCCAAAACCACCCAAGAGTTCTAATCTCGTTTTCCCCACACTTTGGAACTGTCCCTGAGATCTGACTGTCAAGGATCTACAAAGAGAAAGCTGCCCACTGTGACATCACTCGCAAGGAGTTCTCTCCCTCACCCCATCTTCCTCATGACAATTCCCCTGTGCTTGTGAATGAGGGTAGGGGTCCCTTTGTCCCCATAAAGCCCAACCAGCACCTACAATCCCAGAATAGATTTACTGACGAAGTAAAGGGGTTTCAGAGAGTCTTAAGTCAGAGAGGAGAGTGTGGGGCTGGAAATCTAAACAGAATAACGACAAGAAAGATGAGGAGACAGCTACAGACAGTTGAACTTTCACTCAATAAATAACTGCACCATTCTAAGATTAAAACAGTCTTTCAGTCATCAGCATTGGCTGGAAAAAGCAATGAGCCTAGACCGGGCACAGTGGCTGAGACCTGTAATCCCAACACTTTGGGAGGCTGGGGCGGGCGAATCACTTGAGGTCAGCAGTTCGGGACCAGCTTGGCCAACATGGTGAAACCCCATCTCTACTAAAAATACAAAATTAGCTGGGCGTGGTGGTGCGCGCCTGTAATCCCAGCTACTTGGAAGGCTGAAGCAGGAGAATCGCTTGAACCCAGAAGGTGGAGGTTGCTTGTAGTGAGCCGAGATCGAAAGAGCAAGACTTTGTCTTAAAAAAAAAAAAAAAAAAAAAAAAAGCAATGAGCCTAGCTAGCACTTCCAGAGGTGCATCCACAACTCCAGCACTTCCAGAGGTGCATCAGGGATAAGTACCTGGTCTTCCTCCACTCTTTCATTTCTGTCTCTGGCCCAGATCCCCACATGGCTGCCAGCAACACAGCAACACAAGGAAGCCCAGAGCCACAGACAGCTGGAGAAGATGAGGCTTCTGCATCACTGAGATGGCTCATTAGTTTCACTTCACTTCTTAGGCTTTAACCCTGACTCTGATAAACCATCTTGTCCAAGCTTGCTGTTAGCTAAAACAGGGGTCTCAGACAGGGAGGCAAAGGTATGAGATTGTCCTTGTTCCTAGAAAAATGACTCTGAAGAAAAAAAGCAAGGCATAGTCAATAACACTAGCTTCATAAGGACAGAATGGCCCACCATTGCTGCCACATCCCATCTTGAGGCGTGCTGAGCAATGATGGCGCAGCAGGGAAAGGCGAACACACAATAATGTGGGGCAAGAAGTCGGGCTAGGCACCGGGCGCGGTGGCTCACGCCTGTAATCCCAGCACTTTGGGAGGCTGAGGCGGGTGGATCACGAGGTCAGGAGATCGAGACCATCCTAACACGATGAAACCCTGTCTCTACTAAAAATACAAAAAATTAGCTGGGCGGGGTGGCATGCAACTGTAGTCCCAGCTACTAGGGAGGCTGAGGCAGGAGAATCGCTTGAACCTGGGAGGCGGAGGTTGCAGTGAGCCAAGATTGCGCCACTGCACTCTAGCCTGGGAGACAGAGTCTAGCCTGGGAGATAGAGCGAGACTCCGTCTCAAAAAAAAAAAAAAAAAGAAGTCGTGCTAGGCACAGCTCCACCACATGACACAGGGAAAGAGAAAAGAGACCCATCGGTTCATTCCTTCCTTACAAGACAGCTATGGAATACATAGGATTTGGGTTTGTTTTTGTTGTTTTTGTTTTTGAGACAGAGTTTTGCTCCGTCGCCCAGGCTGGAGCGTAGTAGTGGCGCGATCTCGGCTCACTGCAACCTCCGCCTCCCAGATGCAAGTGATTCTCCCGCTTCAGTCACCCAAGTAGCTGGGATTACACATGTGCAGGTGCACCACCACACTCAACTAATTTTTGTATTTTTAGTAGAGATGGGGTTTCACCACATTGGCCAGGCTGGTCTCAAACTCCTGGCCTCAAGTGATCTGCCCACCTTGGCCTCCCAAAGTGCTAGGATTACAGATGTGAGCCACCATGCCCGGCCAATACAAAGGGTTTAAAAGGTCACAGAAAAGCACATAGCTTCAGAATGTCACAAGACCTCAAGGCAAAAAAAAAAAAAAAAAAGAGAAAAAGAAAAAAAGTGGCCAAGAAAAGTGGCTCACACCTATAATACCAGCACTTTGGGAGGCTAGGGCCAGTGGATCACATGAGGCCAAGAGTTCAAGACAAGCCTGGCCAACATGGCAAAACCATGTCTCTACTAAAATACAAAAATTAGCCAGGTGTGGTGGCACACACCTGTAATCCCAGCTACTTGGGAGGCTGAGACACAAGAATCGCTTGAACCCAGGAGGCAGAGGCTGCAGTGAGCTGAGATTGCGCCACTGTACTCTAGCCTGGGCGACAGAGCAAGACTCTATCTCAGAAAAAAAAAAAAAAAGAAAGAAAGAAAGAAAAGAAAGGAAAAGTTGAGCCAGGCATGGTGGCTCACACCTGTAATCCCAATGCTTTGTGAGGCTAAGATAGCAGGATTGCTTGAGGCCAGGAGATCAAGATCAGCCTGGGTAACATAGCAAGACCCCATCTCTACCAAAAAAAAAAAAAAAAAAAATTAGCTAGGCATGACAGTGCACACCTCAATTAAAAAAAAAGAAAGAAAGAAAGGAAAAAAGTTAGAAATTAAGGATGCTGACTTAGCAAAACAAATGGCACACTATTCTTCCTTCTTTTGGCACCATCTCAGCTCACTATAATCTCTGCTTCCCAGGTTCAAGTGATCTTCCCACCTCAGCCTCCTGAGTAGCTGAGACTACAGGTGCGCACCACAATGCCTGGCTAATTTCTTATAGATACAAAAAATTAGCATGTGTCAGGGTTTCACCATGTTGCCCAGGCTGGTCTTGAACTCCTCAGCTCAAGCAATCCACCCATCTTAGCCTTCCAAAGTGATAGGATTACAGGCCTTGTGAGCCACTGAGCCTAGCCTATTATTCCTTCTTATTTGCAAACAAGACAGACATGATCTTTGGACAAAAGGACAATGAAGGAGGGGAGGTATCGGGGGAAACAGCCCCTGATAGTCAGGTAGGTTCTTTTCTATTTTCCCTAAGTGTCAGCCAGTCTGAGAAATAAAGGGACAGAGTACAAAAGAGAGAAATTTTAAAGCTGGGTGTCCAGGGGAGACATCACATGTTGGCAGGTTCCGTGATGCCCCCCAGCCATAAAACCAGCAAGTTTTTATTAGTGATTTTCAAAAAGGGAGGGAGTGTACTAATAGGGTGTGGGTCACAGAGATCATGTGCTTCACAAGGTAATAGAATATCACAAGGCAAATGGAGGCAGGGCGAGATCACAGGACCACAGGACCGGGGTGAAATTAAAATTGCTAATGAAGTTTCGGGCACGCATTGTCATTGATAACATCTTATCAGGAGACATGGTTTGAGAGCAGACAACTGGTCTGATCAAAATTTATTAGGCGGGAATTTCCTCGTCCTAATAAGCCTGGGAGCTCTACGGGAGACTGGGGCTTATTTCATCCCTACGGCTTAGACCATAAAAGACGGCTGCCCCCGAAGCGGCCATTTCAGAGGCCTACCCTCAGGGACGCATCTCTTTCTCAGGGATGTTCCTTGCTGAGAAAAAGAATTCAGCAATATTTCTCCCATTTGCTTTTGAAAGAAGAGAAATATGGCTCTGCTCCGCCCAGCTCACCGGCAGTCAGAGCTTAAGGTTCTCTCTCTTGTTCCCTGAACATCGCTGTTATCCTGTTCTTTTTTCAAGGTGCCCAGATTTCATATTGTTCAAACACACATGCTCTACAAACAATTTGTGCAGTTAACACAATCATCACAGGGTCCTGAGGCGACATACATCCTCCTCAGCTTACAAAGATGATAAGATTGAAAGATTAAAGGCAGGCATAGGAAATCACAAGGGTATTGATTGGGGAAGTGATAAGTGTCCCTGAAATCTTCACAATTTATGTTCAGAGATTGCAGTAAAGATAGACATAAGAAATAAAAGTATTAATTTGGGGAACTAATAAATGTCCATGAAATCTTCACAATTTATGTTCTTCTGCCATGGCTTCAGCGGGTCCCTCCGTTCAGGGTTCCTGACTTCCCGCAACAGGGAGGGGAGTTAAAAAAAAAAAAAAAAGAAGGCAATGGCATCATACATCGTAGGCTACTGTCTAGCAGAAGGTATCTAAGAAGTTTTTTAGAAGAAAATGAGTCAAACTCAAGATGCAGAGAAGATAATGAAATGATATGGCAAAAAGATAAGAAGCATGTTTCTTTGCAGATGTGGAATTGCTTGGAGGACTGTGATAAAGGCCACTGTCCAGGCAAGGCCATTATCTGAATCTCTTATAATTAGCAGATATTACCCTTGTGATCAGAAAAGGCAAGCAAACTATTTCTATCTGAAATATACCACTTACAAATATAAAATGTACAGCTCTTACTGAAAGGCTAACAGTTTAAGGAATATTTTCTTTTGAAATAATCTGGAACAGAAAGTAATTATCTACACTAATGAAACAGGAATAGCAAGCAAAGATAATTCAATAAATATTTATAGAGTACTTCTTAAGTGCTTGGCATCACATAGGAAGCAGAATTTTTTAAAAAGCTTATCAGACTTTGAAAGTAAGGCTTACCATTATCAATGATCACAAAATCCTGGAAATAAGCCAAGTATTCAACAGTAGGCAAACAGTTAAACAAATCATGGCAAGTCAACACAACCGGGGTCTAGGGACATGACCAACTAGAATTGTTTAATATATAGGCCTAATGATGCACATATTCTGGTTACCAGTACTATACAGTTCAGTGGTTTTTAGCATATTTATAATGTTGGTAACCAACTATCCAATTCCAGAACCTTTTCATCACTCCAAAAAGAAACCTGGTACCACTAGCTGTCATTCCCCATTCCCACCCACCCCCAGCCCCTGGCAACCAGTAATCTGCTTTCCATCTCTATGGCCTATTCTGGATATTTCCTAGAAATGTCATATAGTATGTGACCTTTTGTGTCTGGCTTCTTTTGCTTAGCACAATGTTTTCATGGTTCATCCATGTCGTAGCATGTGTCAGAACTTCACTCCTTTTTATGGCTGAACAACATTCCACTGGATGGGTAGGCCACATTTTGTTTAGCCATTCATTGGTTGATGAACATCTGGGTTGTTTCCACCTTTTGGCTCTTTTTTTGTGTTTTGAGACGGAGTTTTGCTCTCGTCGCCCAGGCTGGAGTGCAATGGCATGATCTCGGCTCACTGCAACCTCTGCCTCGCAGGTTCAAGCGATTCTCCCACCCTCAGTCTCCTGAGTAGCTGGGATTACAGGCATGCACCATCATGCCCAGCTAATTTTTTTTTGTATTTGAATAACGCTGCTGTGAACGCTCACACATATATTACATTTTAAATATGTAATTTTTAACTATCCAGGCTGGCCTCCCCTAGTCATGCTTTAATTAGTCAAGGACTTGAACTCAGCAGTATGACTCTAGAGCTCGACTCCCAGCCACACCAGTGTACTCCCGTACTCCTCTGGTTTTCATTCTCTGATAGGAAACACACACAGCAGCCCAGGAATGCGCTGGATGGCAGTAGAAATTTAAAAGTCACTGTTAAAAATCAGCCAGGCAAGCTGGGCGCAGTGGCTCATGCCTGTAATCCCAGCACTTTGGGAGGCTGAGGTGGGTGGATTGCCTGAGGTCAGGAGTTCAAGACCAGCCTGGCCAACACAGTGAAACCCCATCTCTACTAAAAATACAAAAAATTAGCTGGGCCTGGTGGCAGGTGCCTGTAGTCTCAGCTACTAGGGAGGCTGAGGTAGGAGAATCGCTTGAACCCGGGAGGCAGTGGTTGCAGTGAGCTGAGATCGTGCCACGGCACTCCAGCCTGGGCAACAAGAGCGAAAGTCCGTCTCAAAAAAAAAAAAAAAAGATAGAATCTGGGATGCCAACTTTGGGTTCTGCTTTCCCCACTAGAAAGGGCTGGATGGTGTCAAGCCTACTCAAGGGGAGAGGGTAGTAAGGAAGCCTGGAGACTAGATCATGGGAAACAAGAAAGGTTTGTCGAATTGGGACTAAGAGAAAGAAGAAAATAATGTAAAGGAGAAATTTACATGAAGAGACAGAGAGGGAACTAAGTTCTAAGATGAACAATACAAGCAAACATAACACTATACATCTGCTTGTTGGTTTCGGCCACAGACATGAAGCCACAAAGGGACGTGTGGATTTCAGATGCCTATGTTGTGCCACTGCTTGGCTCCAGGGTCTACCACCTTCAGAAGCCCACCTGTGGCAGGCCGGGTATGGTGTCTCACACCTGTAATCCAGCACTTTGGGAGCCTAAGGCGGGCGGATCACAAGGTCAGGAGATCGAGACCATCCTGGCTAACACGGTGAAACCCCATCTCTCCTAAAAATACAAAAAAATTAGCCAGGCGCGGTGGTGGACACCTGTAGTCCCAGCTACCTGGGAGGCTGAGGCAGAAGAATTGCTTGAGCCCAGGAGGCAGGATCGCAGTGAGCTGAGATTGTGCCACTGCACTCCAGCCTGGGCGACAGAGTGAGACTCCATCTCAAAAAAAAAAAAAAAAACAAGAATCAGGCCAGCCTGAAATTAGCACCTACCAAGATGAACTTGGCAGCAGCAGAATGACCATGGGGTGTTCAGTCTACCTAGTAGTGCAAAAAAAAAAATAATGTGAGCATTAATTATTATTATTATTATTATTTTTGAGACAGAGTCTCGCTCTTGTTGCCCAGGCTAAAGTGCAATGGAGCGATCTCAGCTCACTGCAACCTCCGCCTCCCAGGTTCAAGCGATTCTCTGGTCTCAGCCTCCTGAGTTGCTGGGATTACAAGCATGTGTAACCTTGCCTGGCTAATTTTGTATTTTTAGTATAGACGGGGTTTCTCCATGTTGGTCAGGCTGGTCTTGAACTCCCAACCTCAAGTGATCCACCTACCTCCGACTCCCAAAGTGCTGGGATTACAAGCATGAGCCACCGTGCCTGGCCATGAGCATTACTTATTATGGGCAATTTCAGAAATCAAAAGGCTAAAATAGCAAAATATTTGGGAAAGAAACACTACATGAAAGTGGGAATCTGCAACCAGGGACAAGGAGGGTCAGGGTCTAAAATAGGGTCATACCATTTTTTAAAAGGGCCTGTGTATGATTCCTGCTCTGTAAGCAACCCTATCTGTACTATTTATTGAATGCTAGAATGGACTTAGCCACCATCTAAGACTTACCTAGTACCGACAGGTCAACCAAGGATCTTTAAACCAGAAGAGGCTGACCCCAGAGATTCTATCTCCCATTATAAATCCATAAAGTAGCCTTCTGGGACAAATCAGTGTCATGTGAGTTTGAAATATGAGTCAGATTTCCAGGCCCAGGCATAGTACTAAAATTCTGGGGGAGTGGCCGAAACCACTTCTGTCTCATCGCTGTGGTGCTGGCAGCCTTACTTCTCAAATGTGAAATCCAGCAACCCCTGAGAATGGAAGCCATAACCCTAGGGATGCAAAGGCTCATCTTGAAAGTGCTACTTTATTTTTGTTTTGTTTTTTTGAGACAGAGTCTCGCTCTGTCCCCCAGGCTGGAGTGCAGTGGCCCAATCTCAGCTCACTGCAACTTCTCTCTCCCAGGTTCAAGCAATTCTCTTGCCTCAGCCTCCCAAGTAGCTGGGACCACAGGTGTATGCCACCATGCCCGGCTAATTTTTGTATTTTTAGTAGAGACAAGGTTTCACCATGTTGACCAGGGTGGTCTCGAACTCCTGAACTCAAGTGACCCACCCACCTCGGCCTCCCAAAGTGCTGGGATTACAGGTGTGAGCCACGGTGCCTGGCCTTCTTTTTATTTTTTACATATTTTTTTGAAACAGAGATGGAGGTCTCACTATGTTGCCCAGGCTGGTTTCAAACTCCTGGGCTCAAGTGATCTTTCCACCTTGTCCTCCCAAAGTGTTAGGAATACAGGCATGAGCCACCACGCCTGGCCAGATTAAATTTTGTCTTAAAAGCATAGGCAAGCTGGCAAGAAAATAAGGAACATTCAGGCTAAAACCCTAAGGAGGAGAAACAGGGAGGTAAGTTAACACTGAAGCTTTTATCTAGATGGCATTTGCAGAACTAGGCAAACCTGAGCTTCAGTTTTCAAAGCCTCAAAAGGTCACAGAAGCACGGCCCAGAGCCCAGCCACGGTGGGAAATCTAAAGAGATCTTACCCCCAGTGAAGTTGGGACTTCCAAAGGATACTCCCTTAACGTAACAGTGAACCACCAAGAAACTTGATGTACCCTTCCCTGTCCCCAAGAGCTACCTGCAAGAAAAATCAACTGTCTAAATCCTTGGCAGGTAGAAAAACAAAAGCAGGTAGAAAAACAAAAAACTCCCCCCAAGAAGCTGCAATCACAAAACAGCCCTCACACAGACTTGCAGTCCAAAGTTGTACTACCTGGGCGATCAGAAAATACTCAGTGCTCCTACTGATGGCAGGAGAAGGGCAAATTAGTTTTCAAAACCTCAAATCTTTGGTTTCGGATAACCTAGAAGAGTTAGACATGCCAGCAACTCCACTCCTAGTTTATACCCCACAGAAATTCTTGCTCATGTGTTCCAGGAGCCATATGTAAGAATGTTCCTGCTGGACGTGGTGGCTCATGCCTGTAATCCCAGCACTTTGGGAGCCTGAGGCAGGCGGATCACCTGAGTTCAGGAGTTCAAGACCAGCCTGGCCAACATGGCGAAACCCTGTCTCTATTAAAGATACAAAAATTGGTTGGGCATGGTGGCACACCCCTGTAATCCCAGCTACTTGGGAGGTTGAGACAGGAGAATCATTTGAACTCGGGAGTCAGAGGTTGTAGTGAGCCAAGATCACACCACTGCACTTCAGCCTGGGCGACAGAGCAAGACTCTGTCTTAAAAAAAAAAAAAAAAAAAAAAAAGTTCCCAGCAGGGTTATTCCTGAGAGAGGAAAAAAAACAAAAGGCAGACCAAGGCCTTCTTGGCAACAGGGCAACAGAAAGGATCAACACACTGTGGATATTCATTCAATGGAAAGCTCTACGGCAGTGAACATGAACAGAGCCATGTGCATCCACATGGACGAATCACAAATGTAATGCTGAGCAAGTCACAGAAATCTACTGTAGGATTCCATGTCCAGGTGTTCAAAACCAGGCAAAATTCAACAATAAGTTATTCAGAGGTTGGCTATCGGTGGGAAAACTAACAAGAACAAGAGAATAAATATCACAAAATTCAGAATAGCTGGGGTGCCAGGTGTGGTGGCTTACATCTGTCATCCCAGCACTTTGGGAGGCTGAGGTGGGCGGATCACCTGAGGTCAGGGGTTCAAGACCAGCCTGGCCAACATGGTGAAACTTCGTCTCTACTAAAAATACAAAAATTAGCCGGGCATGGTGGCACACACCTGTAGTCCCAGCTACTCAGGAGGCTGAGGCAGGAGAATCACTTGAACCCAGGAGGCAGGGGTTGCAGTGGGCCGAGATGGCACCACTGCACTCCACCCTGGACAGCAGAGTGGCAAGATTCCATCTCAAGAAAAAAAAAAAAAAAAAAAAAAGGAATAGCTGAGGGAAGGGACTTCAACCGGGGAGGGAACATAGGGGGCTTATATGGTCCTAACCTTAACCTAGGGATGGGAACATAGATGTTCATTTTACTATTTTGTTTTAACATACTCATATGTTTTAAACATGTCTTCTGTTAAGTGTGGGATTTTGCAATAAACAAATGGCAAAATGAAGAAAAAAAAACATGCAATGGCACACAGAGTACTGCAGACTTTTTATTTGTGCTGACATCGGACGATTTCCAAGATACACTGATAAATGAAAAGGGCATGGAGCAGAAAGGGCACAGGAGAAACAAACAATAGATATATGTTTCTGTAGCCGGGCGCAGTGGCTCACGCCTGTAATCCCAGCACTTTGGGAGGCCAAGGCAGGTGGATCACAAGATCAGGAGATAGAGACCATCCTGGCTAACACGGTGAAACCCCATCTCTACTAAAAATACAAAAAACATTAGCCGGGCATAGTGGCAGTTGCCTGTAGTCCCAGCTACTCAGGAGGCTGAGGCAGGAGAATGGCGTGAACCCGGGAGGCGGAGCTTGCAGTGAGACAAGATCACGCCACTGCACTCCAGCCTGGGCGACAGAGCGAGACTCTGTCTCAAAAAAAAAAAAAAAAGAAAAAGAAAAAGAAAAAAGGAAATATGTTTCTATTTCAAAGGGCAGACCACCTCCAAGAGGACAGACAAGATAATTTAACCGGAAGTGGCCTCCTGGGAGGGGACTGGGTTACTGGGGAGAGAGGAAAAAGGAGACTCATACATTTCAATGTTTGTACAAGGTGCAAGTATTACATAGCTAAACTGAATACCTTTTTTTTTAAGTTAAACACTAACTCTTTGGATTACCGCTTGGTAACCTGCTAGAAGACTATTAGGTTCAACAGTAGCATCTCTGAGGAGTTACCTAGGTCATACCTGGGCTTCCTTGGCCCCATCAGTAACTGTTACATGAGACCTGTTTTCAGCATGGAAGGCACTCTACCATCTCAAATGATTTCAATGGGAGGGTAGAACTCCAGCCCATTCAAGCCCAGGGTTCCACAGAGACCCCTTGGTTGGACTCTGTCAATGACTAAACCCTTGGGCTTACGCTGCTGGGCTAGCTGATGTGGGACAAAAATCTCGCAGATGCAGTGGCCGAAATGTCCTTTCGGGGCCATAAATCTGCTAGGAATGGCTGCATTTGCCCTTTAGCCCAGAAGTATCCTTAATCTGGCCCTGGGGGGAAAGCCTCTTTAAACTGTGTGTTCTCTCCAGCTGGAGAAGCTAGCCATCGGGGAAAGAAAACTGATTCAGAACTGCAAAAGCAATAAAGAAAGAAGCCAGATACAGGACCAGACACAGATCTTTTCTTGGAAGGTAAATCATACCATCCCTTATCTTGTGAATTTAGTCTCAATTATGTCCCCTGTTGGCAGCAAATGCCCTGTCTTTTCTGCACACCAAAACCCATTCCAAAGTCCCAGCACCAGGAACTATGAATATCAAGAAGTAGTTGGGAGAAAAACAGAAACAAGTGTTCTTAATTCATATTTTGTGTCTGCTAGGAGAATCCTTCGTCTAAAATACCTCTTCCACCATGCACCTAAAAAATCCAACGGAAAACCTCAACCTCTTAACTCTAACACCTACAAATACTTTGTTTTGATCAGTGTAAATCTGTTTGCTAGGAGGCAGTTTCAGCTTCCACCTATCCCGCCCTGGAAGCAAGGCGAAAGCTCCAAGTACCCTGAAGGTGTCTCTCTCCTGACAGCTCTTCCAGAGGCCTCAGCCCTTCAGCCCAGGCTCACCAAGCAGTAGGCAGCCTACCACAGATGAGATGCAACTGTCTCACCCAGAAACCGTCAGATGAGGAGAAATGGGAGGCACTAAGAGGCAAGAACTGGGGAAAATCAGCTCAAGAATCTTCAGGCCCTACCAGCCCTTTCTCCTCTCTGGGTAACATTTTCTCCGGGTAAGTCTCAACGCTTATTGCTCTGGTCTCAAGCTATCTCAATTTTCTCAGGAAATGCTGAGTTGGGCTTAAAAGCCCACCATCCCGAAAGATGGTGCCCTGTCCCAATTCCCTATTTCTTTTCTATTTGTCTCTCCACTTTTCCCCGACCTCAGGTCTTGGAGTCAGCTCCCTTTAGCTAAATAAATGGGGTGGCTTTTTCCATCCTGCATTTCAAGATGAAGATTGAGCTGCAATTTAGAGCTCTCCAATCCCTCCCTCCACTTGGCCCCATGACAACTTTTCTTCTGTGACACTTTATATTTGCCACCTCCTTCCCATTGCAACCACTTCCCTAACCTCCACTTGCATCATTCCGGAATGTCTGAGTTACATTCCCTGCTGAGCTAGTCCCCACCCAACCTCTGCCTCTCCCCATTCCCAGGCAGCCACCCACTCCGCCCAGAGGTTTTCCAAAAATCCCATTCACCTCTGGGTAGTCCTGGCTCAAGCATCTCAGGGGCTTCTTATTGTCTCAAATCCCAACACGCAGCTGGGGTTCACAGAATGAACTTCCAGCCCTAATGCTCACTACGCCCCACCAGCACACTCCAACATTGCTTCCCAAGTGCTAGGCCCTGAGGATTCCACAGTGATCAATGCAGGCACAACCTCCACCCTTGCCGGCTTCCCACTGCCTTCCTCCACGCCAGCGAGGCTGGGGCATCACCCTCTGTCTCATCACCTGGCCTCACTCCCATTGCCACTGTCCGGGGGCACCCGCCTCCTACGAACTCAAATATCACACATGCGAGGACCAGCTCCTCCACCCACCTGAGAGAGTCCCCTCATCTTGCAGGGCCTCGGATTCACATATTCTACCCTCAAGGGGTTCACTTCTAACTGTTCATCACTGGTCCCATTAACAGAGCCACCATTACGGTGTGTCCAAGTGTCAGGCACATGACTGTGTGATTTCATTTGTTTATGTGTTATTTCATTTGTACAGAATGAACGTGTGTTATTTCATTTGTACAAAAGTTATTGCATTTGATCTCTACCCAACAGCCCCCACTGGTTGGTTTCCTCATCTATAAAATGGGGGTAGTAAGACAAGGAAGGAAGGTCTTACTGCCCTCATTTTATAGATGAGGAAACCAAGGCTTGAAGAAGCTAAGGAACTTGCTGATCAGGGCTAAGCCTGAACTCCATCCTGTCCGCCTGACTCCAGGGTCCATGCTCTCAACTCTGCTATGCCACTCCCCGGTAATTCCCTATGTGTGTTTTGTTTTTGTTTTTGAGATACAGTCTCACTCTGTTGCCCAGGCTGGGGTGCAATGGCACGATCTTGGCTCACTGCAACCTCTACCTCCTGGGTTCAAGTGATTTTCCTACCTCAGCCTCCCACCACACCCAGCTAATTTTTTGTATTTTAGTAGAGATGAGGTTTCACCATGTTGGTCAGGCTGGTCTCGAACTCTTGACCTCAGGTGATCCACCCGCCTCGGCCTCCCAAAGTGCTGGGATTACAGGTGTGAACAACCGCGCCCAGCCCCCTGTGTATGTTTATGCATTTAGCATCTCACCTGGCACAGAAGCAGGATCAATGAGGTCATTACTACTCTTCCACGCTAGCCAGTCACTATGCAAGCATGTATTTTGTCCAGCACGTGCATTCCCTCTCTCCCAACCACGGATAAACAACTCAGGGCAAGGCCACCTTGTCAGATCCTCCTGTGGCCTCACAGCATCCAGTAAGGAGCTGTGCATAGCACAGATGCACAGTAAATGCTGAAGGAAAGAACCATTTCTTGGAGTACTGCCCAGTAATAACTTGTCCTCCTTAAGCCACTCAGTCAACTGAGAAAACGCAGGATTAGAAAATGGGGCATTCATTCTGCTAGATACTGATTGCCACGTAAGAATATCAGAAGTATAAATGGACAGAAAGATGGCTCAGGTCAGCAAAAACACAAATAGCTATTTTGCAACCAGTTGGAATGGGGCAGTCAAAAGCCAGGAGGGCTGAAGAAAACCTTACAGTCTTACTGAAACAGCCTTGGGCAACATGGCAGGGAGAAGAGCCCTGCCTTAGATGGAGGTAGACTCCCAGTTGGCCACAAGCCATGCGACAACAAATGGCTCTTATGATAAAAGCTGCAAACGTCCATGAAGTGATAACTTCAGAAGGAAAGGGGAGGGTCTCAGGTTGGTCTTTTCAGCCCTGTGCACTGTAACACCCTGCCACACCATATTGCAACATCCTGTGGAACGGCAGCATATTCTGAGAACCTCAGGCCAGAATCTGGTTTGCTGCTGTCAGAGCTTGGCTATAACTCTTCCTAGTGAAGCTGAGAGAGACACTGAACCTCTCTGAACCTCGGGTCTGTCATCCATAAGCAGCAAAACCACAACCATAACCAGTTCCAGGGAAAACTGGTTGATAAAATAAAACTAGCCAAGTGCTGTAGCTCATGCCTGTAATCCCAGCACTTCAGGAGGCCGAGGCAGGAGGATCGCTTGAGCTCAGAAGTTTGAGACCAGCCTGGGCAACACAGTCTTTACAAAAAATACAAAAACTAGCCAGGCATGGTGGCACATGCCTGTAGTCCCAGCTACTCAGGAGGCTCAGGTGGGAGGATCATTTGAGCCTTGGAAGTTGAGGCTGCAGTGAGCTGTGATTGCACCACTGCACTCCAGCATGAGTGACAGAGTGAGACCCTGTCTCAAAAAAAAAAAAAAAAAAAATCAGCTGGGTGTGGTGGCACATGCCTGTAGTCTCAGCTACTTGGGAGGCTGAGGTGGGAGCATTGCTTGAGCCCAGGAGGTGGAGGCTACAGTGAGCTTGGATGGTGCCACTGTACTCCAGCCTCGTGACAGAGCAAGACCCTGTCACACACACACACAAAAAAAAGGTGGGGGGGGAGAGAAAAAAAGAAAAAAATGAAATAAAAAAACTATAAAGTGCTACACACACATAAGGGATATTATCAAGAACAGAACATCAGCAGTCAGCTCCATATGGTGTCCTGGAGTAACACTAGTTGAGATTAGACCCCAGTATTTGCTGACGTCTTGATGGTTAATGGGCAGGGGAGAGGCCACCAATATTGTTATTGGCAATTGCTCTATTTTTCTTGAGGTAAAGGGTAAATTCCCCTTTGTGAGCAAAACATCTTTTTCTGTATTGTAATTCCATTCTGCTATCTCCAAGCATTCAGTAAAATGTTGTGAAATGCCTGACAGGTCGTTTGTGTATTTAAGGCAATATGGTATGAAGGGTGAAGCAACAGCCCTGAGGCAGGGAGAACTAGGCAACATACAGAAGAGAACAGCTGGCCAAGGAAATAACCAAGCCAGACAGATGACATTCATTTAACCTATGTTTTTCACTCCCTAACTATGTTCCAAACTTGGTGGAACACATAAGCATCCCTGGGTATTTGTAGAAAAACTTGGGGAAGGGAACTCTATAAAAGATAGGTCTTCTTTTTTTTTTAAGATGGAGTCTTGCTCTGTCACCCAGGCTCCCAGGCTGGAATGCAGTGGCGCGATCTTGGCTCACTGCAACCTCCGCCTCCCAAGTTCAAGCAACGATTCTCGTGCCTCAGCCCCCTAAGTAGCTGGGACTACAGGTATGCACCACCACGCCTGGCTAATTTTTGTATTTTTGGTAGAGATGGGGGTTTCGCCATGTTGGTCAGGCTGGTCTCGAACTTCTGACCTCAAATGATCCACCCGTCTGGGCCTCCCAAAGTGCTGGGATTACAGGTGTAAGCCACTGTGCCCGGCCTAAAGACAGGCCTTCCTACAGGTCAAGGAAGCTTGACTAATTGTTATTAGGGATTAAATTGAAAAACTGTCCCTGAAGACAAAGAGGTCAGGACCATCTAAGACTCAAAAGTCCAATAATTACAGTTGAAGGTTTTGCCTTCAACAGTGTTCATCCCACTATCTCCTGGCTCCCATGATTTCTGAGGAGAAATGAGCTGTTAATCTGATCAAAGATCCTTTGAACAAGATAAGTTGCTCATCTCTTGCTGCTTTCAAGATTCTTTGTCATTTGACACTTTGATTATGAAATATCTAGGTGTGGATCTCTGATATTCATCCTCATTGGAGTTCACTGAGCTTCCTGAGTGGGTAGGTTACTGTTTTTCATCAGCTTGTGGCCATTCTTTCTGACCCTTTCTCTCCTCTCCTTCTGGGACTCTCATGATGCATATGTTGATTTGTGTGACGGTGCACCATGGGTCTCTGAGGCTGTTAATTTTCCTTCATTCTTTTTTCATTAGCCTGAAAAATCTCAAGGTACCATCTTCAAGCTTGCTGATTTTTTTCTGCCTGCTCAAATCTGCTGTTCAGCCTCTAGTGAATTTTTCATGTCAGTAACTACACAGTTCAACTCCAGAATTTCTGGGTTTTTTTTGTTTTTTTTTTTTTTGAGACTGAGTCTTGCTCTGTTGCCTAGGCTGGAGTACAGTGATGCCATCTCAGCTCACTGCAATCTCCACCTCCCAGGTTCAAGCGATTCTCCTGCCTCAGCCTCCTGAGTAGCTGGGACTACAGGTGCGTGCCACCACACTCAGCTAATTTTTTGTATTTTTAGTAGAGACGGGGTTTCACTGTGTTAGCCAGGATGGTCTCGATCTCTCGACCTCGTGATCCACCTGCCTTGGCCTCCCTCTATTTGGTGAGACACTCTTCTCACATTTTCCTTAAGTTCTTTAGACAAATTTAAAATAGTTGATTTAACATCATTGTCTATGAAGTCCAACATCTAGGCTGGAAAAGACTGTGTCTTTCCTGTGTATGAACCATACTTTCTTGTTTCTTTGCATGCCTCATAACTTTTTGTTGAAAACAAGAATAACTTTTTTCTGCGATTTTTCCTGAATAAATGTGTCTTAGATTGTTGCAAGCCTTTGGTTAATTTCTCGAGTTCTGAAAAAGTTGGTTTTAATCATTTTTGCCAGTTTTCTCATTCCTTTAAATGGAGGAACAGCATTTATGAAGTCCTCACTCCACCACTCCCCAGCAATCTATATCTCATATGGCATTTAGAAAGAGGTTTTCATCCCCCAAAACAATTTTTTGGAAAAGAGGGGTAAAAGAGTCAAACTCTGATATTTAAGTACCTAGTACTCGACCGTAAGCCCCAAGTAGTGTTATGAATTGCACCCTTCTCTAATTAGATTTTTTAAATTGATAACTTAAAATTAAAACATCCTATAAAGAAAAAAATACTATATAGAAAATTTTTTAAACACATAATTTTGTAACTCCAGCAACCTGAACAAATTGTTGGTATAGCATTCCAAAATAACAAAAAATGAGATATTATACATTCTGTTTTATAATATATATTTTTTGTGTAAAGGCATCATAGCTCTCGTCCTATGGTAATAAATTTAGAGTGACAGCTTGATTAGGATACATGAGCTATTTTTAAAGGCTACATCATATGACACAGAACAGACTTCATATGTAGCAATCATTTTCTGATGTACGTTTTGGTGATTTCCCATTTTCTGCTATCACCTCATATGTTTGCACGCCTGTCCCATGATACCACAGGTTACATTTCTAGAACTGGAATTGCTGTGTTAAATGACTTGACATTTTAGGTTTCATCTTCTCTGCACCCCCCAGTCATTTAATACTGGCCCTATGGTGAAGCACATTTTCCCTCCTCTTTGAGAGCAGAGTCGTCACTCAGTGACATCACTGCCTTCGTTTACTATATGGTCAGCCCTCTGTATCTGTGGGTTCCACATCCACTCATTCAACCAACTGGGGATCAAAAATATTCGAAAAAGCAAAATAAAAAATGACAATACAACAATAAAAAATAATACAAATAAAAACAATACAGTATAAGAACTATTTACATGGCATTTACATTGGATTGGGTATTTTAAGTTATCCAGAGATGATTTAAAGTACACAAGATGATATGCATAGGTTATATGCAAATACTATGCCATTTTCTATCAAGCACTTGAGCATCTTGGAGGATTCTGGCATCCATAGGGGGGTCTTGGAACCAGTCCCCAGGGGATAGCAAGAAACAACTGTGCTATGAAATACTGTATCTCACAGTGCTCCTTTACCACCTTAAAGGGGAACACAGCCACAGGTGAGGACAGACTGTACTTAAAACTCCTGCAGAGGCTGGACACAGTGGTTCACGCCTGTAATCCTAATACTTTGGGAGGCCAAGGCGGGTGGATCACCTGAGGTCAGGAGTTTGAGACCAGCCTGACCAATACGGAGAAACCCCGTCTCTACTAAAAATACAAAATTAGCCAGGTGTGGTGGCGCATGCCTGTAATCCCAGCTACTCGGAAGGCTGAGGCAGGAGAATCACTTGAACCCGGGAGGCAGAGGTTGCAGCAAGCCGAGATCGTGCCATTGCACTCCAGCCTGGGCAACAAGAGCAAAACTCCGTCTCAAAAAAAAAAAAAAAAAAAAAACCAAAAACAAGAAAAAACAAAAAAAAAACAACTCCTGCAGAGACACATGAGAAAGAATGAAATTGGACCCTTACCTGACACCATATCCATGACCTAAACATAAGACCTAAAATGACAAAACTCTTGGAAAAAACATAGGGGAAAAGCTTTATATTAGATTTAACAATGATTTCTTGGATACAACACCAAAGGCAGGCACAGGCAACAAAAAGCAAAGATAGACAAGTTGGACTTCAAGAAAATGTAAAAATTTTGTGCATCAAAAGACATTATCATGGGGTAAAAAGGCAATCCACAGTATGGAAGAAAATATTTACAAATCATGTATCTGATAAGGGATTAATATCGAGAATACATAGAAAGTTCCCAAAACTTTTTTTTTTTTTTTTTGAGACAGGGTCTCACTCTGTTGTCCAGGCTGGAATGCAGTCGTACAATCTCGACTCACTGCAGCCTCGACTTCTCATGCTCAAGTGATCCTCCCACTTCAGTCTCCCTGGTAGTTGGGACCACACCCGGCCCCTCTGCCCATTTTGAATCAGGTGGTTTTTTGTGTGTGTGTGTTGAATTTTGGGAGTTTGCCAGGTGCAGTGGCTCATGTCTGTAATCCCAGCACTTTGGGAGGCTGAAGCAGGCAGATCACTTGAGCTCAGGAGTTCAAGACCAGCCTGGGCATCATGGTGAAACGCTGTCTCCACAAAAAATACAAAAACTACAGCTACAAAATACAAAATACAAAAAAATACAGCTACAAGGGAGGCTGAGGTGGGAGGATCACTGCAGCCCAGGAGGTCGAGGCTGCAGTGAGCCAAGACTGTGCCACTGTACTCCAGCCTGGGCAACAGAACAAGACCCTGTCTCAAAATAAATAAATAAATAAATAATAAAAATTTAAAAAGGCAAAGGACTTGAACAGACATTTCCCCAAAGAAGATAGAAGATATACAAATGGCCAATAAGCACATCACAAGATGCTCAAGGCCAGGCACAGTGGCTCACGCCTGTAATCCCAGTACTTTGGGAGGCTGAGGCAGGTGGTCACTTGAGGTCAGGAGATCGAGACCAGCCTGGCTAACACGTCTCTACTAAAAATACAAAAATTAGCCAGGCATGGTGGTGCATGTTTACAATCCAAGCTACTTGGGAGGCTGAGGCAAGAGGATAGCTTGAACCCAGGAGGCAGAGGTTGCAGTGAGCTGACATGGTGCCACTGCACTCCAGCCTGGGCAACAGAGCAAGCAAGACTCCATCTAAAAAAAAAAAAAAAAAAAAAAGGTGCTCAACATCACTAATCATTAAGGAAATGCAAATCCAAACTACAATGAGATATCACCTCATACCCATTGGGATGGCTACTATCAAAACAACAAAGTGTTGGTGAGGATGTGGAAAAACTGGAACCCTCATGCACTGTTAATGGAAATGTAAAATGCTGTAGCTGATGTGGAAAATAGCATAGCAGGCTCTTGAGAAATTAAAAATAGAATTGCCATTGACCCAGCAATCAGGTATATATCCAAAAGAACTGAAAGCAAAGTCTCAAAGAGATATTTGTACACCCATATTCATGGAAGCATTATTCATAATAGCTCAAACATGGAACCAAGCCAAGTGTCCACAGATATATGAATGGATAAGTAAAATCCATACAACGGAATATCATTCAGCCTTTTCTTTTTTTTTGAGGCAGAGTCTTGCTCTGTCGCCCAGGCTGGAGTGCAGTGGCGCCATCTCGGCTCACTGCAAGCTCCGCCTCCCGGGTTCACACCATTCTGCTGCCTCAACCTTCCGAGTAGCTGAGACTACAGGTGCCCGCCACCATGCCCAGCTAATTTTTTGTATTTTTTAGTAGAGACGGGGTTTCACCGTGTTAGCCAGGATGGTATCGATCTCCTGACCTCGTGATCTGCCTGCCTCGGCCTCCCAAAGTGCTGGGATTACAGGTGTGAGCCATCATGCCTGGCCCCCATCATTCAGCCTTAAAAAGAAATTCCGGCCAGGCGCAGTGGCTCACGCCTGTAATCACAACACTTTGGGAGGCTGAGGCGGGCAGATCACCTGAACTCAGGAGTTTGAGATCAGCCTGACCAACATGGGGAAACCCCGTCTCTAATAAAAATATAAAATTAGCCGGGTGTGGTGGCACATGCCTGTAATCCCAACTACTCGGGAGGCTGAGGCAGGAGAGTCGCTTGAACTCGGGAGGCAGAGGTTGTAGTGAGCCGAGATCGCACCATTGCACTCCAGCCTGGGCAACAAGAGTGAAACTCCATCTCAAAAAAAAAAAAAATGCTGGGCGCGGTGGCTCATGCCTGTAATCCCAGCACTTTGGGAGGCCGAGGTGGACGGATCACGAAGTCAGGAGATCGAGACCATCCTGGCTAACACGGTGAAACCCCGTCTCTACTAAATATACAAAAAAAATTAGCTGGGCATGGTGGCAGGCGCCTGTAGTCCCAGCTCCTCGGGAGGCTGAGGCAGGAGAATGGTGTGAACCCGGGAGGTGGAGCTTGCAGTGAGCCGAGATCGCACCACTGCACTCCAGCCTGGGCGACAGAGCGAGACTCCATCTCAAAAAAAAAAAAAAAGAAATTCTGACACATGCTACAACATGGATGAACCTTGAGGACATTATGCTATGTGAAATATGCCAGTCACAAAAAGACAAATACCGTATGATTCCATTTATATGAGGTGCCTAGAGCAGTCCAATTCAGAGACAGAAAGTAGAATGGTGGGTGCCAGGGGCTTGGGTGAGTGGAGAATGAGGAGTCAGGATTTAAGGGTTACAGAGCTTCAGTTTTACAAGATGAAAAAAAGTCTGCAGATAGTGGTGATGGTTGCTCAATATAAATATACTTAATACCACTGAACTGTACGCTGGAAAATGGTTAAGAAAGTTTCGGCTGGGTGCGATGGCTCACACCTGTAATCCCAGCACTTTGGGAGGCCGAGGCGGGCGGATCACCTGAAGTCGGGAGTTTGAGATCATCCTGACCAACATGGAGAAAACCCGTCTCTACTAAAAAGAAATACAAAATTAGCTGGGTCTGGTGGCGGGCGTCTGTAGTCCCAGCTACTCGGGAGGCTGAGGCAGGAGAATTGCTTGAACCCGGGAGGCGGAGGTTGCGGTGAGCCAAGATCATGCCATCACACTCCAGCCTGGGCAACGAGAGCGAAACTCCATCTCAAAAAAAAAAAAAGTAAGTTTAATATCAGGTGTACATAATACATGTGTTATATGGACATCCCCTCAAAATTCACATGTTCAACCTAACTCCCAATGCAATCGTATTAAGAGGTGGGGCCTTGAGGAGGTTGTCATGAGGGTCCTGTTCTATGAGTAGGATTAGCATCCTAATAAAAGAGGTCGAGCTGGCCATGGTGGCTGGCGCCTATAATCCCAGCTAGTCAGGAGGCTGAGGTGGGAAGATGTTGAGCCCAGGAGTCGGAGGAAAAAAAAAAAAGGGGTCACGGTCAAAAGGAGCTGCCTTGTCCCTTCCACCCTGTGAGGACGCAGCCTGAAGACAGCATGATTTGTGAGGAACAAGCCCTCACCAGATACCGAATCTGCTGCTGCCTTGATCTTGGACTTCTCAGCTTCCAAAACCGTTAAGAAATAAACTTCTCGGCCGGGTGCGGTGGCTCACGCCTGTAATCCCAACACTTTGGGAGGCCGAGGCCCGGATCATGAGGATCATGAGGTCAGGAGATTGAGACCATCCTGGCTAACACGATGGAACCCTGTCTCTACTAAAAATGCAAAAAAAAAAAATTTGCCGGGCGTGGTGGCAGGCGCCTGTAGTCCCCCAGCTACTTGGGAGGCTGAGGCAGGAGAATGGCATGAACCCGGGAAGCAGCGGAGCTTGTGGTGAGCAGAGATCGCGCCACTGCTCTCCAGCCTGGGCTATAGAGCAAGACTCCGGCTCAAAAAAAAAAAAAAAAAAAAAAAAAAAAAAGAAATTTCTCAACATGGTGAAACCCCGTTTCTACTAAAAAATGCAAAAATTAGCCGGGCGTCGTGGCAGGCGCGTGTATTCCCAGCTAATAGAGAGGCTGAGGCAGAGAATCTCTTGAACCCAGGAGACAGAGGTTGCAGTGAGCCACTGCCCTCCAGCCTGAGTGATAATAGCGAAACTGTCTCAAAAAAAAAAAAAAAAGAAAAGAACAAAAGGCCGGGCACAGTGGCTCACGCCTGTAATCCCAGCACTTTGGGAGCCCGAGGCGGGCGGAACACAAGGTCAGGAGATCGAGACCATCCTGGCTAACACGGTGAAACTCCGTCTCCAATAAAAATACAAAAAATTAGCCGGGTGTGATGGTGGGCGCCTGTAGTCCCAGCTACTTGGGAGGCTGAGGCAAGAGAATGGCATGAACTCAGGAGGAGAAGCTTGCAGTGAGCCGAGATTGCACCACTGCACTCCAGCCTGGGTGACAGAGCAAGACTCCGTCTCAGAAAAAACAACTTCAGGCCGGCCGCAATGGCTCACACCTGTAATCCCAGCACTTTGGGAGGCCAAGGCAGGCGGATCACTTGAGGTCAGGAGTTCGAGACCAGCCTGCCCAACATGGTGAAACCCCATCTCTACTAAGAGTACAAAAATTAGTTGGGCATGGTGGCACACACCTATAATCCCAGCTACTCAGGAGTCTGAGGCAGGAGAATCGCTTGAACCTGGGAGGCAGGGGTTGCAGTGAGCCGAGATTGCACCACTGCATCCATCCTGGGTGACACAGCAAGACTGTCTCAAAAAATAAATAAATAAAAATAATAAATAAATAAATTTCTATTGTTTATAAATTACCTAGAATAAGGTTATTTTGTTATAGCAGCCCAAAGGGATGAAGACAATGTATTTTGCCACAATTTTTTAAAATGGGGGACGAAAAACTCTTGCAGCGCAAAAACCTAAGTCAGCCTCCTGCCAATTTCTCCCCCAAATGTCCTTTTCTTGTCACTCTACAAACCTCTGCTCTTACTCACATTGGGCCACATGTGCATCAGACATCAACGGAGAGGTCAAACTGCATTAATAATTCTCAACCAGGTCCACTCACCACCTACAAGCTTCCTGGGGCCATACCCAGTGACCAGGACAGGAATGCAATTCTGCATCTAGTTATCATCCAAGACGCAGATTTCTAACAAGAATTTGATGGCAATGGGCTCTCCAAAGATTGGTAGCTCTCCACCGGGAGGTTAGGGAGAGGCCAAAATTCTCACCATTTCCAGGGGCGTGAACTGAAGAACATGAAAAAGGTGGCACTGGTTCCAGATGCTATAATTTATTGGTAACCAGGCGTGATCAGAAAGTAAGAACTCTTAAGTACCACCCTCTTTCTCTTTATTTGAAAAGGTTTAAGAGATGGAAGGAAATGCCAGACATGGACTCAGAAGACTGGGACTCAAATTCTAGCCCTGGTGGGTCAGACATGATTTTACTAGTCCTTGGTCAGAGAAAGCCTTGGGAGATACAGAGAATCTAAAGAATCTAAACTGTATCTATTTTGTATTTAGTTCCACCTATTTTTGTGGCCATACTGCATAACAAAAAGGAAGCCTTAAATAGATTAACTGAATTCAAATGGTTTGGGGGGGCGGGTCGGAACTGCAGAGTTACATGAGATGAGAAGAGGAAGACATTAGTAATGTGATACTTCTATTTGAGGCACATGGGCTGTGAGACCATCCCCATTTGGAGGCAAAATGGTGGCAGTGGAGCAGGCTCTGCTTAGCAGTTAGATTCAAAGTCCAGTTTCATCCCTGCCAGGGGTCTCTTTAATTATAAAGAAAATGTCATCCAGTTGAGAAAGAAAGGCCAAAAGTTAATTAGAAAAATAATTTACTATACTTTAAAATCATGTATTTAATTCCTTATTAGGTAAGCTTCTCTAATTCCAGGAAAATATTAGATTAAATATAGACAAGGCTAGGAAAATAAAAACCATAGTATTTATATTTTTGTGTTAAGAAATCTGGCCGGGCGCGGTGGCTCACGCCTGTAATCCCAGCACTTTGGGAGGCCGAGGCGGGTGGATCATGAGGTCAGGAGATCGAGACCATCCTGGCTAACAAGGTGAAACCCCGTCTCTACTAAAAATACAAAAAATTAGCAGGGCGCGGTGGCGGGCGCCTGTAGTCCCAGCTACTCGGGAGGCTGAGGCAGGAGAATGGCGTGAACCCGGGAAGCGAAGCTTGCAGTGAGCCAAGATTGCGCCACTGCAGTCCGCAGTCCGGCCTGGGCGACAGAGCGAGACTCCGTCTCAAAAAAAAAAAAAAAAAAAAAAGAAATCTGTGTGTTGTCTGTTACTTTATGTACTCTAAGAGAATATGGTCTGTTTAGAATAACAAATCAGTCTTGAGATTCCAATTAAAACATGTAACTGAGGCCAGGCGTGGTGACTCACATCTGTAACCACATGATTTTGGGAGGCTGAGGCAGGTGGATCGCATGATAGCAGTTTGAGACCAGCCCTGGCAACACAGTGAAATCCCACCTCTACAAAGAAAATTTTTTAAAAGGCCAGGTGCAGTGGCTCATGCCTGTAATCCCAGCACTTTGGGAGACCAAGGCGGGCAGATCACAAGGTCGGGAGTTCGAGATCAGCCTGGCCAATATGGTGAAACCCCGTCTCTACTAAAAATACAAAAATTAGCTGGGCCACGCCTGTAATCCCAGCTACTCGGGAGGCTGAGGCAGAAGAATTGCTTGAACCCAGCAGGCGGAGGTTGCAAGTAGGCCAAGATCATGAAACCGCATTCCAGCCTGGGCAACAGAGTGAGACTCCATCTCAAAAAAAAAATTTTTTTTAAATCAGCCAGGCATGACGTGCATGCCATGGTCCCAGCTACTCAAGAGGCTGAGATGGGAGGATCGCTTGAGCATGGGAGGTCGAGGCTGCAGTGAGCCACGATCGCATCAGTGCAAGCCAGCCTGGGGCACAGAGCAAGACCCTGTCTCAAAACAAAAAACATGTAACTGAGTAGTTAGTTTAGACGTGTGATTTTACATAGAAATTTTACTAAGTTTAAAATCAGTACTGGCAGATGACAAACACATGACAAGATGCTCAACATCATTATCATTAGGAAAATTCAAATTGAAACCATGAGATACCACCATATACCTTTTTAAATGGCTAAAATTTAAAAGACTAACCATAGCCAGTGTTGGGGAGGATGAAGAGAAACTGGAACTCTCATACACAGCTGGTAGGAATGTAAAATACTACAACCACGTCAGAAAATTTGGCAGTTCAAGTTAAACATACATACAGCTACCACAGGATCCAGCCACTCCACTCCTAGGCATTTACCCAAGAGAAAAGGAAATATATGTTCACACAAAGACTTATACACAAATGTTCACAGTAGCTTTATTTGTAGATGCCAAAAAGTAGAAGCACCTGAGATGACCAACAAAGGTGACTGGATAAACTGTAATACCCATATAATGAAATCAGCAAAAAAAAAAAGCTGGGTGCGGTGGCTCATGCCTGTAATTCCAGCACTTTGGGAGGCCGAGGCGGGAGGATCACAAGGTCAGGAGATCAAGACCATTCTGGCTAACACAGTGAAACCCCGTCTCTACTAAAAATACAAAAACAAAATTAGCTGGGTGTGGTGGTGGGTGCCTGTAGTCCCAGCTACTCGGGAGGTTGAGGCGGAGCTTGCAGTGAGCCGAGATCGTGCCACTGCACTCCAGCCTGTGCGACAGAGCAAGACTCAGTCTCAAAAAAAAAAAAAGAACTGACCAGGAACAGTGGCTCATGCCTGTAACCCCAGCACTTTGGGAGGCCAAGGTGGAAAGTGGGAAGGACTGCTTGAGTTCAGGAGTTCAAGACAAGCCTAAGGGCCAGGTGCGGTAGCTCACGCAGGTAATCCCAACACTTTTCGAGGCTGAGGTGGGGTGGATCATTTGAGGTCAGGAGTCGAGACCAGCCTGGCCAACATGGTGAAACCCCCTCTCTACTAAAAATACAAAAATTAGCTGGGCGTGGTGGTGGGCGCCTCTAGTCCCAGCTACTTGGGAGGCTAAGGCAGAAGAATCGCTTGAACCCGGGAGGCAGAGGTTGCAGTGAGCCGAGATCATGCCACTGCACTCCAGCCTGGGCGACAGAGTGAGATTCCGTCTCAAAAAAAAAAAAAAAGCCTAAGCAACATACCGAGATCTCATCTCTACTAAAGATAGATAGATAGATAGATAGATAGATAGATAGATAGATAGATAGATAGATATGCCAGGCGTAGTGGCACACACCTGTAGTTCCAGCTACTCAGTGAGATGGGAGATCACTTGAGCCCAGAAGATCAAGGCTGCAGTGAGCTATGATCACGCCGCTATATTCCAGCTTGGGTGACAGAGCAAGACTCTGTCTTAAAAAAAAAAAAAAGAAGGAAATGAACTATCAATACAAGCAACAACATGGACATATCTCAACATAATTATGCTGAGTAAAAGAAGGCAGAGAAAAAAGAATATATACTGTATGAGTCAATTTATGTGAAATTCCAGAAAATGGAAACTAACCTATAGTAACAGAAAGCAGTTCCATGGTTTCCTGAAGAGTGAGGAGGCAGAGGGAGGAATTCCAAAGGTGATGAATGTGTTCACTCTCTGGACTGCAGTGATGGTTTCACAAGGGTACACATATGTTAAAACTTACTAAACTGTATACTTTAAATATGTGCAACTTATTATATCTCAGTAATACTCCAATAAAGCTATTGTAAAAACTAAAATGTATCACGCCTGTAATCCCAGCACTTTGGGAGGCCAAGGCGGGCTGATTGCTTGAGCTCAGGAGTTCGAGATGAGCCTGGGCAATGTGGTGAAACCCCGTCTCCACAAAAAGTACAAAAATTAGCCGGGTGTGGTGGCTTGAACCTGTAGTCCCAGCTACTCAGGAGTCTGAAAAGGGAAGATCACCTGAGCCTAGGAGGTAGAGGTTGCAGTGAGCTGAGACTGTGCCACTGTACTCCAGCCTGAGTGACAGAATCAGACCGTCTCAAAATAAACAAAAATAAACAAACAAAACATAAAACGGTATAGGAAAGTTTAAGAAAAGTGTAATATTCAGCTTCATTTATTAGATTTACAAGAGTCATTTAGGTATTAGAGGGTTTTTTTAATCAGAAAAATGGAAGAATTATTATTATTATTTATTATTATTATTATTTTTTTGAGATGGAGTCTTGCTGTGTCGCCAGGCTGGAGTGCAGTGGCATAATCTCAGCTCACTGCAACCTCCGCCTCCCGGGTTCAAGCGATTCTCCTGCCTCAGCCTCCCAAGTAGCTGGGATTACAGGCGCGTGACCACCACACCCAGCTAATTTTTGTATTTTTAGTAGCGACAGGGTTTCACCATGTTGGCCAGGATGGTCTCAATCTCTTGACCTCGTGATCTGCCCGCCTTGGCCTCCCAAAGTGCTAGGATTACAGGCGTGAGCCACCCACCATGCCCGGCCAGAAGAATTATTAAAATAGTTAACTGAAGTTGAATATGATTTATAAGTTCAATTGAAACATTTCAGAAGTTTCATCAAATTTGCAAATGGGACCAAGCATTAATCAAAAAGCCCCCTAAGGCCGGGGCGGCGGCTCACGCCTGTAATCCCAGCACTTTGGGAGGCCGAGGCGGGCAGATCACTTGAGTCAGGAGTTCGAGACCAGCCTGACCAACATGAAGAAACCCCGCCTCTACTAAAAATACAAATTAGCCAGCATGGTGGCGGGCGCCTGTAATCCCAGCTACTCAGGAGGCTGAGGCAGAAGAATCGCTTGAACCAGGAGGCGGAGGTTGCAGTGAGCCGAGATCGCGACAGAGCGAGACTCCATCGCAAAAAAAATAAATAAATAAAAGCCCCCTGAAAGTGACTGTTAAAATGTCCTAGAATCGTAAATAGATCAGAAAGATTTATAGGCTACACTTATAAGCTAAACTTAAAAGACTGGCCCTTAAAATAACTAGGTTTCTGAATTCATAATTTTAACAAATTGAAAATCAATTGTTTTCGACCAAAGTAATTTCTGAATAATCTTTGCATTACATAAAAATCCAGGGGTAGGAGTGGGTGTGGCATCCAAACCTCCCTCAGACATGCCACGCACCAGTCACCCGAAACTCACCAAGTCGCTTAGTCTCTAGTCTCTCTGAACCTCTGGTTCCTCACACATTGCAAGAGACAAATATTTTCCAGAATAAATAATATACTTATTATTAATGATTTAATATTAATACATTTCACATTGATACACAGCATGTACATGAGAAGAGGCTCCAAAGCAGCATAAAGTGATGTGCAAACGTAATAAATGGGCAGCATGTGTCACTTCATAGTAACTGCAGCACTCAGTGACAGACAAGAGAAAGGTGACACACATCCCCAGAGACTAAGTATGACTCAGCATGGCCAGGTCGTGGAATTTTCCCAAAGCCTCGTTGTGATGTCATGGTGGATGTCATCAGGAAAGGAGCTGCCACAGAAGCAGTCAGGCCCTTCCACACACAGGCAGTGGAAATGTACTCCCAGCTGTCCCGTGCCCTCCCGGCCCCACCTCTTTCTCTGGCCTCGAGGCATATCAGGACAAGGAGGTAACACAAGAGTAGGAAACCCGAGGTAGTGCTGGGAGTACCTGGGGTAACGCCTTCAGGCATAACACTTAACAACACAACAAAGGGCCACATCCATGTCCCCCCAGGAGAAAGCTGAAGAGGAGGGGAGGGTGACAAGCTTAGACTACAGAGCCTTAGTCCCTAGGCAAAGCTCAAGTCAGCAGTGCCTTGGGAACTGAGGAGCCAAACAAGCTTTGACAAATTACATAACCTGGAAGAAGAGGTCCCTTCTTGGTGACTGATTTTCCCTCTCTATTGATGGATCTAAGGGAAGACATCAATAAAATATGGCAATTTTAAAAGAAGAATAAACAATGGGATCAGCATCTTGGATTCTGCTAAGCAGCCTTCTCTAGGCTTCAGTTTCTTCAGTTCCATAAGACAAGTGGTTTGGGGGGAACCTTCCCCAACATGCCCACCTCTCATTGTAGGGATGCAAGTAAGAGAAATAACATCCAACTCTAGCAGCCAAGAATAAGAGGACAGAGCAAGCAGAGAGAGAACAAGGGGGTGAAACTCGTGGAGGGTGGAGTTCTTCCACGTTACGGCCATTCCCACCATGAGCCCATTGCCCTTACTCAATGGTAGCACGCAGACGGCACCTGCTGGCCCAAGACCTAGCTCCAAGGGAGGACTGCGGGAAATCTCACACAGGAAACCAGCTCCTGCGTCATGAAGGGTCGTCAGAGGAAAACCCCCACATAATGGGTGGAAAACCGAGAAAAACTCCTATACCAAGGAATCCCCACTCAGCACTGGATATGAGCTCTGGAGAAAGTTGTCCCTGAGCCACAAAGTCCCCAAGGCCACAGCGGGCCTGAAGGGAAGAGCATTATTGTTGTCACAAATGCTGGGAGAGCACCTGGTTCCCTGGCTCGGCTGCTCCTGCAGACCAGCAGGGGGAGAGGGGACTGGACTAGCAGGGGACCGGCGGGAGGGCTGTGGAATTTAGGCTGAGGGGAGGCCACTGAATCTCCCAGGCACCTGCCACCATGGAAATCCATGTTGGGGGAACTGTAAAAGCAGTAGAGGCCGGACGCGCTGGCTCACACCTGTAATCCCAGCATCTGGGGAGGCCGAAGAGGGCGGATCACCTGAGGTCAGGAGTTCGAGACCAGCCTGACCAACATGGTAAAATCCCATCTCTACTAAAAATACAAAAATTAGGCCGGGCACAGTGGTTCATGCCTGTAATCCCAGCACTTTGAGGGGCTGAGGTGGGTGGATCACAAGATCAAGAGATTGAGACCATCCTGGCCAACATGGTAAAACCCCGTCTCTACTAAAAATACAAAAATTAGCTGGGCATGGCAGCACACACCTGTAGTCCCAGCTACTCGGGAGGCTGAGGCAGGAGAATTGCTTGAACCCAGGAGGCAGAGGTTGCAGTAAGCCGAGCTTGCGCCACTGCACTCCAGCCTGGCAACAGAGCAAGACTCCGTCTCAAAAAAAAAAAAGAAAAAAAAAAACTTAGCCAGGTGTGGTGGCACATGCCTGTAAAATGTGCAGGGGAAGAAGGGCAGGTCCCTTTTTCCCCGTTGTTACCGTGACTGGCAAAGGTTGAGCGTCACCCTCTGGAAACCCGTGTCAAGTGACTTTACAACCAGCTGGCAGAACCACCTCACACCACAGCTGCCTGCTCTCCATGCTGACTCAAGGGGTCTTCTCAGAGACGGCCCAGCCCCAGGGATTCTTCCTGCCCAGCTTCCCAAGCTGACCATACCCTTCCAGAACCAGGGCCTTCTGCTGAGGCTGGCCAGCTGCCAAATGGGGCCAGCAGGGAGCCAGATGTCACTTTCCTGTAAAAATCAGGAGCAACTGGAAACAGACAAGACTGCTTAAACGGATATTATCCACAAATCAGAGCGCAGCCTTTTTTTATTGATTGAGCTTAAGACCTGACATGCCAAACTGCTGGCATCCACAGCTGCTCCTGGTGAAGACCCCCATGCATCCCGCCAGCCTGGATTCAGGCACAGGACTTACCCTTAGTGTTTGGTCAGCTCTCCAGAAGGCAGACACTATCTAAAGCAAAAGAAAAAACAGCATTACCCTCATTGCTCCAGGAACTTCCCAGAGAAAACAGGAGTGGCAAGAACACCGATTTTAGAACCCAGAGAACTTTTTCAGTCTTGTTACCCGGGCTGGAGTGCAATGGCGCAATCCCGGCTCACTGCAACCTCTGCTTCCCGGATTCAAGCGATTCTCCTGCCTCAGCCTCCTGAGGTAGTTGGGATTACAGGCATGTGCCACCACGCCCAGCTAATTTGGTATTTTTAGTAGAGATGGGGGTTTCTCCATGTTGGTCAGGCTGGTCTCGAACTCCCGACCTCAGGTGATCCACCCACCTCGGCCTCCCAAAGTGCTGGGATTACAGGTGTGAGCCACCGCACCCGGCCAAGAACTGTTTCTTTGCTTCCACTGAGGGCACCAGGAGGGTACAGAGCTGGAAGCGCCAGCTGTGCTGTCCCACTGCCTGGACTGCACCTCTTGTTACTCTGACAGCCGCTCTGTAATCACTCAAAGTCTGTTTCCTCATCTGTAAAATGGGAATAATAACAATGCCCATCTCACAGCGTACTAGGGAATACCCAATGAGGCAGCACACGCACAGCAGTGGCACCATGCCTGGCACAGAGGACACACTGGGACGTTAACCGACAGGCTAGGTGGGAAGCGCTTAAGTAAAACCCTTTTCTGCCACCCACTACACATGAACAAGAAGTTCTAGAAACAGTTCGTTTTATCTGAAGTGCTTTCTCTTCCTGCCCACTCCGTCCAGCCTCAGGCCCGCTTTCTCTGCATCTCCGCAGAGCTGTCTCTAATCCTTCAGGAGCTCCCTCTGAATACTGGGAGTCTGGTTCTTCTCTCACTCCACAACTTGAAACTAATAAGGAGCTGTCTTACGTGACCTGAGATGTGTACTCTATTTCCTGGCTATTTCCTCAAATCCTTTCCTGCAGAGACCCCTCTCTGCCATAAGTAAGAGCCCACCTCGTGTTTATGCCCATGGGAGCCCACAGTTGGTATTGTGTAATCACTTTTCGGAGTTTTATTGACTGCTTATTTCCGAAAAAGCCACACCTACCCTAGCCACTAGTCAATGAACAGCAAAATGGAAAAACAGGCCAGCAAGCTCAAATCCCTGTTCAGAGAAAACCAGCTGCCTTGACAGATAACGTCAAGGCTGAAATTCAATGTCTGGGGCACTCAAGTCAATAAAATATTTATTGAGCACATGCCTTGCACAAGGAACTGTATGTACACTCAGGCCCTGCCCACAAAGTGCCAAAAAGCAAGTTGTTAGGGGCTGGTTAAAAGAAGCAAAAATGGGATGGCACGTGAGAGGGACTCCAGCAGTGAGCCACCTAGCCTGCCTGGCTGTGTTACTCTGGGCGTTATTTCACCTCTCTGAGTTTCACCTATGAGAGTCCGTCATTTGTAAGAGATGGATCTAATAGGACCTTCGTAATAGGATTGTTGTGATAATCACATTATGTGTATGTAAGGGGCTTAGCAAGGCCGTCACCACCACACAGTAGTTGACTTTTATTATTAATAACAATAAATCATTACTTATCATCATCGTTATGAAAAGAGAGCCCAGTCCAACTGAATAGATTTGGCAAGCCTTAATAAAGTCCTGTGTCTCGAAGAATAATTTAATTTTGACAGGACAAGATAAGAAGCAAGGCCCTGCAGAAAACAAAGTCAACAAGAACAAGAGCAGAGGGGGGACCGTGAGAAGTGAGTTTGGGGTAACAGTGACTAATCTCACTATGGGGGCTGACACAGAAGAGGGTACCTGCGGAGGCAAATGGAAGAAAGAGCCCAACAGGTGGAATCATATTAGAGAGTCTTGAACGCCAAGATGAAGCAAGCTTTTCATTCGGTAAGTAAGAGGAAATGGTTTATTCTTTTGGCCATTTCCCATCTTCCACCGTCAGGCCCGACTCCTTTGGCAAAGTGTCCACAGGTGAGACTAGAAGGCAGCTAAGAGAAAGAGAGGAAGGCACGGTCAGTCAGGCCCAGGTGAGGTTTCAGAGTGAGCAGGCAAAATGCCCTGCTGCTGTGAAGGAGGCCTCTGGGTGAGAAACCTGCCCCAAAGCAGGAACTTTCAGGATACAAGAAACGGGGCCCATTCAGATGGGGGCAGGACGATATTGGGAGGCAGCCAAAGAGAAGGCCATGCTCATCCTCAATGAAAATGTTGACCAGAGGCCGGGTGCAGTGGCTCACGCCTGTAATCCCAGCACTTTGGGAGGCCAAGGCAGGTGATCACCTGAAGTCAGGAGTTCGAGACCAGCCTGCCCAACATAGTGAAACCCCATCTCTACTAAAGATACAAAAATTAGCCAGGCAAAGGGTTGGTGCCTGTAATCCCAGCTACTCAGGAGGCTGAGGCAGGAGAATCACTTGAATCCGGGAGGCAGAGGCTGCAGTGAGCCAAGATGGTGCCACTGTACTGCAGCCTGGGCAACAAAACAAGACTCCGTCTCCAAAAAAAAAAAAACACAGAAAACGTTGACCTGAACGAGGCCTCCAGCCCATGCAGAAGGTGCCAGTGAGAAATGTGGATTGCCAGATTTACTGCCATACTGACCTTGGTGCTGGCCATCCCTGCCACCTCCAAAAGTAACTCCTTTCCGTATTCCCCATCTTGCACCCTTCTCTCCTCACTGGTTCCCAGTTTGACCCCTTTTCAACTAATTCACCCAAAACACTCATTAGGCACCTACTTGTTCCTGGCACTATTAGGTACTGAGAGGACAGAGGGAAGAGGGACACAGGGAACTGTGGCTTGGGATAAGAGTAGTGAATCTGAGGTCCTGCCCTGCCACTGGTCCCAGAGCCCCCATGAGTGGTGGTGGGAGGACAGGTACCTATCACAGTGCCTGGGGCACTGGAAGTGAGACCGGGTGAAAGCAAGGAGCAGGACAAAAAAGGGAAAAGGGCCTGGGGGACCTACTGTGGGCTACCAGGGACAACCTTCTAGGGGAGATCTTGGAGGTGAGGACTGGCACAGGGAACCGAGTCAGCCAGGCTGCAGCGGGCTTCAGTAGAAAGACAGAAGGCGTTATGACACATGAGGGTACATTGGGGTAAACTGAGGAAACTTTGGATGACAGCCTAATTAATTCAAAAAGCAGATACTGAGCAACTGTAGTGAACAAAGCCCCTTCCCTAAGAGCAGGGCACAGCAGGGTGAAGGAGCCATTAGTAAACAAATGACGGCTGCTTTCAGGGAGCTTACCAGAACACCATGGGACACAATCTGCAGCTCAGGCCTGCAGCTGGGCCCTCAGAGCCCTGTCTGCCTTTTGGGCTTTTTTTTTTCTTTTTTTTTGACAGGGAGTTTCATGCTGTCGCCCAGGCTGGAGTGCAGGGGCGTGATCTCAGCTTACTGCAACCTTCAACTCCCAGGTTCAAGCAATTCTCCTGCCTCAGCCTCCTGAGTAGCTGGGATTACAGGTGCCCGCCACCAGGCCTGGCTAGTTTTTGTATTTTTAGCAGAGAAGGGGTTTCACCATGTTGGCCAGGCTGGTCTCGAACTCCTGACCTCAGGTGATCCACCCGCCTCGGCCTCCCAAAGTGCTGGGATTACAGGCATGAGCACCGCGCCCAGCCCCGTCTACCTTTGCATCTAATCTTGCTTCCTCAGTTTGGTTTCCAGTCACTGACTTACCTGCACCTTAGCAAATCCTAGTGCCCTCACCTGGTTACATCTCCTGTAGAGGCCTCTTCCCAGTGACCAATCAAGTTTCTTACACCCAACAGTGAAGCTGTTTCCCCCACATTCTCCTTCCACCTTCCTCAGCCTTCCTCTTCCAGTTCTAATTGCTTGAAACCTCTGTAACTGGCCAGGCATGATGGCTCATGCCTATAATCCCAGCACTTTGGGAGGTCGAGGTGGGCGGATCACCTGAGGTCAGGAGTTCAAGACCAGCCTGGCCAACATGGTGAAACCCCATCTCTACTAAAAATACAAAAAATAGCCAGGTGTGGTGGCATGCGCCTGTAATCCCAGCTACTCAGGATGCTGAGGCAGGAGAATCGCTTGAACTCGGGAGGCGGAGGTTGTGGTGAGCTGAGATCACACCGCTGCACTCCAGCCTGGGCGACAAGAGCGAAACTCCATCTCAAAAAACAAAAACAAAAAAACCTCTTTAACAAAACCTCTCCAGAATAAAACTTTCTAGCTGCTGAAATCCAATCACTGTTTCTCCACTGCAGCGGCATCAAAAAGAGGTCCACAACTCACCTCCTCCACGAAGCCTTCCCAAGCCCATCCCCTTCCAGGCCATTTCTCCTCTCTCTCGCTTTAGTGTGTGGTTTGCTGTGATTTACTGGCCTCTACTGAACTTCCTCTTCCATGTCCTCCTAGGGCCAATACCTCACCCACTAGGCTCTCTACAAACATCTGCAGCAGGCTGCCTTGCTGCTTAGGTTTTGTTTATTTTCTCTCTCCCCCAATGGGTTTGTCAGCAGTTGCAGGACAAGGATTGACCTCATCGCCCACGCTGTCTCTCGGCCCAGTGTAGGGATAGGAACACTGTAGGTGTGCAAAAGAATGTGATTAAGAGTTCAACAGTTAAGGAGAGCCTGCAGGCAGGAAGCTGTAGCTGCAAGTGAGAGAAATGCTGAGCACATCCACCCCCAGCACAAGTGTTTGCATCACATACAGGGAAAGGGTGCCTTGGGGGAGGCCAGCCAGGGCTGATGGTGGCAGTGGGTACGGGAGCAATAGGGAGGCAGATGGCAGGCACTCTGGAGGTTCTGGTTGTCATCAGCAAGTGTTGGTACTTCTCTGAGCCTGTTTTCTCAGCTGGAGAACGGGTAAGGAGCCCAGGCCTACCTCTTCTCACAAAATAAAGACACAATCTGATTTTTTAGAATTTCAGACGAGGCACGCCTGTAATCTCAGCACTTTGGGAAGCCAGGGCAGGCCGCTCGCTTGAGCGTAGGAGTTCGAGACCAGCCTGGGCAACATGACGGAACCTCGTCTCTACCAAAAAATACAAAAATTAGCTAGGCGTGGTGGCGCCCGCCTGTAGTCCCAGCACTGGGGGACTGTGGCAGGAGGGTCGCTTGAGCCCGGGAGGTCGAGACTGCAGTGAGCCGAGATCGCGCCACTGCACTCCAGCCTGGGTGGGTGACAGCAAGACCCTGTCTAAAAAAGAAAAGAAAACAAAAGAATCTCAAAGTTGCCAGGGACCTAGGGACTTGGCTTCCGACTCTGATGCGCTTTGTAAACTACTAAAAGCTGGAGAAATAAGGGGCTGAGCCCAGCCCCACCTCCTGAATGAGCGGCCTTGGGCGAATCACTGCGTCTGGGCGCCTGGAGCTTCCCCGTCTGAAACAAAGTAGAGGATCCTACGGGAGGCGGAGTGCGAGAGCAAGGAACAAGGAAAGCCCTCGCCTTACACGCCGCGGCTTCCTGCAGAGCTGAGCCACATCCAGTACGATGGGGACAACTTGGGCTCCCGATCCTGACAGACTTGGGTTCGAACCCTCAGGGACCTCGCGCGAGGCGCTTTAGTCAGTTTCTCCATCTGCAAAATGGGCCCGAGAGCAAGAATGAGGCAGCCCGCAGGCGGACGCTGCGGAGGGGCGCTCGGGGGCTGCAGCCGGGGGCGGGTCCGGGGGCGGGTCCAGCCGGCCGAGCCCCCGCGCGAGGGGGAGGGGCGCCGTCCGCTGCGTCGCGTCGCGCACCGCGCACAGCCCGTCGCTGTCTCCTCCAGCCGTCACTCGCGGAGCCCGCGCCGCCTTTGCGCGCGCGACCCTTACATAAGCGTCCCTCGCAGCGGTGCCGGCGCACGTCCACCCGCTCCGACCCGCCGCGGGAAGAGGACCGTGCGGAGCGCGGCGGACACTCACCTCCTCGCCGTCGCCAGTCCTCGCCGCCGCCTCTACCGCTGCTGCCTCCACTGACAGAGAACAGCTGCGGTCTCCGTGCAACCGAACTTGCTGCAGTCCCGGCCCCGCCTTACGGACTTCCTATTGGCCCAGACAGCCCAACCCCTCCCGTTATTGGGCAGTGTTCTCCGTCACTCCTCGCCCCTAGGCTCTGGACTCCTCCCTGTGCCCGCCTGTCCGTCACGTTTAAGCCTTGGCGCCCCACGTCAGCCCCGCCCCTCCCGTCCCCGGCGAGCGCCTGGATAAGTGGCGAGGCTGGGAGAGCCCGCCCCTGGCGCACCACCGCCTACTCCCTTGTCTCCGGAGCCTCACGTGGGCCGCCGGACCCTAGCCGACGCCCGCAATAGGCGGAAGTGGCCGGGCTGTGGCTCGCAGTTATTGGCTGTCGGCGGGGGTGGGGACGTTCGATTCATTCACCCGAGTAGCACGTGTCTCCCGAAGCTGCAAGCACAACAGTTCGCACTGGGGCTCAGGCATCCCGGCTAGACGCAGATACGCGCTGGCTAGCGGAGAAGAGGTCGCAGGAAAAGCTAACGTTAGCGAAGGGCAGGAGGAAGGAGAAGGCGCTTGTGCCACACGGGTTACATGACTATGTCCTTTAACAGCTGCGTAGATGATGATGGGGGTCTACAGTACGTCTGTGTGACCTTGGGCAAGCAACTTAACCTCTGAGTCTCGGTTTTGTCATCTGCAGAGCGAAGCTACTCAGGACCTAGGGGGTTTGGAAGCCTTGTTTGAGACACAAGACACTTGACAAGACCCAAGACACTTGTCAAAGAGGAAAGCTTTGACAAGTGGAACAAGTGACTGAGGCATAAGTCTCTGTCATCGAGGCTTATTAATCCAGTTTGAGGGCGTGCTCGGGAAAAACACGAACCACAGACACATCCGTGGTTGTTTTTCCGAAGAGGTTTTCGGGAGGTTTAGTATTTATGCATTTCCTTAAAGGGGGAATGAGGGGAAGGCATGTAGGAAGAAGGGCAAGTAGGCGATTAGGACAATAGTTACATTCCTATGGGACTTTAGCTAATGCCCGGTAAATCTACGTAAGATGAGATGAATGTCTGAAGAGAAAAAGAGAGTAAAGGAAGAGTCAGTTATGCAGATGTCTCTGAGTAGGTAGTTTTGACTTTGTTCTGCACCTGGGAAAATAAGCTTGTAATGACATTCTTATTGTGGAATTTTTAGGAGCTAGACTTAGATTGTAGACCTGAAGCTACAATTGACCTGTCCTTGTTTATGGGAGGCCAGCAAGAATTTACTTGTGAATGATCTGTGGGGGCAGCCCTTCCCAAATGCCTGAGGTTTTTACCTTTCCGTGTGGATATGGCTGATGCCTAATGCTAGTAACAGCTATTCTTTTGGAAGAGGGTGTTGCAGTGACTCAGCTTCAAGGCTTAATCTTCACTTTCGCATGAATTGGGGCGCTGGGGGGGGGTCCCGAGATTTTTACTTTCATTCACCGCTGCGTAAACTGGGGTCTGTGCCAACCAGGGGATAAGGGAGTGACCAAACAAACCAAAATCCTGCCTTCAAAGGAGAGCAGACAGATTAATATATATATATATATATATATTTTTTTTTTTTTTTTTTTGAGACGGAGTCTCGCTCTGTCGCCCAGGCCGGACTGCGGACTGCAGTGGCGCAATCTCGGCTCACTGCAAGCTCCGCTTCCCGGGTTCACGCCATTCTCCTGCCTCAGCCTCCTGAGTAGCTGGGACTACAGGCGCCCGCCACCGCGCCCGGCTAATTTTTTGTATTTTTAGTAGAGACGGGGTTTCACCTTGTTAGCCAGGATGGTCTCGATCTCCTGACCTCATGATCCACCCGCCTCGGCCTCCCAAAGTGCTGGGATTATAGGCGTGAGCCACCGCGCCCGGCCCAGATTAATACATAGTACATCAGATGGTGATAAGGGCAAAGAGAAAAAATAACCTGCTTCCAAAAAGGAGAATCAAAGACTATGAGAACATCTTGCTAACTAGAAATTGTTTATTGAGCCTGGAGAGATCTGACTCTTCTCTCAGACTTCTTGTATAAGTAGTTTCTCACTCCAACTTCCCTGTCATTCCTTCTACCCGTCCTGAAGAACTCCAACCTTGGGTTGGATCCGACACAGCTATTTTAGTAACAGAACAAGGATTAAGATCCCAGTTCACCTTTGGGAGGCTGAGTAGGGAGGAATACTTGAGCCCAGGAATTTGAGACCAGCATTGGCAACACACTAAGACCTCATCTCTGTCTTTTAAAAATTAAAAAATGGGGCCGGGCTCCGTGGCTCACACTTGTAATCCCAGCACTTTGGGAGGCCGAGGCAGCAGATCACAAGGTCAGGAGTTCAAGACCAGCCTGGCCAATATGGTGAAACCTCGTCTCTACTAAAAAAGTACAAAAATTAGCCGGGTGTGGTGGCAGTCACCTGTAGTCCCAGCTACTGGGGAGGCTGAGGCAAGAGAATCGCTTGAACCCGGGAGGCGGAGGTTGCAGTGAGCCGAGATCATGCCACTGCACTCCAGCCTGGGTGACAGAGCGAGACTCCATCTCAAAAAAAAAAAAAAATTAAAAAATGGGCTGGGCACGGTGGCTCACGCCTGTAATCCCAGCACTTTGGGAGGCTGAGGTGGGTGGATCATCTGAAGTCAGGAGTTCAGGACCAGCCTGATAAACATGGTGAAACCCCCTCTCTATTAAAAATACAAAAATTAACTGGGTATGGTGGTGGGCACCTGTAATCCCAGCTACTCGGGAGGCTGAGACAGGAAAATTGGTTGCAGTGAGCTGAGATTGCGCCATTGCACTCCAGCCTGGGCAACAGAGCAAACCTCCATCTCAAAAAATAAAAATTGGCCAGGTGCAGTGGCTCACACCTATAATCCCAGCACTATGGGAGGCCGAGGTGGGTGGATCACTTGAGGCTAGGTGTTCGAGACCAGCTTGGCCAACATGGCGAAACCCTGTCTCTACTAAAAATACAAAATTAGCCAGGCGTGGTGGTGCATGCCTGTAATCCCAGCTACTAGGGAGGCTGTGGCAGGAGAATTGCTTGAACCCAGGAGCCGGAGATTGCAGTGAGCCAAGATTGCACATTGCATTCCAGCCTGGGCAACAAGAGTGAAAAACTCTGTCTCAAAAAAAAAAAGAAAAGAAAGAAAGAAAAAGAAAAAGTACTTCTCAGCGTAGGCTTCTGTGCCACTAGCAACAGAATCTCCTGGGGACAAGGTGGGAAACACAGATTCCTGAGCCCCATCCCATTGCTCTTATGCATATTAACCACCAACTCAGAGGTCTTAGAATCATCAGCAGAATACCTGAGTCACCTTTGCCTCTTCAATCCATCTCTAGGGACTGAGACTGAAACTGACCCAATAGTCCCATAGACTTTTTTTTTTAATAAACATAGAAATGGACCCTTTTGGTCTTAAAGCTTGAAACTTACATTTGTTTTATCTGAGTTCCTTCCTCAGGAAAGGACACTCAGGCCTCTCAAAAAAAAGTATCAGAGAACTGAAACTCACCAGATCAAGGCATCCAGACAACAAGATGCCAGAACCCACTTTCACCCTGCTTGCTTCCTTACTTCTCCCTAGTTCCTGTTTTTTTTTCTTTTTTTTTTTTTCTGAGACGGAGTCTTGCTGTGTTGCCCAGGCTGGAATGCAATGGTGTGATCTCAGCTCACTGCAACCTCTACCTCCCAGGTTCAAGCAGTTCTCCTGCCTCAGCCTCCCGAGTAGCTGGAATTACAGGTGCCCACCACTACACCTGGCTAATTTTTGTATTTTTAGTAGACCATGTTAGTCAGGCTGGTCTCGAACTCCTGACCTCGTGACCCACCCACCTCGGCCTCCCAAAGTGCTGGGATTACAGGCGTGAGCCATCATGCCTGGCCCCTAGTTCTTGTTTTTTTACACATTGTTACATTTCTTCCCTCTGTGTTAACTCTTAATTTTAGTCACTCAGGGAGATGGATTTGAGACTGATCTTCTATCTCCTAGGCTGTAGCACTCAGTTAAAGCCTTCTTCCTTGGCAATAATTGTCTCAGTGATTAGCTTTCTGTGGAGAAAGCAGCAGGACCTAGATGGAGGCCCTGGTGTTTCAGAAACAAGACCCCCTGCACTGCAGTGCTAGTTTTAGAAGCTCTCCAAGTGGTTCTAATGGAGTCAGTATGAAGACCCACAGGGAGGCTAGAGAAATACTATCTAGGCTTCCTGGATGGTAAGACTCTTCCAGGGCCCTTTAAAAACAAAACCAAGGCCGGGCACAGTGGCTCACGCCTGTAATCCCAGCACTTTGAGAGGCTGAGGCAGGTGGATCACCTGAGGTCAGGAGCTCGAGACCAGCCTGGCCAACATGGTGAAACCCCGTCTCTATTAAAAATACAAAAATTAGCCAGGTGTGGTGGCACATGCCTGTAATCCCAGCTACTCGGGAGGCTGAGGCAGGAGAATCACTTGAACCCGGGAGGCAGAGGTTGCAGTGAGCTGAGATCGCACCACTGCACTCCAGCCTGGGCAACAAGAGCGAAACTCGGTCTCAAATAATAAATAAATAAATAAATATAAAAATAAAAACAAAACCAGATTCCTGGACCCACACCCACCCCTGTGGATAATGATTCAGTCAGTTTGGGGTGGGGCCTAGTAATCTTTTCAATGCTTTTTTTTTTTTTTCTTTTAGCAAGCACTCAATTGATTCCTGAGATCTGGGGAGCTTGGGAAACTTAGCTGAGCTCCTAGGAGGATGCAGCAGCAGCTGAAGCCAGACAGAGGGGCTGAGATGTGCTATGGAAGGCTGGCCAAGGTTAAGCTCTGGTGCAGAGAACACAGGCCGCAGGACTCTGTTGGGAGGGAAATGATGTTCAGGGGGCCCTTACAGAGCAGCTGAGGGGCTGCCCTAAGGCTAGGAGTGTAGGCCTGCTTTATTATTTCTTAATAGCTAACACTCTAAAATGTTCTTGGGCTGGGCCGGGCATGGTGGCTCACACCTGTAATCCCAGCACTTTGTAGGGCTGAGGCAGGTGGATCACTTGAAGTTAGGGGTTTGAGACCAGCCTGGCCAACATGGTGAAACCTCGTCTCTACTAAAAAAATACAAAATCAGCTGGGCGTGGTGGCGCACGCCTGTAATCCTAGCTACTTGGGAGGCTGAGGCAGGAGAATTACTTGAACCTGGGAGGCGGAGGTTACAGTGAGCCAAGATCGCACCATTGCACTCCAGCTTAGATGACAAGAGTGAAACTCCATCTCAAAAAAAAAAAAGGAAATTCTTGGGCCGGCTGCAGTGGCTCATGCCTATAACCCTAGCACTTTGGGAGGCTAAAAGTGGTGAGGAGGCTCTTCCTCTTCCTCTGCCCCAGCTTGTGGGCGTCAGCCCTGGTATGGACCTGGCACCATGATAAAGGGATGCAGCCATGGTGAGGTATCTCCCACAGGCTTTAGGGGCATGAGACTTGGGCAAGTGGGCTTTGAAACAGGAGTGGGAGCTGGGTGTGGTGGTGCATGCCTATAATTCCATACTTTGCGGGGGCCAAGGTGGGTGGATCACTTAAGCCCAGGAGTTTGAGACCAGCGTGGGCAATATAGTGAGGCCTCATTTCTTTTCTTTTTTTTTTTTTTTGAGATGGAGTCTCGCTCTGTCACCCAGGCTGGAGTGCAGTGGCACGATCTCGGCTCACTGCAACCTCCACCTCCCAGGTTCATGCGATTCTCCTGCCTCAGCTTCTCGAGTAGCTGAGACTACAGGCGACTGCCACCACGCCCGGCTAATTTTCTTGTATTTTTAGTAGAGATGGGGTTTCACCGTGTTAGGCATGATGGTCTCAATCTCCTGAATGTGAGGCCTCATCTCTATTAAAAATTGAAAAAGAAAGGCCAGGCACGGTGGCTCATGCCTGTAATCCCAGCACTTTGGGAGGCTGAGGTGGGTGGATCACTTGAGGTTAGGAGTTTGAGACCAGCCTGGCCAACATGGTGAAACCCCATCTCTACTAAAAATACAAAAAATTAGCCGGGCGTGGTGGCTGGCGCATGCCTATAATCCCAGCTACTCGGGAGACTGAGGCAGGAAAATCATTGAACCCGGGAGGCGGAGGTTGCAGTGAGCCGGGATCACACCACTGCACTCCAGCCTGGGTAACAGAGTGAGACTCTGTCTCACAAAAAAAAAAAAAAAAAAAATTGAAAAAAAAAAAGTCAGCCAGGCTTGGTGGGGTGTGCCTATAGTCCCAACTACTGGGGAGGCTAGGTGAGAAGATCGCTTGAGCCTGGGAGGTGGAGGTTTCAATGAACCGAGATTGTGCCACTGCACTGCACTCCAGCCTGGGCAACAGAGCAAGATCCAGTCTTCAGACAAAACAAAACAAAACAAAAACAGGAAGTTGCAGCTAAGAGGCTGGGCTGTGGATAGGTAAAAGGACTGGCTTTACTGTTACCCCAGTAACTCTGGGGGGCACGTTGGGAGTAGCTAACCCATCCCTTTGCTTCTTAGGGACATGTTCAGAGGCTCAGAGACAGAAGAGGGCAGATCTCATAATTGACAGAGACTTCTGCAGTCTGAGAACACAGGGGAGACACTGGCCCTTGGTCCACCTCGGCCGGTGGAAGGTCTGACCACCTTGTGGCGATCCCATGATGGGTTCCACGAGCCCAGTGGAATTGTCCAGACTGAACGGCCAAAGTAGGAGGAGGCTGAAAAGACAGGGCGGTTTCTAGGGGTGAGAAGCCATGGGGTTAAAGGAGCCTGGGAACACAGTGCAGGGAAACATTGGAATTTAGGCTCCCTCCAAGCCAAAAATGGTACTTGAGTGGCCACAGGCAAGGGCACAGGGCCACCTCACACACTTGCAGTTTCCACACCACAAACACTCCTGGCCAATGCCTTGCTTGCTCAGTCCATGCTGGCGGGAGAAATCTTTCTTTTGTCATCTCTGGAGTGGGGATTGGAGACATCTGGGTTGTCCTTATGAGATCCTCAGGGTAAAGCCAGGCTTCTGGATTCTAAACACAGAGGGGTGGGCTGTTTCCAGTCTCATAGTAACAGCTGTGTTTTGAGGGATCTGTAGCTTTGTTTTTTGTTTTTTTGTTTGTTGGTTGGTTTTTGTTTTGTTTTGTTTTGTTTGAGACAGGGTTTCACTCTGTCACCCAGGCTGCAGTGCAATGGTGTGATCTCGGCTCACTGCAACCTCCGCCTCCTGGGTTTAAGTGATTCTCCTGCCTCAGCCTCCTGAGTAGCTGGAATTACAGGCAGCTGCCACCACATCCGGCTAATTTTTTTTTTTTTTTTTTGAGACAGAGTCTCGCTCTGTTGCCAGGCTGCTGGAGTGCAGTGGTGCAATCTTGGCTCCCCGCAATCTCCACCTCCTGGGTTCAAGCGATTCTCCTGCCTCAGCCTCCCAAGTAGCTGGGACTACAGGCATGTGCCACCACGCCCAAGTAATTTTTGTATTTTTAGTAGGGACAGGGCTTCACCATGTTGGCCAGGCTGGTCTTGAACCCCTGACCTCAGGTGATCCACCCGCCTCAGCCTCCCAAAGTGCTGGGATTACAGACGTGAGCCACTGTGCCCAGCCAGGATCTGTAGCTTTGTCTGGGAGCTCCCATCCATCTGGATGTCTCCAACCTTCTTGTTCCTAACTGCCCTGTCCTTGCCACCATGCTGTCTGAACTTGCTGGTATGCTGTCCTCCCTACACCCCAATGGTATGAGGTATCATCATTCCTCTATCCCCATCGTGCCTTCCTGCCTGTGCTTGGGCTGTTTTCCTTGCATGGGATTCCTTTTCTCAATAGATTCACCTGATAAACTCTCTTCCTGTCATATCTCTCTCTCTCTCTCTCAAGACTTAACCCAGCCATTGTCTCCTTCATGAAGCTCTCCAAGGCCACTCTCATGGTGTAAGGGGCCCTCTTAGGACTCCCATAACACCCTGGGCATTATTTCTAGCCCAGCACCACACTGCTTTGAAATGGGGTGCTTTGAGGTCTGTCCCCCAAAACGAGTCTGGGAAAGTAGCTCATTTTTCATAGTGCTGCAGAAATGGCTCAATATCCTCCCACCACCTCATCTTCCTTCCCGGCCCAGGGACACTGTCAGAGCCTCAGAAATTCCTCAGAATTTGCTCCTCTCGGTCCATGCCCCCAATTTGACCTGTTCCAGGTTATCATCTCTTTAACTTTTCCCTCCCCCATAAACATGGCGTCCACTGGACTCTGTGGACTCTGCTTGGTCTCTGGGGCACTCCTATTCGCTGACTATTAAACATTTACTATGTGCTAAACTCAACTCTTGTAGAGGTGTGAGGAGGGAATAAGGGACAGAAGATAAACCCAAGAACTATTTTTTTTTTTTTTTTGAAACAGAGTCTTGCTCTGTCACCCAGGCTAGAGTGCAGTGGCATGATCTCGGCTCACTGCAACCTCTGCCTCCTGGGTTCAAATGCTTCTCTGCCTCAGCCTCCCAAGTGGCTGGAATTACAGGCACCCGCCACCATGCCCAGCTAATTTTTTATTTTTAGTAGAAACGGGGTTTCACCATCTTGGCCAGGCTGGTCTCAAACTCTTGACCTCATGATTTGCCCCCCACACCGCCCACCTCCCAAAGTGCTGGGATTACAGGCGTGAGCCACTATGCCTGGCCAATTTTTAAAATTTCTATAGAAATGGGGACTCCCTTTGTTGCCTAGGCTGGTCTCAAACTCCTGCCCTCAAGTGATCCTCCCCTGCCTCGGCCTCCCAAAGTGCTGGGATTACAGGTGTGAGCCACTGCACTTGGCCCACAAACAATTTCAAATTAAATAAATGTATATCTGCACAGTCACTCATCTTACTTCTGGTGAGCATTATTTTTTTCATTTTTTTATTTATTTAAAAAACTTTTTCTAGACAGAGTCTCAGTCTGTTGCCCAGGCTGGAGTACAGTGTCACGACCTCTGCTCACTGCAACCTCCACCTCCCAGGTTCAAGCAATTGCTGTGCTTCAGCCTCCCGAGTAGCTGGGATTACAGGTGTGTGCCCCATACCCGCTGATTTTTGTATTATTAGTAGAGTTGGGGTTTCACCATGTTGGCCAGGCTGGTCTTGAACTCCTGACCTCAGGTGATCCACCCACCTCACACTCCCAAAATACTGGGATTTACAGGCATAAGCCACCACGTCCAGCCGCATGGGTGATTTTTGTATTTTTTTTAGAGACAGGGTTTCGCCATGTTGGCCAGGCTGGTCTTGAACTCCTGGCCTCAAGTGCTCTGCCTGCCTCGGCCTCCCAAAGTGCTGGGATTACAGACATGAGCCACTGCGTCCAGCCTGGGCATCATATTTTCAAGGAGAAAGTCTAGTACTACTAACTGCTAGATTTATAATTTTGTCTGATCCTCCTAGAGGGTATATGAAGACTCAGGCCCCACCCATGGAGGGTAGAACACACATTTGCTGAAGACTTTATGTGCTGGGCTGACTCAACTGGGCTGGATTCCAGGCCCATCACTGACTATGCTTCTGTCATTTCAACGGAGAGAAGAGGAAATGAGGATAAGTTCCAGAGGGATGCAAGGGTGAAGTGCACTCACAAAGGTCAGTCTCCAGGGTAGAGGGCACGCCCCACCCCTGCTGCCCTCCAAGGTCAGTCAGACTTCCAATGTCTAATTCTCAAGGTTCTGGCGAGTGGGCTCTCGGGACTGGGCTCCAACATCATCTTCTCCGAGAGGCCTGCCTAGATCCTCCCCTCCCTCAAACCAGATGTGGTCTCTCATTCTCTTCTGTTCACCAAAACAAGGTCTTGCCCACAGCAGGTAGATGTAGATCACATTCACTGGCTCACTCCTAAGGAACATGGTAGCCTGCCCCAGCTTGCAGCCTTCCAGTATGTCTAAGCCTCACCAGAACTTTAAATGACATCAGCCATGTACATGAATAAATACAGGAAATACCTCTTTCCTACTTCACTTCAGGAAATAGATACTACTGTGTTTTGTTAATTTCAAGCCACACTTTTTTTCCTCCACATTTTAACCTCTCTAAAAAGGGCCTGCACCTTCCAATGAGTGGGTAATGGGTACTCTCTCTTCCTTCCTTCCTTCCTTTCTTTTTTTTCTTTTTTTTTTCTGAGACAGGGCCTCACTCTGTTGCCCAGGCTGGAGTGCAGTGGCTTCAATCACAGCTCACTGCAGCCTCAACCTGCTGGGCTCAAGCGATCCTCCCACCTCAGCCTCCCAAGTGGCTGGGACTGCAGGCACATGCCACCAGGCCCAGCTATTTTTTTTTTCTATTTTTTTGTACAGGCAGGGTGTCATGTTGTGCAGGCTGGTCTTAAACTCCTGGGCTCAAGCAATCCTCCTGCCTTGGCTTCCCAAAGTGCTGGGATTATAGACGTGAGCCACCGTGCCTAGCCCAGATATTCTTTCTTAATGGTATATAAAATACTGCCACCTTTCCGTAGATGTCCTCTTAGATTTGATGAAATAAAGCATTATTCCTGTGTTATAGCTGAGAAATTATAGACACATGAGGTTAAGCCACTCACCCAAGACACAGAGCCAGTACATGAAAGGGCAAGGCTTTAAACTCAGGTAATGGAGGAGGCCTGGAATCCTCGGTGTCTGTGGTAGGCCATCTCCAAGACAGTCCCCAGTGATCCTAGCCTCCTGGTGTTCACACCCTTGTGTAATCTCCACCCCTTGAGGGTAGGCTGGACCTGGTGACTTGCCTCTAAGGAACAGAATAAAGCAAGTGATGGGTTGTCATGTTCTGGGTGGGAAAGTCTATGTACACGTATCCCCAAAACCCAAGGAAGCTGAGGCCAAAGAAAGCGGCTGACAAATTCGGTTTCTTAGAAAAAACATTTCTTTTTTTGTTGTTTCTTTTTGAGACGGAGTCTCGCTCCGTCACCCAGACTGGAGGGCAGTGGCACCATCTAGGCTCACCGCAACCTCTGCCTCCCAGGTTCAAGCGATTCTCCTGCCTCAGTCTCCCGAGTACTTGGGGTTACAGGTGCCCGCCACCATGCCCGGCTGATTTTTGTATTTTTAGTAGAGACCGGATTTCGCCATGTTGGCCAGGCTGGTCTCGAACTCCTGACCTCAAATGATCCGCCTGCCTTGGCCTCCCAAAGTGCTGGGATTACAGGTGTGAGCCACCACACCCAGTAAAAAAGAAACATTTAATATAGATTTAGGAACAGAAGCCAAGTCTGTGTCTCAGGCTGCAGCAAGACGTGATGGTGGATCCCCAGGCCATAAAGCCCCAGACCCAGGGCTTATATACCACAGGGCAGGAATGTGTAAGACAAGTAAAGTTGAGACCTCAGAGAAAGGCAAGAATGTGATATGAATCTGCCTATGGGTAAGATTTCTGGTAACAGTAGATAAAGTAGAAATCTTAGAGGCATTCCCAGAATGGGGGTTAATAAGAAGTCAACATGGTGGATTAGCATCCAAGATGGAGCTGCTCTGGACTCCACATGTCACTTCTGCAGTTAGGTCCCCAAAGATCCTGGCTTGTCTTTCTCGCCATCTCTTGCTCTCACTCGCTTGCTCTGATTAAAGCCAGCTGCCACATAGTGAGATGGTCTTTGGAGAGGCCCAAGTAGCAGCAATCAACCATCAACAAACAGAAGCCCTCAGTCCCACAATCCGAAAAGAATTGAATTATGCAAACAACCACAAGAATGAGCTTGGAAGCAGATTCACCCCAGAAGGACCTGGAGAAGAGTTGACTGTAGCCTCCGAGAGATCCGAGCCAGAGACCTGCTAAGCCACGCCCCCATTCCTGACCCACAGAAACCAGGATAATAAATGTGTGTTGTTTTAAGTCTCTAAGTTTTGGGGTAATTTGTTAGATAGCAATAGACAACTAACAGTCTCCAATATTTAATGCCAGTTATTTACTGTGTTGGGTCGTGGGGACATTAAGGTGTTCTTTTAGCCTTCAAGGGGTACCTAGTCTGGTGAGGTAAGGCAGACATGTGTGATTGTGTTACTGTGTGTATTGGGTCATTGGGTGGGCTGGAGAGGGGACTGCCTATCTTACACAGCCTGGAGGTGTCAGGGCAGGCTTTTTGGGGAGGTGTCACTCACAAAGCAGAATTTTGAAAGGTGAGTAAGAGCTTGCCAGTTGCTATAGTTTGAATGTCTGTTCCAAAACTCATGTCGAACTATAATTGCCATTATGACAGTATCAAGAGGTGATTAGGTGACTGGATTACTGCAATTATCAGGAAGTGGGTTCTTGATAAAAGTGAGTTCAACCCCCTCTTGTCCTTGCTCACGTTTACTTTCTCTTACCCTTCCACCTTCTGCCATGGGATGACATAGCACGAAGGCCCACATCGGAGGCTGATGCCATTCTTTTGGACTTCCCAGCCTCCAGAACCATGAATCAAATGAACAGTTGTTTAGAAATTAACCTGTCTCTGTTACAGCAACACTAATCAGCCTAAGATACCAGGTGAAGAAGGCAGAGAAGCAGTGAGGAGGGAAGGAGGAGAACACAGATTTTCTCCCTCTCCTCAGTGGATTTGGGAAGTTGTTTTAAGACTGCATCCTTGGCAAGAGGGTACTCCGCAGCTATGTGCTTGACGCAAGAGTGAGTGATTCATCCCACCACATCTCAAAAGTCTGTGAGTCAGCCAGTTCTTCCTGGGCTCAGACCTTTGTGAGAGTGGGGATTTGAGTTGACTACGTGTGTTGAAGTGAGGGCGTTGAAGATTGTGTAATGGTTTTGTTGCTTTTTAACCAGGGTCAGGATTGACCTTTGGTGTGTTGTCAGGGTTGAAATTAAAAGGTCTGGGTACAAATCAGAGCCAGTGTTTGGGACAGGCTGGGGCAGAAGGTCAGGGCTCCTTTTTTACATTCTCTTCACACTGGCCCTGTCATAGGTCCTCTGGGAGCTGAGCCTGGCAGATTTTAAGCAACCCTTCACCCAGGGAAGATTCAGAAACGGAGCAGAAAGGATGAGGGCAAGGCCAGGCCCTAGGGGACAAGGCTAGTGTGAGCCAAGAGCTGCAGCCAGCACTTCCCTGGCCCTGAATAGGGGTGCCCTCTGCAGTACCCCAAACATGGAGGAGGCAGGACAGCTGGCTTCCAGTCCTGCCTCTGCTGCCGAGTCTGGGGAAGGAGACCTGAGTGACTGAAGCATGGGTTTTTAAAGCCCGGCTGACCAGGGTGGCCGACCAGCTCTGCCACTTAGTGGGCATGCTCTCCAGCCAGGTGCTTAATCTCCCTGATCCTCAGTTTTCTGATCTATAAAATGAGATGACAATCCCCACATCATAGGACTATCATGAGGTTTAAATGAAATCTGTGAAGGGGTTGACTCAAAACAGTGGTTAAAACAAAAAGGAGCTGGGTGTGATGGCTCATGCCTGTAATCCCAGCTAGTCAGGAGGCTGTGACAGGAGGATCACTTGAGACCAGGAGTTTGTGACCAGCCTGGGAAACATAGAGAAACCTTCTCTCTAAAATAAACAAAGAAATACATAATAAAAATAAAACAAAAAGGAGCATGGAACAGATGTATGAGGTCCCTTCAGCACTCAAATTCTACCATTCTGAGGCCAGGCGTGGTGGCACACTTTGGGAGGCTGAGGTGGGCAGATTGCTTGAGCTCAGGAGTTCAAAACCAGCCTGAGTAACATGATGAAACTCCATCTCTACAAAAAATACAAAAATTAGCCAGGCGTGGTGGCACATACCCGTAGTCCCAGCTACTCAGGAGGCTGAGGTGGGAGGATCACTTGAGCCCAGGTGGTCAAGGTTGCATTGAGCTGAAATTGTGCCACTGCCCTACAGCCTGAGCAACAGAGTGAGACCCTGTTTCAAAAAACAAAACAACCATTCTGAGGAATCTGCTGGCCCAGCCCCAAGCTTCTTTCTCTTCCTCCTGTCTTGGGGGAAAGAGTTGCTGCCAGTAGTCTCACCTTTAGAAGCATCCACACTCATGATTTCATCTTATTTTTGAAACAACCCATTTTACAGGCTGGGTGCGGTGGCTCATGCTTGTGATCCTGGCACTTTGGGAGACCGAGGTAGGTGGATCATGAGGCCAGGAGTTTGAGACCAGCCAGGCCAATGTGAAACCCCATCTCTACTAAAAATACAAAAATTAGCCAGGCATGGTGGCATGTGCCTGTAATCCCAGCTACTCGGGAGGCTGAGGCAGGAGAATCGCTTGAACCCGGGAGGCAGAGGTTGCAGTGAGCCAAGATCGCGCCACTGCACTCCAGTCTGGGCGCCAGAGAGAGACTCCATCTCAAAAAAAAATTTAAAAAGAAACAACCCATTTTACAGATGAGACTGAAAGGATCTGCCCACGGCAGTGAATACCACTGATATGGTTTGGATTTGTGTCCGCACCAAACTTCATGTTGAATTGTAGTCCCTAGCGTTAGAGGTGGTTGGCTCATGGGGGTGGATTCTCGTGAATGGTTTAGCCCCATCCCCTTGGTGCTGTTTTCATGATAGTGAGTTCTTGTGAGATCTGGTTGTTTCAAAGTGTGTAGGCTGAGCACAGTGGCTCACGCCTTTATTCCAAACACTTTGGGAGACTGAGGTGGGCAGATCACTTGAGCCCAGGAGTTCAAGGCCAGACTGGGAAATATAGCAAGATCCTGTCTCCACCAAAAATACAAAAAATTAACTGGGCGTGGTGGCAGGCACCTATAGTCCCAGCTACTCAGGAGGCTGAGGCACGAGAATCACTTGAACCCGGGAGGCGGAGGTTGCAGTGAACCAAGATCGCGCCACTGCACTCCAGCCTGGGCGACAGACTGAGACTCTGTCTCAAAAAAAAGTGTACAGCACCTCCCGCCACGCTCTCTCTTTCTCCTGCTCCTATCATGTAAGATGCCTCATCCCCGCTTTGCCTTCCACCACGGTTGGAAGCTTCCTGAGGCCTCCCCAGCAGCAGAAGCTGCTATGCTTCCTGTACAGCCTGCAGAACCATGAGCCAATTAAACTTTTTGTCTTTATAAATTACCCAGTCTCAGGTATTTCTTATTTTTATTATTATTATTTTTTGAGACAGATTCTCTCTCTGTTGCCCAGGCTGGGGTGCAGTGGCGCAATCTTAGCTCACTACAACCTCCGCCTCCTGGGTTCAAGCGATTCTCCTGCCTCAGCCTCCCGAGTAGCTGGGATTACAGTTGCCCACCACTACACCTGGATAATTTTTTGTTTTGTTTTGTTTTGTTTTGAGACGGAGTCTTGCTCTGTTGCCCAGGCTGGAGTGCAGTGGCACGATCTCGGCTCACTGCAACCTCTGCCTCCTGGGTTCAAGCAATTCTCCTGCCTCAGCCTCCCGAGTAGCTGGGATTACAGGCACACGCCACCATGCCTGCCTAATCTTTGTATTTTTTCAGTAGAGACGGGGTTTCACCATGTTGGCCAGGCTGGTCTCAAACTCCTGACCTTGTGATCCACCTGCCTCAGCCTCCCAAAGTGCTGGGATTACAGTTGTGAGCCACTGCAACCTGGCCTAATTTTTGTATTTTTAGTAGAGAAGGGGTTTCACCATATTGGCCAGGCTGGTCTTGAACTTCTGACCTCAAGTGATCTACCCGCCTCAGCCTCCCAAAGTGCTAGGATTACAGGCATGAGCCACTGCTCCCAGCCTCAGGTCTTTCTTTATAGCAGCAGGAGAACGGACAAATACAACCACCAACTCACTTTGTTCGAGGGCTTGCTGTGTGCCAAGCCCTGTGGACCACATTTAATACGCACAACAATTACCCAAGTTATTTGTCCCTCTTACGAATGAAGGAGAAAAATGTGCCCAAGGTCACAAGGCTGCAAGGAATGAAGCTACAGTTTACCCAGAGGCAGTTGGTCCTCAGAGCTTGAGTGCTCAAGGATAGTGCTGTGCTGCTGGGACATTAGGGGCAGCGCTGGGCCTGGAAAAAATCCAGGCCTCCTGACTCCTAGCCTGGAGCCGTCCTGTTTCCTTCTGTTTCTTAAAAAAAAAAAAAAAAAAAAAGAAATTCTCCAGTATTGTATAACACATATACCATAAAGTTTACCATTTCAACCATTGTTGTGCAACCAATCTCTGGAACTCTTCATCTTATGAAATCTGAAAATTTACAGCCATTAAATTCTTCATTCCTCCCTCCCCCAGTGCCTGGCAACGGCCATCCTCCTTGCTGTCTTTGTGAATGTGATTGTTCTAGCTTGGAGCCATACTGATGCTTTTTTGAAAAATATATTTCTTTTTGAGACGCAGTCTTGCTCTGTCACCCAGGTTGGGTGCAGTGGCACAATCTCGGCTCACTGCAACCTCCGCCTTCTGGGTTCAAGTGATTCTCCTGCCTCAGCCTCCTGAGTAGCTGGGATTACAGGCGCCCGCCACCATGCCCAGCTAATTTTTTGTATTTTTAGTAGAGACGGGGTTTTACCATGTTGGCAAGGCTGGTCTGGAACTCCTGATCTCAGGCAATCTGCCTGCCTCGGCCTCTCAAAGTGCTAGGATTACAGGCGTGAGCCACCGGGCCTGGCCCAATTCTTAAAAGGCTGTCTCTGTTTGGTTGTTAAGCCATGGTGCTCAGTGTCAATGGATGCCGGGGCCATAGAGATTCAGAGGAGAACAAACTCTTCAGGGATGAGGTAGTCAGGGAAGCTGCCTAGAGGAGAAGGAGGAGAAGGAGGAGGGGGGAGGGAGAGGGGAGGGGAAGGAAGGGGGAGGGGAGGGGAGAAGGAGGGGGGAGGATGGGGGAGGAGGGAGGGGGGAGAGGAGGGGAGGGGGAGGGGAGGGGGAGGGGGGAAGGATAGGTGAAGGAGGGAGTGGCAATTTCCTCCCCTTGGCCTTCACTCCTTGACCCAGAAGGTGGGGAGGCAGTGGTGAGGTGACTCAGGGATGCTTGGCCCTGTGGCCTGCCCTTTGATTTATGAAAGCCACCTTGGCAGCACCAACCTTTGCCCCCAGTGATCTCTTGTCAGATGGGTGGAGGCACTGGGCCACCTCAGAGGGCCAGTGTCTTGCTGAGGGGCCGGAGCAGTCCTGTGCCTGCAGCCTCCGGAGCCATGGGAACAGGGCTGCGAAGTCAGTCCTTGCGAGAGCCCCGACCCTCCTATGGAAAGCTGCAGGAGCCCTGGGGGAGGCCCCAGGAGGGCCAACTCCGCAGGGCGCTAAGCCTCAGACAGGGGCAAGAGAAGTCCAGGTCCCAGGGCCTCGAGAGAGGCACAGAAGGGCCAGATGCCACTGCCCAGGAGCGGGTGCCGGGGAGCCTGGGGGACACAGAGCAGCTGATCCAAGCCCAGCGAAGAGGCAGCCGGTGGTGGCTGAGGCGGTACCAACAGGTATGGCTGTGGGCTGAAGGATGGAGGGTACCACAGCAGGTGGGCAGGGATTCCAGGGCAGGAAAGGTTCAGAGACAGAGCCAGCCCAGGCTGTGTACCAAGATGACAACCGAGCTGCCTGGAGATGAGGGTGCAGAGAGAGACACCCCAGAGCCACGTTTCAGAGGGCCCTGAAGGCATTTGGGATTTATCCCACAGGCACTGGGGAGCCACTGAAGGTTTTAGAGGAGGAGGGTGATATGGTAAGCGCTGTTTTTAGCTGATTGATAGTATGCTGGATGGGGGAATAGAGCAGGAGGCAAGGAGATCAGCCAGTGCAACTTCCTGGGAAGTACACTGTGTGACCCTCTCACCCCAGAGAAAAAGGGGAGATCTGGACCCCTTTGTGGGGGGCTGCAGGCTCCCTCCTCTAAGAGACAGGGTCTCCAATGAGCAGTGCTTCTCTACCTGGGGTCTACCCCCACCTCGTGGCTATGGGTGGAACAACATCTAAGCCCACCACTCAGCCCATGGGACCTCCCCCACCTCTGTCTTCCAGCAGGTAAGAAGAAGGTGGGAGAGCTTTGTCGCCATCTTCCCCAGCGTGACTCTGAGTCAGCCGGCCTCCCCGTAGCCCACACTGGGCACCATCAGCTAAAGATGCTGGAAGCCATCGTGGCCCCCTTGCTGTGCCTGGACCAGCCCACCGTGTCTGCTGACCTACCTCTTCACAGCTCTCTGGACTTTGGCTGGGTGGCCCTAGGAGGCTTCTGCCACCAGCTCACTGGAGTCGCCACGTGGCTGCCACTCTTAGCTCTGGCCCTTCCACTCCAGCACTAGCTCTCTTTGAAGATCCCAGCAGGGTCAAAAAGAAGGGGGCTCAGCTGTCTGCCCTCTGGGCTTGGGTAGGGGCCTTGGACTATGATTCTATGAAGGTTTAGAAGAAGCCTGCCCGGAATGGGGGCTGTGGACGCTCCTGCCCCACACGACCAGCTGTCAACTTCCAGGACGGAGCTTGATGAAGCCAGACCCATGGCCGAGAGGCTCACGGACGTTGCCTGGTCACTGGGCCATGACCCAACTGCCCTTCTTGTCAGTTGCTGATGGTGGGCCAGGGCGCAGGTCTCCCTCCCAGATGGTGAGCCCTCTGGGGCAAGGACCACAGCTGGGTGGCCCTCCTGGCTGAGCACTCTGTGCTGAAAACCTTTGAACCTCACGGTGTCCTGATGAAGGAAGCAGAGGAAGTCTTCCTCCCTGTGTGACAGAGGGGGAAACTGAGGCCCAGAGTGGGGAAGGGATTTCTTGGTTTTGACATCTCCGACCCCACCCCACCCCATCCAGTGTCCAGCACTGGAGTCGAACACAGTAATAAAGATGCTGAGAAAAAGTCAACGATTTGCCTGGTGACTAACTCGCTGGCTCAGACCCCCACCCCCCCACCCCTGCTGACCCCTGTGAGGCAGGCTAAGCCCAAAGCATCCCAGAATGCTTGGGCAGGGGCACCAGGGCCCGGGGCGGGCTGGATCCCCCACCAGGCTGGGCCTTTCCTGCCACTTCTCTGGACCTTTCTCCCCAGAGGGATTGTGCCCACCCTGTGCTGACCTCAAGGCCAGCTTCAGAGGACCTGGCTCTCAGTGTCCTGCCTCTGTGCCCACCCCACTGAGGTGGGGCTCCTTCTGAGGCTTAGAGAGGCAAGGGCCACACAGAAGGAGAGGGTCTGACCCCAAAAAGCCTGAGCTCTTCGAGAGACACTGGCACTTTTTGCAGGGCCCCTGGGGCTCTCCAGGCTCAAGCAGGCCCAAGGACAAAGGTGAGGGAGCAGCTAAGTATCCTGGTCCAGGATCTGTTCCGGGGGGTGTTGTCCAGTGGACAGAGGGGAGGCTTCCGTTTCCCCAGAGACCAGGCCCCATCAGGGCCATTCAGAAACAAGGGGGGAGCTGGGAAAATTTTCTTCCAGGAAGCCTAGGGTGCCTGGCTGGGAAGCTAGATGGTAGGAGCCCACCAGAAGCCTTGAGCCCGGCCGGTCTTATGCTTCAGATACCCTTCTCAGCTTCTTCTGCAGTAGTACCTGAGGTGCCTCTGGGGAACCCCAGGACTCCAGGGAACAGAATTGAAATTCACAGCTCTGACCCACCTCTCAGTGTCTGGAGGAGGACCTCTCAATGTTCCTCCTCAATGTCTGGAGGAGGAAAATGGCGCCCAGAATGGGGCAGGACTTCTCATCCTCCAGGACGCTGCCCTCCAAGTTTGTCCCAGCCTCTTTATCCTCAGAGAATCTCTAGCCCAACTCCCAGCAGTTCTAATTGTCACACTGACCAGTTAGTCTAGTTATGTGCTTTTTTATTTTCCTTTCTTTCTTTCTTTTTCTTTCTTTCTCTTTCTCTCTCTTTTTTTTTTTTTTTTTTGTCTAGTTATGTGCTTTTTTTTGAGATGGAGTCTTGCTCTGTCACCCAGATTGGAGTGCAGTGGCATGATCTTGGCTCACTGCAACGTCCGCCTCCCGGGTTCAAGCAATTCTCCTGCCTCAGCCTGTATTCTCCTGCTTCATCCAAGTAGCTGGGATTACAGGCGCCTGCCATCACTCCTGGCTAATTTTTCTATTTTTAGTAGAAATGGGGTTTCATCATGTTGGCCAAGCTGGTCTCAAACTCCTGACCTCAGGTGATCCGCCCTCCTTGGCCTCACAAAGTGCTGGGATTACAGACATGACCCACAGTGCCTGGCTTTTTTCTTCCATTACACTGAAAGTTCCACGGAAACCTGGTCTGTTCACTACCAGGACCCCAGTGCCTAGCTCTGGGCCTGGCACATAGTAGGTGTTTAATGAATTATCATTCAGTGAATGAGGGACTGGCCCAAGGTCACCCAGTGAGTTGATGGCTGAACTGAGCCTGAGTCTCATGGGTTTGGGGGGGTCCTGTTCAGACAGAGGAATTCTAGCCTTGTCAGCAACCCCATCAACAGGGACCACATCTCTGGGGTCCTTGGCTGAGGCCTCCCCCAAACATTCACACACTCTGGTAGGTAGGTTGCTTCCAAAGATGTCCATAACCGTCTCTCCCATCACATCTCCCCCATGCATTGTCTTGTCACACCTCTCATCTAGAGTGGAGTCTATGGGGGGCCAAGGTAGGAGGATCTCTGGAGCCCAGGAGTTCCGGGATGCAGTGAGATGTGATTGTGCCACTGTACTACAGTCTGGACTAGACAGCAAGATCCCATCTCTTAAAAAAAAAAAGTGGGATATATTTTCCCTTTCCTTGACTCTAGATGGGCCGTGTGACCTGCTTTGGCCAATAGAATGCATTGGAAATAATGTTCTGGGACTTTGCCACCTAGGCCTCAATAGGCCTTGCAGCTTCTGTTTTCGCTGTCCTCTGTTTCTACCTCTAGAAGCCAGATGCCGTATAAAGAACTCTGGGCCATCCTGCCAGGCACGGTGGCTCACACCTGTAATCCCAGCAGGTGGATCGCCTGAGGTCAGGAGTTTGAGGCTAGCCTGGCCCACATGGTGAAACCCCATCTCTACTAAAAATACAAAAATTAGCCGCACATGGTGGCGCAAGCCTGTAATCCCAGCTACTCGGGAGGCTGAGGCAGGAGAATCACTTGAACCTGGGAGGCGGAGGTGGCAGTGAGCCAAGATCGTGCCATTGCACTCCAGCCTGGCTACAAGAGCAAAACTTCATCTCAAAAAAAAAAAAAAAAAAAAAGATTGAAAAAAAAGAACTCTGGGCCATCCTGATAGGAAGGCCATGTGGAGGTCAAGGGCCACATGGAAGAGAACCAAGGTACCCCAGCCAACAGCCAGAACCAACTGCCTGTCATGTAAGTGAGCCCCCAGCCCAGCTCCTAGCTGACTGCAGCCTGGCTCACCCCAGCTGACACCACATGGAGCAGAAGAACCACCCAACTGAGCCCAGCCAACCCATGGAATTGAGATCTAAGAAACCCTTTTTGCTTTACACCTCTAGGTTTAGGGTGTGTTACATTCCTAGGACTGCCAAAACAAATTATCACAAACTGGGTGGCTTAAAACAACAGAAATTTGTTCTCTAATACTTCTGGAGTTCACAAGTCCAAAATCAAGTTGTTGGCAGTGCTGCACTACTTCTGAAGGTTCTAGGGAAGAATTCTTCCTGCCTCTTCCTAGCTTCCTGTGGTTGCTGGCAATCCTTGGTATTCCTTGGCTTTCGGAAGCATCATTCCAATCTATGCCTCCATCATCACATGGCATTCTCCTTGTGTGTCTGTGACCAAATTTCCCTCTTCTTATTTTTTTTTTTACACAAAGCATCTTTCTCTGTCGCCCAGACTGGAGTGCAGTAGCATGACCATAGCTCAAGTGTAACTTTGAACTACTGGGCTCAAGGGATCCTCACACCTCAGCCTCCTGAGTAGTTAGGACTACGAGCATGTGCCACCATGCCTGGCTGATTTTTCTTTTTTTCTTTTTTTGACACGGAGTCTCCCTCTGCCGCCCAGGCTGGAGTGCAGTGGCATGATCTCGGCTCACTGAAAGCTCCGCCTCCTGGGTTCACACTATTCTCCTGCCTCAGCCTCCCGAGTAGCTGGGACTACAGGTGCCTGCCACCATGCCCGGCTAATTTTTTGTATTTTTAGTAGAGATGGGGTTTCACCGTGTTAGCCAGGATGGTCTCAATCTCCTGACCTCATGATCTGCCCGCCTCGGCCTCCCAAAGTGCTGGGATTACAGGCGTGAGCCACCACGCCTGGCCACCTGGCTAATTTTTTTATTTTAATTTTTATTTTTATATATTTTTTGAGATGGAGTCTCACTCTGTCACCCAGGCTGGAGTACAGTGGTGCCATCTCAGCTCACAGCAACCTCTGCCTCCTGGGTTCAAAGGATTCTCCTGCCTCAGCCTCTTGAGTAGGTGGAATTACAGGCACCCGCCACCATGCTCAGCTAATTTTTTTGTGTATGTGTATTTTTAATAGAGATGGGGTTTTACCATGTTGGCCAGGCTGGTCTCAAACTCTTGACCTCAGGTGATCTACCTGCCTTGGCCTCCCAAAGTGCTGGGATTACAAGCTGAGCCACTGCGCTCAGCATTTTTTTTTTTTTTTTGAGACAAGGTCTCACTTTGTCACGCAGGCTAGAGTGCAGTGGCACGGTCTTGGCTCACTGCAGCCTCAGCCCCCCAGGTTCAAGCAATTCTCTTGCCTCAGCCCCCCAAGTAGCTGGGACTACCACCTGGCTAATTTTTGTATTTTTTGTAGAGGTGGGGTTTTGCCATGTTGCCCAGGCTGGTGTTGAACTTCTGTTCTCAAGCAATCCTCCCATCTTAGCCTCCCAAAGTGCTGGGTTTACAGGCATGAACCACTGCACCTGGCCAAACTTTCTCTCTTTTTTTTTTTTTGAGATGGAGTCTCTCTCTGTTGCCAGGCTGGAGTGTAGTGGTGCGATCTTGGCTCACTACAACCTCCGTCTCCTGGGCTCAAGCGATTCTCCTGTCTCAGCCTCCAGAGTAGCTGGGAATACAGGTGCGCACCACCACACCCAGCTAATTTTTGTATTTTTAGTAGAGAGGGGGTTTCACTGAGTTGGCCAGGATGGTCTCAATCTCTTGACCTCATGATCCGCCCACCTCAGCCTCCCAAAGTGCTAGGATTATAGGCATGAGCCACCGCGCCCAGCTAATTTCTCTCTTCTTGTAAGGACAACTGTTGTATTGGGTTTAGGGGCCACTCTACTCCAGTATGACCTTAACTTGATTATATCTGCAAAGACCCGGTTTCCAAATAAGGTCATATTCACAGGTTCCAGGTATGCATGAATTTTGCGGAGACAAAATTCAACCCAGTAGAGGGGGGTAGTTTGATATGTGTAATAGGCAACACACACACCTCCTTCCCGTGACACTGGTGGCAGGGTAGCTCTCAGCTGGGGCACAGTAGCTTGAGGACAATGCCAAGAGAGGATCAAGGCATTTGATTATAACCTTCCTGGAAGGAATAAAGTTACGCGGTGCTGCAGACTGGTTGCCACGGCTGGGTAAAACCTTTACAACAGGCTCTGAGGTCCATTAGAAAACTTGTCTCAGCCAGGTGCAGTGGCTCACACCTGTAATCCCAGAACTTTGGGATGAGAAAGCAGGCAGATCACTTGAGGTCAGGAGTTCGAGATCAGCCTGGCCAACATGGTGAAACCCAGTCTCTACTAAACAAATAAAAAAATTAGCCAGGTGTGGTGGCGAGCACCTGTAATCCCAGCTACTCGGAAGGCTGAGGCAGGAGAATCGCTTGAACCCGGGAGATGGAGGATGCAGTGAGCCGAGATCTCCCCACTGCACTCCAGCCTGGGCAACAGAGCAAGACTCTGTCTCACAAAAAAAAAAAAAAAAAAAAAAAATTAATGAAAGGAAAAAAAACTTGTCTCTTTACCAGTAACTTGGAAAAGCAGGGGAAAAAGGCAAAAAAGAAAGAAAACTTGTCCCCAGGCTGGAGGCCAGAAGGGTGGCCACAGAGTTTCTAAATTGGGTGACCGCTCTTCTGTCAATAATAGTCCCTGAAGAATTTTTAAACAGAGGAAGACAGGAAGAAGGAAAATAGCGTTTCTGAATCACTCACGGGGTCCACGCCTTCTTCTGGGCACTCAGCCAGGGCCATCTGGAGAGACAATAGGATTCAGTGGCTAACCGCGCTGGTGCTGGGGCCAGACTACCTGGGTTTGAATCTTGACTCTACCACTTGGTGGTTTATAACCCTGAGCAAGTCACTTATCTTCTCTGCCTCGGTTTCCTCATTTGTAAAATGCAGCTAATAACGGCACTCAGCTCCTAGGGTCACTGAGGGGCTCTCATGAATGTAAGGTCCTTAGCACTGCCCAGAACAGAGGAAGTATCCTTATGATCTAATCATCCTCGTGGCAGCCACACAGGGCTGGCATCATTGTCCTCATTCTACAGGTGAAGAAATGGAGATCCATTCTTTTTTTTTTTTTTTTTTTTTGAGATGGAGTCTTACTCTGTCACCCAAGCTGGAGTACAGTGGCAGGATCTCTGCTCACTGCAACCTCCGCCTCCTGGGTTCAAGCAATTCTCCTGCCTCAGCCTCCCAAGTAGCTGGGATTACAGGTGTCTGCCACCACGCCTGGCTAATTTTTGTATTTTTAGTAGAGACGGGGTTTCACCATGTTGGCCAGGCTGGTCTTGAACTCCTGACTTCAAATGATCCACCTGCCTCGGCCTTGCACATACTGCTTGCACATACTGTTCCCTCTGCCTAGAACACTCTTCTCTCCCTTTTTCTAGCTTATTCTCTCTTCATCTTTGGCTCAAGTATCTCATCCTCAGGGATGTCTCCCTCTCCTGCTCCCCCAGACTGAGCTGGTCTCCCTTCACCTTCCCAGAATCCTGGCTTCGTCCCCAGGGCCCCAGGCACTTAGACATCGGGTGTGGAGGGGGTTCAATGGTGGCCCCAAAGAGATGTGTCCATGTTCTAATCCCTGAACCTGTGAATGTGACCTTATTTGGAAAAAAGGTCTTTGCAGGTGTGATTAAGTTAAGATCTTGGGAGGAAGAGATCATTGTGGATTACCCAGGTAGGCCCTAAATCCAATGACAGGTGTCCTTGTCAGAGAGGCACACAAAGGAAAGACACAGAGGAAAGGCGACACAAAGATAGAGACAGAGATTGGAGTGATGTGGCCACAAACCTTGGAAGCCAAGGATTGCCAACACCACAGAAGCTGCAAAAGGCAAGGGAGGACCCTCCTCTAGAGCCTCGAGAGGGAGTGTGGCCCCATTGGCACCTTGACCTTGACCTCAGGCTGCTGTTCCCCAGAACTGCGAGAGAACCCATTTCTGTTGCTTTCAGCCACTGGATTTGGTGTCATTTGTTACAGCAGCCACAGGAAACTCACAAGGTGTGTTTGTAGAATTCACCTGGAACAGAGTCCCCTGCCTCCCATTTGGACTGTCTTGGGTACAAAATAGGCCTTCATCATGTTAAGCCACTGATTTGGGGGCTGCTCTTTATAGTCATGAGCCTACCCTGACTCATTCCATGTTAGTAACACGTGGCTCCCTCAGGAGACTGGAAACTCCTTGAGGGCAGGACCATGTCTCCCACTCACCATGAGCAGCCCACCCTGCACAGTGGCCGCCACATTGTAGGAAGAAGCATTTGTTGAATGCATTGAGGCTGAGACCTGGAGAATGAGCAGGAGTTGGCCAGATAAAGGGAGGGGATCAATCTTTCATGTGAAGGGAAAGGTGGAGCGGCATGGGAAAGGTCCAGAGGCTGGAGAGAACAGAGTTCACCTGGGAAGTGCCAACCCATTCCGTGGTCTAGGACACAGCAGATGCCCCCTGGCCCAGGCTCTGCACACGTTTGCTGCAAATGATTCCCCATCTCCTCTCCCTGCTCCCTGCCCCATTCAAGACTTCTTCAGGTCTTGCCCATCCTGGTTTTGTCTGCACATACGAACTTCACGGTCATGGGGCAGGTGGGTGGCTGGGAAAGACACTGACTGGGCCTCAGGCCAGGCTGTGGAACTGCCGCCCACACACTCATGCCCTTGGGCTTCCATTTCCTCCTCTGTCAAAGGGAGATGATAAATTTCCTTGCCAGCTCTTAGGGCAGGGTGAGGTGACTGGAGGAGGCGTGGACCGCACTGAGCTGGGCCAGAGCCATGGCAGGGCTGGGTTCAAACCTGGTGAGAGGAAGGGCCCAGGCTGGAGTGCAGTGGCGCGATCTCGGCTCACTGCAAGCTCTGCCTCCCGGGTTCACGCCATTCTCCTGCCTCAGCCTCCTGAGTAGCTGGGACTACAGGCTCCCGCCACCACGCCCACCTAATTTTTTGTATTTTTAGTAGAGACGGGGTTTCACCGTGTTAGCAAGGATGGTCTCGATCTCCTGACCTCGTGATCCGCCCGTCTCGGCCTCCCAAAGTGCTGGGATTACAAGCGTGAGCCACAGCGCCTGGCAGTCGAGTCCATTTCTATGTTCTATTTCAGCTGCCCCCAGTGGGCAGAGCAACCCAGTCCTCTCCCATGCCATGCGGTCTCAGGTACTCCTCATGGGGTCCTACAGACAGGATCTGGAGAAGCCTGTGACCCCCTCAGTCCCTCCCCACCAAGCTCCACTCTCTCCTGCTCAACATCCCAACATCCCTCACCCAGCCTCTCCTCACACTTCCAGGGCTGGGGAGCTCACTACTTACCAGGCTTTGATCTGCGCATATGACCCCTTCCCTCAAGATGCTCACTGTGGCTGGAGAGGCAGACAGACCAACAGACACATAACTGGCTGCTCTGCTACGAGGCAGAATGGAGTAAGTGTTCACTGGGGCAGCAAGGTGAAGATCACACAGAGGTCCCCATTCCTGAACCAGTGTGACATTCTGGGCCTGGCCAGACATCTTCCCCAGCTTCCTGCAAGCTTCCTGTGAGGGCAAAGCCTTCAAGAGGTAGAAAAAAACCATCTTGCAGGGGCAATGGGCCTGCTTGGCTGCACTAATAGGGGAGGCGGCGAAGCAAGCAGGGAACGCTGTGCCCCCACCCACCTCTGAGTGAAGACTGCAAACTCAGGCTGGAAGGGCCCTAGGAGTCCAACAGATGCAACCCATTTATTTTACAGATGAGGAAACTGAGGCTCCCACAGCAAACCAGAGGCAATGCTGGGGGTCCCCTTCCAGAACTCCTACCTCCCAGCCCAGAGTTCTCTGCCTGCACTGGGTATCCAAAGCCCCCTTCCCCGGGAGGCACCAAACTCAGGGTGCCCAGCCAGTCAGGAGAGCCAGGAGGGGCTCAGGCTCCGGTGGAAGTCTGAGTCCAAGCCTCCACCCTGCAACTAGCCTGCTGAGTGACCCTGGGGACACCACTGGTCTTCATTTTCTCCTCCGTAAAATGGGATCCTGATCTTTGTTTCTCCCTTGGGCTGAAGGGCAGATGAGATGCTGAGTGTTGTAAGCGCTTTGCAAATTGCAGATGCTTTGTCCAGAGAGGCAACACCACCATCACCCGCTCCTCACCACCTTCTTCATCATGTTAGAGAGTAAAAGCTCTGTGGCCAAACTGCCCGGGTTTGAATCCTGGCTCTGCCACTTGCTAGCTGGGTGACATCAGGCAAGCCACTTAACCTCTCTGTCCCTCGAATTGGCTGTCCCTCCTTACAAGATTGTTGAGTTAGTACATGTAAAACATGTGGAGCAGTTGGTCCTTGGTTCTTAGGAGCCAGTTCCAGGATGTTCTCCCTGTGCAACCCAGGGCAGGTCTCATCTCTGAGCCTCAGCAGCCTCCTCTGAAAAATGGGGATGTTAATAATAGCACCTGGCTGGAGGCGACCTGGAGGATGGAGCAGGGCCAAGGCACACACTGTGCTGAGCCCAGGGCCAGCCCACAGAAGCGCCGGCTCAATGAGTGCCTCGGAAGCCTGGCATTTGGAGCCCAGTGTGTCCTCAGCTCACCTTGGCTGGTCTTGGCCTTGGCAGGCCCATGGGCAGCAGGGAAGGGCCATCAGGATCTGGGAAAGTGGGTCCAGCCCCAGACCAGATGGCCACCCTGGGGCCTCCCAGGAGGTGGGCTGTCCTTTAATGACCTGCATGGTCGTGGGTTTGGGAGGAAGGAGCTTTCTCCCGGCCCCCTACTCCCACTGTGGCTGCCAAAGAACCCTCCCTGTCCCACCCCAGCCAGGCCATGTCTCCCTTCTCTGAGCTTCAGGTACAAGCAGTCAGTTAGTCAATAGTTGGCAAGGCTCACTCAGGGCCCTGCTAGGGCGAGGACTTCAGCAAAGATGAGTCGCGCCTGCGCACTGAAGTCCAGCCAGGTAGAGCCCACATCCCAGCACAAAGGTGCCCTGAGAAAGGCAAGGTTAGCTCTTGGAGGGTGGGCACCAGAGACAGCCTCCTGAGGAGGGGCCGGCAGAGCTGAGTGTGGGCTACCCCAGTGGAAGAGTTGGAAAGGCACATGAGGCAGAGGGAACGGCAGGTGCAAAGGCATGCAGATATGGAACAGCTGGAATATTGGGAGAACAAGGCAAACTCAGTTTCCTGGGGAAAAGGTGGAACTGGGGGATGTGAGGACAGAGAGTTTGGCAAGGGACAGAGCTCAAAGGACCAGGAAGGGCCTGGCGTGGTGGCTCACGCCTGTAATCCCAGCACTTTGGGAGGCCAAGGTGGGTGGATCACCTGAGGCCAGGAGTTCAAGACCAGCCTGGCTAACATGGTGAAACTTCCATCTCTACTAAAAATACAAAAATCAGCCAGGCGCGGTGGCACACACCTGTAATCCCACTTACTCAGGAGGCTGAGGCAGAATCACTTGAACTTGGGAGGCGGAGGTTGCAGTGAGCCAAGATCATGCCGCTGCACTCCAACTTGGGGGACAGAGCGAGACTCCCTCTCAAAAAAAAAAAAAAAATTTAGCTGGGCATGCTTGTGCACACCTGTGGTCCCAGCTACTTGGGAGGCTGAGGTGGGAGGACCGCTTGAGCCAAGGAGGCAGAGGTTGCAGTGAGCCGACATTGTACTCCAGCCTGAGAGAGAGAGCCAGATGCTGTTCCAAAAAAGGAAAAAAAAAAAAAAAAAAAAAGACTGGGAAGACAAGAACAAGAGTTTGAACTTGGCCTGAGGAGCACGAGGGAGCCATTGCAGAGTGTTCAGTAGAAGAGAGAGAGCAGCAGCTTAGAAAGATTCCTTGTGGTCATGTGAGCACAGAGGTTGGGTGGGGTCCACTGGGAGGAGTGCAGACAGAGGCTCAGAGGGAGGGGCGGGCTTAACTGGGCCACACACAGCTGAGTGCCCTATACCCAACACCCCATCTGGCCTCCTTGGCATAGCTTTACCTTCTGTCTTGTTTCCCCCTGCCCGAGTTCCACCTCCCCCAGTAGCTGCTCCCAGAGGCCAGGAGCACTTGGGCCTCCCCTCCCCCGCCAAGGCCATCAGCCCTGACAGCAGGAGGCGGATGTGTCAATGATGGTTGGTGGCATGCCTGCGCCCCTGCTTCTGCCTGTGCCTGTGTGGGATGCCTCCTGGGCCTTTCCCTGCTCTGTCCCCGCGCCCAAGCTGGAGCCACAGGTCCCACCTCCCCACCCTCACTCTCATGGTTGTCACCTCCTGAACATAGACAACAGACAATGTCTAGTTAGTGTGCTGACATTAAATGTCCACAGACAAGAGACAGTTGGAAGGATGGAAACCTCCATGGTCGGTGACTCTTTCCAGACTGGTTGCTCTGCCACGAAGCAGAACAGAGTTAAGTGCTAACTGGGGCAGTGAGATGAGGGAGATTAAACGGAGGCCCCACTTCCTAAACCAGTGTGACTCTCGGCCTGACCAGACACCTTCCTCAGCTTCCCGTGAGCTTCCTGCGAGGAAAAAGCCTGAGAGATGGAAATAAACATCTTGCAGGGAAAATGGGGCTGCTCGGTTGCACTAATGGAGGAAGCAGCGAAGCAAGCAGGGAACGCTTTTCCTGGCACTGTACATCCACATCCACCAGCTAACCTTGTCAGCCCCATCTTCAAAATAAAATATATCCACACTCTGAGCTCCTCCCCTCATCCTCAGAAACACAGCCCTGGGCTGAGCCACCGTCATCTCTCACTGGGATAATTTCTGCAGCCTCCTACCTGGTGGCCCATGTTCAGCTTCACCCTCTGCCATTTACTTACCACACAAGGTCCAAAACAAAAGCCATGTCCAGGCACTTTTCTGATCAAAATTCAGAAATGGCTTCCCTGTTCATGCAGAGTAAATTCCACGGCCCATGACACTCTACCCTCTGGGTGCCTCCAAATTCATCAGGAGGCCTCTCCCTCGGCTCCACTCACCCTGGCCCCTTGTTGTTCCCGGAACCCAACACACATCCCACCTCAGGACCTTTGCACTTGCCCTTCCGTCTACCTGAAATACCTTCCCCGAAATGCCTGCCTCACTTCCTTGCCTCTCTGCTCATTAATTGCCTCATCACAGAGGCCTTCCTTGACCTCTACCAAAAACAGGTCTTGGCTGAGCGAGGTGGCTCATCCCTGTAATCCTGAGAGGTGACAGCGTGCTGGCAGTCCTCAGAGCCCTCGCTTGCTCTCGGCACCTCCTCTGCCTGGGCTCCCACTTTGGCGGCATTTGAGGAGCCCTTCAGCCCACCACTGCACTGTGGGAGCCCCTTTCTGGGCTGGCCAAGGCTGGAGCCCACTCCCTCAGCTTGCAGGGAGGTGTGGAGGGAGAGGCGCGAGCGGGAACGGGGCTCTTGCGGGCCAGCTGGAGTTCCGGGTGGGCGTGGGCTTGGCGGGCCCCCCACTCGGAGCAGCCGGCCAGCCCTGCTGGCCCCGAGCAATGAGGGACTTAGCACCCGGGCCAGCGGCTGCGGAGGGTGTACCGGGTCCCCCAGCAGTGCCAGCCCACCGGCACTGCGCTCGATTTCTCACGAGCCTTAGCTGCCTTCCCGCGGGGCAGGGCTCGGGACCTGCAGCCCGCCATGCCTGAGCCTGCCACCCCCTCCGTGGGCTCCTGTGCGGCCCAGCCTCCCCGACGAGCACCACCCCCTGCTCCAAGGCGCCCAGTCCCATCGACCACCCAAGGGCTGAGGAATGCGAGCGCACGGCGCGGGACTGGCAGGCAGCTCCACCTGCAGCCCCGGTGCGGGATCCACTAGGTGAAGCCAGCTGGGCTCCTGAGTCTGGTGGGGACGTGGAGAGTCTTTATGTCTAGCTCAGGGATTGTAAATACACCAATCAGCACCCTGTGTTTAGCTCAAGGTTTGTGAGTGCACCAATGGACACTCTGTATCTAACTGCTCTGGCGGGGCCTTGGAGAACCTTTACGTCTAGCTCAGGGATTGTAAATACACCAATCGGCACTCTGTATCTAACTCAAGGTTTGTAAACACACCAATCAGCACCCTGTGTTTAGCTCAAGGTTTGTGAATGCACCAATTGACACTCTATCTAGCTGATCTGGTGGAGCCTTGGAGAACCTATGTGTCGAAACTGTATCTAACTAATCTGATGGAGACGTGGAGAACCTTTGTATCTAGCTCAGGGATTGTAAAGGCACCAATCAGCGCCCTGTCAAAACAGACCACTGGGCTCTACCAATCAGCAGGATGTGGGTGGGGCCAGATAAGAGAATAAAAGCAGGCTGCGGGAGCCGGCTGTGGCAACCCACTAGGGTCGCCTGCTGCACTGTGGAAGCTTTGTTCTTTTGCTCTTTGCAATAAATCTTGCTACTGCTCACTCTTTGGGTCCACACTGCTTTTATAAGCTGTAACACTCACCGCGAAGGTCTACAGCTTCACTCCTGAAGCCAGCGAGACCATGAGCCCACCGGGAGGAACGAACAACTCCAGGCGGCACTGCCTTAGGAGCTCATCGCGAAGGTCTGTAGCTTCACTCCTGAGCCAGCGAGACCACGAACTCACCAGAAGGAAGAAACTCCGAACACATCTGAACATCAGAAGGAACAAACTCCAGAAGCACCACCTTAAGAGCTGTAACACTCACTGCGAGGGTCCGCGGCTTCATTCTTGAAGTCAGTGAGACCAAGAACCCACCAATTCCAGATGCAATCCCAGCACTCTTGGAGTCTGAGGTGGATGGAACACTTGAGGCCAGGAGTTCGAGACCAGCCTGCACAACATGGCAAAACCCCATCTCTACTAAAAATACAAAAATTAGCCTGGCATGGTGGCACACTCCTGTAATCCTAGCTACTCGGGAGGCTGAGGCAGGAGAATTGCTTGAACCCGGGAGGTGGGGTTGCAGTCAGCCAAGATTGTGCCACTGCACTCCAGCCTCCAACAACTCAGTCTCCAACAACAACAACAACAAACCCAGCTCTCCCCAACCCATCCTTTCTCTCTGTTCCTTACCTGTTTATTCTGGCTGACATTTACTTATCGTCTCCCCCACCAGAATGTCAGCTCCATGAGACAGGAATTTGATATGTTTTGTGTCCTGCTGTATTCCCAATACCTGGTGCTTAATAGATGCTCATTTAATAGCTGTTAACTGAGGCCGGGCATGGTGGCTCAGACCTATAATCCCAGCATTTTGAGAGGCTGAGGTGGGCGGATCACCTGAGGTCGGGAGTTTGAGAACAGTCTGACCAACATGGAGAAACCCCGTCTCTACTAAAAATATAAAAATTAGCCAGTTGTGGTGGTGCATGCCTGTAATCTCAGGTACTTGGGAGGCTGAGGCAAGAGAATCGCTTGAACCTGGGAAGTGGAGGTTGCAGTGAGCCGAGATCATGCCATTGCACTCCAGCCTGGGCAACAGAGTGAGACTCCACCTCAAAAAAAAAAAAAAAGTTGTTAACTGACTTGAATGAATGAATGACTTATTGAATGAGGTTTCAGCATCCAAAAGAGTTTAGGAAACTTCATGGAAGGAGGCTTACTTGGGTCAGGTAGCGGAACTTGAGAATTTGGGGTTCCCTCTCTAATCTTTTGAATTTACTGGCACATGTCTGCCCTGACTCTCTTTGTTTTTTTTGTTTTTTTTGTTTTTTTTTTTTTTTTTTGAGACAGAGTCTCGCTCTGTCGCCCAGGCCGGACTGCGGACTGCAGTGGCGCAATCTCGGCTCACTGCAAGCTCCGCTTCCCGGGTTCACGCCATTCTCCTGCCTCAGCCTCCCGAGTAGCTGGGACTACAGGCGCCCGCCACCGCGCCCGGCTAATTTTTTGTATTTTTAGTAGAGACGGGGTTTCACCTTGTTAGCCAGGATGGTCTCGATCTCCTGACCTCATGATCCACCCGCCTCGGCCTCCCAAAGTGCTGGGATTACAGGCGTGAGCCACCGCGCCCGGCCGACTCTCTTTTCAAAAAAAATATTTTTTATTTATATTTTTATTTTTATGTTTTTTAGATAGAGTTTTGCTCTGTCGCCCAGGCTGGAGTGCAGTGGCGTGATCTCAGCTCACTGCAACCTCTGCCTCCTGGGTTCAAGTGAGTGGCCTCAGCCTCCCAAGTAGCTGGGATTACAGGGATGCACCACCATGCCCAGCTAATTTTTGTATATTTAGTATAGACAGCATTTCACCATGTTGGCCAGGCTGGCCTCAAACTCCTGACCTCAGGTAATCCATCCACCTCAGCCTCCCACAGTGCTGGGATTACAGGCATGAGCCATGGCGCGCAGCCCACAGTTTTTTTTTTTTTTTTCAATAAAAAGTAGAGATGAGGTCTTGCTATACTGCCCAGGCTGATCTCGAACTTCTGGGCTCAAGTGATCCTCCTGCCTCTGTCTCCCAGAATGCTGGGATTATGGGCATGAGCCACCATGCTCAGCTCTCAAGCCTCATTCGCTCATTCAGCAAATGTGTACCAACTTCTGCTCTGGGTAGGACTCTGGGAGCCCAGAACAATCAAGCCCCAGCCCTGTAGCTATGAAAAAAAAAAAAAAATACAAGAATGGAAATGAACACTTAGAACACTAAGCAGCTCAGCTGTAAATGATATTTACATAGTAAAAATAATGTAATCAACAAATACTTATTTAACCAAAAATCACGACGGAACTCTGTTGGGAGGGCCAGAAGAAAGGATAGGTGTGTATGTATGTGGGGAGTGGGAGGGAGATAGAAGAGCTAAGCTCTCATCTTCCATAGTAGGAAGTCAATAGATAGTGTCCAAATTTGAAAAACCAAGAAATTGCAATGCAAGCATATAATCTAGAAATACAGAGGTAAATCTCAGAGGAAACACCTCCCAGAGCAGCTGCCCTGGGGGTGGCATGGGATAGGGCCAAGTGCTGCTGGTTTTCTTAAGTCTTCAACTATTTGATTTTTTTTTTGGAAATCAGCTTTCCCAGGTTGAATTCAACTATTTGATTTTGTAAACTAAGCACATAGGTTGCTTTGATAAAAATTTAAATCAGGCTAGGCTCAGAGGCTCATACCTGTAATCCCAGCACTTTGGGAGGCTGAGGCGGGTGGATCACCTGAGGTCGGGAGATCAAGACCAGCCTGGTCAAAGTGGCGAAACCTCGTCTCTACTAAAAATACAAAAATTAGCCAGGCGTGGTGGCTAACACCTGTAGTCCCAGCTACCCAGGAGGCTGAGGCAAGAGAATTGCTTGAACCCAGGAGGCGGAGGTTGCAGTTAGCCAAGATCACGCCATTGTACTCCAGCCTAGGCAACAAGAGTGAAACTCTGTCTCAAAAAAAAAAAAAAATCAAATCAAATCAAATAAAATCAAATAATAGATTTAACATAGATTTATAAATTACTTATGAGGCCATGAATTCGTGGCTGCCAGAATTAGATGTTTTGGAAATAAGTCTTTTAAAGTTCATTTCAAAAGGCAACACAGGGCTGGGCATGGCGGCTCATACCTGTAATCCTAGCACTTTGGAAGGCTGAAGCAGGAGGATCACTTGAGCTCAGGAGTTGTTTTTTTTTTTTTTGAAATTGAGTCTCGCTCTGTTGCCCAGGCTGGAGAGCAGTGGCTCAATCTCGGCTCACTGCAACCTCTGCCTCCCAGGTTCAAGCGATTCTCCTCCCTCAGCCTCCCAAGTAGCTGGGATTACAGGTACCTGCCACCACGCTTGGCTAATTTTTTGTATTTTTAGTAGAGACGGGGTTTCACCATGTTGGCCAAGCTGGTCTCGAACTCCTGACCTTGTGATCTGCCCACCTCGGCCTCCCAAAATGCTGGGATTACAGGCATGCTCAGGAGTTTGAGACCAGCCTGGGCAACATAACAAGACCTCATGTCTACTGCTAAAAAAATAATTAGCTGGGCATGGTGGTGCATGTCTGTAGTCTCAGCTACTGGGGAGGCTGAGACAGGAGGATTGCTTAAGCCTGGGAGATGGAGCTGCAGTGAGCGATTATTATGCCAGTGAACTCCAGCCTGGGGAACTGAGCAGGACTGCGTCTTAAAAGAAAAAAAGCAACACAGGATAATTGGCAAAATTGCAATATGATCTAGATATTAAAGAATAGAATGGTATCACCATTACATTTCCCAAATTTGATGGTTATGTAAGGGAGTTCTTACGAGATGCATGCTGAATGAAGTTTTTAGGGGTGAGGGACATAATGTTTACAACCTATTCTCAAATGATTTTAAGGAAATATATACACATATACACATATTACATATTCATATAAAAGAATGTGAACAATAAAACAAATGTGGCAAAAATTGGTGGATCAAGGTGAAGGGTATATGAGCATACATTGTACTACCCTTGCAACTTTCCGTAGGTATAAATTTTTTTCAAAATAAGTCCGGGCGCAGTGGCTCATGTCTGTAATCCCAGCACTTTGGGAGACCAAGGTGAGTGGATCACCTGAGGCCGGGAGTTCGAGACCAGCCTGACCAATATGGTGAAACCCCATCGCTACTAAAAATATAAAAATTAACGGGGCGTGGTGGCATGCGCCTGTAATCTCAGCTAACCAGGAGGCTAAGGCAGGAGAATCGCTTGAACCTGGGAGGCAGAAGTTGCAGTGAGCCAAGATTGCGCCACTGCACTCCAGCCTGGGCCACAGAGGGAGACCCTGTCTCAGAAAAACAAAAAAACAAAACAAAATAAGAAATTAAGAAAATAAAGCAATATGATAACATCACAAAAAGAGAGGTAGCCAGACAGTATGTACCTCCTGATGGGAGCAACAGTACTATCTATAAAACATGCTTGCCCAAATAAGTCAAGGCTGCGTTTTATCAAGCTTCTAGATCCAACCCCAATTTACAAGAACCCCTGGCGATGGATAAACATATCAAATCACACCATGGGGCTGCAACCAGCAAAATGCAGGTGTGGGGATTCCTACAGGACAAACAGCCCAACTTTTTTTTTTTTTTGAGACAGAGTCTCACTCTCGCTCGCTCTGTCACCCAGGTTGGAGTGCAGCAGCAAAATCTCGGCTCACTGCGACTTCCACTTTCCGGGTTCAAGCGATTCTCCTGCCTCAGCCTCCCGAGTAGCGGGGACTACAGGTGCCCGCCACCACACCTGGCTAATTTTTGTATTTTTAGTAGAGATGGGGTTTCGCTATGTTGGCCAGGCTGATCTCGAACTCCTGACATCTGGTGATCCACCTGTCTCAGCCTCCCAGAGTGCTGGGATTATGGGCATGAGCCACCACGCCCGGCCACTTTATTTCAACAAATAAATTATGAAGAAAAAAGAGAGATGGGAAAGCTCTAGATGAAAAGAAACCTGACCTATTAACCAATTGCATTATTTCTATTTGGATATTAATTCAAACAAACTGCAAAAAAAAAAAAAATAAAGAAAATATTTATGAGACATTTGGAACTTTGAACATTAACTAGAAATTGACCAGATATTTGATATTATAGAACTATTCCTTTTTTTAGGAGCAAAAATGATATAACAATTTATTTTTTCTTTTGAGATGGAGTCTCACTCACTCTGTCATCCAGGCTGGAGTGCAGTAGCACAATCTCGGCTCACTAACCTGCATCTCTTGGGTTCAAGCGAGTCTCGTGCTTCAGCCTCCCAAGTAGCTGGGATTACAGGTGTGCATCACCATGCCCGGCTAACTTTTTTTTTTTTTTTTGAGACAGAGTCTTGCTCTGTCGCCCAGGCTGGAGTGCAGTGGCGCGATATTGGCTCACTGCAACCTCTGTCTCCCAGGTTCAAGCAATTCTCCCTCAGCCTCCTGAGTAGCTAGAACTACAGGCACGTGCCACCAAGCCCAGCTAATTTTTGGATTTTCTGTAGAGACAGGGTCTCACCATGTTGGCCAGGCTGGTCTTGAACTTCTGACCTCGTGATCCACCCGCTTTGGCCTCCCAAAGTGCTGGGATTACAGGCGTGAGCCACCGTGCCTGGCCTAATTTTTGTATTTTTAGTAGAGACAGGGTTCACCATGTTGCCCAGGCAGTTCTCAAACTCCTGACCTCAAGTGATCCACCTACCTCAGCCTACCCAAGTGCTGGGACTACAAGTGTCAGCCACAGCATCTGGTCTATTTTTTCTTCTTAAAAAATGTTTTGCTTTATATGTTCAGAGAAACTTCTTTAGTAATAAACTATAGAAATGATCCTTGAAAGTACAGTCCTTATTTATTCCTAAAAAAATTTTTTTTGCTTGGTATAATATTTATGCTGAGGCCAGGCACGGTGGCTGATGTCTGTAATCCTAGCACTTTGGGAGCCCAAGGCGAATGGATCACGAGGCCGGGAATTCAAGACCAGCCTGGCCAATATGGTGAAACCCCATTTCTACTAAAAATACAAAAATTAGCCGGGTGTGGTGGCAAGCGCCTGTAGTCCCAGTTACTCAGGAGGCTAAGGCAGAAGAATCGCTTGAACCCAGGAGGCAGAGGTTGCAGTGAGCCGAGATCGCGCCACTGCACTCCAGCCTGGGTGACAGAGCGAGACTCCGTCTCAAAAAAAAAAAAAAAAAAAAGTTACGCTGATAAAAGACTCCTCATCTTTTAGATTATTTTCCTTGTGATGAATGGAATAATCTAATGTCTGGGATTTGCTTCAAAGGTGAGGGAAATGGACGAGAATGTACATGAAGCAAGATCAGCTTGGGTGCTGGGTGGGGCTGGGAGTATCTAATTTTGTATATGTTCAAAATAGAGTGGGTTTTCTTGTTTGTTTTTGTTTTTTGAGACGGAGTCTCACTCTGTCACCCAGGCTGGAGTGCAGTGGTGTGATCTCTGCTCACTGCAACCTCTGCTTCCCGGGTTCCAGCAATTCTCCTGCCTCAGCCTCCTGAGTAGCTGGGACTAGAGGAACAACAGCCTTGTTCCAAAACTCACAAAGGGGCTCCATCTGATGGTGAAGATGCTTCCAAGATGTCTGTGAAGACTTTGCTCACAATTGTTCTATAAAACGTATTCAAGACCTAGCTACTGATGGATGGGGGCTGAGGCTGGAGCATTGCTTGAGCCCAGGAGTTCGAAGCTGCAGTGAGCTAAGAAGGTGGCACTTCCAGCACGGGCAATATGGCGAAACCCATCAAAAAATACAAAAAATGTAGCCCGGCATTGTGGTTCGTGCCTGTAGTCCTAGCTACTTGGGAGACTGAGGTGGGAGGATCACTTGAGCCTGGGAGGTCAAGGCTGCAGAGAGCTGAGATCGCGTCACTGCACTCCAGCCTGGGTGACAGAGCAAGACCCTGCCTTAAACAACAATAATAACAATAACAAAACAAGGTCCCACTGCATTCATGCCTGGGTGACAGAGGAAGACCCTGTCCCTAAAAATAAATAAATAAATAAATAAATAAATAAATAAATAAATAAATAAATATAAAATGCATCCAAACCAGGACTGTGGCTGTTAGTTCCTATTACTGCCGTTGTTGATGGTGACTATGCCTCACGGTGCAGGTATCACCTCCACCATACAGAAGAGGCCACGTGCTGTTCCAATGAGAACTCAGGACCCAGAGCCATCACCAGGAGAAGCAGAAGCTAAATGAGATGTTTAGAATTCCAGCCAGTCTCAGCTGTGGCAAGAGGGAGCACTTATCTCTGTATATTTGGACATCTGTGGGCGGTGTTTATTTGCTGGGAAGTCTGGGTCTCTTCCCCTGGGGCTGCTGGAAGCCATGGCAGCCGAAGGACACAAGCTGGAGGAGGGTCAGGAATGGGCAGCCTGAAGCAGACACTGAGGTCAGGCAGGGCGTGGTGGGTGAGAACTAACTGCAGACTCAGTGGTGCCAGAGGTGGCCTGGCCATAGGGAGGGCCCTGGGCAAAGCTTGGACAAGCATCTCTGGGCTTTGATTCTACATTTCAGCTGTTATGTGCAGGGTCACACAGACCCGGGTATGAATCTTGACTTTGCCACTTGCCAGCTCCAGTGTGGCTCATGGCTGGAAGATCCTGTGTTCTCATCTTTGAAAATGTCTCATCTATGACAATGTTGGGACCAAGCTTATGGGTTGTCCTGAGGCATCAGTGAGGTGACGTTTGGAAGCTCTTAGCACAGGGCTAGGTGTGCCAGGAGCACTTGAAACCTAGGGGCTGCCACCGCCACAGCTGCTCTCTTTTAGACGACAGATGTCCAGTTCTAACAAGACTGAATATGTCAAATTTCTGTATGAAAGGCACCATAAACACAGTAAAAGACAAGAGACAAGGGAATAAAAGAGTAACTTACAGTAGAGAAGTCCGGGCGCGGTGGCTCACGCCTGTAATCTCAGCACTTTGAGAGGCTGAGGCAGGCAGATCACTTGAGGTCAGGAGTTCAAGACCAGCCTGGCCAACATGGTGAAACCAGGTCTCTACTAAAAATACAAAAGTTAGCTGGGCATGGTGGCGGGCGCTTGTAATCCCAGCTACTTGGGAGGCTGAGGGAGGAGAATCGCTTTAACCCAGGAGGTGGAGGTTGCAGTGAGCCAAGATTGTGCCACTGCACTCCAGCCTGGGTGACAGAGCAAGACTCCCACTCGAAAAAAAATAAAAATACAGTGGAGAAGCCTGACAAATACTAGCTCAGCCAGGTGACCAAGGCCGACACCAGCAACATGAGGGTTACGATGAAAGAGGCACTTTCCCTCTATGATCTTTTCACCTAAAACCCATAAGCCTTCCCTAGTCATGAGAAAGACAAATGCCAATTGAGGGACATTCTGCAAAACAGATGGCAGTCCTTCTCAAAACTGTCAAGGTCATTTAAAAAACAAACAAGGAAACCTGTAATCCCAGCTACTCAGGAGGCCAAGGTGGGAAGATCACTTAAGCCTGGGAGTTTGAGACCAGCCTGGGCAACATAGCAAAACCTCATCTATAAAAAATAAGTAAAATTTTAAAATGGTTTTAGACTTGGCCCGGTGGCTCATGCCTGTAATCCCAGCACTTTGGGAGGCTGAGGTGGGCCGATCACTTGAGGCCAAGAGCTCGAGGCCAGCCTGGCCAACATGGTGAAACCCCGTTTCTACTAAAAATACAGAAATTAACCTGGCGTGGTGGTGGGCGCCTGTAATCCGAGCTATTCAGGAGGCTAAGGCAGGAGAATTGATGGAACCCAGGAGGCAGAATTTGCAGTGAGCCGAGATCACCCCACTACACTCCAGCCCGGGCATCAGAGCAAGACTCCATCTCAAAAAAAAAAACCCAAAGCTGGGTGTGGTTGCTCACGCCTGTAATCCTAGCACTTTGGGATGCCCAGGCAGGCAGATCACCTGAGGTCAGGAGTTTGAGACCAGCCTGGCCAACATGGTGAAACCCCGTTGCTACCAAAAATACAAAAATTAGCCAGACATGGTGGTGCACACCTGTAATCCCAGCTACTCGGGAGGCTGAGGCAGGAGAATCGCTTGAACTCAGGAGGTGGAAGTTGCAGTGAGCTGAGACTGTGACACTACCCTCCAGCCTGGGCGACACAGTGAGAATCCGTCTCAAAAACACAACAACAACAAAAAACAAAACCCAAAACAAAAAACAAAACCAAAAAAAGGTTTTAAATGAGGATAGACGAAAAACTGTCACAACCAAGAGGAGCTTAAGGAGACATGATGAGTAAATGTAATGTGGTGTCCTAGGGGGGACCCTGGGACAGAAGGAGGACATGTGTGGTAGATGCATCTGACGCCAATAATGTAAGCATACCCTGAGAAAGACGTAAGAAACACGCGTGACGGTCCTGAGCTAAGGAATCTGAGAGTGGCCGCTCTAGAGATTCACCCCTTATCTATGAAGAACCCTTGGCCCATCCCTTGGAACTCAGGTCATGTACAGGGTCAAGGCCCTTTTGCTTTGGGTTAGGTGGAGGTTGCTAAGTAAAAATGCTATATAAACTGCATGCCGTTTATAAACAGTAGCAGTTCTCTTGTCCAGCCTGCTGCCACTGGACTGTCCTCATATGTAAGTCCCCCTCAATCAGCCCTGTGTCTCAGCCAGGCGTGGTGGCTCGCACCTATAATCCCAGCACTTTGGGAGGCTGAGTGGGAGGATTGCTTCAGCCTAGGAGTTCAAGACCAGCCCTGGAAATTCAGTGAGACTCCATCTCTACAAAAAATTAAAAAACTTAGCTGGGTGTAGTGGCATGCACATGTAGTTCTAGCTACTCGGGAGGCTGAGGTGGGAGGATCACTTGAGTCCGGGAGGATCACTTGAGTCCAGCAGGATGAGGCTGCCGTGAGCAGTGATCATGCCACTGCACTCCAGGTTGGGCAACAGAGCAAGACCTTGTCTCAAAAAAGTAAAAATAAATAAATAAATAAATAAATAAATAAATAAATAAATAAATAAACCCTATGTCTCGTTCCCTGCCTCCAGGTCTCTTCTTCAGCCTCTTGGACACAGTGCCATCGCTATTGGCATCAATAGGGGTCAGGCACGACAGGACAGTAGGTAAAAACTAAGGAAATCAGAATAAGTTACGGACTTAGCAATAATGTATCAATATTGGTTCATTAACTGTGACAAATGTATAATAATAACAAAATAATAATAGAGGAAGCTGGGTGTGGGCTATATGGGAACTGTCTACTATCTTTGTGATTTTTCTGTCAATCTAAAACTATTCTAAATTAAATAATATACTAAAAAAGAAAACAGACAAGAGACAGCCTGGGAGAAAATACAAGGACACTTCATCTATACAAAAAATAAAATTAGCCGGGCGTGGTGGCATCCGCCTAGAGTCCCACCTACTCAGAAGGCTGAGGTGGGAGGATCCCTTGAGTTCAGGAGGTTGAGGCTGCAGTGAGGAGAGCATTTATAGGCAGAAAACATAAGAATGCCTATAATTTTTTTTTTCAGATGGAGTCTCGCTTTGTCGCCAGGCTGGAGTCCAGTGGCACGATCTCGGCTCACTGCAACCTCCGCCTCCTGGGTTCAAGCGATTCTCCTGCCTCAGCCTTCTGAGTAACTGGGATTACAGACACCCGCCACCACGCCCAGCTAAATTTTGTATTGTTAGTAGGGACGGGGTTTCACCATGTTGGCCAGGATGGTCTCAATCTCTTAAGTCATGATCCACCCACCTCGGCCTCCCAAAGTGCTGGGATTACAAGCGTGAGCCACTGCGCCCGGCCTATAATTTTTTTTTTAACCCAGTAGAAAACAATCCAGCAGGAAAATGGGCAAAGGAAGGAAATGGCAAGTTCACAGAGGAGGAGACAAACAGGTCAATACGCACATGAAGAGATGCCTGACCACCCTGTCATCAAAGAATGCAAATGAAAACAACAATAAACCATCATTTCTCCCAATGAGATTGGTAAAAGTTAGAGAAAATTGATGACGTCCCGTGTTGAAGAGGGCATGGGGAAATGAGTGGTGTAGGCAGATAAAATGGTACCACCTTTGGAGGAGGCAATTTGGCTATAAGTTTTCTTTTCTTTTTCTTTTTTCTTTTTTTTCTTTTTTTGTGAGACAGAGTCTTGCTCTGTTGCCCAGGCTGGAGTGCAGTGGCACGATCTTGGCTCACTGCAACCTCTGCCTCCCTGGTTCAAGCAATTCTCATGCTTCAGCCTCTGAAGTAGCTGGGACTATAGGAGTGTGCCACCAAGCAACAAGGGGACCAAAGAAATCATTGCTCAGCTTTGGGTTTGACCTGATCTGCACCATGCCTGGCTAATTTTCGTATTTTTAATACAGACGGGGTTTCACTGTGTTGACCAGGCTGGTCTCGCTCTCCTGACCTCGTGATCCACCTGCCTCAGCCTCCCAAAGTGCTGGGATTACAGGCATGAGCCATCACGCCCAGCCTATGACTTTTAAGATAAAAATGCACATACCCAGTGTGTTCCTTGCTGCATTATTTGTAATAACAAAAATCAGAAACAACCTTAGTCCATCAATAGGAGACTAGGATGCACATACACAATGAAATACTCTGCGAATGACGAAAAAGCCTGAGGCGCGTTTACAGTGCAAATAGAGCAATGATCCCCGTTAACACTGTGCAGCACTCATGTGCCAGCCTCTCTCAAAATGTAATTTTCACAACTCTGTGAGTTAATTACTATTATTATCCCCATTTTACAGATGAGAAAAACTGAGGCAGAGAGGGGTTAAGTAACTTTTTCAAGATTGCACACTTAATAAATAGCAGAGTGAGGATTTGAACCCAAGTAAGCTGCTTTAAACAACAACAGGCTGGGTGCAGTGGCTGAGGCCTGTAATCTCAACACTTTGGGAGGCCAAGGTGGGAGGACCCCTTGAGTCCAGGAGTTCAAAACTAGCCTGGGCAATATGGTGAGACACCCATCTCTACCAAAAAAAAAAATTTTTTTTAATTAGCTGGACATGGTGGTACACACCTGTAGTCGCAGCTACTTGGAAGCCCGAGGCAGAAGGATCTCTTGAGCCTGGAAGGTTGAGACCAGCCTGGGCAACATAGCAAGACACTGTCTCTACAAAAAAGAAAAAAAAATTAGCCGAGCATGGTGGCACATGCCTGTAGTCCCAGCTACTTGGGAGGCTAAGGAGGGAGGATCCTTTGAACACAGGAGTTCGAGGCTACAGTGAGCTATCATCACGCCACTGCACTCCAACCAGGGTGATGGAGTGAGGCCCTGTCTCACAAAAATAAAAATAAAAACCACGACCACCAACTATATACACTCTCACACACACACACACACACACACACACACACACACACGTACTCACACACACGTACCCACACAAATCCGTGTGCATATGCTTACATATATGCAAATACATAAACAACACCTGAAAGGTCTCCACAGCCCAGCAACCTGATAAGCATCTTACCTTTCCAGGGCAAAGCGGGAGGATGGGGGAGTGGATAAGACTTTGACGGATCTGCATGAACGAGTATTATTTTGATTCTGTGGGGTTTTTTTGTGTTTTTCCTTTCATTCCTCTCTTCCCTGCAGCTGCCCCACCCGCAGCACAGAGACACTGGCCACTGGACCAGCTCTCCCAGCACTACCTCCTGGGAGGGCGGATGCAGGGGAACAAAGAAGTCGTTGCTAAGCTATGCTTTTCAAATTAGACTTTTTCAAAGCCCACAGCAGGAACAATGGCCTTGAGAACAAGCCTCCCATGTAGGAGCCTTTCATGGCTGGGCTGTTGAGGGAGAAGAGGTTTGTTGAGAAAAGAGCTACAGGCTCACAGCCAAAGGTGTACAGCAGCCACATAGGAATAGAAGAAGCTGGGGGCAGGTAGGCACATTTTCCTGTTTCTGAGGTAGCCTGAGGCCTTGCCCCAACCCGACATTCTCTCCATGCTCACCTCCCCGGGCCCTGCCCCCGGGAGTGCTGAGTGCCTTCAAGCCCCTGGGAGAATAACTTAGCCATGCCCGAAAAACCAGAAATAAAAAAATAAAACCAGAAAGGTCAGGAGGCTGAGTCTGGGTCCTCAGGCCTCAGGAAACTGCAGGGGGACCCCTGCCACCACCCTTGTATCCCATGGAGACGGAAGGGCTTCTAAATGTTTCTCGAGCCTCATAAGGATGGGAGAGGGTTGCAGGACTAGAGGACCTGGCACCAGGAAGGGAGGCCGCTGCCCGCCCTCATGTGGCCTGCCTACCTGTTAACAGAGGTCTCGTCAGACCCTGGCCAGCAGGGACAAAGGCCAATGTCCAGGAGCTGAGAGGCAAGAGGCCCTCAGGGGAAGGACAGAGAAAGGTGTGGGGACTAGGTGCCCCCTTCCTAATGTTAGGACCAACTTAAACCTGCGGTGCTTGGCTCTGCCCTGGCACAAGAGGATAAGGGGCAGGGAGAAAAACTGGTTTCATGAAATTCAGTGGGTTGACAAAATACAATAGAATCAAATCAAGTAACAGAGTATTACTTTATGAAACTTTTGCTACATGATTATTGATTAAATGTTGTGCTGGTTTCAAAGTGCACTGGATTTCCCACTGTTAGTCAAGGCCAAAAATATGGGAAAAATTTTCTCAAAGACTACAAAAAGTCTCTGTGTAGGTCAGGCTGGTGAGATGAGTTTGGTTATTAGAGAGTTAGAAAAGGTTACGTTTTTCATACCAATTCTTATCTTTAGGATCTTAAACTACAGCCATTTGTTTGATTTTTGGCACAGTGAGGATATAAGTGTATTACTTCTGTAATTTAAAAATGTTACTGGCCTTGTTCGGTGGCTCACACCTGTAATCCCAGCACTTTGGGAGGCCAAAGTGGACAGATCACCTGAAGTCAGGAGTTCGAGACCAGCCTGACCAACATGGCGAAACCCTGTCTACTAAAAATGCAAAAATAATTAGCCAGGAGTGGTGGCAGGTGCCTGTAATCCCAGCTACTCCGGGAGCCAAGGCACAGAACTGCTTGAATTCGGGAGGCAGAGGTTGCAGTGAGCTGAGATCACGCCACTGCACTCCAGTCTGAATGACAGAGCAAGACTGTCTCAAAATAAATAAACGAATAAATAAATAAATAATGTTACTGAATGCCCCTGACATCAAAAATGGACTAGTGGTTCCAACAGGCACAAGGTTGGCCATTGTGATAGGGGATGGTAGGAGCTCTAATTGGTTAAGATAAAGGCATATATAAAGGACTCTGAACCCAGCCATGGGGGCAACGGGCAGTGGGTAGAAATGGCATGTGAGATGAAGAGGGGTCTCAGCCGAGTTGAGTATGAGTTAGGCAGATGGGGAAAGCACTATCGAGGCAGATGACAAAGTTCTGGAGGGCATGAGATCTCCCTGTCCAGTGGAGTACAGTGTGTAGCCCCATCCTCCTCCAGGCTGGCCCTAAAATGCTGTGTCAAACAAGGTCCATGATAGACTGGGTAGGGCAGGCAAGTGTCCAAAGCAAGGTAACCAGAGGTCAACCCCAAAGGGCAGTGCCACCAGGGAGATCCAAGGCATGGGCACCGGGCGAGGCATAGGGTGCAAGGTCGGTGTTAGGACTTCATGTGTCCCCCAAAATCCACGTTAAAGCTCTACCCCAATGTGACTATTTTTGGAAATAAGGCTTTTCAGAGGTAATTAAGGTTAAACAAGGTCATAAGAGTGGGGCTCTAATCCAACAAGACTGGTGTCCTTATAAGAGGAAGAGGCGGCCGGGCGCGGTGGCTCACGCCTGTAATCCCAGCACTATGGGAGGCCGAGGCGGGTGGATCACAAGGTCAGGAGATCGAGATCATCCTGGCCAACATGGTGAAACCCCGTTTCTACTAAAAATACAAAAATTAGCTGGGCGTGGTGGCTCGTGCCTGTAATCCCAGCTACTCGAGAAGCTGAGGCAGGAGAATCACTTGAACCAGGGAGGCGGAGGTTGCAGTGAGCCGAGATCGCACCACTGCACTCCAGCCTGGCAACAGAGCAAGACTCTGTCTCAAAAAAAAAAAAAAAAGAAAAGAAAGAAAGAAAAGAAAAGAAAAGAAAAAAAAAAGGAAGAGGCTCCACGAGGCAAAGAGAAAAAGGCCAGGTGAGGACATAGGGGAGGGCAGCCCTCTACAAGCTAGGAAGAGGGCAGAAACCAACCCTGATGGCATCTTGATCTTAGATTTCCAGTCTCCAGAGCTGTGAGAAAATAGATTTTTGCTGTGTAAGCCATCCAGTCCACGCTGTTTTGTTATGGCAGCCCCAGCAGACTAATATTGTCAGGTTGGGAATAATGACTCAAGATGGCTCAAGGAGAAAGGCAGGACCAGGTATATAATTTGCAGGGCCTCGTGCCAAATGAAAACGCTGGACTCCCTGTTCAAAAATTATTGAGAATTTCAAGGCACTTTGGGAGGCTGAGGCAGGAGGATCGCTTGAGCCCAGGAGTTTGAGACCAGCCTGAGTAACACAGTGAGATCTCATCTCTACAAAAAATTTTTTAATTAGCTGGGTGTGGTGACACGCACCTGTTGTCCCAGCTACTCAGGAGGCTGAGGCAGGAGGATCCCTTGAACCCAGAAGGTTGAGACTGCAATTGTCAGAGGTGTTTGAACCAGAGCAACTCCATCTTGAGTAGGGGCTTGGTAAAATAAGGCTGAGACTTACTGGGCTGCATTCGCAGGAGGTTAAGGCATTCTTAGTCACAGGATGAGACAGGAGGTCGGAACGAGATACGGGTCATAAAGACCTTGTTGATAAAACAGGTTGCAGTAAAGAAGTCGGCAAAAACCCACCAAAACCAAGATGGCGATGAGAGCGGCCTCTGGTCGTCCTCACTGCTACATTCCCATCAGCGCCGTGACAGTTTACAAATGCCATGGCAATGCCAGGAAGTTACCCTATGTGGTCTAAAAAGGGGAGGCATGAGTAATCCACCTCTTGTTTAGCATATAATCAAGAACTAATCTCATGCCTGTAATCTCAGCACTTTGGGAGGCCGAGGCAGCCAGATCACTTGAGATCAGGAGCTCGAGACCAGCCTGGCCAACATGGTGAAACCCTGTTGCTACTGAAAATACAAAAAATTAGCCAGGTATGGTGGTGCACACCTGTAATCCAGCTACGCAGGAGGCTGAGACAGGAGAATTGCTTGAACCCGGGAGGCGGAGGTTGCGGTGAGCCGAGATCGTGACACTGCATTCTAGCCTGGATGACATAGTGGGACTCCTTCTCAAAAAAAAAAAAAAAAAAAAGGACCGTAAAAATGGGCAACCAGCAGCCCTTGGGGCTGCTCTGCATATGAAGTAGTCATGCTTTTGTTGCTTTACTTTCTTAATAAACTTGCTTTCACTTTATAGACTCGTCCCAAATTCTTTCTTGTGCAAGATCCAAGAACGTTCTCTTGGGGTCTGGACTAGGACCCATATCCGGTAACACCATGGGCGGTGATTGCGCCACTCAACTCTAGCCTAGAGCAACAGAGCTAGACCCTGTCTCGACAAAAAAAAAAAAAAAAAAAAAAAAAAAAAAAGAGAGAGAGAGAGAGAATTTTAAGACAGCAACAGCAGAGCATTAACCATGTACTGGGCCCTGTGTGCAAGCTCAGGTTTTACACCTGTGAAGCCAATCCTAAAGAGAGGTTCAGGATGGAGGCCTTGAACTAGATACAGAGGTCAGGGGTCCGTGTTTAATGCAGGCTGGAGTCCTCATATGTGCTCATGCACAGAGGTAGGCACGCATATAACCAGTTCAAACAGCAAGCAGAACACAAGCAGAGACAGGAAAAGCGAAGTGAAGAATGAGCAGCCATCAGAGATGCATTCTTAGCTGTCACTATCCCTCACTCTACCCCTTGTCAAGGGAAGGCTTCGGCAGCCATGTTCGTATGTATCACGTGACCCCCTCTCTCGGTCACTGTGGGTTGGAGGAGGGCTGATCACCTGACCCAAGTTAGCCAATCAGAGCTCTCTCCTGACACTGGCTCAGGTTGAAGTTCTAGAAAATGTTAATTGGGGGAGCTGTGGCTGGCAGAGAAGGAAAAAGGAAGCTGAAGGGCACTTGGGCTCATAATGGTCTCTCCAACCCTGATCCTGTCCTTTATGGACATTTGGCAGCGCTGCTGCCTTGAGGTGCCTTGCAATGCTTTATCTTTTTGTTAAAGCCACCTCTGTTGCTTCAGCCAGCTTGAGCGGTTTTCTGTTACTTGCTAGTGGTTGGGAAGGCTTAGCCGACGAAGGGAAAATGAGTCAGGTCCTGAAGGATGAGCAAGTTACGGGAGTGGGCCGCATGGTGAGGGAGTGGACTTCCTGATGGGGTTAAGGGCGCCTGAACACCTGGGAGGCAAGTTGAGGCCAAGACCTGGGGTGATGGAGAGGCAGGGTAGGCTACCCAGTGAGTAGGAGGCCGAAGGAACCACAGCAGGGCTCCAGATCTCCTGGCCCAGAGGGGCTGGTACGGGAAGCCCAGAAGACACTCATCCCTAAGGGGAGCCTGAGACTGAGGAACTCTCATGCCCTGCGTCGGGCTCGTGGGCGAAGGGCCTTCCCAGGGACTGCACCATGGCCTGTCCCCAGCCTTACCCAGGGGCCTCCCTCTCAGGTTCTGAAGGACCCAGGGGTCACAGCTGTGTGGGGTGCTCCACTGAACACTTCCTTCAAACTCCTTCAGGTTTGCTATTTTTATCTGCGGAGTTCTCAGTTCCTGAGTGGGAGGCAATAATAAAAGGGAGTGGGTGGGGAGGAGGAATTCGTATATTTCTTTTCTTATTTATTTATTTATTTATTTGTTTATTTTGAGACAGAGTTTCACTGTTGTTGCCCGGGCTGGAGTGCAACAGGGCGGCCTCGGCTCACTGCAACCTCCGCCTCCCGGGTTCAAGCGATTCTCCTGCCTCAGCCTCCAGAGTAGCTGGGCTTACAGGCATGTGCCACCATGCCCAGCTAATTTTGTATTTTTAGTAGAGACGGGGTTTCCCTACATTGGCCAGCCTGGACTTGAACTCCTGAACTCAGGTGATCCACCCTCCTTGGCCTCCCGAAGTGCTGGGATTACAGGTGTGAGCCACTGCACCCGGGCCTATTTTTTAAAAAGTGGATTTGGAAAGAGGGTTTTTTCCTTTTCATTTTTGACAAGGAGCACTTCCTTCCTGATCCTGAGGAAGCCCTAACTTTTTTTTTTTTTTTTAAGACAGAGTCTCGCTCTGTCACCCAGGCTGGAGTGCAATGGCCTGATCTCGGCTCAGTGCAACCTCCGCCTCCCGGGTTCAAGCGGTTCTCCTGCCTCAGCCTCCCGAGTAGCTGGGACTAGAGGCGCGTGCCACCACGCCCAGCTAATTTTTGTATTTTTAGTAGAGACAGGGTTTTGCCATGTTTGCCAGCCTGGTCTTGAACTCCTGAACTCACGTGATCCGCCTGCCTCAGCATCCCAAAGTGCTGAGATTACAGGCTTGAGCCATCACACCCGGCCAGGAAGCCCTTCTTAATCTGATTTTTCCTCCTTTCAGTTCTTTTATTCACTGCTTATTCATCAACTCTTTACTATTACTTGTTACTATTGGTTTGAATCCCACCTCTGTCACCTGCTGGTGTTTATTCTTGGCTACATTTCTTCTTTTTTTTTAGAGACAAGTTCTTGCTCTGTTGCCCAGGCTAAGTGCAGTGTCGTGATCATAGCTCTTTGCAGCCTCAACCTCTGGTGCTCAAGTGATCCTCCCACCTTGGCCTCCAGAGTATCTAGGACTACAGGTGTGAGATGGCTACATCTCTCTTTTTTTTTCTTTTTGAGACAGAGTCTCACCCTGTTGCCCAGGCTAGAGTGCAATGGCATGAGCTCGGCTCACTGCAACCTCCACCGCCTGGGTTCAAGTGATTCTCCCACCTCAGCCTCCTGAGTAGCTGGAATTACAGGCATGCGGCATCATGCCTGGCTAATTTTTGTATTTTTGTAGAGACGGGGTTTCAACCATGTTGGTCATGAACTCCTGACCTCATGTGATCTGCCTGCCTCAGCCTCTCAAAGTGCTGGGAGTACAGGCGTGAGCCACTGCACCCAGCCTGGCTACATTTCTTAACCTCTCTGTACCTCAGGTTCCGAATGTGTAACCTGTGGGCTGATAAAGGAACCTTGGTGATAGAGAGTCCTGGGAGGATTGAATGAGCCAATATGTGTAATGCACTGAGAATGGTGCCAGGTATATAAGGACTTCATGCATGTGGGTTCTTGGGGCTTTTGTTGTTGTTTTGAGACAAGGTCTGGCTCTGTCGCCCAGGCTAGAGTACAGTGCATCTTGGCTCCCTGCAACCTCGCCCTCCCAGGCCCAAGCGATCCTCTACCTCAGCCTCCCGAGTAGCTGAGACCGCAGGCATGTGCTACCACGCCTAGCTAATTTTTGTATTTTTTGTAAAGATGGGGTCTCACTTTGTTGTCTAGGCTGGTCCTGAACTCCTGCGCTTAAGTGATCCCCATGCCTTGGCCTCCTGAAGTGCTGGGGTTACAGGCGTGAGCCACTGTGCCCCGACCTTGATTGATTTTTTTTCTTTTTTTTGAAAAAGGCTTGAGGGCAGTGGCTCGATCTTGGCTCTGCAACCTGTACCTCCCAGGCTCAAGCAATTCTCATGCCTCAGCCTCCCAAGTAGCTAGGACTACAGGTATGTGCCCCCACACCTGGCTAACTTTTGTATTTTTAGTAGAGACTGGGTTTCACCATGTTGGCCAGGCTGGTCTCGAACTCCTGGCCTAAAGTGATCCACCCACCACAGCCTCCGAAAGTGCTGGGATTATAAGCGGGAGCCATTGTGCCCAGCCCCAGCCCTTGATTTAAATACTGACAAAACACCTGCTATATGCTGGGCCTGAAGGCTAAAGAGATGAATAAGACACCTCATGTCTGCTTCAAGTTCCCAGCATCTAGTAGGAACAGACACAGGAACAAATAATTCCAGGACAGACACTATAAATGTGTTAGAAGGAGAGTCCAGCTATTGTGGGAAAGGGGAGTGAGTGGCTTGCTGGAGCATTTATGGAAGTCTTCATGGGAGAGTTTTTTTTGTTTGTTTGTTTGTTTTGAGACGGAGTCTCGCTCTGTCGCCCAGGCTGGAGTGCAGTGGCGCGATCTCAGCTCCATGGGAGAGAGTTTGAAAGGATGAAGAGTTTACATCCTCTGGAAAGAAGCAAATAGAAGGCATTCCAGGCAAAAGGAACTGCATCGAGTAAAAGCATGGAGGCAAGAAAGGGCTTGGTGTGTTTGAGAAACAGTGAGTAGGGCATGGTGGTGGCAGAAGCTTAAAGTGTATGGCCCGTGGACAGTGACAGCCGGACAAGAAGCTGAAGTGACAGGTGAGAAAACACTGAAACCATCTGACCTTTGATTTCTGGCTTTACGGAGACATGTAGAGAAAAGGTTTTGTCCCTCCCAGGCTAGAAAAAGACAGAACTGAGTCCTAGGGATTACCCTGAAGCAGCATCTCCACTCATCCACTCTGCCCCACAGCAACATCTGTGCCATTTCTCTCCCAGACTCCCTCATGGTGAGCCGGGTGGTGACAGTGTGACTTCTGGAGCGAGCCACCTTGCCCAGGTCCAGGCTCCAGCTCTAACATGCTGGGCCCCAAGGGCTGGGCAGGAGAGATTGCAGCCAAGACAGGGGTAGTGTCCAGACAGTGGACAACATGATGTAGCCAAGCCCCAGTAACCCTCGGGTCCCCCCACCCCTCCCTGGGCTCTGTGCCCAACCCTGAGCTCATGCCCCTTCATCTTGCCAGGCCTGTTCCAGCTCCATCTTAACTGGCTGCCCAGTACCCTGCTGGTGACACCTGCCACCACCTCCAAATGCCTTCTGTGGCTGCCCTACATCCTGCTTATGCCAGTGAGGCCCTGGGACCTGTCCCTAGGCAGCCTGGGAAAGGGCAGCTTCCAGCTGTGGCTCAGAGCCTGGGGAGGGGTCAGGAGATGCGTTCCTGTGGTTCTTCTGGTTGTCCTGTGTGAACAGGCGTCTGTCGCTGATGGTGCCCACACCTTTTTTTGTCTTGACTCCTAGAACAAGTTGAACCAAAGGAATTCCAGACCTGGGAAAGTGGAGAAAGAATTTTGGGGTCAGAGCCGTTTAAGACTTTGCCTAGGGCCTGGGTCTTCTTTCTCCTAAAGGCCTCAACCCACAGCACGCCACACAAATATGTCACATAACACACAAACAAACATCATATTTCACAGTAAGTAGAATTCTTTATCACACTATATTCAGGTGCAGTATTCTAGTTGACAACGTATTTGTGCACGGTCAATATTAACTTTAGCTAGGTGCAGTAGAACCTACCTGTAGCCCCAGCTTCTTGGGAGGCTGAGGGGGAGGGTCATCTGAGCTCAAGAGTTTGAATCCAGCCTGGGCAACATAATGAGATCCCCATCTCTAACAAAATGAAATGAAATAATAAAGTGTATGTATATTAACTTTGACTTTCTTTTCTTTTTTGTTTTGAGACGGACTTTTGGTCTTGTCACCCAGGTTGGAATGCAATGGCACGATCTTGGCTCACTGCAATCTCCACCTCCTGGGTTCAAGCAATTCTCCTACCTCAGCCTCTTGAGCAGCTGGGATTACAGGCGCGTGCCACCATATCCAGCTAATTTTTGTATTTTTAGTAGAGATGAGGTCTCACCATGTTGGTCAGGCTGATCTCGAACTCCTGACCTCAGGTGATCCGCCCGCCTGGGCCTCCCAAAGTGCTGGATTACAGGCGTGAGCCACTGTGCCCGGCCTGATTTTCTTTTCTTATTTGGAAGCCAATCATTGTCCCCAGATGGCAGGCATTGCCGGCTCTTTCCACACTGGGTCTGAGGCAGTAGGCTATGAAAACGCTTCCACAGAGGCTCTTGGTATCTGCCCAGTTTCCTCTGCTTGGACTGTCTTTTCCCACCCACCTTGCCTGGCTGATGCCTGATCATCCTTCAGGTCTTGGTTTTGTTTTTTGTTTGTTGTTTGGTTTTTGTTTTGTTTTTTTGAGACAGAGTCTTGCTCTGTCGCCCAGGCTGGAGTGCAGTGGCACAATCTCGGCTCACTGCAACCTCTGCCTCCCGGGTTCAAGCAATTCTCCCATCTCAGCCTCCCGAGTAGGTGGGATTAATGGCGCCCACCACCACGTCCGGCTAATTTTTTATTTTTAGTAGAGACAGGGTTTCACCATGTTAGCCAGACTGGTCTCAAACTCCTGACCTTGTGATCCACCCACCTCGGCCTCCCAAAGTGCTGGGATTACAGGCGTGAGCCACTGCGCCCGGGCCAGGTCTTGGTTGAAAAGTCGCCTCCAGCCAGGCATGGTGGCTCACACCTGTAAGCCCAGCACTTTGGGAGGCCGAGGCGGGCGGATCACCTGAGGTCAGGAATTCGAGACCAGCCTGGCCAACATGGCGAAACCCTGTCTCTACTAAAAATACAAAAATTAGCCAGGCGTGGTGGTGTGTGCCTGTAATCCCAGCTACTGGGGAGGCTGAGGCAGGAGAATCGCTTGAACCCGGGAGGCGGAGGTTGCAGTGAGCTGAGATTGCACCACTGCACTCCAGCCTGGGTGATAGAGCGAGGCTCCATCTCAAAAAATTTTTAAAAATAATAATAAATAAATAAAAGTCACCTCCTCCAAGAAACCCTCTCTGAAGCTCTCCCACCTCAGACTGACTGAGCTATCCCACCTTTGTGCTGCCACATCACACTGCCTTGTCACTTCTTGGCTACGAGTTGGCCTCTTCCATCAGATTATGAGTCCAAGAGGGTAGGGTCTGTCTCATTCATTGGCCCTCAGACCAGCATCCTTCTTAAAATGTAAGTGCTTATAAATATCAGCAGGGAAACGAGGCAAAAGAACCTTGAAGTCAGCACTGGGGCTGGTTCTGTGTCCACCTTAAAATGCTAAGAGCTGTCACATTTCAGGGTCTCATTTCAGCGTCTCACTCATCTAGGAGGTTGGCACGGTTATTAACTACATTTTGCAGTTGAGGAAACTGAGGCACAGAGAAGGTAAGAAACTAATCCAAGGTCACACAGTGACTTTAGTGTTCTTAACCACACGTGCTGTGTCAGAGATTTAGCATGAAGTAACCACACACTGAAAGGGGGCTGTTGTGTTTCTTCCTTCAAATGGAGGGGACTGTGAAGAGAGAAGGCTTTTGAAACCTGGGGGGGGTCATCCTTTCCTTTGGGAGGAGGTTGGGAATCTGCCCGTCATTCCTGAGTTCCAGATCTCCAGGAGTGAGTCCCTGTCCTCACAGGTGCAGGCCCCAGAGTCCGGAAGGAAAGTGGGTATAAGTGGCTTGAGCCGGATCAATTCAGTGTAATTGACACGCAGAGTGGGGAGGAGCAGCTCAGCCAGGCAATATGTAGTGTCTCAGGTTGCAAAGGGGTCTTCAGGGACCACCCATAACATAACTTAGTTGGGGCTAGGATCCCTACCAGGCACTTTTATTTACATATCTCCCTTGATGGGGAGCTTGCCCCAACTCGGGGTCATTTTCACTGTGGGGGCCCTGGCCATGCAAGCTCTTGTGTCTGCCGAGCTGATACCTGCCTCCCTGCAGCTTCCTCAGGGTGCTGGTCCTCAGGGCGCTGGTGCTCAGGGCCTGGCAGGGTTGCACCTTCTCCCCTTTCTCCCTGCAGCCCTTCCAGGAACTGAGTGAGCGTCTGGGCCTTTCTCGTCTTCAGCCAGGGCTCCTGCCTCTCTCCTCTTTGTCCCAGCCCCAACCCTGACAGTCAAGGCCTTTAGTCCTTGAGCCCATCCCATTCACCCTTCGAGGCTCCTGGCCCACAAGCCCCCTCCCTGGGCCAGGATCCCACCAGCCAGTTACCTTGTTACTGAATGGATCCTCCCCTGTCTGTGTGTCTTCTCAGGAGGTTACAGGCCCCTGTCAAGTGTGGCCCCCGGCGCAGGGCCTCCCTGCCCTCCACTCAGCTGCAGTCTGCTCAGCGCCCTTAGCACAGGCTGGGGCTAATGCCGTCTGCGTTCCTTTCCTGGGGCTGCCATGACACATTACTGCAAATTTGGCAGCTTACAAAACCAGAAATTAATTCTCTCATAGTTCTGGAGGCCAGAGCCCAGAATCAAGGTGTTGGCAGGGCTGGTTCCCTCCAGACGCTCTCCGGGAGAATCCATCCCAGGCCTCTTTCCCAGCTTCCGGGGGCTGCCAGCAACCCTTGATATTCCTTGGCTGAGGGTTTCATAACTCCAGCCCCTGCCTCCGTCTCCACGTGGCCTTCTTCTCTCTGTGCCTTCATGGCTGAGATGTCCCTGTTTTCTTTCTTATAAGGACACCACCCATCGCATGTAGGACCCACTGTAAATCTAAAGTGATTACAGCTTGAGATCCTTCACTTAATTACATCTGCAAAGACCCTATTTTCAAAAAAGATGACATTCGCAAGTGCTAGGTGTTAGGACTCAGATGTATCTTTTTGGGGGGTCACAAGTCAACTTGCTGCAACCATCCCATCAGCCTAGATGTGTGTAGATGTGTCCGGGATCAGGGAGGGTGTCCCTTCACCTCCACATCCCATGGAAAGTGCTCATTGGAAGGAGTGAAGATCTTGTTAATGAGTTTGATGACTGTGAATCCAAGCAGCACGCCCAGAGCAGATGCCTGGGGTAGCTGAGTATGAGGGCGGGGAACAGGCGAGGACCCACAGATCCAAGGGCTGGCTTCCCTGACGCACCCAGCACCAGCTTCTCTGGAGAGGGTTGGAGAAGCGGCTCCTGCCGGGCTGCCCTCTGCCAGGCACTGAGGCCGGTCTGTGAGCCAGGCAGGGGACCCAGCAACTGGGAGCTTGGGGCCTTGTGGGTGAGACCCAGACTGGACAATAAGGGGCTGAGGGATCACAGTGGAGGTAGGACTGGGGTGGAGGTGGGGGTAGCAGGCAGGCCCCAAGGCTGTTTTGACTGATTTGGAGGCAGCCTTGAGGCATGGCATGGGGGTCTGAGAACCCAGAGGGGCCTAGGTGCCCTGGCTGGCTGTCCGTGGCCCACAAACCTGGCCAGGTTCCCTGTCCTGCCCTCCAGGGCAGCAGGGATCCTCGTGGCCTCCTTACTACCACTCTCGACGCTCCCTGGAGGCTGGTGGCAGTCAGGCTGCCTTGGGTATATGCAGGGTGGCTGGAATGAAGTAAAAAAAAAAAAATTATTTTTCACAGTAAAATATTCCTGCATCACGTAGCTCCCGCCACAAACTACTTAAAAGACAGCTGCTTTCTTTGTCTAGTGCCAAACTTTCTAGATGCAAGTCCGCTGAGCCGGTGTGCACCTTAAATAAACTCCTTCACCCAATTCGGTCTCTCTGGCCCCTTACTTTCCCACAACAATGGGAGATCCCTGCCTTGCATCCAGAGCCGCGGCTCCTTCTTAAGCTTCCCCCAACCAAGGGGATCCCGGTGACAGGTGGAAAGGCAGCGCAGGTGTCTTGTGGAAGTAGAGACCAGTAGTCCCTGGGCAGGGGGTCGCAACAGGAGGGCAGGGCGGCCAAGGCCAATGCTGGGAGAGCAAGTCCCTGCCACCCCTGCTGGCCTCAGCCTGGCCCCATGAGTGCTGGCCTCCAATGCAGGCCCAGCTCCTCAGCATCCTCTCTGCACCCCACAGGCTGCTCTCCAATGATCTGTGCTATGGACAGCTGCTTCCAGGGGCCACATCTTTACCCTGGTGTGGAGGCGGTGGTGGGGGGTTGTGGCATGATGGGAGTCCCAGCTGGGAACAAAGGGAAGGGAAAGGGAAGGGCTTTCTCTCCTCGGGAGAGAAAAGCGCTCAGGACTTGGAGCCAGGACTGGTGGGCTGCACATGGCCAGGCCCAGGGATTTTCGCTGTCCTGGACGTGGATTCCTCCTTAGCAATAAGAGTTAGAAACAGCATCGCCTTCATGGCGTCAAGGAGGTAATGAATATGGAGAGGGTTTGGGACATGTGTGACACTTCCCAGCTGTTGTGGCTTTCACTGCTAAAATCCCTTCATATGGTAAACGCTGGGATCTTCGTAAAGCTCCTTCACGTTCATAGCCAGAAGCCATGTGAGTGCAGGAGGGTCCACAGCCTCTCCCTCCTCCCTTGCTGGGAAGGAGGACTCTGGATCTCAGGAGGCTGGGAGCAGGAGGAAGGGGGTTTGAGAAGCCAGAGGCCTGGCCAGGTCACACTGGGAAGGCCAGTGGGCTCATGCTAGAGAAAAATATCATACACGAAAAGATGATGGGAGGGCCAGGCATGGTGGCTCATGCCTGTAATTCCAGCACTTCGGGAGGCTGGGGTGGGCAGATCACCTGAGGTCAGGAGTTCGAGACCAGCCTGACCAACATGGTGAAACCCCATCTTTACTAAGAATACAAAAATTAGCCGGGAGTGGTGGCACACACCTGTAATCCCAGCTACTTGGGAGGCTGAGGCATGAGAATAGCTTGAACCCAGGAGATGAAGGTTGCAGTGAGCCGAGATCGCACCGCTGCACTCCAGCCTGGGCGACAGAGTGAGATTTCTGTCTCATTAAGAAAATAAATAAATAAATAAAAGATGTTGCGGGAGGGAAGTGGGCTGCTGAGAAGGCGTGAACTGAGGGCCTGGGAAGGAGCTTGGAGCTGGGGCAGAGAGAAATTTGGGGAGCAGCAGACATGGGTAAGAGACTATGGGAAGAAAGGATTCTTGCCAGGGGTTATGAATGCACTTCTTTGGCATTTTCTAGAGAGGCTTCAGAAAGATGTAAATCACTTCTCGGCCAGTTTACATGCTAGACTGGTGTTTCTTTAAATATGCTAAAACAGAGCCTGAAAGTAGTGTATATTATCCAAAAAAAGAGTTTCCCAAAAGCTTTCCAAGGTGGTCTTGTTCTGAAACCGTATGCCCTATTCTGTGAGCCTAGAAGAAGTTGGCATGATGGGATGCGGTGCTGCAAGACCCAGCTCTGGAACTGTGGGTCTCAGCTGAGGGTGTCTGGGAGCTATGCTCGTGCCCATGCAGCCATTCCCAAGAGGCCCTCAGCTCTTCACACTTCCCCCTAGAAGCCAGCACTGCCCCAGAGGAACCTTCAGCTCTGCCTGGGAGCTCAGGAAAGTTCTCTGTGGCCAGCCTCAGTTGTCTCATAAAGTGGGATCATCTGCCTCAACAGCACCAGCGCTGTTGAGGATTACATGAGGTCGTAAATAAGAAAGCACTTTGCACAATGTCAAATATTACGTAAATTCTGTAATTATTGTTATTTCAAAGAAAAGATGTGAGGAGGGTCATAGCTGCAGCTCTCATTTGCTGATGACTTGCTCTATACCAGGCATGAGCTCCTTTAATCGTCCTCCAACCTCATGAGTGAGAACAGCTTCATCCCCATTTTACAGATGAAAGGCATTTAGCTCAAGGAAGGAAAGCCATTGGTCCAGAATGGTAATTCAAGTTCATGTCTTCCTGACCCCATAGCATTAGGCTGAGCCTCTCTAAAAGTGAAAGAGTTGAGGCCGGGTATGGTGGCTCACACCTGTAATCCATATACTTTGGGAGGCGGAGGCAGAAAGATCATTTGAGCCCGGGAGTTCAAGACCAGCCCGGGTAACATAGGGAGACCCCATTTCTACAATTTTTTTTTTTTTTTTTGAGACGGAGTCTTGCTCTGTCGCCCAGGCTGGAGTGCAGTAGTGCGAACTAGGCTCACTGCAACCTCCACCTCCTGGGTTCAAGTGATTCTTCTGTCTCAGCCTCCTGAGTAGCTGGGATTACAGATGCCTGCCACCACGCCCGGCTAATTTTTCATATTTTCAGTAGAGATGGGGTTTCCCCATTGTTGGCCAGGCTGGTCTCGAACTCCTGACCTTGTGATCTGCCTGCCTCAGCCTCCCAGAGTGCTGGTATTACAGGAGTGAGCCACCTCGCCCAGCCACAACAAAAAATTTTAAAGGCCAGGCGCAGTGGCTGACACCTGTAATCCCAGCACTTTGGGAGGCCAAGACGGGTGGATCACCTGAGGTCAGGAGTTCGAGACCAGCCTGGCCAACATGGTGAAACCCCGTCTCTACTAAAAATACAAAAATTAGCTGGGTGTGTTGGCAGGCGCTTGTAATCCCAGCTACTCAGGAGGCTGAGACAGGAGAATCACTTGAACCCAGGAGGCGGAGGTTGCAGTAAGCTGAGATCACACCATTGCACTCCAGCCTGGAGGACAAGAGTGAGGCTACATATCAAAGAAAAAAAATTTTAAAGGCCGGGCGCGGTGGCTCACACATGTAATCCCAATGCTTTGGGAGGCCGAGGCAGGTGGATCACTTAAGGTCAGAAGTTCGAGACCAGCCTGGCCAACATGGTGAAACCCCGTCTCTACTAAAAAATACAAAAATTAGCCAGGCGTGGTGGCATGTGCCTGTAATCCCAACTACTTGGGAGACTGAGGCAGGAGAATCTCTTGAATTTGGGAGGCAGAGGTTGCAGTGAGCTGAGATCGTGCCACTGCACTCCAGCCTGGGGGACAAGAGCGAAACTCTGTCTCAAAAAAAAAAATTTTTTTTTTTAAATAACTGGGCTGGCTACTCTGGGTACACTGCCTGTGGGGTAGCCCTGCTCCACAAGGAGCAGTACCAAAAAAGAAAAAGAAAAAAAAAATAGCTGGGCATGGTGACATGTGCCTGTAGTCCCAGCTCTTTAGGAGGCTGAGGTGGAAGGGTGGCTTGAGCCCTGTAATTCAAGTCTGCAATGAGCCATGATCTTACCACCACATTTCAGCCTGGGTGACAGAGCAAGATTCTGTCTCTTAAAAAAGAAAAAGAGGCCGGGCGCGGTGGCTCAAGCCTGTAATCCCAGCACTTTGGGAGGCCGAGGCAGGCGGATCATGAGGTCAAGAGATCAAGACCATCCTGGCTAACATGGTGAAACCCTGTCTCTACTAAAAATACAAAAATATTAGTCGGGCATGGTGGTGAGCACCTGTAGTACCAGCTACTCAGGAGGCTGAGGCAGGAGAATGGCATTAACCTGGGAGGCGGAGCTTGCAGTGAGCTGAGATGGCGCCGCTGCACTCCAGCCTGGGCGACAGAGCGAGACTCCGTCTCAAAAAAAAAAAGAAAAAGAAAACAAAAGTGCAAAAGTGAAAGAGTTGGGCCTGTGGGGTGCACAGGGCAGACAAGTGGCTGGTGCCTCATGAGCTGAGCCGGGGCCTGGAAAGCGGAGAACTGAGGCCAAGTGCAGTGGCTCAACGCCTACTGTTCCAACTGTATTCATCGATTTTCATGCTGCTGATAAAGACATACCCAAGACTGGGCAATTTATAAAGAAAGAGAGGTTTAAAGGACTCACAGTTCCTCATGACTGGGGAGGCTTCACAATCATGGCAGAAGGCGAAAAGCACATCTTACATGGTGGCAGACGAGAGAAAATGAGAGCCAAGCGAAAGGGGTTTCCCCTTATAATACCATCAGATCGCTGGGCGTGGTGACTCATGCCTGTAATCCCAGCACTTTGGGAGGCTGAGGTGGGTAGATCACCTGAGGTCGGAAGCTCGAGACCAGCCTGATCAACATGGAGAAACCCCATCTCTACTAAAAATACAAAATTAGCCGGGCGTGTTGGCGCATGCCTGTAATCCCAGCTACTCAGGAGATTCAGGCAGGAGAATCGCTTGAACCTGGGAGGCGGAGGTTGCAGTGAGCCAAGATCGTGCCATTGCACTCCAGCCTGGGCAACAAGAGCGAAACTCCACCTCAAAAAAAAAAAAAAATCAGATCTCATGAGACTTACTACCACGAGAACAGTACGGGGGAAACCGCCCCCCACGATTCAATTATCTCCCACTGGGTCCCTCCTACAACACGTGGGAATTATGGGAACTACAATCCAAGATGAGATTTGGGTGAGGACACAGCCAAACCATATCACCAACACTTTGGGAGGCCGAGGAGGGGGGAATCACTTGAGCCCAGGAGTTCATGACCAACCTGGGCAACGTGGCAAAACCCTGTCTCTACAAAAATACAAAAAATTAGCCATGCGTGGTGGCGTGAGCCTGTAACCCAGCTACTCAGGAGGCTGAGGTGGGAGGATCACCTGAGCCTGGGTGGTCAAGGCTGCAGTAAGCCGTCTTTGTGCCACTGCACTCCAGCCTGGGTGAAAGAGTGAGACCCTGTCTCAAAAAAAAAAAAAAAAAGTGGCGAGCCGCTTGCTGGAGCACTAGTCTTGGGGCCCAGCTGTGTGGCCTTGGGCGCCTTTTCTTTCTAGTCTCTTCACCTTTAAGTGTCACTGACTCCACGCACAGCATCTCTGTGATGCTCAGATGGAGCATCCTTCAGGCCAACCTCAGGGTGGGGCCTCCCCTGAGGTGCACTGCTCTTCAGGAACTGGTCCCAAAGGTCCCAGAGGTCAAGGAAGAATGAGTAGGGGCTTTGCTCGGAGGAGGTGACTTCTGTAGGATGTGATGCACAGAAGACGGAGGAAGCTGTTGGTGAGAGCAGGGAAAACACTCCAAGCAAAGGGACCAGCAAGGGAGAGTCCCTGAGGCGGAGAATGGCTTGTCAGGCGTCAGGAAGGCCAGAAGGCCCAGGAGGCAGGAGCTCAGCAGGTGACAGGGATGGTGGCATGAAAGTTCAGAGAGGCCAGCAGGGTCTGTAGGCCCCAGAAAGGAGTTTGGCTTCCATTTCCAGTGCAGCATGCAGCCACATGAGATGTGTTTGTTTTTGTAAATTGTACAGAAGCATATCACACATGCACAAAAGTGTACAAATCATCAGTGTACAATGCCATGAATTTTCACAAAGTGAACACACCCAGGAGATGGGCACTGAGATCAAAACCAGAATGTGACCAGCACCCCAGCATCCTCCCGTAGGCCCCTCTAGTCACCACCCCCATGGGGACCAGAGTCCCATGCACAGAGTAGTTTTGCTTGTCTTTGAACCTCCTATAAATGCATCCATCAGCAGCGTTCTCTGTGTCCAGCTTCTGTTGCTCAGCAGTACGTTTGTGAGATTCACCCACCATTTTTTTTTAGACGGAGTCTCTGTCGCCCAGGCTGGAGTGCAGTGGCGTGATCTCAGCTCACTGCAACCTCCACCTCCTGGGTTCAAGCGATTCTCCTGCCTCAGCCTCCCGAGTAGCTGGGATTATAGGTGCATACCACCACGCCCAGCTAATTTTGTATTTTTTAGTAGAGACGGCATTTCACCTTGTTACCCAGGCTGGTCTCGAACTCCTGAGCTCAGGCAATCTACCTGCCTCGGCCTCCCAAAGTGCTAGGATTACAGGCGTGAGCCTGAAAGGTGGATTCACTCGCCTTTCATTAGTGGTTGTAGTTTTGCTTCTCTTCTTAGTGGCACAGTCTTCCATTGTGTCACTACACCACAATGCATCTGTGCATTTGATTCATAATGGGCATTTGTGGTCTCCTGTTTGGGGCTACTGTCAACATTCTATCCTTGTCTTTTGGTGCACCCGTGTACGCTTTTCTGATCATTGAAGGGTGTTCAACATGAAATTGACAAGATCTCTCATTTCAAGCTCACTCCCGCCCCTGCATCAGCTCCCCAGTGTGACACCAGAACTGGACCAGCCTCAACTTTGCTTTTTTTTTTTGTTTGTTTGAGATGGAGTCTTGCTCTGCTGCCCAGGCCAATCTCGGCTCACTGCAGCCTATGCTCCCAGGTTCAAGCAATTCTTTTCCCTCAGCCTCCTGAGTAGCTGGGACTACAGGCATTTTTAGTGGAGACGGGGTTTCACCATGTTGGCCAGGCTGGTCTCGAACTCCTGGCCTCAAGTGATCCGCCCTACCTCAGCCTCCTAAAGTGCTGGGATTACAGGCTTGAGCCACTGTGCCTGGCCTCAACTTTGTCTTTTGTTGCTTGGGTAGAATACCCTATTAGAGTCTGGCCCCTTTTATGCCCTGATGATGTGTCTGACTCCCAACTCCCTTCCAAACCAGAAACTCGGCCATTCATTCCCCAGGCCTGGGTGTCCTGCGAAGAAAATGGACTCAAATGGACTCAATCGTACCAAAGCTGCAGCTGGCTGTGAAGGTTGAGTTAAATGGGAAATGGCAGTGAAAGCTCAGGGCCCATTACCCAGGCCCCCCGCCCCATGATAATGCCCTTTCTCTTTGTTCTGTTCCAGGTCCAGGAAATGAAATGAAGACAAAAGCGCCCCCTGTGGGTGAAGGTAAGATGCAGCTCTCTTTCTTTTTTTCTTTTTCTTTTCTTTTTTTTTTTTTGAGACGGAGTCGCCGCGATCTCACTGCAAGCTCCGCCTCCTGGGTTCACGCCATTCTCTTGCCTCAGCCTCCCGAGTAGCTGGGACTACAGGCGCCCGCCACCACACCTGGCTAATTTTTTTGTATTTTTAGTAGAGACGGGGTTTCACCGTGTTAGCCAGATGCAACTCTCTTTCTAGGGCTCCCCAGCATCCTGTCTTCTAGACCAAGGATGCCCACACTGCACCAAGCCAGCACAGACCCAGCCTCCACTGAGAGGTCAGTGCCCACAGGCTGCCCTCAGCTCTAAAGGCCCAGAGTGTAGATGAGCCAGGAAGCACTGCCACCCTTGCACACTTGCTCCCCATCTGGGATCCTCGCCCCTCTTCCTCCCCCACCCCAGACCGTTGGAGAGGTCTCCCCAGGTGTCCACCCAGCCTGCTCCCCTGGTTACTGTGCCCACAACATGTGGCACCTTCCCCCGCACCCAGCCCCTCCCAGTGCAAGCCGTGCCTCACTGCCAGACTGCGCGGGCAGGGAGGGACCTGTCCCCTGTTCCCGGAAGATGGAAGATCGCCCACACCTGGCACTGTGCCCAGCCCCTGCGGGGGCGTCATAAATATCTCCTGAATGATTCATTCATTCCTTTGGGAGAGAAAGCACGACCCCTTAGTGGTTAAAGGTATGGAGTTTGAAGTCACACAGACCTGGGTTCAATTCTGGCTCTGACCTTTGGCTCTGTGACCTTGGTCACCTCTCTGAGCCTGTTTCTTCATGTAAAAAATGGAGTCACCACGACCAGATTAGGCCACGGTGAGGACTGAGATGATGTTGTAAGGCACCAGCACAGAGCTGACCTACAGCTCAATCGTGGTGGGAGGGAGTAATTATCCATTCAGAAAAGGGGAAACTTTCCGCTGCGCCTCCTGTCGCTGTTTTCCTTGGCTCCCGGAGGTGCGCAGTATCGGGTCCGTTTTTAAGGTAAAGAAACTGAGGCCTAGAAAGAGAACAGGATAACCCAGGGCGCGGAGGCTGGGGCTAGAACCCAGGCCGGCTGGCTCTGAGTCCAGTGCTTGGCCTGCCTCTCAGAGGCCTGTGGGCACGTCCCCACCCACCCCTGTCCCCAGGCGTGGGAGCGAGGGGTTGGGCTTGGCCTCAGGGCGTCCCTGGATCCCGGACGCGCTTGGGGATCTCCGGCTCGGACCCCAGGAGCAGAGACAGCGCTCGAGCTTGTCACTTTAAATTCAAGAGGGAGCGGGCGGGCAAGCGGGCGAGCGCGAGGGAGCGCGCGGCGGGCTCCTGGGAGCGTGCCCGGACTGCGGCGCAGCTCCGGTCCGCCGCCCCGGCCCGGCCGAGCCCCCGGCCCGCGCCGCGCTCCTCGGAGGCGGGAGCCCGGCGACACTGCAGGGGTGGCGTTGCCGCCGGCGGCCGGGCTAGGCGCAGGTGCGTGCGCGCTGCGGGAGGCGGGCCGGCAGCTGGAGCCCAGCCGGAGCGGCGGCCCCTCCGCGGAGCCCGGGTGAGTACGCACCCCGCCGACCCCCGTGCGCGGCCGGGATCGCACCCTGATCGCGGACGCACGCAGCCCCCTCCTCGGGCCCTGGGCCCGGGACCCCAGAGCCCCGCGCACTCCGCGCTCCTGCACCTCCGCGCCGCGCTTGCACACGAACGAATGCCGGGCACCGCGCACGCTGGGCGCCCTTACCCGGCCCGGCCACTCCGCGCAGTGCGCATCGCATCGCACGCCCCGCATGTGCACACACGCGGCTCACCCGGCCATTTACACGCCTCCCCGCGCCCACGCTGCACACACGCCCCTCACTTTCGCATTCAGCGCCCTGACTGTCCTCACTGTCCCTGCTCTGGCTTCGCACCCCCTCCCGACACTCCGGTCCCCATACACCCTGGAGGTTCCCGAGGCAGGAGCGCTGGGTCTGCAGGAACCGTCCCAATCTGGAGGGGAACGTTGCACCCCAGCCCGAGGAGGCCCTGGCCGTGTGAAGAGCCAGATATGACCCTCAGCCGCCGGTGGCACCAGCCTGAGTGGGGGGCTTTCCAGAGCTTAGGAGAGGGGTATGGCGGGGCAGGGGAGGAAGCTTGCCCAGACTCAGGGCCTCAAGGCTGTAGATTTGGGCTGAAGTTGGGGGAGGGAGGTGGGGGGCCGGGAGCCTGGCCTGTGGGTGGAAGGCCCTGAGCTGGCCATCCTGGGAGCTCTCTTCCAGGGGCTGCAGAGAGACTGTGTGCACCCTCCTCCATTCCCAAAAGCCTGGGAAAGCTGCACCATGGAATGTCAGCTCCTTCTCCCCGTCAGGGGATGACAGTTTTAGAGAGCAGCAGCAATAGTGCTTCCTATTAGAAATGGGGAAATTGAGGCTCAGAGAGGGCAGGAGACCCACCGAAGTTACCACAGCCAGTGTGAAGAAGGGTTAGGACAAGTCCCCAAGCCCCCAGCCTCCCTACTCTGAAGTCTGAAAGCTTTCCTAAGCAGCTCTGCAGAGTGGGGGCTCCCAGCCTGGGTTTCAAACCCGGACTCTGCCACTTGTCAGCTCTGGTGACTGACTGACAAATAAAACACATCTGTAGGCTGGCAGCGCTGCCCACACTGCACCTCAGTTTCCTCTCCAGTACAAGGAGCAGGGTAGCAGCCCCCTCAGAGGGCTGCGGTGCTGAGATAACACAGGGCAAGTCACACAGTAGGTGCCCAATAAATGCCAGCCAGCACCTCCCAGCCAGTCTGTCCTGCGGTTTCTGTGGGCTGTTTGGGGGATGGCAGCAGGATGTGGTTATCTCAGAAAGCGGAGGAGGGGTACTTGAAAAGGTTTCAACCTAAAGATCCTGAAGAGGCTCACAGGTTGAAGGATGAGGCTCTCCTGGGCCCAACTCCCGACCCTTCCCATTGCCTTGCTAGCCAGAGAATGATGTGAGGACACTGGGCAAGGAGGTGGGGTGGAGCAGAAGGCAGGGACAGAGGGCCCCTCTCCCCCGCCGAGGCACAACATTCATGGAAAGCCAATTCTCTGACAAGCCCAGGAGGGGCCTCTGCCATGGTCTGATTCCAGCAAAGCTGGGGGAAGTGGGGGGCTCTTCCAACTCCCCACCCCAAAAGGCCTGCCTGTTCAGGAGTCAGCATGGTGACCAAGAGCCCAGGCCCAGATCCATTGCACCCTGGCACCAATCCCAGTGTTGCTACTTGTATGCTAGGTGACCTGGGGCCCCAGCTTCCTCATCTATAAAAGGGGGATCCATTAATCCACTGAATCATCATGTCCACATTGTGTACCTACTACAACCAGGCACAGTGCTAAGCACTTAGCACATGTTATGTCCACATGCATGTAGCAGTAAGGAGATATTGCTAGGTAGGTATGATCGAGCTGGAATTTGAACCTAGAGCTGTTTTCAATGAGTAAGCTCTGTGCAGTTTAGGGTCTGGGGATTTGGGACTGAACGAATTGGTCAGATGGGGAGGGGTGCTGCAGAGGTAGGGATGTGCAGTCTGGGAGCTCAGTGAGGGTCTGGAGCCACTCTGGTCCCCCATGTTATGCTCTTTGCTGTGTGTCTGGACACCGGGGATGCTCTGGTCACAGGCTGCCCTGGTCCCACTGTACCTCATTGCTATCCTCTTCTAGCCAAAGACACAGTCCTTCTGCCTGGCAGACCTCCAGGCTGCCAGCGGGAGCCCACTGAGGTGGTCCCAGGTGAGACAGAGTCAAGGGGTCTCGGGGATAGTGAGCAAAGCCCTTGAGAAGGGCACTGGCTGCACAGCAGCACTTGCGGCTTGGTCTGAGCTTCCTCCTCACTGGTTGGGTGACCTCGGGCCAATTCACTGCCCTTCTCTGAGCCTCCCTCTCCTCCTCCGTGGAGGAGGGGGTAGTAACAGGATTTGCCCCATGGGTCTTACGGGTGATGGGGAAGACGGCATGAGGGTTGTCACTGCTAATGGAAGAGGGGCTGGACTGGGCTACAGGAATGACTGCCAGGCCCAGCTCTACCACCGCTGGCTGTGTGGCTTTGGGCAAGTCACTTAACCTCTCTTAATCTCCCACAGCTTTGCTGGGCGTGGTGAGATCACACCACTTCATTCCAGCCTGGGTGAAAGAGCGAAACTCCGTCTCAAAAAAATAAATTAATTAAAAAAAAAAAGTAGCTCATTCAAAGCCCACTTTACCAGGCTTATGAGCAGGGATGCTTCCAGGGCTCAACAGGTTCTAGCAGTGAATGGAAGGATGGGAGCAGCCAGGGAAGGGGCAATGCCGACTTAGCTCCAACTCCTGTTGGAGTCGGGGGATGCAAACCCATTGTCCCCATATCTTCTAACTTTCTTTTTTTCTTTTCTTTCTTTTTTTTTGAGATGGAGTTTTGCTCTTGTTGCCCAGGCTGGAGTGCAGTGGTGCGATCTTGGCTCACTGCAACCTCCACCTCCTAGGTTCAAGCGATTCTTCTGCCTCAGCCTTCCCAAGTAGCTGGGATTACAGGCATGTGCCACCAAGCCCGGCTAATTTTGTATTTTTAGCAGAGATGGGGTTTCTCCGTGTGGGTCAGGCTGGTCTCAAACTCCCGAACTCAGGTGATCCGCCTGCCTCGGCCTCCCAAAGTGCTGGGATTACAGGCCTGAGCCACCGCGCCCGGCCAGATCTTCTAATTTTCAAAGGGAAGCTGGAAATCCTTTTTAAATCAATTTTTAATGGGAAACTCTCCCCGCACACACACACACTTTTTTTTTGAGGCACAGTCTCACTATGTTGTCCAGACTGGTTTTGAACTCCTGGGCTCAAGAGATCCTCCCACACCAGCCTCCCCAGTAGCTGGGACTACAGGCATGACCCACTGCACCCAGCTAAATTTTTCAATTTTAAAATGTTGGCAACTCACTTAAATGTAAGACAAATAAACACATCTGTAGGCTGGCAGTGCTGCCCACACTGCCCAGACTAGGGGTTAGGGGGTCTGTATGGGCCATCACCAGGCTGCTAACCACAGCAACCAATATGTGCCAAGCCTGACTACACGTACCTTCTCATTCCACCCTCCTGGCAGCCTCACATCTGCTTTACAGGTGGGGAACTGAGGCTCTAAGAGACTAAGAAAATTACCCAAGGCCACTGCAGCTAGCCAGGGGCAGGTATGGGAGTCAGAGCTGGGTGCAGCTGACTACAAACCCTGTGCTCAGGATGACACCCTCTAGGAGCCTCGACCTCTCTCCCAGTTCTCTTCTCCCTCCACTCAGGCAAATGAGCTCTGCCTTCACAGGGCACCAGGCTGGAACATATGTCTGGAGGCCAGGGGCGGTGGCTCACGCCTGTAATCCTAGCACTTTGGGAGGCCAAGATGGGAGGATCATTGAGGTCAGGAGTTCAAGACCATCCTGGCCAACATGATGAAACCCCGTCTCTACTGAAAATACAAAAACTAGCTGGGCATGGTGGCTCATGCCTGTAATCCCAGCTACTTGGGAGGCTGAGGCAGGAGAATCACTTGAACCCAGGAGGCAGAGGTTGCAGTGAGCTGAGATCGCGCCATTGCATTCAAGCCTGGGTGACACAGTGAGGCTCTGTCTCAAAAAAAAAAAAAAAAAAAAAAAAAAGAAGGAACTTCTGTCTGGGGTGTGCCTAGCAGTCATTCACACCCTCACTGAAATCTCAGCTCCCTGGGAAAGGATGTCGTGTTAAAGGGAGAGGAAAGAACAGACAGCGTGGGAGTCTGGGGTCTGAGCTGGGCCAGCCATGGAGGTGATGGGGCCCCCGACAGCCAGAGGCCAGATGCAGCTTGAGGCTTTGTCCCGTACCACGCCTGTTGTGCTGTGGGGTGTACTTTGCCATGCATACCTTGCTCGCGTGCTGCGGGCATTGGCTGTCCCAGCTTGGCCCCACTCTTGCAAAGTCAGCTTGTGCCAGGTAAGCAGGAAAAAGCCGATGGCTTATCTGATTCCCGGCAAGGCAGAAGCAGGCTGGGAGGTGCGTGTGTGTACATTAGCATGTGTTTCAGCGTATCCAGACCAGCTTCCGCCAGGAGCTAGGACCACCTTGGGCAGGTACATGGTGACCCATTTGACCTGCAGATTCTTAGGAAACTTTTTGGAAACCATATGCCCACTTGCAGTGAGACACAGTGGTTAGGAGCATGGAGCCAGTTGGCCTGGGTTGAACAGTTTATTAGCTGTGTGGCCTGGGGCAAATTACGCCCTGGGACTCTCACCCGCAAACCAGAGATAATAATAGTACCTACCTCATGGGGCTGTTAGGCAAATTAAATGAGGTCAGATAAATGCAAAGTGCTTAGAATGGCGCTTGATGTGTAAGAAGGGCTCGACAAGGTTCTCTATTACTATCATTATCTCCAGCCCAGGCCCAGGAATGAGCTTCCACTCTAGTCAGGATGGGTGAAGCCCTTCCTGGCTTAGCACCACCCTTCCATCACCATGACAACGCACATCTCCTTGTGGGAGTGGGGGCAGCATCAGGAGAACTGGAAGCCAGGAGCTGGCTGTGCACCTTATCTGACCTGCTTCTAGAGGCTCCTGGGCACCTCCAGGACTTAAGGGGGTAGACTAGGACTTATGGCACCCCAAATGTGCTGGATAACCCTGACTGGAGCATGGCACCGAAGCTTCTTGACTCCAAAGCCACAGACTGGGGAGAACCCCGGAATTCCTGAAAATGTGGAGGGCCTTAGCTTTACCCTCTGATTCGACCCCAGTCCCAAAGGGAACCTACAGGATGCTCCGAGGGGTTGGGAATTGGTGGGTCACACTCCCCAAGGACTTTTTATACTGCGTCTGAATGGTGTTTGCATTTTTTTGCAAATTGGTTGCTACCTTTAAAACTCAGGAAATGGCACATAAAAAATTCAGGTATCTGGCTTTTCTTTAAAGTGCCAGAAGATCAAGCCACGGTGGTTGGCATTCCTGCTGGGGCAAAAATGCAGCTGCCCTTGGGCCAGGCCATCACTCTGCAGTTCTTACCTCCCCTTCCCCTTGCCCTACCACCCTGCACCAGGCCTGCAGGCTTACCATGTGTAACCACCTCTCTGAACTACAAGGGAATCCAGAAATTGGGGTGGGCATTATCCTGGCCCTCGGTGCCCTTGACCTGAGATCAGTGCAGCCCATCCCAAATTCCTTTTTCCAGGACTCCCACATACACCCACTTAGAACACATCTGTGAGCCAGATTTACTTCTTAGCACACTAATAAAACAATGAGCAGTCACCTAGGTTCAGGTAATGGGTTGTACGAGCTCCCAGACCTTTCTAGAACAACTTAAGCCTCAGTCATTCCTAAAAGCTGGGGGTGGAGGATGGGGTGGGGAAGAAACCATGCCAAGCAGTGAAAGGACTGATAATAGAATATTGCAGACACGCAGCCTTTCCTTCCCAATCAAAATGGAAGCATTTGAAGGAAGGCTCTGGCTCAAGCCAGGGGGGCCTTGCTCTAATGAGTCACCTACTGCGTCGCCGCTGGTCAGCCTGATGTTGTTAGGATGGAAATGAGCTGGGGTTGCCAGATTTGGCAAATACAAAAACAGGACACCCAGGAGCATTGATGTTTTGGATGAACAATGGAAAAGATTTTGGCGTAAATATGTCCTGTGGAATATTTGGGACACACATATTAAAAACGTATTTGAAATTTGGCCAGGCGCTGTGGCTCACACCTGTAATCTCAGCACTTTGGGAGACCAAGGCTGGTGGATCACCTGAGGCCAGGAGTTCGATATCAGCCTGGCCAACATGGTGAAACCGCATCTCTACAAAAAATACAAAAATTAGCCGGGTGGGGTGGCACATGCCTGTCATCCCAGCTACTTGGGAGGCTGAGGCAGGAGATCACTTGAACCCAGGGGCAGAGGCTGCAGTGAGCCGAGATCGCGCCACTGCACTCTAGCCTGGGCAACAAAGAGAGACTCCATCTGAAAAAACAAAACAAAACAAAACAAAATCTGAAATTCACATGCCACTGGGCATCCTGTGTTTTATCTGGCAATCCTGAGAAGAGTCTTAGAATGCTTGAAAAGAGCTTTAAACATCATTTCTTAAAATGCCAAGCCTCCCTTTGGTGGCACTCCCCTTATAGCTGAGTGTAAGCTCTGGATGACAGGCACGTGGGTGCCAGGAGGCCAGGACCTAGGAGCGGGACGCTGACTCTCTGCAGCCCTCTCCTCTCACTCTCTTTTCCCTTCCAGTCACAGTCACTGCAGCAGACATCATGGCTGTGGATGTGGCAGAATACCATCTGAGCGGTGAGTGCCCAGGGCAAACCCCTCCTGGATCACGCCTGCGAGACCCTTACACCAGGCCTGGGTGGGAGGTGTCTGTGGGACATGAATAATTAGTCCTTGCCATTAATGTCTTCACTGTCAAGGACAGTCAGTGACTTGCCCAAGGTCAGACAGCCCGCCCTGGGGACATCAAGCTTGGCCCAGTCTGAGGTCTCCTCATCTTGCCACTCAAGTGGCTCCTTCTTGTTAAAGTGACTTTCTCTCTTTCACTTGAAAGGGTCCCCGGGGAGACCCTCATCCTGCTGCACCCTGGGGATGAGCCTGTGACTCGGAATCCACTCACCGAGGCCTTCTGTGGAGACTGTCAAGTAGCCAAGGGAAAATAAGCCCAGGAAGGTCAAGGTTAGATTCATGGGGCGTTAAACTCAGAGACCACCCAGTCCAGAGGCAGAGGTTATAGTGAGCTGAGATCACACCACTGCACTCCAGCTTTCCAGCCTGGGCAACAGAGTGAGACTCCGTCTCATCAGAAAAAAAAAGAGGCCACCCAGTCCAGGGCCATGGCTCCCACCTTGTCACCCTTTGCCTCAGCAGGGAGATGGGAGCTGGCTGGGAGATGCCTCGAGACTCCAGACATACTCCTGCAGCCCTCCCCATGGACAGCGGATGGGGTCAGAGAAGAAACATACCAGCCGTCTTTTCTCCCTTTGTTCCTCTCCTCATTCACAGATGGGAGAAGTGAGGCTTAGAGAGTAACGGGGTCAGGATGTGCACTCAGGTCTCCTGACTCCCAGCCCCGTGCTCCCCATCACTCTAGCCCCTACCCTAACGCAGCCCCTGGGGAGCCCAGGGCTGATCTGAAGGGTGTGCCCGGGAATCACCTTTCCCATCACTTTTTCCCAAAAGTGAGCCAGGGAGCCGCACTTTTCACCCTCAGGCTCACAGGTCTTGCCCCCCTGCCCCCACCCTGCCCCCTACCCGTATGGCCTTGGGCAAGTGGTGAAACCGGAACTTCTACTTACTTATCTGTAAAATGCAAAAGATGAGGCTTGCCTCAGGGCTGTTGGGAAGATTTAGAGAGCTGATGGTTGTGCAGCGCCCAGCATGGTGCAAACGCCACTCTTCCAGTGGCAGCGCTTTGCACACGCTGTTCCCCTGTCCTGGAGTCCTTCCCTGCCTCTGCCACTGCCTGCCTGAGTCCTGGCACCTGGTGGTGGGGTTATAGGTGCAGATCTGGACCCAGTCTGTCTGGAGGCAGATCTCTCCTCCGTCCCTCAGCTTCCTCATCTGTAAAATGGGGAAAACAATAGAACCAACCTCACAGGATTGCCTTGACTCCATGGGTTAATATACGTGACGTGCTTAGAACAGGGCCTGGCAAATCATAAATAGTAAGTGCTTCATAAGGGGAGCTATTCCTCCTCCTCCTCATCCCACTCGTTTCTGGTCTTCGCCTAGACCCCACTTCCAATATCACCCCAAGACTGGTATTCCATAAAATCAATAAATGAATGCGAATTGTCATTTCATGTCACCTTCCTGGGGCTTTTCCTTCTGTGCCCCCAGCCCTGCCCCCTTTTCTGCCACCCCGGGCATGGGCTCCACCCTTCAGCTCCCAAAGAGCCTCAGGCACAGGGGAGCCTGAACCTGCTTTGCCACCTGGCTGTGCCCACAGCCTGCTTAGAGACCTTGGGCCTCTGGTCCTGCCCTCTAGCCAACCCCCGGCTACTACCCAGCCCTGCTGTGACCCTGTTCCCAGGACTCCCAGAATACACCAAGCCTTAGCAGGGCGGGGCCCGGGAGCCTCCATGGATCTCTTTGTCATGGGCATACGTAGCCCACAGGTGACATTCTGTCAACAGCGGCAGGAGGAAGGAGGGTTTCTTCACAGCCCTTCCACCGTCGTTACCCATTCCTTCTGTTTTTCCCTGGTCTGCCCAGCCCGTGACTATGTGCTGCGTGACTTTTGCGCACGTCACACGATTGCGTGATTAGACCATGTTGGGGATTCATTTTTTTCCTCTCTTAACAATGCCAGAAATGTGTCTCTGCATTGCCACAGTGCCATCCTAATGACCTCAATTGTCATTCTCGAAGGCCAGTGACATTTCCTCCCAAGACAGAGCCACCAGCCCTCACTGGCCCCCTCGGTGGGACCTTCAGGCTGTCTCCAGATTTCTGCTGTTATAAATACAGCCTCGATGACTCATCCCAGACACAAAACCTGTTGGGATTTTCCCTTTAGAATAAATTCACCAGAGTGGGACCGCTGGATGGGGGATGTTCTTGTCATCCGCATTTTCCAAACGGAGTATGAAGCCCAGAGGTGCTGGGTGACTTGCCTGGAAGCCAAGGTACCGGTGCCCGGCTCTGCCGTTTCTCACCGCTGGCCTTGAGTGGAGAAACAGATGTGCTCATTACCCTTCCTTGGTCTCAGTTTTCCTCTTTTAGAAAGTAGGGCCTTGGCCAGGGGCGGTGGCTCACGCCTGTAATCCCAGCACTTTGGGAGGCCAAGGCGAGTGGATCACCTGAGGTCAGGAGTTTGAGACCAGCCTGGCCAATATGGTGGAACCCCATCTCTACTAGAAATACAAAAAATTAGCTGGGCATGGTGGTGGACGCCTGTAATTCCAGCTACTCGGGAGGCTGAGGCAGGAGAATCGCTTGAACCGGGGAGGCAGAGGTTGCAGTGAGCCGAAATCGTGCCATTGCACTCCAGCCTGGGCAACAAGAGTGAAACTCCATCTCAAAAAAAAAAAAAAAAAGAAAAAGAAAGAAAAGAAAAGAAAGTAGAGCCTTACAGGGTGCTCAGTGCTGGGAGGGCGTCAGGGCTGGAGGCCAGTGAGTCAGTGCTGTGGACTCTGGCCAAAGGCAGCTCAGCAGACAGCAGGGCAGGCTAGAGGGGCTGCCCCACTGTGTGATCCATTCCTGTGTGGCCGGGCTTCAGGGCAGCAGTGATGAGGAACTCCTCTAGCCCCGGGTCCCCTCCCTCCCTCCCCCGGCCACTCTGCCCACTCTGGGCTTTTTATACCCCTCTATTCTTCCCGCTCTTGACTTCCAGCTCCTGTTGCCGTGGCCTGGCACACTTCTTGCCCCTCCTCATATCTCAGCTTACATGTCCCTCTTCCAGGAGGCCTTCCTGGGCTGCTCCCATTCCCAGTACCCTGATCTGTCTATTTATTTGCCTGCCCCACCCCACCCCCTAGACTGCCAGCTACTTAAGGACAGGGACTTGGCCTGGGGCTGACTCAACCCTGGCTACCCATGCCCATAGGCTGCTGGCACACCAGGATGGGTGCTCAATGGATGTGCAGTGATCAATCTCATGCCCTGAGGTGCTCTTCGCACCTCTCCCCACCTTGCTTCCAGGGAACTGTGCGGGGTCGAGGCCGGGTGGGGCAGTGGTTACCCCACTTGCTTTGGGGTCTGGCTGCTAGAGTTGGGGTCCCAGCACCACCCCTTCTGGGCTCTGTGACCTTGGGCAAGTTCTTTAGCCTTTCTGTGCCTCAGTTTCCTCACTTGAATTGAGACAGACGCAGTACTAAGAGCAGTTTAGAGAACTGTATTTGCCAGCACTGTGACCTGCACAATGAATCCCAGTGTCTCCTTGGCTTCCTTTGGGGAAGCAGAGCCAGGTTTCCTGGGAGAGGGAGGCAAAACCTTGGAACGTGTATGGTCCTGCTGCGTGCCAAGCGCGGTGCTGGGGAGGACTCGCCTGCCACAGTTGAGGAGGTTGTTAATTTCCGTTTTCGGGGGCAGCAAGGCTCAGAGAGAGAAGGTTATTGACTCATCAGCAGAGCAAAAGCCTCTGAGCATCTGGATTTGTCTCCAAGCCCTGCACAGCCTGCAGCCACCTCTCACTTGTGGCTGAGTTGTTTGTTTTGGTAAGAGATTCACAGAGAGAAAAGATTCACATACCAAGCAATTTACCCACTTAAAGTGTACAATTTAATGGTTTTTAGTATATTGTGCAACCAACCACACAATCTATTTTTAGAATATTTTCATCATCCCCCAAAGAAACCCTATTTCTCCCAACTTTCCAGCCCCTGACAGTCACTAATCTACTGTATAGACTGGTGTCAATTCTGTCTACATAGATTTGCCTTTTCTGGATATTATGTACACAGGCTGATCATCCTAAATCCAAAAATCCAAATCCAAAATCTGAAATATTTTGCGGGCCGACATGATGCTGAAAGAAATGTCTATTGGAGCATTTTGGATTTCAGATTTTTGGATTAGGAATGCTCAGACTATAAGTGTAATGTAAATATCCCCAAATCAGAAAAAATCTGAAACCCAAAACACTTCTGGTCCCAAGCAACACAGGAAAGTGTATGTCTTGTTCGACATGGGATCTCCAGCACCTAGCACATAGTAGGCATTCAATAAATATCCATTCAATGTAGAAGTCGGTGCTGCTCCCCGGGTGGGGGTCTGTATCCACTAGGAAGCCCTAATGAGAGGCTGCCCTTGCCTTGCAGTCATCAAGAGCCCCCCTGGCTGGGAGGTGGGTGTCTATGCTGCAGGGGCCCTGGCCCTGCTGGGAATCGCAGCTGTGAGCCTGTGGAAGCTCTGGACGTCGGGGAGCTTCCCCAGCCCCTCTCCGTTCCCCAATTACGACTACAGGTACCTTCAGCAGAAGTACGGCGAGAGCTGCGCAGAGGCCAGGGAGAAGGTGAGGCTTCTGCTCCTGCAGGTGCACAGCGAGTGCAACCCCATGCCCCTACCATCCACTCAGATCAGTCTTCAGCCCCTCTCCCTCCGTCACCACCTCCTCCTGGTTAATGTCCTCCTTTGAAAGGGGAGTAGACCTCCCTCTTCCCCTTTCACATCTTCAACTTTTTTTTTTTTTTTTTTTTTTTTGAGATAGAGTTTCCCTCTTGTTGCCCAGGCTGGAGTGCAATGGCATGATCTGGGCTCACTGCAACCTCTGCCTCCTGGGTTCAAGCGATTATCCTGCTTCAGCTTCCCAAGTAGCTGGGATTATAAGCGTGCACCACCATGCCTGGCCAATTTCATATTTTTAGTAGATACGGGGTTTCACCATGTTGGTCAGGCTGGTGTCGAACTCCTGACCTCAGGTGATCCACCTGCCTCGACCTCCCAAAGTGCTGGCGTGAGTCACCACACCTGGCCTGCTTTTTAACTGCTAACGTTTTCTTTCTTTCTTTTTTTTTTTTTTTTCAAAATGCTCCTTGCAGAGCAGGGCTACCCCATAGGCCAAATGCCCAGAGTAACCTGATATATTTTTCTTCTTACTTTCTTTTTTTTCTTTTTCTTTTTCTTTTTCTTTTCTTTTTTTTTTTTTTTTTGAGACGGAGTCTCGCTCTGTTGCCCAGGCTGGAGTGCAGTGGGGCAATCTCGGCTCACTGCAAGCTCCGCCTCCCGGGTTCACGCCATTCTCCTGCCTCAGCCTCCTGAGTAGCTGGGACTACAGGCACCCGCCACCATGCCCAGCTAATTTTTTGTATTTTTAGTAGAGACGGGGTTTCACCATGTTAGCCAGGATGGTCTCGATCTCCTGACCTCGTGATCCGCCCGCCTTGGCCTCCCAAAGTACTGGGATTACAGACGTGAGCCACCGCGCCCGGCCCTTCCTTTCTTTCTTTTCTTTTCTTTTCTTTTCTTTCCTTCCTTCCTTCCTTCCTTCCTTCCTTCCTTCCTTCCTTCCTTCCTTTCTTTCTTTCTTTCTTTCTTTCTTTCTTTCTTTCTTTCTTTCCCTCCCTCCCTCCCTCCCTCCTTCCTTCCTTCCTTTCTTTTCTTTCTTTTGAGACAGGGTCTCACTCTGTCAGCCAGGCTGGAGTGCTCTGGCACAATCTCAGTTCACTGCAACCTACACCTCCTGGGTTCAAGCGATCCTCCCACCTCAGCCTCCTGAGTAGCTGGGATTACAGGCCCAAGCCACCATGCCTAGCTAATTTTTTTTTTATTTTTTGTAGAGACGGGGTTTCACCATGTTGGCCAGGCTGGCCTCGAACTCCTGGGCTAAGAGATCTGCCCGCCTTGGCCTCCCAAAGTGCTAGGATTACAGGCATGCACTACCGTGCCAGGTCCTTCTCTTTTCACCTCCCTTGTAGCTGAAGCATTTTGATATACTGTTGAACACACATCATAAACATTATTTTAATGGCTGTATGAGATTCTTTTTTGTACATGTGCCATGATTGACTAAATGTCATGATAAATAATGCAGTGGATGTTCTGTAGGTAAAACTTTGTCTTCATTTGGGATAGTGTGCTTTGGATGGATGTCCAGATGTGTAACTGCTGTATTGGGGGCACACACATTCTTAGGGCTCTCACTATACCTTGCTGAAAGTTTTATCATTTAACACATGGCAGAGAGTTTTCCGAATGTCATGTAGAGTTCCAGAGAGCACAGCCAGAATCTATTACCAGATTAGAGTCCCTCATGTTCACTCACTTAGGGTGTCTGGGGGGACTATCTCACACGCTGTTGGGGGAATGTAAATTTGAAAAAAATTTTCCAGGCCTGGTGTGGTGGCTCACGCCCGTAATCCCAGCACTTTGGGAGGCCGAGGCGGGCAGATCTCTTGAGGTCAGGAGTTCAAGACCAGCCTGGCCAACATGGTGAAACCCTGTCTCTACTAAAAAAAATACAAAAATTGACCGGGCACAGTGGCTCATGCCTGTAATCCCAGCACTTTGAGAGGCTAAGACTGGTGGATCACCTGAGGTCGTGAGTTTGAGACCAGCCTGCCCAACATGGAGAAACCTGGTCTCTACTAAAAATACAAAATTAGCCAAGTGTGGTGGCGCATGCCTGTAATCCCAGCTACTCGGGAAGCTGAGACAGGAGAATTGCTTGAACCCAGAAGGTGGAGGTTGCAGTGAGCTGAGATCACGCCATTGCACTCCAAGCCTGGGCAACAAGAGCAAAACTCTGTCTCAAACAAAATAAAACAAAACAAAACAAAAAAATTAGCTGAGCATGGTGGCAGGCGCCTGTAATTCCAGCTACTCAGCAGGCTGAGACACAAGAATTGCTTGAACCTAGGAGCCAAGATCGTGGCAGTGCACTCTAGCCTGGGCAACAGAGTGAGACTCCATCAAAAACAAAAACAAAAAACCTTCAAGGGACTGTGTCCTCTGAGCCAGGATTTTAAGAAGGCTATTCAGTACTGCAGTATTTGTATTTCTGAAAAAGTACAAGCAACATAAATGTCCAACAGTGGGGAAGAGTAAATTAAATTATGATTATCTGCTCAATGCAAAATTGGGGAACCATGAAAATTATGGTAAGCAGCCAGGTGCAGTGGCTCATGTCTGTGATCCCAGCACTTTGGGTAGCCAAGGCAGAAGGATCGCTTGAGCCCAGGAGTTGGAGACTGGCCTGGGCAACAAAGCAAGATCTCATCTCTACCAAAATAAATAAATAAATAAATAAATAAATAAATAAATAAAATTAGCTAGGTGTGGGTAGGCACAGTGCTCATGCCTGTAATCTCAGCACTTTGGGAAGCTGAGGTGGGCATCACCTGAGGTTGGGAGTTCGAGACCAGCCTGACCAACATGGAGAAATGCCGTCTCTACTAAAAATACAAAAAATTAGCTGGGTGTGATGGTGCATGCCTGTAATCCCAGCTACTCAGAAGGCTGAAGCAGGAGAATCGCTTGAACCCAGGAGGTGGAGCTTGCAGTGAGCAGAGATCGCACCACTCTACTCCAGCCTGGGCGACAGAGCGAGGCTCCCCCTCAGAAAAAAAAAAAAAGAAAAAAAAAAAGCCAGGTGTAGTAGGTCACACCTGTGGTCCTGGACACTTGGGAGAGTGAGGGGGGAGGATCGCTTGGGCCCAGAAGGTTGAGGCTGCAGAGAGCTGTGATCGCACTCCACCCTGGGCAAGTGAGACCCTGTCTCAAAAAAAAAAAAAAAATTATGGTAATGAAGGCATGGAAGATGCTTATGGAATAAAAGGTTCTTGTTTTCTCAAATCCCAAGGTCAATTTAGGGAAAATAAAACTATTTATTTATTTATTTATTTATTTATTTATTTATTTTTGAGACAGAGTCTCACCCTGTCGCCCAGTCTGGAGTGCAGCGGCGCAATCTCAGCTCACTGCAACCTCCGCCTCCTGGATTCAAGCAGTTCTCCTGCCTCAGCCTCCTGAGTAGCTGAGATTATAGGTGCATGCCGCCACACCCGGCTAATTTTTGTAGTTTTAGTAGAGACGGTTTCACCATGTTGGCCAGGCTGGTCTTGAACTCCTGACCTCAGGCGATCCGCCACCTCAGCCTCCCAAAGTGCTGGTTTTACAGGCATGAGCCACCGTGCCTGGCCAAGGGAAAAAAAAATTAATATTTGGGTGAGTGTCACCCAACATGAAAGCTTCCTGTGTTGTAAACTTCCCTTGTGGCTGCTCCATCATCTCTTGAGTAGCTGGCTTCTGGTATTCTTACCCATTCTTCTTCTGGGACACTTAGATTGCTAGCTGCTTTTCCTTTTTCTAAACATCACTGCAATCGACAACTTGATGTATGGAATTCTGTCCCTACAAATATACATATTAAGAAAAAGTTGAAGGGCTGGGCGTGGTGGCTCACGCCTGTAATCTCAGCACTTTGGGAGGCTGAGGCAGGCAGATCACAAGGTCAGGAGTTCAAGACCAGCCTGGCCAACATACTGAAACCCTGTCTCTACTAAAAATACAAAAATTAGCTGGGTGTGGTGGCAGGCGCCTGTAGTCCCAGCTACTTGGGAGGCTGAGGCAGGAGAATTGCTTGAACCCAGGAGGCAGAGGTTGCAGTGAGGCAAGATCATGCCACTGCACTCCAGGCTGGGCGATGCAGCGAGACTCTGTCTCAAAAAATAAATAAATAAATAAATAAATAAATAGTTGGCCAGGAGTGGTGGCTCGCACCTGTAATCCCAGCACTTTGGGAGGCCGAGGCAGGCAGATCACCTGAGGTCGGGAGTTCCAGACCAGCCTGGCCAACATGGAGAAACCCTGTCTCTACTAAAAATACAAAATTAGCCGGGCGTGGTGGTGTGCACCTGTAATCCCGGGTCCTCAGGAGGCTGAGGCAGGAGAATTGCTTGAACCTGGGAGGGGGAGGTTGCAGTGAATGGAGATCGAGCCACTGCACTCCAGCCTGGTGACAGAGTGAGACTCTCTCAAAAAAAACAAATGTTTCATATACCCCTAGGCTGGGCACGGTGGCTCACGCCTGTAATCCCAGCACTTTGGGAGGCCGAGGTAGGTGGGCAGATCACCTGAGATTGGGAGTTCGAGACTAGCCTGACCAACATGGAGAAACCCCATCTCTACTAAAAATACAAAATTAGCCAGACATGGTGGCGCACCCCTGTAATCCCAGCTACTCAGGAGGCTGAGGCAGGAGAATCACTTGAACCCTGGATGCAGAGGTTGCAGTGAGCCGAGATCACGCCATTGCACTCCAGCCTGGGCAACAAGAGCAAAACTCCATCTCAAAAAAATGAGTAAATAAATAAGTGACATGAAATAATATTAAACAGCGACCTTCCTAGCTAAGGGATGCAGGGCTTCTGTGAAAGGGGAACTTGGAGATTCGAGAATGAACAGGCCTTACTCATCTCTTTGCCGTCTCCCAGTGACCTTGCCTATGGCCCCCATGATGCTCCCACGTCCCTCTTTCTCACCCCTAGAGAGTGCCTGCCTGGAATGCCCAGCGGGCCAGCACGCGGGGACCACCCAGCCGCAAAGGCAGTCTCAGCATTGAGGACACCTTTGAGAGCATCAGTGAACTGGGGCCTCTGGAGCTGATGGGCCGGGAGTTGGACCTGGCCCCCTATGGGACCCTCCGGAAGTCCCAGTCGGCCGACTCCCTGAACTCCATCTCCTCCGTGAGCAACACCTTTGGGCAGGACTTCACACTGGGCCAGGTGGAGGTGAGCATGGAGTACGACACTGCCTCCCACACGCTGAACGTGGCGGTGATGCAGGGCAAGGACCTCCTGGAGCGGGAGGAGGCCAGCTTCGAGTCCTGCTTCATGCGCGTCAGCCTGCTGCCGGACGAGCAGATCGTGGGCATTTCTCGGGTAAGTGGGGCTCAGGGCGGGGCAGAAGGGTGCTCTGGGCTCACTAGATGCCTCCCAGGCAGGCATGGCGGTGGGGCCCGGCAGGATCCCAGAAAGGCAGTAGAGTGCAAGTATGGATGCTGATCCCAGAGCTGAAGCTTCAGACTGTAGAGGGAGCTCTGTACAGAGCTGGGAGGTGGGGGGCTCCACCTGAAGGCTCCCATTGTGTGGAGTTCTTAGCGGTCCCACCAGGTGAATACAGAATGTGGCAACTGTCGTTGTCCACATCTGCCCTGTGTCAACATGGGGTCCCGGCAGAAAAGGGATGACATGCTTAAGAAGGCTAATTTGGGGAGGGCTTAATAACAGGACTGGGGCTGGTTGTGGTGGCTCATGCCTCTAATCTCAGCACTTTGGGAGGCCGAGGCGGGCAGATCATGAGGTCAGGAGATCGAGACCATCCTGCCTAACACGGTGAAACCCCATCTCTACTAAAATACAAAAAATTAGCCGGGCGTGGTGGCGGGCACCTGTAGTCCCAGCTACTCGGGAGGCTGAGGCAGGAGAATGGCGTGAACCTGGGAGGCAGAGCTTGCAGTGAGCCGAGATCGTGCCACTGCACTCCAGCCTGGGCGACAGAGGGAGACTCTGTCTCAAAATAAATAAATAAATAAAAATAAAACAGGACTGTCCAGGTACAGTGATTCATGCCTGTAATCCCAGCACTTTGGGAGGCCAAGGTGGGAGGATTGCTTGAGCCTAACCAGGAGTTCAAGGCCAGCCTAGGCAACATGGCAAAACTCCTTCTCTACCAAAAAAAATAAAATAAAATAAAATAAATTAGCTGGCTGTGGTAGTGCCAGCTAATTTATAGTCCCAGCTACTTGGGAGGCTGAGATGGGAGGATCACTTGAGCCCAGGAGGTTGAGGCTGCAATGAGCCACGATTGCACCACTGCACTCCAGCCTGGGTGACAGAATGAGACCCTATCTCAAAAAATAAAAATAGGGCCAGGTGCAGTGGCTCACACCTGTAATCCCAGCCCTTTGGAGGCTGAGGCAGGTGGATCACCTGAGGTCAGATGTTTGAGACCAGCCTGGCCAATATGGTGAAACCCCGTCTCTACTAAAAATACAAAAATTAGCAGGGCATGTGGTGCACACCTGTAATCCCAGCTATTGAGGTGGCTGAGGCAGGAGAATTGCATGAACTCAGGAGGCGGAGGTTGCAATGAGCCGAGATCATGCCACTGCACTCCAGCCTGGGCGACAGAGTGAGACTCCGTCTCAAAAATAATAAATAAATAAATAAATTTTAAAAATGAAAATAATAAGACCATTTAGAGTGGTGCGGATGGGGTGTGGGGCAGCCTCAGGGATGGCATGGTACCCTGGAAGGGCGTAACAGGAGGGGCTGTCCCACTCTAGATCTGAAGGGGTGAGGGGAAGGTGAGGTTACTGGGCCCAAAAGGATAGAGGGCCACCTTGTGTGGAGAGGGCTACCTTGGTGGAAGCTCTGCCCTTTGGCCAAGGGACATGGTCATCCCGCAACAATACTGCAGAGAGGGACTTCCCTCCCCCTCCAGTTTCCTTCTGGTGACCTCCACTGGCTGACCCAACCAGAAGCCAAAGGCCAAGGGAACCTGTTGACACAGCCCATGGAGGTCAACTCTCAGGGCCAGAGCAGAGGGGGGAAGGGTGGAGAATAAAGCGTGAGGGGCAGGGAAGGTGCCCAGTCCCTTAGGCTACCCTCCACACATCGCTGTAACTCACAGAACCAAGCCAACAGAGCCACATCTGGGCTGAAGGGTGGGGATAGCCTGTGAGCAGAGTGCGAGGAGGGCGTGTTTAGGGCATCAAGTTGGGGTGGCCCAGCTTCTGAGAGGCAGTATAGTGGGCGATTAGGAGCAGGACCCTGGAGCCTGACTGCCTGGGTTCAAATCCTTGTTCCACCTCTTCCTAGCAGTATGATCTTGGTTAAGTCAGTTTAGTACCCCATGACTCCGTTTCCCCATCTGTCAAATGGGCATCATGGTTATTGAGGAAGAGATGGGTTAATGTATGTGAAGTTCTTAGCCCAGCCTGGGTCAGTGCCTAGCAGGTTGGCTCTCAGGACCGTGCAGAGCTCCTGTCGTGCCCAGCCATGTTGCCTGTGGTTTGGGGACGCATTCCTTGAGGAGAGACATTGGCAGACAGCAGCCGCCACAGCCTGATGTGTGCTGAGAACCTGGTTCACAGAGCCCAGTGCATCCATGATTCTCTCATTAGCCCCTGACGCCAACAGGACAGATTGTTAGGGCATCTTACAGATGAGGAAACCGAGGCTCGGGAAAGTGCTTTGCCCAAGACAACGCCAGTAAGGAAGCAGGAGGTCCAGGACTCAAACCCAGGGTTCCATCCTCCTCCACCCATGTGCACATAAAGCACACGCTCAGAGAATGGCTGGTTGGGGAGCCCAGGCCCCCATGAGCAGGGGACAGCTGAGAGGCTAATTTAGCCGAAGGAGGGAGAGGCAGAGCCAGATCATGAAGAGCCTGAATGCCGAGGTCAGGAGGTCAGGAGGCCAGGTGGGCTTTATCACTTGGGGGCAAGGAGCCCTTCAAGAGCAGGGGATTGTGTAGGGAACGTGAGCACTGTGCGAGGAGCCTTCCCACACCCAGGCAGTGACAGAAGAGTGTGGTCATGGTGGCCGGTGGCGCTGGGGGATTTATTCCAGGGAAGGCAAGCTTCCCAGCTTAACAGCCTGGGCAATCCCACCAGGGGGTGCTGCCCCCAGGCTAGGCAGCCCCCCAGCCTCAGGCAGGGTCCAGGGATGAGAGCGCCTTTCTTTAAATATCACCAGGCAGTGACTAAAGCATCCCCCTTATTCCCCAGAGACAGAGCCCGCAATGCACCTTCCCAGGGGGCCTGCCCACAACTTCCTGGGAGGAGGTCAGTGGTGCCCACCAGGCAGGACTGGGCTTGGAAACCGAGTTGGCCCAACCTCGCCTAGTCCTCCCTTCCATCCACCCATCCAGCCTACGGTGTTCAAACAGTCCTGGGCCAGGCTCTGCAGGAACCTGGGACGTCAGTGGCTCGTGACTCCACAGGCAACTGTCCCACTCCACTGCTTGCCTGGCCTAGGGCTAGACTCGAACAGATGCAAGAAAGATGGAGACCAGCTCGTCCAGGGCATCTTGAGGGTTCTGGGGTGCCACGGGCACTGAGGACGGAAATTAGTTGGGATCAGATTGTGGGAGCTTAAAACGCCAGGCCACTAGATTGGCCGCCACTGAGGAGAGGACAGGAGGCTTTTAAACCTTCAAGGCTGAGCCACCAAAGGAAAGATTGGCATTGAGGGTGTCAAGACAACAGAGCCAGGACTCTAGCCTGGGCCTCTGGACTCCCTGTCCAGTGCTGTCTCCCTGCTGTGGCCTCTCAGGCCCCTAGCGCCCTCCATGGCCTTTTCTCCTGCAGATCCAGAGAAATGCCTACTCCATCTTCTTTGATGAGAAGTTCTCCATCCCCCTGGATCCCACAGCCCTGGAGGAGAAGAGCCTGCGGTTTTCTGTATTTGGCATCGATGAGGATGAGCGCAACGTCAGCACGGGGGTGGTGGAGCTGAAGCTTTCTGTGCTTGACCTCCCGCTGCAGCCCTTCAGTGGCTGGCTCTATTTACAGGACCAGAACAAGGTAAGTGACTTGCCTGCTCGTCCACCTCGGAAGAGCGTGCACACACATACACTTCCAGGAAGGGACTCCATCATCCTCATCATCCTCTGCAATAGCCTGAGCCCCATCATCATTAGGAGAGCAGAGAAGAAGACCTGAGCCACATCCGAGGAAACTGCTTGCTGCAGGCAAATTTCAAAAACATCCCGACCACTGTTTACAGCTCGTCTGCTGCTTTGCCACCAAAGCTTCAGAGGTTCTACCCCTACTGAGCTTCTGCTAGAGAAACATTCCTCTAGCCTTAGAGGGGATGATTTCAGACAGACACCAAGCTGCACTTTAGTTTTATAATTGTAGGAATGCTCACAGAACATCATTGTTGTTTAATCAAAGAATCTAATTCCATTCCACTCTGATCGCTGTGTATTACTACCGCAGTGTTTTCCTTGGCCTGCAATGAGGGAACGAAACTACATTTGATAGCTACATTTGACAGGCCGCCTCTGACCCTCCGCCCCAGGCAGGACCCTCCCGGTGGAAGGGAGGAGTGGGGCATGCTCCATGCAGTGGCGGGGGGTGGGTGGCTGTCCCTTTCTCCAGGCTGTCCCTGCCTGCCTGGAGCCCTGTGGTAAGGGGCCCCCAGTGCAGCCACTTCTCTATGGAGAAGGAAGCCCCAGCCTTTCCCTGGCAACCAAGGCTTTCCCTGGACCCCTCAAGTCGGGTGGGGAGAAGCCCTCTGAGCCACCTGTCTGTCCCCCAGGCCGCCGATGCTGTGGGGGAGATCCTGCTCTCCCTCAGCTACCTCCCCACAGCCGAGCGCCTCACCGTGGTCGTGGTTAAGGCCAAGAACCTCATCTGGACCAACGACAAGACCACAGCGGGTAAGGCCCAGCCGGCAGCCCGGCTCCTCCACGTAGCTCAGTGGAAGCTGTGGCCCAGCTGCTGTGCTGTGGGCACCCGGAGGCATCGGCAGGTGTGGGACACAGTGCCAAGGTCCCCCTCAGCTTTGCTGAGCCCAGAAGTCATGCAGATGGATAGGGGGTGGCATGGGGACAATTAATCCAGCCGGGGAAACATGAGATCCCTGGAGGGTGGCAGGGGCCCCTGTGAGGGCAGAGTGAAGGGGGTCAGAGTGATGCGGGGGTCTCAGGGCAGGAGGCCGCACTCAGGGCTGGGGGCACTGGGCAGGGAACCAAGGTGGGCATCTGTTCCCTGGAACTGGAATTCATGGTGGAGACTCCATTCCCAGAGACAGGGCAGTATCCCAGACTCCAAAAAGGGACCAGGGCCACGGGGTTGGGGTGGGTGCCAGGCAGGACCCGATGCCTTAGGTCTGCAGGAGTCCCCAGTCCCTCTCAAAGCAGTGACCGTGGAGGCAGCTGTATTCTAGAGAACTGAAGACCAGGGGCTGGGGGAGCCTGATCTATTGGGAGTTGCAAGCCTTGGGGCGGGGGTAGGTGGGGGGGGCAGCTCCAGGCAGGTGCGGCAAGGACACCCCGTGGGCAATAGGTGATGGGCAGACGGCAAGTTGTTATTTCAGAGCCGCACACGGTTGAGTCAGGCTCTGCTGTGCGGGTGCCCGGTGACTCAGGGCTGACGTCTGCACTCGGGCCATTTATAGAAGGAACACGGTGGGGCTGCTGAGTTCCCCAGAGCATCCTAGGAGGGGAGCGCGTGGGCTGTGAGGCAGCTGCCTGAGCACAAAGCCCAGCCCTCACCTGACGTGCTGTGTGAGCCTCAGTTTTCTCATCTGTGAAATGGGAAAAATAATAAAGGACCAATGGCAGGGCTGCAGGAGGTCACAGCAACAGTTAAGCATTGGGGAGTTTGGAGTCGGTGGGTGGAGCCAAACTGGGCAGGGCTGTGGTGAGTGAGTGTGACACTGGCCCTCACCTGTCCGCCTGCCCACAGACCCCTTCGTCAAGGTGTACCTGCTGCAGGATGGGAGGAAGATGAGCAAAAAGAAGACAGCCGTGAAGAGGGATGACCCCAACCCGGTGTTCAACGAAGCCATGATCTTCTCGGTGCCAGCCATTGTGCTCCAGGTGAGGGGGGCTGGGGGATGGGAAGGGGCCAGGTCACCCCAGGGCTCTGGGGCTGCCGCATCTCTCCACCTTCTCTTCTCAGGGCCCCTGCAGGGGTAGTGGTTTGCCTCCAGCCATCACTTTCTAGCAGTTATTGAGTGCCACTGGGGCCAGCCCTAGGGTGGGTGCTGGGGACACAGGCATGGCTTTCTCGGTGCTCACAAGGGACAGGCAGGAGAGTCCCTAATCCACTAAGAGTGTCCTCAGGTGAGGGGGGATTCCTGCAGGAGGGGATACCCAGCTCTGAGGGAGGACCATTCCTGGTGGAGGGAACTGCAGAGGGTTGGAGAGGAGCTGGGGTGAGCCAGGCACCCAGAGTTCCTGCTCTGAATCTCCCAAGCTCCATTTCAGGGTTCTGCTGAACTCCCCAGGTTCGCGTGGTCTTCAGAAGGTGACATGCTCCAGGGAGACCTCTCCCAGCAGGGACATCACAGACCACGGGTGGGGCTTGAAGATAGGGCTTGGGCCCTGCTTGCATGCCTCGGAGGATGGGGCTCGCACCACCTTCCCTCACTATCTCTAGCCCTCCTCGGCACTCCTGACAATGAGAAAGTCCTTTGTGCCTTGAGCCAAAACCTGCCTCCATAGCCCCAGGGCTGTACAGAACCCGCCTAATCTCCCCCAACCCGGGGACCCCGCCAGCATGTAAAGGCCCAGAATCTGCCTCACTCTGAGTGTTCCTAACCCGGGCACACCCCAGCATCTCTGGCCCATCCTGGGTATCGTAGCCTTCACCTGCCACCCTCGTGGAGCAGGCTGCCCATGTGTCCTCTGCCTCTCCCTGGGTGTCATAGTGCCACTTCTCCACAGCCTCTAAAAGCAAGAGACTTCTTGGGACCATGGGGGAAGTGGAGGAGGAGAGAGATCGGGCTGGGTTTGAGTTTCAGCTCCCGCTCTCATCTCAAGCAGTCTCTCCCGTCCTCGGTTGTGAGTGCAACGTGGTGATATTAGTAATAGCAACGCAACCTCTAGCATGTTCTGACTGTGCGCAGGTGCCGTTCTACACAGTTCACTCTTTTTGTTCCTGAAACAGCCCTATGAGATAGAAACCAATTTTTTTTTTTTTGAGACAGAGTCTCACTCTGTTGCCCAAGCTGGAGTGCAATGGTGTGAACTCAGCTCACTGCAACCTCCGCCTCCTGGGTTCAAATGATTCTTCTGCCTCAGCTTCCTGAGTAGCTGGGATTACAGGCACCTGCCACCACACCTGGCTAATTTTTGTATTTTTAGTAGAGATGGGGTTTCACCACGCTGGCCAGGCTGGTCTTAAACTCCCAACCTTAGGTGATCCACCCACTTCGGCCTTCCAAAGTGCTGGGATTACAGGTGTGAGCCACTGTGCCCACCCCCAATTTTTTTTTTTTTTTTTTGAGACAGAGTCTTGCTCTGTCACCCAGGCTGGAGTGCAGTGGAGTGATCTTGGTCACTGCAACCTCCACTTCCCAGGTTCAAGTGATTCTCCTGCCTCAGCCTCCCGAGTAGCTGGGATTACAGGCAAGCACCATCATGCCTGGCTAAGTTTTGTATTTTTGGTAGAGACAGGGTTTCACCATGTTGGCCAGGCTGGTCTCGAACTCCCAGCTTCAGGTGATCTGCCTGCCTCGGCCTCCCAAAGTGCTAGGATTACAGATGTGAGCCACCATGCCCAGCCAGAACAAATATTATCATCACCATTTCACAGATGGAGAAGCTGAGGTAGCAAGAGCCCAAGTCACTGCCCAAGGTCACACAGCAAGGAAGTGGAGGCCAGGCGTGGTGGCTCATGCCTGTAATCCCAGCACTTTGGGAGGCTGAGGTGGGAGGATCACCTGAGGTCAGGAGTTCAAGACCAGCCTGGCCAACATGATGAAACCCCCATCTCTTTTTTTTTTTTTTTTTTTTTTTTTTTTGAGACGGAGTCTCGCTCTTTCGCCCAGGCTGGACTGCAGTGGCGCTGTCTTGGCTCACTGCAAGCTCCGCCTCCCAGGTTCACGCCATTCTCCTGCCTCAGCCTCCCAAGTAGCTGGGACTACAGGTGCCCGCCACCAGGCCGGGCTAATTTTTTTTTTGTATTTTTAGTAGAGACGGGGTTTCACCATGTTAGCCAGGATGGTCTCGACCTCCTGACCTCATGATCCGCCCGCCTCGGCCTCCCAAAGTGCTGGGATTACAGGCGTGAGCCACCGTGCCCGGCCGAAACCCCCATCTCTACTAAAAATACAAAAATTAGCCGGGCATGGTGGCAGGAGCCTGTAATCCCAGCTACTTGGGAGGCTGAAGCAGGAGAATTGCTTGAACCTGGGAGGCGGAGGTTGCAGTGAGCTGAGATCATGCCCCTGTACTCCAGCCTGGGTAACAGAGTGAGACTGTCTCAAAAAAAAAAAAAAAAAGGATCAGGGGGAATTGGGGAGGCCAGCATTTGAAACCTGGCAGGCAGGTGCTGCCACTGTGGAGGGAGGCAGCAAGAGAAACCTGAGGGCCTAGGCAGGCCTAGTTCAAACTCTTGCCTGCCATTTATTTGCTGAGTGACCTGGGGCAAGTCTCCTCACCTCTTAGATCAGAGGTGAGGATTCAGGGAGCTGTGCCTGGCACCCCACTGGGGCCTGACATTTGTAACCTTGAACCCAGAGGCCAAGAAGTACCTCTGACTGCCCCTGGTCCTCAGCACCCATGTTGCCTCTTCCTCAGGACCTGTCTCTCCGCGTGACGGTGGCTGAGAGCAGCAGCGACGGCCGTGGGGACAACGTGGGCCATGTCATCATTGGGCCGTCAGCCAGTGGCATGGGAACCACACATTGGAACCAGATGTTGGCCACGCTGCGCAGGCCCGTGTCCATGTGGCACGCTGTCCGGCGAAACTAGCAACCAGGGCGGGCCAGTTGGGCAATGGAGCTGCTGGAGCCCGGTACCCACTCAGCTCTGTCTGATGCCCTCTCCATAGCCCAGCTGGAGCCGTGAACACTGGGGTCCCCTGGCAGAGTCCTCATGACCCATCCTGGTCTCTCTGTCCAGATTGCAGCAGAGGAGTGGGCGTGGCTCTGTGTCCAGGGCCCCAGGGTCTGCTCCTGCTGAGGACCAGCTGTGGCTGGGCCAGGACAGAGGACTCAACCCTGCTCCTCCCGGTAGGCCAGCTGCCGAGCTGGGCTATGTTCTGGAACCCAGTGAATCTTGGGGGCCAGGCACTGTGCTAGGCACCAGCAGGGGTAACACGAAGAAGACCCGGCCCTTAGGGCATCAGGAAGACTAGCTCCCCTGCCCCGGAGGATCTGCTCAGTGCTGATGGCAGCCCAGCTGTGTGGACTCAGGGGGCTCTGAGGGCTAGGGAAACAGGAAGGGCCTCTTTGACAAGGTAGGAGCTGTGCTTGGAGGGGCAGGAAAAGAACTGAGCATGTCGCAGGCAGCGGGCCCAGCCTGAGCAATGGCAGGATGTGAACTTCCCCATCGCAAATGCAGTTCTCAGCCCACTGCAGTGGATACAAGGAAGGGCCTTTCTCGGGGCCGGAGAAGAGACCAAGAGACCAGGCCCGGGCAGCAGCCTACCGGCCACGTGGAACACTGGCTCCGGAGTTATTCTCTGTCAAATCTACTCCCCGGACCTCAACCATGGCAAGAACCAGAGGTCCAAAGAGGCCCAGACCCAGGTCCTTGTGCTCAGTCCTGCGCAAACCAGGCCCAGACCCTGCAAGCATTTGTTGATGCCCTTGCAGGCCCACTGGGAGAAAGATGCCTCAGGCAGGTCTCAGCCTGGGGGTGGCAGGGGTGGGGCAGAGAGAATACTGACAGCAGAGGTCTTGGTGGGCTGCACGTGCCTGCGAAGATGTGGTGGACAAGGAGGCTCTCGGGCTGGGCCTTGGAGGGGTGGCAGCGGAAGGACAGCCCAGGTGGCTGAGGCCTGATGGGAAGCCGGGGAAGGCCAGGGTGGAAGGGCGGCTTGAGGGACGCCAGGAGAAGACTGAATGCCAGGCTAGGAAGGAGGCGGCTCTCGATCACGGGGTGGGTGCCCCCGACACCGGGTCTCCTAGCTTGAGTTCCCTAGAAGCGAAATCTGAGAGGGGGATTCTGGGGCAAGTAGTTTCTTGCGGGTGAGTGTTCTCAGAGAAACTTACCAGATCAAGAAAGGGAGCTCAGGCTGGATGGAGGAAGCCACGCAAGTGTGGCTTCAAGATCCATCGCCTTGGCCTGATCGCTGTGGGGGCAGGGGCCTGGAGTACGAGGGGCACCCTGGGGGCTCCCACCCAGAAGCAGAGGGGCTGGGCTGTTGCACCTCTACTGGCATCAGTCTTTGGTTACCCCCCAGCCCCAGTAGGAGGAGAGCAGGCAGAGCTTGTCATCCCCAGCCTGGTGTCCCGCAGTCCCAGGAAGCCGCTTCTTGCCTTCATGGCTGAGTGCTGGGAAGGGCTGAGCTCACCCAGGCCAGCAGGTGGGGTATCATCTGCTCGGTGGGGCCACCCACAGGTGACAGCATGGACCCTCAGGCTGGCTGCCCCTGTTCCTTGGTCCATAACTGGTGAGCTATGGAGACCCAGGCCAACAAATTATCCCCAGTGATATGGGGGGAGGAGGGGCTAGAACAAGGGCCCAGGGGACTGGAGGCAGGATGGTGGCTTTCCCTACCTGACACAGCCATGGCCCAGCCCCAAGGCCAGGCTGTCTACCCTATGGCCACAGCAGGAGGTCAGCCCAGGGCCAGGAGACACATGGCTGGACAAGGCTTTGCAGCCTGGGAGACCCCGACTTTCTCTAACCCAGTGGCTGTGCGGTGCAGGCCACTGACTCCCCCCCTGCCCTCTCCCCTCTCTCCCTCCCCCTAACTGCATGACATGTTAACTGTGTGCCCAGGACAGCCGTGGTGGGGACCGGGTATGCCAACTGGAATGATTCTAGAACCAAAATAAAGTTGGGGCAGGAAGAGGGGGCTTCCAGGGAGCCCTGCTCGGCCCTGAATCACCTTCGTCTCTTCTCTAGGAATCAGGGACTCAGGCCTCCTATGTGTTACTGTGCACCCTCCTTCCTGCTACAGAGTGCCCAGAGGGGAGTGAGGCCTCTCTCTGCTGGGGAGACCATCACAGGGACCAATGCATGCTGGGCATGGTGGCTCACACCTGTAATTTAAGCACTTTAGGAGGCTGAGGTGGGCAGATCACTTGAGGTCAGGAGTTCAAGACCAGCCTGGCCAACACGGCGAAACCGCATCTCTACTAAAAATACAAAAATTAGCCAGGTGTGGTGGCATGTGCCTGTAATCTCAGCTACTCGGGAGGCTGAGGCAGGAGAATCGCTTGAACCTGGGAGGCAGGGGCTCCAGTGAGCTGAAATCGCGCCACTGCACTCAAGCCTGGGCGACAGAGCAAGACTCAAAAAAAGGTCTCAAAAAAAAAAGGAAGGACCAATGCATCAGACTCCTTGGGAAGCTCAGAGGAGGGGCCACTGAGCCAGCTCTGGCAGGAGAGAGTAGGATGATGGGGAGTATCAAGGAAGGCTTCCTGGTGGTGACACCCAGCTGAGGCTTCAGGGCCAGAAGGAGGAGATCAGGTAGACACGGCAGGAGAAGCATTCCTAGCAGGGAACCCCATATACAAAAGGGCACAAGGGGGCGAAAACTTGGCCAGTGTATCCATTTGGCCAGAATAAAGTGGGGGATGGTGGAGGGAGTGAGCAGGGTGGGAAGAAGAGAGCCAAGGGGGAGTTCTGAAGGGTAGAAGGGCCTTCCACATTCAGCGAGTGCTGGTGTTCAGCCTGCAACACTTCAAAGTAAGTGCTGCTGCTATCCCCTTTTTTGCAGATGTGGAAAAGAGCTCAGAGAGGTTAGGTAACTAGCCCAAGGCCACACAGCCAGAAAGTCACAGAGCTGGGACTCAAGCTCGGCCTGTCTTTGCTACAGAGCCAGTGCTCTGGATCACTCAGCAACAACGCCCCCTTCCCCAGCTCCTTGAATGTAAGGCTGAGGGCATAAGAGAAACCCCCGCTGGGTCCCAGGCTGCTGCCTTCCCCTCCCCACCCCTGGAAGATCAGAAGCGTGGGACATCAAGCATGGATAAGGATGAGCTGATGGAGAATTCCCAGCAGCTCCTGGGAGGCCTGTCCACCACAGGGACTGACTCCGAAGAGCTTCTGAGGCAACCAATGAGACGGGCTGTGGCAGGAGCCGGTAAGAGGGGCAGAGACCAGGGAGGGCTTCCTGGAGGAGGTAGAAGCATGAGAGCTGGCTTTGCAGCAGGGGGACTGTACACATGGAGGAGGGAGAGGGGTCTCAAACTGCCTGAGCAAAGGTGTCACAGTGTCTGGGGAGACACAGCTGGGCTGAGGCTTGAGAGGCCAGGTGGGGTTGGGCTGTGGAGGCTGTGTGTCCAAGCTCAGGGAGAAGCTCCTTATCCTGCTGGCAGTGGGGAGCCATGGTGGGGTCTTGAGCAGGAGCAGGTCCAAGGGAGGGAGGGGTCACTCTAAGCAGCTTTGGAGGTGACACAGAGGGACATCAGTGAATGTTACCCTCGCCAGTGAGTGGCAGGAGGGGCAGGCAGGAGGCCTCTGAGCTGCCTTTAGGTTTGGGTTCATTCAGCAGGACTCAAACTGAGGTGCCATCCTGGAGAGAAGCTGGGACAACCCAGGCTCTGAGAAGCTGTCTTGCCTCCTTCTTCTCTCTTGTAATCTTCCCAACCTATTTCCCTCCTTTCTCAGGCCACCCCACATCCAGGGTCCCATCCCTCCCCACCCCTTCATCTCCCCTCCTCCAGCCCTGGGCCCAAGGACACACCTCCAGGGTCCCAGGCCCCCTCTGTCTGGGAGCCCCACCGAAGAGGACAGGTGTGGAGGTCTCTGACCTGCCCAGCAGCATTGCCTGGGCTAGGCCTGCATGTGGGAGAAGCAGAGCAAGCCACTGCATCACGGTCGGCAGCAGCTCTAAGCTCCAAACTTCCCTTCCTCTCTTCTATCTGTCTGTGCCTGCAGACCCCCAAAAGGGACAAATCAAAAGGCTTAATAAGCACCAGGATGGGGCCACCAGACCTCCTCTCTCTCCACCCCTCCCACCCTATTATCAGCCCTTCCGTCCCAACCTGAAAGATCAATAATGGTTTGGCAGGGAGAGGAGGCCAGGGCAGGAGGGCACGTCCCCGTGGCCTGGGGCTCCAGTTAGATGGCAGCCAGGCTGGAGCTGTCTGGGCAGGCTAGACAAAAAGAAACTTGGGAGCAGAGGCCCTCTGGTTTCCACCTGGCGTAAAGCTGAGTCTGCTGCTCACTTGCTGTGTAAGTTCCTTCCCTTCTCAGGCCTCAGTTTCCCCATCTGAAGAATGGGGGTGTTGGATAAGATGGCCTCTAAAGAGCCCTGTACCTCTGACTTTTGGACATTCTGTGTGTATGGACTCCGGAGCCCAAGGGCCTGGGTCCAAATCCCAGCTTCTCTGCTTACTAGCTGCGGGACCTTGGGCAAATTATCCAACCTCTTTGGGCCTCAGTTTCCTCACTTGTCAAAGGAGGATAAGAATTGAACATACTTCATAGGATGGCATGAAATGACATGTGCCAAGTGTCCGGCACAGGTAGGTGCTCAGTAAATGCGAGGTCAAGGCTTTGGGTGGAGGAGTTCAGGCTGAGGGCAAAGGCTCTTAGGATCCAGTATTTCAGATGAATGTGGGCCAGGGACGGGCGCGGTGGTTCACGCCTATAATCCCAGCACTATGGGAGGCCGAGGCGGGTGGATCACCTGAGGTCAGGAGCTTGAGACTAGCCTGGCCAACATGGTGAAACCCCGTCTCCACTAAAAATACAAAAATTAGCTGGGCGTGGTGGCAGGTGCCTCTAATCCCAGCTACTCAGGAGGCTAAGACAGGAGAATCGCCTGAACCCGGAAGGCGGAGGTTGCAGTGAGCCGAGATCACATCACTGCACTCCATCCTGGGCAAGACTCCCCATGGAAAAAAAAAAAAAAAGAGCAGAGGACAGGGGATGCACGCGGAACCAAGAGCTTCGGGAGCTACACACCAGGGCCCGTGCACCCTGCCAAGCCACTCCAAGGGGAAAGACTGTATCTCTCCCCTTCATTCAGCCATCCACAAACACCCCACACCCCCAAGCCAGGAACCCCAAGCAGGGAGGCAGCCCCAGGTGATGACTGTGCAGGGAGCTGAGCGACCACATGAGGGCAGTGGAGACTCGATCAGGACCGCATAGGATTTGGCCTTAGGATGGGGGTGGGATGTGAGAAAATGGGGAGAGGGGTGAGGCCAGGGGGCCTTGGAGTAGGCGGAGGCTGGAGAGTGGTTGCCTGTCCACAGACTCCCCATTCATGTCACATGTGGTATTCGTCATCCATGCAAGTATTTGTTCCTTTATTCATTTCTTCAGTTTGTTTATTCTTCTAAGCCAGCCCCTCTGCCGTCCATCCTTCCGTCTTTCCTTCCTCTCTTTCTCACTCTGTTTTTTTCTTTCTTGTCCCTTTGGTTTGTCTGGCCAGGAGATCAACTGGGCATACCGTCCTGAGCCACAGCTGGGTGCCAGCCTGAGAGAGGCACTCCTCTAGGGGATACGGTGAGCCTTGGCCCCTGCCCTTGAAGGGTTCAGGGCAGTAGGCCACGGTGCTGGGCTCCCCACAGATCTGGGCCTGGGGTTGGTGGGGCCTCGAGGGGCCTAAGTCTCCCACAGGCTGCAAGTCCTGAGAAGCCTCAGTAAACACTAAAACAGTAAACAGTACCCTGGCCAGGCAGACTGTGTGACCTGGGCCACCACTCTAAAAATAAATTCCAGGAAAACAGTATGGTCCCAGGTCCAGCAATGTCTGAGATTCAGGGACATTCCCTGCCAACCAGAGCCGATTTCTGTGGCCTGGTGACTAAGCTCCCTCTCGCAGGAGCGTAAGCATGGTGGGGGAGCGGAGGCTGGGGCTTGACGTCAGGAGATTGAATCCTTGCTGTGTCCTGCTGGTCTAAGACACCCCTCTGCCTCTCTCTGAGGCTCAGTTCCCAAATCTGTAAAATGGGAGGAAGCAGGTCATCTGCTTGGTCTACCTCGTGGTCTGAGAGCTAAATGAAATTGCAATTGTGCAGATGAGGCGTGATGGAGGGAGACCACCTGGCTTTGGGGTCACGCCTGGATCCAAATTCTAGTTCAGCCTCTTACTAGCTGTGGATGTTAGTCAACAACTTAGCCTCTCTGGGCCTCAGGCTCCTCATCTGTGAAATGGAGCTAAGAGTCCCTACCTCCTAGGGAACAGTGCCTACACGTGGCTTGCAATCCACTAATGGGTGTTGTTATTATTAGGAAATGTTCAGTGAAACTGTATAGCATGACAAACATCAAGTGTGTCATTACAGAGATTATCCCTATAGCAACCAAGGCCAAACGCCTCTGCCTGACTCTCAGCTCCCTCCACCCCCAGTCTGGCCCCACCTGCCTTCCAGCCTTGCCACCCAAGGCCTGACGACAGCAGCAGTTGGGAGGAAGATGCTGACAGCTGATCCGAGGGGGTGGGGCCCCTCTCACCACTCCTTGGGGCGGGGAGCCCTGCTCTGGAGCTACCTGCCCAGCCCAGTGTCAAGTCACTGCCGAGCCCTGTGGCAGTTTCGGGGAGGAAGGGGCACCTGGAAAGGCAGAGCTGTGCTGGGGAGGATCCTTCCCTCCAAGTGGGGCTCCATCCAGCCTGCAGACCACAGCCCGGAGCGGGAGCCGGGCAGAGGAGTCAAGGAGCTGGGCTCTGCCTCTCCACCTAGTGACTCCTGCCCTGGCTGCCTCTTTAGACCACAGTGAGTTTAAAGGAGGTTGAAGGTGCTTTTTCACCTGCCTGACTTGGAACTCCATGAGGGGGGATGTCATGACCAGCATAAATTAGGGGGAACCTAATGACGTCTGCCCCTTGTTCTTTTAAGCTTCAATAGAAACACTCAGTCCAAGATCTGGGAAGACCCTTGTGCCCATTTTTAAAAGATTTCAACTCTGGCCATTAGGAGAAGTGGAGAGATCAGGTGACAATGAGTTCCCAGTTCAATGCTGGATTTACTGCTGGCATCCAACGTGCTCCACTGAGCAAGCACCAGCTCCTCATGCTGCACCACTGTGCAAGCGAGCCTCACCCTCTGCGGGGGCGGGGTGGGGGGGCAGCATTCCGCTCCGGCCTCCGCAGCTTCGCACGTGCCGCTGTCTCCGGTGGAACACCTTTTCCCTCCCCCATCTGACTGTGTTTCACTTTTTCCTCAAGACTCTGAAAGGTTTCCTGACTCCCTCAACGTGGGCGAGGAGCTCTTTTCCCCTACTCCCGTCCCGCTGCCTGTCCCTACTCCCGTTGTAGTTCTGATCACACTGATGTCCTGCGTGTCTACCATTCTAAGCCGTGGGCTTCTCAAGGCAGGGCCTGGATTTTGTCTTAAACAGTTCAGGGTCCCCGGGCCCTTGGGCACCAGGGGGACATCTCATGGTGCAATAATAAGAAACACTCACACTTTACAGAGGGAAGGTTCTATCGCTTTCCCTAGATCGTGGCCAGCCACGGTGTCAGGTGGCTGCCCACCTGCAGCAGAGCTTCCTGGTGCTGCGGGAGGGGGCAGGCCAGGCCTGGTGGGGCCAGTGAAGGGGGTCATCCCCTTCCCACCTGGCATGAAACGCCTGTGTTGTGCTGCGTCCTGAGACCCCTGGGGAAATGCACCATTCATTCATTCATTCATTCATTCACTAAAGGTCACTGGCTCCTGCCTGGGATCTGGGACCCAGCCCCTGAGCACACCCCCGCCCCCACTGTCATGGTCCCGCTGTTTGTCTTCTCCCTTCCGACCTCCCGTGGCCCCAGCGCGGCCAGCTCACAGTAGGTGCTCGGGCAGCGTTTCTTCAGGGACCTAGACGGCCTGGAGAGGAAGGGCCCCAGCCCAGCCGCCCGGGCCTCTCACCTGGCTCTCGGGGCGCCCGGCTCGCACTTCCTCCCGCCGCCCCGCCCCTTCCACATTCCTGCCCCGCCGGGCCTGCCCCGCGCAGTCTGGGTCTCTGCGCCGCAGCCGCCCGCCCGCCCGCTCAGCGCCCGGCCCCGGGATGACGGCGGCCCAGGCCGCGGGTGAGGAGGCGCCACCAGGCGTGCGGTCCGTCAAGGTGGTCCTGGTGGGCGACGGCGGCTGCGGGAAGACGTCGCTGCTGATGGTCTTCGCCGATGGGGCCTTCCCCGAGGTGAGTGCCCCGCGCCTCCGCCTCGCCCGGTTCCGCTCGCGCGCCCGGGTGTACAGGTCCGTGCCGGAGCGGCCCAGGCTGTGCGCCTAACCCGGCCTCCGAGGGGTGTCCCAGCGGGGCCTGGGGTCCAGGGCAGAGTTCTTCCGCCCCAGCCATTGGGAATGAAGGCCTCAGTGATGTTATCTGTAAAGCCGGAGGAATGGCATCCACCGGGGAGAGGTGTCACAAGGACTGAGTGAGGCGACCTGGGTGCACACAAGATCCTAAGACAGCACTTGGCCACACAATTCCGCTGAGGGCCTGAGAGCTTGGAAGCCAGACTGCCGAGGTTCAAATTATGGCTTTGCCTCTTATAGCTGTGTGCCCTTGGGTAAGTCCCCTAACCCTGCTGTGCCTGTGTCCCTCACTACATCACAGGTGAGTGACAGTGCCCACCACACAGGGTCACTGTGACAGAGAGTTAATAGACCTCAAGCACTCAGCCCCGGCCTGTGCACAGGAAGGACTCACGGAGAGTTGGCACATGTCGCTCCTGGGAAACATTGTCTCCCTTCCAGCTCTTGCCGCTGGAAAGCACATGCCATGGGCTCTGCCTTGGAGGGTGGGAGCACGCCAGCTGTAGCCTCAGCTGCTGGGCCCGCGTCTCTGCTCTCCTCTGAGCCCCGTGCCCTTTTGTAACCTGCTTAGCTTCTCTGAGCCTCAGTTTCCTCACAACAACCCCATGGGGTAGAGGGACTGTAGGGCAGTGGTGAAGTGGAGCCCAGGGGAGGCTGACAGGCAGCTCCCGTGCGGTAGCTGGCATGTCCTTGGCGCTGTAGGCATGCCCACCGTTAATCCTTCCTGACATGCTCACTGACTGCCCAGGCAGACTCCACGGGCACCAGGCGGCCCCTGCTCTGCCGCCTCTCAGCCCTGTTGTCCTGGGAGTCCATGGAGTTGCTTCCAGCATCTCTTCTTTTTTTTTATTTTTATTTTTTTTGAGAAGAGTCTCACTCTGTCACCCAGGCTGGAGTGATATTGGCACAATCTCAGCTCACTGCAACCTCCGCCTCCTGGGTTCAAGCGATTCTCTTGCCTCAGCCTCCTAAGTAGCTGGGATTACAGGCGCCCACCACCACGCCTAGCTAATTTTTAAAATTATTTTATTTTATTTTATTTTTGAGACGGAGTCTCGCTCTGTCGCCAGGTTAGAGTGCAGTGGCACAATCTCGGCTCACTGTAACCTCTGCCTCCCAGGTTCAAGCGATTCTCCCGCCTCAGCCTCCCGAGTAGCTGGGACTACAGGCGCGTGCCACCGTGCCCAGCTAATTTTTGTATATTTTTAGTAGAGACAGGGTTTCGCCATGTTGGCCAGAATGGTCTCGATCATTTGACCTGGTGATCCGCCCACCTTGGCCTCCCAAAATGCTGGGATTACAGGTGTGAGCCACCACACCCAGCCAATTTTTTTATTTTTAGTAGAGATGGAGTTTTGCCATGTTGGTCAGGCTGGTCTCGAACTCCTGGCCTCAAGCGATCTGCCCGCCTCGGCCTCCCAAAGTGCTAGGATTACTGGCCTGAGCCACCGCAACTGGCATTCTTCCTCCTTTTCTTCCCAGCATCCTCTAAGCCCCTGGGGTTGTATAGGTGCTGGAGCATCTGAGCACAAGCAGGACGGTCGGGCCTACCCCAGTTCTTATCACACTGTAGTTCTTATCAGGATGATATCTGTCTGCCTGTCTCCCACCCTTGGCCCATGTGCTTTCTGCTGCAGTGGCATTGAGCCACTTTTGTTTAGTAGCTTGCGGAGCTGGTGTCACCTCCTTTGACCAGTCATACATTTTTTTAAGTTGGGGGAAACATGTTTCTGGGCCCCTAGATGCTGCCCATGGGAACCCAACAATGAGGGCACCCGGGGAAGAGCACCACACAGGGACAGGTGGCCCAGGCCCAGGGGAAGGCACCTGATGGGCGGGGGCTGGAGGGCTGATGCCTCACCACCAGCTCTGAGATGTCCTTGATGGTGAGACCATCCCAACTTCAGAGGAGTTATGACGTGGAAATGGGCCTCTTCCAGTTGATAAGATGTGAATGCTTTGAGGGACATGCTGGGGCTGGCCAGAAATGGGGGGAGGGCATGCTTATCACCAGGAAAATGGGCTGGATTTGTCCAGGCTCCTCCCGTCTGGGGGCTCTGAGTTCCCTGGAGCAGGAGAGTCCTCTTCATTTAAAGAACCCACAATGGGCCGGGCGTAATGGCCCACACCTGTAATCCCAGCTCTCTGGGAGGCCAAGGTGGGTGGATCACCTGAGGTCAGGAATTCAAGACCAGCCTGGCCAACATGGTGAAACCCCATGTCTACCGAAAATACAAAAAAAATTACCCGGGCATAGTGGCAGGCGCCTGTAATCCCAGCTACTCGGGAAGCTGAGGCAGGAGAATCGCTTGAACTCAGGAGGTGGAGGTTGCAGTGAACCGAGATCGCGCCATTGCACTCCAGCTCGGGGACAACAGAGCGAGACTCCGTCTCAAAATATATATAAATATATATATATATATGTAATTAAATAAATTAATTAAAAGAACCCACAACGTGTAAGAGTTGGAAAGGCTTCATTTTGCAGATGGGAAAACTGAGTCCAGAACCCAGAGGCTTACCTGGGGGCACATGGCCCGGCAGTGGCAGCACTGATCTAGAGCCCAGGTCTTCCCCCTCCCGACCAGGGCCTTCTCCACAGCCCCCAGTGCTCTGCCTGCTGGACCCAGCCTCCTCCTGCCCCTGTCCCTAGCACCAGACTCTTCCTCTAGGCAGCCCTCGAAGCCCAAGGGGCCAGCAGCCAGGAGGCTGGAGTCCCATCTCCCAGACTTCCTGCACACAGCAAAGGGCTGAGAGCAGCCTGAGGATTTGGAGGGACCTCAGTGACCCTCATCTGGCTGTGACCCAACCCTGGATTCAGGGCAGCAGGGGAGGGCAAGGTGGAGAGAGCTCCTAGGACAGGGGGAAGCCCCAGGCTGGGGTGCCAGCCTCTGCCCAGTCCTGGCTGGCATTTGTGGCTGCAACCATTCCCACAGGTTCAAAGCCTAGCAGCCCCCACACCAGCATGGGGATAGGAGGTGGCAGGGAGCACCCGGCCCTGCTGGCTAGAGCCCCCTGGGTCCTTCCTGGTTCGCACTTGGACTCCCATGGGTGTCCTAACCAGGGATGCCCCGACACTCCCTCTTGAGCCAGGTCCCCCATCTTGGTAATGATTCATTTTCTGTCTGTGAGCCCCTGGAGGGCAGACCTGAGCCTGAGTCATCTCCGTCCTGGTCCAGCACAGGCCCAGTCCTTCTTTTCTGGCTGAGGACGGCTTAACAGATAAAATTAGGTGCCATTGATCCCATGGACAGAGGGTGACCCTGCCTGGGGGTCAAAGAACAACACAACAAAAGGTACAGACAGAGTCTCTAGGATGACGTCCCGAGTGGGGGAAAGGGCTGTGACAGTTACAAGCCAGAGGGGAAACCCAGCCCCTTTCTGTCTCCGGGAACTGGAGTTGGTAACCTCAGGAAAGGCAGGTGGCTGAGGACAAGGCCTGGTCTCTGCAGCCACAAAGACCTGGCTCTGTCACTAGCCAGCTGTTCAGTGTGTCACCTTGAACAAGTCATTTCCTCTCTCTGGGCATCATCAGAAAGTGAAGGTTGTACTGACGTTCCGAGCTTGCAAGGATCGGAGATGGTGCCAGTACACAGCCACACACAGAAGATCCTTAGAGAATGGTGGGTGGTGGTGTCATTACCATGGGCATTTGCAAAGCACTGAAACATGTCTCCCAAGAGATTTCCAGCAGGCTGCCTTGCAGCTCAGATCAAGAAGGTGACTGAGTGGGTGGTCAAGCTGGGAGCTCAGATGCAAGGGCACCAGTGCCCTTCACAATGACAGGCCCCTACTCTAGGACAAAGGTCAGAAGCTGCGGAGGGGCTGGGTGTATTAGTCCATTTTCACATTGCTATAAAGAACTACCCGAGACTGGGTAATTTATAAAGAAAAGAGGTTTAATTGACTCACAGTTCTGCATGGCTGGGGAGGCCTCAGGAAACTTACAATCATTGTGGAAGGTGAAGTGGAAGCAAGGCACTTCTTATGTGGCAGCAGGAGAGAGAGAGAAGGGGGAAGCACCACACTTTTAAACCATCAGATCTCGTAAGAACTTCCTCACTATTGGCCAGGCGTGGTGGCTCACACCTGTAATCCCTGCTCTTTGGGAGGCCAAGGTGTGCAGATCACTTGAGGTCAGGAGGAGTCCAGCCTGGCCAACACTGTAAAACCCCATCTCTATTAAAAGTACAAAAATTAGGCTGGGTACGGTGGCTCACACCTGTAATCCCAGCACTTCGGGAGGCCGAGGCGGGTGGATCACCTGAGGTCGGAAGTTCGAGACCAGCCTGACCAACATGGAGAAACCCCATCTCTACTAAAAATACAAAATTAGCCGGGCGTGGTGGCACATGCCTGTAATCCCAGTTACTCAGGAGGCTGAGGCAGGAGAATCGCTTGAACCTGGGAGGCAGATGTTGTGGGGAGCTGAGATCGTGCCATTGCACTCCAACCTGGGCAACAAGAGCGAAACTCTGTCTCAAAAAAAAAAAAAAAAAATCAAACCCGGGAGGCGGACCTTGCAGTGAGCCGAGATCAGGCCACTGCACTCCAGCCTGTCCAGGAGGCGACAGAGCGAGACCCTCTCTAAAAAAAAAAAAAAAAATATATATATATATATATATGTGTGTGTGTGTGTGTATATATATATATGTGTGTGTATATATATATGTGTGTGTGTGTGTGTGTGTGTGTATATATATATTAGCCAGGCGTGGTGACACACCTGTAATCCCAGCTACTCAGGAGGCTGAGGCAGGAGAATCACTTGAACCCAGGAGGCAGAGGCTGCAGTGAGCAAGATTGCACTACTGCGCTCCAGCCTGACTCCGTCGAAAAAAAAAAATCTCCCTCACTATCACAAGAACAGCATGGGGGAAACCGCCTTCATGATTCAATCACCTCCCACCAGGTCCTTCCCTCGACACGTGGGGATTACAATTCGAGATGAGATTTGCTTGGGGACACAGCCAATCCATATCACTGGCGAAGGTGTCACCACCTGGAAGGATGGACGGGGGCTCGTGTGGACACTGCCCCTGGCCACCAGCTTCCCTGGTGGTGAGCATTTATGCTGGGGCCTCACCTGCCAGTCCATCCTCCCTCCCACATCATGGCATGACACTCTCCCCCTTTAACCAGTGAGGAGACTGTCCTAAGGACACATAGCAGGTGAGTGCTGGAGCCCGGTCTTAAGCCAGGCATATCTAAACCTAAAGCTAGTGCTCCTAGCTACCAGGTCACACTGCCCTGGCAAAGGCAAAGGGCCTGAGGGAGGGCACCCTGAGCAGGCAAGGGGGGATGGAGAGGTAGGTGAGGCCCTTGTCTGTTCCTGTTGGTTCCTTTTGGTAGAGGGAGTGATAGCATGTCTAGAGTCTGGGGTGGGGCCAGCCCTTACCTCAAGGCTATCCAGACTTCTCCATCTTCCTCAGCTGCCCACTCTGGGACCTGCCTTTCTCCCCACCCCACTCCCTGCAGCTTCCCTGGAGGACGGTGCTGACCCACTGCTCAGGTGCTGCCCCTCCCAGCTGGCCAGGGCCTGACTCAGAGGGCCAGCGGGCAGGCAGGCGTGAAATTCTCCTGAGTCACGGGCAGGTGTGGGCCGCACCCGGCATGGGAAGGGAAGAGGATAGGGGCCCCCCAGACTGTGGCCCCATCAACCAGCCCTGAGCAGGCAGTCAAGGCTTAGGGACCCAAGAGCGGGCGGCCCAGCATCCCCTCAGAGCAGAGGGCACAGGTTGTGGCAGAGTTTTGCAAACCCATCTTACAAAAGCTCCCTCTTCATTCCTGCATTTTCATCTGTGTACAAAACCTGGCCTGCTGCCCGTTCATCTCACCTTCATGGAAAGGCAGCAGTGAGCTCAGGCTGGGCAGGGCTGGAGTAAGGGGCCTCTGTCCTGGGTGACCTCCTCCCAAGCCCAGGCAGGACAAAGAAGAAAGGCCCAAACATGGGGCACTGGGCTGGGCGTGGTGGCTCACCTGTAATCCCAGCACTTTGGGAGGCCAAGGCAGGTGGATCGTGTGAGTCCAGGAGTTCAAGACCAGCCTGGGCAACATAGCAAGACCCCATCTCTGCAAAAAATACAAAAAATTACTTTGGGAGGCCAAGGTGGGTGGATTGCTTGAGTTCAGGAGTTCGAGACCAGCCTGGGCAACATGGCAAAACCCTGTCTCTACGAAAAAAGAAGAAAAATTAGCCAGGCATGGTGGCCCACACCTGTAATCCCAGCTACTCAGGAGGCTGAGGTAGGAGAATCACCTGAGCCTGGGAGACAGAGGTTGCAGTGAGTCAAGATCGCACCACTGCACTCAGGCCTGGGTGACAGAGTGAGACCCTATCTTTTTTTTTTTTTTTTTTAAAAAAAGGCCAGGCGTGGTGGCTCATGCCTGTAATCCCAGCACTTTGGGAGGCCGAGGCAGGTGGATCACTTGAGGTCGGGAGTTCAAGACCAGCCTGGCTAATATGGTGAAACCCCATCTCTACTAAAAGTACAAAAAATTAGCCAGGTGTGCTGGCGTGTGCTTGTAATCCCAGCTACTCACAAGGCTGAGGCAGAAGAATCACTTGAACCCAGGAGGCAGAAGTTGCATTGACCCAAGAGATCACACCATTGCACTCCAGCCTGGGTGACAGAGCAGGACTCTCTCTCAAAAAAAAAAAAAAAAAAAAAAAAAGCCCGGGTACAGTGGCTCATGCCTGTAACCCCAGCACTTTGGGAGGCCAAGGTGGGCAGATCACGAGGTCAGGAGTTCGAGACCAGCCTGACCAACATGGTGAAACCCCGTCTCTACTAAAAATATAAAAATTAGCCGGGTATGGTGGCACATGTCTGTAATGCCAGCTACTCGGGAGGCTGAGGCAGGAGAATCCCTTGAACCCAGAAGGCAGAGGTTGCAGTGAGCCAAGATCACGCCACTGCACTGCAGCCTGGGTGACAGAGTGAGACTCCGTCTCAAAAAAAAAAAAAAAAAAAGGCCGGGCGCGGTGGCTCACGCCTGTAATCCCAGCACTTTGGGAGGCCGAGGCGGGTGGATCACGAGGTCAGGAGATCGAGACCATCCTGGCTAACACGGTGAAACCCCGTCTCTACTAAAAATACAAAAAATTAGCCGGGCGTGGTGGCGGGCGCCTGTAGTCCCAGCTACTCAGGAGGCTGAGGCAGGAGAATGGCGTGAACCTGGGAGGCGGAGGTTGCAGTGAGCCAGATCACGCCATTGCACTGCAGCCTGGGTGACAGAGTGAGACTCCCTCTCAAAAAAAAAAAAAAAGGAAAAAGAGAAGGAAAAAAAACGGTAGAGGGGCGCATTGGGGCATTCTGGTAAGGGATCAGGAAAGGCATCCCAGAAAGGTGAAGGTAGCATTTAATAGTGGTCTTGTTTGGATTGTGAGAGGTTGAGAGGCAAAGGAGGAACCCCAAAAAGCTGCGAGTTCCCCAGAGCAGGTATTGAGTCTTTGGTGCCTGCTTCCCAGTGTCCAGAACTGGGCCTAGAGAAGGTGCTAATGCTGCTGAATGAGTAGGTGAATGAACAAATGAACAAAGCAAGGAATGAATAAACATGTAGGTTAATGTTGTTCTAGGAAGGGGGGACAACATGAATGAAGGCTCAGAAATGGGAGTCCCAGCGGTGTGTGCCAGTGGTCCCAGCTCTTGGGAGGCAGAGGCAGGAGGATTGCTTGAGCCCAGGAGTTTGGGGTTGCAGTGAGCTGTGGTGCCTGTGAATAGCTGCTGCACTCCAGCCTGGGAAACACAGGGAGACCCTGTCTGTGAAAAAAAAGAAAAACGGGAGTCCCCTGCCCCCATCCAGAGGGCAATGATAAAAATAACAGTAGCTGGCATGTAGATGTGCTTATTTTATGCCAGGCCCTGAGCTAAGGGCTCCGCATGGAATATCTCACTGAATCCTTGTAGCGGCACTGCGGTAGGGACTTTTTTTTTTTTTTTGAGACGGAGTCTCACTGTGTCACCCAGACTGGAATGCAATGGCGCGATCTCAGCTCACCGCAACGTCCACCTCCCGGGTTCAAGCTATTCCCCTGCCTCAGCCTCCCAAGTAGCTAGGATTACAGGCATGTGCCACCACGCCTGGCTAATTTTTGTATTTTTAGTAGAGACAGGGTTTCACCATGTTGGTCAGCCTGGTCTCAAACTCCTGACCTCATGATCCGCCCACTTCGGCCTCCCAAAGTGCTGGGATTACAGGCGTGAGCCAGCACACCCGGCCTTTTCGTTGTTGTTGTTGTTGTTTTGAGACAGAGTCTTGCTCTGTCACCTAGGATGGAGTACAGTGGTGCGATCTCGTCTCACTGCAACCTCAGTCCCAAGCAATTCTCGTGCCTCAGCCTCTTAAGTAGTGGGATTACAGGCAGGCCCACCATTCCCAGCTAATTTTTGTATTTTTAGTAGAGACGGTTTCACCATGTTGGCCAGGCTGGTCTCGAACTCCTGGCCTCAAGGCCCACCTCAACGTCCCAAAGTGCTGGGATTACAGGGTGAGCTATGGTGCCTGGCTGGTAGGGACTTTTAATATTCCCATTTCACAACTGAGAACAAAGCTGGGGAGGTTCAGGAGTTTGCAAAAGCAGACAGGCTCTAGGCCGCCACCCCAGGCAGGCCAAGGAGGAGGCTTCTCACAAACAACTACGCTCCACTGACCCCCAAGGAGGGAGCAGCGCTGTGGACAGACCAAGTCCCCAGTGCCTCTCCGAAGCCTCCTCACACCCTCCCCCGCCCTGCTTCTCCTCAGAGCTACACCCCCACGGTGTTTGAGCGGTACATGGTCAACCTGCAAGTGAAAGGCAAACCTGTGCACCTCCACATCTGGGACACAGCAGGTGGGTGTGCAGGGGTGGGGCAGGGTGGGAGGGGCTTCTGTGGGCCCCTGATGCCTGGGACAGATTCCGCTCTGCTTCCTTCTGAACCAGGGAGGCCAGCCAGTCTCCAAGGGACAGGTGTGGGCCAGGAGTGGGCCCAGGAGTCTGAGCCCTCCTTGCCTCTGCAGCAGTGTCTCCTGCACCCCCAGCACCCCAGGGCCGCCCGCTACGTCCTGGAGGCAAGCGGGAGTCCAGCACTTTGCTTTCAGGACTGTTCCTGGCCTTCTGAGCACTCCACTCTGCTTTTAGTTTCTGTAGGATCTGTCTGTCCGTGGCCTCTGCCCTCCAGCCTCCTGACCTTGCCTATACCAGGGTGAGCTCTAAGCTAAACTCAGGGCCTCCCAGCAGCCCTCTTAGTTGGACGGGCTAAGATGTCTTTGCCAGGTTCCCACCTACCCCTTATTTCTCACTCCTAAGCTCAGGGCAAAGCTGGCTTCTGAGCAATTGGCCCCAGTTCCTCCAGGCGGTGCCAGGCCTGGCCTCTGCCTTGCCCGTCATCCCTTCCAGACATCCCACAGGCAGAGGTGAGCACTGCCCCAAAGGGGCACTCACATGGAGTAGCCACCTCAGAGCCAAATTTGTGCCAAACTCTGAGGCAAAAAACTAGGCCCTGTCCCCAGAAGCTCCCCATCTGATGAGGTGACCTCCTGACATTGGGGCAGTGCTGACAGGGGCCAGGAGCCCTGAAGGCAGTGACCACCTCCACTCTGCCCAGGGCAAGATGACTATGACCGCCTGCGGCCCCTGTTCTACCCTGACGCCAGCGTCCTGCTGCTTTGCTTCGATGTCACCAGCCCGAACAGCTTTGACAACATCTTTAACCGGGTAGGTACTGGGGGGCAGGGAGGCATAGCCCCCATAGCCAGGCCACTCCACTCTGCCACCCACCCTCGACCCAGCTGACTGTCAGAGCTTGGCAGGCCCAAAATGATATTGATTCCAGAGCTTTTGGTGTATATATGGGGAAACTGAGGCTCAGAGTGGGGCAGTGGCTTGCCCAGGGTTGCTGGCACAGGGATTTGGTGGCAGCGTCTGCCCTTCTGACTCCCAGTACAGTGCTCCTTGCCTACCCTATGCTGCAGACTCCGAACACTGTGGCTCTTCCCACGGCGGCTCTGCCTGAGGTTGCTGGGTGAGCCAGAGGCTGCTACATCTCCCCAGCCTGTGCCCGCCCAAGGTGCATGAACAGTCAAGTCAGAGTCCAGCAGCTCTGCGTGGCTGCTGGTTCTCAGAGGCTGCTCATGGGCATCAGGGATGTGGCCCCTTGAATTCCTCTGCTCCAGCTGCCTTTAGCCATGGCACAGCCCCTCACCCACTGCTGCCAGGGCCTCCGAGTTTCCGCAGGGTACAGCCCATGACAGTATTTGCAACAACAACAACAACGGTGACAATTTTAAGGACTGACCACGTGCCAGGCAGTGTTCTTGGTACTTGCATGTATTTACTCATTTACTCCCCCGGCCAACCTTATGGAGTATTATTATTCCCGGATCCAGTCACTCGTCCAAAGATACACATCTATTAAAGTGGTAACACTGGGATTTGAACCCAGGCAGGCTGCTCCGCCCATTCATTCAGAACGAATGATTGAGCACATTCGTTCTGGTGCTGTTCTGGGCATTGGGTACCAGGAGAGATGGTGGTGCCTGGGGCCAGGGTGCTAGCAGTGGGGGTGACGAGAAGGGGGCTGATTCTGAATCGGTCTAGAAGGCGGAGTTTGCTGATGATCAGAGTTTCTTGTTGGATTGGATGTGGGTGGGAGGGAGGAGTTTTTTTGTTTGTTTGTTTGTTTTTTGAAACGGAGTCTTGCTCTGTCACCCAGGCTGGAGTGCAGTGGCGCCATCTCGGCTCACTACAAGCTCTGCCTCCCAGGTTGATACCATTCTCCTGCCTCAGCCTCCTGAGTAGCTGGGACTACAGGCGCCCGCCACCACGCCCGGCTAATTTTTTGTATTTTTAGTAGAGACGGGGTTTCACCATGTTAGCCAGGATGGTCTTGATCTCCTGACCTCGTGATCCGCCCGCCTCGGCCTCCCAAAGTGCTGGGATTACAGGCGTGAGCCACCACGCCCAGCCTGGGAGGAGTTTTTACCAGAGCAGCTGGAAGGTGGAGTTGCCCTTGGCCAAGATGACAAGGAGCAAGCTGGGTTCGGGAGTGGGACATCCTAGTGGAGGTGTCCGGCAGGCAGTGCGATGCATGCGTCTGCAGTTCCTCCGAGCAGGCAGTCCAGCTGGGCAGCCTAAATGCAGCTGCACATTTAGAAGCTACGGGTGCAGTAAAGCCTGGGGGAGGCTGCCCAGGAAGGGAGAGCAGCTAGAGGAGAGGAAAGACCACAGGCTGAACCCCAGGGAGAGGAGGAGGAGGGCAAGGCCCCATAAGACCTAGGAGAGCCAGGAGAGTGGGGTCCTGGGGTGAAGTGCAGGCTCAGTCAGGTAGGAGGGAGTGATGCCCAGGGTCGGGGTTATCGAGGGATCAGTAGGAGCAGGGCTAAGGATTCTCTGATGGTGGCCGGGTGCGGTAGCTCACGCCTTGTAATCCCAGCACTTTGGGAGGCTGAGGAGGGTGGATTATTTGAGGAGTTTGAGACCAGCCTGACCAACATGGTGAAACCCCGTTGCTACTAAAAATACAAAAATTAGCCGGGCGTGGTGGCACATGCCTATAACCCAGCTACTTGGGAGGCTGAGGCAGGAGAATTGCTTGAACCCGGGAGGCGGAGGTTGCAGTGAGCCAAGATCGCACCACTGCACTCCAGTCTGGGCGACAGAGCGGGACTGTCTCAAAAAAGAGAGGATTCACTGCTGGGTTCAGTGGGAGCCACCAAGGAAACCTTTCTCATGGGCAGTTTCGGTGGATGCGGGGGTGTGGGGAATCTGCCAGGGACCCCACAAAGGCCCCATTTGCTTCCAGGAATGAGGTAGTTTGATGCCAATTTTTGTTTGTTTGTTTGTTTGTTTGTTTTGAGACAGAGTCTCACTCTGTCTCCCAGGCTGGAGTGCAGTGGTACAATCTGGGCTCACTGCAACCTCCACCTCCTGGGTTCAAGCGATTCTCCTGCCTCAGCCTCCCGAGTAGCTAGGATTGCAGGCTTGAGCCACCAAGCCCGGCTGATGCCAATTTTTATCAGGCAAGTTTCATGCCCAAACCAGCCGACTTCAGCCGACTTAGTGCTCCTGGAGATAGGAAGCCCCCTCCCGGGATCCCCGGCTCCCCAGCTGTAGTCCAGGCTGAAAGAACTCGGCCCTGGTGGCCTCACATTCTGCAGAGCAGCCCTCCCTCCACCAGGCAAGCAGTTGAGGCAGACAGCTGCTGCAACCATTTTGTGAGCAGATTTATTTATTTATTATTTTTTTGAGACGGAGTCTCACTCTGTAGCCCAGGCTGGAGTGCAGTGGCTCCATCTCAGCTCACTGCAACCTCCGCCTCCCAGGTTCAAGCGATTCTCCTGCCTCAGCCTCCAGAGTAGCTGGGACTACAGGTGCACGCCACCACGCCCAGCTAATTTTTGTATTTTTAGTAGAGACGGGGTTTCCCCTTGTTGGCCAGGCTGGTCTCGAACTCCTGACCTCAGGTGATCTGCCTGCCCTCAGCCTCCCAAAGTGCTGGGATTACAGGCGTGAGCCACCGAGCCCGGCCTGGATTGATTGATTTATTTTTATCTTTTTAATTGATTTATTTATTTATTTTGAGATGGAGTTTCACTCTGTCGCCCAGGCTGGAATGCAGTGGCGCGATCTCAGCTCCCTGCAACCTCCGCCTCCCAGGTTCATGCCATTCTCCTGCCTCAGCCTCCCGAGCAGCTGGGATTACAGGCACCCGCCATCATGCCCACCTAAATTTTGTATTTTTACTAGAGACAGGGTTTCACTGTTGGCCAGGCTGGTCTCAAACTCCTGACCTCAGGTGTTCCACCTGCCTCAGGCTCCCAAAGTGCTGGGATTACAGGCGTGAGCCACCACACCTGGCCCAGATTTGTTTTTAAAGGATCCCTTACTTCCTTATATGTTTTGCTCAGTTTGGTGGGTGTCCATGAGGGCCCTTACCCTGCAGAGAGGAAAGATTCTAGAACGGCAGGAGCAGGGTTCTGAGCCCCACCCCCAGGCTCAAATCCTGCCATTTCCAGCCAAGGCCAAGTTACATCGCCTTTCTGTGCCTCAGTTACCGCACCTGTACAGTGGGATTGGTTGTGAACTTGCTGCCACGGCCTCGGGGAATTAATGGGTCCATACGTGTAAATTCTTAGATGAGGTTCTGGTACCAAATAGTTTCTCCCTAGGTGCTGGCTTTGCTGATTATCCATATCAGAGCTCAGGCTGGGGAGCAAGAGAGTGGTCCACTGAGAGGGCCAGAACTCTCCAGGGCTCACACATGCCCCCCACATGCCCCCTCGCCCCCCTGCAGTGGTACCCAGAAGTGAATCATTTCTGCAAGAAGGTACCCATCATCGTCGTGGGCTGCAAGACTGACCTGCGCAAGGACAAATCACTGGTGAACAAGCTCCGAAGAAACGGATTGGAGCCTGTGACCTACCACAGGGTAGGAAACCCAGCCCGAGGTGGGAGTTGGGGAGGACTGAGTGAGGGGACCTCTGGATGCCTCTCAGTGGCACCAGGTGTCCAGAACGCTCAGGGTGTAGGTCAGAGCTGCGGTCGTCTTAGAGGCTGTCAGAGGTCAGAAACTTCCAGCACTTAGAAATGGTCCCTAGAATATTCTGGGAGCCTCCACAGGCAAAAGGGAGAACAAGGAAGTAGGCATATCAGAGTCAGTTCCACCACCAACCTGAGACCCAGAGAGGGGGCCCAGGCAGGCACCCACATATTCAGACCGTGGGTCCCTCTCTGCTACACGTCTGGGTTCATGGGAAGTTCATTTCTTGGTGCCTTGAGAGGCAAAGAGGCCCAGAACGGAGGTTAAAAACAACGAAGGCTGGCAGGGCGCAGGGGCTCACGCCTGTAATCCCAGCACTTGGGAGGCCGAGGTGGGTGGATCACTTGAAGTCAGGAGTTCGAGACCAGCCAGGGCAAAATAGCGAGACCCTGTCTCTACCAAAAATACAAAAAATTAGCCAAGTGGTGTGGTGGCGGGTGCCTGTAGTCCTAGCTACTCTGGAGGCAGAGGCAGGAGAATCACTTGAACCCGGTTGGAGGAGCTGCAGTGAGCTGAGATCGCACCACTGCACTCCAGCCTGGACGACAGAGCAAGACTCCGTCTCAAAAAAATAATAATAATAAAAATAAAGAAAAGAAAAACAAACATGATGAAGTGCATGAGGGCGCTTGGGCAAGCAGGGATACGGGAGCCATGGGTGCTCCGCAGACCCCACCTTCCACTCTTGTCCGGGAAAAGGAAGCGAGAACGTGAGGCCTGCCCAGTGCCCCCTTCACCGCAGCCCCATCCACCTCTCCCTCTAGGGCCAGGAGATGGCGAGGTCCGTGGGCGCGGTGGCCTACCTCGAGTGCTCGGCTCGGCTCCATGACAACGTCCACGCCGTCTTCCAGGAGGCCGCCGAGGTGGCCCTCAGCAGCCGCGGTCGCAACTTCTGGCGGCGGATTACCCAGGGCTTTTGCGTGGTGACCTGAGCGGCTCGGGGCGTCCCAGCGACGCGGGAAGGGGCAGGGCGCTGACCTGCTGCTGAGCTGGCTGGGCTGGACCCGGTCCCTAGGCTGTGACCGCCGAACTCCACTGCAACAGACGGGCGCCACCAAAGCCAGGCCCTGAGGCCTGGGAGTCCTGGACTGAGAAAGGGGGTTCCTGGGCCCACCTGCTCTGTGTAGGGCTCGTCCTGCGGTGCCCGAGAATCACTCGCTAACCCCTATGCCCGGTCCCGGACCGACATCCTGGAGCCGCCTGTGCAGCCTGATGCCCCCTCGTGGCTGCTCCCAGGGCTGCACCTGCCAGGACCTAATGTTCTTAGGTCCCTCTGGCCAGAACCCACACCCGGCCCCTTCCCACCTGTCATACTGGTAACTGTAACAAGAAAAACGACATCACTTATCATTGTGTCGTGCCTCTTTTTTCTGTTTTCTTTTTTTTGAGACGGAGTCTCGTTCTATCGCCCAGGCTGGAGTGCAGTGGCGCATTTCAGCTCACTGCAACCTGTGCCTCCTGGGTTCAAGCGATTCTCCTGTCTCAGCCTCCTGAGTAGCTGGGATTACAGGCGCGCGCCACCACACCCGGATAATTTTTGTATTTTCTTTAGCAGAGACGGGGTTTCACCATGTTGGTGAGGCTGGTCTCGAACTCCTGACCTCATGATCCACCCGCCTCGGCCTCCCAAAGTGCTGGGATTACAGCCATGAGCCACCACGCCCTGCCTATGCCTCTTGTTTCAAGGTGTCTTTACACACACGTTCCAAGGTAGGTAAAAGCCCACCCCATCTAGGCACTGGGATGGGACTGCTTGGATCCAAACCAGCTTTATTGCTTCCACGACCTTGGGCAAGTTCTTCTGGGCCTCAGCTTCCTCACCTGTGAAATGGATCACAGACTAAGCCATGGAACTTTCGGATGAGTAAGAGGGTCATGAGGACCAACACACGCAAAGAGCTTAGTAGGTGCCTAGCACGCAGTAAGTGCTCACAAAAGGTTCGGCCAGGGCCGAGCACAGTGACTCATGCCTGTAATCCCAGCACTTTGGGAGGCCGACGTGGGTGGATCACGAGGTCAGGAGTTTGAGACCAGCCTGACCAACATGGTGAAACCCCCATCTCTACTAAAAATACAAAAATTAGCCAGGCGTGGTGGCCCACACCTGTAATCCCAGCTACTCCAGAGGCTGAGGCAGGAGAATAGGTTGCAGTGAGCCGAGATCACACCACTGCACTCCAGCCCAGGCAACACAACGAGACTCCTTCTCAAAAAAAAAAAAGGTGTAGCCAGGTGCTGTGGCACACCTGTCCCAGCCACGATTGTACCAGTGCACTCCAGCTTGGGCTACAAAGCAGAAAAAAAAAAAAAAAAAGAAAAAAAAGTGGCCGGGTGTGTTGGCTTACGCCTGTAATTCCAACACTTTGGGAGGCTGAGGCGGATGGATCACCTGAGGTCAGGAGTTCGAGACCAGCCTAGTGGTCACATGGTGAAACCCGGTCTCTACTAAAAATATAAAAATTAGTTGGATGTGGTGGTACGTCCCTGTAATCCCAGCTACTTGGGAGGCTGAGGCTGGAGAATCACTTGAATCCGGGAAGTGGAAGTTGCAGTGAGCTGAGATCACGCCACTGCACTCCAGCCTGGGTGACAGAGCGAGACTCTGTCAAAAAAAAAAAAAAAAAAAAAAAAAAAAAAGGATCTTGACTTCTGACTTCAGAGCAGTTGAGGCTTGTGCAAGAAGAAAAATCTGCAAGAAGTCTGCATAAAAAGCATAACAGCAAAACCATCAAGGGCTCCAAGAACACAGGGAAGTTACAGAGGAGAGCTGTCTGAGCTAGGTTAAGCTCACTAGGCTTGGGGAGAATAGGGAAGAATATTCTGGGTGCAGGGTATGCTTAGGGGAAGAGCAATCAGGCTGGAAATGGAAGCTGGGAAAAGTTGTTTCCCATCCCTGAGCAGGTGAGATTAAAAGTTCAGTGGGGCCTGGTGTGGTGGCTCGCGCCTGTAATCCCAGCACTTTGGGAGGCTGAGAAGGGTAGATCACCTGAGGTCAGGAGTTCGAGACCAGCCTGGACAACATGTTGAAACCCCATCTCTACTAAAAATACAAAAAAATTAGCTGGGCATGGTGGTGGGCACCTGTAAACCCAGCTACTCAGGAGGCTGAGGAAGGAGAATCACTTGAACCCGGGAGGCGGAGGTTGCAGTAAGCCGAGATCACGCCACTGCACTCCAGACTGGGCAACAAGAGCAAAACTCTGTCTCAAAAAAGAACCATAACAATAAATTAATAAATAATAATAATTTAAAAATAAAATATATAAATAATAAAAATTTTAAAAAAAGAAACCTCACAGTGGGGACTGGAATCTAGGTAGGGTTTTCCACGTTGGCCCCTAACACTATTTCACTTGCGGCAGCTCGGCCCTGTAATCTGAGCTGTGAGGCCCCACGTTGCTGAAGCAGTCCCCCACCTGGAGCTGTTTCTGATGAAACTTCCGGGACAGGTGTCAGCAGCTGGTTCTCATTAAGGATCATGTGTATCAGCGCAAAAGAAATGGTCCAGTTCGGCTGGGCGCGGTGGCTCACACCTGTAATCCCAACACTTTGGGAGGCCAAGGCAGGTGGATTGCTTGAGGCCAAGAGTTCAAGACCAGCCTGGCTAACATAGTGAAACCCTGTCTCTATAAAAAACACAAAAATTAGCCAGGTGTGGTAGCACGCATCTGTAGTCCCAGCTACTCAGGAGGCTGAGGCAGGAGAGTTGTTTGAACCTGCGACGCAGTGGTTGCAGTGAGCTGAGAACACACCACTACCCTCCAGCCTGGATGACAGAGTGAGACTCTGTCTCAAAAAAAAGAAAATACATGTTTGGTTTTGGAACTTCCCAAGAGCTTTAATTAGGCTCACAGTACAGTTGGAGAATATTTGGGTTTGAGTCCAGAGCACATGGCCATAGAGTAGCTTAGTGCAGCTTTGGCTGCTGGTTCATGGTTTGGTTCAGATCGAGCCTCCGAGCATAAGAAAGTTACTCATTCAGGCCAGAAATGAAGCTGTGGTGGGGGAGTCATAAGTGCCCTGCTCACCTTGTGGCTTGGCCAGATGGGTAGACAGTGGGGGTGCTCAAACTTCATCTGATTCAGGACACCCCAAGATCTCTCTTAGGAATGACCTCCCCCTCAAGCCCCGGCAGGATTCTTTTTTTTTTTTTTTTACAGACAGGGTCTTGCTCTGTTGCCCAGGCTGGAGTGCAGTGGTGCAATCATAGCTCACTGCAGCCTCAACCTCCTGGGCTCAAGCAATCCTCCTGCCTCAGCCTCCCGAGTAGCTGGGACTACAGTTGCCCACCACACCTGGCTAATCCCCCTGCAGGGTTCTAAGTGCTGTAGAGCAGAGTAGATCATGGGGTGGGCTTGTCACTGAATTGGTTTTAATAAGTTCACATTGACTTAAGACTCACTGAGGCTGGGCGTGGCTGCTCACGCCTGTAATCCCAGAACTTTGAGAGGCCAAGGCAGGTGGATCACCTGAGGTCAGGAGTTCAAGACCAGCCTGGCCCATATGGTGAAACCCCATCTCTACTAAAAATACAAAAATAAGCTGTGTGTGATGGCACGTGCCTGTAATCCCAGCTTCTAGGGAGGCTGAGGCATGAGAATTGCTTCAATCCGGGAGGTGGAGGTTGCAGTGAACCGGGATCACGCCATTGCACTCCCCCTGGGCAACAGAGCGAGACTCTGTCTCAAAAAAAAAAATAAATAAATAAATAAAAGAAAAAAGAAAAGACCCACTTATGTGCTTAGTGCTGTGCTTAGTCATTTTCCATGAAGTATCCCATTTAGTAGTCACAGGCCCCAGTGAGCTAGGACCAGGTACACACCCACCTCACAGATGAGGAGGCGGAAGCACAGAGGGCTCGGTCAAATGCTCATGACCTCAAGAAGTAGCAGGGCCGCAGCTGGACGTGGTGGCTCAAGGCTGTAATCCCAGCACTTTGGGAGGCCGAGGCGGGTAGATCATGAGGTCAGGGGTTTGAGACCAGCCTGGCCAACATGGTGAAACCCTGTCTCTACAAAAAATACAAAAATAGCCAGGTGTGGCAGTGTGTGCCTGTAATCCCAGCTACTAGGGAGGCTGAGGCAGGAGAATCACTTGAACCTGGGAAGCAGAGGTTGCAGTGAGCCTAGACTGTGCCATTGCACTCCAACGTGGGTGACAGAGCAAGACTCCGTCTCTAAAAAAAAAAAAAAGAAGAAGAAGTAGCAGAGCCAAGGTTTAAGCCCAGGACAGTCTGACTGTCCAGAATCTTGGCTGTCAGCCACTACACTGGACCCCTGTCCTGAGTCACCTCTTCCCCAGACCCCCAGCCCTGGACCCCTGCTTTGTACCAGTATTTCCAGACCCCAAGGAGCTCAGAGTTTACAGAGACAAGAAGGCCTAGAATTGTCTTTCAGGGATTGGGGGCAACATGGCAGGTGCAAGGCTGTGAAGACCACGTGGTTTGACCCAGACACCAGCAGAGCTACAGCTCACAGAAGTCCCGCTGAAGCAGGCTGAGCAGCACCTGAGGATCCCAGCAGAAGGAACAGGTGCTGGGATTTATTGGGTTCCCACCCCATGCCAGACGCTTGATTGATGAGATGCCATTATTAGACCCATTTCAGAGAAGAAAATAAGGCTCAAAGCAGGAGAGTGGTCTGTGTAGGGTCATGTGGCCAGAGGTAGGGCTGAAGTTCAGCTCAGCCTCTCATGGCACTTCACTGAGGACACGTGCTGGGAGATCAAGGTCAGTGAGGAACCGAGCTCTGTGGGCAAAAGAGAAACAGGATGGTCTGGGGAGCTGAAAGATCCAGTGGTGTGCAGAAGTTGGGGAGAGGCATCTGGGGCCACCAAATAAGAGGAGGGAAGTCGGCACCTGCCTGCTGTGCGGGGGAGAGAGTTCCTGGGAGAGACAGTGGGACTCAGGAGCACACACATCGGACTTTCCTTCCCTGCCAAGGGCTGCCCTCCTCTCCTTCTTTGAGAGCTCATCACCACCTGAAATGGTCCTGTCTGTCTCCCCATGGTCATGCCAGCTCTCTGAGAGCACAGGCTGGGCTTGTTGCAATCTCCTGTGCCAGCCGGGCGCAGTGGCTCATGTCTGTAATCTCAGCACTTTGGGAGGCCGAGGCGAGTGGATCACCTGAGGTCAGGAGTTCGAGACCAGCCTGGCCAACATGGGGAAATCCCGTATCTACTAAAAATAGAAAAAATTAGCCGAGCGTCGTGGCAGGCGCCTGTAGTCCCAGCTACTCGGGAGGCTGAGGCAGGAGAATTTCTTGAACCCCAGAGGCGGAGGTTGCAGTGAGCTGAGATTGCGCCATTGCACTCCAGCCTGGGCGACAGAGCGAGACTCCGTCTCAAAAAAAAAAAGAAAGAAAGGAAGGAAGGAAGGAAGGAAGGAAGGAAGGAAGGAAGGAAGGAAGGAAGGAAGGAAGGAAGGAAGGAAAGAAAGAAAGAAAGAAATCCCCTGTGCCTCAAACAATGCCTAGCATAGAGTAAACACCAAATACATAGGTGAGAAATGAGTGAATGAATTAATGAATGCCATGAATCCGTGCTCCATTCAGACCCTCATCCATTCGGGCTTGGACCATCACATAAGTCTCCCAGCCTGCAGGCTCTCGGCCTCCTCCATCCTCCTCACCCTGGCAGAGCCATCCTCCAAAGCATAAGTGCGTCCCTGCACAGAAGCCTTCAGCAGCCCCCTCTGCCCAGAGAAGAAGGGCCAGAGTCCACAGTTGGGGCCTGGGGCTCTCCAGTATCTGGCCCTAGCCCACATTGATCCGGGCCTTATCCCCAGGACACCTCCCCACACCCACTCCGGCCACACCCAGGGGCCACATCCAAGGAGCACCAACCTCCTAGCCTTCGCTCAGACTGCTTCCCCACCTCGGCAAGCCCTGCCTCCCAGTCACCGCCTGTTCAAACCTCCCCTCCTCCCCCAAATCCTTCAGGGTCCAGCTGGGACACCACCCTCTCCAGGAAGCTTGTGGGCCGGGCCTGCCGCCTCTCTCCCTCTTCACTGCACGCCTGCCTGTGCGCACCAAATCTCTCTTCACGGGGCCCCTTGGCTAAGGAACTGGGCTTTTCTTCCCGTGCTGTGGGAAGGGCCAGGTTAGACTCCCTAAGATGACAGGTCTGGTGGTGGGACCAGGTGGGCTATCTGGGAGGAGGGAGGCGGGAGCCTGGAGACCAGCTGGGGAGCTGCAGATGTCCAGACACAAGAAACAAGCCACTACAAGTCAAGGCTTGGTGACTTCTGGGCTGGAAGCTGTAGCACCAAGGGTGGACTTTGGGAAGGGTGGGGACGTTGGGAGGGAGGGAAGAATGCAGGCCTCTCCCACCTGGGGTCGGGGTGGGGGGGGCGGGAGGAATGTGGGGAGGGCGAGCACTTCTCCCAGACCCGGCACTGGGAGAGGCGGGGACCTTAGTTGGGTGGCCGCTTTCTCACTCTGGCCTCTCCCTCTGCCCCGCCTGTTTCAGGCCCCATCCTGCCTAGCCCGCCACACACAGCTCTCCAAAGTGTCCAAGGAGGGCACGGGGGCGGGGGGCAGGGGGGTCCTTGGAGACGCCTGTGAGGAGCCAGAGTTATTACTATTCTCCTCCTCCTTCTCCCCCCAACAATCCCCTCTTTCAATTCCTCACTACCCAGCCTGGTAGGGCAGGCACGGCCAGACGGATGGGAGCTGGGGAAGGCCCAGCCTGGAGGCCAGCGCAAGCCAAGAGCCACAAACCACCGTCTTCGTTTCCCCATGCCGCCTCCGCCCAGCCTTGGGGTTGTCTGCTGGGAAGGCAGAGGGCAGGGGTGGGGACCTCAAGTCATCTCCTCCAGGACAGGCCACTCCCTGACACCCTCAGGGTGAGGAGGAGGGTGGGGCGCACACTGTCTGTGAGTCACAGAGCTTCCCTCTCCCCTGTGCCGGGGCAGCACTCTGGGCCCCATCCCATGTCTAGACACAGGGAGAGGATGGTGGCCAGCAGATCACCCTACTCCAGGCCACCCTCTGCTCTCCAGCCTCCTTTTCCTCCTGGGGTCCTGTCCTTTGGAGGATAACCACTCACAGCCCCCAGGAAGTCATCGCTCAGCCGCTGGTTAGGAAACCAACAAAGCATATGGCCAGGCTGAGGGCAGTAAGCGTCGAATGAGTGGAACGGCTGACCGCCCACCCATGCATTCAAGGGCGTAATCTCCACGGTAATGCTGCTGATTAATAGGTCCAGATTGCTGGGCGTGGTGACTCACGCCTGTAATCCCAGCACTTTGGAAGGCCAAGGTGGGCGGATCACCTGAGGTCAGGAGTTTGAGACCTGCCTGACCAACATGGTAAAATCTGTCTCTACTAAAAATACAAAAAATTAGCCAGGCATGGTGGCAGACGCCTGTAATCCCAGCTACTCAGGAGGCTGAGGCAGGAGAATCGCTTGAAACAAGAAGACAGAGATTGCACTGAACCAAGATCGCACCACTGCACTCCAGCCTAGGCACGACAGAGACTCCATCTCAAAAAAGAAAAAAGGTCAGATTGTGACTAGAAGGGGACTTTCCTGGGCTCAAATCCTGGCTCTTCAACTTACCAGCTGTGTGACCTTGAAGGAGACACTAGGGCTTTCTTATGTGTCAGTTTCTTTATTTGTCAAATGTGGGTATGAGTAGTTCTGACCTCCTACATTGGTTGGATTCAATAAGCAAATAGTGCTTATTCACTCCCTCAGTGCTAACTCCTAACTAGAGCTATTAACTATGAAATGAGGATAATTGTTTACTGTGCAGGGTTGTTGCAGGGCCTGTGAAGCAGAAACAAGCATGTATGTGTTTGATGCTGGCCTCTTCTTCCCAATCTGGGTCACCAAGCCTGGGAGGAGAAGAGAGGGAAGCTTCATCAAGGAGACGGAATGGAACATGAGGCCGACTGCTGTTTGCAGGCCTGCAGGAGTGGGCTGGACCCTCAGCAGAGCCAGGGAGGATGGGGCTGGAATTTCCTCCAGGGCTTCTATTTGCACGGGACACACCAAACTGAGCAGTGCTCAGCCCAGGGCTGACAATGTTAATACGTTTGATTAGGAAATGTGTAGTATCAGCTCCTACCAAAAAATTTTTTAATTTTTATTTATTTATGGTTTTTTGATTTTGTTTTTGTTTTTTTGAGACCGAGTTTCGCTTTTGTTGCCCAGGCTGCAATGGTGTGATCTCAGCTCACTGCAATCTCCGCCTCCCAGGTTCAAGCGATTCTCCTGCTTCAGCCTCCCAAGTAGCTGGGATTACAGGCACCCACCACCACTCCCAGCTAACTTTTGTATTTTTAGTAGAGACGGGATTTCACCATGTTGGCCAGGCTGGTCTAGAACTCCTGACCTCAGGTGATCCACCTGCCTCGGCCTCCCAAAGTGCTGGGATTACAGGCGTGAGCCACCACACCCAGCCTTTACTTCTTTTTGAGCCAGGGTCTCACTCTGTCATCCAGGCTGGAGTGCAGTGGCACAGTCTCTGCTCACTGAAGCCTCGACCTCCTGGGCTCAAGTGATCCTCCTGCCTCTGCCTCCCAAGTAGCTGGGACTACACAGCGCATGCCACCACAGGCCCTGCTCTAGGCACTGTGTCTACTGAGCACCAAGCGCAGGAGGCAGGGTGCAGAGGTGAGGAGAGCAGGATGTGGTCCTTGCCTTCCAAGCTTCCATCTTCCATCCTCCGTGGGAGCTCAGATGTGGATACAACCAGCAGGGGAGGGGAGTGTGCCACATTCACTCAGCAACCCACAAGTGTGGGTGCCAGCTCCTGCCATTGAGACAAACAGGAGGAGCTCAGCTAAAACAGGGTTAGGCCAGGCACAGTGGCTCATGCCTATAATCCTAGCACTTTGGGAGGCCAAGGTGGGAGGATTGCTTGAGCCCAGGAATTTGAGACCAGCCTGGGCAACATAGGAAGACACTATCTCCACACACACACACACATACACACACACACACACACACACAAAGTATTTTTTATTTTTGAGACAAGGTCTCATTCGGTCATCCAGGCTGGAGTGCAGTGGCAGGGTCGCTGCTCACTGCAGCCACGACCTCCTGGGCTCAAGCGATCCTCCCGCCTCAGCCACCTGAGTAGCTGGGATCACAGGCTCAGACCACCACAGCAGGCTTTTTTTTTTTCTTTTTTTTTTTTTTGAGATGGAGTCTAGCTCTGTCACCCAGGCTGGAGTGCAGTGGTATGATCTCGGCAACTCGCTGCAAGCTCTGCCTCCTGGGTTCACGCCATCCTCCTGCCTCAGCCTCCCAAGTAGCTGGGACTACAGGCACCCGCCACCACGCCCGGCTGATTTTTTGTATTTTTAGTAGAGACAGGGTTTCACCATGTTAGCCAGCATGGTCTCGATCTCCTGACCTCGTGATCCGCCCGCCTCAGCCTCCCAAAGTGCTGGGATTACAGGCATGAGCCACCATGTCCGGCCTCCAGCTGGCTAATTTTAAAATTTTTTTTGTAGAGATAGGGTCCACTATGTTGCCAAGGCTGGTACATTTTTAAAAAATTAGTGGAACAGGCTGGGAGCGGTGGCTCATGCCTGTAATCCTAGCACTCTGGGAGGCCAAGGCGGGCAGATCACAAGGTCAGGAGTTCCAGACCAGCCTGACCAACATGGTGAAACCCCACCTCTACTAAAAATACAAAACTTAGCCGGGTGTGGTGGCGCACACCTGTAATCCCAGCTACTCGGGAGGCTGAGGCAGGAAAATTGCTTGAACCTGGGAGGTGGAGGTTGCAGTGAGCCAAGATTGCACCACTGCACTCCAGCCTGGGTGACAGAGTGAGACTCTGTCTCAAAAAAAAAAAAATTAGTGGAACAGAAAAAAATAAGAAAGATAAAAGGCAGGATCAAAAGCAGTGAGTGGCAAAGCTGGGCGCTTGGACACAGGACCCCAACTCTCAGCCTCAGCTCCTGGCCTCCCCTGGGTACTGTCCAGGTGCTGGACCTCGACCACCAGAGGGCAGCAGGGCCCAAGGAGAGGTGCCTTCCCCACTCCTCGCGAGGCCCATGGGGCAGGTGTGGCGATCTGCCCCATCGCTCCTGCCTGGGGCATGTTTAGCAACACACAACTGCCACCAGCCCCACCCACTGAGCCCTGCCCGCCCCACCAACATTTTACAGAAATAAAACTGGGGCTCAGAGTGGCTGAGTAAGTTGACCATTCAGTTAGTCTAGAAAGACCCAAAAGAGAATCATGCTCTCCTGAATCAGTTGTGGTTCTAAGGTCAGAGAGATGCGGGTTTGAATCCCTCCCCTGCACCTACCAACTGGCAGGATTCTTGTCAAGCGTCAGGCGGGCCTGGCTGGAGTGAGATCAAACGTGGGAAGCGCAGTAAGAGCACCACTGCTGTTCTCTCCTGACCCCACCCCAGAATTTGCAACGCAGTTCAGGGAGATGATCAAAATACTTAAGAGTGTTAAGGAACCCCGAGAGAGGGATCCCAGAAAGAGAGGTGCTATGGGCAGGCACCAGGGGGCACACCCCACTGCGTGTGGCCAGAATAATCCTGGAGGATTGCCAGAGAAGGGGTGGAGCTGGAGGACCCTGCGGGGCAGGCTGGATGGCCGGCGGGACCTTCCTGCTGGAGAACAAACCCATGCAGAGACCCAACCCCCGTGTGGGGCACTGGGAAACATTTCGGAGCTGTGAACTCCTCCTCGTCCTCCCAACAGCGAAGGGCTGCTGCCTCCACAATGCCAAGAGGTGACACCTCTCAGGAGCTTCTGTCTGGCCCAGCCCAGCCTCTTCAGACACTCCCAGCTCTCCAGTTCTTTTCACTTCCCCACCCCAACACCTCTGTTGAGAATCAAAAAAGAAATGGCCTGATAAAGAATTTTTTATTTTTAGCGACAGAATCTCACTCTGTCACCGAGGGTGGAGTGCAGTGGCGCTATCCTAGCTCACTATAACCTCAAACTCCCCGGGCTGCAGCGATCCTCCCGCCTCAGTTTCCTGAGTAGCTGGGACCACAGGCGTGTGCCAACATGCCTGGCTAATTTTTTTTTTCTTTTTTTAAGACAGTTTCGCTCTTGTTGCCCAGGCTGGAGTGCAGTGGTGCGACCTCAGCTCATCGCAACCTCCGCCTCCTGGGTTCAAGAGATTCTCCTGCCTCAGCCTCCCCAGTAGCTGGGATTATAGGCACATGCCACCATGCCCGGCTAATTTTTGTATTTTTAGTAGAGATGGGGTTTCACCATGTTGTCCAGGCTGGTCTCGAACTCCTGACCTCAGGTGATCCACCCACCTCGGCCTCCCAAAGTGCTGGGATTACAGGCATGAGCCACCTCGCTTGGCCAAGAATTTTTTTCTTTCCTTTTTTGAAACAGAGTCTTGCTCTGTCGCCCAGGCTGGAGTGCAGTGTTGAGATCTTGGCTCACTGCAACCTCTGCCTTCCTGGTTCAAACGATTCTCCTGTCTCAGCCTCTGGAGTAGCTGGTATTACAGACGTGTGCCACCACGCTCGGCCTGCCAAGAATATTTTATACCTTTGTCACTCATCACATCCCCCAGGACCATCTCCCTGAAAGTTCCCAATCCCCTCACCTACATCCTCCCCTCCCCGCTGTCCTCAGGCCCACCATCCAGGAGGAAGTCATACCACTCTGATCACATCTTGGAGGGTCTCAGCAGAGTCCACGCGCAGCCTTCACCTAGGGCATTAACAGAATACGTGAGCTTCTCTTTCCCCATTTCCTTCTCCCCCTCCCTCCCTCACTCCTCCTACCCGGGATCTCCTCCTAAATGAATTATCCTTCCTTTTCCACAGTTTTATTTACCCATGGTTAACCTTGGCCCAAAACTATTAAATGGAAAATTCTAGAAATAAACAATTCTTTTTTTTTTTTTTTGAGACACAGTCTCACTCTGTTGCCCAGGCTGGAGTGCAGTGGTGTGATCTCCACTCACTGCAACCTCTGCCTCCCGGGTTCAAGCGATTCTTCTGCCTCAGCCTCCCAAGTAGCTGGGATTACAGGCATGTGCCACCATGGCCAGCTACTTTTTGTATTTTTAGTAGAGACAGGGTTTTGCCATGTTGGTCAGGCTGATCTTAAACTCCTGACCTCAGGTGATCCCCCCACCTCGGCCTCCAAAGTGCTGGGATTGCAGGTGTGAGCCACCAAGCCTGGCCGTAAGTTTAACTGCACATCATTCTGAGTAGCGTGATGACATCTCCCCAATTCCCACTCCATCCTTCCTGGTAGACACTACCTATTAGTTAGTGTGGAATCATTACATCAGTTACTTAGTAGCTGGCTTGGTTGGGATCCACTGTGGTATGGCAGTGCTGGTTTCAAGTAACCCTTACTGTATTTAACAGTGGCCCCAGGGCACAAGAGTAGTGATGCTGGCAATTCTGATATGCCAAAGAGAAACTGTAGAGAGCTTCCTTTCACTGAAAAGGTGAAAGTTCTCAACTTAAAGAAACAAAAAAATCAAAAGCTGAAGTTGCTAAGATTTGTGGTAAAAATGAATCTCCTGCCAGGCACGGTGGCTCACGCCTGTAATCTCAGCACTTTGGGAGGCTGAAGTGGGTGGATCACCTGAGGTCAGGAGTTCGACACTAGCCTGGCCAAGACGAGGCCTGAAACCTCATCTCTACTAAAAAATGCAAAACATTAACCGGGAATGGTGTCCTGTGCCTGTAATCCCAGCTACTCGGGAAGCTGAGGCAGGAGAATCCCTTCAACCTGGGAGGCGGAGGTTGCAGTGAACTGAGATGGTGCCACTGCACTCCAGCCTGGGCGACAAGAGTGAAACTCCGTCTCAAGAAAAAAAAATATATAGTGCTTACTACATGTCTGCCACTTTTTTGAGACAGGATCTCACTCTGTTGTCCAGGATGGAGTGCAGTGGTTCAATCACAGCTCACTGAAGTCCCAACCTCCTGGGCTCAAGCGGTCCTCTCACCTCAGCATCCTGAGTAGCTTGGACTTAGAGGAGCATACCACCATGCCTGGCTAATTTTTTTTTTTTTTTTTTTTTTTTTGAGAGACAAGGACCCACTGTGTTGCCCAGGCTGGTCTCAAATTCCTGGACTCAAGCAATCCTCCTGCCTCAGCCTCCCAAAGTGTTGAGATTATAGGCATGAGCCCCGTGCAACACTTTTTTTTTTTTTAATATAATGTTTAGTCCGGGTGTGGTGGCTCATGCCTGTAATCCCAACACTTTGGGAGGCTGAGGCGGGAGGATCACTTTAGGTCAGGAGTTCGACACCAGCCTGGCCATCATGGTGAAACCCCGTCTCTACAAAAAATACAAAAACCAGCCGGGCGTGGTGGCGCATGCCTATAATCCCCACTACTCGGGAAGTTGAGGCAGGAGAATCGCTTGAACCCGGGAGGTGGAGGTTGCAGTGAGATGAGATGGCGCCATTGCACTCCGGCCTGGGTGACAGAGTGAGACTCCATCTCAACAAATAAAACAAAAGCCGGGCGTGGTGGTGCTCGCCTGTAATCCCAGCACTTCGGGAGGCCGAGGCAGGCGGATTGCCTGAGGTCAGCCTGGCCAACATGGTGAAACCCTGTCTCTACTAAAAATACAAAAATTACCTGGGCATGGTGGCGTGTGCCTGTAATCCTAGCTACTTGGGAGGCTGAGGCAGGAGAATCGCTTGAACCCAGGAGGCAGAGGTTGCAGTGAGCCAAGATTGCACCACTGCACTCCAGCCTGGGCGACAGAGCAAGACTCTGTCTCAATAAATAAATGAGTAAATAAATAAATAAATAAATAAATAGGCTGGGTGCGGTGGCTCCCGCCTGTAATCCCATCACTTTCAGAGGCCAAGGGTGGATCGCCTGAGGTCAGGAGTTCGAAACCAGACTGGCCAATATGGGAAAATCCTGTCTCTACTAAAAATACAAAAATTAGCTGAGCATAGTGGCGCGTGACTGTAATTCCAGCTATTCGGGAGGCTGAGGCAGAAGAATCTCTTGAACCCAGGAGGTGGAGTTTGCCGTGAGCCGAGATCCTGCCACTGCACTCCAGCCTGGGCAACAAGAGCAAAATTCCAACTCAAAAAAAAATTATTTTTAACCCTCATTTCTTCTGCAACAACACTTCGAATACTAACTCATTAAACCTTCATGTCCACCCTGCAACGTAGGTACAGTTATCAGCAGCCCCATTTTACAGATGAGAAAACTGCTGAGGGGCAGAGGGGTTAAAAAATTTGTCCAAAAATCACAAGCTGACAAGGGACATTTAGGATTTGAATCCAGTCTGGATGGTCCCAGAACGCACAATGTGTTCAGGCCATGGATGGGGACAGCAGGTCCACAGTGTCCAGTGGTCTGTAACCCAGGCTGTGGGGGCCTGCTACCAGCCCTGTCACTGACTCAGAGTGATCAGATAGCCTTCCCACAAGGCTCTTTTCTGCTGAAATTAACAAGCCCTTTTTGATGTCTGAAGCTTCTTAAGAGCTCTCATTGGTTCAGATCCTATATTAAAGAGAAATTCAGGTCAGGCATGGCGGGGCATGCCCATAATCCCAGCCCTTTGGGAGGCCAAAGCAGGAGGATCGCTTGAGGCCAGGAACTGGAGACCAGTGTAGACACATAGGGAGACCCCCATCTGTACAAAATATTTTTTTAAAAATCAGCCAGTCAGGGTGGCACGTGTCTGTAGTACCAGCTACTCGGGAGGCTGAGGTGAGAGGATCACTTGAGCCCAGGAATTCAAGGTTATAATGAACTATGATTGCGCTACTATACTCCAGCCTGGGTGACAGACTAAGATCCTGTCATTTAAAAACAAAAGAAAAGGGCGGGCGCAGTGGCTCAAGCCTGTAATCCTAGCACTTTGGGAGGCCGAGGCGGGCGGATCACAAGGTCAGGAGTTCAAGACCAGCCTGGCCAACATGGTGAAACCCCATCTCTACTAAAAATACAAAAATAGCCGGGCATGGTGGTGCGTGCCTGTAATCCCAGCTACTCGGGAGGCTGAGGCAGGAGAATTGCTTGAACCCAGGAGGCAGAGGTTGCAGTGAGCCGAGACTGCGCCACTGCACTCCAGCCTGGCGACAGAGCAAGACTCCGTCTCAAAAAAAAAATAAAAATAAATAAATAAATAAATAAAAACAAAAAAAAAGTAAGAGAGGCCGGGCGCAGTGGATCATGCCTGTAATCCCCGCACTTTGGGAGGCCAAGGCGGGTGGATCACGAGATCAGGAGATCAAGACCATCCTGGCTAACACGGTGAAACCCCGTCTCTACTAAAAATACAAAAAATTAGCCGGGCGTGGTGGTGGGCGACTGTAGTCCCAGCTACTCGGGAGGCTGAGGCAGGAGAAAGGCGTGAACCTGGGAGGTGGAGCTTGCAGTGAGCTGAGATCGCGCCACTGCGCTCCAGCCTGGGCGACAGGGCAAGACTCCATCTCAAAAAAAAAAAAAAAAAGAAGTAAGAGAAAAACTGGAAAACATTTAAAAATAGTATATATATATATTTTTTAGACAGAGTCTTGCTCTGTTGCCCACGCTGGAGTGCAGTAGTGTGATCTCGACTGACTGCAATCTCTGCCTTCCGAGTTCAAGTGATTCTTCTGCCTCAGTCTCCTGAGTAGCTGGGATTACAGGCACCCACCACCACACCCAGCTAATTTTTGTCTTTTTGGTAGACACAGGGTTTTGCCATTTTGGGCTTGAACTCTTCAGGTGACTCACCCGCCTCAGCCTCCCAAAGTGTTGGGATTACAGGTGTGAGCCACTGCACCCGGCCATTTGTTTGTTTGTTTGTTTGTTTGTTTTTAGATGGAGTCTGGGATTACAGGCAAGTGCCACCACGCTCAGCTAATTTTTGTATTTTTAGTAGAGATGAGGTTTCACCATGTTGGCCAAGCTGGTCTTAAACTACTGACCTCAAGTTATCCACCCGCCTTGGCCTCCCAAAGTGCTGGGATTACAAGTGTGAGCCACCGCGCCCGTCCACCCAACTAATTAAAAAAAATTTTTTTTTGTAGGCTGGGTGTGGTGGCTCACACCTGCAATCCCAGCACTTTGGAAGGCTGAGGCGGGCACATCCCCCTCGAGGCCAGGAGTTCCAGACCAGCCTGGCCAACATGCAGAAACCCAATCTCTACTAAAAATATAAAAATTAGCCCAGTGTGGTGGCGTGTGCCTGTAATCCTAGCTATTTGGGTGGTTGAGGCACGAGAATCGCTTGACTCCAGGAGGCGGAGGTTGCAGTGAGCCAAGATCAAGCACTCCAGCCTGAGTGACAGAGCGAGACTATGTCTAAAAAACAAAAAATTTGTAGAGATCATATTGCCCAGGCTGGTCTCAAACTGCTAGCCTCAAGCAATCCTCCCACCTTGGTCTCCCAAAGTGCTGGGATTATAGGCGTGATCCACTACATTTGGTCTCAGAATTGTTAAAGGGGATCCAGGACAAAGGTTTGTTTGTTTATTTATTTTGTTGATGTTGTTGTTTTGAGAGGGAGTCTCACTCTGTCGCCCAGGCTGAAGTGCAGTGGCACTATCTCGGCTCACTGCAACCTCCGCCTCCCGGGTTCAAGCAATTCTCCCACGTCAGCCTCCCAAGTAGATGAGATTACAGGCACCCACCACCACACCTGGCTAATTTATTTATATTTTTAGTAGAGACAGGGTTTTGCCTTGTTGGCCAGGCTGGTCTCAAACTCCTGGCCTCAAGTGATCTGCCCGACTCCGCCTCCCAAAATGCTGAGATTACAGGCGTGAGCCACCGCGCCCAGTTATTTTTATTTCTATTTAAAAATTTTAAAATATTCTTTTGTTTTTTGAGACAGGGTCTCTGTCGCCCAGGCTGGAGTGCAGTGGCGCGATCTCAGCTCGCTGCAACCTCCACCCCCCGGGTTCAAGTGATTTTCCACCTCAGCCTCCAGAGTAGCTGAGACTACAGGCACACACCACCACACCTGGCTAATTTTTTTATTTTTGGTAGGGACAGGGCTTCCCCAGGTTGGCTAGGCTGGTCTCAAATTCCTGCCATCAAGTGATCTGCCCCCCTTGGCTTCCCAAAGTTTTGGGATTACAGGTGTGAGCCACCACGCCCGGACCAGGACAAAGGTTTTACATAAAAAACTTACTGAATTTTCCAATGACACCCCTGGTTTTAGATACATTGATTCATTGTCTGATCAAGATCAGATCATTATGGCCAACCCAGTGGCCATAATTAGGAAAATCACTTGAACCTGGGAGGCAGTGGTTGCCATAAGCGGAGATCGCGCCATCGCGCTCCAGCCTGGGCAACAAGAGCGAAACTTCGTCTAAAACAACAACAAAAACAAAACAAACCCCAATAAGCTGGTTGTTTTTTGTTGTTTTTCTTTTGTTTTGTTTTTTGAGATGGATTCTTGCTCTGTAACCCAGGCTGGAGTGCAGTGGCGGGATCTCAGCTCACTGCAACCTCCGCCTCCCGGGCTCAAGCGATTCTCTTGCATCAGCTCTGGACTAGCTGAGATAACAGGCATGCACCACCACACTGGCTAATGTTTGTATTTTTAGTAGAGATGGGGTTTCTCCACCCACCTCGGCCTCCCAAGGTGCTGGGATTAGAGGCATGAGCCACCACGCCCGCCAAGCTGGGTATTTTTTTTTTCCTCCAAGACAGTGTCTCGCTCTGTCACCCAGGCTGGAGTGCAGTGGCTTGATCTTGGCTCACTGCAACCTCCGCCTCCCGGGTTCAAGCAATTCTCCTGTCTCACCCTCCCGAGTAGCTGGGATTACAGGGGTTAGCCACCATGCCCAGCTAATTTTTGTATTTTTAGTAGAAAGAAGGTTTCACGACGTTGGTCAGGCTGGTATCGAACTCCTGACTTCGTGATCTGCCTGCCTCGGCCTCCCAGAGTGCTAGGATTACAGGCGTGAGCCACCGCACCCGGCCGACAACTTGATTTTTATATGAAAAGGTAACCAGGGCCAGGCATAGTGGCTTATGCCTGTAACCCAGCATTCTGGGAGGCTGAGGTGGGTGGATCACCTGAGGTCAGGAGTTTGAGACTAGCCTGGCCAACATGGTGAAACCCTGTCTCTACTAAAAATACGAAAAATTAGCTGGGCATGGTGGTGGGCACCTGTAATCCCAGCTACTCAGGAGACTGAGGCAGGAGAATTGCTTGAACCCGGGAGGCGGAGGTTGCAGTGAGCCAAGACTAAGCCACTGCACTCCGGCCTGGATGACAGAGTGAGACTCCATCCCAAAAAATAATAATAATTTTTTTAAAAAAAAGAAAACTTGGCCGGGCGGCGCGGTGGCTCAGGCCTGTAATCCCCGCACTTTGGGAGGCCGAGGAGGGCAGATCATGAGGTCAGGAGATCGAGACCATCCTGGCTAACATGGAGAAACCCCGTCTCTACTAAAAATACAAAAAAATTAGCCGGGCATGGTGGTGGGCGCCTGTAGTCCCAGCTGCTGGGGAGGCTGAGGCAGGAGAATGTCATGAACCCAGGAGGTGGAGCTTGCAGTGAGCCAAGATCATGCCACTGCACTCCAGCCTGGGTGACAGAGCAAGACTCCATCTCAAAAAAAAAATAAATAAATAAATAAAATAAAAAAGAAAAGTTGCCGGCTGCAGTGGCTCATGCCTATAATCCCAGCACTGTGGGAGGCCCAGGCGGGCGGATCATGAGGTCAGGAGATCATGACCATCCTGGCTAACACGGTGAAACCCTGTCTCTACTAAAAATACAAAAAAAAAAAAGAAAAGAAAAGAAAAATTAGCCAGGCGTGGTGGCAGGCGCCTGTAGTCCCAGCTACTCAGGAGGCTGAGGCAGGAGAATGGCGTGAACCTGAGAGGCGGAGCTTGCAGTGAGCCAAGATCGCACCACTGCACTCCAGCCTGGGTGACAGAGCAAGACTCAAAAAAAAAAAAAAAAAGATAAGTTAACCAAAGCAATTTACCTCTGTGATCTTCCTCCTAAAATCCCACAATCCTTGTCTAATAATGAGAAAAATACCAGACAGATCCAATTAAGGGGCATTGTACAAATCTGACCAGTCCTCAAAACTGTCAAGGTTATCAAAAACAAGGAAAAGGCCAGGAGCAGTGACTGATGCCTATAATCCCAGAACTTTGGGAGGCCGAAGTGGGAAGACTGCTTGAGGACAGGAGTTCAAGACCAGCAGTCTCTGCAATGTGGTGAGACCCTGTCTCTACAAACAAAATTAGCCTGGTATTGTAGCTCAAACCTCAGTCCCAGGAGGCTGAGGTGGGAGGACTGCCTGAGCCAGGAGGTTAACGCTACAGTGAGCCGTGATCGCACCATTGCACTCCAGCCTCAGACCATGTCTCAAAAAACAACAACCAGGAGAGTCTGAGACACCATCACAGCCAAGAGAAACCTAAGGAGACATGACAACTCAATGCCATCGATGTGGTGTCCTGAATGGGATTCTGGCACAGAAAAGGACATTAGATTAAAACTAAGGAAATCAGGCCGGGCGCAGTGGCTCACGCCTGTAATCCCAGCACTTTGGGAGGCCGAGGCGGGCGGATCACCTGAGGTCAGGAGATCAAGACCATCCTGGCTAACACAGTGAAACGCTGTCTGTACTAAAAATACAAAAAATTAGCAGGGCGTGGCAGCAGGCACCTGTAGTCCCAGCTACTCGGGAGGCTGAGGCAGGAGAATGGCATGAACACGGGAGGCGGAGCTTACAGTGAACTGAGATCGCACCACTACACTCCAGCCGGGGCAACAGAGCAAGACTCCGTCTCAAAAAAACAAAAAAAAAAAACTAAGGAAATCAAGCTGGGCACAGTGGTTCACGCCTGTAATCCCTGCACTTTGGGAGGCCGAGGCGGGAGGATCACCTGAGGTTGGGAGTTCGAGACCAGCCTGGCCAACATAGAGAAACCCCGTCTCTACTAAAAATACAAAAATTAGCTGGACATGGTGGCACATGCCTGTAATCCCAGCTACTTGGGAGGTTGAGGCAGGAGAATCCTTGAACCTGGGAGGCAGAGGATGCAGTGAGCTAAGGTTGTGCCATTTTACTCCAGACTGGGCAACAAGAGCAAAACTCCGTCTCAAAAAAACAAAACAAACAAAAACTAAGGAAATCAGAATAAAGTATTCTTTTGTTTTGTTTTGTTTACTTTAGGTTCTGGGATACATGTGCAGAACGTGCAGGTTTGTTACGTAAGTATACATGTGCCATGGTAGTTTGCTGCGCCTATCAACAAGGTTTTAAGCCCCGCATGCATTAGATACTTGTCCTAAGCCAGGCGTGGTGGCTCACACCTGTAATCCCAGCACTTTGGGAGGCCGAGGCAGGCGGATCACTTGAGGTTGGGAGTTCGAAACTACCCTGACCAACATGGAGAAACCCTGTCTCCACTAAAAATACAAAATTAGCCGGAGGTGGTGGTGCATGCCTGTAATCCCAGCTACTCGGGAGGCTGAGGCAGGAGAATCGCTTGATCCTGGGAGGCAGTGGTTGCAGTGAGCCAAGATCACACCATTGCACTCCAGCCTGGGTTACGAGAGTGAAACTCCATCTCAAAAAAAAAAAAAAGATATTTGTCCTAATGCTCTCCCTCCCCTTGTCCCCCACTCCCCGACAGGCTCCGGTGTGGGATGTTCCCCTCCCTGTGTCCATGTGTTCTCATTGTTCAACTCCCACTTAGGAGTGAGAACATGCGATGTTTGGTTTTCTGTTCCTGTGTTAGTTTGTAAAGTATGATCTTTAATTAAAAATAATGTGTCAATATTGTATGTATCATTACTTGTTTTTCCTTTTTCTTTGTTTATTTGTTTGTTTTTGAGACAGAGTCTCACTCTTTCGCCCAGGCTGGAGTGCAGTGGTGCAATTTCGGCTCATGGCAAGCTCCACCTCCCAGGTTCAAGAGGTTCTCCTGCCTCAGCCTCTCTTTTTTTTTTTTTGCCTTTGAGACGGAGTCTTGCTCTGTCACCCAGGCTGGAGTGCAGTGGCATTGCAAGCTCTGCCTCCCGGGTTCATGCCATTCTCCTGCCTCAGCCTCCCGAGTAGCTGGGACTACAGGCGCCCACCACCACGCCCAGCTAATTTTTTGTATTTTTAGTAGAGAGGATGTTTCACCATATTAGCCAGGATGGTCTCGATCTCCTGACCTCGTGATCCGCCGGCCTTGGCCTCCCAAAGTGCTAGGATTACAGGCGTGAGCCACCGTGTCCAGCCTGCTTCAGCCTCTTGAGTAGCTGGGATTATAGGCGTGCGCCACCGTGACTGGCTAATTTTTTATATTTTTAGTAGAGATAGAGTTTCACCATGTTGGCCAGGCTGGTCTGGAACTCCTGACCTCAAGTGATTTGCCCGCCTTGGCCTCCCAAAGTGCTGGGATTACAGGCGTGAGCCACCACGCCCAGCCATGTATCATTACTTGTAACACACGTACCACAGTAATCTGAGATATTAATAATAGGGGAAACTTGGTGCAGGGCTATATAGAAACATACTTTTCCTGCAAATCTAGAACTGTTCTAAAGTAGAATGGTTATTTAAAAAATCAGGCCAGGCGCAGTGGCTCAGGCCCGTGATCCCAGCACTTTAGGATGCCAAGGCGGGTGGATCACAAGGTCAGGAGATTGAGACCATCCTGGCCAACATGGTGAAACCCCATCTTTACTAAAAATACAAAAAAATTCGCTGGGCGTGGTGACATGCGCCAGTAGTCCCAGCTACTCGGGAGGCTGAGGCAGGACAATCGCTTGAACCAGGGAGTCAGAGGTTGCAGTGAGCTGAGATCGTGCCACAGCACTCTAGCCTGGCAATAGAGTGAGACTCCGTCTCAAAAAAAGAAAAATCAAAGTAGCCACCAGAAATTACAGTAGTAGTCAGGTGAAATCCCAAGAGTAGGACCTGGCTGGGTGGGCCACCTGAGGGCTGCCCCTACTGGTACCTAGATGGCATACTGGCTGAGGGTAGGTCCCAGAGACCCAATAGCAACCCATCTGCCTCCCTCAGTGCAGAGCACTGCTCAGTAAATGCATGTGTGCAGCGTAAGATGTGAACTGCCCCAATTCCAGGCAAGACCTATAGGATGGGTGCAACGCACACCTACTTGTGAAATTCTAGTCCTGGGTGGAGCAGTAACCCACTTGAACCAGGGGATACCTCCTGAGGTTTAAACAAACCTCAGCTGGCAGCTGACAATAGAAATGCAAACAGCCAAGCCGGGCACGGTGGCTCACGCCTGTAATCCCAGCACTTTGGGAGGCTGAGGCGGGCGGATTGCTTGAGGTCAGGAGTTTGAGACCAGCCTGGCCAACATGGTGAAACCCCGTCTCTACTAAAAATACAAAAATTAGTGGAGCATGGTGGGGTGTGCTCCCACCTACTAGGGAGGCTGAGGCAGGAGAATCGCTTGAACCCAGGAGGTGGAGGTTGCAGTGACCAGAGATCGTGCCACTGCCCTCCAGCCTGGGCAACAGAGCAAGACTCTGTCTCAAAAAAAAAAAAAAAGCCAGGCGTGGTGGCTCACACCTGTAATCCCAGCACTTTGGGAGGCCAAGGTGGGCAGATCACGAGGTCAGGAGATTGAGACCATCCTGGCTAACATGGTGAAACCCCATCTCTACTAAAAATACAAAAAATTAGCCAGGCATGGTGGCCAGCACCTGTAGTCCCAGCTACTTGGGAGGCTGAGACAGGAGAATGGCGTGAACCCAGGAGGCGGAGCTTGCAGTGAGCCGAGACACGCCACTGCACTCCAGCCTGGGCAACAGAGCGAGACTCCGTCTCAAAAAAAAAAAAAAAAAGAAGGGAGGGAGGGAGGGAGGGGAGAAGGGAGGGAGAAAAGGAAGGAGGGAGAGAGAGGGAAAAGGAAGGAAGGGAAAGAGAGAGAAAGAACGAATGAAAAGAGAGAGAAAGAGGAAGGGAGGGAGGGAGGAAGGAAGGAAGGAAGGCAGGAAGGAAGGAAAAGAAGGAAAGAAGGAAAGAAAGAAAGAAAGCCCCTGATAGCTTTAGATTTGCTCATGCAGACCAGGCGCGATGGCTCATGCCTGTAATCCCAGCACTTTGGGAGGCCGAGGCAGGCGGATCACGAGGTCAGGAGATCAAGAGCATCCTGGCTAACATGGTGAAACCCCGTCTCTACTAAAAATACAAAAAAATTAGCCGGGCGTGGTTGCAGGTGCCTGTAGTCCCAGCTATTTGGGAGGCTGAGGCAGGAGAATGGCCTGAACCTGGGAGGCGGAGCTTGCAGTGAGCAGAGATCACGCCACTGCACTCCAGCCTGGGTGACACAGGGAGACTCTGTCTCAGAAAAAAAAAAAAAATAGATTTGCTCACGCATTTTTCCCACCTGGTGCCTGTTCGCTCAAGTTTCCTTTGCCCACCCGTCCTGGGTCTCTGGGCTGCAGGCAGAGCAGCTCCCAAGCTTCTCCAAGTTCACTGGCCCCTCTTCCCACCTTAAAACCAGCTGCATCAGCAGAAGAGATTATGCCAGGTATTAAAAGCCCGCCAGGGGGCGGGGGTGGGGTGGGGTAGGATTGCCAGGCCAGCATGCTAGAGGCCCAGGCACCTGCAGGGACACCAGGAACAGCTGTCCACCAGCTGGAAGGGCCACTGCTCCCCTACATGTGCCCAAAACCTGACCTTCCCTGTGCCTCTAGCTGAAGTTTGCTCCAGTCCAGGCTCACAAGGCAGTGGTCTGTGGTCAGCTATGCATGGGGCTTGGGATGCTAGGATTGTGGTGGAAGTGAGGGAAAGATTTAGGGCTGAGCCAGGTGAGGGGACACTGGAGAATTTTCACAGCTGGGCTGATCCTGGAGCAGGAGTGAGAGCAGTGGTGGGATGTGCAGGATGGGCTGGAGGGACCTGCAGACCTCTCTGGATGGATGATGCTCCAGCACCCGCTCAGGGTGAAGACAAGCAGGGTTCAGGATGAAGACCTCTCACCTAAGCAGCAAGGGTCGACCCTGCCCCTCTCCCTGCCCTGTCCCCTGAAGCTGCTAGTCAGTTGCAGCGTGAGTACTGGGGCAGAAACTGTCCTCTCCGGAGAAGTGCTCACACTGCAGGGGACACTGCTGGGGGTTCAGGGGAGAATGGGACCCTCACCCCCGTGAGTAACTAGGGATCAGTAACTAGGTAGCCGCCTTCCTGCAGCAGGCCACCCTCTGGCCCCTGCTTCTTAGCTGCAACCTCTGCAAGGTCCTGGCCCATATAGGTGTGACCTGTGAGGAGGTTAAAGGAAAGGTACCTTAGCCCCTGGCTGGGGCTCTCTCTCTGAAGTGCACCTGTAGTCCCAGCTCCTCGAGGCTGAGGCAAGAGGATCACCTGAGCCCAAAAGTTTGAGGCTACAGTGAGCTATGGTCACGCCACTGCACTCCAGTCTGGGTGAAAAAACGAGACCCTTTCTCTAAAAAAAAAAGGAAGTCCAGGCGTGGTGGCTCATGCCTATAATCCCAACATTTTGGGAAGCCAAGCCAAGGTAGGCGGATCACCTGTCGGGAGTTTGAGACCAGCCTGACCAACATGGCGAAACCCCACCTCTACTAAAAATACAAAATTAGCTGGGTGTGGTGGCATATGCCTGTAATCCCAGCTACGCGGGAGGCTGAGGCAGGAGAATCGCTTGAACCCAGGAGGCAAATATTGCAGTGAGCCAAGATCACGCCATTGCACTCCAGCCTGGGCAACAAGAGCGAAAGTCCGTCTCAAAAAAAAGAAAGCAAAAGAAAAAGAAAGGGCACATTGGCCGGGCGTGGTGGCTCATGCCTATAATCCTGGCACTTTGGGAAGCCGAGGCGAGCAGATCACCTGAGGTCAGGAGTTCAAGACCAGCCTGGCCAACATGGCAAAACCCTGTCTCTACTACAAATACAAAAATTAGCCAGGGGTCGTGGCAGGCACTTGTAATCCCAGCTACTCGGGAGGCTGAGGCAGGAGAATCACTTGAACCCAGGAGGCTGAGTTTGCAGTAAGCGGAGATCATACCACTGCACTCCAGCCTGGGGTGACAGAGCGAGACTGTGTCAATAATAATAATAATAATAATAATAATAATAATAATAATAAATAAGGGGCATCTTTGGCTTTGGGTGGAGCCAGGCTGGTGGCTGCAGGGGCCCCATGGGAGCAGGGAGGCCGGGAGACACTGCTACCAGGGACCTCCACTCACCTGCCTCCTGCCCTCCCAACTCTGCCTTAGAGCCCAGCAGGCTGCCTCCCAGCAGGCTGGCTCTTGCAGTGGGATGTGGCACAGGAGGTTTTTGTTTCCAGCGGGCTTTCCTTCCCACATCTGCAAGTTCAAACTCAATGCCCATGATCCCTAGAAAGCCTTGGTAAAGGATGTCACTAAGTCTGACATTCTCTCAAACTGAACTTTTTTTTTTTTTCTGGTGCCCACCATACCCTACCCTAGTTCTCTCAGAGCATCCAAAGAACTCTCCAGAACTCTCCATTGCCCTCTGTAGCTCTGGATGTGGTGCCTACCACGGGCCGTTGGCAGTCCCGATTCTGTGTCTCTGACCAGGGGTTGCTCAGGCCACTGACTCTGCACACACATGGGGCAGTGAGTGTGCCAGGGAGCCAACAGCCTCTGGAAGCAGCCCACAACCAATGGCAGGTGGCAGCGGGTGGATAAGGAAAATGTGGAGTCCCCTTCTACACTGTCTCCCAGAGGTGTCCAGCCAGGCAGCACCAGCAGCCACTGCAGTGACTTGCTCGACGATGCACCCTTCGTTGG